>NC_000003.12:192455574-193705574 GCF_000001405.40 Homo sapiens
TGCAATGATAACATTTTATAACTTTTTTATTTAACATTATATGCTAAATATAAACATACGTGTTGTTATAAACTTTTTATAACATTATCAATAACTGAATAATATTCCAATGATTTGCTCTAATGCACTTAGTCTTTACCATGCTTCTGCATATTTAGATGGCTTTAAGTTTCTATCATAAATAATTCTAAGATTTTCTGCAGAATATTAGTAGATGTAACTGAGAATATGTTCAGAATAACCACACGCCTCCATGATACCAAATGTCAACAGTTCCATTGGTCCCTCAAACACAATTCCACATACATGCATTAAAAATCATAAAGATGAAAACATACTTCACACAGTTCATGGGATGCTCAAGACAGAAGCAAAGTGGTTAATAAGTGGGGCCTTGCAGAGGTGGTCCCCTAAAGCCAGTAACTGGTCTTTTGGGTCCATAATATGTTATCAACTCAACCTGACTCACATTACCTAAACTCTGAAAAGATGATTGATACATTAGGTATCACTATTCTGGGTATATGACAAAATATGAGAGATGATAAAAACATGGTAATGTCTATTACATTTTCACAATTTATGAAGAATACAAGAGAAAATATTTGAAATGTAATTATGCTCTAAAATTCGAAATGTATTGTTATGTTTTAGACCTACACAGTTATCAAAAATTTCTTTCTACTTTCAGGATTATGTATAAAAGAAACTGGAAAACCAAATTTGTTATGCCACTGACCAAACTTGGAATTAAGAGGCAGAGGTCATCTGAGACTTAGAGATATCTTAGCCCAAAGCCTGCTGTCAAGCAGGCTAGAGAATGGAGTTTCATTGCAATTAGATAGTTTTGAATACCTCATTAAAAATACTTTCCAAAGATTAATCTTTTTTATTATAAATGTGATACAGGCTTATTGTAGAAAAAAATTGATGAATACATTTTTAAAATAAGTGAAATGATCTAATTTGATTCTTTAAGTTATTTTAAAATCTCATTTACCCCATAAATGTATACTCCTAATACGTATCCACAAAAATTTTTAAAAATAATTTAAAAGTTAAAAAAATGAAATGACTTAAATACCACCACCTAGAACATTTTATGTATGAACTCTTTGCAGATAAGGACTGCAAGGTAAGAATTACACCCTGCAGGGTTTAGCTATATAGATGTTTAGTAAATATCTTGGAGACTCAGTTCAACCATACTGCAGTGAATAGAGGTAGTACTATGAGAATGTATGATTCCTATACACTCAAAAGCTAGGCACTCTCTTCTAGATTATAACATAAATCCACACATGCAGTGATATGGTTTGGCTGTGTCCCTACCCAAATCTCATCTTGAATTATACTCCCATAATTCCCATGTGTTGTGGGAGGGACCCAGTGGGAAATAATTTGAATCATGGGGGCAGTTTCCCCCATACTGTTCCCGTGGTAGGGAATAAGTCTCATGAGATCTGTTGGTTTTATCAGGGGTTTCCGCTTTTGCATCTTCCCCATTTTCTCTTGCCACTGGCATGTAAGAAGTACCTTTCACCTCCCACCATGATTCTGAGGCCTCCCCAGCCATGTAGAACTGTAAGTCCAACTAAACCTCTTTTACTTCCCAGTCTCAGCTATGTCTTTATCAGCAGTGTGAAAATGTGCTAATACAGTAAATTGGTACCAGTAGAGTGGGGTGTTGCTGAAAAGATACCCAAAATGTGGAAGTGACTTTGGAACTGGGTAACAGGCAGAGGCTGGAACACTTTGTAGGGTTCAGAAGAAGACAGGAAAATGTGGAAAAGTTTGGAACCTCCTAGAGACTTGTTGAATGGTTTTGACTACAATGCTGATAGTGATATGAACAATAAGGTCCAGGCTGAGATGGTCTCAGATGGAGATGAGGAACTTGTTGGGAACTGGAACAAAGGTGACTCTTGCTACATTTTAGCAAAGAGACTGGTGGCATTTTGCCCCCATCCTAGAAATTTGTGGAACTTTGAACTTGAGAGAGATGATTTAGGTATCTGGCGGAAGAAATTTTTAAACAGCAAAAGCGTTCAAAAGGTGACTTGGGCACTGTTAAAAGCATTTCGTTTTAAAAGGGAAACAGCATAAAAGTCAGAAAATTTGCAGCTGACGATGCAATAGAAAATAAATACCCATTTTTGAGGAGAAATTCAAGCTGGCTGCAGAAATTTGAATAAGTAGCAAGGAGCCTAATGTTAATCCCCAAGACCATGGGGAAAATGTCTCCAGGCCACGTCACAGATCTTCACTGCAGCCCCTCTCATCACAGGCCTGGAGGCCAAGGAGAAAAAAGTGGTTTTGTGGGCTGGGCCCAGGGTCCCTGTGCTGTGTGCAGCTAGAGACTTGGTGCCCTCTGTCGCAGCCACTCCAACTGTGGCTAAAAGTGGCCAACATAAAGCTTGGGCTGTGGCTTCAGAGGGTGGAATCCCCAAGCCTTGGCAGCTTCCATGTGGTGTTGAGCCTGCAGGTGCACAGAAGTCAAGAACTGAGGTTTGGGAATCTCTGTCTAGATTTCAGAAGATGTATGGAAACGCCTGGATGCCCAGGCGAAAGTTTGCTGCAGAGGTGGGGCCCTCATGAAGAACCTCTGCTTGGGAAGTGCAGAAGGGAAATGTGGGGTCGGAGTCCCCACACAGAGTCCCTACTGGGGCACTGCCTAGTAGAGCTGTGAGAAGAGGGCCACCCTACTCCAGACCCCAGAATGGCAGATCTACCGACAGCTTGCACTGTGTGCCTGGAAAAGCTGCAGACACTCAATGCCAGCCCATGAAAGCAGCCAGGAAGGGGACTGTACCCTGCAAAGTCACAGGGGCAGAGCTGCCCAAGACCATGGAAACCCACCTCTTGCATCAGTGTGACCTGGATGTGAGACCTGGAGTCAAAGGAAATCAATTTGGAACTTTAAAATTTGCCTGCCTCACAGGTTTTTGGACTTGAATGGAGCCTGTAACCCCTTTGTTTTAGCCAATTTTTCCCATTTGGAATGGCTGTATTTACCCAATAACTGTACCCCCACTGTATCTAGGAAGGAACTAGCTTGCTTTTGATTTTACAGGCTCATAGGCAGAAGGGATTTGCCTTGTCTCAGATAAGACTTTGGACTGTGGACTTTTGGGTTAATGCTGAAATGAGTTAAGACTTTGAGGGACTGTTGGGAAGGCACAATTGGTTTTAAAATTTGAGGACATGAGATTTGGAGGGGCCAGGGGTGGAATGATATGGTTTCGCTGTGTCCCCACCCAAATCTCATCTTGAATTGTATCCCCACAATTCCCACGTGTTGTGGGAGGGATCCAGTGGGAGATAATTTGAATCATGGGGCAGTTTCTCCTATGCTGTTCTTGCAGTAGTGAATAAGTCTAACGAGATCTAATGGGTTTATCAGGGGTTTCTGCTTTTGCCTCTTCCTCATTTTCTCTTGCCACCACCATGTAAGAAGTGCCTTTCACCTCCCACCATGATTCTGAGGCCTCCCCAGCTATGTGTAACTGTGAGTCCAATTAAACCTCTTTTTCTTCCCAGTCTAGAGTATGTCTTTATCAGCAATGTGAAAACAGGCTAATACATGCAGAGACTTCATCTTGTCTATTTTTGTAACATAATTCCTAGAATTCCATAGCAATTCAGAATTAAATTATCAAATACTGGAGTTGCTCGATTTCACCAACTTAGTTAAGTTAGCAAACTTCTCATCAGATCTAAAAATTGAGCTTCAATTCTTGTTGTGAATGCTAAATAAAACGGCAACAAAATTTGGCATTTCCTACATCTGATTCTCTTTCATTTCAAAAGAATTGCCTGGTATTTAGGAGACATAAGTTGGTCAACTTAAATTGTTTAACTCGCATTTGTTATGATGCTACATTCAAAATGAAAGGATTTGGAAAATGCTGTGCAGTAACAACATTACAAAACTGTGAATCTTATTTGATTGCTTCCATGTCTATGGCTACATTCCCATGGGAACCAGACATTTTAATCTTTTTTGTCTTCAAAAACAAGGCATCATTCTGCATGAGCCTTGTCTTTGGGCACATTGCATACATTGATTCAAATATTAAAGTGGATTAATAATAGAATCAAATTTAGAATGGTTGCATGGTTTCCAGAAGGAAAAATAAAATAGTTTTGAAGATGTATGTGCTTTAATCTGACTGGTTAAAATATGGCATTGCTTATACTTGTACAACCTTTTAAGAAAAATTCTTAATAATCTGAAAAGAAATCTTTCCTGCATGTATGTTTAGTGTGTGTGTGTGTGTGTGTTTGTGTGTGTGCGTGTGTGTGTGAGAGGGAGAGAAGGAGACAGAAGGTGATTCAACATCCTTCAAAAAACCCTCATTGAGTACCTTTCATGTACTGAGAGACATGTTAGACTTTTAAGCTACAAAGATGATCTAGATCAATCTAGTCTTCGAGTCATGCAGGATGAACAGACATAAGTACATTTACGATATGGGGATAATGCAAATACTTACAAAGAAGAGTTGGTGGGTGAGAAGAAAGGTAACCAACTCTACCTTGTGGGAGGGGGGAGTTAGGGAACACTCTGTTGACTGTTAGGGACCTAATGAGAAAGACAAGCACAAGATCTCAGTCATAATAGGCAAAGAAAATGTAAAGCATGCTCCAACCTTTTCTTCCTTGCCTGAACTTCTTCCTTTTCCAAAAGACTCAGCTGAACTAACCACTTGGATCACACAAATTTTATTCCTACTCATGCTTAAGTTCGGGTAGGAAGAGGGAGTTTTTTCTAAATTCAGAAACCTGCCTGAGTTCTCTGTCTGAGCTTTGCCCACAGCCTCAGAGCGGAGCTAGAGGAATGGCAGCGAAGTTCAGGATGTCCACTGAAAAACAGTGGAATATAAGGCTCATGTATCAGGTCTCTGAGAATCAACTCTGAAACAAATGTCACATAAGTGCCTTTAAACCCGCAAGCAGAGTACACGTGCTCTGCAACCAGCAAGCACAGGCTACAGACGCTTTCCGAATCTCCCCTCTGTAGCTCCACACTCACCCCTTTACAAAACAAAAACAAACAACAACAGCAACAACAAATATATACATATACACACACACACACATATATTTATATATATATATATATATATATCCACTTTGCATTTACTTGCATTTAGATAGTGCCTTACAGTTGGAAACTTTTTTCTTATATATTATTTAATTTGCTACTTTCAAGAGCACTCTAAGCTGGTTAGGGCAAGAATCATGGGGCTTAGAGAGTTAAAATGAATTTCTCACAATCACTTTAACTGAACTGGAGCAAAAAGTTAAGCATTTTTAATTCCTATGTATTTCCTGCCATACGGTACTGCTAAGTGTTTGCACCTTTCTTTTTTATCCAGAGTACATATATTCATTAAGCATGTGGTATGGCTCACAGTTTGTGCTAAGTGATATGGGGGCCAGTTTTAAAATCTATAATCCATGATCTGTTTCAAGTAATGTTTACTCAATGTGATAACCTATATAACATACAGGACACATTTTTTCACAGGCTGAAGCTTATTCAGAAAATGCAATCATTTAACAATGGGATTTTTGTAAATGAACATTGTAAAACATTTATTTTTGAATAACAAATATACCTTGAATTACACTGGGAGGAACATGCTTAAAGACATGCCAAAAAAATGATCCACATGCACACCTCCAGCTCAAAACATTCAGGCTTGAGATCATCAAAAAGAAAGTTAAACAGAATCTTCATGGAACACATTTGCCTAATTTATAATGACAATTGAAAATATTGGCACTGTGATATCAAAAATGGTGAGCACTATAGAACATACCCAAATTAGGTTAAATACCCTAAAGTAAGAGAAGAGTACAAAATTCCTGTGAAGGATTAATAGTGACTGGAATTCCATCATATTTATAAGGTAAATTATAAACTAGTATCTATCAAATCCTAATCAGTATTTTTATCTGATGTGGTTTTTATTTCTTAATTTAAAGAAATTTTATGTTCTCATTCCTACAAGCTATATAACTGAGATTATAACTGAATTCACTTTTCAGTTATCTGACCCTAAACAGAAGTATGTGTGTAAGCAGAAGTGTGGGGAAGATGTTTTTTAAAAATCATTATTACTTGGCCAGGCACGGTGGCTCATACCTGTAATCCCAGCACTTTGTGAGGCCAAGGCAGGGGGATCATCTGAGGTCAGGAGTTTGAGACCAGTCTGGCCAACATGTTGAAACCCCGTCTCTACTAAAAATACAAAAAATTAGCCAGGCATGGTGGTGCGTGCCTGTAATTCCAGCTACTCGGGAGGCTGAGGCAGGAGAATCGCTTGAACCCGGGAGGTGGAGGTTGCAGTGAGCTGAGATCGCACCACGGCACTCCAGCCTGGGCAACAAGAGCGAAACTCTGTCACAAGAAAAAAAAAAACACACATTATTACTTAATGATTATTGGATGATAAGAAAATGAATCAAATAAAATATATGGCTTGTTTCATTTTGAAATTTAAAACATGTTTTTAAAACTCACTAGTAATAAAGAAATGTATATTAAAATAATAAAATTAACAAACACTGAAACTATTAAGAATTTCTAATGTCAATAAAACAGTGGGAGTATAAATTCTTCTGGACGGAGATTATTATGGTTTGAGTATACCCTCCAAAACTCATGTTGAAACTTAATCTTCAATGTGGCAGTATTGAGAGGTGAGGTCTTTAAATGGTGAGTGGGTCTTGAGGGCTCTGACTCATGAATGGATTAATCCATTCATGCATTTAATGGGTTATCATGGGAAGGAACTGGTGGCTCTACATGAAGAGGAAGAGAGATCTGAGTTAGTATGGCAGGATGCTCAGCCCCCTGGCCATGTGATACCCTTTGCCACCTCAAGACTCTGTAGAGAGTCCCTACCAGCAAGAAGGTCCTCAGCAAATATGCCCCCTCAATTTTGGACTTCTCAATCTCCATAAGTGTAAGAAATAAATTTATTTTCTTTATAAATTACCTGGTTTTAGGTATTCTGTTATAAACAACAGAAAATAGACTGACACAGAGTTATTGGCAAGTTAAGAACTCTCAGATAGTTAAGAAGGCATTACCAAGGTTCTTTAATATGACAGTTCACTGAGAGGACATTAGGTACAAATGCCCCTAACTTTTGATTTAAAAGCCTACAGTAGACTTAATACATTTTAAAAAGGACTTTATGTATAAAGTTTCATATGATAATGATATATATTAATTATACAAATAACTGATTTATAATGTAAGAAATTTAAATATGCAGCCATATAAGAGAAGCACTCTGTAGAAGCTACACAACTGTAATGGCTTACGAAAAGCTTTCAGGGATATTAAAAATATGATGTACGAAGAGTTTGTGGGGATATGAAACCATGCTCATGCTATTGTGTCAAGTGAAAAGAGCAAGCTGGAAAACTGTAGTTATAATAAATCCCCAGGTATAGAGGAGGGAAAATAATATCAAAGGCATTAGAAAGGAACAGACCAAGCTGTTCAAAGTTGTTACTTTAGGGTGATAGAAGATTTTGTTGTTGGCAGGGTGCGGTGGCTCATGCCTATAATCCCAGCACTTTGTGGGGCTGAGGCAGGTGGATCACTTGAGGCCAGAAGTTCGAGACCAGCCTGGACAACGTGGCAAAACCCCATTTCTACTAAAAATACAAAAAATTAGCCAGGTGTGGTGGCACATACCTGTAGTCCCAGCTGCTTGGGAGGCTGAGGCAGGAGAATCTCTTGAACCTGGGAGGCAGAGGTTGCAGTGAGCTGAGGTTGCACCAATGCACTCCAGCCTGGGTGACAGAGTGAGACTCTGTCTCAAAAAAAAAGTTGTTGTTGTCGTTGTTCAAAGGAATTATCAAAATATTATATAATAAAAGACATACCTTGTTTCCATCAACTGGTTATGGTTTTATCTTTTGGGGATGAACTCTTCAAGCTTACCTGGCCATTCCCAAAAGTTAACATCACATATCCTATGAGCTGCCAGTTGCACTTAACAGTCGTGCGTTTTGATTCCCAAAAACCACCCGACACCTTCCCAGCCCAGCACAGTGGCTGGCACCTAGATGGGTGCTTTCGGAACTCTGCTTCCAGAAGCTCTAGGCATGACAGGGAATCATGTGAAAGGATGATGGAAGAGTAAGAGCTTGTGGGTAGGATTTAGTCCCTTAACTCACTTAAATCAGAGTAGCTGGTATTCATCTGTTTTGTTCTTTTTTTAGGTTAGTTTCTGTTTTTGTTTTTTTAAATTAAGAACAAAGCTACCTGCAAAACAACATGCTTTATTATCGTCCATACTATGACTCCTGCCAGTGTTCCCAACCCAAACCCGGCTCACTGGTGAAGCTCTCCAACCTTGCCATACTACCCTCTTTTTTCTACTCCTACTCTTAGATCAGTGGTTCTACTCTTGACTACAAATTAGAGGCACGTGAGAAGTTTTTAAAACACACAATGCCTGGGTCCACCCTTAGAGATTCCAATTACACTGCTCAGGGTGGGGCCCAGGGATGAGTTTTGTTGTTGCTGCTGTTGCTGTTTTTAGTTTCAGTAGGTCTGGGGGGAACATGTGGTGTTTGGTTACATGGATAAGTTCTTTAGTGGTGATTTTGTGAGAATTTGGTGCACCCATCACCCAAGCGGTGTATACTGTACCCAGTGGGTAGTCTTGTATCCCTCACCCCCCTCCCACCCTTCCCCTTGAGCCTCCAAAGTCCGCTGTCTCATTCTTATGCCTTTACATCCGCATAGCTTAGTTCCCACTTCTAAGTGAGAACATAGGATGTTTGGTTTTCTATTCCGGAGTTACCTCACTTAGAATAGCGGTCTCCATCTCCATCCAAGTTGCTGTGAATGCCATTATTTCATTCCTTTTTAGGGCTGAGTAGTATTCCATGGTGTGTGTGTGTGTGTGTGTGTGTGTGTGTGTGTGTGTGTGTGTGTATGACATTTTCTTTATGCACTCATTGATTGATGGGCATTTGGGCTGGTTCCATATTTTTGCAATTGCTAATTGTAATGACATGCATGTGCAAGTCTCTTTTTCACATAATGACTTCTTTTCCTCTGAGTAGATACCTAGTAGCAGGATTGCTGGACCGAATGGCAGAAGTTTCCTTTGGGAGAAGGGGCTCTGCTTTACACAACTGGATTACAGCTTTTTCCTGTGGACTGGGGAAGGGTAGTGCAAGCCTGCCTGAATGTGTTAAAAACAGGTGTGGCAATAGAGACAGTAGGTGCAGACACACCTCTGAGAGGTCTGGCTGTTAAGAAGAAAAATGCCCTAGAGCTGAATGAGCAAAGCTAAAGCATCAAGTGGAGGAGAAGTTCCTATCTCATTGTGATCTGATTTTAATGAGAAAAGGCCCCCAAATATCCCGTGCTTTCTTATTACAGATCATGTATGTTTTAATTAATATAACACAGTACAACTTCAATTTAACATTATATAATGATATTTCTGTGGGTGTATAATAATGTAAATTCCTCACTGGCATCTAAATTGGGGCAGATTAAATCCCAATTATTTGTTAAAAACTTATAGAAGAATTTTTACCTTGCAGAACTTTTTCTTAAGTTAAATGCAAATTAGCTGGTTAATAAGGCAATATAAAACTTCTCTATGTTTGAGTCCACTGAAGACTTAACTTTTCAAAGAAATAGCCTGGCAACAGTGAAATATTTAAATTTCTTCCAAAAATCCCAAATTCCGAAACACCGTCTAAAAATATACAATCAGGTAAAAGTTGAGAATTAACATATGGATATAAGGTGAATACATGAATTTTTAAAACCATATTGATAAAAATAAACCCAAGACTTGCCCTACACTCAGAATCTGTAGAAATTATCTTGACTGTGCAGAAAAAAGTTAAGAAAGTGGAACTGAGGCTGCTGTCTCTAGAGTGTCTGTCTTGAAAGGTTGGCCCTGGGCTGGCGTCTGGAAACTTGGTCGATGGAGAGTTCCCTCCATTCTCTCTCTGATAAAGATGGTTTGCTGTGCACAGACTGTCTATACAAACAATGCGATTTATGCTGAATAGCTACTTTTCTTAAATTTTGATAGCTGCTAGGCAGAGGGTGCCTACGTGACTGTCGCCCTCCCCGACCCCCACTCCCAAGTCAGGTAATTTCCTTGCATGCTCTGTCTCTAATGAGCTTCCTGGGAAGAAACATTGTATACATGTTACTGCGTTTTTTTGCTGCTGAAGAAAAGAGCACCCTCAGTGCTCCCTCAGAGGAGACAGAAAACATCAGAAGCCTCCGCATGAATCTCTACAGTCTCTGAGTATCTTTTCCCCTATTGATCCTGTTATATTTCCTTTCCCTGCAATAAACTTCAGTGGATAGTGCAACTATGCTTATGCATTGCTTAATGACTGGAAGATGCATCATCAGGCGATCGCTACTGTGAGCATTGTGCGATCACCACGGAGCATACGTACACAAACCTAGATGGTGCAGCCTCCTACATACCTAGGCTATGTGGCATAGCCTACTGCTTCTAGGCTACCAACCTGTACGGCATGCTACTGCACTTAACACCACAGCTGATTGTAACAGCAGTAAGTATTAGTGTATCTAAACATATCTAAACACAGAAAACATACGGTAAAAATAAGGTATTATAACATTATAGGATTACCATCATACAGGCAAGTCTCTTGTTGACTGTAATGCTGTTATGTCATTCACATGACGATATCTACTAAATCCTGTGAGTATTTCCAGCAAATCACAGAATGTATGCGTGGTCTTCGAGATCCTCAGGAAAGCACTTAAACACACACACACGCACTCAGAGACAAAATTAAACATGTAATAAATTCACACATATGCAGTGGCTGGCACCGAGCACAACAGGTATATACCTCTCAAATGTATTTGCTGTTTGCATTTACCAAAGGGTCCCTCCTCAGCAGAAGACGAAAGGGGTTCCTGAGAGCTCTCCATATCATTAACAAATTTCTTTGTCTCATCTCAATTTACTCCATAATTATAAAAAAGTAATAAGCATACTTATTGTGCTTGCAGGTTACCACCAATTTTACCTTAATTTTCTTAGTTAATGTTGGCAAATTTCCTGTGAGGAAGCTATTCACTAGCATAGATGAGGAAATGGGGGACAAGAGAAAGAAGGTCAGGGGTCTGATCAAGGTTAAATTACTTCACACTCACAGGGTATGGAAGAGTTGAAATCAGACCCAGTTATTAAAATCCAGAGCCCCTGGCTTCTCCTCATTATAACTAGTTCCCTCAAATGTGGTTTGTAGACAGACATTTATACCAGCAAAGAAGTTGCATTAGCCCTCAGCGAAATGAGAAAAAAAAGTAATATAATATCGCCACATATTTTTAGCTATGTTCTGCCTTTTTTTAGGGTTAAAATATCCATTTTGTTGGAAGATGATACAAACAATAGATAATGGCTCTTCTTATTTATAATTTTTAGGTTTTTTCTTAATTGTTTGTAACATCTGCATAGAGTAAATTTAAAAGAAGACGAATCTAGAGAGGCCCTGTGCAAAAGGTTTTAGAATTTTTTCAGTTATTCAAATTTTGTAGTATTCGAATCTTTTTCCTATCATCATATATGTCGGAAAATTAATTTCAACTGCATGGGCCTGGGTTCTGCTCCTAATTCTCCCACTGATCAGTAAGTAGCACAAGGCAGTTCACTCTCCCTCTATGGGCATCAGTTTCCTTATTAACAAAGGGATCGGCTTAGGTGAATTCTGAGGGATCTCCCACCTCCTTAGAGGTCTATGATTCTGTAAATTCCTGAATCTGTTTACTCTTTTGTTAGTTTCCCAGCCTTACAGTACCTAGAATTGGCCAGATGATGGCAGCAGAGTTCTACTTTAGCCAGACTGTGCGCCGAACAGGTGAGCGGGACGCCTAGAGCACTGTGCTGAAGAGGAAAACGTGGAAGGTTATATGGAATTACCATAATTAAGAAAGAAATATTCACAGGTTGGCTGCCTCTGACATGCTATGTCAAGAAACACAGCTACACTTACAGAGAGGAAGGTCTCTGTTTGTCTTTTAAAAGAGGACTACATGATTGTGAATTCCTAGCAATAGAAGATTCAGGCCCGTTTTAAAGATAAAAATACTAGGCACATGAAGAACCACTGAATGCCCAATGCCTCCCTGCTAGGAAATGGCAGAGCTCAAACTTAAAGACAGGTCTTCTGACTCCCAGGTCAATGTCCTACACTTAACATGTAGCAAAGCTGTCTCAGAGAACACATTTGCTTTGACATCTAGAAGAGGCTCTAAAAGAAGTCTTCAGCGGCAGGCACCGAGCACAACAGGCCATATACATCTCAAATGTCTTTGCTATTTGCATTTACTAAAGTTCCCCTCCTCGGCAGAGGATGAAAGGGCGTGGACCTTGGACCAGGGTTCACCAAGGACACCAATTTCCATGGTACACTCCCGACAGTGGGGAAGTCCTGACACGGAAATTCAAACAGCCCCCTTTTGCATGAATACATAAGAGACATGGAGTTCTATGACTAAAGAGTGGGTTTCCTGTCTGATGGTTTCAATGACAATCTTTTTGGAAAAATTGAAAGATGAGTAGCATTCCTGTATATCCTTAATCTAGCTCCCCTTAATGTTAACAGTTCACACAATCACAGTACAATTATCCAAACCAGCAAATTAACACTGGTACCATAGTAACTAAACTATAGGCCTTATTCATAGTTTACCAGATTTCCCACTGATGTCCATTTGTTATTTCAGAATCCTATCCAGGATCCAAATTGCATTTGTTGTCATTTCTCCTTCATCTCTTCCAGTGTATCACATACAACACTTTCTCAATCTTGTCTTTCATAATCTTGACACTTCTGCAGTATACTGATGGGTTATTTTGTAGACTGTCTCACAATTTAGGGTTGTCTGCTGTTTTCACATGATTAGATGGAGGCTACGCATTTTTTTGAAAGGATGCCACAAAAATCATGCTGTGTCCTTCTTAGACATCATATCAAGGAGCTGATGTTAATATGTCTACTACTAGTGATGATTAACTTTGATCACTTGGTTAAGGTGACATCTTCCAGGTTTCTTCTCCAGAAAGTTACTGTCTTTTCACTTGTAGTTAATATATATCTTGAGGAGGAGACTCCGAGCCTCTACAAATATCTGTTCTTCTCAAAAACTTCCCCCTGATTTTAGCCTCCATCAGGCACATTATCTGCATTCATTATTAACGTGGGGTTTGCGGAACAGTGATTTTTCTATTTCCCTTTTTCCTTCTACATTTATTAATAGAAATTCTTCTGAAAAGAAGACTGATCCCTTCTCCCCCATTCATTCATTTATTTGATTATTTATTTATACCAGTATAGATTCACGGCTATTTCTTTTATCCCGTGGATTAAAATCTAATACTACCATTATGTTCATGCTCAAATTGTTCCAGATTTGGATATCGAGAGCCTTTAGGTAGGCTCCTGTGTTCTTTTGACAAGTCCTCATACCTGTTTAAGCACGTCCTCATTTTTTAGTATCACAAGATGCTCCAGGCTCATCTGACATTTTCCCTTCCCCAGCGCTGCAATCTAGCACTTCTCTAAGGTGTCCTGGCTCTTTTTATGAAAGAATGCAATTTAGAAATGAAACTTAGATCTGGTTGCTAAGTGTGTTCATTATAAACAGAGTGCCTCTGTTTCTACACCCTCTCAGCCAATAGATCTAGGAAATAAATGTACATTTGCTAACACCTGCATGTACACACCTGTATTTCTCTCTGTATGTCTATCTATTAAATACTATGAATTCCTACTAATACCTGTAAATCCAATCAAATACCAGAGGGCTCATGATAGCCTTCCTTCTTTACCTGTAACTTTTTCTCAAAAGATGAGAAACCTGGCTCCCAGAGGACAATCAATAGCAGAGCTTGTCCTCCACAATAACCTACTCAGCCAACACAAAAGTGTGTATGTTTACCAAACTAAGTAGAATTGTGTAAGATCTAAATTAGGCTAAGTGAAATTAAGTAGCTCTATGTTTTATGACCCAGAGAATCTGTTCTGTGCTATTTACCCAAGGTCTATAAAGGAATGTGTGTAATAACCGTCCCCACAATGTTTGTAGTTGTGGAAACTGAAGGCAACCTAGGTGTCCATCACTGGGGGATGGAAACATAAAAGGTAATGGATATAAAAAGTGGGCACTGTGCAATAAACTGAACCTGGATAGACTTCAAAAACAGTGTTGAATGAAGAGTCAGGAGATCAATAATAATACCACTTATGTAAATTTAAAACACACGCCTACATAAAAATTATCTGTTTTACAAAGCTATGTGTGTATATTTGGCACATATCAGATTCTGCATATCATGATGGGAAGGGGAATGGAACTGGATATAAAGGGAAAGAGTATGACAAAATAAGAGAAATGCATTTTCACTGAACCAAGATAATGATGTGTGATGCGCTGGAGAGTGTAACTAATTCCAATGTCCTCTCTGGAGGTAAAAATCAAAGTAGGCAATGTGTAAGAAGTCAATGAAATCATCAAAGGCCAATAATAAGATCAGTCTTTAACTTAAAAACAATTTTTTTACTCATATTAAATTTATTGTCATTCAAGGCCTCCAGAAGCTAAAGGGTAAGAGGTTTTTTTAAAAAATTCAGCACTGAAGATATTTTAATTCAAAACGACATGCGAGAACAATCTAAATGCATTACAATGCTTTGAAAATCCAACATTGGCTCTATTAAATATCTTGTTTTAGTAATGGAACTTTGTTGTTGTTGTTGTTGTTGTTGTAGTTGTTGAGACAGGTTCTCACTCTGTCTGCCTAGGCTGTAGTGCAATGGCACAATCTTGGCTCACCGCAACCTCTGCCTCCCAGGTTCAAGTGATTCTCCTGCCTCGGCCCCCCGAATATCTGGGATTAAAGTTGACCGCCACCACACCTAGCTAATTTTTGTATTTTTAGTAGAGATGGGGTTTCATCACGTTGGCCAGGCTGGTCTCGAACTCCTGACCTCAAGTGATCCTCCTGCCTCGGCCTCCTGAAGTGCTGGTATCACAGGCATGAGCCCCCACACCCGGCCTAGTAACGGAGTTTGATAACTGTCGTGAACATTCATCATTATCAGGGTACGTCAGTTATTCCTTGGGCTTTTTCTCCCACAAGGGAAAACTAATCTCTTCATTCTCCATGTTCATTTTACGCCAGTCACTGTAGCCCTTTCTCCATCTTCTGGACAAATGAAGCATGACCTCCTTGGGCTTGTGCTGCGGCTGACCCTTCTGTCTTCACTCTTCCTCCTCCACAGTTTCACACCTCCGGCTTCTCATCAAATGGCACTTCCCCAGACATCTTGCCTGACCACCTATTGAAATTACCTCTCCTCCACCCTTTATTATCCCCAGTGCAGTTTTATTTCATTGGTTGTTTCATTTAAAGTATTTTACTTTACATGATGACTTTCACTCTCTCCCCACTAGAATGTATGGCTCTTCAAGGCCTGTTCATTGTGATGTTACCAGTACTAGGAACGGTGCCTGGCAAGGATTAGATGCTCCATAAACATCATACTCGCTCAGGTTGCAGACATGTACTTCTTGGGAATGTTTTATTCAGATGCAGTTTTCAGCCCGGGAACAGAGCTTTCTCTGAGTCCCTATTTCTATTCTTAGCTTTAGGAGCCAAGCAGTGGTATAATTACTACATATGACACCAGAAAAAAATTACTTTTTAACATTTCTCTCCTATATGCAACAAAATTATTTGTAATCATAATACTAATAGAGAAATTTGCAAACAGTGAAAAAGTGTTTATTCAATTCTATATATAATGAAACCAGCAGTAAAATAAAAATAATGTAATGAGAAGAAATAAAACAATTACATTCATATACTTTTTAGAAAAGGGAAAAATTGTATACCATGGTTCATATTTTATTTCACTGATTTAAATGCTAGGCACAAAAGCTCTTCAAGTGGTCACAGAATTGAAGTAACTCAAATTACTTCTTCATCTTCACAAACTGTGTTATTATTGTTGATTTCAAATCTACTATTTAAATCCAGGAATTGATAGATATAAGCTGCTCTCAAAGTGAGCTGGGATATTCTGAGCCATGGCTAATTTATGCTCAAAATGAACATGTGTAGCTGAGTTTGCATGTATTGAGGACCGACTGTGGAACTGGGAAGTCTCTAAATTAGCTTTCATATAGATAGAATACAGTGTGTTCAAGGATACATGATTTTAAAATGTGAGAATTTCAAGCTTACATATTTATTCTAAAAACTCAACTGTAAGCAACTGCAACAGAAGATTTTTAAGGGGAAGAGTATGTTATCAAGTACCTGCACATGCTGATTAAAACAAAAAAAGCCTATAGATTGTATTTCACTTTATTAATTTTGTTTTTGTTGTTGTTTGTGTTTTGAGATGGAGTCTCGCTCTGTCACCAGACTGGAGTGCAGCGGTGTGATCTCGGCTCACTGCAACCTCTGCCTCTCGGGTTCAAGCAATTCTCCTGCCTCAGCCTCCTGAGTAGCTGGGACTACAGGCGCCTGCCACCACGCCCGGCTAATTTTATGCATTTTTAGTAGAGACGGGGTTTCACCATGTTGGCCAGGATGGTCTTGATCTCCTGACCTCGGGATCTGCCCGCCGCGGCCTCCCAAAGTACTGGGATTACAGGCATAAGCCACCGCACCCAGCCTAATATTTTTAAATCTGTAGACACCACACTCCCTTATTGTCCGTATTGGGTCAGGCCTCTCCGGTCATCCAGTCCAGCTACACCAGTGTAGGTTCAGATACTTGGAATGAAACTTAACATTTCCTTTCCTAACACTGTCACTTCCACATGGTACCTGGATGACACTCCATACTGTCACCTGGCTTTTTCTCCCTCTGATTTCTGTCTTCTGCTAGAGTCCAAAGGTTCCCCCAAAGCCCACATTCCAGGGCCTCCAAAGACTCACAACACCCTGGAAATTCCCAAAAGGCTAATAAGCTAAAACTCATGAACAGCATCCAGCTATTCCACAGAGGAATGAAGAGTAGGAAGGGAGAGAGTCATTCACACTCTGCTCCAGGAAGAGGGATGTCTCATTTTCTCTAATTCTCTTGCTCTCCCTGCTGGGCTCCTCAGCCCTGTCTCCTCACCTCCTCCCACTACTTGCCCTTCGTTCCTACCAGGGGTGTTAAAGACAAAAACACAAAGCCTGTGTCTCCATGATTTCGAGTTTGTACTTGCTATTCTCTTTACTTGGTATTGAGAAGTACAAATGTAATTTCTACCTAAATAATTCCTATCCCATTATTCAAAATTCTGTTCAAGTATCACCTGTTCTGAGAAGTCTCTCCCTATGTCTCTCTCCTTCATGGCAGGCTCCAGAAAGATTTAGCCATTTTCTCTTTAATGCCGTTTCTGTACTTGAAAAAACTTCTACAATTGACATGTTTTTACTCACTGTGATTTCTTTCAGTTCAGAGCCTATGAGTTTACTCATCTTTGTAATTCTAACTCTTAGGTTGTGTTCAATTTATGGAAAAATGTTTGATTGAAACAGGAAATACAAGATACAAGGTATGTTTTGGAGCCAATTGTAACTTAAAATTATCAACCACACCTCACCCCTCAAGCTGCAGAAGTTTGACCTAACCTTCAGAATGGCTGACACACTGATTTCCTTGTGCTTTCACTAATTTATTCCCATGCCTACTTCCAACAAGTTTTCTAGACCAGATGACATTACTTGCCATCCCTTATCATGAGTTGATGGTTATTATGGGGTAACTAAAGGCATAGTGGTCATTAAAGGCTGTATACATGGCTGGTGAATCCAGGAAATGAAATACAGAAATATTATTTAGCTGGTTACACTCTATCTAATTTCTATCTACGTGAAAGAAAACTCATGGTAATTATTACTTATATACCAATATGTCATTTCTGAAACACTTAAGAAATGAATTAGTGAAAATTCAATATTACTTTGTAAGTGTAGTATTTTGGGTTACTGTCCTGAATCATGTTTCCTCTCTAAAACAGGATTATACATCTCTATTTATTGTCAAATGACTTGTCATACATTCTCTGGGAAAGAACCACATTCCCACCTCATTGATTCTGCGCTTGGCCACCATGTGATATGCACTGGCCGTGTGACCAAAAGAACGGTGAGCAGACATTTGCCATGATTAAACAGAAGCCTTTAGTGTAACTGTGTGGATGGCTGAAGCTTTTCTGTTCTTGCCCTCCACCATGAGAATATCATGTCTCCAGACAGGGGTTGTTGCTCTTTCAGTAAAGGTTCCACAATGCAAAGAAACATAGAGCAGAACTACACTCACCTAGACTCATGCCCTGAAGCGCTCATGGTGTGTGAGCATGAATTAAATATTTATTGTAAGCCACTCAGCTTTATAGTTGGTCTTCACACAGAACACAGAAGAAAACCTTATGCATAGGGCAAATTATTGAAGACTGATTTTATTTTAATTTAAGGATAAGAATGATATCATATTGCCTTTTTATAGTTTGGCACATTAAAAGGTTCTAAATAAATATTTTGAATTAATATAATTGCAATAAAGTAAAACAGGTTGTGTTTAACGATGTAGAAATTAAAACTTTAAAAATTAGTTCTCCTTTGTGTATTGGACATCTGTTGTTTTTGTCAGTTCAGAATTTCTTCCTCTACTTCCAGGAACAACACTCATCTCATTTTAGGGGCAAGTAATTCTTCTAAGGCTTTTAATCATAGGACACTGGCTTCCCAGACCACAAGTTTAAGCACATAACCCAGATTTGGCCAATTATAGCACCTCATTTTCTCTGTCACAGTGATTGGTGCTTGGATAGGAACATAATCTAGGATGATAGAGTCCTTCCTTGAATTTCCATATACTGAAGTGGTTGGAGAAAACTGCTACCTTTTTTGTTGGGTTCACAGATGTAGTAAACTGCAGCCATGCCCAAAAGGTATAAAGAAAAAGGAAGGCCAGGTACGGTGGCTCAGGCCTGTAATCTCAACACTTTGGGAGGCCAAGGTGGGTGGATCACCTGAGGTCAGGAGTTCGAGACCAGCCTGGCCAACATGGTGAAACCCTGTCTCTACTAAAAACACAAAATTAGCCAGGTGTGGTGATGTGTCCCTGTAGTCCCAGGTATTTGGGAGGCTGAAGCAGGAGAATTGCTTGAACCCGGGAGGTAGAGGTTGCAGTAAGCTGAGATCGTGCCATTGTACTCTAGACTGGGAAACAAGAGTGAAACTTCATCTCAAAAAAAAAAAAAAAGAAAGAAAGGAAAAAGAAAAACAAAACAAAGCCCACAAAGAGAGTAGGAGAATTAACAGAATGTTCTGTGGGCTCTTGAGTCTTTTGCCTAGTTCTTGAAATCCCATATCTACCTCATTAATGTAGCTCTTCTTTCTGTGAGCAATCCTGGTATCCTTCTAACAATTCCTTCTTTGCTTAAGTAAATTAAAATTGAGTTTCTGTATCTCAAGTACTATTGAATATAATTTGAATTAAAGTAGCTTTCAACCATTAGTTTATAAATCAAAACAGAACAAATATTACATTGATCCAATTCAGCAAGTTGGGTTGTAAAGAATGATGATGCTCTTGAAAGCACGCCAGGTAACCCTAATCAGTGGTCCATTCTAGCTCTAAATTAGTAAGGATTAAGGATAGGTTGTTCCTGAGCCTTTCCAGAGCTTCCGCCCATATCCAAGGAAGACCTTTCCCCCTTAATCTATAAACGGAATGACTGGGACACAGAAAAGTGACATGCACACAAAACATACAACTAATGTAGGTGCCAGTGAAGGGCATGAGAGAGCATGATGCACAAGGTTGCAAGCCTTAGATGACTGGAAATACCAGCTTGGTCCAAGAATTATTTTTCCAGAAATACTGAAATAAATACAGAAAATACAAGGAAAGCACAAATTCAAAGATGTTTCTACCCACTGATGGGAAAGTTGTAAAGCTAAGCCAAACAGAAAAAGCCAGAGTGCTTTAAGTGATTATGGATTCCAGTATTTCAGGAGAGGCCCATGTTTTCTAGACCAAATCTTCTCATATCATAATTTTTAAATGACAAAGAAATGAAAGGATTACACGTCAGTGCAAAAGCTGTTCTCGTGATAGGGAAATTCACAGGGACCGAACACAACTTCTATGTGTCTGAAATACGATTCCGACCTAATAGTCAGAAAATTTCCTTCCAGAAGTCCACCACTTGAAGCCTAAAATCATTATAGATCAGATAGATGATAGATAGATAATAGATAGATGGTAGATATAGATGATAGATGATATAGATAGATGATAGATAGATAGATAGATAATGATAGGCAGATATATAAAATATTTCTGAAAAATAGCCTAGCCCACTCAGCAAAGAATGTAACAATCTATGAACTTCCCAAACCATCATCAAACAGCATAAAATAGAATAACGTGATCCCCAAGAGATCACCTGCAGCTCCAGGTGAGATGACACCCGAAAGACTTTCCATACATGGCCTAAACATTGGCTTCAGAGATCACATGTGAGCTCTATATTTTAAAGGGCAGGACAACATAAAAATAATCATAGCTACAATCTTGAAACTTTTTTCTGCATCCATTTACCTAAATGATTCTGCCCAGTGACTACCATTTAGTTCTTACCTATGAGGAAAATATTGTTATTTTTGTTTACAGATGAAAAAAAAATGAAGCCCAGAGGTCTCTAACAAAAAAGTGGCAGAATCTAAATGTGAATCCCAATTGTTTGAGTCTAAAGCCTGACTCCCACCACCACTCTACATTAACCCTGATGAATTACTCATCATTTTACCACAACATATGGGAAGTACTTGATAAATAATTAATGAATGAATTGATCAATGGCATTAAGTCCAACAGCCTCACAGCCATCTGTAATATGCCCCCTGTTTATTTTGTTGGTATTAATCCCCACTGTGACTTTTCATGGAATTACCTCCACAAATACAACATAATGCAAAATTGCAGGAAAGAAGCTCAAACTTTGGGATCTGAGAACAAAGAAGCAAAATGGCTTCCCTGAAGTCAGACACTGAGGATCAGAGAAGTACCTAGCAGTCTAGTTTTGCTAGAAGAAAGGTTGTCTGGAGGACACTAGTGGGAGTAAAGAAAGACTGATTATAGCCAAATTGTAAATGAGTTTGGATGATCTTTACTCTGAAGGCAATAGAGAGCCATTGAATGGCTCCTAAGAGGAGGAGTAACAAGATTGGAGCCATATACAAGCAAGTATCTGATAAATGCTTTCGGATGATTAAGTTGATATCAGACTAGATCCCAAAAGGATATGGCATTCTTAAGTTTGGATAATTTGAGGAATATTTACTTACAAAAGAAGTGATTACAGAAGGAAGAATGAGGTGTAGAGAAACTACAGGGAGCAGGTAGGAACCCAGGGCTAGTAGCAGCAGAGCTGTACTAGCTTAACGGAAAAAGAAGAGAGAGGGGCTACCCAAATCCAGGGGAGAAAGCTGTACAGTGTAAACTACCCAGAAGGCAGCGGTGACATTCTGCCATGGCCAGCCAGAGGTCACTTCACAGGGAAGAAACTAGAGGAATAAAGACTGACTTTGCTTTCTCTCTTCACTCTATCTCCTGCCAGCGCTTCCCACTGGACAAACCCAACAAGCAGCAGAGTACACTCATGCCCCTCAAAGAGTTCACATAGGGGAGACCCCCAGGAAGAAAGCAGAGGTGGGAGAGTGGAGGGGATCTGGAGGCCCAAACCAACGATATCTGGCTCAAAGTCTTCCCAATAACAAGAAAAATTCTATTGCAGTATAGTTTATAGACAATTTTTAGTTACCTGTATTAAGATAAATGAAGAATAAGTAGAAACAATGGTACGATATTATTACCAGTATAAAGATACTTTATTCCCAATGATTGTATAACTATATTTATTTTTAAACACTAGACTCATTTATATTGTAGTTCCAGTTTCTGTAAGTATAGCAGCTATTGAAATGGAGAATGGGAGTGGAGAGAGGGGAAGAGTCAAGTCTGGCCCCAAAATACACACTTTTGATTGGTAATTTGATCTGGCATGAAAAATTAGCTATAAATTATTAGTAGCAGAAAATTGCATATGGTTGATTTAAAAATGACTTCACTCGAAACCACATATTTATAATGATAGTTTAATATGCTGTTTGATCAATTATTCTTTCAGGTTCATGACACAATAGAAAACTGTCATCAACAAGAACGTTGGTGTTTCCTAATCAGGAGCTAAGTGGTTGTACTTTACATCACTTAAAAATACAACTTGTTTCAATTCTGGAGATAATTGCTTTCCCACATGGGCATCCATAGGTTACCTCTTTGTGTGACTGATAAGCACACTGGCTTATGAAAAATGTAAGCCAGAATTTCACTTTGCTAAGAATCGTTAAATTCAAAATATCCTTGGTAGGCATTAGGCCTAAAATCTCATTGCATTTTAGCTCTGTAACCCTGGGCAAGTCTTTTGACCTTTTTAAGCAAATATCTTGCCCTACCTAACCTCTCATAGAACATATATACTGAGCAATTACCGTTTTCCAACCACCAGGTTGGTACTTATCACCACAACCCAAGAAGCAGGTACAACAGTTATCTCCATTTTACTGATAAGAAAAGTGAGTCTTATTAATGTGGGTTAAGTAATTTACTTATAGTCTTACAGCTAATAAATGATAAAGTAGGATTAGAATCCAGCCCCTGGCCCAACTCCAAACTATATACTATATATCCTCCTACTCCATAATTAGTAGATAGTATATACTGTACTATCTTCCTACCCCATAATAGTCATTTAGGGTTTGAATGAAATAACATGTTAAAATATTATGTAAAGGTAAAGAATTATACAAATGTATAATTTTTGTTTTATAATATCTAAGATTCTTGATCATTCCCTAAGTATAACTTTTCAAAGAGTCTACTGTATTCATTCTTCATGTAAATATTTTGATCATCTATTAATCATTTTCAGTTTTCTTGTGACTAAGATAAAATTTTCAAATACTAGACTGTGGAAAAGCATACTTGAAGTAGTTAAAGGTGAACACCGGCTGAAAGAAAAATGAAGTTTAGAAAATTCTTTTAAAAACTATCATAGTATTTAATTGGTCTTCAGAATTGGATTACTGTTTCAGTGTAACTGTTGACTTGCATAAACTCAAAAGAAACAGTTTCTCATATTCCAGTAAGCATGAAACATACTGTTGGTGTTGTCCTGATGTTATGTTATATATTTTAATTCTTACTAAAAGTTTTCTCTGGTTAGAACCTGCTCAGTCCACTTTTCTGCAGAACAGACATCACTAAGGCAAAATAAATCTCCGGTTGTACATATTGATCAAAATATGGAAGCCTAAAAGAGGCATGCTGTTTGAAAAACACTGTGAAACATCATGCAGATGAGTGTTCTTATCCAAAGCCAAATTCTTCCCTTCTTTTAGTTCTTCTTTTTCTGGATACAGGAAATATATTCCCTTTTGAAGAGGCAATATGCCTGGGCCTCCCTCCTTCTCCTCACCAGTGTCTAAAAGGAATTATTCCACTTCCAAGGCCACAGGAGACTATATCAGTGCCATCTATGTTTAGAGTCTAACACCATCATCCTTTCAGAAGGCAGCAGTAGCAGCTATCTCAAAAGACAGAGCAGTAGGATGGGTCCCTGAGCAGATGCCCACCTGTCCAAAGTCCCAGGCTCCATCTGAGTCAGGTGTCATTGAAACATATCACCCAGTGAAAGTCACATGGAGTCTTAATAATGCAGATTTAGTCAACTTCTTTATTTCAGATGTCCAACTAAAAACACCTGGGAGACCTTAAGCATTATCTATTTTCTCTTTCACCAAACAAAATGATAAATGGAAAAAAAAAGTCTGCAGACTCTCCTATCTTCCTTAGCAAACCAAAATAAAGAGAGATTCCTTACTCTTGAATGGTAGGTGTGAGTAAGGTGGGGGAGAAAAATAGCAGCATGAGTCTACTAACCTAGTCTGGTTAAACAAAATCCTGTTTTACACTCTCATGACAATGCTACCCAGTTCATTTGGTCCATTTTAACTGAATGCCTCCACTGTGCCCAGTTTCTGGAGTTTGCACAATTTAAGTTGCATTTCCCATCCCCTAGAATATTAAGAAGTAAGAATATTTTAAAAATTATTACGGTAACATGAGTTAGGCTAAAGAATAAGATTACAGGTAATGAAGACCCTATAAACACTATAGAGCATATACAATCAGGAATTTTTACAGACTCGAGAACTGGGGAAGGGTTTGTGGCACAGATATGGGCCAGCCTGGGTTTGAAAGACAAAATTGGGATTGAGAAAGAGAAGAAAGAAGGATTTGGGGGCTGGAGGAGGGGGGAAATGCCATGCAGATGATGAAAAGATAATAGCAAAGAGGACATCAGTGCTCTGGGAATATTTGGCTGGCACCAACAAGTAGAATTATTTTCTGTGGGGATGGAGACAAAGAAAGGGAATTACAGAATCTAACGACAACTGAAACAATTTCAGTGCTAAGCATTGATTATTATAGAGACAGAATAAAGAGGAAAAAACTTAATCGTAAGACTTCGCAAAGGAACCTTACCATTCTTCTCACCCTTGCCAACAAAACCTATTTTTCTCCCACAAAACCTGGACTATGAGATTCTAGCATTTCACTTGGCACAATCACCTTTAAGTATCAACATTAACTTCCTTCACTTCTCCTCTAAATACAAGATTTTGAATATCAGTACGAGAGCCCATGGCTAATTCTAGGAAGTCACTCATTGTAGAAATGGCATATAATTGCTGTGCTGGCCAGTGCAAAGAGGATATGCTTATTACTAGAGAAGATAGTCCTCTTTCCAAGAGGAATCTGAGACAAATGATGCTTCCATGTATAGAAACAATAAAAGAGCGAAGGTATTTTGCAAATAAAGTTGTCCATTGAGTAGACTCATTGCTAAATGCAGAAAGCATGTATCTCACTATGGGGAAACACTGAGACCTCTTTCAACTCTCCCTACACTGAAGCAACATAAAAAGTTTCTGTCCAAAGTCCCAATCACCAGCAATATGGAACACAGCAAAAGTCATTTACAGTCTTATTCCATACATGATATATTCTACATTAAGAATAAAATAACTCATTACATTGTGAAACCTAGAATGGAATCCAAACCAGCTTAACTGCATTATCTTGTGACATTCACCCATTACTATTGATTGATCAAAGTGTTTTCTTTGTCTGCATGCTGAGCTAACACAGATTAATTACTCCATGATCCGTTTAAAATTAAATCAAAGAAGGCTCCATTATAATTGGTCAGACATAACATGAAGGCAGGGAAAGGAGTAGCAGTGGTTAATGCCCTGTATGCTTAATTTATTTTTCTAAAAAAACATGCTGAATTTAACCTCCCCTCAAAATCAAGTAACTATAATGCTGAAAGATGACATTTTTTTATTTGCTGTATGTCTTGTTCAGAATACTGCATATAAGAGAAATTTCATTTCTAAGATCTCTAGGGCTTGCTGAGGAATGACTTTTATCAGCATTCTTCAAAATACATTTCATGTAAGGGTACGTTGATATAAAATTTTTAAAGAAAACTCTTTGAAAATGAAAAAGAGCATAAATAGCTTGGATGGTTTAAAAAAATGCACTTATCCTCTCTGAGGAAAAAAAAAATCATTTGTCCTGATGTATACTGGACCCTAGTCTTTCTTTTCAGATTCCATTGGGTAGCAGTCATTTCTTTTGATAGGATTTACCAGTATCTCCAACTAGGGGAAGGTCCTAATTAATCCACATCTATAAAGGTAATCCTATGCATCTTGTTTGTTTAAGATAAACTAGGTCTATACCAATCAATTAATAATAATTCTCTGGCCACAGAGATTTCATGAATGTTGTTCAGTGGCATCCACACTATCCTGCTGAGTAGTGTAAGTTTGCTTCAGGCAGCCTCCTATCCATGGCCACAAGAGAAACCAATCTAAGAATGAAGCCAGTAACACTGTAAATGGCAGAGCGAAAAGTGAAGAAAAATCTAGTTCTTGATGAAAGAGTTGTACCACTCGACCAGCCCACCCTGAAGTTCGGTCTACGTCTGGATTTTCCAATAAAATGAATCACGTTATCCCCTGGTGTTTAAGCCAGGCTGAGTCATATTTTCTGAAATTCTGCCCAAAAGTATCCTAACCACTATGCAACATGTATTGCTCAATTGTTCACAGAGCCTATAGTCAGAGAATAATAAACTGAACCTTAAAGACTGCTGGGTATTCAAGCATATTTTTATTTGTCTAAATATGAAGAAGTAAAGAAGAGTCACATGAAGAAGATAAGATGATTTTTAGGAATAGTAACTAATGGGGACTCCTGGGCCCAATGTTTGCTACTATGTCATTATCACAAGCCAACCTTATCACTGCTGAGAATGGTAAGAACATTGCACCTCATTATTGGGATCACTATGAGTTTCCAAGTTTGAGTTTTGAACCTCAATCATAGAAGAGATTGCAACCTTAGTGTTTTAGAATTTGAAAAGAACTAAGCAAAATGTGTATGAGAAAAAATATAAACATATTCATATATTATTTAAGATTATTTTATTAAATGATAACCTAAGCTTTTACTGGAAAACTAAAAAGTCAACAGAGAAGAGAACAGGTACCGTGGTAAAGAAAAACAGTATGAGCCGGACGTGGTGGCTCATGCCTGTAATCCTAGCACTTTGGGAGGCCAAGGCAGGAAGATCGCTTGAGGTCAGGGGTTCGAGACCAGCCTGACCAACATGGAGACAACCTGTCTGTAATATAAATACAAAAATTAGCTGGACGTGGTGGTACATGCCTGTAATCCCAGCTACTCAGGAGGCTGAGGCATGAGAATGACTTGAAACTGGGAGGTGGATGTTGCAATGAGCCAAGATCGCATCAGTGCACGCCAGCCTGGGCAACAAAACGGGATTCCGTCTCAAAAAACAAAAAACAAAAAAAGAACAGCATGGAGTATGAATCTTGAGACATGGTTAAATTCCTCTCTGCCTTTTAGCTGTGTGATCTTGTGCTGTTTACTTAAACTTTCTGAGGCACTCCCTTCAGCAGTAAAACAAAATAATAATAAAATTTTCAAAAGCTATTAAAAGGATGATATTAGATAATATAAAAAAGCTTAATAAAATATTTATTATTCACATATGATTTCCACAAAATGAATAGTATTTAACCTAGTTGGAAAGATAAAATGTGCATGGTAAAACACTGATTCATTTCCTTGTTCGAGGCTGCCAACTTTCCATTGTCTGAAGAATAAAGTCCAAATATTTTAGAATAGAATTTATAGTCTTCTACAACTTACAACCTGGCTTCAATATATGTTTCCAGCTTCACCTCCTACTACTCATCTTTACAAGTTCTGCATGCCAGTAACCCTGCCGTCCAGCATTCCTAGACACCTCATTCTCAGCACCCCTTATGTTAGCCACTTACATATCTTGGCTCTTGTTATTCCTCCTTGAAGAATACTCCTTCTCTGCCTACCTAACATCTACCTATGTCTTTTAATACATTATTACTATTTACAATTTTTTTAATGGACTACTATACCTAAAGCCCAGTTCAAATGCCCCCTCTTTCCTGGGGATTCATATACCACCACTAGCTGTCATCCTTCATTCTCTAAACTTCCACAGCCCTTGATTTGTAACTTGCTTGCTCTTAAAAGCGAAACCAAACAAAATGAAAACGTATTATACAACAGCCACACGTAAAAAAAATGTCTAATGTCTCTTACTGAAGTGTAAAGGCTTTATGAACAGAATTATGCCTGATACGGTTTTATTTCCTCAAGATGCTAAAATGAGATAATTCACAAATATTATAGTAAATATCAGTTCAATAAATAAACGAAAATAATAGAAGGAGAAAATATGGTATAGGGGAATTCGTGTTACAAGCTATTTGTGTAAATGAGAGAAGAATTCAAAGCAGAGAATGATCATTCCAGCATGAATTGCCAAGTAGAAGTGTAGCTGAGGTGGAGTTTGAAGGAAGGTTACTATTTGGATGCATTAAAAGGAAGTGGAAAGGCGTTCCAGCTAGAAAAAATATATAAGCAGTACCCTAGAAGAAAAAAAATGTATTTTATTTGTGGTAAAGGTAGAGAAGTAACCCATCTAACAATCACATGGGCTGTGCCACACATCAATAGAAAATAAAAATTGCTGTAAGGTTTAACAGGCGTATTGCTGTACATATGAAGGAGACATTATGCTCTTGAGAAGTCACTTGTGGCATAATATACATTATAAAGAACAAATGTTAATTATATGTGACTGATCAATATAAAAAAAATTGTAGGATATTAAAGGTAAATCCAAGAATTTGAGCCTGAAAGATTGGGGAACTGATTTTATCCCTGATAGCAATGAAGACTAGCCACAGAGGCCCAGTTAAGTAGATGAAATAGCAAACTCTATTTTGGTCTTGAATCAAAGAGAAGGGCACTTTGGGGACAGGTGATACTGTTAAAGCCAGTGTTTTTCTGAGAGAGTACTCTCTATTATCACCACTTAGGTGCAAAGATTCTGATCTCTATGCAAAAGAACACTCAACAACTGGATGCTCTTTTAATCCAATAGAGATCCTTCCATTTTCCTAAAAAAAAAAAAAAAAAAAAAAAGAACATCAATTTGTATTAATCTAGAGCTTGCTCTAGAACCTGATATAAACATAGACTCTGAAATTCCACACAGACCCTTCAGTCAGTGCATGATAAAATATGCTGATTACAGCTCGCATATCCCCACAAAAAGCAAAATACAGCCTGTTGTTCTACCTTATTATTCTATTATTGACATATTCATAATATACAGCAGTTAACTTTTAGGATGTGAATATTTCTGTAAGAGGGAATTATCATTTAAACTGTTGCCAAAGTGAATGATCGGCTGTGAGAGGTAGTATAGGAGAAGAGCAGGTTTCTCTGGGTGAAAAGAGAGGACAGTTGCCATAAAGGTGGGCGGACCTTATGCACTCTCCCAGGCTGAATCGACAGGCCCACATTGCACAGGCCCAAAGGGCACTATTTCCATTGTATTTATATGAAATGTAATTTCTTGAAACACAATTCCAGAAAGCCATGTGAATGGTGCTCCCGGAACTGTGCAACTTGTTGGCTATTTTCTAGACCAGAGCTCAGTTCAAAGACAACAATGCATTTTCTAGGAGTTTCATCTCTTTATTTGTATTTTTAATTTAAGTCTACATGTTTCAAGATTGGTCTACAGCCCCACCCTCCATAATCAATGCCTGGATTTTAAATTTTATATGTGTACACATAAATTTTAAAATTTTAAATTTTATATGTGTACACATAAATTTTAAAATTTTAAATTTTATATGTGTACACATAAATTTTAAAATTTTAAATTTTATATGTATACACATAAACATCCATCTATCTGTATGTATTATATCTATAAACAGGTGTGCATGTGTGCATAAGTATGTTTATCTATTATTTAGAAGTAGACATATTCTAAGGCATCTGAGCAATGACTTTATTGACTTTATGGAGACTAATTATTGCCACAAAATTTTGAAACGAATGTTTCTGGTTTGTATTATATGTTTCACTCCAATAAAGTTAAGATTAAATCACTGTGAATTGAAGAAATAATTGTTTGAGGTAGTTCAAATTGAGAAAATGGAGTAATCACCAGACTTTTGAAAAGTTAAATATTAATGCTTCGACAGTAAGAAGACATTTTACTTAGCAGGCATACGTCTTTCAGAAATCCCAGCTCTAGGAATACCATTGTTAGAATAATTCATTCATAGTAAGACTAAATAGCAAATATTCAACAAGAAATTTATCTGTTCCCAATTCCAGCAATTAGTTGATAAAACATTTTAATGTAGTTTTCAGTAATGCTGTCTTATTAACTGTCTTCCAAAATTTTTTTTAGTGATATCATTACATTTAGCATTTTAGGATTTCTAGCAGGCAAACATTTAGTTAAGTATGAAGTCTAATTACCCTTAAGTAAAAAAACCAAGAAATTAGTAATATAATTTTATTCAACATACTTATGTGAACAGATTCTCTGTATAAGTATTATTGAAATAAAAGCATAGAAACATTAAATATATAACTGCATCTGAACTGAGATAATTTTATGTCATTAAACATTAAATTAATATTGCTAATTTAGATTGAATTGTCTCTGTATAGACTTGTTTATAATTTAATTTGTAAATTATCTAGTTTCATCATTTTGTACGCACTATAAACAAGAGAATTTTATGCCATATACGTGCATATATAATACGTAGTAAAAATAACCTAAGTTGACAGTGGATGGCCATTAATACGGTTTTTCATTATAAAAAGTGAGTCCTTTACCTAAGTTCGAGGAACACTGCTCCAGAAGATCTAGGTCCAAAGAATACAGCACCAAACCAACACATCCAGGACATAAGCCTTTCAAGTCCTTTTATGCAGTGATCCATCCATTCATATTTATTGAATGCCTCCTGTGTGTTAGACACTGGAGTTATATATCAATGAGCAAGACAGACGTTTCTTATCCTCAAGTAGTTTACACTCAAATGAGTGAGACAGATAATTAACATGAAAGCAAATAGTTTTTTTTTTAATTCAAATTGCATTCAGTGTATGAATGGTCCTGTGGCAAACAGAGTAACTGGGAGGACCAGTTGGTATTAAATAATCATCCGTGGGAGCCTCTTGGAGAGCATATTGCTTCAGATGAGGCCTTGATGAAAGAATGAGCCATGTAAAAACAAAGAGTGAACACGGATGGCAAGGGGAAATGTTGCAGAAGAGGGAACAAAAAATTAAAAGCCTCTAGTGTCGGAAAAGTTTGGCATAGCCTAGGAAGTAAAAGAAGAATACTGTGGCTCGAAAATTGTGAGCAGGAGGAAGAAGAGCATGAGACAAGGTCACAGAGGTAAGCAAGACACCCTGTTCAGGGCCTTGAAGGCCATGTTAAAGTGTTCTTCTTTCATTCTGAGTGGAATGGGAAGACATTGAGGAGTACAAGCAGTAGACAAACATGATATAATTTATATTTTGAGAACATCAGGCTACAGTGGGTAAGATGGCTAGATGTGTCATGAATAAACACTGAACACTCATAGATGGACAAGGATACGACCTCTTTTATTCAGAGCCAAAACTGTCTTAAAAGGAACTAGAGCCAAGACTGTGTTTACAAGTGTGTTTTATATGTTTTAATTTGAGTTGCCAAAATTATTAAAATCATGAGATTTCACTTAAAATATCTGGATTTCCTCCTGCATCTTTGGATTTGTTTTACTATTATTATTATTATTATTTTCTGGAAGATCCAGTAACATTGAGCCTGCAGTCCTGCCTAGAACCAACTGGCTGGAGCTGAGTAGTAGCTGGTTAATTTCCCCATTTGGAAAGTGCTGTGATTTCATATTTGTCACATTTCTTCCAAATCCCCTACTGCCTAAGAACTAGCCTACCTCATTCACTTTTCTTACTTGTTGGCTACAGCTAGATGCATTTATTATTTTCTACTTCCTCATAGCAACCATAGTAACTAATAACAATCACAGCCCTTGGGAGCTGTTCCTAGTGCCGCTTCGAAACCTTGGTAAAGACTATGCCAACTTGATCTTTTTTTTCTAAACCTGATCTTAATTCACTTATTAGTCCCAGATGACTTTGTCCGTTGTTTCTCCAAGACCACACCTAGGCATGAAACATCAACTTGTCCTATCTCATTGCTCATCCAAGCCTAGTGCTTAGCTTCAGTTCTGTGAGCCATTATCCCAGGTCTCAAGCTCGCCTGTTCGATCATGCTTGTTTCTGAAGACATTCACACAGGGCCTCTGCACTATTTACATCTACTGTTCATGTCATTGCTGGACCCTTTGAGGGGCAGGGTATTGTATACAAAATTAAGTGTTTTAGTTGGCAAAATCGATGCTGCCTAACGTGCTTTGTTTATAATATGTTTATAATGTAAACGTAAAGAATGTACAATCCTAATTGTATTTTATGTGTAACCTCTTGGGTTGAGATTAACTGAAGCCTGTTTCTAGTTTTATCCCTTTACTCTCATCTGCCTGGAAAGTATGCAATTTAGTCAAATCATGAAAACTAAATGTTTCTAAAAGAATGTAAGGGTATTAGGTCGGGAATTTTAACTTGTTCATTACTGTAACTCCAGTACCTAGAGTAGTGGGACCTGGGAAGCTTCTCAGTACATATTTTGTTGAGTAGGAATGAATGCCAGGCTATGAGACATGCAGCACAATATTGTGCTCTGGACATATGAGATGGCTAAATGGAAAACCATGCTCATGCTTGCTGACAAGATCTCTAAAATAACAGAAGCATCGTCTATATCACTTTCTTCTCCAAACAACACCAGTTACTTAACTATAAGCTATGGCTTCTGGCTCATATGCTGTTTTCCTAAGCTATTTATATTATGAATCTATAATATCCCTCAGAATAATAAAATTCTTCATTAATTACCTCTTGATAAAAGTAACTATTGGTTCAATACATAATCTTGAAACATACCAATAGATACAATAATTATGAAATTATGAAATATCTGGGGAATATTTCCTAATATGGAAATATAACGTTCATCACTAATAACCACATACGAAAATAGAGTTACCTAAATATTGCTTAACCCAGGTCTAAATTGTATCTTCCAATCACAGTCACATTTCTTTCCTCTTCTTCCTCTTCCTGAGCAAAACTTCTTGGACGGAAAAGACATTCATCAGACTCAGCATAAAATGAAAATCTCTCAGTCCATTAGCTCCACCTTTATCAATACCACATTGGAAATGACATAGTTGTGATTCTTTTCTTTCTCTTTCCTTCCATTCAATACAGAAAATGTCAACTCTTGCCAAATTAATTCTACCACCTTATCACCAAACTAAATATTAACAAACGACCATCAAAGACAAAAGTTATGTTGTGTGAGCCTTAATTGGATGAGAACCTCGTCTTGCTGCTTGCAGGGAGTCAACTGTCAGGAAACGGAATTTATAGACTAACCTGATTCCTAAGACTTGTTTAAAACAAAAAGAACCTCAAGAACTTCATATGACCATCTTTCTCTCTGTAGGGCAATACATACTTCGGCTTTGAAACAACATCTGAATCAATGTGCTATCTTTCTGTGCACTAACTCAACTGATTTCATGACAAATTAATTTGTCAGAAATCAACAACTGCAGGTTAGAGATAGAAATAAAGTCACATGAAAGACCAAATTGGGGCTATTTTGGATCTGTTAGCCTTATGATAGGATGCTTTAATTTATGCATCATAGAAATCTCTTTACACCACTGCCTGTAATTGCAGCATCTCACAATGCTTGCCTGCGCTCTGGTTTCACTTTATTCTGGAAAAGCTGGTAAAAAGTCACTTTATGTAACTGATGACTTGCTGGGCCAAAGTAACTTTTAGACATATTATCTAATCATTTTTTAATCTCGTGATATCATTATTATCACAATAATAAAAATAACAATAAAAAGAGCAAAAATACTACACATAAAAAGACTTAGTGAGTTTCCCATCATCAAATGGAATACTTAATTTTCCCTATACAAATTTCCATTTTTTTTAATTCTCTATGTGAATATAAAATTGCACATTACAAAAAACCCATGCCCCTAATTCATTCTTCACTCCAATGCCGTCATTGCTATAGAAGACCCATTTAATGGCCTATCTAAATCCATTTCTTTTTCTTCTTTGCCAAGAGAGTCTCAGTTTTCTTCAGAACAACAATGTGCTTAGTCCCAGGTAACTAATCATAATCAACGCAAGCCAAACTTAATAATACTATGCCTCACTTCTAGCCAGAAGTCACCTACTTTCGGTAATTAGACTTGGGAAGAAGCCTTTGCAGGGATGTTTGGGAAACTTTTACTCCCCTGAGGAGAAAGAGAGACTAGGGTGGCAGGCATCACTCTGCCACCCTTTTGCTGCTTTGAATTTAGGCTTCATATCTGGAACTGCAACAACTATCTTGAGACTAAAAAAGCAAGTCAGAGTATAAATGGCAACACACTAAAGATACCACAGAAAGAGCTCCTAGACACAGAGACGGGAATGACACACACTGGGACCTATCAGAGGGTGGAGGCTGGGAAGAGGGAGAGGATCAGGAAAAATAACTAATGGGTAACAGGCTTAATACCTGGGCGATGAAATAATCTGTACAACAAACCCCCATGACACATGTTTATCTATTTAACAAACCTACACATGTACCCCTGAATTTAAAATAAAAGTTAAAAAAATACTAAGTTCTTTGTGAAATCCAGCAAAATGCCTACTTTCAGACTTAGTATTTGAGAAAAATCCATCCTCATTTGATGAAGACACTGAAGTCTGTAACTTACAGTGGAATACTTTTCTAAGTGATACAGTGGTTTTTTTAGTAGCTCAGGACTTCTAAAGAAAAGTCTCACCTTGTTTCTTGTGTTTCTCTTTAAATCTGCTTTCCACTTTAGCTCTCAAATAGCCACTCAAATTGCTCACGATTCTCTGAATTCTCTCTGTGGTTCGCTGCAGGATTTTGTAAATGGTTCTACCTCCATCACTGAAGTATTTTGCCATCTTTATTTTTCTTCATCAAAAGTTATGTTAGTACAGGTGTATTTCATGACTCAGTAAGTCTACCCCTAGTAATGTTTCAATAAGAAATGCATATATATGTTTATATTACACATATGTGTGTATGGATATTGTATACAAACATATATAAACATATAAGTGTGTATGTATACATGTGTATGTATGTGTATACACACATATGTATACATTCACAAATATACACATTTATATACATATATACACATACGTACACATATACATATATATATATTTACCAAAAAGACAGAGATTGATCATAGAAAACACTATTCATAAAAACCCCAAACTGAAAACAACTCAAATGGACATGAGTGGTAAAAAGGATAATGTGTGGTATGTTTATAGCACTGAAAATGAACAAATTGCAACTATAGCCACATGCAACAATAAGGATAGATCTCACAAACATAACACAAAGCAAAGCACCTAGGATTAAAAGAAGATGTACTGTATTATTTCATTGATTCAAGTTTTCAAACAGGCACCTAATCGATGGTGTCATCGCAAGATAATTGCTGCCCTTGGGGAGGGCAGTGACTGGAAGAAGGAACAAGTAGAGCTACCAGGATGCTGGGAATGTTCTGTTTTCTAATCTACGTCATAGTCACATGGTTGTGTTCACTCTGTGAAATTACACCACACTGTATATCTATGATTCGTGCATTCCTCTGTATGTGATATTTAAAGAAATTGTTTTCCAAAGCAAAAAAGTTTACTCAGGCCAAAGAATTATCATTAACATAAACACATTTCTTCTACAACCCTTCCTTTGGTTCCTTCTTCACTTCTATTTAACCTTTTTCTCTCTTATTCCTCCATAGAATTTTGTCTACACTTACCATGTAACAGATATCCCAAGATGCTTTGTATTACAATGTTTGTATATGTAAACACCTCTTCTCCCCATAAGACCATGACCTCTCTGATGGCAAGGATCTCATCTGTGCTATGTCATACTGCAATGCACCAGATAGATCAGTAATCATCTTTGAAGGGAGTTTTACTTCAAAATAGCTTTCTATAAAACATAGGTACCAAAAATCAGCTGTTTTGTGTGCTTTTGCATTTTTGAGTTTTCATAACCTAATATCATGAAGTTTTGCAATTCTTAAGGCAGCTGTAGTGTAGAAGACTCATTGGATGAAAAATGTGATGAACTTATTTACAAGCCTTCACTTGACACCACCTTTAGCTGTGGAAACTAATACAGGCAACTTTACCTCTTAGATCTGCAATATCTTCATCTAAATTATGGAGATAATCATGTCTGCCTCACAAAATTGCTATGTATCTCAAGAGACTTAATGTATATGATGTTACATAAACTCTGAAACTGTATATAAACTACAAGCATTGTTCTCCATCGTCTTCCAGTAGTATTTCCTAGCCTTTTTCATGTCATGTCACACCTAGAAAATTATAATTATTGTACAATACACTAGAGTAAAATAACAAGGCTTCTTAGAGCTGGAGGACAGGTAATTATGCACACTGGCTAGAAAGCACTAGAAAACCATGAATTTACTAAAATGAAAAATTCTCGCTCAGATAGGATCAAGGTATTGTGTCTCTCAAGCAACATGCATTAAGTTGAGCTCAAACACAATGGTAGGTGTACAAGACAGATTGCTCCCATCACCATTGGGATCAAAACAGGAGTGTCATTCATCATGTAAGAGTATTCATACTACAGACTTAAATCTCCTAAACTGAATTTGGAATGTTTATCTAGGTTTGTATGGACTTTTTGGTGGCATCGCAGGAAGAAAAACTTTATAAAGGACACTTTGTTTGTATCTTACATATCTAATGAGAATAAATTTGTAAACACCTGATCAATACTTAAGAAGGAATGAAATAATTATTTTGCACATTTTCTTAATCACTTTTTCTAGCCAAAAGATTCATATCATTAGTTAATATATAATTGTAACCTGATTCATTCATGTTTCTAACAAATTAGTTTCCAGTTCTTTCCTATTTCCTCCACCCTTATGGAGAAAGAAAAAAATATATAAAAATGACATACACACACACACGCAAAGGTAGGGATTGATGTTTTTTTCTCTTAAATTACTGAGATATTAGTAGTCAGATGGGGAGGGTGGAGAAGAAGAAATTATTATTACACATTGCAGAGTTTTTTGAAACAGTCTCATTTCCTCAGCAATTCCCAAAGCACGGTATACAAAATTATCTTAGTTGACACACAGATGAAACTGTTAAAAAAAAGTATGGTTATATTAAAGTAATTATTTTTATAGTAGAAAAAACAGCATGCTAAACTTGTGATTTTACAGACACCATTACTAGGACAAAGCTTAATTAATTTTTAGATACGTTGATTAAAAGAGAAAGGATCACACCGATATAACACAATTCTTCAAGAGGTGCAAGAATTTCTAGTTTTGGGCTACTGTGTTAGTTGATATTTGCTCCTCACATGTCACTAGGTGTGAGAAAAGCCTCCTTAATGGTGCTTTCCTCTGGGTCAGTTCCAAAATTTTTCCAATTTATACACAGGATGGTAGAGATAAGAAGTGATGATGCCTCCCAAGTAGCTGGGACCACAGGCATGTGCTATCATGCCTGGTTAATTTTTGTAATTTTTTTTTTTTTTTTTTTTTTTAGAGACAGGGTTTCACCATGTTGGCCAGGCTCATCTTGAACTCCTGGGCTCAAGTAATCCACCCTTATTTTTAGGAAAACTTAGAAATAGTCATCTCAATGTGTAATCATGGGAATTACAAATTTAGGAGACAAATGGAAATATAAAGAGTCAGAGTATGCCTTGGCCAATGACAGCAGGAGTCCAGGGTCTCAGTCTAGGTGCTGAGACTGTGTGCCTTTAGCAGATTTCTTCCTTGAACCTCAGCTTGCTCATCTGTGAAAGGACTAAATTATCTCTAAAGATTCTCTCTGCAACATCAATCTGTGAGTCTACATATAAAACATTAACTCTGCATTAGGAGCACAGTTAGCTGTTAAGTATGTCAAATGGACTTCTTCTTAACTAAGTGGCCCATAAATTAAATTCTTGCTTCTTCCACCCAATTTATGCACTTATCCAAGTCTATGTGCTAAGGGTTTTATTATTTTATAGCAAATTTTACCACTCAAAGGAAGACATAAGAAGGCCTCAAAGAATGTATTCGTCAGGACTTGCACTTCTATAAAGAAATACCTGAGCCTGGGTAATTTATAAAGAAAAGTGGTTTAATTGGCTCACAGTTCTACAGACTGTACAGGAAGCACGATGCTGGCATTTGCTCGGTTTCTGGGGAGGCCTCAGGAAACTTACAATCACGGCAGAAGGTAAAGGGGGAGCAAGTAATTCACACGGCCAGACCAGGAGGAAGAGAGAGAAAAGGGGGAGGTGCCACACACTTTTAAATAACCAGATCTCAGGAGAAGTCACTGTTGCAAGAACAGCACCAAGGGGGATGGTGTTCAATCAGGAAAAACCACCCCCGTGATCCAATCACCTCCCACCAGGCCCCACCTCCAGCACTGGGAATTACATTTTAACCTGAGATTTGGATGGGGACACAGATCCAAACCCTATCACAGGATGATTTTTTTCTGTTATTTAGAAGAGAACTAGCTATATACCAAGGACACAGTTCTGACTCCTTGGATCAGAAGAGAATGACAGAACAGCACGTACCTAGAGATTTATCTAAACACTTCAGAAATCAAATGGCAAGTTTCATGTTTCTAGATACTTTCTGAAATACTTTCTACTATTTAGCATAACCAAGTATGTCTTGCATCTCTGTCTTCCTCTGTAGCTTCCCCTCCAGTCTCCATTAGAGCTCAGAAAATTCACTAGCTCTTCCTCTCGTAACATCTTAGATTTGACACAGAATATGGGAGCTAGAAGACACTTCATAGGTCATTTATTTCTGCTTCATATCAGATGTTTAACTCCCTCTGCAATATCCCTACAGTCATCTAGCATCTGTTTGTACAATAACAGTCACTGCAAAGTTGATAAGCAGCCAAAACATCCATTGTGTTCTCTACAATAGTACTTCCTGTTGGCACAGAGCTGCTTTTCAAACTAAATCTGTCAAACCTACTTCTACTTCCTCAAAATCATCAGACCATCATATCCTACTTCAATCTCTCTTCTTTAGGTTAAATATTTTTAGTCTTTACCTGTTCCTTCTGAGTCATGATTCCAAATCCTACTAATATCCTGGTCATTATCCCCTAGATGCATTCTAGTGTGATAATATTCCTTGAAAATCATGATTCCCAAGACCAGATATAATCTCCTCCTTCCCACCTGCAAATGCTTTGTGATCTGCATGGAATACAATGGTACAACCTACTGTATCATGCATTCTATTCCTTCTCTCATTTGTGATTTATTTAATATGTGGGACACAGATTGAAACACAGTTGTAGTACAGAGAAACACTAGTAAAACTCAAGGGCTTATCTACATACTTGAAAGTGCTGTGGGAAGAATTGGAGGGCCTATGCATATATATATATATATATAAAATACATTTTTCTTTTTGAGATGGAGTCTTCCTCTGTCACCCAGGCTAGAGTGCAGTGGCACGATCTCAGCTCACTGCAAACTCTGCCTCCCAAGTTCAAGCAATTCTCCTGCCTCGGCCTCCTGAGTAACTGAGATTACAGGTGCCCGCCACCTCGCCCGGCCAATTTTTGTATTTTTAGTAGAGACAAGATTTCCCCATCTTGGCCAGGCTGGTCTTGAACTCCTGACCTCGTGATCCACCCACCTCAGCCTCCCAAAGTGCTGGGATTACAGGCGTGAGCCACTGCACCTGGCCACTAACACATTTTCTACAGTCTCATTAGCCATAATCCAGAAATCATCCTAATCTCTGAAGAAACCTAATAACAAAGCTATACTGAACAAAGCTATACAACAACATACACATTTATATCTATGTATGCTTATATATATGTATGTGAATATATAAAGTGTCCGTACATAAACATTTTAATCAGTCTTACTTTGCATCACAAGTAGTAGAATATGAATGTTTTTTCCCAAGATACTTACATCATGCAGTATATAATTGTTTTTATGAAAGCTGTTTTCCACAATTCACAACAATGATATATATAAACCTATATTATATATGTGTGTGTAAGTCTTTATCAATCATAAAGTGTTTTAGACCTACTTGATCTTTACAGAACTCCAGGATGCTGTAAACTCAAGGAAAGAATTAGCACACTCATTTTCAAATAACACACAAAGCTTGTCAAAATTCACATAGTTTTTAAATTACAGAGACAAAATTGTAACCTAGGCCTTTGTATTCCAAATCCAATAGCCCTCACCTTTTTGAAACAGGGTCTTGCTCTGTTGCCCAGGCTTAAGTGCAGTGGCGTAATTATGGCTCACTGAAGCCTTGACCTCTCAAGCTCAAGTGATCCTCTCAACTCAGCCTCGAGTAGTTGGGACCATAAGCATGTGCCACCACCCCCAACTAATTTATATATATATTTATATACAGGGTTTCCCATGTTGGCCAGGCTCATCTCGAACTCCTGGGCTCCAGCAATCCACCCATCCCGGCCTCCCAAATTGCTGGGATTACAGGCATGAGATACTGTGCCCAGCCTAATCTTCACTTTTAAAAACAGGAAACCATTTGTTAAAATCCATGATTAAAGTTTTTCTAATCATAAATAGAGCTAGACTCTTATGTAAATACTCCCCAAAGAAACCACATGGACTCCAAAAACCATTAGCAGCCTCTAGTCACAAATGCTATGATCATTCTTAATAGGAGAAATTCAAAACCAAGAAAAGCCGAAGCAAGATGAAACATTTATAAAACGTCTAACTTTCCACCCCAAGCTAATGGATTCTTGCCACCACTGCAATATCTTACATTGCTTAAAACAAATGTTCCCAGATCTAATTGTACAATATAATCTCGGGGGGAGCTTTTCTAAAATATAAATACAGAACCTTTCTGATAGAGGAGGTCTGGTGCAGGACAAGGCAATCTGTTTGACAAGAGTCTGATGTGACTCTGATATACTGGTCCAAGCCTGACATTTGCCAGCCATAGGAAGACGCTTTTACACTTGCAATATCCGCCGTCTTTTTCCTGCAACATCAGCTTTCCTTCTTCTAGTCAATCTATCTCATCAGCATATAAATATGCTAATAATATTTTTCATAAAAACAATGTTCTCATCATCTCACATTCCCTTACTTCTCCACACAACTTCACTGCAAAACTCTTAGAGAAAGATTTTTCCATACTCACTGTCCCCACTACCTCACTTTCTAGTTTCCTGAGCCCTTTCAAATCAGACTTTGTCACCCACTTCTCCGTCGAAACTGCTCACCAGGGTTACCAATGACCTCCACATTTCCCAGTCAAAAGATCCATTCCCAGTCTGCGTATTGTGGATAACTCTCATCAAGCTGGTCATTCCTTTCTGCCACTTTGTTCACTTAATTCCTGTGTTATCACACTCTCCTGAATTTCCTCTACTTCTCAAGCTACTCCTTCTGGGTTTTTGGTAGGATTTAGCTCCTGATGGCTAAATATAGAACATTGCAGGCTTAGTCCTTATATCTCTTTTCTTCCATATTGACACTAACTCCTTACATGACTAAATACAGTTCTGTGGTCCTAAATACCATCATCTATATGCTGATGAATCACACACTCATGTCTCAGCCCGAGTCTCTCCTAAATTCCAGAATTTTATCTTTCTATTCAATGTCTCTTCTCTACTCCATGTGAAATTTAACACATTCAAACAGAACACTTTATTCCTCCGCCCTCTGCCGCCTCCACCCCACAACACAGATTTACTCTATTTCCCAAATCAGTAAAAGGTGTCACTCTTCACCTCGTTGCTCAGGACTGATTACTTGAGTCCTTTTTGAGGACTCTCTTTCTCTCAAATCCCGCTGTCAATCAATAGCAAATCTTGACAGTTCTACCTTCAAAATATATTCCAAGTCAGACTATGTGTCACTACTCAACACATTATCACCCTATTCCAAACCTCCCACCAGAAATGCTGAATAGCCTACTAAATGGTCTCCCTGTTAGAGTCTGTTTTCATAGTGCAGACAGAGGGATCCGTTTATAAATGTAAATGGCTCATGCCACCGTTGTCCAAAATCCTTCCATGACTTCCCATAATCCTCATTCCCAAATATATGTCACAGTGTAAGACACCAAATAATCTCCTTTCTTACAATTCTTCTTCCCTTTGCTCTTGCCGCACTGCTCTTCTTGCCCCTCTTTAAATATGCCAAGTTTTTTCCTGCTTCAGGACTTTTCCACCTGCTGTTCCTTCCAGCTGGGATACACCTTCCCCAGGTATTTGCAGGCTTGCTTCCTCACTTCCTTGGTCTTTACTAAAAAGCAATTCCCTAGGAGAAAACTGCTCTATCCAAAGAGTTCTTCCTTTCACTCTCTATCCCCTCAATGGGTTTATTCTCTTTATAGCACCTATCACCACCTGACATTCTATTATACACATGCAAGTTGTTTATTTATTGTTTTACTTCTGCACTAGAAAATAAGCTTTCAAAATCAACATTATTTGGCTCACCACTGAATCTCTAGTAATTAAAATAGCACCTGGCAAACAGTAGGCCATCAATAAATGAATGAAGGAATAAATGAAAGAGCAAATTCATCAGCCTGAAGCACATGTTCTTTCTTGGCCCCATGACTCGGTGCACATTTTCCCTTTTACTTAAAGTGTTCTTTCTCATCACCTTCTATGCCAAGTGTATGCCTATTTATTTTTAAAACTGCAACTTGAATGATAACTTGCTTTCATCTCTGTTTGCTCCTGTGGATAATTATTCTTATCTTTAGCACCTATTTTTGAAGATGTACTTTTGATTATATATTTGCTCCCTGGCTACACTATGAACTCCTTGGGGCAGGCGTTGACTTATCTTTGTATGCCCAAAGTCCGGCACCTACTAGAAACAAAATTATGTCTAAATGTGTCTAATCACTAGTGCTTAAGTGAGCTTTTACTATTTCCTTCTGCCTGTGCTGTTATTTTTACTAACAGCTGATGTTCATTAATGTGGTTGCCACACCTAAAAGTAGTTCAACTGTTCTCTCTGAATTACAGATAAAAATGCATGTAGGTCCTAGGAATTAAACCCTGATTGGGTATATATTTGCTCACCATTGACTGGCCTTTAATAATAGAAGTCAGTCTGGATATTGGAGTCCATTACCACACACTTTGTAAGAGTCTAGTTACTAGTTACTCTTTGATTACAGATAAAAATGCATGTAGGTCCTAGGAATTAAACCCTGATTGAGTATATATTTGCTCACCATTGACTGAGAACTAGAGTGACACAAGCCTTTAATAATAGAAGTCAGTCTGGATGTTGGAGTCCATTACCACACACTTTGTAAGAGTCTAGTTACTGGTAACTGGTGAAACCCTTAAAACAAGTTTAAATCAATAAAATGCATTAATCTCTATCATGTTATCCCAGTCCACAACACAGACTGAAAAGTTTCTATTTAACTGATAAGGATAGCATCTTCTGTAAACAGCATCATAACAGAATAGGTCAGAAAAATTTGTGTGCAACAAAATAGCTATTGGAAGATATACCTCTTACGCCAAAGAAGCTGTAAGATTCATGTTGGTATAATTTGCTTCTGCCTTTAAATCTCTCTCCAAGGTGATATAAAATGAAGCTTTATTTTTATCCCTGATATAGTCTTTGTGTTATGAATGCATCAAATATAACAACAGTGATACTAAATAAGTTATATCTGTGTCATGCTTTTTATATTTTACGCTTTGGACGTACACTATTTCATTTAAACTTCACAATGCTTTGATGGAAGCAAGGATGATCATAATCACTTTACAGATGAGAATTTTGAGAGTCAAAGAGGTTAAGAAACTTGCCGAAGGTCATGCATTGAGTGACCAAAATAACTAGATTTCAACCCAGGTCACAAGTCTACAAATCCCAAGTGTACTAAGAGGTAAAAGTTCTGGATTCAAAGATCCAGCCACTTTATACAGACTTGGGGCTTTGAAAAAACATCTCAAGCTTACTGGCCCTCAATTTATTAATCTGCCAACTAAAAGGGTGCATTCAATGCCTCCAATTGTTGCTAGCATCCATATATATATATATATATATATATTTTTTTTTTTTTTTTTTTTTTTTTTTTTTTTTGAGACAGAGTCTTGCTCGGTCGCCCAGGCTGGAGTGCAGTGGCGCAATCTTGGCTCACTGCAAGCTCCACCTTTCAGGTTCATGCCATTCTCCTGCCTCAGCCTCCCAAGTAGCTGGGACTACAGGCACCCACCACCTCACACGGCTAATTGTTTGTATTTTTAGTAGAGATGGAGTTTCTACTAAAAATGTTAGTTAAAGTGTTAGCCAGGATGGTCTCAATCTCCTGACCTTGTGATCCGCCCGCCTCAGCCTCCCAAAGTGCTGGGATTACAGGTGTGAGCCACCGTGCCCGGCCTGCTAGGATCCAAATATTAAGATTCTGCATTTAAAGTCACTTACGCTCTCTGCACTTAAGCTCTGTAACCTTCATTAGAAAGTTACAACCCAGGTATTATTTTATTCTTCCTAAAATCTTTGTTGCAATAATAACAGCAAGGTGCATTAGAATTAGTGAAACTTGGTCATGCCTAAAGGATTCATGAGGTGAGAAGATCAATCAAAACAAAGTCCTGCCTCTGTCAATGTCTGCCTTAGAAATGCACTTACACCTTTCTGAGACAGCTGGCTATTTTTGGACATAAGAAACCTGCTAAGGATGCCCAGGTGGCTTGGAAAGTAGAGCTGACACAGATCTGAAGTCACTGGACAATCCCAGCTCCACATACTGTCTTTCAGTTATTTTTCCTCTTACACACCTGGAAGGATTTACTTGAGTCTCAAGTGCTCACTCTAGTTCCAGCTCAACCAAGAACCATGCCCTTTCCATTTAAAAGGTGAGATGACAAGAGTGCACCTATTTACAATTGAAGGTCTAGAAAATAGAATAGGATTTCAGACCATTCTCAGTTTGTCCCTGTGGTATTGCTGATATAATAAATCCAACATCCCCCCACCCGCCACACACACACAGAATAGTCAGGCAATTTCTCAGCAGATGCTACAAATTTCGCTCTATGCCAGTCCGCTGTGCAACAGCCTAATCTATCCTGTTCAGGTTACTACTCTTTCTGCTTCATTTACTGCCCAATTGCTTCTGAGACTAATCCAACTCTGAACACAGAATGTTTTTTTCTAGTTAACATGAATGTAAGAAATCAGAGAATATTAGCCAAGCAAGACTGCTCCTCCTACTATGACTGAATATGCATTCCCAAGTGAAATACAGATAATAAATAACTACATTGTGCTTAATAAGTGCCAGGCACTATCCTAAGAGCTTTGCATATATTAACTCATTTTACTCCTCACTATAATCCCCATAAAGTAGGTGCTATTGTTATTGCCATTTTATGAATGGAGAAATTGAGGCACTGAGGGGTTAAAGAACAACTCTGAAGGTTGTTCAAGATCGCATAAGTGGTACCTCTCAGAGCCACGTAAAACCCAGGCAACGTGGCTCCATAGTCCATACTCTCAGCCGCTGTAGTAGACTATTTCACATCAGGCTACCTCTTTCTAAATTTGATAAATTTCTTTTAACAGGCATACATTTCAAAAACACAAATTTGAGTGAAAAATAAGATGCAGAGAGATAAGTAAAGTTAGATATAATTTATATAAATGTTTAAAACACTCAAAACCATTACATATATGTTAAGAATGTAAACACATGGACTGGAGGGACACACACCAAAATCATTATAGTTGTTACACCTGAGAAAAAAAGAATTGGAGAATAGAGCTGGGAAGGGTTCTAATAATTTTAATTGTATCACTAATATTTAACTTCTTCATTTAAAAAAACTTGAAATAAATATGACATAAAGTCAGCAAATTTGTTCATTCTAAGTTTTAGGTGTATTGGTGTTTGTTACCATATTCTCTGCACATTTCTGTTTCTTAACCTTAAAAACAAACTACATATATTTTTTCTTCTATTCCTTCCTGTGCCTTCCCAATTCCAATGCCATGAACTCTACTTCCAGTTGAAGTCATGGAATCCATAAGTATTGCATTTTGGAAAACAAAATCATCATGATGACTCATCTAGGGCTAGTTAGCGTAATAGTAACTACAAATAGAATATTTCCAGCTGAGAGTGGTGAAAACAACACAACAACCATACCACTCAACTAGAATAGGAACTGAGCACACGCACACAATGACAGCAGCCAACCGTAATTGCCAGAGAAGATAACCTACAAACAAAAATATTTGGGAGAATTTATTTCTACTCTAAACATAGCAGTCTCTGCTAGAACAATGACAATGCTGATTAAGAATGGCACACTTTAGACATCATTAATATCTTAATTAGGATCAGTTTTGCTCACATGTTATCTCCCTTATCAAACTGTGAGTTCTTTTAAAATAGGGTTCATGCAGGCTCATTGCTTGGCACATGACATGGGTCTTAGTAATGCTAGTTGAAGAAAACATATAAATGAAGCAATATTTCATAATGTCATTCTTTCCCAAACCTAAAACATTCAACTCTTCAAGCAGTAGGGTGACCAATGAGGCTGGCCTTTAAAATTCCTATAGCTAGATAGATACCAGTCTGGGAAGTGTTTGTAATTGTTGCTCCCTAGGGTAGAGATGAGAATTTTCCCTTGTCCTAGAAATTACTTTGTTTTGAGAGGGACTGCCTTGTGAGTCTTTCTAATCATACAAATCTAAGTCCATTTCCCATTCTTTGTTCTTGGAAATACCCCTCCCACCACCACCATTGTAACAGATGCTTCCAACGAGGTGTTAAGTATTTTGTTTAGTAATTTACATTGGGTATATTTTAAGCAGAACCAAGTTTAAGCAGACTTAAAAATTTTTCCTCTGCATTTGGCTGCCCTGTTTGAAAATCCTTGTTTATCATTCTTAGAAGAACGTCTTATTTTTCCTAAAAGTCTGTGAGAACAGATCATCCCAAGAAGAGCATGTCAGACTAATCTCTTTGCAATCTACGTTGTATAACAGATAATGGAAAGGTGTAATGCTACTTGGGCCAGACTCTTAGTGTTTCTCATCCAGTGTTTAAAATGAAATAACCCAAACACATAGAAATGTACAGATAACTACTGTGATTACTTTTTCTGGACCAGGAGTGGCCAGACTGTGTAGATAACTACTGTGATTACTTTTCTGTACCAGGAGTGGCCAGACCATGCCCTGTGGTACAAGCGTTTCTCCTAAAAGACAGAGATGCTCTACCTTCAGTCATGTGGCAGTAAGAAAAGCAACTAACGTTGGAATGGGAGCAGGAATTTTCTCTATGGAATTGGGAGTAGCGCCTAATTGCTAGAGGAAACAAAGAATATCCATTATGCATATCTAGGCTAGAAGTTAAAGAGAGAAGACGAAGAGGCTCTTCTAGGGAAGCACATGGCCTAAGGGCTGTAGAAGCAGTGATAGCTAATATCTAGCTTAACATTTCCATTTTCTGCACTGTAATACACTTTTGTTTTCTGTAGGAATTCAGCAAATTATTCCAAAGACCCACAGTCTGTTTTTTCTTAAGACTGAAAGAGGAGAGTGGCAAAGTTCTTGCGCCTCAGCGGTTCTGAGTTTTCGAGGAAAGTTGGTGGATATGTCAAATAAACACCAGGATAAATTTGTGGAATGTATAAATACTTACAGTGTTTCTTAGAAATTACTTGGTGACAGAAAAACAGCAAGAAAATGAAAAATCGGCAGTCTACTCAATGAGCCCAGCTGTCAGGACTTGAGAAATAAAAGTGAATTTACTTTTTAGTCACAGGTTAATGAGGTCAAAAATTTTTGTTATATAATTTATAATGTTAAATTTTAATATGACTTTGGCTTGCCTCCTGTCCTGATCCTCTGAATAATCTACCAACATAAGAGAGGGTTGAAAATGGATCACCATAGACTATTCAGTAGTAGTGTTACTATGCCGAATTCCAAAAAATCAGTGATCCAAAATCACTTAAAAGACTATCACCCAAGTTATATGTTACAGCCAAATTACTGCCCAATACCATTTTACATTTTTTATCCGTGAAAAACCAAATTGAATTTTTTTCTGAATTCTATGGATATTATGGTGATTGTTAGTTTTTGTTTTGGTTTTTTTTTTTTGGTGTGTGTGTGTGTGTTTTTTTTTTTTTTTTTTGAGATGGAGTCTCTCACTCTGTCACCCAGGCTGGAGTGCAATGGCGCAATCTCGGCTCACTGCAAGCTCTGCCTCCCAGGTTCATGCCATTCTCCTGCCTCAGCCTCCGGAGTAGCTGGGACTACAGGCGCCCGCCACCACGCCCGGCTAAATTTTTTGTATTTTTAGTAGAGACGGGGTTTCACTGTGTTAGCCAGGATGGTCTTGATCTCCTGACCTCATGATACCCAAAGGAATATAAATCATTCTACCATAAAGACATATGCATGTATATGTTCATTGCAGCACCGTTCACTTTGCAAAGACATGGAATCAACCTAAATGTCCATCAGTGGTAGACTGGATAAAGAAAATGTGGTACATTCACCATGGAATACTATGCAGTCATAAAAAAGAATGAGATTACGTTCTTTGCAGCAACATGGATAGATCTAGAGGCCGTTATCCTAAGCGAACTAACACAGGAACAGAAAACCAGATACTGCATGTTCTCACTTATAAGTGGGAGACAAAGAAAGAGGACATATAAACACTAAGAGAGGAACCACGGACGCCAGGGCCTACTTGAGAGTGGAGGGTGTGGGGAGGGTGAAGACCAGAAAACTTTCTATTGGGTACTATGCTTAGTACCTGCGTGATGAAATAACCTGTACCCCAAATCCCTACAACACACAATTTACCTGTGTAACAAACCTGTACATGTACCCCTGAACCTAAAAGAAAAGTGAAAATAATAAATAAAAGAATATCTATGCCTTTGAAAGTTACACACTGTAAGAGTTAACATTTGCTCTCTCACTTTCCACAGTTACTTCCTGGCCCACAAAAGAGGCACTTCTGCCTTTCCCAGAGTATTGGAAATAAGAGTCTTTACCCTTCCATCCATTCTTCTCACTCTTTTCCAGGGAAGAGAAAACTTTTGTGTGTTTGGTGAGATCGGGGGGAAATTGAACACGTGAAGTGTAGCCTGTTGTTTCTTTCTCTGTGGATCAGGCTGGCCACAGGCTGGACACATCCTGAGCTGCTGAGTAGGCACTAATGGGTCAGGACCTCGACCTGCCTCTACAGGTAGATGTGGAACCCAAATCTCTCTCACACTACTATTGGGGTTCAACAAAGATGAGGCGGGGATTCTCAGCAGATGAGTCCTCTCTGTAGACCCAGACCTTCCCTCTGGTGAGTTCGACGTGTCAAGATTTAGTTTTGGGAGAAAGGTGCTAAGTTCCATTTTGATCTTCTCCAATCTAGTATTCCAGCAATCAACTAAGAAGGTGGATAGCCATCTGTTTGACAAGTTTCTGTATTTTCTCAGTTGTCTGGAACTCAGAATGAAGGAGGGAGTTCAAAGGAAGAAAATGAAAGAAAAGTTATTACTGATGTCCTCCCCCAAGCCCACAGCACACACAAAAATCTAAATATCAAATGGCATTGAGTAGACTGGTACGTATGGTACAGACCTGTAATGTCATTCCATAACGTAATTTAAAATCATGTTTGGGAGAATCTTTTGTAAAATGGCATATCCATTAGTATTTTTAAATACAGACAAGCTTAAAAAAAAAGAAACAAAAATGATTCACTATTCTCCACCTAGCTACACCCTTACTTATATTTAAATAAAGTCAATATGTACACATCATTAGAAACAGCACAGAAATGCACAAAGCTAAAACGGGAAAGCCTCATTCCCGCTGCTTCAGAAGTTTCTCTCTTCAAGTAATCATTACTAATAGCTGCTTGTAAATCCTTTTGGAAAAAATATATGTTCCAAATATTTCAATATATGTACCTCTTTCCATATTTAGAATAATTGTTTAGTCCCATAGAAAGGAAACAAAACATATTAATGTTTGTGTGATAACTTTTGTTTAAAAAATTCACACGCATAGAATAGAAGAGATTATATTGGGGTTATAGATTTATAAGAGATTTTCTTACTCTACAGAGATTTTACATTTTCAAAGTCTTGTGCTATCATCAGAAAACTGCATAATCTGAATATATATATAATCACTAGTTTTTAATTATAAAAGAAACACATTTTTAATAAAAATTTAAATAATATAAACACATGTAAAGTAAAAAGCTAGTCTTCCTTTTCAGCTGTCAAATTCCCTAAAGGTAACTGCGGTTAATTGAAAAATCACAGAATTATAAATCTGGGAAGGAGATTTTATTTCTTATCGAGGGTAACAGCCTGCTAAGTGGCCATTCCCACAGGCTGGGAAGTGTAGCTCTGGCGAAGACCAGACACACGAACTTCGAAGGAGGAGGGTTGGGGTGGGAGCTTTATGCTAAACAGGGTGGCTAATATAGGAGGAGTTACGAATATTCATGAAAGTAGTTCTGATGCATGCATACTGAACAAATATGCATGTAACATATGACCTATGTTCACTTTGGGGTGGAGGCTTAATATTAAGTGTATTACAGTTGGGCCCAGTGGGTCAAAAGGTGAAGCAGGGATAGGAAGGCACTCAAGTGCATAGCTTCTGTAAGCCAGCCAGAGCCAGTGCATGGTCAATGGTCTCTTATCAGGAGAAAGTTACTGATATCAATCTCTTGTCCAATCAAAGCTACAGTTATCACTTGTGGAAGAGAAGTTGGGGGTCAGTTAGCATTTGGTGGAGCTGTAATTGTTTCAACATTGCTTATCTCAAAGCCAGTGCCTGTTTAGCTGCTACAGAAAAACAAATATCCTGTGGCAGTTAGAACATAGTTTATTCTTTTTTTGTTTTTTGTTTTGTTCGTTTTGTTTTTTTGTTTTGAGACGAAGTCTCCCTTTGCAGCCCAGGCTGGAGTGCAGTGGCATGATCTCGGCTCACCGCAACCTTCGCCTCCCAGGTTCAAGCGATTCTCCTGCCTCAGCCTCCAGAGTAGCTGGGATTATAGCTGCGCAACACTGCAACCAGCTAATTTTTTGTATTTTTAGTAGAGATGGGGTTTCACCACGTTGGCCAGGCTGGTCCTGAACTCTCAGCCTCAAGTAACCTGCCCACCTCAGTCTCCCAAAGTCCTTGGATTACAGGCGTGAGCCACCGAGCCCGGCTAACATAGTTTATTCTTTAAGTGTAGGGGTGCATAACTTAACCCTTGCCTGGGATGGCTTTAGATTCTATTTATAATTTGCTAATTTTTGGCCACAAAGAGTCTGTTCTAACAGCCGTATGATCTCCATTTTAACAATGCTGGTCAGTTGTGTCTAAACTGCAAAACAGAGAGGATATAACGGCGAATCTGACCTCCCATCTAGTCATGGCCATTAACTCAGTTTTTTTTTTTTTTTTTGAGATGGAGTCTTGCATTGTCACCCAGGCTGGAGTGTAGTGGTGTGATCTCGGCTCACTGAAAGCTCCGCCTCCTGGGTTCACGCCATTCTCCTGCCTCAGCCTCCCAAGTAGCTGGGACTACAGGCGCCTGCCACCACGCCCGGCTAATTTTTTTGTATTTTTAGTAGAGACGGGGTTTCACCGTGTTAGCCAGCATGGTCTTGATCTCCTGACCTCGTGATCTGCCCGCCTCGGCCTCCCAGAGTGCTGGGATTACAGGCGTGAGCCACTGTGCCCGGCCATGAACTCAGTTTTTACAGCTTTTAAGGCTCTTCTGGGGTGAGCCTCTTGGTTGAGAGGGGGGTCCAGTCAGTCAATTAAGGGGCTTAGCATTTAGTTGTAGTTTATACTGCCATTAGCAATTTTTAATGCATTTGACCAAATACACACACACACACACACACACACACACACACACACACACACACACATACAAGCACACAGACATTTTAAATAGATATAAATATATTTAAAATTTATAAATTTTTTCAGGATAAAATAATGTACATAGACCTAAATCTTCACCTGGGGAAGTCTCGGTTTCCTAATTTGTCTTCTATAACTGTAAGGAGGAATGCTATCTTACTTTATCTCACGATAAGATTTGCAAGCCCAAAGGTCAAAGGTAATGATTGATGTTCTCCATATTCCGTACCATGGCAGTTTTAGACAATGCAACACCAACTTTTCACTCTCCTTTTCACCACTTTTAGGTAATCCCCAGGCTGCTTGTGAACAGAAGACTGTCACCAGGCTGAAAGGGCTATTACTGCCCAGAATTCCTGATCTCAATTAATCTTCTGGCCTCAGCCTTTTAGGAACTGGAACTACAGGCACATCTACTATCTCTAGTCAAAGACTTATTTGCATAATGGTGGAATTAGTTGGGGTAAAAGGATCATCATCATCATCATTTTGAGAATGGCTTCATAATGACTGTAACTCTGCTATCCACCCACAAGTTCCTTAGAGCCAAGGTCAGATGCTGAACCAACATGGCGATTCACTGGTTCTCAAGTTCCTCCAAGTTAAGCAAATAATTAGTGCCTTAGAAAAATGATCCAGCTAGCAACAACCCCTCTCCCCTCAAAAAAAGAGATTCATCTTGTGTCACTAAGTTTTATTTAAAGACCATGCAATCGCATCCCAGCTGGCTTCATTGAAGTAACAACGTGGGCAATCAGTGACACCAACTGCAATGCTATCGTTTCTATAAACAGTAATGAGTGGAGGGGGTAGGTCGGTACTAGAAGCTTATGTATAAACAAGAAAGATCATTTCAGAAAGAGAGATTGTCTCAAAAAAAGTCACAGTATCTTTCTGATTGTCACCCTATGAAATGCAAATGCCCCACATTTAATGGCATCAGAAGAAATATTCAAACATGACATTCATAATATTGTCCAGTGAAAATTACATGGCATAAGGATAACAATTGCATACACTAAATTAGACAAAGAACAATAATTCCATTGTTTTAAGATACTCCATAGAAACTGAGATAACAGATCTATAAGTACTCGCTGGATGTCTCTTTATAACTCTGGTACCACAGAATAGAACTTGCACCTTTCTAAGAAGCTGATTTCTAATATATCTGGCTGTAAATAAATGGATTTATGTTGAAGCAAGAGCAGAGAAAAGGTATCACATAGATAACTTTGCAGGATATCTGAATATGGGCAAAGCTAAGTAGACTTGAACTGAGTTGTAGAGTAATTGCCTTTTGTTAAAAATTGCTTCTTTTTATATCTTTATCTTAGTTGTATTCAAACACATTTTTTTCCAGTAAAATATACAGAGATACTACTCATTTCCATTAAAGCTCTCATCTGTCATACCCCAGCACTTCCTTGTGAACTCCTAAATGCTTTTCAAGCTCAGAGAGATTATCATGAATCTTAGATTGAATTAATTATTCCTTCCTTGAGGTGACTTCTACCATTAAACATTAAATCAAGTAAGGGTTGTTGAACTGAAACAAACTGAGACTCCTAATTACTTCATTTTGGCACTTTGGCCTTGTATGACACCTTTTGCTTATAGGTATAGAGTTCCCTGCTGAGTCTCTATTGCCTGAAACAGAACCTAGATACAATCAATCCTGAAGGGTTTTTTTTTTTGCTAAATTGGAAAATGGCAATCTCTGAAGCAAGAGACATATTTCTCTAACTTTCTAATCTCAGATGGAGAGGGAAAGAAAGAAGGGAGGGGTGGCAATTTGGAAGGTTAATTGGCATGGTGCAAGTATCCTAGGCTTCAGAAAAAGTCTGGGTTCCCTTCTCTCTTCTGCTGTGCTTAACACAGAGTCGGGCAAATGGATTGCTGGCCCATGAGCCAGATGGGAGCATTGAGCCTATCCTTTCACCATAAACTACTTCCCTGATATTCTTCCCAATGCACACAACTCTTTGTTTATAAGTTGAGAGAAGAAAAGGAGCATTTATTTGCAGTTTCCATTGCCTGGCAAAACTGCAGCAGTGATGAAAGCTACCACATTGTCAGTGCTTTCCAGGCAATGGAGATAACTCTTCCTCTCCTAGATGTGATCGGGAGCCTCAAAAGGTAATTTCCACATTTTAGAGTAAGTAGAAAGGAATGACTGAGTTTTTCAGAGTCTTGCAATTAAATTACAACTTTGAAAGAATAATCTCAAAGTTCTTGGAAAACATCAGTGGGGATTAATTACATCTTTGGAAAAGAGATCGATATCATTTAAGGAATAATGCACCAACTAGCCTCAGGACACACACTAACTAGAATGGTAATAACAAAACCTCATAATTTGGTATGCTAAGCTAATTATCAAAAGACTACAAACAGAAATCAATACATCTATTTATTATATACTACACATGATATCACAGAGAAATTAGAGCATTTTAACTGAAAACAGGCTTCAACATAGCTCAGTAACTTTCCATTAAATCTTATTATTTAAGCTGCACCGCCTTATTATATCAACAAAGGCAAGTTAGATAATACACTAACTTAAAAATTGAAGTTACTCACAAAAAGAAGTTTTAACTTTTTATTTGCATTAAATGTCTATCATAGGTCATACGGCGGGGCTCTTCATCACAGATACTCAGGTACACAGGCTAAGGGAGTAACCACTGCCTTGAATGTCAGCTGCAGCAAAGAACCTGAGGTGAGTTGTGCTCAGGCTATGAAAGCTTCCAGTGTGTCACTTCTGCTCACATTTCATTTGTCTGAGCAAGTCATACGGCCACACCTAACTTCCAGTGAATGGGATAATGCCATCCAACAATATGCCCAGCAGAAGGACCCAAAATATTGGGTGAAAAGTGCTAATGACAACTCAACAATGAGAAATGAACAACCTGATTTAAAACTGGTCAAAAGACATTAAGAGACACCTCAACAAAGAAAATACACAGGTGGCAAGCAAGGATATGAAAAGATATTCAATATCATATGTCATCAGGGAATTGTAAATTGCATCAATAATGAGAAATTACTCCACACCTATTAGAATGCCCAAAATCCAAAACATTGACAACACTGACAAAAATGTGGAGCACCAGGAACCTGCATTCATTGCTGGTGGGACAGCCATATGCTACAGCAACTTTGAAAGACAGTTTGACACTGTCTTACCAAACTAAACACTGTTGCTATACAATCCAATAGCTGTGCTCCTTGATATTTACCCAAACAGGCTGAAAACTTATGTTCACAGAAAAACATGCACAAGGATGTTTATAGCAACATTATTCTTCATAATTTCCAAGTCTCGAAGCAGCCAAGATGTTCTTTAGTGGGTGAATGGATAAATAAATTGTGGTACATCCACGCAATGGAATATTATGCAGTGCTAAAAAGAAATGAGCTATTACACCATGAAAAGACCTGGAGGAAACTTAAATTCATATTACTAAGTGAAAGAAGTCAATATAAAAAGGCTACACACTATATTATTCCAACCATATGGCATTCTAGAAAATGCTAAACTATAGAGATAGTAAAAAGGCCATAGGTTTTCAGGGATTAGGAAAGATGGAGTTTGAGGTATGTGTTTTTTATAGGATCGTTGAGGTTTTTTTTGCCTACAGTGTTTCAATTCCACATCAAGGCCACTTGATGTGATTGTTTAGCTCAGTCTCTAGGCATCTGATAATCCTTCAGGCTACCAGCCTGAGAAGCCCCTGAGTAAATAACGCAGAAGAGTCATAACTATACACAGAAGGAGGTTGATTTTCTGGGGCAGCCCAAGTGATAACACAGGCAAGCAAGGAAGCAATTGTGTGTACACACACACACACACACACACACACACACACCTGCTACTATTACTACTACTGTAGGGACCTACTGCCAAAAATGCTGCCCTTCTGTTTCAGATTGAGACTTAACCCAGCTTTCTCAGGAGCCTGATCATTAGGACAGGAATTCCTCTTCTACAACATTTTAATGGTCTTTCCTGCTGAAGTGATGAGGAACCTGCAATTTTAACACCACTCTGATGGATTGCTTCCACATTTCCCCTGACTACATTTTGAGAGGAATGGGAATAGGCATTAGCTATTGTTTTAATCACTACTCTTCTGTGAGTCTTTTTCTTTGTAAAGTTTCTATCTCTAGAGAAAAATGAACTTGCTTTACTTCCCCTTTAAACTAAAAACTTAATATATTATCAGATTAATACAAGTGCCATTTAACCTTAGCAATATTGTTTAGCATCTTAAACTTGAAATCTTTCATTTAATGGATGGGTTTTACATGCTTAAAAAAATTCATTTTGAGAAATGGAAAAAAAAGAATCATAAGAGACCCAGAATTTAGCCTTAAACAATCCACTCAACCTTGTCTGAGATTGTCCTCCATTTGATAGCTTATACCCATCCTACTGCAGTACAAAGGACTCAGAAACTAATATGATGGATAAACTAGACAAGACATTCATATCTGATAATGTAGAGGAAAGACCGGAGCAATAATATATTTTAATGATACTAAAAAGCTCAAAATAAATGATTAGTTTATATTTTCTTAGTACTATTCATTTAATAAAACTTAAATAAAATATCAAAATGCTTATAATTCCAACTATTCAGCAATCTGTTAGGAGAATCTCTTAACCTACTGTAACAAATTATGTTATTTCCTTTCTGTGGACCTCACCTCCCTCAACTGTAAAATAATGGAGAAGAAGCAGCTGGCATAAAACTTTGTTATACATGCTTACATTGTTTAAAATATTACTTAATTTCTCCTTAAGTTAGTTTTAAAAATTAGAGTGGTTCATCTGAGCTGTTTTTATACATTTGCTCTGTGAAAAAAAATGTTTGATATCATTACCTCAATTTGCATATGCACACTGGGCATGGCAATATTACATGAAAAATTGCTGTGAGGTCATACTAATGGCACAGACCACATGAAAAAAATATCGCTTTAAAATAGAACACAATGATAAAAGGACCTAAAATATACTAAGCACATGGTGTATAGTAGGCTTAAAGTTCTTATAACAGTGCCTGGCATACTATGAGAGCTCAACTAAATCTTTAGCTGCTATTAATCCATTTAATGCTTACAACAATCTATTAGGTAGGTACCATTATTATAGTAATTTACATTTATGCACTAATTAGGAAACAGCAAGGCCATGTTAGTTACACTAGATCATAAGTTTAAAAGAGTCACAATTTTCGTAAAGGTAGTTTAGTTCCCAGAAACAGTCTTCTGATACAAAACCGTATATTACCTCTGTCTGTGGAAAGGGTGGGAAGGAAACTTCACTACTTGGAACTAAATACCATTTTACAAGAATTCCTCTACCCCACTAAGTAAAAATGCATATATAAATAAAACACAAGTTTTCACAGACTCACTGTTAAACCTAGAGTATACTCAAATAAATATATATATATATATATATATATAACAGGCTATGTCTATCATTTCCACTGTTGTCAGATAAAAATAATGAGTTTCAAAGATGGGTAGTGACTTATTGAGAATGTGTTACAACTAAATCAGTCCCATACTTGCAACAAACTATGCTGTCCAATCACATAAGTTAACCCTTCTATTTGGATCTATCGCTATTTAGGAAACTGACTCTGCAGGTAAACTGAATATCTTTCCTAATTTGACATGAGAGACTGCCCTGTCTTCATTACATACCCTACACAGTTTTAAAATTTTCACCTCTAAGAGACATATACCCAAGTTATGATCTATTCACATTATATTTACTGTGGACCAGGAAAAAATGAAATAATAACACATATCTCTACTGGCTTCTTGAAATATGTATATCAAAACACGAAACTTTAACATAAAGCCACTTCGTTTAGAATATAGTGGTATGATGCGTTTTAGTACTTACAAATATAATGGCAAAAAATAATGTACAAATAATCTTCCGAACTGCATGGAAGTAAAAATGAGATCTCGTTGCTGATTCCATTTTGAAAGTGTGTTCTGCAATTTCATAAATCAGTTCTTTTTAGTAGTTTTCTATTTAATTCTAATTAGGTCTTTTTAAGTAGTTTTATATTTCATTTAGACTGATGAGTAACCACAAAGTCAAAGATCTATAAGAATGAATGAAACCTACATATATTATAATCTTTCCAAATATAATTTTCATAGCTCAAGAACAGAGTGAAAATAGGTGCCATAACCAAATGAATCAGACTCTCCAAAATAACATATGGAGTTTTAAACACGAAATCTTGTATAATGTTGTTAAATTTTTGAAAAGTAAAATTATTTGGAATTCATGGACCAAAAACGTATATTTCTTGGCAAAAAGACACTTGTCTAGATGTATTAGGGTGTCATTGTTCTCTTCCCACACCCCACTCCCAGTTTGTAAAAGGAAAATCAAGACACAGAAACTGAATTAGCCCTTGCAAGATTAATAGACACACCACTTTAAAGATAACTTATACAAACCTTTTAAAGAACTTTATAAACAATTAGAGATAGACAATGGAGGAAACGTGGTGAAACAGCACACCATTTTGCAAGACTTCAGCATAAAAGAATCACACTTATTTGATATTAGTTTGGTGGGGTTTTTTTCATTCAATTTTTAATGGCCTTTCTCAATATCTCAGTTCATTCAAAGGTTCTGATTTTCTTTCTTTTCCTCCGTGTAGTCTTTCCCAGGGCACCCGGTTGAAGCCCAAGGCTAACTGGGACCCTCCTACTTCAGCACCAAGGACAGAAATCGCTAAATCTCCAGGGGAAACGTACCCCTAACCACCGCCAGATGTCTACTTTTCAGACAAAGCAAGAAAAAGAAAATATACCTGCCTTGCCAGCCATCTGTTTAAAAGTCCCCTCTCCTGTGGAACGCACGAGCAACTTTTCGGAGACACTGAACAACTCCAAGTCGCGCGCCGCCCTCGCAAATCGCAGAGAGGGCCGCGAGAAGGTGCGAACGCAGGTCACGGCCAGCGCCGCTTGGAGAGAGACCCGCAGGTTTCAGCCCAGGCGCGCCCGGCGAAAGCCAACGCGCTCTCCCTACAAAGCGTCGATGACTTCAGGGATTTAAAAGAAAAAATACCCACAGACAGAACCAGCGGAGGGGCCCTGACCTCGCCCCAGTCGGGAAACGCCTTCCCTCCGCCACAGGCAGCGCTGAATGAAGCAGAGGAGGGCGGCGGAGAGGGCCCCGGAAGAAGGGAAGGGGGCATTCTGCAGTGTTTGGGGGCTGGGGAAAGAACATTTTCTCACCACTTGGGCTGTCGCTGGACCTCAGGCTCCTTCCACAGAGACACTGCAGCATATGCACTCCTTTCTTCAGAGAAAGCTCAAGAATCTTCATGGAGAAGCGCGTGTGTGGGGTTGGTCAACTCCCCGCCCACCTGCGCTAGTAGTCCAACCAACAGGCGGCCTGTCTTCGGAAGCCGGGTCCCGAGTCCATCGCGCGCGCCCAGGTGGAGGGGAGTTTGCACATGGAGCCGGAGGGAGCCCGGGCGCCGGCAGGGGGCGGGCCGGGACGCGGAAGTGCCGGTCCGCCGGGGGCAGCCCTCCGAGAGCCCGAGGCGCTGCCACCCCTCGGTGGGCTCGAGCACGGCCCCTTGAGACCTTCCGGAGGCGGTGGCTGGTCTGAGGACGACGCGGAGGACGTCACTGCGGGTCGGTGCTTCCTTACAGGTGCCTTCTGGACCGGGGTCCTTGGCACCTCCCCTGCTCCTGCCCTCGGTGCCGGACCCTGTGCCCTGGGAGCCCGACTACCTCGGTGTCCCAGCCGTCCCGGGCTTGAGGCGCTGAGAGGGCTGCGCGGCTTCCAGCCCGGAAGGCAGCGGTCCCGCGGGCTGCGCGCGGCCAAGGGCGACTCCGGTGTGGGAATCCGGCGGAAGGGAAGCACCCGCAGGGAGGGCTGGACCCCGGAGGCTGCAGAGCGTCAGAAGCGACTCTAGGGAACTAGGGGGTGGGGTAGGGAGGCGGGGACGTGGAATAAAGAAAGCTCCTGGGTGCCGGCTATGAGAAGTCAGGTGTGCGTAGGCGTGGACAGAGTGCCGATGTGGGAGTCTGGACACCTGGATTTTCTGGTCGGGGCTCTGTGTCCTTGGGTAAGTCACTTACCACCCTGGGCGTCTCCCCGTCAATCTGGGTGGGGAAGAGGGTGTGAGATAGAGGATTGGCAGCGGCGTGCTTGTTTGTCCCCGTGCCTTTCAGGCTCCTAGAAAAGCTTAGCATAGGTGCAGTGGGAAGTGGAGCTAGAAGGGACAGAGGGAGAGGAGGCAGGTGAGGCGAGAAATCTGAAGACAAAAGAGCGCTTCGCTTTGGCGCCAGTATTCTGGCAGGCTTTGCCTCTGCCAGCCCGCCCCGATGACCAAACAGCTTCTCCATGAGTTTAAAGATCTCGATTTTTTTTTCCCAGCAGCCCCCTTGACTCTTTTTTTTTTTCTTTTCCTGATGCCAACAATGCCCTTTTGGAAGTGCAATGAGTAAGCATGGGAAGAATGCTGTCGAAGTGACAGGACGTAACCCTATGTGGAATCTCAGGGCAAGAGGGGACTTTAGGGGACACTTAGCAATACAAGTGATTAAGAGCACAGACACTAGAGACAAGCAGCGTTAAGTTCAAATTCCTACTAGGTGTGTGACCTTGAACAAATTACTTAACCGCTCTGTCCCTCAATTTTCTCATCTTTAAAAGAAAGTTAAAGATAGCATCTGTCTCACACACCCCCTGAGAGTTAAGAAAACACTTGTTTTAAAGTAAGTGCTAAAATAGTGTTTGCAATTATTATTATTTAGACCCCACCTGTAGGGTTGTGAATCATTTTCACTTTCCGATGAATGCCAGTGTTCATACCAGTGAATTTCTGCTTGAATAATCCAGGTGACAGTGAACTCAGCAGCTCCCTAGGTAATTCATTGCACGAAAACTGTTAGGTTTTCCCTGAGGTTGAGCCAACAACTGACCTCACCTTTGTTCCATCCATTGTCTCAAGGCTGCCTAGCACTAACTGGTTAGCTCTTCCCTGCAAGGGAGTAAAAATGGTTTGCATCACACCTGTTCTCTTTCTCTTATATAGGCTAAACATTCGCGGTTCCACTGGCTCCCTAACACTTGAAATGATGTTTGAAGTTGCCTGGAAGAAGTCTCTTCCTTTTTTCTCTCAGAGGTGATGGAAGAAAAACCAGAACATCTGGAGGGCCGCTTGAGTTTACAGCCACCACCTGGGTTCACACCCTCTTAGCTCCTTTCAAAGCTGAAGCTCCAGGAAAGGTCATTTGGGGTGATTCCAAGATTCAAGAAGATATGCCCAGGCCTTTCTTTCTAGTCGCCTCTTAGTCCTGTTGTTCAGTGGTATCACAAGCTCTTTAAGCTCCAAGGTCCTTGAAGATCTTCCTAAAACCACTGCAGTGACATCACCGAAGAAGTTATGCAGCCCCAGGGCAACCTGAGCCATGGTCTTCATCTTTCCTGTCTCTTTGAGAATTAGTGAGAAAATTGGCTCATCTGGGATTCTACCCATAGAAATTCCCCACAGAGGGAGAGACAATTAGCAAAAGGAAAACATCTAAAAATAGTCCTTTGTGCTGCAGCGGAACACGGTTTTCCGGTAGGGCTCTCCTATTCTGGAACCCAATACCTAGAGCTATTTCCTTACTTTGAGGGAAGTGCTACTCCTGGAAAAATAGCAAATGAACAGGACAATGCTGTGGTTCCCTCGACGGCACTTGAGCAGAGTGAACAGGTCCGTGTGTGATTTTAAAACACATATGACCTCCTGAGCATCAGTTTTTATATTTATCACAACCCTCTCTGCCTCCTGGCAAGGTTGTGGCAAGAGTTCAATTAGGTAAAACATGTGAAAGTGCTTTGAAGATTTTAATTATCTTTGCAACATAAGGTGTTATTACCAACTTCCCTGGGTTCTGGGTGTTAGACTATTGACGTCTAATACAGTGGCTCTGTTATTTGATTATAGGAAGCATTTATGTGTGAGTCTTCTTACTCCACAACAGGATTGTAAACTTTTAGGATGCAAAGCAGGAAAGACAACTCAGTACAATTAATATTCAAATAGTGTACTGTATTGTTTAAATGGCTATCACAGTGATTCTTATGACCAGAGAGGAAATGGATCATCACAGTACTTATAAAAACAAACTGAAGTATTACATTTATAGATTGTTTTGTTGGTATTGAGCTTTCAGGTGAGTTCAGAGGGCACGTAACATTTTAATGCAAAATATTTTCTTACTGTATAGTATGGACATTTGATAATAGTAAGCTCGTACTTTGTAAGTATATATCAACATAAGTTTCTACTTTGTAAGTAAGTATGAAAGGGACTTGATCAGTAGAATTGTATTACTTAGACAGTTTTTTATTTTTTAAAAAAGGCTCTTACACTTATCAGGATTTCAATGTTCATGCTTTTTAAAGCAACTCCTCATGTGATTGTCACCCACTTCCACAATTAGGCACACAGAGTACAGTCTTTCTGAAGTATCTTGAGCAATATATCAGAATTCATTTTTACATGTATCATAACATCCCAAAAAAGACAAAACAAAACAAAAAAAATAGCCAGGAGCACATGAAGGGTAAGAAAGTGATGTATTTTAGTTTGAACAAGAACATTCATCTTTTCTCCTTTCTGTGTATTATCCCATAAGCCAAACTCAAAATTTTACTGGCAATAATATTTTTAATTTTATATTCAGATATATTATTGTTTTAATACCCAAATTTTAAATTATGTTATCTGTCTGTAGTTGGGATTTTTTAAAGTTAGCCATTCTTTCTGTTTTCTAATTGACTTAGACATCTTGGACAAATTATAGCAAGTGACTCACCAGTGTGGCTTCAAAATAAAATAAGTTAGCACTTTTTGAGAAGGATTAGGAATTCTGGTATATAATGATGGATGAATGTGTTTGAATTCCTAGTACCTAAATTTTTTCTTTTTAAAAATAATTACTAAGAGTTTGTAGAAATTAATAATTGTGTAAGGGAGTTTTGAGATATTTAAATTGTGACTTATCTAAGATATTTTTCTATTAAGACTAAACATAGGCATCTGTTCACTCTTGGCATCAGCTGTGCAATTAATCAGTATATTTATCTGTTTGGAAGAGAATGTTGAATTGGTAATAACATATAAAGAATCATGCCAGGTTGCAAAACTTTTATTGAATATATCAATGGCAAAATGTCTGTTGAATTGATATTAAATTTATTTTCACAAAGAAACCAACATATAAACTAAAAGATGAAAATCAGTACGATATCTAACATGGCATTTTTGTTCCATGTTATGCATATAGCCCATTGACTCTGAAAGGGCACAAAACCATGCCTGTAGCTCTCATCTTAGCAATACCTTCAAATACAATCTTGATACTGTTTTTAAAAAAGCAAACATGTTATTTTAAAATTTCTCTTCTTCCTTTTGTTCTTTTTTATTTCTTTTTCCTTCCCCTCCCTGACTCCTGTTCCTCTTCTTCCTCCTTCTCCTTCTCTTCATCTTCTTCATCTTCGTTATCTCCTTCTATTATTTTCCAAACTTTTTTATCATAAGTTTCCACTTATGCAAATGTTATAAAATAAGACTGAGAGTTCATACATACCATTTACCCAATTTCCCTAATGTTAATGACTTTCATGACCAGTGTACAAATATCAAACCCAGAGCATTTACACTAGTACCTTGTGATTAACTAAACTACAAACTTTATTCAGCTCTCACCAGCTATGCAGCTCTCACCAGCTCTTCCCCACCCTCATGTCCTTTTTCTGTACCAGATCCAACTACGACCCATATTGCATTTGATTGTCATGTCACTTGAATCTCCTTCAATCTGTGATGGTCCCTCAGTCTCCCTGTCTTTCAGTACCTTGGCATTTCTAATAGGTATTGGTCAAATATTTTGCGGAATGTCTTTCAATTTGGATTTGTCCAATGTCTTCTAATGATTAGTCTAAGGTTATTCATTTGGCAAGAATGCCATAGAAGTGATGTTGTATCCTTCTTAGTATATCATTATGGCAGGGGGGAGGGTACATGATGTCAGTTAGTGGTATTAACCTTGATTGCCTGGTTAAAGTTATGTCTACTAGATTTCCATATTGTAAAGTTACATTTTTTTCATTTATAATTGATAAATATATTGAGGAAAAAACTTTGATGCTGTGCTAATGTCCTATTTTTCCTCAAACTTTTATCCACTGATTTTAGCATCCATTGACAGATCTTGCTTGCAACAATTATTAATGTGCAGTTTGCCCGGCAGTGACTTTTGTATTTCCTTTATTCTGTCTAAAGTAATAGGAATTCTGTAAGAGCTGTTCCTTCTCCTACATTTATTTATGTATTCAGTTATTTATTTATATCAGTATGGCCTCAAGGATATTTATTCTAAGGATTATAATCCAATACTATCATTATTTATTTTGTGGCTAAAATTGTTCTGGCTTTAGCCATTGGGAGATCCTTCTGATTTGCTATTGTGTCCTTTTGACATACCCCAATTGTTTTTTAGCAGTTCCTTAATTGTTTGGCATCACATAATGTTCCAAGTTTATTTTGTCCCCTCTACCCTAGCCCTGGATTCAAATGATTGCCAAATGAGTCTGGGTTCTTTCTTTGGAGAACAATAGCAACCAACATCTGAGCGCTAAGTGTCCTCATTCTTACTGGGGTGTTATTGCTCTCAGGTCCTCTCAGCAGAGAGAGCTAGGAAATCTATATACACATACACGTACATCATATTTATTTCTACATTTCTATCGGTATATCTTTTTAGATAGATTCTGATATATCATGTAGAGCTAGAGATAGAGATAGATATCGTTAATACTTCAATCCTAAGTCAATACCACCAGGTTCATTTTATTTTTTGCCTTTTCCTTATTTGTAACTTCTTTCTGACAGTGAAAGGCCTGACTTCCGTTATTTATAATATATTCACTTATTTATTAAATCCTACTATACACTTAAGGTAGTTAGAGAATTGCTAACTGATACTCCTGTGAGAAACACTTATTACAAGAGTACAGTATTTATGTACACTTATTTTTGTCTTGAACTTTACAGTATCCAATCAAAATACTATTTTCTTTTGAAAGTGACTTAGGTTGCTTCTTTACTTGCCCATCCTCTTCAGTGTGGTTTGGTTATTCATTTGTAAACTTATATTCCATACACATTGATTTTAATTATTTAACTAGATTTAGTTTACTTAAATTATTTTTTTTATTTGGGTGCGTGAAACGTTACTATGGTACTTAGAGTCAAAGCTTTACCAAAAAGTATAGCTTGATAATCGTTATTCCCTCATTATCCCTCCTGGCCAGTTCCTGTTCCCTCTTTTTTTCCACTTATTTCCCATGCACTGCCTATAGGTAACTGGTTTCTTTAGTTTATCTTGCCTGTGTTTCTTTTGTACAAATGCACACACACTCTTCTATGTAGTGGTCTTTTGATTGTTTCCAGTATTGTACTATTATAAACAATGCTGCAATAAGTAACCTTGTGTGTAGCATTTTCATATTGTAGAAAACACTGCTAACCAATACTCCTGTGAGAAATACACTCTGTGTGCCTCCAGGGTAGCCTCCTAGAAAAAGAAATGCTGGGTCGAAAAGTATGTGTATAGATATTTATGCTAAGTATTGCTGAATTTTACTCCAGAAGGCTTGTATGAATTTAGATTCCTGCCAGCAATATATGATTGCCTATTTGCCCACAGCCTTACCAACATAATGTATTGTCCTACTTTTTCATTTATGTCAGTGTGATTGTAATGTTTTAATTTGCATATCTCTAATTATGATTGAGTTTGAACATTTTGTCATTTGTTTGAGAACTTTTTTCTTATCTTCAAATAGATACCTCCAGGATTTGGGGCTGCAGTTGGACGTTTTCCATCTCTTCTAATAGCACTGTAACAAGTTGTCTTGAATAAACACGAGCTCGTTAGCCATAAGAAAACTTTAAAGATGAGTTATCTAATTCAAATGGAAGGAAAATGTTTTTAAATCATCATAGTAAAATATGAGCTGTTTATTTTGCAAAATATGAGGTCAATCAGTTCAGGATAATAAATACTTATGAATGTCAAGGAAAAAAAGCAATTGCTCATTAGTCAAAACTCATTACCAAAGGAGGGGCACAATACAAAATGGGTGTTTCCACCCTTTTCTCCTATCACCTGAACACGTCTCTGACCCTATAAATTATACACATTTCTTGAGACCTACCATAGAAGCCACAGCGATCTCTCTGGTAAACTTTCCCTCCTATCTCCCCGCCTCCCCCAAAGCAGTCACAGCTTCCTCGTAGTTCCCACAGCACACTGCAATTCCTCTATTATAGGATTTATTTTATTCAGCTTGCACATGTATATTTTCCCCCCAAGAGACTATGAGCCTTTTCGCCTCCAAATTTTGGTGTTCATGTTCATATCTTTTATGTTTGTATATCTTGGTACCTAGAATATGTAAGAAATAATTTATTTAAATATTGATGAAATGAAAACAATGGGGACTTTTACTTTGGGAGGCCGAGGCGGGCGGATCACGAGGTCAGGAGATTGAGACCATCCTGGCTAACACAGTGAAACCCCATCTCTACTAAAAATAGTAAATATTAGCCGAGCGCGGTGGCGGGCGCCTGTAGTCCCAGCTACTCGGGAGGCTGAGGCAGGAGAATGGCGTGAACCCGGGAGGCGGAGCTTGCAATGAGCCGAGATCGCGCCACTGCACTCCAGCCTGGGCGACAGAGCGAGACTCCGTCTCAAAAAAAAAAAAAACAAAAAAAAACGGGGGGGACTTTTTTGTGATTTTCCAATTGGGAAAAATATTTGTAATTCTGTATTACATTTAAAAACAATAGCTCAGAAAGAATTTAGAGTGAGGATATGAATTAGATAGAAGATATAACTTACTTTTAAACATTTGAAAAGTCATCAGATTCACACATGAAATAATATATATAATCCAAAATCAAATATTAATACCGTATAAGATTTCAAGGATAAAAATGTTTGATAACTTGGTGTACTAGAGAGAATATAAAGGAAATGGGAACCCTCATACATTCTTGGTAAAAGTAAGCATTAATGCCTTTATGGATAGCTATTTGTCTCTAACCTTCAAACTTTAAAAAGCCAATTCCCCCTTTGGCAAATTCTTATTTAGTTATTTTAGATATAGTTGCATAAGCATACAACAGTGACAACTGCACAAAGTAGTCGGTACAACATTGTTGATAACACTATTTGATAGTAGTGATACTAATCTATCAATAAGGAACTAACTTACATTTTGGTATATTCCCACAAAGTAATGTGCTACAATTTTTTTAATATGAATAGATCTGTGAAATTTATTACTGAATTTAACAACCATATAAAAGAATAAATATAGTTTGCCACAATTTGTGTAATCTAGAAAATAAGAATGTGCATACGTTCACGTTTATAAACTCATGGACTCTTTCTGAAAAGGTACACAAGAAATTGGCATCAGTTGTCGTCTGAGGGAGAAAGATTAGGTAGCAGAACACAACAGAGAGGGAGACCTACTTTTGACTGCATTCCATTTTATACTTTAAAAATGTACCATATGCATATTCTTCAAAATAAATAACATATTACAACAAAAATCAGTTATATAAATTTGGCTTTGATTTTTAAAACATATTTATTACTAAGCTTAATTAAAATACAAAAATCCAGAATGTGAAGGAGACACACAGGGACTAGAAATGTTATTTCTAAGTTGCAACAGGATATAGTCTTGATGCCTTGAGAATCAGAAGACCTAAGTGAACATCATAACTTCTCAGAGCCTAACAGTAGAATGTTGGTACCAAAAGGAGTTCAAGTATTGATGATCATTATCCTCTAGGATGAAGGGATGCATGAGGAAATGATAAGAAATTTCCAAAGTGCCATAAATCTGAGGTGCTACTCTTATTTTACTTTTAAACTATATATTCATTTTTAAATGGGAAGTCTTACATTTAGGTGACATTGGGAAAAATAGTTACTTCCATGTGATTGTTATAAACCATGTTTGATTCCCACATGCCCTTCTGGAATTTCAACAATCTTGAGTATTAAAGACACCAAAACAGTAATAAAGAGCCCTACCCAAGTCTGATAATAAAGATTCACCCAACCTCTTTTAGCTTTCGTATTATCCAAGCTCTCCAAATAAAACTTTCATCAAATTTTATAAGATACTATTAAGTCCACCTGTTAAATGAATTAAACAATATTCATTTCTATTCACTGCACATTTAGCGAGTGCATATTTTGTTTAAATATAACCCTGCCCTCAGTGGACTCACTATCTCATAGGGATGGAAATAATAGATAGCTATACAAACAATGTTGAGATGGATAGAGAAATGTGAAGCCTGTGGTAATGATAGCACAGATGAGAAGAGTGATTCTGATTGCCGAGGAGGGATGCAAACCATGTAAAACCACATAGCAGTATCATGATATTTGTAAAGAAGAGGTTCTTCCAAAATGCAGATAGAAAAAGGATATGTATATGTGGAATGACTTCATTTGGGGTTTTAGGGAATAAAATTTTAACATAAGTCAACTCATGGTAGACATTTATTTTCTAACTCCATCCTTTAACAGAAAAAAAAAATACAAAAAAGGGACAGTGACTTCTAAAGTCACCTGGCCCCCAGCAGCAGGGCTGCAACTAAGTGGCTCAGAACCCCTGCCCCCTTCCTAGTGCAACATTCTCCAAAAGACACTATGATGCTGCCCCTGGTTTTGATAGCATCAGAATCAAACTTACTTGATAATAGGCATAGAAATTATTTCAGGGCATTTTTCCTTTCCCTGGAAATTGAATTTTCTCTGTAAATTGTCTGCTTTTTAGAAGCAGAAGGCAGCCATTCATTTAAAGATCTGACCAATAAAAATAAGCATTGCCTTTACAGTAAACTCTGAGCTTTCTATTAGTGTTAACTTTCAGAAAAGGGCATAGGAAAGAGTCTAAGCTTATGACTTTGGCTAACTTTCCTGATGGCAAGCTTTTAACTGTCCTAATACAAATGGTTGTGGGAAAGGAGGAGAAAAAGGGTTAACTGGAGATGTTCATTAGGATCCATATCAAAGGCTTGTTGGACATGAAGTAATTTGGAGAATGAATATTTCAGCCCCTTTAAGGTGATTGTTATGCTCACAAATATATTCACAAGTGTACGTATGTATATATCTTTCTGCCTGTGCAGAACACAGGTTAAGGCCAAAGTTGCCACTCTCACATACCAGGCAAAAGGCACATGTGGAATTTTGAAATCTCCTTTGTGCATTATTTTTCTATCCTCTCTTTTTTCCCTTCCACAAACATACAAACATCTTAAAGAAGAGGCTATATGTACTACCTTCACTTCAGCATTTCTTTTCTTTCTTAAACCCGAGTGCTGCCTCCTGCTTGCACAATCTCACCAAAGTTCTTTTTATAAAATCACCATAATCAAGGCTATTCCAGATAAAATGGACACATTTTGTCCTAATGCTACAAAGATGCAGTAATTATATGTGTTGAAATTATTGATCACTCTATTTCAAGAAACTCTTCCTCATCTTCAGAAACATCATTTTTCTCTCGGTTTTCCTTCTACTTCTCTATTAACATCATAGTTCTCTTTCTGCCATCCTCTAAGTGTTACTATTTACCAAGCTTCAATCTCTTCTCCATTTTTACTGTTACTAGGCATCTTCTTACACATTAAAATTCCTACGCTATTGATAACTCCTGGATCTGTGTCTGCTGACAAGATACCTACATAGATTTAATCATCCATTTCCAAGTTTCCCTGGAAACCTCTGCTAAAGGATCCACAGGTATTTCAAAAAAATAATAATAATAACTACAACTGGACACGTATCTTTCTCTGTAAACTTCTTGAGCTCCATATTTTAATGAGCAACTACATCTAACTATCCAGTTTCCAAATTCAAAGCCTTGTGAGCCATCCTAGACTGTTCTTGCTAACTTATCTCCAATCAGAGAGTATTACAGATACTATTTGTTTAACATCTCTAACATCCATCACTTTATTCTTGCCTTCCTTCAGGCCCTGATCACATCTTGCCTAATTACTACAACATATTTACAAAAATATTCCAACTGCCTTCAATTTAGCCTCCATACTGCCAAAATAATCACCCCAAAACTTAAGTCCCTAAAGAATGTGGCTCTTCAGAAACTTTTCATTGTATTGAAGATTAAGTCGACAGTGTAAGTTTGGTACATAAAACCTACGATGATTTGCTTGTCTTCTTTTATCTCCGTACATGAACTTAACTCCATCCATGTCCTTGAGTCTCACCGTTTTTTTCTTTTCTATTTTTTTTGAGTCGGAGTCTCACTCTGTCGCCAGGCTGGAGTGCAGTGGCACCGTCTTGGCTCACTGCAACCTCCGCCTTCCAGGTTCAAGTGATGCTCCTGCCTCAGCCTCCTGAGTAGCTGGGACTACAGGTGTGCGCCACCACGCCCAGCGAATTTTTGCGTTTTTAGTAGAGATGGGTTTCACCATGTTGGCCAGGATGGTCTTGATTTCCTGACTTCGTGATATGCCTGCTTTGGCCTCCCAAAGTGCTGGGATTACAGCCATGAGCCACCGCGCCTGGCCTGAGTCACACTTCCATGTTCATGTCTACATGTTTTTGCACATGATAGTTCACTTGCTTAGACTATCCTGCTTTCTTTCTTCTTCCAGTGAGTTCACACCAACCCTTCAAAAATTGGATTCATTATCACCTCTGTCAATAAACCTTCCCTGGCTGGATTAGGTGCCCTTCTTTGGAGCTTACCTGCGCATATTTCTTAGCACAGAACTTTCACACAATAGTCTCTGATTTCCAAAAAGCCAAAGTACTTCTTGAAAATTTAGCCAAATAGTCATGCAAACTAATATATTATTACAACTGTAACGGCTGCAAAAGTGGAGAAGTACATGATTTTATGGTGTCTAAAGAGGTGGTAGAAGTGTTGATTTAGCCAGAGGAATCAGGAAATGCTGAGGCACTTATCACATCATAGTTTGTGTCACAATTAGTTGGGCACATGCTTTATATACAGTTCCTCACCTCAAGCTTATAAACACACACACGCATACACACACACACACATGCACACAGACACAAACACAGTCACTTTTGTTCCCTTTCATGGTAAGTCTTAAAAGTCATTCATCATGAAATATTACTATTTCTGCCTTTCGCAATATACAGATGCTACTCAAAACATAGGAAATGGTCAATAAATATCTGCTGAATTGAATTGAAAACTTTACCCGAGTTGCAGAATAGTTATATGATTCTGTTTCTTTAGAGTTAACCATATGGTTCGACTGAAGATAAAGCCTTAATCAAATTTATTATAACCTTACATTTCAGTTACAACAAAAGCAGTATGCGTCATGCCTTCTGTCTTTCCTAAAAATCAATGACACACCTACCACATGGTTTCAAGTATGATAAAAATAAAGGAAGTCTTGAAAAAATCCAAAAGAAATGCAAGCCAGGAGAAAAGGAGCCTTTGGAACCCTTAAATTGATGCTGACTTGAATGTGTCCTCAAAATTTCATGTGTTAGAAACTCAATCCCCAAACATATATTGATAAAATTTGGAGGTGGGGCCTTTGGGAGGTAATTAGGATTAGATAACATCATCAGAGTGGGGCCCTCACAATGGGACTGGTGGCTTTATAAGAAGAGGAAGAGAGACCTGAGCTAGCACACACTTGCCTTCTGCTATGATATGACACAGCAAAAAGGCCCTCACCAGATGCTAGCAGCCTTCCCTGCCTCCAGGACTGCAAAAATTAAATGTATTTTTCTTTATAAATTACAGTCTGTGATATTCTGTTATAACAACAGAAAATAAACTAAGATGATGACTAGTTTAGGATAAAGATCCTGGAAGACCAACAGACAAAGACCTGGGAGAAGAGGTTCATAGTATTAGTCTGAAAGGTTGTATACTTCCAGATTTTGCCATTGTTTCCATTTCTAGTTTTATAGGTTAATTAACAAATAATGAAAAATGGAAGGATCAGAAAGATCTGTTTTCTATGGTCTTATGCAAGTGCACATTGTAAGCATTCAATATGTAGATATGAAAATCACTGCAATAATGCTTCTAGGAGCCAGCACTAGATAACCATCTTCAGCATCCTGGGCTTATGTAAATAATCCATTTAGACTGAACTGTTATTTTCATTTTTATTTTTTTATTTGTACATATTTATGGGTGTATTAGTCCATTTTCATGCTGCTGATAAAGATATACCAGAGACTGAGCAATTTAAAAAAGAAAGAGGTTTAATGACTTATAGTTCCACGTGGCTGGGGAGGCCTTACAATCATGGTGGAAGGTGAAAGGCATGTCTCACATGGCGGCAGACAAGAGAAGACAGCTTATGCAGGGAAACTCCCCCTTATATAATCATCAGATCTGGTGAGACTTATTCACTATCAGGAGAATAGCGCAGGAGAAAGACCCACCCCCATTATTCAACTACCTCCCACTGGGTCCCTCCCACAACATGTGGGAATTCAAGATGAGATTTGGGTGGGGACACAGCCAAACCATATCATTCCACACCTGGCCCCTCCCAAATCTCATATCCTCACATATCAAAGCCAATCAAGCCTTCCCAATAGTCCTCCAAAGTCATAACTCATTTCAGCATTAACTCAAAAGTCCACAGTCCAAAGTCTCATCTGAGACAAGTCCCTTTTGCCTATGAGCCTGTAAAATAAAACCAAGTTTGTTACTTCCAAGATACAATGAGGGTTCAAGCATTGGAAGAAATTGGCCAAAACAAAGGGGTGCAGGCCCCATGTAAGTCCGAAATCCAGTGGGGTAGTCAAATCTCAAAGCTCCAAAATGATCTCCTTTGACTCCATGTCTCAGGTCCAGGTCACACTGATGCAAGAGGTGGGTCCCCATGCTCTTGGGCAGCTCGGCAACTGTGGCTTTGCAGGGTAGAGCCTCTCTCTCAGTTGCTTTCATGGGCTGGTGTTGTGTGTCTGCAGCTTTTCTAGGTACACGGTACAACCTGTCAGTGGATCTACCATTCTAGGGTCTGGAGGATGGTGGCCCTCTCAGCTCTACTAGACAGTGCCCCAGTAGGGACCCTGTGTGGGGGCTCCAACCCCACATTTCCCTTCCACACTGCCCTAGCAGAGGTTCTCTATGAGAGCCCTGCCCCTGCAGCAAAAGTCTGCCTGAACATCTAGGCGTTTCCTTACATCCTCTGAAATCTAGGTGGAGGTTCCCAAACCCCAAATCTTGACTTCTGTGCACTGGCAGGCTGAACTCCACATTGGAACTACCAAGGCTTGAGTCTTGCACCCTCTGAAGTCATGGCCAGAGCTGTACATTGGCCCCTTTCAGACACAGCTGGAGCAGCTGGGACACAGGGCACCAAGTTCCTAGGCTGCACATAGCATGGGGACCCTGGGCCCCACTCACAAAACCACGTTTTCCTCCTAGTCCTCTAGGCCTGAGATGGGAAGGGGTGCCATGAAGACCTCTGACATTCCCTGGAGACATTTTTTCATTGTCTTGGGGAACAGTATTCAGCTACTCATTACTTATGCAAATGTATGCAGTCAGCTGGAATTTCTCCTCAGAAAATGGGATTTTCTTTTCTATCGCATTGTCAGGCTGCAAATTTTCCCAACTTTTACGCTCTCTTTCACTTATAAAACTGAATGCCTTTGATGGCACCCAAGTCACATCTTGAATGCTTTGCTGCTTAGAAATTTCTTCTGCTAGATACCCTAAATCATCTCTCTAAAGTTCAAAGTTCCACAAATCTCTAGGGCAGAGGCAAAATGCCACCAGTCTCTTTGCTAACACATAACAAGAGACCTTTGCTCCAGTTTCTCACAATTTCCTCATCTCCATCTGAGACCACCTCAGCCTGGATTTCATTGTCCATATCATTATCAGCATTTTGGTCAAAGCCATTTGACAAGTCTCTAGGGAGTTCCAAACTGTCCCACATTTTCCTGTCTTCTTCTGAGCCCTCCAAACTGTTCCAATCTCTGCCTGTTACCCAGTTCCAAAGTTGCTTCCACATTTTAGGGTATCTTTTCAGCAGCACCCCACTCTACTGGTATCAATTTACTGTATTAGTCCATTTTTATGCTGCTGATAAAGACATACTGGAGACTGGGCAATTTACAAAAGAAAGAGGTTTAATGGACTTATGGTTCCACCTGGCTCGGGGGGCATCACAATCAAGGCAGAAGGTGAAAGGCACATCTCACATGGTGGCAGACAAGGGAAGAGAGCTTGTGCAGGGAAACTCCCCCTTATATCATCAGATCTTGTGAGATTTATTCACTATCTCAAGAACAGCACAGGAAAGACCCACCCTCATGATTCAACTACTTCCCATGGGGTCCCTCCCACAACATATGGGAATTCAAGATGAGATTTGGGTGGGGTCACAGCCAAACCATATCAGTGAGGTGCATGAGAAATGTTGTTACACATATCTAATGGGTAGCAATTAAGGGAAGGTATCTAAAATGTCCATCACCTGAGGATAATACAGTTTTGTCAAGCATGGTCATCCTATTCTGCTACCAACCATTACATTTATTCCTCTTATTGGATTGTATGTTTGTACCCTTAACCCACTTCTGTTCATCCTTCTCTCTCCATCCTGTTTTTTTTTTTAATTTGACATCTACATTCTCTTTTGATCCACTTTCTCTCACTTGGTGGAGCTTAGTGTTTAGAGGTTGAGCTTTGAAATCAAACTGGACCTAGGATTACCTCTCAACCCTTACATTTACTGGATGAGACGACTGCTCCTTCTTTCAGTGGTTTTCATGTGTACAATAGAGTGAGTATTCATACTTCCTTAGAATTGTTGTCAGAATAAATTGAGATAGAATATCTTAATATGGTGCCTGCCAGATCGTAGGTCCTTAAAAATTGTGGTAATGATATGGTGGAGAAGCTTATTGACATTTATGACTTTTGGGAAACTCTACCAGTAATAATCCTTTTCATCCTTTCATCCTTGAAGATTTATTCAACAACAGCAATATTGCTCATTTGTTATTTGAGATTATTTTAATAATTTCTCTTCTGTATCTATAAAATATTTAAGAATTGTCTTTGTTTGAAGGAGAAATCTAAGAAAATTGGACTTTTAGTAGAAAGCTTTTGAAGGATTTTGCTTCATCAAAATTCTATAAGAAGTGAATACTAATGGGCATGGAGTTTTTTTCTGAGGTGATGAAAGTGTTCAGGAATTAGAGTGGTGATGGGTGCATAGACTTATACATATACTAAGAACCACTGAACTGTACACATTAAAAGGGTAAATTTTATGGTATCTGAATTGCATTTTAATTTTTTTTTTTAGATAGAGTCTTGTTCTGTCACCCAGGCTGGCATGCAATGGAGCAATCTCAGCTCACTGCAACCTTCACCTACCGGGTTTGAGCAATTCTCCTGCCTCAGCCTCCCACGTAGCTGGGATTACAGGCATATGCCACCATGCCCAGCTAATTTTTGTATTTTTAGTAGAGATAGCTTTTCACCATGTTGGCCAGGCTGGTCTCGAACTGACCTCAGGTGATGCACCCACCTCGGCCTCTCAAAGTGCTGGGATTACAGGCATGAGACACCACACCCAGCCCTGCAGTTTAATGTTTTAAAACTATAAGAAAAATATTGGACAGCAAGATAGTTTACAGCTACACACGTTATTAGAGTGGTGATTTTTTTTCTTTCCTGTTTTCATTTCAGTTGTCCACTCCACATTGTAGAGATTATGATCAGTTTGGTTGTCAAAGTCTTAGATGACATCACAAGAAACACTTGAGAGCTACACATTGCTGAGTTCAAGTCCCAGCTGTGTGTTAATGGACACATTTCTTAACTTTAATTTCATTTTCCCCATTTGCAAAACAAAGCTAATAGTCTGCCTTGAGGTTTGTTGTGGCAAAAAGAAAAAAGAAAGAAAGAAAAGGAAATGCTTAACATAGAGATTAGCACTTAGTGGACTCCCCATTTACAGAAGATCTTCTTCAAAAGGACTAGTACATTCCGAAAAAAGAGGTTTGGGTATTTTTTTTTCTTTTTCTCCGGTCAGAACCTATTATGAAACACCCACTGGTCGTCCCTATTTTTAAAACGTATAATTATTTTAAAGCAAATGAAAATACTTTTCTTAAAGGTGAAATTTAAAACTTAAAGTTATTAACAACATTTTGGGTTGTTATATTTTGAAAGGAAGTTATGTGAAGATAAAATTTGGGAAATCAACCCCCTCCTTTAATTTTCTACCACACGCTTGATGCTGTCACTGACACCTTGAGTTGAGGAATATAAGTAGCTTTTGCTTAGGAGGTGTTAATCTGATGGCAGCTTATTTGGATAGTGCTTTCTTGTTTGTTAGTTGTTTTTAGTCCATGGTCTTCCTAGACACTCAGCATTAGACCTACATTCTGGATTAGCATATACTAAAATCCAGTTTCATTCTTCTACATGTAGCTTGCTAGTTTTCCCAGCAACATTTATTTAATAGGGTGTCCTTTCCCCAATTTATGTATTTGTATGCTTTGTTGAAGATCAATTAGCTATAAGTGTTTGGCTTTATTTCTGGGTTTTCTATTCTGTTCCATTGGTCTACATGCCTATTTTTTATACTAGTACCATGCTGTTTTGGTAACTATAGTCTTGTAGTATAATTTGAAGTTGGGCAAGGTGATGCCTCCAGATTTGTTGTTTTTGCTTAGTATTGCTTTGGCTGTGTGGGCTCTTTTTTGGTTCCATATGAATTTTAGGATTTTTTTTTCTAGCTCTGTGAAGAATGCTGATGACCTTTCGATGGGGATTGAACTGAATCTGTAGATTGCTTTGAGCAGTATAGTCATTTTCACTATATTGATTCTTCCCATTTATGAGCATGGGTTGTCTTTCCATTTCTTTGTGTCATCTATGATTTCTTTCAGCATTGTTTTGTAGTTCTCCTTGTAGAGATCTTTCACCTACTTAAGTATATTACTAAGTATTTTTTTTATTTTTTGTAGCTGTTTTAAAAGCAATTGAGTTCTTGATTTGATTCTCAACTTTGTCGTTGTTGGTGTATAGCAGTGCTACTGATTTGTGAACATTGATTTTGTACCAAACTTTTGATGCTTGTTCTTAAAGGCAGAGTTTAAAGACTCACTATGAGTGACACACATACACTGTACACACAACAATGACAATAACATTTTTAATTTCTCAATTTTCTTAACCAAATCAGAAACAAATTTTCTGGAATTTGCCTTCAGGTATTTTTAGCAAGAAACATGAACAAATATGAAATAAATCACTATTTCTTATGGTTTTTTGCTTGTTTATTTTTTTCTTCTATGAGACAATTCTTGTATTTTTAATGCATAGTCATTTGGGGACATCAAACTCTGACCATATTTATGTGGCATGACACTTAGCAAGCTGCAGACATGATCTAGAATTGTTTTCTCTAACCTTATTTCTCCTACACACCATCACAAGAAAACAAATGATGGATGTAAATATCTATTTTCAAAAGGCATTTCATCTGACACCATCTTACTCAGAGTTTTTGTAATTGCATGGAGAAAAAATTTAAAATAGCGTGTGCTCAGGGATTCAACCAATTTTGATAAAAACTGGTTGAATACTTCACTTCTTCTTCAAAAGTGTATAATGGTTCCTTACAATCTATAGTCAAATTACCAAAATCTGTAACTTGGTATGTTCAAGAACTGGCACAATCTTCACCTAGCTTTCTGGACATAGTTTCTATAATATCACTTCCCCCATAATTACTTCAAGTCTACAATCCTTTACCAGAAACAGCTGGGGCCGAGTGAGTTTTGTAATTCAGGTTTTTGGGGAACAAGGTGGTATTTTTTTAAAGTAATACAGTTAATGTATAAAATATTAGCAAAATCCATGTATGTTGGGGCCTGCACCTATAATGAAATACATTGATATTTCTGCAGTAAAATCTATAAATATTCTCATAAGTAGGACAAATAAAGACTATAAATAGCCTCCTGTCAATTCAGGTCAGTCTGTAGCTTAAGGAAAAACAACAACACACACAGTGGTCTTCAGAGCTTCTTGAATTTAGAAATTAAAGACAGTAAAATGTAAGCCTGCACTTGCTTTACTTGGACATAGACTTTTGAACTTTTGAGCCTCTGTTCATTTTCTTTCCTTAGCCAAAACTGTCCTCTATGTCTCTTCTAGTTTATTAAAGTTTATCGTGGGCCAGTCCAAACATCAGAAGCGACCCCATTTTTCTCTGTTGTCTGCATGCATATCTCTCTCCATAGGCTAGAAAGTCCATAGGGAATAGTTCTGTGTCTAATTTGCATTGCATACTGTGATTCCTGGCAGTGTATTTTTCCTCAAAAGAATATAAAAATTGGATGAAGCAAGCCTGCTTGAAAACATAAATGTCGACAAAACAAACCCAAAGCATTCAGTGTCCTATCTCTATTCCTCTTTATAAATGTGAATTTTTATAAGATGACAGGGTTTTTTTTTTTTTCATATCAGATGGGTAATGTGCCGATGTCTTGACAAGGTTCAAGGGTGGCACATCTCACACATACACGTGAACACCCAATCATCATGCTTACGAACTACAAAAGGATCAGGTTTGGTTGTTTAAAAAAAGTAATTTTACTCAGAATCTATTTTTTATGGTCAAATATTTTCTAGTGATTCTAAGAAAAAAGTATAAGCAGTATAGCTGCTAGCTTTCCATTACAGTTCAACACACTGAGTAAACTTCAAAGAAGCTGGTTTTAGGTTACTGTAGTGCTCAGGAAATGTGAGTTTTTAAAAAATTAACTTATATTTTAAACTTCTGATTTTTTCTAATCATTTAATCATATTTCTATCACTTCCAGAAACAAAACCAGATGTAAGCTCTTTATTTTTATTTTTATTTTTTAGATGGAGTCTCACTCTGTTGCCCAGGATGGAGTACAGTGGTATGATCTTGCCTCACTGCAACCTCCGCCTCCTGGGTTCAAGAGATTCTCGTGTCTCAGCCTCCCAAGTAGATGGGACTATAGGTGCATGCCACCACACCTAATTTTTGTATTTTTAGAAAAGATGGGGTTTTGTGATGTTGGCCGGACTGGTACCGAACTCCTGACCTCAAGAGATCTCCCTGCCTTGGCCTCCCAAAGTGCTGGGATTACAGGCATGAACCACCATGCTCTTTAGTCTATTAAAAATGTATCTGTTTATTTGATGTTCTTTGCAGTGCTCTTTGTAGACAATTAAGAGTGGCTGATAATTCATATATGACTGAATAATACTAATTTTGAATAAAATCATTTTAAAATTACCGATTTTAGAACTATTTAATAATAATAAGATAACTATTTTTCTAATATTGGAGATTTGGAGACATTCCTCCAAATAGAAATACCACCTTACTATTGTAAGTTTCAGTGGATACTTTGATTTTAAGTCTAACTTTTACCTTACACAATTTATGATCTTATATTCTATTTTTAAGATTTAGTAGACTATCATATGAAGTGGTATTCCTGACTCCTTTTGTAATAAAATCATTATTAGGATATGTTATAAAATGAAACAAATAAGAAATGAAAAAAATTCTTCCTGAAATAGTATATAAGGTGTGTTTTGGCTATGGCAGGGGATTTGAAGAACAATGCTGAATAATATCTAGATCACAAAATCAACTATAATAAGCTAAAAATAGGTTTTTCATATTTGGTACTAGCCTCCATATGAAGTAGCTATCCTAATATACAGTACTGTATAACATCTTTTTAGCCATCCATCCACCTAGTCTTTCATCCATATATCCATAGGGAAAAAATTCTACTTAAAATTAAAACTCCCTTCTTAGGAAGACAGTTCAATTAAGGGAGAATAGGTCTTCTTTCTTCAGCAAAGCATCTTGGTAGATCAAAACATGCACAGAGGAGTCAGAGAGAAATTTGGGAGTAAGACTGGAGGAAATGGAATTAATCTGCAGAACAATGTGAGAAGAATTTGGAGCTCCTGTGAGCCATCTGGAAGGGACTAAGGAAAACCAAAAACCATGGTAGGAGGCTGCAGTCTGAGGTATAGAAATGGCCAAGAGACTTTTTCAGAGAACAAGGATAGCTGTACAATCTCTAAAATGAAATAATTTGACAGAAGCAGAATTCAGAGCCAGAGGAGACCTTGAAAATATAAACTCACACTGAAAATTTGCATACAACTTGCTGGTGGTTGGGGTGGGCACTACTGAACTCTAAAATTCATAGAATGGAGCTCAAACCAATCTTAGCTAGGTCTTAATTGGTACAATGAATTTAGCTGTATCTGAGATACATAAACATACATATGCACGTTTTCATATGAAGCAAGTGTTCTAGAGCTCATTCATTCAATAACCCCAAATATCTGCCACATAGATACAAACCTGAAAGAAGATGCAAAGAAGGGACAAAAGAAAGACATCTAACCACCCACAAATGCTGTCATAAAATTGTAGCACTAAATTTTACATAGCTTGTAGGGTAACATTATGTCCTAATACAATATGTACTTACATTTTTAAAAATTCTATTTACTTTTTTACATATTACTCTACACGGCTATTTCACCACGCTCAACGGTCTAGAACTACAACCCACACACCAAATCCAGCAAACTGCCTGTTTTTGAAAATAAAGTTCCATTGGAACACAGCCAAAGCCATTTGTTTCTGTGTTGTCTATGACTGTTTCAGGCTACAACCTGAGTCGAGTGATTGTGACAAAGGCTATATGGTCCATAAAGCCTAAAATATTTACTATCTGGCTCTTAGCAGAAAAGGACTGCTAACCTCTTATCAAGAAGCAAAAGTTGAAATAGACAGATTTTAAAACATATGGTGAGAAATAACTATTTTATAGCAAAAAAGTAAGCAAACAACAAACCAACAAATATCATGCCCTCCAAAGTCACAATACATGGTGCCATCATGTGTGAAGACAAATAACACCAGAAAGCCTATCAAGTTGTCAACAAGTCTCCGAAAGTGTATTTTACAGGGCAATACAACTATTAAAATTAATAATAATGATCCTGAGACATTAACAAAAATTGTAAAATATGTTGAGAATTTTCTAAGACATTTAAAAATATATATATAAAATAAGATTTTTGCTTTTGATATTTTGATTTTTTTAACTTTTAGTTTTTGTGGGTACATACTGGGTGTATTTATGGGGTACATAAGATATTTTGATACAGGCATATAATGCATAATAATCACATCAGGGTAAATGGGGTATTCATCACCTCAGGCATTTATCCTTTCTTTTTGTTACAAGTAATCCAATTATAGTTTTAGTTAATTTTAAATATATAGTAAATTATTGTTAACTTTAGTCTCCCCATTCTGCTATCGAATACTAGATCTTATTCATTCTTTCCAACTACATTTTTGTACTCATTAACTATCCTCATTCCCCGCCACTACACTTCCTAGCCTCTGGTAACCATCATTCTACTGTCTATCCCCCTGAGTTCAATTGTTTTAATTTTTAGCTCTCACAAATCAGTGAGAACATGTGAAGTTTATCTTTCTGTGCCTGGCTTATTTTACTTAACAGAATGACCTCCAGTCCTATTCATGCTGTTATAAATGACAGGATCTCATTCTTTTTTTATGGGTGAATAGTACACCATTGTGTATATGTACTACATTCTCTTCATCCATTTGTCTGTTGGTGGACATTTCAGTTGCCTCAAAATCTTGGCTATTGGGAATAGTGTTACTATAACATGAGGGTGTAGAAATCTCTTTGATACACTGATTTCTTTTCTTTTGGGTATATACCTAGTAATGGGATTGTGGGATCATATGGTAGCCCTATTTTTAGTTTTTTGAAGAACCTCCAAACGATTTTCCATAGTGGTTGTACTAATTTACATTCCCACCAAGAGTGTACAAGGATTCCCTTTTCTCCACATGCTGGCCAGTGTTTGTGATTTCCTGTCTTTTGGATAAAAATCATTTTAACTGGGGTGAGGTGACATATTGTTAGTTTTTGTTAGCATTTCTCTGATAATCAGTGATGCTGAGCATATTGTTATATACCACTTCGCATGTCTTCTTTTGAGAAATGTCTATTCAGATATTCATGTATTTTTTATTCAGATTAATGGATTTTTTCCCTATTGAGTTGTTTGAGCTTCTCATATATTCTGGTTATTGATTCCTTGTCAGATGGATAGTTTGCAAATATTTTCCCCCATTCTGTGGGTTGTCTCTTCACTTTGTTGATTGTATCCTTCACTTTGCAGAAGGTTTTTAACTTGATGTGATCCCATTTGTCCACTTTTGGTCTGGTTGCCTGTGTTTGTGGGGTATTACTCAAGAAATTTTTGCCAAGAATAGTGTTGTGGAGTGTTTTCCCAAAGTTTTCTTTTATTAGTTTCATAGTGTAAGGTCTTAGATTTAAGCCTTTAACCTTTTTTTTTTTTTGAGATGGAGTTTCACTCTTGCTCCCCAGGCTGGAGTGCAATGGTGCGATCTCGGCTCACTGCAACCTCCTACTCCCAGGTTCAAGTGATTCTCCTGCCTCAGCCTCCTGAGCACCTGAGATTACAGATGTGTGCCACTGTGCCCGGCTAATTTTTTGTATTTTTAGTAAAGATGGGGTTTCACCATTTTGGCCAGACTGGTCTCAAACTCCTGACCTCAGGTGATCCGCCCGCCTCGGCCTCCCAAAGCGCTGGGATTACAGGCATGAGCCACCGCACCAGGCCTTTAATCCGTTTTTTTTCTTTTGTTTTGTTTTTGTTTTTGTATATGGTTAGCTAGAGATAGGGGGTCTAGTTCCATTCCGCTGCGTACAGATATCCAGTTTTCTTAGCTCCACTTATTGAAGATATTGTCTTTTCCCCAATGTATGTCCTTGGCATCTTTGTTTATGCAATAAGTTAACTGTAGACATATGGATTTACTTCTGAGTTCTTCATTCTGTTCCATTGGTCTATTTGTCTGGTTTTATGCCAGTACCATGCTATTTTGGTACTATAGCTCTGTAGTACAATTTGAAGTCAAGTAATGAGATTCCTCTAGTTTTGTTCTTTTTGCACATGATAGCTTTAGCTGGATAATTCTAGCTTTTTCCTGGGTCTTTTGCAGTTCTATATAAATTTTCAAAATTTTTTTTCTATTTCTGTGAAGAATAGAATGTCATTGGTATTTTGAAGGACTTGCATGGAGTCTGTACATTGCTTTGGTCAGTATGAATATTTTAACAATATTGATTCTTCCAATCCATGAACATGGAATATCTTTTCATTTCTTTGTTGTGCTCTTTAATTTCTTGCATCAATGTTTTATAGTTTTCATTGTAGAAATCTTTCACTTATTTTGTTAAATTAATTCCTAGATATTTTATTTTATTTGTAGTTATTGCAAACGGGATTGCTTTCTTGATTTCTTTTTCAGGTTATTTGCTGTTGGCATATAGAAATGTTACTGATTTATGTATGTTAATTTTGTATCCTGCAACTTTATTGAATTTGTTGATCAATTTGAATAATTTTGGGTGCAGCCTTTAGGTTTTTCCAAATAACAAAAATATCATCTGCAAACGAGGATAATTTGACTTCATCCTTTCCAGCGTGGATGCTTTTTATTTCTTTCTCTTGTCTGATTGCCCTAGCTAGGACTTCCACTATTATGTTGAATAACAATGGTGAAAGTGAGCATCCATGTCATGTTCCAGATTTTAGAAACAATGCTCTCCATTTTTCCCCATTCACTATGATACTAGCTGTGGGTCTGTCATATATGGGTTTTATTGTGTTGATGTATGTTTCTTCTATACCCAGATTTTTTTTAGGGTTTTTGTCATGAAATGATGTTGAATTTTATCAAATAATTTTTCAGCATCAATTGAAATGATCATGTGTTTTTTGTATTTTGTTCTGTTGATATAATGCATCACATTGATTGATTTGTGTATGCTGAACCATCCTTGTATTTCTGGAATAAATCCAACTTGGTCATGATGAATGATCTTTTTAATGAGTTATTGAATCCAATTCAGTTTGCTAGTATTTTGTTGATGGTTTTTGCATCAATGTTCAACAGGGATATTGGCCTATAGTTTTCTTTTCTTTTTGAGGTGTCTTTGTCTGGTTTTGGTATCAGGGTAATACTGGCCTCATATGATAAGTTTGGAAGTATTCCCTTTTGCCCTATTTTTCTGAATAGTTTTAGTAGGGTTGATATTAGTTCTTCTTTAAATGTTTGGTAAAATTCACCATTGAAGCCATCAGGTTCCAGGCTTTTCGTTGCTGGGTGACTTACTACTGCTTTGATCTGCTTATTTGTCATTTGTCTGTTCCAGTTTTGGATTTTTTTTCATGTTTCAATCTTGGTGGGTTATATGCATCTAGGAATGTATGCATTTCTTCTAGAATTTCCAATTTGTTGGCATAGAGTTGTTTACAGTAGCCTCTAATGATCCTTTGGATTTCTGCAGTATCAGTTGTGAAGTCTTCATTTTCACCTCTGATTTTTTTGGGGTCCTTCTCTCTTTTCTTTCTTAGTCTGGCCAAAGTTTTCTCAATTTTATTTATCTTTTCTAAAAACCAATATTTTCTTTCACTGATTTTTGTATTGTTTCTTAATTTCACATTCACTTATTTCTACTCTAAACTTTATTATTTTTTCTCTACTAATTTCGGGTTTGTTTTATTCTTGCTTTTCTATTTCTTTAAGAAGCATAATTAGGTAGTTTATTTGAAGTTTCTCTAATTTTTGACGTAGGTAATTATAGCTATAAGCTTTTCTCTTAGTACCGCTTTAGCCATATCCTATTGGTTTCAGTGTGTCGTGTCTCCATTATCATTTGTTTCAAGATTTTTTTCAATTTCCTTTTTCATTTCTTCTTTGGCCCATTGGTCATTAAGGAACATACTGTCTAATTTCCTCATGGTTGTATAGTTTTCAAAGTTCCTCTTGTTAATGATTTCTAGTTTTATTCCACTGTGGTCACAGAAGATACGTGATATAACTTCCAATTTTTTTAATGTTTTAAGACTTGTTTTGTGACCTGACATAAGGTATATCCTTGAGAATGATCCATGTACTGAGGAGAATATGTATTCTGCAGTTATTGGATAAAATGTTCTGTAAATATACATTAGGTTCATTTGGTGTATTGTGCAGATTAAGCCAGATGTTTCCTTGCTAATTTTCCGTGAGGATGATGTGTCGATGATGAAAGTGGGGTGTTGAAGTCTCCACCTGTGATTATGTTGGAGTCTATCTTTCTCTTTAGCTCTAATAATATTTCCTTTATATATCTGGGTGCTCCAGTATTGGGTACATATATATTTATAGTTGTTACATCATTTTGCTGAATTGATTTCTTTATCATTATGTAATGACCTTCTTTGATTCTTTGTATAGTTTTTGTCTTGAAATCTACTTTGTCTGATGTAAGTATAGCTATTGCTGCTCTTTTTGGTTTCTACATGCATGCAATATATTTTTCCATCCCTTTATTTTCAGTTTATGTGTGTCTTTATGGAAAAGTGCAACTTATCATTGGGTCTTGTTTTTTTTAAATCCATTTAGCTACTCTATGTGCTTTGATTGAAGAGTTTAGTCCATTTACATTCAAGTTGTTATTGATAAGCAAGGACTTACCCCTGCCATTTTGTTACTTGTTTTCTGGTTGTTTGTGGTCTTCTCTTCCTTCTTTCCTTTTGTCTGTCTTCCTTTTAGCAAGGGTGATTTTCTCTGACGATATGTTTTAACGTTTCAAGTTCTTGATTTTTATTGTGTTTGTTGTATATTTTCTGATTGAAGTTACCATAAAACATGCAAATAATATCTTATAACCCATTATTTTAAATTAATGACAAATTAACACCTATTGCATAAACAAAGAGAAAACTAATTAAAAGTTTATATTTTAATTGTGTCCCCCACTTTTTAACTTTTTGCTATTTCTATTTATATCTTATTACACTATCTGTATCTTGAAAAGTTGTTGTAGTTTATTTTTGATTGGTTCATCTTTAGTCTTTCTACTTAAGATGTGAGTAGTTTACACATCAAAATTATGGTGTCAAAATATAGTGTGTTTTTCTGTATACTTACTATTACCAGTGAGTTTTGCACCTTCAGATGATTTTTTTTGCTCACTTACAAACTTTTCTTTCAGACTGAAGAACTCCCTTACATTTCTTGGAGGACATGTCTGATGTTAATAAAACCCCTTAGTTTTATTTGTCTGGGAAAAATCTTTATTTCTCCTTCATGCTTGAAGGAGAATTTCACTGGATCTACTATTTTAGGATACAAGTTTTTCTCCTTCAGCACGTTAAATATGTCATGCCACTTTCTCCTGATCTGTTAGGTTTCCACTGAGAAGACTGCTACCAGATATATTGAAGCTCCATTGTACGTTATTCATTTCTTTTCTCTTGCCACTTTTAGGATCCTTTCTTTATCTTTGACGTTGGGGGCCTCAGCCTCCCAAGCAGCTGGGACTATAGGTGCACATCACCATGCCTGGCATTTTTTTTTTTTTTTTGTATTTTTAGTGGAGACGGGGTTTCACCATGTTGGCCAGGCTGGTCTTGAACTCCTGATCTTGAATGATCCGCCTACCTTGGCCTCCCAAAGTGCTGGGATTACAGGTGTGAGCCACCATGCCTGGCCCATTCTTTTTTCTTCTTCTTTTTTTCTGTCTCCCCTGGCTATTTCCAAATAGCCTGCCTTCAAGCCCACTAATTATCTCTTCCACCTGATTTATTCTGCTGATAAGAGACTCTGATGCATTCTTCAGTATTTCAATTGCAGTTTTCAGCTCCAGAATTTCTGCATAATTCTTTTTTAATTATTTGAATTCCTTTGTTAAATTTATCTGATGGCATTCTGAAATCCTTCTCTGTGTTATCTTGAATTTCATTGCGAGTCCTCAAAACAGCTATTTTGAATTCTCTGAATGAAAGATCACATATCTCTGTCTCTCTAGGATTAATTGCTGCTCCCTTATTTAGTTCATTTGGTGAGGTCATATTTTCCTGGATAATCTTGATGCTTGTGGATGTTTGTCAGTGTCTGGGCATTGAAGAGTTGGGTATTTATTGTAGTCTTCACAGTCTTTTTTTTTTCCACCTGTCCTTCTTTGGAAGGCTTTCCAAGCATTCAAAGGCACTTGGGTGTTGTGCTCTAAGTTTCTGGTCACTGCAGCCCCATCTGTATTAGGGAGCACCCCAAGCCCAGTAACAATATGGTTCTTGCAGACTTATAGAGATACTTCTTGGTGGTCTTGGATCAGATCTGGAAGAATTGTCTGGATTACCAGGAAAAGACTCATGTTCTCTTTCCTTACGTTCTCCCAAACAGCTCAGCTCTGTGCTGAGCTAACTAGGCTAGAAGAGAGGTGACACAAATACTCCTGTTGTCACCACTATTAGGACTGTGCTGGGTCAGACCTGAAACTAGTATGGTACTGGGGTCTCACCCAAGGGCTGTGGTTACCACTGCCTGACTATCACCTATGCTCACCCAAATCCCTAGGGCTCTACAATCATCAGGTGACAAAGCCACTCTGGCTTTTGTCCTTCCATTCAGAATGGTGAGTTTCCTCCAGCACCAGTCACGTCTAGCGATGTTTTTCAGAAGCCAGTCCCTTAAGTCAGAAACCTTAGGAATCTACCTGTTGCTCTATTCTACTGTGGCTGAGCTGGCACCCAAGCCACAAGACTAAGTCCTTCACACTCTTCCCTCCCTTTTCTGTAAGCACAGAGTTTCTGCCTGTGGCCACCCTTGCCCCAGACCCATGGCGAGTACTGCCTGGCTACCACTGATGTTCACTCAAAGCCCAAGGGCACTTCAGTCAGCATGTTGGTGAATGCTGCCAAGCCTGGGACACTCTCTTCAGGACAATGGGATCCCCTCTGGTTCAGGGCTAGGTCCAGAAATGCCATTCAAGAACCAAGGCCCAAAATGAGGACTCCAAGAGTCTGCTTGGTGCTCTACCCCATTGTGGCCGAGCTGGTACCTAAGCTAAGGAACGAAGCTCCCTTTACTCTTCCCTCCCCTTTTCTCAAGCAGACGGAGTCTCTCCCTATAGCCATCACAGCTGGGAATGTACTGGGTCTCACCTGAAGCCAGCATGTCTTTGAGTCTCACCCAAGGCCCACAGCGAGTACTGCCCAGCTACCACTGCTGAAAGTTCAAGGCCCAAGGGCTCTTTTGTCAGCAGATGATGAATCCTGCCAGGACTGGGTTCTCCCCTTCAAGGCAGTGGATTCCCTTTTGGCCCAGGGTGTGTCTAGAAATGTCATCCTGGAATTAAGGTCTGGGATGGGGCCCTCAGGACTCTGCCTAGTGCCCTGTCTTTCTGTGGCTAAACTGGTATCCAAGTGGCAAGTAAAGTCCTCTTTACTCTTCCCTATCCTCTCCTAAGGTGGAGGGAAGAAGTATCTCCCAGAGCTGCAAGCTACACTGCCTGGGGCTGGGGAACGGATAGTGCAAGCACTCTCTTTGCTGTTCAAGCTGATGTCTCACTAGGTCACATGCCCCCCAAGTTCACTGGTTCTGAGCAATTCCCCTTTGCTAGGGCTGGTCTCATTGCTCCCTCCATTAGCTTTGGCTGAGTTCTGCCTGGTGTTGCTGTCTGCTGTGACAGGACAGCACTGAGTTCCAATGCAAAGTCCCACAATCACTGTGCTCTCCCTCTTCCAAGCACACAGATTTTTTTTTCTCCACGCCACAGAACTGCTGCTGGGGGGAGGGGGATGGGTACTGTTGGCAATTCAAGGCTCTCTTTTCCACCCTCTTCAGTGCCTCTTTAAGCAATATGAAGTTAAAACTGGGTACTGTGATTGCTCATCTGATTTTTGGTTCTTATGAAGGTGCTTTTTTGTGTGGATAGTTGTTCAATTTGTTATTCTTGCTGGGAGGACAATCAGTGAAGGCTTCTATTTGGCCATCTTGCGCTGCCTTCCTCTCTGATATTTTAATTTTTAGAAGGAGTAAGTTTCGATATCTGGACAGTGAACTCATGTAAATTATCTCATCCTTCTGAGAATTTTACTGTAAATTTATTTTATCTCAGTATTAAAGTTATCCAAAAGAGCTATTTAACACATAACAAAACATATAGATTTCTCTCTACAACACTTTAAATTTTACAATTTTTTTTTATAGAAGTAGGGTCTGGATTTCACATTCATTTTATTATTTTAAAGTATTATTAGTGAAGCACTATACTGTAGGTTTTAAGAGAGCTGATTCTAGAGCTAGACTTTTTAGACTCTCATTCCAGGTCTAGCCCACACAAGTTGTATAAGCTTGGGCACAGAATCAGGGTACAGTCGTGAGTATAGCAGACCTTTGTATTTCCATTCAGTCTGTAAGTCAACAGGTCTGTCTAAGAGCAGACACCTATTTCAGGGCAATCGCCGCAACTACTTTGTCTGGACTTTGACTTTTCCTCTTCCTGGAAGAGGAGATGGAGGAGAAGTCAGGTGAGATAGCTTAAGGAGAACTTGAATAATCAGTAAGCTGGTACAAAGACTCACGCAAGATCAACTGAGCCATGTCCAAGGGAAGCGAGCCCCACAATGATCAGAAACACCTATGAGAAGCAGCACTCTCTAGCATAGCATTATAGGGGATTTCTGTGCCAACTACAACTGCCTGGGGAATCAAATACTACAGGATATTCCTTTATGTAGGTACCAACCGAACACTTGCACTCTGGCCCCCAAAACTACTTGTGTATAAGCCTTAATTATCAAGACAATTGTACCAATTTATCATTACCAACATATTTTCCCTGGCACTGAATTCCAGGAGGCATTTACCATGTGCATCCACATGATAAATGTTATCACAAAGGACAGTGAGCATCACAAATAACAGTCTTCAGCTGTGAATAGTCATGTTTCAACGACCTCTGAAAAAGCTTTCCTCCACAACCACTGATCTTTCTCTCCCACAGAAAACCCTTCACAAGTATGTGCATAGCTTTTGTGAAATGTTTACCTTCTAGCAAAGCTGTGAATTACGTCCCATAGCTATAGCTTGTCTCAGCTGGCCCCTATCCCGAGGCGAGTGACACATGGTGAAGAGAATGAAACTGTAGGTGCTAGAAAAAGTAGCTTCCAGAAGAAAACAAAATTGTCCACATAATATCCAGAGGGTTCTTTTATGGATAAAATATTGTAATTCTTCAGCGTGGTAGATGCTGGTACTTTAAGGAGACAATTCTCAACTCAATATTAAAAAATATTCTCTTTCTCAAATCCATCCACAGTTGGAATTACCTGTCTCTACTCATAGTGAGCTTCTTTTTACTTTCAGAGGACATTTGAGCTGTGGGCAAAGGACGTTGAACCACTTGGCTACACTCTCTAAGACAAATTAGATCTCAGAGATTTTGAAAAGAAAAGTAGTCCAATCTGACTGATTAAAGGCATAAGGATCTCTATGCTCTGAATGGATTCCACCCAAATAAACTAAGGAAGAAGTCATAACTTCATTTCAGAATGAAATGTAATTAGCTAGCTGTAATTATTGCCTTAGGAAAGACCTAGTAAATGAGGGACAGAGTGGTGTGGTGGAAAAGAACATAACTTTTGAGTCTGGACAACTTTGATTCAAATCCTGGTTCTGTCATTTATTAGCTGTGTCATCTTAGACAATTTACATGACCTCTCTGAGTCTCAGTTGTTTCCTCTAAATATAGATAAGAATGCCTCATTATAGAGTATTGTAAGAAGTCTATGAGATATTATACATATAGTGACTACCGCACTACAGGGCTTACAATAGGCACTAAACAAATTAAACCTATCATCACTAATACTTTAGGTGCAAACCACAGTGATCCCAGCTTTTTAAGATCATCTATGGAAAAATCAATTATATATATATAATTCATAAATTAAGGAGAAATTTAAAATGCGCAGCAAATTTTAGAATCTGTAACATGTTTGTCATGAGAAATTGCTACTTTTCAAAAAAAAAAAAAAAAGGATATTTCGACAGATAAAGAATACACCAAAACCACAACTGGAGAATAAGGGTTTAATTGTAGTTCCCTGGTTCAATGCTTATTCCTTCCTGATAGAATGTAAGCTTTATGAGGGCAGGAACTTTATCTGATTCACCAATGTATTTCTAGAGACCAGAACTATTTCTGACACATAGTCTCTACTCAATAGACTTTTATTGACAAATGAGTGAACCCTAACTCAGTACCCTAATAACCAATGACTATTTACAAAATAGTAGGGTGGGCTGGGTGGGGTGGCTTATGCCTATAATTCTCCACACTTTGGGAGGCTGAGGTGGGCAGAGCCCTTGAGCCCAATAGTTTGAGACCAGCCTGTGCAACACAGCAAAACCCCATCTCTACTAAAAAATACAAAAATTAGCCTGGCATGGTGGCACACACCTGTAGTCCTAGCTACTTCGGAGGCTGCAGTGGGAGGATCGCTTGAGCCCAGGAGGTTGAGGCTGCAGTGAGCTGAGATTGCACCACTGCACTCCAGCCTGGGCAACAGAGTGAGACCCGGTCTCAAAAAAACAATAGTGGGGCAAGACAAACCAGATTCTAGCTGAGCCTCCACAAATGTTCCTTAGACCTACCCAACTCTATCTGTACTAATTTCACATATCAAAAGAAACCTTGTGATGACTCTTTGGCTTTTTATAAGCCATGTATGGAATCCTTTATAGAAAACAGAGTGGCAATTTCCATTGGTAGTAGAGCAGGTGACGTCTCTCTCCCAGTGTAAATGTATCCATCAGCATCTGACTCATTAATTAAATGTTTTTTATAAGTAGTCTCTATGAATTAGTCTTTTTCAGTTTGATCACAATAGAATAATCCACAATCAAACTATACATAGTTCTCAACTCCCTCAAGTTCACCATTTTCTTTATAGAGTCTCTGCTTCTGCAATAAACTCCCCCAATGTCTCTCTTTCATCACCTCAATGATACCAAGTTATTTCAGGAAGGTTGTCTCTAATAAATGATTATTATAATTTATAACAGGTTATTATCTTTACAATGGTATATTGTTGTGGACAAATCTCAATATGTATACAAATTATAGCTTATGTTGCAGTAAAATTGGCCACATAGAAATGATACTGGATTCTAAACAGTTTGCTGAATTCACAACTGAATCCAAAACCAACAGGAAGCGTTCTCCAACCTGTTCTTAAAAATACCTGCTCTAGGTATATAATGCTAGAACTTAACCAATGAAACTAGTATTATTCCTCATCACAGCACTGGCCAGGGTTGCCTTTCAGTCACTGCGATAAAAATTATCATTTTCTTCTCTATAGCTTCTGTCACTGTTTTTTCTATAGCTTCTGTTATCATTTTCTTCAACATGTGCTGGGAGATAATACTCTGTTCCCTTACAAATGCTTCCCAAGTATTAGCTAGAAAATTTACTGGAGGCCTCTGTACATTCAGAATGTAGATGACTAGAACCAGAAATGAAGTCAAAAAATGAAACCAAGATTTAAAAAACTTTCCAACTACTACAGGATTTGAAAATGCCTTTCTTAGCATACTTCAAAATGAGTAAATTGCTTCTAAGTGAGTAAATACTTCTAAGTAAATTTGAATAACATCCAAAAATACACATTTCCTGTTTTTTAAGTGTCAGGGTATGCTGAGGGAGAGAAGAAGGGTGTTTGCTGTCTAGTACATAGAGAGACTTTAGAGCTGTTACCAGTTGAATTGGTGACAATAGATAACATTAAGCAACTTAAAGTCCTTAATTCCCGAAGCATTGATACACATGTTTAAAAATATAAAACACGAATCAGAAATATTTCTTAAATTTCAAATTCAATATTAGAATTGATATAAATTTCAGACATTACACAGTTCAATGCCTTCATTGTACAAATGGAAAAAACTGAGGCATAGGGAAATGAATCACTCAGAAAAACTCACAACATAATTACTCAACTTGGAGCAGACTTCAAGCCTTTTCACTTCTAAATCCCTTTTCCAGAGGATTTTGCTAGATTGATTCTTATCAACTGTGTGGCTATCACCTGTATTTTCAGTGACACTACAATGGCTCATCTACCGTGTCTAAGATGGGGTTAACTAATTAATCAAGGTATGTATTAGCCAGATTCTGAACATTATTATTAATTCCAGTGATAGCTATTCTCTAATAATGCCACCATTGTGTTTCAGAGCAGATAGACTCAAAGACAATCATGTATTTACCCAGTTGTAGTGTTATATCCCTTCTAACACATTTACTGATATTTTTATTCATCTCACCAATAACAACACACAGCATTAAAAAAAACCTGGCAATATTAACCTAAAAAATGGAAAGGAAAGCTGATTCCATAACTAATCTACAGTTGTTCCTGTGGGAATAATTCATTGCAATATAACCCTGTCTCTTATAACCTGAAAAAATACTTCACTTGTGTTTCTTCCATCAAAAAAAGTCTTTCATAGATCTCTACATCACTTCTCTATTATAAACCACTGCCACATTTCTTAATAGGCATTAAAGTGGATGTAATAGTTTATGCTTCCTAAACCATACCAGGCAAGCTAATTACACTAACTGTTGCTCAGGCTAAGAAATCTGGATTTTTAAAAATGCTATCAAAGCTGTTGAAAGATTTTAACTCCTAGTAGGCTATATATGTGATTCAGGAGGATTACTCTGGTACTAGTATGGAGACAGAGAAAACCAATATGACCTGACAACAAATTGTAAAACCCTAAACGATGGCAAATGCAGTCATGATAAAAATAAAAGAACAGATTCTAATAATTAATGTAACTTAGTAATTGATTGTGTGTGGAAGTAAAGAAGAAGAAGCAATAATGTCCAAGCTCCTGGAATTGTGCTAAGTAGAAAAGGGGCTCAAAATGAAAAATAGACATTTATTATTCATGACAGAATAATGATTATTCATGGTAAAGTGTATAAAGTGTCAGATATAGGAACAAATGAAAAGGAGGATAAAATCACATTTGAAAATAGAAAAAAGGAAATTTGGAATGTTAATTTTATGTGTCTACTTGAGTGAGCCACAGAATGCCCAGAAATTTGGCCAAACATTATTCTGGGTATGACTATAGGGTGTTTCTAGATGAGACTCACATTTGAATCAGTAGATAGAGTAAAACAGATTGCTTTTCATAGTGTGGGTGGGCCTTATCCATCAATTGAAGACCTGAATAGACAAAAAGGCTGAGCAAGAGGGAACTCCTTCTGTCTAACTGCTATGAGCTGGGACATTGGTCTTTTTCAGCCTTCAGACTCAAACTGAAATATCAGCGTTTCTTGGGTCTTGAGCCTGCCAGCTTTCTGACTGGAACTTACACCATTAGCATTCCTGGTATTCAGGCCTTCAGACTTGGACAGAAGCTACACAACAGCTTTCTTAGGTCTCTAGTTTGCAGACTGCAGACCTTGGAACTTATCAGCCTCCAAAAACATGTGAGCCAATCTCTTATAATAAATCTCCTCCCTCTGTCTCTCTCTGTCTCTCTCTATATATGTATATTATATATACACACATATATCTATACACTCACACTTATATATGTGTATATGTGTGAGTGTGTATATATATATGTATATATAATTACACATATAGAAAAAAGGAAATTGGGATGGTTAATTTTATGTGTCCACTTGAGTGAGCCACAGGATGTGAGGTGTATCAGAGACCATACACATATGTGTATATGTACAGATATATATGTATGTATATATATGTATGTGCATAGATAATATTTGTACACACACGTATATATGTATGTGCAAACATATATAATATATTCCTTTCCTTCCTATATATGTGCATACATATATAATAGATTATATGTGTGTATACATAATATATAATGTAATTACATATATTACATATATAACATATTATATATTGCATATGTTACATTATATATTACACAGATATAATATTATGATATACAACACCTATTGAAGAACCATGAGTTCCATGAACCATGGTTCTCTGAAGAACCATGAGTAATGCAGAAATAAGTAACAAAGAATGTAGTATGTCAAGTTTGCTAAGCCTTAAAAAAAGGAAGAGGGCCGTTTCAGACAAAGAGAAAATTACATAGGTAGGGTATAGTTTTAAAAGAACAAATAGTATAACACAACTAGAGCATCAGGTGAGATAAAGTAGGAGGTAAGCAGAAAAAGGTAGATTGGAGGTACACAGGGGAAAATTTCTGATACATAACCAAAGAGTTCAGAGCTAATTTAAGAAAAAGAATATAATTCAATGAAGGTTTTGTAGAAGACTTAAAATGAAATTTTAAAAATACTTTAAAATACTCAAATATTTAAAGATACGAATACCTTTTTCTCTCTCTTTACAAAAAGCAAAATTATCCCCATTTATTTTAGCTTCCTCTCCCTGGAACGCATGTAACTGTCAGGTTTAGAGAGTCACTTAGGTCAGGAACCCTAGGAATAGATTGTGTATGCAATATTAAATAAAAACAACACTTCTGCTTCTAGCCATGACAAAGTCCAACTAGTATTGGACTTATCCTTCTGCCATAAACAATTATAAAACTGGGTCAAAAACTATTAACACATTATTTTCAAGCACTTGATAACAAATGGTGCAGGACTGTCATATTTTAGAGAAAGGGAAAATGTAAGTTAACCCCGTATTAACTCCAGCTTTCTACCCGGGGTCACTTTCCAGGGGCAGCATGGGAGACAGAGGCCAAATAGAGAATGACAATTTTACTGAGAGGAGAAGGCACAGATCAGAGTTTCGGGCTGGTAAGGTAGCTAGAATTTGTGTGGCCAAGTACTGAGGAGAGAAAGCTTCGCAGACTAGGGGAAGCAAGAAATCTTCACAGAGGTTGCCCTCAGGCCCTTGGCCAAAAGATGGGCTACTTTTGTTCAGGAGAGTATTCTGTGACACTCTTAAGAGAACAACTATAGCAGTGACAAATCCTTCAGTGCTCATCTGAATGGAGACATTAAACAGTGCTCATAGATGTTAAAGTCCTAACGCAGCCAGAGTGAGAAAGCTTCACTGAGCAACAAAAGCATTCGGTCGAGATGCTGGAATGACCATGCCTAGGAGGAAAGACCGTGACCTAAAATAATGGCCATGCCATAGAACTAAGGATAAAATTGAAATAAAGTATAAATCCATTCTAACAAAATCAAAACAAGCCACCAGTAGTTAACCACTTGCCAGAATAAAACTAAACACTCCTCAAAGAAAAAAAAAATACTCAATACATACCATCCCACAACATACCATTCATAATGTCAAGCATACAGTCAAATATTACTAGACATGCAAAGATGTAGGAAAAATGTGACCCATAGTCAAAAGTAAAAAGTTGATATAAACAAATCCCAACATGATAGAGATGTTGGAATAAGGAGATAAAGACCTTAAAAGTGGATAAATATAGATATATAGGTGGATATGTTATTATTTATATAGAGATATATATGTAGAGATATAGATATAAACTTAAAGAAAAATGTAGAAATAATATATTCACAATGCTGAGTTGGGAAATCTCAGGAGAGAAAAGAAAACTATAACATAGGACTAATGAGAATTCTATAATAAAAAATACTTTCCCTGAATAAATTCACTAGATGGGCTGAACAGCAGATTAGACACTACAATAAAGGGTCAATGAATTTGAAAACATGTGAATATAAATTAACCAATCTGAAGACAATGAAAAGAAAATGATTGAGAAGAACAAGCAGAGCCCTGGTACCTCAGAAAATTCAACTATTTGTGAAAATCCAGAGGAAGAAGAAAAGGAGACGGAGGAGGAGAAAAAGTAGGAGAGAAGAAAAGGTAGGGAGAGAAAAAGAAGCAAAAAACAAAATTCAAAATTCAAAATTTGTTTTAAAAATTACCCTCCAGATTCAAGACATTTAGTAAACCCTAAACCATGTAAATAGAAAACCTTGACTGAGTATATTATAATCAAAGTGCTGAAAGATAATGGTAAAAAGAAAATCTTAAAATGTATCAAAAAAAACCCTCATATGAAGGGAAAAAAGATGAAAGATGATGGACTCTTCATCAGAAAAGTAAATACAGGCCAGCCAGGCATGGTGGCTCATGCCTATAATCCCAGCATTTTGGGAGGCCGAGGCTGGCAGGTCACCTGAGGCTGGGGGTTCCAGACCAGCCTGGCCAACATGGTGAAATCCCATCGCTACTAAAAATACAAAAATTAAGCAGATATAGTAGTGTGCACCTGTAACACCAGCTACTCCGGAGGCTGAGGCATGAAAATCGCTTGAACCTGGGTAGCAAAAGTTGCAGTGAGCCGAGATCATGCCACTGCACCCCAGCCTGGGTGACAGGGTGAGACTCTGTCTCAAAAACAAAAACAAAACAAAACATAAACCAAAAAAAAAGAAAAAAATACATGCCAGAAGATCTTGAAACAACAGCTGTAAAGTACTGAAAGTTTTTTAAAGTCAAGCCAGTATTCCACGGTCAGTGGAAATACTTCAAAAATGAGGATAAAATAAACATTTTTAATAAATGCGTACTGAGAAAATTTGTCACCAGTAAAAATACGCTATAATAATTTGTTATTAATGGTTCTTCAAACTGAAGTAGGATACCAGATTGAAGCACAGATATGCAAGAAGGAAAGAAGAAAATTAGAAGTGCTGAATATATGAATCTATATAAAGAAACTATTTTTTCTTTTACAAATGTCATTAAAATGCAGCTTACTAGTCAAAGTAAAAAAAAGAAATTATATTGTAGGGTTTATAACATATGTAGAAGAAAAATATATAACAGCAATACCACAAAGATGGAAAAGGGTATAAATATAATTATAATACAGTTCTTACATTTTATATGAAATACTACAATGGTAACTCTAAGTAAGTAATAATAAATTAAGAATACATATTTTAATCCCCATACAACTGCTAAAAATAAATAAAGCAGCACAGCTTAAAAAGCCAATAGAAGAGCAAGATGGCAAAATAAGAAGCCCAGAACCTCTTTCCCCTCATAGGACACCATTTAACAGCAATTCAGTGACAAATGTCCCTTGTTAGAAACCCATAAACCAGTTATGAGGTTCCTGAACCTCAGGCAAATATGAAGCCAAATGCATTGAAACCAGTAAGAAAATTCGTGTCACTCATACACCATAGTCCCCCCAACCCCCGGCTCAGAGTTGTACAATCCGGAGAAAACTCCCATTTCCTGGCTTCTCTCTGGGGAGGAAACGAAAAGACTAAAACACATCCAAAACTCAGACTTTTGCGGTGCTGCCCAAGGAACTGGTTTATCTCCTGCCTGACTCTAAGCACAGAAAAACAAAAGGGCCAGGTTGGGGACCACTGAAAACAAAAGTAATGGTTTAGACTAACAAACACTCGCTCACCAAAATTCTATACCCTTCCCCTCTGGCTCAGTGCAGAATGAGTAGGGAGAAAAAGAAGCCTCAACTCCTGGCTTATCCCTGTGGAGGGAAAGAGTTAAAGTGTGTGTCCAAAATTCTGAACTTTCAAGGGACTGCCCGAAGGACTAGATTCTGTCTTGCCTGTCTTGGAGGATGGATGGGAGGGACCTCGAATACTCTATGTACTTGCAAGGCACAGAGGACAAAATAGAGCTGGGCAGATTGCTGCTGCTACTGATAACATACAACAGACAGAGGCCTATGCCATTTGGTGGTCTCTCCTTTGTGGGGTCATGCCAGAAGAGAAGAGTAGAGTATGCCTCTAGTGGTCTGGCTTTTCAGGGAGCTCTCTGGGGGGAATTGTTTCTGTGTCTTCGGACTTAGTGCACTGATGTGTCCCAACATTTACTAGAAGCCACTGAGAGCAAAAGAGAGCTAGGCACCTTGTGGCAGCTCCAAAGAACACAAACAGACACATTAGAGGGAGAAAGAGATGATGAATTCTTAAAAAAAGAAACTGGCAAATCTCTCTAATGAATTTATATGCACAAGTCCAGAGAAGAGGCATCCATAGGAAAAGTTTGAGAAGCTCTCTAGAATATCTAGCTGGGCTGATTGGTAAAGATCTTTTCCTATACAAAGCCAGTTCATAAAAACTGATATATATGGCTATTTTTTCAAATGAAGAGATCCCAACACAAAGTTATAAGGCACATAATAAACAGAGAAACATGGTTCAATAAAAGGAACAAAATAAATCTCCAGAAACTGAACCCAAAGAAACAAAGGTATGGAGATTACATGAAATAGATTTTAAATTGCTACTATAAAGATGCTCAATGAGCTAAGGAAAAAAAAAAGAATTCATGAATAAAATGAGAATATCAACAAAAATAAAATATTTTTAAACACCCAGAAAGTTTGGAATGAAAGAATACAATAACTAAATTGAAAAATTTACTAGAGGGGTTCAACTGCATATTTGATCTAGCTGAACAAAGAATTGGTAAACTCAAAGACAGGTCATTGAAATTATCCAGTAGGAGAAAAGAATAAAAGAATGAAAAAGAGTAAAGAAAGACTAAGAAACTTATGGCACATGATCAAGGTGTTCATTATATGCAATATGAGGGTCTCAGAAGATGAGGAGAAAGAGAAAGGGAAGGAAAGATTATTTGAAGAAGTAATGGGCCCAAACTTCCCAAATCTGTGGAAAGAAATGAATATCCATATTCAAGAATACCAAAAGACTTCAACTCGTATAAAACTAGTATATAAGAAATCTATAACAAGCCACATTGTAATCAAATTGTCAAAAGTCAGACAATGAGAGAGTTTTGAAAGCAGCAAAAGAGAAAGTGACTTTCACATACAAGGGAGGCTCAATAAGACTATCAGTTTAAAGCTAGATGGCAAAGGTAAATAGAAAATCAGAGAATAGTATGGTACTATAAAAGTAGTGCATAAATCACTTTTAATTCTGGTGTAGAAATTGAAAGATAAAAGTACAAAAAATGACAATAAAAACATGATAATACACAATATAAAAAGATGTAATTGTCCAGGCACAGTGGCTCACACCTGTAACCCCAACAATTTGGGAGGCTGAGGTGGGTGGATCACCTGAGGTCAGGAGTTGGAGACCAGCCTGGCCAACATAGCGAGACCCTGTCTTTACTAAAAAGTACCAAAAAAAAAAAAAAAAAAAAGGCCAGGTGTAGTGGCAGGTGCCTGTAATCCCAGCTAATCGGGAGGCTGAGGTGGGGGAATTGCTTGAACCCGGGAGGTGGAGATTGCAGCGAGCCGAGATCATGCCATTGCACTCCAGCCTGGATGACAAGAGGAAAACTCCATCTCGGGGAAAAAAAAAAAAGATGTAATTTGTGACATCTATAGCATAGTGTGTGCACGGGGAGACATTACAACTGATGGCACTGATACCATGGGGAGGAGACGTAAAGGGCAGTTTTTGTGTACAATTGAAATTATTAGCTAAAAAGAGATTGTTACAACTATAAAATGTCTAATGTAAGCCCTTTGGTAAACACAATAAAAGGTATCTATAAAAGATGCACCAAAGAAAGTGAGCAATAAATCAAAGCATGTTGCTATTAAAAAAAAAATCAACAAAACACAAGGGAAGACAACAAGAGAAGAAAGGAGGACCAAAAGGCAACAGGATAGACAGAAAACAACTAATAAAATGGCAATCATAAGTCCTTCCCTATCAGAAATTACTTCAAATATAGATAGATTAAACTCTTCAATCAAAAGACATTGAGTGGCTGAATGTTTGTTTTTGTTTTAAAGATCCAACTATAAGATATAAACAAATCTTGCTTTAGATTTAAGGACACACACAGACTGAAAGTGAAGAGATGGAAAAGATTTTCCATGCAAATGATAAGCAAAGAGAATCATGGTAACCATATTTATTTAAGGCAAAATAGACTTCAAGTAAAAAACTGTTATAAGAGACAAAGAAGGACATTATATAATGATTAAAATGTCAATTTACCAGGAAGAGACAACAATTATAAATATATATGCACCCAAAATATGGGCAACCAAATATAGGAAGCAAACACTGATAGAACTGAAGGGAGAAATGGACAGTAGTACAATGATAATAGGAGATTTCAATACTCCACTTTCAATAATGGACCAAACATACAGAGAAGAAACCAATAAGGAAATAGGAGCTGAGCAATTCTATTTATCAAATGGACCTAACAGACATGTAAGAAACATTCTACAGCAGAAGATAAACATTCTTCTCAAGTGCACACAAAACATTCTCCAGGATAGATCACGTGTTGGGTCGCAAAAGGAGTTTTAACAAATTTAAGGATATTATTTCCTATAGGGTTGTTTGAGCTCCTGGAAGATTAAAATTATACGAAGTATCTTTTCCAATCACAATGGATTGAAACTAGAAATTAAAAGCAGAAAGAAAACTTAAAAATTCACAAATATGTGGAAACTAAACAACACACCCTTGAATGATAAACAACGAATGAGTCAAAGAAAAAGCCAAAAGGGAAACTTAAAAATATTGCTAGACAAATAAAAATGAAAACACAACATACCAAAATGTATGGGATGCATCAAAAGCAGCCGTAAGAGGGAGTTTTATGTCAGTAAATGCCTGCAATAAGAAAAAAAACCTCAAATAAAAACCTTAATGGTATACCTGAAATAACTAGAAAAAGAAGAACAAATTAAGCCCAAAGTCACCAAAAGAAAGGAAATAATCAAGATTAAAGTAGAAATAAATAAAATACAAGTAGAAAAACAATAGAAAGAAATCAACAAAATTAAGAATTTTTTTTTGAAAAGATAATCAACAAACCTTTAGCCAGAGTATGAAAAAAACAGATAAGTCTAAAAAAAAAGACATGAAAGAGGTGACATTACAACTCATGCCACAGACATAAAATAATACCAATTACAGGTAAGGAGATTGAATCAGCACCAAAAAGTCTTCCAAAAAGGATGAGCCCATGACTAGATGGCTTCATTTATGAATTCTATTTACAAAACACTTAAAGAAGAATTAATATCATTTTTTCTCAAACTCTTGTAGAAAATTGAAGAGAGGGGAACACTTCAAAACTAATTTTATGAGGACACCATTACCTTGATAGCAAAGACAAACAAAGACACCAAAAGAAAGAAAATTATAGGCCTATATTCCCAATGAATACATACGTAAAAATTCTCAACAAAATGCTAGCAAACCAAATTCAACAGCACACTGAAAGAATCATGTATTTATTACCAGGTGGTAACATATATTCCTGAGATGTGATGATAGTTCAACTTACAAAAATCAATCAAGGTGATATACCATAATAACAAAATGAAGGGTAATAACCACATCATCAACTCAATAGATGCAGAAAATGTATTTGACAAAATTCAACACTTTTTCATTTAACAAACACTCAAAAAACTAGGAATAGAAGGAAATTACCTCAACATAATGAAGACTATATATAAAAAACCAACAGATAACATAATATTCAATGGTAAAAAATTGAACATGTTTCCTCTGAGATCTGTAAGAAGGCAAAAATGCACAGTCTCACCACTTCTATTTAACTGAAATAGTACTTGAAGTCTTAGCTAGAGTAATTAGGTAAGAAAAAATAAATAAAATCCAACAAAATCAGAAAGGATCAAGTAAAATTATCTCTGTTCTCAAATAACATGATTGCATATAGAGAAAATTCTAAAGTGCATATCAGAATAAACAAACAGAAAAACAGAGATAATAAATTCAGCAAAGCTGCAAGATACAAAATCAACAAACAAAAATAATTTGTGTTTCTATACACTAATACCAAATAATTTGAAAAAGAAATTAAGAAAATAATTCCATTTACAATAGCATCAAAAATAATAAAATACTTAGGAATAAATTTAACTGAAGAGGTAAAAAATTTGTACACTAAAAACTACAAAACTTTGTTGAAAGAAATTAAAGAAGACACAAATTAATGGAAGGACATCCCATGTTCACAGATTGGAAAAATTAATATTGCTAAAATGTCGAGACCACCCAAAGTGACCGAAAGATTTAATGTAATTGCTATCAAAATCCCACTGGCATTTTTTGTGGAAATGGAAAAAAAATCCTAAAATTCATATGAAACCAAAAAATAAACAACAACAACAACAACAAAACACTGTATAGCCAAAATGATTTGAGAGAGAAGAATAAAGCTGGAAGCTTCATACTTCCTGACTTCAACATATTACAAAGCAACATAATCAATGCAATCTGGTACTGCCATCAAGACAGATATATAGATCAATGGAATAGAATAAAGAGTTCAGAAACAAACCCATATGTATATATTGGTTAAATGATTTTTGACATAAGTGCCAAGACTACAAAATGGAGAAACAATAGTCTCTTTAACAAATAGTGTTGGGAAAATGGAATATCCACATCAAAATAATGAAATTGAACCATTATATTACACCATAAACAAAAATAAACTCAAAGTCGATTAAAGACTTAAATGCAAGATCTGAAACTATAGAACTCTTATAATAAATCATTAGGGAACATCTTCATATCGCTTTTCACAAGGATTTCATTAATTTGACGCTGAAAATACAGACAACAAAAGCAAAAATAGACAAATGGGACTACATCAAACTAAAAAGCTTCTGCCCAGCAAAGAAAACAATCTGCAGGTAAAAGCCAACCTAAAGAATGAGAAAAAATATTGGCAAATCATATATCTGAGGAAGAGTTAATTCCAAAATATATAAAGACCCCCTTCAACTCAATAGCAAAACCAACAGATAACCCACTTTTTAAAATGTTTTAAGAATTGGCAAAGGACTTGAGTAGACATTTCTCCAAAGAAGACATATAAATGGTCAATAGGTGTATGAAAACATGCTCAATGTTACTATGGGAATAGTAAAAAGATGAGTGGTTATCAAGAGGTAGGGATAGGGAGGGGTAAACAGGTAGAACACAGAGGATTTTTAGGGTAATGAAACAATTCTGTGCGATGCTATGATGGTGTATATATGTTATTATACATTTTTCAAACCTCATAGAATGTACAACACTAAGCAAGAACCATAATGTAGAACACTGATTAATAATGATGTGTCATATGTATACATATGTAACAAACCTGCACATTGTGCACATGTACTCTAAAACTTAAAGTATAATAATAATAAAACTAAAAAAAGAAGAAAAAAAAGATGTGTCAATAGATTGCAACAAAAGTGCCACTGAGGTGGGAGATGTTGATAGTAATGGAGGTTGTGTCTGTCTGGGGACAGGGACATATAGAGACACTCTCTGTACTTTCCACTCAATTTTACTGGGAACCTAAAACTCCTCTAAAAACTAAAGTTCGTTAATGAATTAAAAAAATCAGTAGGTAAGTAGAAGATTTCAGCACTATCTCAACCATTTTAACCTAATTGATATTTATAGGACACTACTGCAACAATTGCAGAACACACATCCCTTTCAAATGCTAAAAATGTTCAAGATTCATTCATGATATACCATAAAATAAGTAGCAATAAATTTAAAAATATTGAAATTTTACAGTGTATGTTCTCTGACCACAATGGCATTGAATTAAAATTCACTAAGATGAAGAAAATCTTCAATATTTTGAAACGAAACAGCACATTTGTAAATCACCCAAGGTAAAGAAGAAACAACAAGGCACATTAGATAATTTCTGAAAATGTATGTTCACGAAAACAAATCACTCTATATTTGTATGATCCAGTTTAACTAAGTCTTAGAAATATATGAGATTCAAATTCTTATATTTGAAAAAAATTAAAATCAATAATCTAAGGATTACTTTAAGAAGATAGAAAAAGTAGAGAAAATTACACTCAAATAAATAAAAAAATAATAAAGAGCAAAAATCAAAATATAAAACAAACAATATTGGAAAATTTAAAAGCCAAAGTGTTTTTGTAAAAAAAGGTAATAAGATGGTTAAACCCTAACATAGGTACTGTTGATGAAAAAAGAAAAAACAGTAATTACCAATACTAGGAATAAAAGATGGCATGTCATTGTAGATTCTATGGGCAAATATTATACATGCCCTTGTGTTAGTATATTCAAATTAGGTAAAAGGATTAATTTCTTGAAAAGCGTGAATTAAAAATTGAAAGGAAAAATGAAGAAAATAAATATAATTCTGCCTGGTAAATAAATTTAATTTGTAAATTAAAAACCTTCTCACAGAGAAAGCTGGAGGCCTGGTTGGTTTAACTGCTGAACTATATATTAAATATTAAAGAAAGAAGAATGCTAATTTTAACAAACTCTTTCCTAAATTAGAGGAAGAAATAAAACCTGTCACAAATCTAACAAACCTATTACTGAAAAAAAGGCAAATTAATATTCTCATACACATAGATGTGAAAGAGTAATAAAATTCTAGCAAACAAAACCTAGCAGAGTATTAAAAAGAATAAACAAAATATAGTACATGCATACAACAAAATATTTAGCCACAAAAAGGAATAAAGTATTGACTCATGCTACATGGGCAAACCTTGAAAACATTATGCTAAGTGAAAGAAGACTGTCACAAGAGGTCACATATTACATGACTCCATTTATCTGATATGCCCAGAACAGGAAAATCTATAAGGGAAAGGGGAAGCGGGGAGTAACCAACATATATATATGCCATATATACACACACACAAACACACGCACAGCTATATACACAAACACACATTCTGCAAATCAATAATAAAAAGACAACACAAATTTTAAAATAAGCAAAATATTTGAACAGGCACGTCAGAACAGAGGACATACAAATGACCAATAAGTACATGAAAAGTTATCAACATCATTAGTCTTCAGCGAAATGAAAATTAAAATGATGGTGAGAAACTTCACTTTTCTTTTTTTTTTTGAGACAGAGTCTCGCTCTTTCACCCAGGCTGGAGTGCAGTGGTGCAATCTCAGCCCACTGTAACCTCCACCTCCTGGGTTCAAGCGATTCTCCTGCCTCAGCCTTCTGAGTAGCTGGGACTACAGGCACCCGCCACCACGCCCAGCTAATTTTTTATATTTTTAGTAGAGATGGGGTTTCACCGTGTTAGCCAGGATAGTCTCGATCTCCTGACCTTGTGATCCGCCCGCCTCGGCCTCCCAAAGTGCTGGGATTACAGGCGTGAGCCACCGTGCCTGGAAAATACTATTTATTTGTGAGGATACAGACCAACTGCAACTCTCATACATTGGGAGTGTACTATGTTACAAACGATTAGAAAATAATACTTCTAGAAATGTCACTTAAAATAGTATCAGATTGTTTGCAAATTTGTTTCCCAGTTCATTATAAAGTTAAACAAGAGCTTACACTATGACCCCGTACTTCTGCTCCTGGGTTTTTACACAAGAGAAGTTAAAACATGGCAAAATAATAATAATAATAATAAAGAAAAAAAGAAAGAAAAAAAAAAGAAAATGACTTGTACATGAATATTTCCAGAAGCTTTATTCAAGTTAGTAAAAAACTGAAAATAATTCAAATGTCTACCAAAATAAAAACAAATAAATACACCATGGAATACTTAGACAATAGACCTTATACTCAGCAATTTTAAATAATTAACTAGTGATACACAACAACATGATGGATCTCAGAAATTTTGTTTAGGAAGAAGTTTCAAAATAGTATAGACTGAAAAAATTCATTTATATGCAATTCAAGATTAGGCCAAACAAGTCTATGATGAGAAAAATTAGATAATTGGTTGTGGGTGGGTGGGGAAGAGACTGACTGGAAGGGATGTGAAGAAATTTTCCCAAGTGAAATGTTGTATGTCTTGATGAATGTGTTGGTTATACAGGTTAATTTAACAAAACTCAATAAATTACACATTTAAACTTTCTGCATTTTATTGCATTTAAATTTTTAATTAGACAATAGAAACACAAAGAATGCATGTATTTTTACTTCATAAATGCATGAAGTAAATAATAAGAAAAACATGAAGGGATTTCTTCAGTAAAGTTCAAAATTTGATTGAAATAAAAAACCCACAATGAAGTAGAATTGTACTAGATACAGCTCTTATTAATAAATAAAAAAATTATATAGGCCATCTTGTCGCCATGGGACAAATAATTGCTGTGAATTTATATTATCTTCAATAAAACATATTTGTAATCAGTAAATAGGTATACTCTTCATTATGGCAACTAGTATGGAAATTTGGGTACAGAAGATAAATTCTGGGTGATACTAACCCTACCTCTGAGACTTTTTTTTTTTTTTTGAGCCAGAGTCTCACTCTTTTGCCCAGGCTGGAGTGCAGTGGCGCAATGTTTCACTGTGCTATGAGAGAAGCTATGTTTCATCCACTAAGCTTCTCTTGCAAACAATTATCTCTCTTATTCACACTGTCATTGTTCATCCTGAACGTTCTCTATCAAGCATTCACACGGATTTCCCATACTGAAACCAACACTGTTTGGCTTACATACTCTTAGACACATTGTTTGCCACATGAGTATGACCAGGGTAATAAGGACACTCAAAGTGCTATCACAGAAAGACTCCAAGGATCTTGAGAAGACTCATACTGGACGTATAAGTGGCTTTTATATGCCATGAAAGAAGATTAGACTTTTTTATGTGATTTTGAGAGCTTTAGAACTGGGACCTACCGTTGAAGTTAAAAGTAAAGCAATTTCAGTTCAAAATAACAAAGTTAGATCTATCCAAGATTAATGGAATATTATTAAAAAGTTGTATAAACTGAAAACAGGTAAATAGACACAAATTTTAAGCATTTGATGAATGGCTAGACAATCCAATCTTTAATATCTCTCATATCCCAAGATTTAATGGTTCTGGGTGCAGATGGTTCACCAGGCTCTTTATGCCCCCAAGCTCACAACTCACACATTCACCACTTGCTCAAACAATGAAGACTTGCACACACAATCCCATCCTCCTCCTAGTTTGTTACCAGCTGCTGCCAATGATTTAATACTGGAGACTGAGGAGAGCCAGAGTAGTTTCAATTGTACTCCCTAAAGAGGAAAAAAATCAAGCTAAATCCAATGAGGAAGGATAATATTTGAGAATGGCATTTTCATTAGCAGCTGACAAGTTTAAAAGTATGAACACAATTACATAGTGCTTTGTCAGCAAAGATGTATCATTAGTGTCCTGAAACAAAGAGAGAAATTCTACATAATTAATAAAATGATATTTAACTCTGCTATTATCAATAGATAAACACAATGATAAGTAGTATTCCTTAGTAGTTAAAGCTTGAACTTTGGATCCAGATTGCCTGATTTGAAATCCTAACCTCTCTGTCAGTTCTCCAATCTGAGAAAATAGAGATGACAAGAATACCTATATCATAGACTTCTTATGAGGATTAAATTCATTAATTCAAATCAAGCCTAAGAAAAGTGTATTGCAAGACATAGGTATGTGCTATTATCAATGGATGATTACCATTTGGTATGCCTACATTTTTCAGTGTTCAACCTGTCCATATATTAGGAGGCACCAAGGCTTAAAATTAGACTATGTGTAGTTTTTTGTTTTTTTTTGTTTGTTTTTTGTTTTTGTTTGTTTGTTTGTTTTTGAGACACAGTCTCCCTCTGTAGCCCAGGCTGGAGTGCAGTGGCGCGATCTCAGCTCACTGCAATCTCCGCCTCTTGGGTTCAAGTGATTCTCCTGCCTCAGCCTTCTGAGTAGCTGGGATTACAGGCGCCCGCCACCATGCCCGGCTAATTTGTGTATTTTTAGTAGAGACGGGGTTTCTCCATGTTGAGCAGGCTGGTCTTGAACTCCTGACCTCGGGTGATCTGCCTGCCTCAGCTTCCCAAAGTGCTGGGATTACAGGAGTGAGCCACTGCGCCCTGCCGACCATGTGTAGTCTTATTGGAACATCTAGAAGTTCCAGATGCTCCACTTACCTCAGGGATTACATTTTTTCATGTCCACTTTATGCTTCGGGGACAGTATTCTCAGGAAGACTTTCCAACACAAGCCAGCATTTAAGGCAGCAGGTGATATGTGATATGTCTAATGAATTGCTTTTGGAATTGAATCATTGTCTTTCCTACTGTACAAGCTTTAAAATACTTGGTCTTTGGGGTCTCCACACCATCTGCACACTTAAAGAAATCCAAGTGCAACAGAAACCAGTGATCACAGTTCATGATCACATGGAGCACTGTTCCCAAAATGGGCTATAGCAAGTTGATGTAGCTTCAGTGCAGCAATGAGCTTGACATTCTGCATTCCACTGGGTTTGGAATTTTTTAAATGTTTCTGTGTTTTGGTATTCAGAAACAGCATCTCAGGACTGAAATGAAAGATTAGAGGAGAATGTATTTATAGCACAGAATTCCCTTAAGAATGTAAGCTCTTGAGACAAATTGCATTGGTTCTAATCTACTCTCCATTTACTGGCTGTGGGACTTTCCCACACCTTTGTTTCCTCTACATAAAATAGGAATGCTGACATTACTACTGATCTCAAAACTACTGTGTGTATTAAATGAGGTTATCTACATAAAACATTTTGAACAGAGCTTTTTCACTTGGTGAATGCTCAATAAATATTAATCACTGTTTATTAACTAAAAATTTAGCAAGTTTGAAAATTCTCTGATTAATGCATAGACAAATCATGAGATGACTTTAAGCATATTTTGGTAATATAATGAGAGTTCCAAGAAATAAACTGGCTTAAAGCTTAGTGATCCTTCACCTATATGTTTAAAAATCTTATCAAATTACTACAACTTAAAAGTGATAGGTGAAGTTGAAGATGCTAAGACAAATCAAATTCTTGCATTCAAAATAATTTGCATTCTATCAGAGTGCTAATAATAGCAAATATTAGTTGAACACTAAATTATAGGCACTGATGTGAATTCGCTCATTTTATCTGTGTCAGAAATAAAGTTACACATGGCGTAACAATGTTTCAGTCAACAATGGACTGCATAATAGTACAGTGGTCCTATAAGATTATAATACCATATTTTTACTGTATCTTTTCTTTGTTTACATATGTTTAGATACACAAATACAGTTGTCTGTAGTATTCAGCCCAGTAACATGCTGTATAGGTTTTTGTAGCCTAGGAGCCATAGGCTATACCCTACAGCTTAGTTGAATAGCAGGCAACAGCATACAGCCTATTGTATAGTGGGCTATACACTACAGCCTAGTTGTATAGTAGGCTATATGATCTAGGTTTGTGTTAGTATGCCCCACAATTTTCACACAAAGACAGAACTACCTAACAATGAATTTCTCAGAACATATCCCTGTCATTAAGAGACGCATGACTGGGCCGGGCATGGTGGCTCACGCCTGTAATCCCAGCACTTTGGGAGGCTGAGGCAGGCAGATCACCTGAGGTCAGGAGTTCCAGACCAGCCTGATCAACATGGAGAAACACTGTCTCTACTGAAAATACAAAATTAGCCGAGCATGGTAGCACATGCCTGTAAACCCAGCTACTCGGGAGGCTGAGGCAGGAGAATCACCTGAATCCGGGAAGCAGAGGTTGCGGTGAGCCGAGATTGCGCCATTGCACTCCAGCCTGGGCAAAAAGAACGAAGTTCCGTCTCAAAAAAGCAAGAGAGAGGCATGACTGCATATGAAGCAGGCATTAGTAGTATCATATTTCATAGGTAAGGAAACTGAAATAAAGAGCATTTAAGTAACTTGCCTCCGGTTACCAAATCGCTCTACTAGTTAGAGCCAAATTGAGGGATCTCAGTTTCAGACTCAAGGAATCTGGCCTCAGACTTTACTCTCAATCACTGCTCTGTACTCTTTCTATAGTGCTTCATGAAAATCATTCTAGCAGCATGTGCAAGATAAAAGAAAAATAAGAGATCATGGAGATAGGAAGACCAGGTATTAAAATGATCCAGACAGAAAGAAACAAAGGCCTCAAATACACAATAGCCATAAGGCTGGAGAGTATAGAATAAATGAAAGAGATATTGGAGAAAAGAAGCTAAAAAGACTTGGAGACTACCTGTGGAGAGCCTGGGAAAATTTGCAGGAAATGTTAGAATTCAAATAACTGTATTTTATGGATGCCCCTGGATAGGGCACATGCTTTTGTTTCTCTAAAGTCTACAACACTGTCTGTTGTCTCTTTGGCCCATCCCAGTCTTTTAATCTCTAGATTTGTCCGTCATAATATTTCAAATGGTATTTCCAAACCATCTCCTAGTTTCCCTCAAACAAGAACATAGACACTGAACAATTTCACAGTTGTATGACCAGTATTTTTCTAAAATAAAAATTACTTTTTACCCTGAAAATTTATAATTATAAAATTTATGGCTAAAACTATTAAATATAAGAACCAACAACACTAACAACTACCAGAAAGGCCACACGATGGCAGCAAAGTATAGGGTACAAGCAGCAAGAGCCGGCGGCCTAGAGGGTGCTATGCACTGAATTCTCAGATTCCGTCTATTCTCTATTGAGTTCATACATATTAGTCAGCAGCTGTAATGCTAGTAACATTATCTCCACACAGCACCTCACACTTTACAAAACTCCCACAGATACTTTCTCTCGTCTACTTCTTACCACCACTCTGAGAAGTCAACAGGAAAAGGATCATGCTTTGTGTGGAGGATAAAGATGGAAGTTTTACTCCAGGTACTAGAAGCACCTCAGAGGCTCAAAGGTGAGACAAAGATCAAAACTTTGTCGTTGTTTCTTTTAGGATATGATCTGGGGAAATATAATATGAATGGGAATACTCTACCTTCAACTTTAGTGGGGAAAAAAATCTAAGGCTTTTTTAATAGAACTGGGAATTTTTTAAGGGGTTGGGGCTGTAAGTTATTCCTCACCGAAGTTGGAGAAAAAAAAAGGGAAAAGATAAGGAAAGGGAAAGGGCTTTATTTTTTTAAGTAACAAAGGCTAAAAATTTTCTTAGAGATTATTATAGAAAGCTTAACTGGAGAGAAATATGCCTGGGGGGAAAAGCATGTATCCTCCAAATGGTGCTTGCATTCATTTTCTAGGGCGGCTTTAAAAACCCACTACAGACTTGGGGGCTTAAAACAACTCTTCTGGAGGTCTGAAGTCCAAAATCAAGGTGTCCACAGGGCTGTGCTCCTTCCAAAAGCTCTAGGTGAGAATCCTCTCTTGACTTTTTAGCTTCTGTTAATGCCAGGCCTTCCTTGGCTTGTGGTGCATAACTCCAATCTCTGCCTCCATTTTTACATGGTCTTCTCCATGTGTCTCTTTCTTTCTTTCTTTCTTTCTTTCTTTCTTTCTTTCTTTCTTTCTTTCTTTCTTTCTTTCTTTCTCTTTCTTTCTTTCTCTCTCTCTCTCTCTTTTCTTTCTTTCTTTCTTTTTTTCAGAGTTTTGCTCTTGTCGTCCAGGCTGGAGTGCAGTGGCGCGATCTTGGCTCACTACAACTTCCCCCTCCTAGGTGCAAGTGATTCTCCTGCCTCAGCCTCCCGAGTAGCTGGGATTACAGGCACCAGCCATCATGCCTGGCTAATTTTTGTATATTTAATAGAGATGGGGTTTCACCATGTTGGCCAGGCTGGTCTTGAACTCCTGACCTCAGGTGATCTGCCTGCCTGGGCCTCCCAAAGTGCTGAGATTACAGGTGTGAGCACCATGCCCCGCCCTTTGCATGTGTTTCTTATAAGGACACTTGTCATTGGATTTAGGGTCCACCTAGATAATTTGGATTGATTTCATCTGCAGAACTACATCTGCAAAGATCCCTTTTCCAAATAAGATCACATATACAGTTACCAGGGTTTAAGACACGGGGAAATCTTTTAAGGCCACCATTCAACCCACTGTAGTGCTCTTGTGACTGTACTTCCTCCTGCCAGTGGGGAGCTCATGCATGTACACATTATGGACTCCTACCCTTCCGTGTGTTTAGTTGCCATAGAGCAATAATATCTGATCTCTGCTCCAAAATCTGACACCATTTTGCTGTATCCTCTCCTTGGGTTGTCTCCTCACCTGTAAAATAAGAGAGTTAGACCAGCCAATGGTCACAGTCAAAAGCGTTCTTGGTCTAAGAGGAAATGAACAGTAAGGCTTCAGAGAAATGAAAGCATTCATATTTTCTGCCAATTACTTGTCATATTATAGTGGAATCAGCTATCTTATCTCCCTCATTAGTTTTGAGAGTGTTTTTGTTAATTTTTACGTTTTATTAAATATCTGCCTATTGTGGATATTTAATAAATCCTGAGACTATAGAGATGGGCAAGACAGAGTCCTTCTGCCAGGAAATCCATAACCCAGTAGGAGAGACAGATACATAACGTTATCACTGTGAGGTAGTGTTCAAGCAGTAAGGAGAGATCCTTTGCATACATGAGCATAGAGCCCACGTGACCACTCTAGGCTATGGGTAGACTCAGGTATGAGATAACATTTATTCAACCTTCGAGAACCAACTTAAGGGTGTCCTTCATAAAAGACCAACTTATGAAGGGCACACTTACGTTGGTTCTCCAAAGTTGAATAAATGTTATTAGCTGAGCAAAACAGGAGAAAACAGTACATGCGGAATAATCACCATGTCTAAAGATGCTAAAATGTGAAACCAACTGGTTAAGTGCCTTGGATAAAGTACAGCGATGAAAGGTAGAAAAAAAATATTGTCTGCAAAGATAATCTTATGTGAACACTTGCTTTGGGGCCAAGCATCATAGCATATGCCTTTGTATATTATATAATTTCTCATAACAGCCTTTGTGGTAGAATGTCAGTGTAGGTTAAGCTGTGCTGAGGTAACAAACAACCCTCAAATATCAGTTGCTTCATCTAATGAATGTTTATTTCTCATCCACACATAGTCTGCTGTGGATTTGAGTCATTCCTCAGGACAGTTGTCTTCTGTGTGTAGCCTCAGCATTCTATCTCCTTAATTTCTAAGGAACCCTCGTATTCCTATGTTTTCACATTCAGCAAAGGAACGTCTGGAGAATTCAGTACCAGTAATTAAATATTTATACACAGAAGTGACATATAGCTATTGTGCTTACATTTCTTTTGCCAAGCAAGTCATTTGTACACACCTAACTTCAAAGGCCAGGGAAAGATAATGTCCAAAATTAGAGGAGAAGCAGGTATTGGGGAACTGAAGTAAGATTTATCGCAGGTAGCCACCAAATTATTCTCATTTTACGGAAGAGGAAATTGAGATATAGAGAAGTTAGTCATAGTCACACAACTGGTAAGTTGCAGAATGAGGATTTGAACTCAGATCTGTCTGATTCCAGATCTTACACTTTCTTTATTGAGAAACGCATGTGCCATACAAATAAGTTTGGACTTTATCCTAATGATAACAGGGAATTACTGGAAGGTTGCAATAGGGAAAACACGACTCATATTTATGCTTTAGAAATATGTGTATAAAACAATGATTGGGGAAGAACAGGACTAAGGATGTGAGGATACTAGCGCTGCTATGACAATTTTTGGAAGAGAAAAGATAAGGCCCTACACTGAGCCAGTGCCGTAAAAGTGCCAGTGATGACTGCAAGGAGGCAGAAGTTCCAAAGGCAAGTAAGAACCAGAATCTATAGGTTTTAATAAATGAGTGAATAGTTAGGATGAAGAAAAAAGAAAAGAGGACAGAATATGATTAGCAAGGTCCAGGCTTGAGCAAGGAGGAAGACAGAGGTGCCATATACCAAGACAGGGATGTAATACAAGCATCAGGCTAGCTGTGTTTGTTTGCTTTTGTTTTCCATGGGGGGGAGGGCCATAGGTGGTTTGGATTTGAACATACTGAATTTGAGTTGCCTATGGAAATCCAAGTAGAGAGCTCCAGCAGACATTTAGGCATATGTATGTTAAACTTATCAAAAAAAGATTTTAGTTACAGATAAATACTTGGGGAAAAACATGCAAATCTGGTAGTCCAAATATGTGATTAATGATATTGCCAAAGAGAAAAAAAGAGACAGGCTGGCACAAACACTATAAAAGATAAAGGTTTATGATGTGTCTGGAGGTGGGGATTTCATCATAGTCACCTTTGATCTCTCAGCCTAATTAAGGACTGAGTCTGGAAGTTTCCCCAAATTTGGTTAGCTGGATTTATGAAACAGAAAACATACCAGAGTGTACATCATGTGGACATAAGAATAACATCTGCTGTATTCATAGCACCATATTGTCTACAGCACATCTAGTAGTATGCAGATCCCCAAACTTCACAATCCTGGAAATCAACACACACACACACATCCATACATTGTTTTATCTTTTCATAAAATATTTTTATTGATTTTGGCTTATTACCAAAAAAAGTTCACTGTAACAGTAATAATATGTATAAGAAAAAATAAAACTAAATAAAAAATAAGATTATAACCTTAGCACATCCCTTTTTAATAACTATTCTAAGCTGGAAGCTCACTTTCTGGCATCCGTCCTAGCAAGGCTAGGAAAGTAAATGACGTAGTAATGGAAAAGGGAGGGGAAACAGACGGGGAGTTCTATTCATTTAGGGTTCCGTGATTCCATTAACCTTCTGATTCTTCAGAGCTTCTCCACACCTTTCCAATTCCTCTCTGCTTTCATTTCTACATTGGTGTTGGGGGGAAAAAACAAACCTTATTAGCCACACATAAACATCTTCCATTAAACTGCTCTAAAGCAATTACTGCTGTTAACACAGTTAATGGACTGTCAATGTCAAATGTGAAACCTTTTCTCCTGGAAAGGCAACAATGACTTCGTGAAATCGTTTTCTGTGCTGTAGCAGAAAGGGAGGAATTCTGGAGGATCGCTCTTTCTGCAAACATCGCGGTCTGTGAAATCTGCCCCCTAAAAAACAAACAAACAAAAAAACCAAACCAAAACAAAAAAACCCTGATCATATGCCTGTTATCCTAAAATAGCACCTTCCTCCATTATGCCGAGGTTCAGCGCAAAACTGACTCATGCAGTACCGGGATCGCTGCCAGAGCGACGGAGCGCGCGAGCAGCGCGGCATCAACAGGCAGAAGGTGCCACGGGGCGGACGGGACCCACTGCCCGGGTCCAGACTTTCCATCCGAGAAAGCAAAAGCTTTCAGTATCCAACTTATTAGAAGATAACATCTTGATAGGGTTCTCGGGCCTTCTTAAAATAAATCTGTCAGACTGTGCTTTTGAATCTGTCCTGTGTCAAGGTTGCTCCCCCAGGGCAGGGCAGCAATTTAGCTTTTGCAAGATCCTGCACTTGCTCCTCAAACGCCAAAGCAGCAACGCGAGCAACTTCCGAGCAGCTGCTTCTTCCCCACTCAAAGCCACATCACCAACTTCCTCAGCAGCAGCCCCAGCAGCAATCTGGGTGTTCAATCTATCTCGATCTCACAATGCCCATGCCTCCTAGAGGTCTTCCCAGAGCTTAGGAGTCTTTGCCCCTCCTGGGAACTTTCTGAGGGTCCATATAGTGGTCCTTAGCACTATTGCTGTTTTTTTTTTTTTTTTAATTTTAGTTGTAATATACGAGTGTTAGCAATCCTCATACATCTCTGACTTATCCACAGTGCCTAGTATACAATGGACAATTTAGTGAACAATGAATAAATCAGAATATTGAGGCTTAGGAAACTAGGACCCATCACGAACCTTCTCATAGTAATCCAGATCCTGGATGGAAGCTTTTAATAAACACAACTTCTGTTTTCCTTCCTCTTTGTTTTTTATTTCTTCTCGAAAGAGACTTAATTGAAGAAAATGAGCTCTTTCACTTCTTCCATCCTCCAGGAACATAAAACTGACAGCCTCCTCCAAATGATTATTTAGCATTTAATGATTTATTCCTTGAGCGCCCAGTTGATCTTCCTTGGGCCCATTTGAAGAACTCTTGTAGCAAGGGGAAAATTCACATGATCATGCACAGCGTCAAGCTCCATTTACCTTTTGTCCTTTAATGATACTGATGAGCAGGCAGGTGATTTAAAAGAGAACAAATGGTCATTAAAATTAATCAAAAGGACACAATAAGGAAAAATGTGCTATATAAGGGCAACATAAGTTTTGTAGTGACACAAACAGAACAAAACAAACAAAACTCAAAGGAATGCAAAGGTGGCATGTATAGTATTTTAGCCCTTTAATTTGAACCCAAGGACTTAAATATGCACAGTTTTATGCACAGACAAATACCACTCACTGGGGCCAAATACACAGTAACAATGCTAAAAGTTTACCCCTTAGACTATTTTTAGAAATTACATACTAAACTATTTTAATCAGAGCTATAAAGCACACAGTGACCCATTCACAATTTACACCAAGAATTCTGTTTTTATGTACAATTTAAAATGCAGGGGACTCACTGTCATCACAATGGCAATGTATAGAACATTTTAAAAGCCTACAATGAGAAATAGGAGCCATTTCATGGTCATCCTCATAGTTTTTCCAACCGTTAGAATTACTTTATATAAAATAAATATTTAGTAAATGTTAGAAAAAGGGAGAGAGAAAATGAGGGAAGAAGGGTGATGACATGACTCTAGGAATGAAGAAATGGCATTCGGAAAAGGTATTTTCTTTTATACTTGGGAAAGCAAAGGACAGAAGTAATGAGCAAAACTTTATACTAAAGAGTCTCATTCTATATTCAGTGGTCAGAACTAGGAAAGGTTATTTTGGAAAGTTGTTCTCTTCCTGTAGGATAGGGGTTCTCAGTGCTTATGGAACCTACTTCTGAACTGGCCTTAAAAATAATCTTGGAAAGGGGATGGTTGGTGCCTTGTGGAGCTTAAAAAAAAAAAAGGATAGTCAATATACCTGTGATGGTCAATTTTATGTGTCAACTTGACCAGCCAAAGAGTGTCCAGATATATGTTCAAATATTATTCTAAGTATTCCTGCAACGTTGTTTTTGGATGAGATTAACATTTAAATCAGTAGAGTGAGTAAAGCAAATTGACCTCTGTAATGGTGGGTGGGCCTCATCCAATCAGTTGAAGGCCTGAGTAGAACAAAAAGTTAACTCTCCCCTGATTAAGACAGAAATTCCTACCTGAAGGCCTTTGAACTGGAGCATCAACTCTTCCTGGTTCTACAGCAGCCTACTAGCCTTCGGACTTAAACTGGGACACTGGCTCTGCAGACAGTGGACCAGCCTCAATAATCACATGAGCCAATTTCTTATAATAAATAAATAAATAAATAAAAATCTCCTATTGGTTCCAATTCTCCAGAGACCCCTGACTAACATAATACCTATTTTACGATACTTATTAGAAAAAATAAAACCCAACCAAATTTGGGTATAAGAAACAAACAGAGCAAGAAGACATTTCAAAAGCGGTCTGAGTTTTAAAATGTCAACACTGCTGGTGTGTCAGCAACATTTAATTGCCATCTTATCCATGCCCTTCCTCTTACATGTTCAGCAAGTGTCATTTAGTCTTCATTTAAGTTAGGAACAAAAGTTCAATAATAGGTTTAACCCAGTTTTCTCCTTTCCCAGCCTCTTTTACCCTAAGGTGCCCTTGAAGCAAGGGCCTCTGCCCAGCCATTCCCTAACAGAGGATCATGGGAGTGAAGTATAGTGTCTTTCCTGTCCAGATTAAACATTATCGTTGAGCTATAAAGCTAGATGCTGCTTTGGGAAGGGATCACATACAGGACTCTTGTATTTTACTGACTTTTCTGCAATTAATAATCTACTTCTCATAGTACATATCCTAAAACTTAAAAGGAGTGCAGAAGTTAGCTAGTCAATATTGTTTATTTTGGATATGGAGAAACAAAGCCTCAGAGGAGAAAAATGTCCTATCTGTACCATACAGCAATTATTAGCAGATCTGTAAAGCCTGCTATATAATGAAGCCTCAATTCTTAGCATGTCTTTAAGATGCAAGAATTTTTAAAAAGTGTAGTTGGAGCTTCATGAAAATCCACTATGTCTGCTCTGCAGGAGGGGCTATGCTTCTGACCCTTTACCATATAAACTTTTGCTTAAAGATCAAATCAAGAAAATAAACCTCTGAATCTCTAAGTAGCACTGCACAATTGGATAGTTCATGTCGTCCTACTCAAAAATGGGCCACCTCCTGTCAATGAAACCAGACTTCCAAAACATAGGTTATCATAGCATTCCCCATTCAAACCCCTGCAATGATTCTCCATTGCTTAGGGGGGATGAGGGCAAATGTTCAAATGCTTAGCCTAAAATTTAAGAACCTCCATAATCAAAGCTTAACCTACTCTAGCAACACATATTTGTTGAATACTACTGTGTACTAGGTACAATAATTGAGACAGTAGATAAAAATGCATCTTTGGAAGTGACTCCTCCAGCCCAGTCAAACTTTCAGGTAACTGCACATGCAGAAGTGGTCACCTGCTTAACAGCAATCTCATGAGAGACCCTGAACCAGAGCCACCCAGCTAAGCCGCTCCCAAATGTCTGGCCCACAGAAACTGTGAGATAATGAATAGTTATTTTAAGCCACTGAGTTTTGGGATAATCTTTTATGCAATAATGGATAATGTACACATCCATGAACAGATAAATGGATAAACAGACTATGGTATATCCATACAATGGAATACAACTAAGCAATAACAAGAGGTGAACTATTATTATATATAACATGCTTTAAAATCTCAAATAATTACATGGAGTGAAGTAAGCCTAGAAGAGACAAACTAATCAATTATGATGGAAAACAAGTAGTGATTGCCTAAGGATGGAGAGGAGGCAAAGAGAGAAAGAGTTCAAACACGTACAATGAAACTCTGGGGATGCAATTGTTATATTCATTAATTTTATCATGGTAATAGTTTCATGTCAAAATTTGTCAAATTGTACATTTTAATTGTGCACAGTTTGTTGTAATCTGTCAATTAAACCTCAATAGAGCTATAAAAAATCAAGTAAAAATGGTGATCAAAGCATTGGCATTGGCCCTGTCCTAATGTACTTCAGTTTGGAATAAAGGACATTAACTTCGCTAATAGCCACAGTGCAGTGGAAGAAGGGCTAACACAGCAACATGGAGGAGGAAGAGGAGGAGGAGGAGAAGAAAGAGGAGGAAGAGGAGGAGGAGGAGGAAAGTCTCCTGTTCTCTGCCTCCCACTAGGGCTTCCATATTGAAGTCCTTTCTTTGTTTTTCCTTTTCCTTCTTTTGGTACCACTTAGCCAGTAGGGTTTGCTAATGCTTTTTTTTTGCATTTAGGTTTTGGTCCCTCTTAAGCCTAGTTTCTTTCTAATTCAGACTGATTTTTTTTTAAAGATCTATTCTGGATCTCTTCTCTAAATGACTCTGGCCTATTGATAAACTTTTCACCCCAACAAATAATCTGTAGGGTGTTGAGAAGCTTTAAACTGATATATGTAGCACCTAGCTGCCACTTTATGAATAGTTAATACATTGTAATTATTATGTTGATATTGTTACTACTATAAGGTTATATTCTATGATAAATATGAAAAAGGTACTTGAAAAAAATAACTAAGGTTTTCTTTCACCAATAGATTTTTTACTTGCAATGAAAATTTTAGAATTGTAATTTCACCATCCAAATAACCTTTGTTTTAAATCATCAGATAAATCAGGTCACTGAGGGGAAAGGGTGAGTTGGGGTTAAACATTAACAAATCCTTTGGGAGGTCAGGCAATTGAATGATGTCTTTTCCAGCACATTTATGCAGCCCTTTTTTTTCTGCTTACAAACGAAGAAAAATAATGAATGTTGCCTTTGGGTTAGAAAAGTACAGCACAGGGAAAGAACCATCTCTCACTTTATAATATGTAAAACAATTTCATATTCACCATATGATTTCATCCGCACAGCAACCATGTTGTAACAAAGGCAGGGAATGTTACCCAATCACACAGATGAGAGAGCTGAAGGTAAGTCAGATAAAGTAACTTGCCAAATACCACGCAAGCTAGTTTTAGAACAACTGACTCTAAATCTTGCACATTTTCCATAACACTGAAATGTTTAAGAAGAAAGTTTGATTGGAAAAGGAGGTAAGAAAAGGAAGTATTGTGTGACTTAAAGTAAAGAGTAATGTCTTAGAAAGGTACTGAGGGGAAATCAGGTCAATGTCTTACCTGCATGCTATGGCCTCTCCTTATACTAAGAGAATGATTAAATAAATGATAATTAAATCCATCAGATACATTATTTAAGAATACTTGATGGTATGGAAAAAAAATGCTCATATTTTAATATTAAGTTTGAAAGGCAGAGAAAGAACAACAGTTTAGTCCCAAATCTGCTAGGTGGCAGGGGAGGGCAGAAAAATAAATCATCATGTTTATTGCGGCACTATTCACAATAGCAAAGACTTGGAACCAACCCAAATGCCCATCAGTGATAGACTGGACAAAGAAAATGTGACACATAGACACCATGGAATACTATGCAGCCATAAAAAAGGACGAGTTCATGTTCTTTGCAGGGACAGGGGATGAAGCTGGTAACCATCATTCTTGGCAAACTAACACAAGAACAGAGTACCAAACACTGTATGTCTCACTCATAAGTGGGAATTGAACAATGAGAACACCGGGACACAGGGAGGGAACATCACACACCAGGGCCTGTCGGCGGGTGGGGGACTAGGGGAGGGATAGCATTAGGAGAAATACCTAATGTAGATGATGGGTTAATGGGTGCAGCAAACCACAATGGCACGTGTATACCTATGTAACAAACCTGCACATTCTGCACATGTATCCCAGAACTTAAAGTGTAATAAAAAATAAATAAATAAATAATACTAATGGTAGCCATGCTCTTTCTGGTGGTGAGACAATAAACGATTTTGTGTTTGTTTATTCTTTTCTATACTTTTCTACTTTTGAACTGTGAGCATATTGTCCTTAGTGCAAGAAATAGAATCTTTTTTTAAATGAACAAATGGTTCTGAGAGTCATTGTGCTTATCTTCTAAATATTTGGCCCTTTGTATGTACTCGGTTCCAGCAGCAAAACACTCACAAAGGGTATATGTAACAAAGTGGAAACATGATCCTGCCAACTTTACCTGGAATGCTATGTGCATTTTGGCAGTGTTGGAGAGATGAAACCAGAACAGACTTAGAAAAAAGCTGGGACAGAGAACAAAGGAAGAGGAAACTCTGCCATATGGCATAGAGGAATTCACTAAAATTTAGGAATCTTAAATAGAGATCCCTTAAGACTAAAGTGATATGATTGAGGTTCATAAAATAATTTGTCATTATATATTTGAATATCTGAATACCACTGTACTTTACTCTCCTGAATAATAACTGTTTTACTCATCTTTCTAATCTCACAATGATATGCATAGTATTGGCAAATAGCAGGTGCCTGAATTGAGTTGTAGTTTATAGGTTGAATAAACATGTATTTATCCAAGAAGTCTTAAAATACTAATGTGAAGTGTTAGATAAAGCCCTAAAAGGATGCTTCAATTCAAACAAAACAAAAGAAAATGCTCTTTTTATGACAAGCAGTAACTATGGGTAAATATTTGGCTCCAAAGAAAGGTGCAGGGAGATAGCAAGGTCTAGTGAAAGGGGTTATGGTTGGCGGGGGGCAGGGTATCTAAAATAGCAACATTGTACATTCACTTCATGAAAGATAATCGTGTTCTCTATGGCAACAAAAAATATTTTTGGTACATTTGTCTGAAAGATAATTTCAAACTCTAGTTACCTGTGTAATATCAAATTAATACCAAGTAAGTAATAGTAAATAAAAACACTTTGTTTATGTAGCAATCACAATGTGCCAGACACTGCTCTAAGCACTTTACATATATTAACTAATTTAGTCTTCCTAAACTTCCCTGTCGATAGGTACTATTATTCTCCTTGTTCCTTTCTTTTTACTGGAGTAAAGGAAGATTGAGTGATTTGCCCAAGGTCACGCAGCTAGGAAATATTTAGTAAAGCCAGGATTTAAACCCAAGTCTTGTGGCTCCAGAGTCTGCATTCTTAACCCTTTACTGTCTTTTAAGATAAAACAACAACAATAACAACAATGCATATATTCAAAACTTATTTATTAACTGCTCTTATTCCTTAATTTCATGGCAGTTTTGCCTCTCAGATTAGATTTGTAAGTAGGAAGTGTGTCTTTAATTTTTGTCCCACCTAACCTCAGAGACACCCAGTACTTTTAGAGCCAAGTAATAGATATTCTTCTGCTATGATGTGTCTGATCTTTACTTGCTGGACATTCAAATTTCTTTTGATAATATTACCTTTTTCACTCAAATTATCAAATGAAAAGAAAAAAACAACTCCCTGGACAGTTAATGAGAAAATAAGAACTGGGTCACCATATGTAAAATGATTTGCGGATTTGATTTTAGTTCTCCTGTTATTGCAAAGCGAGTAGCTCATATTATTCCCACCTGCAAAGGAACAGCCTTCATGAACTACATTTTCACCACATAGACACACACATCCACTTTCTATAAGAATGCTCAGCCCATCTGCTCACATTTAAAAATACCAATTGAAGACCTCCCACGCTGCCTTGGTTTGTAAAATGTCTATCACCAAATCTTCATTCCAACACTCCTTTAAGTTTATAATTTCTTTTTCTCTTTTCTTTTAATGATTTTCACTAGTTCTTTTTCAAGTACCTAATGTTCATCATTAAGGTTTTTCTGAAATAGACAATGGTCTTTAAAATACAGGGTTTCAATGTTATTTCCATCTATGATGTGTCTTCATTTTGAGGAAACATTTTCCTATTTGGGAAAAGGTTACCTTGCACCCTGGTAATAAGCCTGTTTCCAATAAAGAAAATTAAGATCTCTATCTGTTCTCAAGGTACAAGACTTGATTACAGCACTATGAAAAGCAATTCTTAAAACACACACACACATACATACACACACACAAAGAAAAGATGAAATTGTGCAGACAACTCATTCTCAAGATACATTTAAGAGAGTAAAAACTGAATTGCGCATATATATTCCTGAACAAGGAGTGGAGGTATTTGTTGGGGTAGGCACTTCCTGTATCTCCATGAAAATATCCCCTGGAGGGTAGGTAAGCTCAGGACACACAAGCACTGTTTCCATGTTGCTGTAAACCACATGTTATTATTATCATTATTATTGAGACGAAGTCTCTCTCTGTCACCCAGGTTCGAGTGCAGTGGCATGATCTTGGCTCACTGCAACCACTGCCTCCGGGGTTCAATGCCTCTGGGATTCAAGTGATTTTCCTGCCTCAGCCTCCCGAGTAGCTGGGACTACAGGTGTGTGCCACCACACCCAGCTAGTTTTTGTATTTTTCAATAGAGACAGTTTTCTCCATGTTGCCCAGGCTGGTGTTGAACTCCTGACCTCAGGTGGTCCGATCATCTCGGCCTCCCCAAATGCTCAGATTACAGGTGTGAGCCACTGCACCTGGCCCCACATGTTATTCTTCTAAGAGCCTCAAGCTCAGTATTCCTTCATTCATTATTTCTTTTATCTATTCACTCATTCATTGAGGTAACGTGCTTTTACTGAGGGCCGTTTCCTGGGCATTCTCATAGGCAGTAGAGAGAAATGGTGATGACAGATGCCATGCTCCCTGACCTCAAATAACTTACAATCTGGGAGGGAGGCAGACTAGGGTCCTCTTGACTTTTAATTCAGTGCTTGCTCTTTCCTTTTTCTTTTTTTAGAAATCCAAGACATACAACGTTGTAGCTTACTCTTTATTTGCTTATATACTTACTTATTTTTCTGAGGCACTTTATGCAAGATCTTATGCAGTGATTCAAGTTCCTGTGTGCTATCTCACTGGCCATAAAGGTGACAGCCAATGTGCGGTATTAGAAGAAGCTACTGGAATTTATCATGGAGTCAACATTTCTATTTTTTTTTTTTGCAAATGTTATGAAATCCCTTATAAAAAATGATTAGAGATGAAAACTGCTTCAAGCTCTCCCTGAAATCCAACTCAATAATTTTTTTAGGAAACATCTAGTGACCGCTGAACTGTGGAGCAGCTTGCTAAGGAAATGTGTCATAATATGTAGATACCGGGATCCTAAGGTATAGCTCCACATAGTTTATGTCTGAGAGGAAAATTGGTCTATGTCCCACATGTGGGGCTTTTCAAAAAATCCTTCTCAATAAAGAGATTTTTTTGTTGTTGTTGTTTTGTTTTGTTTTGTTTTTGAGACGGAGTCTCATTCTGTTACCCAGGCTGGAGTGCAGTGGCCCGATCTCAGCTCTCTGTAACCTCCGCCTCCCAGGTTCAAGCGATTCTCCTGCCTTAGCCTCCTGAGTAGCTGGGATTACAGGCATGCACCACTGTGCCCAGATAATTTTAGTAGAGACAGGGTTTCACCATGTTGGCCAGGCTGGTTTCAAACTCCTGATCTCAGGCAATCTGCCTGCCTCGGCCTCCCAAAGTGCTTGGATTACAGGCATGAGCCACCACTTCCGGCCTCAATAAAGAATTTTAATGACACTAATACATGTTGTGAGGATTTAATTTGAAGTAGATTTATTTGAAATACATATGAAAAGTCTTAAAATGTCCATGCATTTTGAACAGCAATTTGAGATGAAGGAAATAATCAGATATGCATAAAATGTCTATTAAAATGTTCTATTTTTATAATAGAGAAAAATTGGACATAATATACTCAGTGAGAAGGGAATGGTTAATTATGAAATCATTGTTTCATAGATAATTGTTATCATTAAACATTATATAGAAGACTTTCAATGATGTGGGCCAATAAACACAATTTATTACTAAATAAATAAAGTATGTAGAGAATTATAAGACTCAAAGCATGTTAAAATATATTTCAACACATCTTAATACAGCCGGGCATAGTGGCTTATGCCTGTAATCCCAGAACTTTGGGAGGCTGAGGCAGGAGGATGTCTTGAGCCCAGGAGTTTGAGACTGTAGCCTAAGCAACATGATGAGACCTCACCTCTCTAAAATATATATATATGTGTGTGTATATATATATGTATATATATGTGTGTGTATATATATATGTATATATATGTGTGTGTGTGTATATATATATATATATATATATACAGGAAGAATACATGCAAAAATGTCAAAAATATTAACTCTGGACAATTAGAGATTCTAAAATTTCTTGACTTTGTCATGCTCTCTATAATTGAGGTCAAGTGTTCTCTTTCCTTCCATTGAAATATTCAACTCCCATCACTCTTTGTGGACTTTGAAGATTTCTAAAATGTAAATGAAAATATTTTAGAGGACTTCAAATTTTTCCATTCTTTAGAACCCAAATGGCATGATGGCTTTTTTATCTAAATACACTGTAATTCAAATTTTTCCTGCATCCAAATCTACATGGCATGGTGAATTCTTAATTACTCAATGTGCTGAGCACAGTTATCTCTAAAATATCATTATCTTTAATTACCTAAAAGATTATAAATACATATAAAAATGCTTAAAACAATGAATGCCTTACTCTCTTCAGGGTACTCAAATGTCCTGATAGACTCAATGTTTTACTCTTTGACAATATTTCTGCAACACTTGTACTTGTTCAGGATTTGTGGGAAAATAAAATTATTCTAGGCCCACTAAAGTAGAGTCTTTCCAAACTCTTGATATATTAAGCAGCTATATATAGCTGTACAGATGTTAACCTGGTTCACCGTTGCATTACACTTTGCATTTTATTTCAGAATTACTAAATTATGGCAGCTTTAAAAATAGTTTTAAACTTTCAAAAATAATTGTGGCTGTGTATTTAGAATCTCTATAAAGTTATTTTTAGGATTGTAGCTAATCTGCCATAGACTGTTAACATAAAAAATTTATGTTTTATTTCATATCTTCTTCCAAAGCACATACTATAAATATAAATGGGAGTTGTTAGCCTATAAAGGAGGGGAACTCTAACTGAAAGTTAGAGTTTGTATCTTTATCACGTTCACTCATTGTTATTACTGGATTACTATTTCCTACCTTAATACATAGTTTAGCAAGTTATGAAGAGGATGGGCTGACGTTTGACAAGGATGAAGCCTTCCAGCTACTAAGCACTGTGAGATCTGGTCCAGCACAAAGAGAAATGAAAAGAAAACTTCAAATGCCATGTAAGAAGTGAGAGCAGTCCTAAGGGTCAGGAGCTAAACTGACTTGAATAGCTTTGAAACTAAGTAGAATTTCAGTCCTGGTGGTTGGTGATTAGAAAATGGAGCAGGAAATGCTTCCACAGCTAGTAAAAAAAAGAAAAAAAAAAATCCTTATCTTACTGTCATTATGAACATAGATATAAAGGTCTGGGTATGAACCAGGATCAAGGTGAAGATGAATGAGGCAGTTCAAATGCCTGTGCCTAGCTTCTCAGCTTCATTTGACCCTACCACACCTGAGCTCTCGGCAGGTACTCCCCAGGCCTACCCCACTCTGTTTCCCTTCCTCACATCCCTAGCCTCAACACAAACATGCACACTGTGCACTTTTCATTCCTGGCTCTATAATTTGCTCATTTTGTTCCTCCTTCCCTTCCCCCTCATCACATATAGCCTGGCCTAAATGAGATTTTATCTGTTCCTCAATCTTTCCAGACCATCCCCTTTCTTCAAGAGCTAGGTCACATCACATCTCCTCCATGAAGAGATCCTTAGTTCTCATTCATTTCTCCAGTTTCCAAATCTTTATTTTATGCATTGCTAAATGATATCCAGTTTGCTATCTAATTATACACTGCCTCAAATAACACACACCTTTATTTTCTCTGCAGGTCAACGGTGAATATCACTGGCTTCGTGCTCTCTTATATTCTCCATGGGGCCTAGTGTAGGGTGGAAAACATTGAAGGTACATAGGATATCAGATGAGCGATGCGAATCGTTTAATGATATTATTGCACAAAATAGTTTATACTTTTCAAGCATCTTCACAATATGATGTTCTTCCTTTTCTAGAGAAAATACTGTTACCGGTCCTAAAAAAATACTTTTGGCAGTGAGAGTGAACCTATCTTTGATTTGCTTTAGTGGTACTTTTCAGCCCTTCTGAATTGACAAGAACAGTTTCAAAAACTCAAGACTTGGATATTAAGTCACATATAATAGCAGAAAAAGACTGAAGCAGTTTTGAGTTTCAGAATACTAAATGTGAATCTTTCTAAAATGGATCAGAAAAAAAAATGTGACTTTCAGACCCCCTGACTTCATCCTACCTACAATTGAAGAGCAACGTCACAGTCTTGACATCTGACCTGTTTCCTTGGTGCTTCCACACTCAGACAGGTGTCTAGGAGAGGCATCAGTAACTAGATTTCTATCTCTACAGACATATTTCACAAAGGCTCTATCTCCTAACTCTGACTTTCAATTTAGCTTGTTTTATAGGCCTTAAAGGGCTGCTTCTGAAATGATCGTTTTATCTTTTTCTCTGTTAATTTAAATCCTGGAAAAAAATTCAGTCTGACTAGCTTTACAAAGCCTGCTGAGCTGTTGTGAAGAATAGGGTTCTGCTGACTTAAAAAAAATCTGAGCTCATAATCTTCTTTAGAAATACATAGGAACATCAAGCTGATCTACCATGGAATCATGGAGTTTAATGATTCCGGTATTTCTAAATTCAATAAGGAGCCATTTAAGAGACGTGGAACTGGCTTCATCCCACACCTTCATTTCCTCTGATATTGCCTATGCTCTGTTTCAGAAGGAGCAAAAGAGATGAATAATTACTGGCAGATTAACCTTAGTAATTACTGTTTCTTTGATACCTTTGTTAACCTTTGAAATCTCTGGGCATTTCCTGAGGGCACAACTCTATACTTGCAAGTATGGAAAAGCCATAGCCGTTTTCTTTGTTGTATGCCGATCTTCTTCGGCCTTGTAAATTTGCACCAATTAAGAATATTATTTGCAGTCTTATTTTTAATCATGATAACATAATTATAAGAATTTTTATCTAGTATATTAGCGATCCCTGTGGAAAACAGAGGCCCAGAGAGGTCCAGAGATACACTGAGGCCTTATCTCAAGTCAGAGGCATCCCTGAAGCAGACTGCGATGGGTTCAGAGTTTGAGGTTCTCAATGTGCTGCCTACTGTTGCCCTAGATACTTTCAGACGATTTCACATAGAGGTTTGGCTCTTTTAGTTGCATACCAGAATGTCAGCCACATTTTCTATATTTATTTATCCTTCATCCCTGGCCTTATCACCAGAGTTTGTAGACAAAATCTGATACTCCTGTCTCCTACCTTTCCGGATTGTGCCAGGCTGCCCTGTATTGTCTGATCCTCAGGCTATCCTGTGATCAGCTTCTAAGATTTTTTCCTTTCTCTGCTCTCTCTGCTTGGCTAAGACATTTCCTCAGGTCTCAAGCTTCTCTTGGGCTTTTATGCAATGTTGCTTTTCCTCTATTGATGAATTACTGTAAAGCTGCCAACAAAACTCTGCCCCTCCATAAAGAATGCCATCCCCATCTCTAGACATCTCTGGGATATGACATCTGCTTTTCAATAGTGTATGCCAGGCCCTAGCTAGGTGCCTTGCTGAAGCCAGTGAATTGGTTAAAGACAAGATGTGGTTCAGTTATTTTCAGATAAAAAAATTCTCATTCTGGAAACAGGTTTATTCTGCTGCATTCAACATCAAGTGAGAAAAAGTTACCCTGCTTTCAATAAAGTAATGTGGCAATAGCATAGGTGAATTCAATATTTAAGGAACAAACTGCATGCCAAGTCAATTCTTTCTAGGTCGGGTCCAAACAATACTATGGAGTGCCTGGTAAATGCTGGACACTGTGCTTCCTGCCTGCTTGCACTCACCACTGTCTTATTTTAGACTCCACAAAAACCTTGGAAGCAACAGGATATAACCCAGGTCTCTTCAACTATAAATCTTTATATGTTCTACCATATATAATAAATTATCTTTGTGCCTCTTTCCAGCTGTAAGCAGGAGTGAGGGGTGGGAGCAGTTTCAGGGATCTCAGTAGAGATCATATCCAACACTTAGTTGTGGTTTGGCACAACCTGGTGGCAAGTTTCCTGCTCCCACTCTAATGTCCATAAGAGATTCTAGGCTCAGTGATTGGCTGAAACTTCTAGACACCTAACAAGCTGGTAGGTATCTCACCAGCTTGACCCAAGGAGGTTGGGCCTGTAGAACTCTGGGGACTCCAGGACCCAATTTTTTTCTCCCCACTTACTGAGGAGGGGTTGCGTGACATTTCCTGCTCAGCCTTATCTTGCCATCCATGAACTCCCCGAGCCCCTCAACACCCACAACCAGCAAAACAACAACAATAGGTGGAAGACTGGGGCCAATAGTCAATTGTCTTGAATGGAGGTGGGGAAGGGGATAACTGTATTTATAGCAATGTAATATTATGTCTAAGAGTTTAGCTTCACCGATGAAACCCCATGATTACTTATACTTAGTCGAATGTGTTTACATACATTTAGTTGAAATCTAGCAACATATCTAAGAACTAGTGAAGAAAGCATACAGTAGTAGCAGTAATAATATATGAAGAGAAAATATTGTATTGAAAAAATTTTTCAAAAGAAAATAACTTGACACTGGAAAGTGGGGAATAGTCCATAAAAGAAAAAAATCATTGTTATAATGATTACTAAACATAAAAATTAACCAAGTGTACATGTGAAAGCCACCATACACAAACTGAATAAAAAGGTATGAGTCTTTGCTTCTTGTGCACTTGTGATTTTTCAGGGGGGTGGGGATATAACCCAGATGAGACAAGCATGGGTAACAAGCAGGTAAATCACATCTCCTAAAACTGAAGACCTGGAACAAATGAAATACTGAAGCAGACAGTATATTACCCTACACTGGATTTCTGCTCATGAGCTTATGAAGGCTCTGGATTCCTGCTTATGAGCTACCTAATGAACTCTGGAAATTTACGCAAGTTAATTTCTCTAAACCTCAATTTCCATATCTATATATGGGCCATAATAATATCCATCTCATTGGTTGTTACCAATGATTTAATGAAAGAATGTAAATAAAGAACTCAGTATAGTACCTGACAAATAGTAAATGTAGTTATACAATCAGCTATTGTTATTGATCTTAATATAATTAAATCATTCCAAAATAGTGCTTGGAAAATTGGTATTAGTGTCTCCAGAAAGAGCTTAATTGCCTCTGACACAGTCTATGTTGCAATATAACTTTGCCTGAACTGGATAGCAAGGAAGAAGCCAGCAAGGAAGGCTCTATTTTCCTCCAGAAGTGGGTATCAAAGACTAAATTTCATCCTCTCATTTTTGTAGAGAGGCTTTAGTAAATATAAATGTAAGTCTAGGTAACGCCATAGAGATCCATTTGTTTATGTTGGAAATGTGCATATGTCCTGCTGCAGACTAGACCACACTCATTTTTACTCTTTAAAAAAATCATTCAAGTCTTGTTAAAATTCTTTCTATTAAACTGCTGACAACTGTACTTCTTGTTAGTGTGGTTTCCATTTGTACACATTTCCCCCTGTGTCTCTACATTATAAACCTAATAATGTATTATTTTAGAAAGAGTCTAACATGATAATTCTTACACTTTTTTGGAATCACTGACCCCGGGGGGTCTACTCAGAATATATATATATAAAAGCTATAGTTTAAAGCAATTTATGAATTGAATTAAATCTCTAAGGTTAATGCCAGCAAGGCATTTGAAGGGAAAGTGCTGCTCATAACTGCTCCATCTAGCATTTCTGTTAATGAAAAGACATTACCTTCTGGTAGTAATGGAGCCACTTAATCCTCAATGTAGAACTTGGTAAGAGTGGTACTCAAAACGGTTACCAGTTAGTTCTGCAGGGTCATCAATCAGAATGAATGCCTTGTGATCAAGCAAGTTTCTAGAGGCCCCCACTTATTCTAGGAGTGGACCCACTTTATTGCTGGGCTGTGGAGCGGGCACTCCTGGCAGAGGTTGTGGTGGTAGTAGGAGGGTCTTTGAACAGCAGAATATGGATATATTGTAATATTTTAACAAGCATGACAGCTAAATGTCAGCCTTATGTTTACATATAATAACAAAGAAATAAATTCATGCCGAAAATCAACTCAAGATACTCTCCCAGGTTGGGCATGGTGGTTCATGTTTGTAATCCCAGCACTTTGGGAGGCTGAGGCAGGAGGATCAGTGGAGCCCAGAAATTTGAGACCAGCCTGGGCACCATAGTGAGACCCTATCACTGTATTTTTAATTTTTTAAAAATTTGCCAGATGTGGTGGCACACAGCTGTAGCCCTAGCTACTTGAAAGGCTGAGGCAGGAGAATCGCTTGAGTTCAGGACTTCAAGGTTACAGGGAGCTATGACTGCATCGCTGTATTCCAGCTGGGTGACACAGGGAGACCCTCTTTCTCATCATATATACGTAATCTCTCTCAAATCTGAAAATGTGAGGAAAAAGAATTTCTAATTCTAAAACTTTGGGCACCACCTTCTTAAAACATGGGTGAAAAAGACAAATAATACTTTTATTTTTGCCTTCACTTTTGGTTACCTAATTTAGTTATTTCATCACTCTATAGACTTTCTTTGATCATCTATGATTTCCTTGTATTTTATAGAAGTTTTTAACAACAGGGGCATATTTAAGAATCCAGGCCGGGCGCAGCAGCTCACGCCTGTAATCGCAGCACTTTAGGAGGCCGAGGTGGGTGAATAACCAGGTCAGGAGACCGAGACCATCCTGGCTAACACGGTGAAACCCCGTCTCTACTGAAAAAAAAATACAAAAAATTAGCCGGGTGTGGTGGCGGGCTCCTGTAGTCCCAGCTACTCGGGAGGCTGAGGCAGGAGAATGGCGTGAACCCGGGAGGCGGAGCTTGCAGTGAGCCGAGATCGCGCCACTGCACTCCAGCCTGGGCGACAGAGCAACAATCCGTCTCAAAAAAAAAAAAAAAAAAGAAAAAAAGAAAAAAAAAATTCAGCATCTGGATAAAAAATTAAATAAAATTAAAACAGTAATGATGTTAGGAACAAGAAAGAAATTCTTTTATAAAACAGTGGCATATTAAAGAATTCAGCATCTGGATAAAAAAATTAAATAAAATTAAAACAATAATAGTAACGATGTTAGGAACAAGAAAGAAGTTATTTTATAATAATGCTAATTTTTGTGTTTTAGACTTTACAGTGTTATTTTACATATATCAACTCTTTTAATCCATGCAACATCCTGGGATACCAGGGTTATTATTCCTACTTTATACATGAAGATGTTAAAGCTCAGAAAATTAACTCAAATTAACTCACCAAGGCTATACAGCTAGAAACTGGGAGACAGTATTTATACCCAGGTCTTCTTATTTGAGTTCACTTTCCACTACATTAAAGCACGCTGGAATTCCTGGGATTTTTCTTTAGGTGAGAGGTAAATTAGTAATTATAATGTTTGTTCTAGAGAGTAAAAGAATGAAACATATTATCATCTTACCTTATTACCTGTTGTATGTATTTGTGACCACTTCTTGAGCTCCATAACAGAATACTCAAGTGCTGAGACTAATAGGGATGTGTGTGACAGAGGTCGCTAGAAACTGTATCAGCATGGTCAAGAATTTCACACTTTATTAGCTTATTTTAAGCTTATTTTTAAGGCGTGGTGGCTCACGCCTGTAATCCCAGCACTTTGGCAGTCCGAGGCAGGTGGATCACAAGGTCAAGAGATGGAGACCATCCTGGCCAACATAGTGAAACCCCATCTCTACTAAAAACACAAAAAATAGCTGGGTGTGGTGGTGCGCACCTGCAGTCCCAGCTACTCGGGAGGCTGAGGCAGGAGAATCACTTGAACCCAGGAGGCGAAGTTTGCAGGAAGCCGAGATTGCACCACTGCCCTCCAGCCTGGTGACAGAGTGAGACTCCATCTCAAAAAAAAAAAAAAGTCCTAAAATTTTTTAAAAAAAGAAAACAACTGCTACTGGATTGTATAACACCATTTTATACGAGCAGGTTGTGCTAAATTGTCAGAAGATATAAAATTCTTAAAGACTTGCAAATCACAATGTTTTGGAATGGAAAAGAAAGTTAGCTAACAAGAGGAAAAACACTGCCTGCTCCATGAGTAGGTCTCATCAAATTCTATCAACTTATTTCTAGGCTTAAATCTCATCAGCAAGTCCAGGATGTCTGATATAGAACACCCATTATGTAAGTCACACTGAAACCCTATAGGATTCATGGGATGGAGGGAGGAAATGGACAGTCAAGGAAGAGTGGAGTCAAGAAGTAGATGAAATCCCCCAAACTCACTGAATGACACTAATCGAAGTAAGGTCCCCTGGCAATCTCCTTTAGTCCCTCACTTTACATAAAGAGTGACTGATGCTCGGAGGACACAAATCACTTTCTTAAGGTCACACGGTAGGAGGACTTTTCAGAGAAAATGACAATTTTTAGGAGAAAGACTATGCAAGCAAGTAATATATTTTATGGAAAAAGAAGAGGGAAGAATAGTGATTGTTCAGCACCTGTGAGAGAAACTCTTATCTTCCTTCTCTACCAAGATGGAGGTTGGTATTGTTTTTACTACTACACAGATGAGAAAAAAATGATCTTGGGAGATTTTTTTTAATTGCTCAAGGGCCACTGGACTCTGAAGTGGTAGAATGGGGATCCCAACCTTGGTTCTTCTCTCTCAAAGTCCTTTGCTCTTTCCACCCTACCACCATATTTAACCTAAAACTCAGGCTTCAGATATCAAATTCATGCATTAATGAGTGTAAAACTAGACACCATAGTGATTCATTCTAGAACCAGTATATGTATGGAACCAGGGAAATATATAAAATCAGAACACAGATAAAGAGAAAAATTTCAAACCATGAAAAAAATTTGTAAAGCCTAAACTGCATTGCACATTGTCATACTTTATAGATAGTTAATTCATTCAGAAAACATACATAGTTCTCAGGAAATTAAATTCCTACATTTCGAATTCATTTATCCCTATTTTTTTGTGAACATATCAGTAGAACTGCAGATAATCAGAAAGGTTTATGAACACTTGAAGGTTTTTCTTTTTAGCAGGAAAACAATATTTTTCAGCAGAACAAATAAATGAAATTATGTAGGTAAGTATTTATTCTGAATCAAAAACCCCATAGAAGTCAAGTGCTGCCCAAAAATTATCAACAGAAATTATTTCTACATCCATCTTTAAAACGAATGACTTCCTTTTGCTTCAAGGCCAAAGATGGAGGTTTGGATCACAATTACTCATGTTCCACTCCTCTCTGTACCACACATCTAGCAGATAATCACATGGACCTTGCCACATTTTCTTGAATTATGGATTTTGTGAAATACAGACTTCTTGGCCTTAGATTTTAAACCTCTCAAAAGTGGCACCATCAACTTAAGTTTCTGTCCCAATAAAACAAACAAAAAAACAGCTCCAGCCACAGTGATGACCTGATAGCTTGCTGTTCTTGACATAAACCTTGTTCTGCTCCCCCTTGCTCACACAGTTCTCTGAATAGTTCTCTCTCTCCCTCTTCCTCCCATGCATATCACTTTCTAACAAAACACCAAACTGTCTGTCTCCTCAAGGGGCCTTGCCTTCCTCAGTCCAATCAGGTCACCTCTCTTCATTTTCTATTCATATGCTTTGCTATCTCGTATTGGAAACAAGTAGTGTGAGTCTAAGATAAAGTCAGTGAAGAAGGCGGTATCTATGGAGACCAGGCAAAACCCAGTTCCTTCATAGGCACAGTCGGACCAAAGCAGCAGTGTTGCTCTAAGAAGTGTCTTCTATCCGTCTTCTACTTGAGTGCTCCTGGGGATTGGAAGTTTCTAATTAGCCCTTTTGATGACCAGTTGGAGCACTCTTACATACATTTTTTAAAAATAGAGACTCAATTTGTCATCATGAGAGAATCTTTCACTTCTGGACATGCTCGGCTCCCAGTTTTAATGCCTTAAAACAGCTGCCAGTGAAGGAAAAGAGAAGAAATGAGAAAGGTGCTTATTGTTTTTCCTAAAGGACTAAACCAGAAAGTAGCTAAGTGGTGGCACTGAGGAAAAAGAGACAGGAAATAAGCTGGTTGTGGCTTATTTATAATCTGGTTCCAATGGAGTTCAGGCCAAGGCCCATCAAGCCCTTTACCTCAACAAGGCCCTACAGTGGGCTCAGGCTGAAGTCTTCTTTCTCATGCATCATTTACTCATAAGGCAAAAAGATATTTAGTACCCAACATAAGCAAGGCATTGTGCCAGACACTGAGGTGAGTGACAGGAAAGGGGATGGTATAGTTGGAAATGCTTACGTGGCAATAGAAAGTCCACCATGTTTAGAATTAAAGGAACTGTAATTATTTTCTGCACAAGCCCTTCACGTTATAGATGGAGAATCTGAAGACTTTGGGGAAGGATGGGTGGAAGGGTATGGGTAGAGGGAAAGCTGGGACTAGATTATTCCTACCACAAATAAAATTGGAAGCTAAGCATTTTTTTTCTTTTTTTGCCACAGTACATAATCTCAGTGGTTTAACCAGAAAAAAAAATTATAAGAAAAACTACTTATAAGTGACTACTCTTGCTACTCTGTTTTGCTACAGGCTGTGTAGGCAATACAAATAGGTTAGGCAGGGGGAAAAAAAAATCTCTATTAGGACAAGTAGCCCTGTATACCTGGATACTTTTACCTAGTTCAAAATTCTAGAATTATAATTGCTCCCCATTCAACTCGGGCCTGATAGAGTAAACAGACATTTTGTCTGAAGTTGTTTTATCAGTATTGTCTTGTTGATGAAGATTGCACACATTTTACAAAGCTCTGTTGGGATAAACCCTCCTTTTTGGGAGAAGAGATTATGTCTTCGTTATTTGCCCCTGTCTTTGCTGGTGTACACTGTAGCACATTTCAGACTACCTGGTTCTAGGTATTGGAATCCAATCTTATTTGTCTACTGCCACCAGCATCTCTGGCCCTTTCACGGGTCCTGGTAAAGTGGTATTTGCAAACTGTGTCCTCCTGATCCTAGTCACAGATCCTTCTTTTCTGCTGGTTTTTTCCCCTCCTATCGTTGTTTCTTTCTTAGGGTTATGGGAAACTTTTAGTTGTTCACCATGCGGGATGCATAGGAATTTGAGAAGCAACACTCTTGTCCATCTTCCCAAGCTCCTCGCCCAGTTGTTGCTCCTCTACCATCATAATATCATGCAGGATGCAGGATACTTCACAGGGCATAGTTGTCCTTGCAGAAAAAAACAAAACAAAAACAAAACCACTTTCCAGAATTCCCTCAAATTTCTCCAAGGGTCTCCATCTTCTCTTTATCTCCAGAGCTTGGTATCAAGCAAAGGGAAGAGGGGTTGAGCATTTCATGGAGACTCAGTACACCTCAGCTCGACTCATAGCTCCTCTAGTGCTATTTCCTGCCCATTAGGCACAAAATTGTCTGCTTTGATGTCACACGTTTCTGACTGACTATGATAAATACATACAGAAGCTGATAATTCCTCACCTGCCTGCCATTACAATAATGGTCTGAGCCACCATCATCCTCCACCTGTACTACTGTGATTGCCTCCTCACTGGTCCATCTGCTTCCTCTTTTGATTCTCTAGAACCTATATTCAGAACAGCAGCCATGTGATCCCTTTAAAATGCAAGTAACATAGCATCATTCTTCTGTTCCGCAAAATCCTTCATTGGTTTCCCCTTCATTCTTAATAAAATCCAAAGCTCTGATATTGACCCAGGAAGCCCTATATTATCTGCCCTTCCTGCCTCCTCTCTAACACTCTGCTCTTTTGCCTCAGGCCTCTGCACAAGCTGTCCCCATTGCTTAGACTCCAGATATCTTTTTCCTGACTGCCTTCAGGTCTGGTCAACTGCCATGCACCTGCGTGACCCTCTTCCCTCATGATCATACGTAGAATAGCAACCCTATGCCCTCTGTGACCCTCTTCTCCTTCTCTCTGCCTCTTCTTCCCCACAGCACTTATTATCACCTGACATACTATTTGTTTATTTGCTGATATATGCTCATTTCCACCCATTGGAACATAAACTCCATGAGAACACATTATTTTGTTTGCTACTGAATACCCAGTGCCTGGCACTTTACAGATACTCAATAAATGTTTGTAGGATGAGTGAATGAATGAATGAACAAACTCTAAATTGGGAGTTCACCAAACTTTGAATCTTTATTAGCAAAGTCAATCTTTGGAACTAAACAAACAAACGAACCGAAAAACAATCTCACAAGAAGCCTGCATTGGGTTTCAAAATTATTTTTTCTGCGGTGCACTTTTAAAAGTTCATTTTTCAATTCAAAGCTAGGCATTGATTTCTTTGTTCTGGGTTGCTTCTGCCCTCCCTCTGAGGCTTGAAAGATACTGGCTCAAACGGTAGAAGGCTCTGGAACAAAGGAAAAACCAGGAAAAAAAATTCCTCTTTTTATAAAAATCCTCAAATTGCATTACTCTGCCTGAGAATATTGTAATAAGGATTTAAATGGTTTTGGTCTTACTTTGTCTAGACACTTTCATTCTTAGTCTTGCCTTGAATTGCTTAAATATTAAGAGGGTAAGCAGCTTGTCGGTTAGAGTAAAGTTATGCAAAAAGAGCAAATCTGCTAAAATTTTCCAAAGAACGTAGTGGAGCTGGGGCTTGAAATGTCTGGTAAGGACATTTGAACAGGAGACTGCCTATTTTCAAAAGTTGGATAACAGGCTTTGATAGTGAAACACGGGGTGCATAACTGGACACAATGGATAAAATGAATAGAATGAGTGTCATCACATGATGAATGGGCTAGTTTTAGAGTCCACACATTCACTCAATAATGGTTTTACCTGGTTTGCAAGGTGGCAATCCACAGTTGCCAGTCCTCAAGCACACTTTATTTAGCCTATATTTGTTAAAGAAAAAATTTCACATATAAATCTTGATCTCCATTTTCCTTTAAAAGTAGAAGGTCTGCCACACTTGCTTGTTAAGAAAAAATCACCCAGGCCTTGGAAATAAGACAAAAATGAGACAAAGGGACTACAGCATGCTCATTCAGTCATAATAGAATATTGTCTAAAAAATCTGCTGCTATGGTTTGGATATGTCCCCCAAGTTTCATGTGTTGGAAACGTAATCCCCAAATTCATACGTTGATGGCTTTTGGAGATGAGGCCTTTGTGAGATAATTAGGATCAGATAAGGTCTGATCCTAAACAGAGTTGGGCCCCCATGATGGGATTGGTGGTTTTATAAGAAGAGCAAGAGAGTCCTGAGCTGACATGCTCTCGTCCTTTCACCATGTGATATTTTCTGCCATGTTATGATGCCGTAAGAAGGTTCTCACCAGACGCAACCCCTCAGTCTTAGACTTCCCAGTCTCCAGAACTGTAAGAAATAAATTTGTTTATAAATTGCCGAATCTGTGATATTCTGTTACAGCAATAGAAAATGGACTAAGATACCTGCCTAAGACTCATACAATTGTCTAGGCCCTAGACTCTAGTGATGCAATATTGTTACATTTACTGTGTACTACTGATTAGAGTTAAAAGTCTATAAAGTTAGATGCCAACTTGTAGAAGATTGAGTGATTGTAAATTATTTTTGTACAATAGAATAAATAACTCCATAGGTAACAGTTTTGTTTCCTTGTAGGGTATTAACCAATTTTTTAACTAACTTTATTTTCTCTCAGTATTCTTATTTCTGTTGACTGTATAAATATTCCAGCCTCTCATTTTCTCCTTTGAACCAGCTGTCATCTTACTAAATTCTTATTATGAGTTAAATTAATCTTTGACACGTTCACTGTATATTTGTAAGACAGTCATGCTTTCTTTCAGCTTTTGGAAAATTATATTTGGACCTGCTTCACATTCCTAAATGGGAACCAATGTCTAGAATAATCACTAGCTGCTCCCATTAAGCAAGGGCAGCTCTCCAATTCAACACAGTTTCCTCCTCCCACTCCTGATAATCTTATTTCCAGTCCTTTCCCTCATTCATGTGTCCTTCTTGGCCTCGGTGAGCCTTTGAGTTCTTAACGTCTGACTTATACCTTGAGGTTTTAGTAGAGCAGTGGTTCTTACTCTTGAACATGTATGAAAATCTCCAGGAGGGCTTATTAAAACACAGATTGCTGGGCTACACCCCAGAGTATCTGACTCAGTAGGCCTGGGGTGAGACTCAAGAATTCGCATTTCTAACAATTTCTCAGATGATGCTGATGTTGCTAGTGCAGGGACCACACTTGGAAAATCATTGTTGTAGTAAGTGGTAGGCTTTGAACTTGGTCTTGGTAGATTAGAAGGCATTTTTCACTGTAACAATTTGACAAGTTGAATGCAAGACATAGTAAAGTAAGACTTATTTTTAAAAAACTTTGAAAGCCAAGCACAGTGGCTCACACCTATAATCCCAGTACTTTGGGAGGCTGAGGTGGGTGGATTACTTGAGCTAAAGTTCAAGACCAGCCTGACCAACATGGTGAAACCCTGTTTCTACCAAAAATATAAAAATTAGCTAGGTATGGTGGTGCACGCCTGTAGTCCCAGCTACTTGGGAGGCTGAGGTGGGAGGATGGCTTGAGCCAGGGAGGCGGGGGTTGCAGTTAGCCGATATTGTACCACTGTACTCCAGCCTGGTGACACAGCCAGACCCTGACTCAAAAATATAATATAATATAATATAATATAATATAATATAATATAATATAATATACTCTTAAAATGTGAATTACAACATATTAGATAATAGCATTTCTCATGATGCCTACTCTACTTGAGAATTAACTGCTGATGATATTGAAAACAATGAGTAATTTTTGTAAATTTATTGAAACGTCAAGACTGTTCAATGACTACTTTTTTTGTTTGTCTACATTTTAACTTCTTTGAAGGCAAAGAAATCCTAGTAGCCTCCTCAGTGCAGTGTCTAACGTAGGCTAATGCTATGGACCTGGCAAACACCTATTGACTTACAATGATACATTTCTATGTATGACTGTGGTTTCCTAAGCTTTTCATATTCATTATCTCATTCAACATATACAACAATCCTGTGAGGTGAATAGGGTATGTGTATTACTCTACTTTACAGATAAATAAGCTAAGTTTTAGAGGCTTGACATGTCTTTCCCTAGGATACAAAGCAAATATATGGCAAAGCCAGGGCTAGCACTTGATCTTTAGTCTTGCTCACCAGGATTATTTACTGACACACAATGAAAACTAGATTAAAAATGCCATGAGGATTTAGGATAAGCTAAAAGATTCTTAAAATGCAATTGGACCCATAATACATTACTCACAAATTACAGAAAGCATCTATTTTACACACACACAATTATTTACACACGGCAGCTTTGCAGTGAATACTTTGAGTGAGATTTAAAAAATAGACTCTATTCCACCCAATTAATCAGCATCAGATAGCAAGGAGGCTGCTAAACTTTCTGGAATTTAAAACTTTGCAAAGAGGAAGATAGTGTGTAGAAAGTGGATAAATGCTGGAGTCAAACAAATCTTCATTCTGTCATTGACCAGCTATGATACCTTGAAAAAATTCACCTTAATTCTATGAATGTTAAGTCCCTTGCCTGTAAAATAAAGTATATGTATATGTTAAAATTTTAATCTCTAATAAGGATTACGCAAAAATATATGTGAAACTAAGAATGTACATACAGAGTACCTAGTCCAGGGCCTTGAGTAGTGAGAGTGCACAATAAGAGTTAATTCCTACCCTAACTTATTGGAAGGGCAAAAGGATGTGCTAGGACTGTTAGGATTTGAACATTAAAGAACATATTGAGTGAAGTGTTATTACTCATTCCCACTACATCCTCAAAATTCTATTGAATCGTTCACGCACCAAACCACAGTATATTCCAGAAAAAGCAAATATAGGCATATTATTGCAATACTAATACAGTTTTCCATTGACTAGTACACTAAGAAATCACCAGCATGTATTACCATCATGGCAGGTGATTTAAATGAATGTCAGGTGCAACATATTGTATTTCCATTTGACTGTTTTGCAGTGCAGGAATCAATGAGAAAGAACAAGGCAACAGTTTGAGCCACAAAGGGGAAAAAAGGAGAAAATGGAATAATTGCATTCACCCTAGTGCAGAAATGTACAAGTGTAAGTGGCATGAAAGGAAATATACATAATTATAGTCTGCATAGAACTGGGAACAAATGGAAAGAGTGGCTGTGTTGACTGAGAAAGAGAAGAAAAGTCGGAGAAACTGGCCACTCTGCATTCCAGACACAGGCAGATTTCATCTGCAAACAGTGCCCTGGCCAGACTTGCCAGTTACGTGGATGACAAAGCAGAAAACAAATGCACTGATTAAAGTGCTGAATTCATCCTCAGACTGAAATACAACTTACAGCAGAAAAAGAGGGGGCCTAAACTGGAGATGACAATCTGGCATTTTGATGCAGACAGGCTGGGATAGATGGCATACCTGGAGTATCAAAATTCATTTTCCCTTGTGTAAATAAATGCTCATAAACTGTAAAGTGGGTAACGAAGGTTGGGTTTGTTTGGACCAGAGATGTTAGAAAACAGTCAACACTTTGTTCCCTATTGTAAGAACACAGCAGCCTCAAGATGTGCTAAGATTGACCACCCACAACTTCCCTGGTGGACATGCAGTAGCTCTTCTGTGATTTGTAGTAAAATATCAGCCCTTCCTGGCAATGCACATTACTGCATAATTGCAGATGTACTACAGTCTAACTGGTATAACAGAACTCTACACAACTACAGTTAGAAAAGCTAACATGACACCAAATGCCCACGCCACCAGTGAATCACAGCAAGAGAAAAAGAAATTGCATTGTCTATGCATTATTGGAAAAGAATATTTTATACTGTCGAGGGGCTAGAGGCTGGCTTGTTCACCCTCAGCAACACTATCTGCCTTACTAGCTGGCTGATAGTTCATTGCTTGTATAATTTATAATAATTCTGGGTGTGTATTAGTGCTAGCAAGTGTGATAAGCATGAGTAACTATGACCCCTCCTAAAGTGCAAGGTATTCTAAAAGCTAAGATCCTTGTTTGCTCACTAGTCAAGGACATGGGAGTTTTGGGTCTTGATATTCCTTAGAGGGCAGTGTTTCTCAAACACACATATCTCATGTATACAAAGCTGCTGGAGATTTTGTTTAAATGCAGGTTCTGCATCAGTAGGCCTGGAGTACAGCTAAAAGTCTGCATTTCTAAGAAAAGTCAGGTGATAACCCTAGAGCACATGGCACAGCAAATAGTAGATGTGTAATTATTAAATGGACTAGAGTTAAATATCAAGGCACTTAGATTAAGCAACCGTATTTCAAATCCAAAGAGTGGAGTGGATTAGCTATACACTTTCCTCTCACTCTAAATTCCAACATACAGTTTAAGAAGACTTGGAACCAACCCAAATGCCCATCAATGATAGACTGGACAAAGAAAACGTGGCACATATACACCATGGAATACTATGCAGCCATAAAAAAGGATGAGTTTATATCCTTTGCAGGGACATGGATGAAGTTGAAAACCATCATTCTCAGCAAGCTAACACAAGAACAGAAAACCAAACACCACATATTCTCACTCTAAGTGGGAGTTGAACAATGAGAACACATGGACACAGGGAGGGGAATATCACACACCGGAGCCTGTAGGGGGTGGGGGACTAGGAGATGGATAGCATTAGAAGAAATACCTAATGTAGATCACAGGTTGATGGGTGCAGCAAACCACCATGGCACGTGTATACCTATGTAACAAACTTGTACATTCTGCACACGTACCCCAGAACTTGAAGTATAATAATAATAATAATAATAATAATAATAAAGACTGTTACCTTTGGAATCCTACAGTCCTGAATTTAGGCCTTAACTTTGCAATTTACTAAATATGTGATCTTCAGTAAGTTAACTTCTCTGAATCTCATTTTTGTACCTAAAAAATATCTCGACTACTTATATACTACCTATATTACCTGTTAAATGTTACCTACCTCAGAAGGTAGTTCTGAGAATTGAATAAAATAATGCACTTAGAATGTATACCACAGTGCCTGGCATCTATAAGATAATAAAAATGACAACCAATATTGTTATTGCCACTATGTAAGTATTTCCAACGACCAGTTTCTAATGTTAGCAGAAGGATGAGAGTAATTATAATGGAGGGAAGATTTACTCATTTATTAACTAATAAATATTTATTGAGGACTTTTCTGAGACAATCATAGTCTAGCACTGAGGATACGACATTTAAAAAGTAAGAGAATGACTGTGCTTTCATGCAGCTGTCATTCTAGAGGGAGAAAAAAATAAATAATAAAACATGTAAATAATACAAATAGTGATATATATGTTTTAAAAATAAAGTATCCAACTATATGACATTATAGAGAAAAAAAGTGTGGAGATAGTAAAGTTAGTGGCTAGTCTGATACAATCCCATTTGTTTATATTTACTTTTGTTACCTGGATTTTGAGGTCTTATTCATAAAATCCTTTCCTGTGCCAGTGTCCTGAATTGTTTTCTCTATGTTTTCTTCTAGTAGTTTTACAGTTTCAGGTCTTATATTTCAGTCTTTGATTCATTTTGAGTTGATTTTTGTGTAGGAAGAGAAGCAGGGACCTAGTTCCATTCTTCTGCATATAGTTATCCTGTTTTCCCAGCACTAATTATTGAAGAAATTGTCCTTCCCACAATGACTGTTCCTGGCGCCTTTGTCAAAAATTAAATGTTGGCTGTAGATATGTGGATTAATTTCTGGACCCTGTCATCTGTTCCATTGGTCTATGTGTCTGTTTTTATAACAACATCATGCTATTTTAGTTACTACAGCTTTGTAATATATTTTGAAGTCTGGTAGTGTGATGCCTTCAGCTTTGTTTGTTTTGCTCAGAATCGTTTTGGCTATTTGGGGTCTTTTGTGGTTCCATACAAATTTTATGATTAAAAAAAATCCTGTGAAGAATATCATCGGTATTTTGATAGAGATTTCACTGAATCTGTAGATTGCTTTGGGTAGTATTAAATAACCAACAAAGTGAAAAGGCAACCTATAAAATGAAATAAAATATTTGCAAACTATTCATACAACAGAAGATTAATGTCCAGAATATACAAGAAACTCAAACATCTCAACAGCAAAAAACAAACAATTCAATTTAAAAATGGGCAAATGAACTGAAAAGACATTTTTCAAAAGAAGATATGCAAATGGCCAAGAAATACATGAAAAAAATGCTCAACATCACTAATCAACAGGGAAATGCAAATCAAAACCACAATGAAGTATCACCTCACCCCAATTATAATGGCTGTAATCAAAAATACAGAAAATAACAAATGCTGGCAGGGATGCAGAAAAAAGGTTACTCTTATATGCTGTTGATGAAAATGTAAACTCATAACACCGCTATGGAAAACAGTATGGAGGTTCCTCAAAAAACTACAAATAGAACTACTGTACGACCCAGTAATCCTACTACTGAGCATCTATCCCAAGGAAGGGAAATTAGCAATATCAAAGAGACATCTGCACCCCATGTTTATGGCAGTACTATTCACAATAGCCAAAATATGGAGTCAATCTAGGTGTCCAACAACTGATGAATGGATAAAGAACATATGATATAAATACACAACGAAATACCATTCAGCCATAAAAAAGAATAAAATCTGTCATTCACAGCAACATGGATGGAAGTGGAGGGCATTACATTAAATGAAATAAGCCAGGAATAGAAAGTTAAAGTTCTCAATCATATGTAGAAGCTGAAAAAGTTGATCTCATAGAAGTTAAAAGTAGAACAGAGAATACTATAGGCTGGGAAGAGTAGGGTACAGGGGAAATAGGGAGAGATCTGTTAAAACATAAAAATTACAGCTAGATAGGAAGAGTAAGTTCTAGTGTTCCATACCACTGTAGTGTGATTATAGTTAATAATAATATGTAGTTTCAAATAGCTACAAGGAGGATATTGAATGTTCCCAACACAAGAAAATGATAAATGTTTGAGATAATGGATATCTTAATTACCCTTCTCTGATCATATACATTACATGTATTGCAAAATCACAATGTACCCCCACAGATATGTACAATTATTATAGGTCAGCTTAGAAAAGAAAAAAAAAGTCACTGGTTGCTAGGGGTTAGTGAAGATGGGGAGATCAATCGGCAAAGCACAGAGGACTTTAAACACAGTGAAACTACAGTCATCCAGCAGTATTCCTGGGGGACTGGTTCCAGAACCCCTGTGGATACCAAAATCCACATACAATGGTGTAGTATTTGCATATCACCAGTAAACATTCTCCCATGTACTTTAGATCATCTCTAGATTCTTTATAATACCTACTACAATGCAAATACTATGTAAATAGTTGTTATACAATATTTTTCAGGGAATAAGGAAAACAAAAGAAGTCTGTACATATTCAGTATAGACACAACTGTCCATTTTTTTTAAGTATTTTTGTTTCACAGTTGGTTGAATCCACAGATGTAGCACCCATGAATATGGAGGGCTGACTGTATGCTGCATGTTAGTTACTATAAAGGTGGATACATGTCATTAAACATTTGTTTAAACTGATAGAATGTACAACACCTAGAGAGAACCCTAATGTAAACTATGGACTTTGGATGATAATGATGTGTCAATGTAGGTTCACCAATTCAATTCTAACAAATGTCTTATTCTGGCTTAAGATGTTGATAGTGGGGAGATTGTGTATGTGGTGAGAGGGAGAGGATATATAGGAACTTTCTGCTCAATTTTCCTGAGAACTTAAAATGGCTCAAAACATAAAGTCTATTATTTAAGAAGTAAAAAATTAGTAGGCAAATAAATAATACTAAAGAGGACAGATTACAGCTGGCTGGGTCATGGGTAAGGTGAGGGGTATTTGAGACATCATGGTCAGGGAAGCTCCTTCCCAGGAGGTGGTATTTGTGCAAAACCTAAAAAATGAGAAGGATCCAACTAAGCAAATCCTTCTACCACCTTATCCATCAAATTCTATGTTGATGATTACACATCCTCTCAGAGCTGTGAAGTGTAGTTGAATTAACGCTGATAAGAAGTGTCCACTCTCAGGCATGTACAAGTTGCTGCCACAGTGTGTATGCAACTGTTTCTAAACAGCAAAGTTTCAATAGATACTTGTTAAGGAAAAGATCTATGATACCACTGTGGGACCCAGGAAAACGTTGCTGTTTATGAGTATCTGGCACTTCTAATTAAATTAGTGCACAAAGGCCCAAAAAAAAAAAAAACACAGAAAAATACAGGTCAATATCCCTGATTAAGATAAATGCAAAAATCCTCATCAAAATACTAGCAAACCAAATCCAGCAGCACACAAAAAGTCAATTTACTATGATCAAGTAAGCTTCTTTCCTAGGAGGCAACGTTGGTTCAACATATGAAAATCAATAAATGTGATTCTCTCTATAAATAGAATTAACAAAAACCATATGACCATCTCAATAAACACAGGAAAAGCTTTCAATAAAATTTAACATCCCCTCATGATAAAAACCCACAGGAAACTAGGCATCAAAGGAACATATCTCAAAATAATAAGACCTTCTATGACAAATCTATAGGCAACATCATACTGAATAGGTAAAAGTTGGAAGCATTCCCCTTGAAAACTGGAACAAGACATGATGTCCACTCTCACCACTCCTATTCAATATAGTGCTGGAAGTCCTAGCCAGAGCAGTCGGACAAGAGAAAGAAATCAAAGGCATCCAAATAGGAAAATAAGAAGTTAAATTATATCTCTTTGCTGACAGTATCATTCTATGCCTAGAAAACATTAAAGACTCTGCCAAAAGGTTCCTGGAACTGATTAATCACTTCAGTAAAGTTTTAGGATACAAAATCAATGCACAAAAATCAGTAGCATTTCTGTACACCAATAATGTTCAAGCTGAGAGCCAAATCAAGTACACAATTCCATTTACAATATCAACAAAAAAATAAAGTAAAATATCTAGGGATGTATTGGGGGAACCTGCCCCCAATATTTCAACATAGATTCTATTTTCCATAAGTGTTGGCCGGCTGAGAAATAAAGAGAAAGAGTACAAAGAGAGGAATTTTACAGCTGGGGGTGCTGGGGGTGACATCACATATCAGTAGGACTGTGATGCCCACCTGAGCCTCAAAACCAGCAGGTTTTTATTAAAGATTTCAAAAGGGGAGGGGGTGTCTGAACAGGGAGTAGGTCACAAAGATCACATGCCTCAAAGGGCAAAAAGCAGAACAAAGATCACATGCTTCTGAGGAAACAGGACAAAGGGCAAAAGGCAGAACTCCTGATAAGGGTCTATGCTCAGTGGTGCACGTATTGTCTTGATAAACATCTTAACAGAAAACAGGGTTCGAGAGCAGAGAACTGGTCTGACCAAAAATTTACCAGGATGGAGTTCCCCAATCCTAGTAAGCCTGAGGGTACTGCAGAAGACCAGGGCGTATCTCAGTCCTTATCTCAACCACACAGGACAGACATTCCCAGAGCGGCCGTTTATAGACCTCCCCCCAGGAATGAATTCCTTTCCCAGAGTATTAATATCAATAGTCTTTGTGAGGAAAAGAATTTAGTGATACTTCCCTACTTGCACGTTCATTTATAGTCTCTCTGCAAGAAGAAAAATATGGCTCTTTTTGCATGCACGTGCAGGCTGTCAGACCTTATGATTGTCTTCCCTTGTTCCCTAAAAATCGCTGTTATTCTGTTCTTTTTCAAGGTGCACTGATTTCATACTGTTTGAACACACATGTTTTACAATCAATTTGTACAGTTAACACAATTATCACAGTGGTCCTGAGGTGACGTACATCCTCAGCTTATGAAGATAACAGGATTAAGAGATTAAAGTAAAGATAGGCATAAGAAATTATAAAAGTATTATTTGGGAACTGATAAATGTCCATGAAATCTTCATAATTTATGTTCCTCTTCTTCAGCTCCAGCCGGTCCCTCCGTTCAGGGTCCCTGACTTCCCACAACAGGAATGCATCCAATCAAGGAACTGAAAGATTTCTACAAGGAGAACTACGAACTACTGCTGAAATAAATCATAGAGGACACAAACAAATGAAAAAGCATTCCATGCTCACGGACTGGAAGAATCAATATTGTTAAAATGGTCATTCTGCCCAGAGCAATCTACAGATTCAATGCTATTCCTATCAAGCTACAAATGTCATTTTTTACAGAACTAGAAAAAACTATTCTAAAATTCATATGCAACCACAAAAGAGCCTGAATAGCAAAAACAATCCTAAGCAAAAAGAACAAAGCCAGAGGAATCACATTACCCAACTTCAAACTATGCTATAAGGCTATAGTAACTAAAACAGCATAGTATGGGTACAAAGCAGATATAGACCAATGGAACAGAGTAAAGAACCCAGAAATAAAGCTGCACACCTACAATCATCTGATCTTCAGCAGAGTCAACAAAAACAAGTAATAGGGAAAGGATTCCCTATTTAATACATGGTGCTAGGATAGCTGGCTAGCCACAGTAAAACTGGGCCCCTGTCTTTCATGATATACAAAAACTCAAGCTGAATTAAAGATTTCAGTGTAATACCTCACACTATAAGAATCCTAGAAGAGGGTCAGGGGCAGTGGCTCACACCTTTAATTCCAGCACTTTGGGAGGTCGAGATAGGCGGATCATCAGGTCAGGAGATCGAGACCATCCTGGCCAACATGGTGAAACCCTGTCTCTACTAAAAATACAAAAATTAGCTTGGCATAGTGGCACACACTTCTAGTCCCAGCTACTCGGGAGGCTGAGGCAGGCAGGAGAATCTCTTGAACCTGGGAGGTGGAGGTTGCAGTGAGCCAAGGTCGCACCACTGCACTCCAGCCTGGGGAAAGAGGGAGACTCCGTCTCAAAAAAAAAAAAAAAAATCCTAGAAGAAAACCCAGGAAACACTGTTTTGTACATTGGCTTGGCCTTGGGAAAGAATCTATTACTAAGTCCTCAAAAGCAAGTGGAATTGACAAGCGGAACCTAATGAAACTTAAGAGCTTCTGCACAGCAAAACAACTAACAACAGAGTAAACAGACAACCTACAGAAAGGGAGAAAATATTCACAACTTATGCATCCACCAAAGGTCTAATATCTGGAATCTATGAGAAAGCTAAACAATTGAACAAGCCAAAAACAAATAATCTCATTTTAAAAAGGCCCAACAAAAACAGAAAAATACAGATGCAAAAGACATGAACACACACACTTCTTAAAAGACATACAAGCAGCTAACAAACATGAAAAAAATGTTCAACATCACTAATTATCAGAGAAATGAAAATCAAGACCACAATGACATACCATCTCACAGCAGTCAGAATGGCTATTATTAAAAAGTCAAAACACAATAGATGTTGGTGAGCTGTAGAGAAAAGGGAATGCTTATAAACTGTTGGTGGGAATGTAAATTAGTATAGCCACAATGGAAAGAAGTTTGGAGATTTCTCAAAGAACTTAAAAGAGAACTACCATTCAACCCAGCAATCCCCATTACTGGGTATATATTCAAAAGGAAATAAATTATTCTACCAAAAAGACCCATGCACTCATATATGTTCATCACAGCACTATTCACAATAGCAAACACATGAAATCAACCTAGATGTCCATCAATGGTGGACTGGATAAAGAAAATGTGCCACATATATGCCATGGAATACTATGCAGCCAAAAAAAGAACAAAATCATGTCCTTTGCAGCAACATGGATGCAGCTGGAGATCATTATCCTAAGCAAATTAATGCATGAACAGAAAACCAAATACTGCATGTTCTCGCTTACAAATGGGAGCTAAACATTGGGTGCTCATGGACATATAGACGGCCGTAACTGACACTGAGGACTACCAGAAAGAGGAGGGAGAAAGAGGGTGCAGGGGTTGAAAAACTAACCATTGTGTATTATGTTCAGTACTTGGGTGATGGGATCAACTGTACACCAAACCTCAGTATCACACAATATACCCAGGTAACAAACCTGCACATGCACCCCCTGCATCTAAAATAAAAGTTGAAATTTAAAATAATAATAATAAATTAGTGCACATTAATAATCACTGTTCACTAGGCACTATCTAATTTATGTGCCATGTACTTGATTCTCATTACTTCATTGATCATCACAGAGAATCTTGTAACATTGATATGGTTATTTTCCTGTTACACAGGAAGAAACAAGGCTTAAGGGGTTAAGTAAGCTGTCCAAGGTCATACAGTTATTTAAAAGCAGTGCAAGGATTTGAACCTGGATCTGTTCTATTCTCAAGTCTGGGCTATCAAACAGCTTCCAACTGGGAATTCCCTGCTCCACACCTCCAGTAAACTTCAGTCTTCCCCCTGACTCCCAGGTATAAATCCCCCTCTTCCAAACAGCGTGAAATATCTTAAAGTAATTGCAGCAGCATGTTGAATAAGCCAGGTGAATACAAATGTTTATTACTGGAACTTCATAAGAATGCAGAGACAGCTTCAAGGACAACCCCCTCCCCCAACACACACGCAGGTACACACACACGCAGGTACACTATCCATTCAGTCACAATTTTACCATTTATGCTCTGACTGATTCTCTGTAACTTTTGAAATGTTTTCACTGTTGTTTATTTAACAGCTACAACCAGAGTCATTAGCCATTGACTACTGGACATAAGAGGCTTGCTATTTGACTAAAGTTGGACAAAAACCCACATGAAGCTGCCACATCCTGCAGCAGTTCCCATGAAATCCACCTTATCCAGGAAACCCCATGTGTTCAGGAGCAGTATCAGAAAGCCGTTCTGCTGAGCAAAGAAGAGAGGAGCACAGAGAGAAGGTGCTTCAACACCACAGAAAGAAAATTGAGGCCTGGCATAAGGAAGAACGAAGAATGTGGTGGTATTTGGAGTTAGTGGAAGAGGAGGAGTTTCAGGGGTGTCAGACTTGAGTTTTCATCCTGCTTTCCACTAGAGCTTCTGTTAACTAGAGCTTTAGTTTCTTTATTACATGCTGATAGTAGTGCCAGGGTGAAGGGAAGACTAAATATGATGTCAATGCCATTACAAATGCCTGACATATAGCACGCTTTCAAAAATATGTCAGTTCCTTTGTTGGAGTAAAAGGTTTTCTTCATTTCTAATTGACTGTTTTAAAAATACAATGATTATTACTCTTGTTACTCTGATGTATGATTCATTAATTTTATTTAAGCTCCCCATGTATTTCAATAGAACTTTGACAATTTTTAAAAAGGACATAAAAAGTTCGTTGGTGGAAATTTTCTTGTCAGCTCTCTTCGTTTCACCATGAGCAAATAAAAATAGTTAACATACCCAGAGAACACTGAAAATTAAAAAAAAAAAAAAAAAAAAAGAAGAAGAAGAATAGTTAACATTCCCTGAGCACTTACTTTGAGCCAGTCCCTCTTCTGACTGAATTCCGCATCACAAAAACCCAGTTAGGAACATGTCCTTGCCATTATTGTGCCCATTTTACAGATGAGAAAACTGGATCATTGAGGCCATTGTTAAGTGAAATAAGCCAGGCACAGAAAGACAAACTTCGCATGCTCTCGCTTATTTGTGGGAGCTAAAAATTAAAACAATCGAACCTCATAGAGATAGAAGGTAGAATGATGGTTACCAGAGTTGGGAAGGGTGGTGGGGGCAGTGGGAAGTGATGACAGTTAATGGGTACAAAAAATATAATTAGATAGAATGAATAGGATCTAGCTTTTGACAGCACAGCAGAGTGACTACAGTCAACAATAATTTATTGAACATGTAAAAATAACTAAAAGAGTATAATTGGAATGTTTGTGACACAAAGAAGTGATAAATGTTTGAGGTGATGGATATTCCATTTACCTTGATATGATTATTATGCATTGCATGCCTGTATCAAAATATCTCATGTGCTCTGTATATATACACCTACAATATACCTACAAAAATTAAAAATTAAAAAAGGAGAGGAATATGTACCAAATTTGACAAACTATCCCCTTATAAGGAGCCATCAGCACATGCAGACCCTCCCTTTTAAATTTATATGGAATTTATTCTCCTATGGCAGAATCGTCTCATATTTCAGGTCAGATAAACAGTGTGTATTAGGCAGAGCCCAGAACACCCAACAGATAGAAAAAGCTGCAAACTCCTTCTGGCCTTCCGAGAAGATGCTTTTACATCTAGAAGCAGATGATTTCATTATTGCTACTTTACTGTGAACCTCAAAATTGCTGACGGTTAAATAATTCAGCCCTCTGGGAAAATCCAGCCCCCAGTTTTAAGTCTCTAACCCTTATGCCAATTTGATAAGCAGTAGAGAGAGACATAACATGACTCTTTAGGTTGTTCTAAATTTACCAGCTCCGAAATATTTAATGCAGAAGAAGTGCATGGTCAGTTCCACATATTCTGGCACTTAACCAGCTTAGTGAGGCAGGCTTAAAGAGGAGGATACTAAAAAAGGCATTTGGCTGAGCTATAATGGGCATCCAGCTTAAGGGACAGAATCTGTAGTTAGCTAACTTTGGAAATTCTGTGTTCCTTCTGGATAAAGCTGTGATCATTCTCTTCTTCCTCTAGATTCTTCTTAATGACGGGGGTTCAACAGGTCAAATAAACTAAAATTCTGCAAACTCTCCATATTTGTTATATAAGCCTGGTGTGTTGATTCTGGACGGTAGTCACACCCTCTACCCAGCTAACTGTGTTACATGCTGAATAGATGATGCATAGGCAGACCTTGACCATACTTGATCAGATGCCATACAACACAGATTTTCCTGAAGCCAATCATAAACGGGGGGTGAAGCGTGTGAAAAGGCTGCATTTGCAGGACTGCTTCTCCCACTCTCCAGATATACTTTGGCTTATGATTGTTGGTTCTTATAGTGCTGGGAAGCACCCAAACCAGGGTAGGAGGGAGGGATCATGAATATGGAAAAGATATATTGCCTTATACGGCTGTTGCCTAAGTTAGTGTGTTGAACGCTGGCTTGAGACATTGCATGTCTGTTCTTAAGATGCCAGCAAGCATCATGAAGTCAACAATTCCTAATATCTTGCAAGTAAGCTTGTTCTTCTTTCATTATTACACTACTCTGAAATCTCAGGAAAGACACAGTTACCGTGTTAGGGGCAAGCTGCTGGGAGCCAAGAACCCGTAAAATAGTTGTTATGGCCTCATATGTTGCAACATTCTTAATTTGTTTTGAGTGCAAAGTGTTGTCTTCTGAAACAGATTAAAAACACTCAGAAGGTCATAACTGTATTTTATACCCCTTTTAATATTTTTCTCAAAATATCAGGCACAAACCTAGGCAAAACATCTGTGTTCACTGCACTTGCTCACTTGACTTGGTTCAAACAGACGTAGAACTTTGTCAGACCATGTCAGCTAAAATATAATTTGATTTGTACCTGAGCATAAGCACAACTAATATTCAGCCTGATGCATGGCTGTGCCTGCTGTTTACAGTTGGCATCTGTTCTGACTGGTCTGTGCTAGGACAGGTGTGAAATATTTTAAATACATCCATGATCATTAGTATTTGCTTCCAATTTATTGTGACAATTGGTGCCACTATCATATATAACTTTTCAGTCTTTGAACATTCAATTTCCAGAGTTACTAAGGATCACAGAATCACAGAATCTCAGAATTAGAAAGAATGCTCACATTCATCTATTTCCACCCGCTGCTGGGTACAGAAATCTCCTCTTCAGATTCTTTCACTCATTGGTCAGTCAGAATCCAAGCAAAAGAAGCTGAGAGCTTACTGAATGTGAATCAAATTTCCCTTTTATTGTACATTGTCTGCAATTATAAAAAGGAAGCCATTAGAAGTGTACACTGAGCTCCAAGAAAATATGAACAGTGATGATGTATATCCAGGGAGGAAATTGTGTGTTCTCTCCAGTCTTGTTATATTGGTCCACAGATCAAAGGGAAGATTCACATAAAATCTGGCCACTGTTTATCTCCCGTTGTTAACACCTTATTCCAAACCACAATTATCTCATCCGGATTATTGCAATTGCTTTCTGCCTGGTCTCTTTGCTACATCCATTACCTTGTTCAGTTTATTCAACATGGAAACCAGAGTGATCCTGTTAAAATGTCAGATCAGGTCACTCCTTTATTCAAAAGCCTCAATGACTTTCCATCTCTGTAAGAATTAAAGCCAATGTCCATATTAGAACCTGCAAGGCCCTGCAAGATCTGGCTTCCCCATTTCTTCTTTGACTATCTCTTACTCCTAATACCCTGGCTATTTCTCGAATATACCAGGTGTGTGGTCATGTCTCAAAACCTCTGCTCTTGCTGTGCCCTCAGCCTGGAGAACGTTGTCACCCAAATATTCCTTCACCTCATTCCATTGTTTGCTCAAATGACACCTTCTCAGCAGGGCCTAAGCTAGCCTCCTTATATAAAAATTGCAGCCTCATTTATACTCCCTATAACCGTTTCTGTTTTACTTTCCTCTTTAGCCCTTATCATGATCTTTATTTTCCCCAATTACATTTTAACTTCTGTAAGGGCAAGAACTTCTGTCTGTTTTGTCCACTAGCATAATCTCAAAGCCTACAATAGTGTTCATTACATATTAATCACTTAATAATCAGCTATAGAAGAAAGAAAAGAAGAAAAGATGGAGGGCCAGCTCCATTGCAATGCCATACGTGGAAGCTACATACCTAGAAGCTCTGCTTTCTGCTTTGCTTGTAGAATTTAAAACTCTTTAAGCCTCTGGGAAGATCAGAGTATCCTTGAAAAGCATGTATGGCTACTTATTGGAATTATTTCTAGCTTTTAAAGCCTACATACACAGTGGTCAGAAAAGGAGGCTGTTATCAGGGATTGTCTTTTTAATTTTGATTTTAGATCTTACTTTGATACTGTTTGCATTAGCATGTTTTACGGGTGTGTTCATTCATTCAACAAATATCTATTGAGAATCTATTATCTACAAGGTCCTTGCATTAGCCTTAAGGATATCTGAAGCTGTATTGAATGTATTCTGTAAAATACATAAAGAAAAAGTGCACCGTCAGGCAATGGTTCTGAACACAGCTTCATAATAGAATTGCCCAAGAAACTCAAAACCAAACCACTGCCTGGGACCTGGTTTCAGAAAGAAGAACAGAGGAATTCTTAAGTACTTCCCACGTAACTGTCATATTCACTCCAGGTTTTACTCCTGCTGTCATATTAAAAGGATGTATACTGAAGGAGCAACAGATATAAGTGCTAGAGGAGTACGAGAAAGAGTAATGCTGTCTAGTCAGAGCTATGTTCCTCAAACTATGTTCCAAAGGACAGTAGTCATCTGTGAAAGGTTAATAGCTATTTTAGGTGAGTAAATAGCCCCACGTTCAAATAAATTTGGGAAATTATTCATTCTCCATTTCATGGAGATTCAGTGTTTTAGGGAATCTCTCTGCACTCAAGTGAGTTGAGGGAGATGAGGCAGACATTCTACGGAGAGTCATTGATGAGTTCAACCCTGTTAAACAGGCCTGCAGAGGCTCTGGGATTATAATACTACTTGGGCTTCATGCCACCACATGACTCTCTATATACCCATTTATCTTAGCCATGTAGAATTGCAACCAAGGCCAGTTCTTGGCCACGAAAACAAACCAGTCACAGTAGTAGAGAAATGGCTCTATTTTTAAAGGTTTATAGTGACTGGATGAAGTATCCTCTGCTTTCCTTCTATGACCCTGGACTTTGGGTGCTCCTATCTACCTGGATTTTTTTTATATTTTCTCCACATTTTTGCACTTCTTAATTGACTAGGTTTGTATATCATTTCCTTTGTTAGCCTTTTGAAAGTAAATGAATCACTTGGAAGACAGAGAAACGAAGTTTTGCTTTATTATGCCGAACTGGGATCTATAACACACATCTGAATTTCATAACTGTGTTTGGCTTACATGGTTGACTTCATATTCAATTGATGATATTCATCTTAATTAAGAATAAATAGACAAATGGCTACTAAAAGGGAGGCTGATTAAATACATTATGATAAACCTAGATGGTGAAATACTTTGCAGAATGGGAAATGTCACGGGAAAATGGTCACCATAAAGTAAGAAAAAAATGTGAGGGTGGAGGATACAAAGCTACTTCTGATATAAAAATGACCTACAAATTATAGCTATGAAATAACATTATTAGGGCTATATATTTTCATATTCTGCTTATTTCATACCAACTCTTCTAAGCTGAACATGTATTAATTTCAAAACATAAAAAATAGGGACATTTAAGCCAATAACTTGTGGTGTTTTAATGGAAACCAAATAAATAGAAATCAGTTTTCCTTTATACCCCCTGTTCCAAGAAACATGCTCCTTGCCCAAATTTTTCTTTGAGATTTAAATTGGCATAACTCTTCTGAGTTGAATGTTTCCACAATTTTAAGGCAAAAACAAATTAATGCTGATAAAAATACTTTGGAACCACAAACTGTGGGATAGACAAATAATCCTGAAAACACACGCTGGTGACCTTTCCCTGCTCATTTTTCTTGGTGGGAAGATCTGTAGGCACTACTTCTTATTTACCATTTTTTTTCTGATCTGTTTTTTGTTTTGTTTTATTTTGTTTTACTTCAAAGCAAAAAGTCTTGCTGACCAGTGGAAAGCTTGTTGAAGTCAATTATTCCTTGAAGACTTTTTGTACAATTCATTTGATGAAAATTATCTCTGAAAAGAGATTAGTAACTTTATTGTATAATTTCTCCCTTATTGATTGCCTCCAAACCCTTTCTCATTTTATTTATGAGCATTTTTATAGGAATTGCTTTTATGATAGAGGAAATTGTAACAGACAACCCCCTCACAGGTATACCACAGATATCTTGCTCTGTTTTATTTTCTGGAACAGTACGATGAGAAAGTGTTTGCTATAAAAATATGACACTAAAGACTGAAAGCAAAACAATATAGGACTTACTTCATTTACCTTTATCTGAATAGATTATTATATCTAGGTTCGGAGAACATGTAATAAATAAATCGTCCAATAAAGGACTCTTCTGTGGAACAAATGCTATTTGACCTGTAGACCTTCAACACAATTTTCCAGATATTTTATAAAAATTTACAAATATTTACCAAGAGTCTTGGCATGTTCAAAGAAAAAAATAGGTATGATCAATTTTCCCAGTTAAGAGAAGTCAAAGGTGAATGATCCTAGGTACACCAAGCAAACTACCAAGACACATTCCTACTTACACTCATATTATTGGAAACATCCAAAATGAAATCTTTGATTAGTAAAATTCCAACCCTGTGTACAGGCTCAAAAATGCAAACTTTTTTTTTCAGTAATTATGCATAAGATCCTAAAACATCACTTATAAATTTACAATTGCAATAAGGCCATTACACAAAGGAATGTAAATTAATTCATTTATCAGTGGTAAGAATGATCAACCTTGGAATGATGGATGGGTTTCTTATTGAATCAAAGTCATAAGAGCATGCTCTCCCCTGGCATCCTAGCATTTCTTGTCCTTCCCCATTGCTTCCCACTGAAGACATTGTTATTCATCTCTCCTGAACATATACTTGCTCCAGGAGTATGAGGGGTGAAAACGTGTGTTCAATGTAGCACTCTGTATATCCCTACCACAGATCATTTTATTTCTAAATTTTTATTTCCTTTTTTTTTCCTTTAATTGCATTTACAAATTTTTTCCTAAGGGTCAACATTTTCTATAGTTAAAGCTAATTTTTTTCTTTTAAATCCTCCTTTTTTCAAACAATCTGCTACAAAGATCCTTTGCTCATCTGCCCTTGTATTTCTACATCTAGACGAAAGTGAAGAGAATAAAATTAGAGTTTTAGTATTCAGAATGCTTTTAATTGGGACAAGAAGGAAGAAACCTATATCCTGCCATGGATTTTTTAACTTCTAAAAAACTTCAGTGGTAGTTTGAAAAGGACTTGAGCCATTTCAAGAAAAAAAGAAACTATTTCATTCAAGTTAATTTATCTAGCTTTTTCTGTATTATTCTTTAAATTTGCTTATTACCTTAGATACATGAACAGAGAATAGTGTGTTTTCTTTGTATTGCTACAAATGGTAGAATTTAGATTTTTTAAAACTCTAATCCGTTTTTTTCTCAGTCGTAGGAGACTACATTTTAAAAGGAAACATTTCTGAAGGTGTTATTTAGTATTCTTTATGCTGTAATAAGGCAAAGGAAGAACAGAGAGACAGAGTTTCAGGTAACTGGCCTTTGAAAAGTGAGAGAGAGAAAGGTTTTCTGTGAGTTCCTGGACTTTCCTGGTTAAGAAAAAAATCCCATCTACCGCAATCTCTAGACAGAGGAGCACTTCCAGCCTTCTAAGTACTTCAACCTTCAGAATGGCCTTTACATACTGTTTTTGTTTTATTTGTTTACAGGGGTTTTTTTCTCCATTATATCACTCTCTAAGAATTTTGATGAAAATAAAATCATCTTGACCAGATCTATTTAATACTCCAGAAGTCACAAGGAAGAGATTCTCTACACTGTCCAGATATCTACTGTGTACTCTTCATGTGTCAAGAGATCTATGGGGGACTGAGATGCAGAGCCCCTGGGACAGCCGCCATCTTTTGCCTTCACGGAGTTTACAGTATTGATTTTGTGTGTCTTTCCTTTTATGACAGGAAGAAAATAATATAAACCTTTTAAAAAAATTTTAAAGAGATTATACAATCTCAGTGTTATGCCAAGATAAACAACTAATTACACACTTTAAATGTGTGTGTTTTTTTATTCTATTAGAAGATGAAAAGATTCGAAATTCTCCCTTCTCTATAATTATAGAATTAAGATTTCTCATTATAAAATCACATTTTAGAGTGTTTAGAATTACTTAATAGCTAAGATCTTGAATCATCTACTAACAAATGATTTTCCTTTTCTTTCCTTGAGAATATGTAACTCCAATTCTCCATTTCCTCACCCCTTACCAGCCCCGCCAGACCCCATACACACTATCCACTCCACCCAAGTGGCATTTTAATTAATGGACAAACTAAACCACCTACACATTTAAAACATATGTATGACATGTCCATAATTTTTAACTCACTGATTCCAATTCACAGAATCCATTATAAGGAAATAATCACAGAAGTGCTCAAAATATATATACAAGAATATGCATTCCAGTGAAAGCAATAAAATGTTAAAAGAAATCTAAATGTTTGGCAAGAAGATAATGGTAAAATAAACAAAGCATGGCATATTCTTGTGCTGCTTTGTTATGCAAGAATTAAAGACAAAGAATATTTAACAAGATGGAAATTTATGCCAGGTGATAAAAGCAGAATATGACATTGCATAGAGTCAATAACCATACTCATGTATATGTTTATATATTTCATTGATTAAAAATGAAAAAAGTACATCAAAATATCACATTTATCTACAAGTAATGGGATTATGGATGATTTTAATTTCTTTGTAAATATAATCAATTATAGCATTAAAAATTCTACAATAATTATTAGTTTTATGCTTACAAAATTTTTTTCTTAAAATCTAACACATATAACCTCAAATGTAATATACCAACAACTAATATATTTTATAGATACTTACATGTAATAAATTCCAATAGAGCAAATTTTACTGAAAAAATTATCTTAAGTTGTATTTATTGGAATCATTGGCAAAGAAAAGAAAGTGTGCCACATTGTCACAGCCTCAGAGAAGTTTCAAAATCACTTATGGTTTATTTAACTTATTTTTATTTGTTTAACTAAAACAAATAAACGTAGTATGTCTCTAAAGTCTTACGATCTACAATCTGAGAAATGGAATACCATCAGTGAAGCCTATGAATCTAAGTTAGTTTATTGTTTATTTAGGTATATACCTCATCAACTTATAAAAGCCTCAGCCATCACAACATTTCTTACATCAGATTTATTATGATTCCTAAGCCTATTGTTTTTAACATCCAATAATTTGAGTAGCCCTGGACACACAGAGCCTTTGAGGCATAGACTCTCAGAATTTTGTTGTTTGAAGAGTTCTCAGCATAAGTGCTGAGAAACTAAAATCTAGAATATAAATAAACTGGTGAAAAAAAGTAATATGGGCAGTGATATTTTGAGAAGAGAAGATGAGTAGCTCATCTGTTTGATGCATGAGAGGTAGTAAAGTAAGAGAGTTCTTTTCCAGCTTGGTTGCATGTGGAAATCTTCTACGGCATTATGTACACCCTCATGTATATGAGAATGTCCTGTGTTGTTATTCTCTGCCTTCTGCTATCTCCTGCTTGTGATCATCAATTTATTTTGTGATCAACTTGTATCATCCACTCTTTAGAGAGTTAAGCTATATTCTGGACAAATAACTGAAAAATCAAACATGAGAAAAATGTGAGAGATGTCAGAATGTGCAGTGCAGAAATGAGAAAGTTTGGGGGACACAGGCATAAAAATGACCTTCAAATACCTAAAGAACAGATACATGGAAGAGAGGTTAAAAGTATATTTTTTCATGGCTTCGGAAGACAAAAATTAGAAAATGAAGAAGTTTTTGGAAGGTATGTCAGTACAATAGAAATGAATACGGGCTGGTCCAGTTAAATCCAGAAGGAATTCAGGCTTATTTGCATGTGTGTGATGTATGTGGGTCCACAAGGGTCTTGGCACCAACTGATTTCTAGGTAAGCTTTTAAATTTCAGACTTAAGGAGAATAGGCTAGGGATATATTAAGAACCTAAAGAGAAGTTTGAAAAAGTCATTGGAAAAAACATAATGGTGTAGATAGCATTTCCAGGATCCCTCAGAAGGAAAGTGGGGGAGGTGGGAGGTTGGAGGATCAAGTTTTATGAAAAGCTCCACGGAGAGAGTGGGGTTCAGGACATGGCTGCCTAGGACACTACAAAGTGATAAAGGGGGTCATAAAATTGGAGAAGTCATTCTCCCACTTTCTGTGCAGAACCTTCTCCAACTTGACCATTCTGGTTTGGAAATCAGCCAGAAGCACCTCTTTCAGTCTTGAAATTGGTGTTATAAGAATGGGCAAAGCCACAGGCATCATAAGGCACTATTTAGACAGACCAATCCCTCTCAAACTTACATAAGAATACAACCAACCTGAGGCTCTTATTAAAATGCTGATCCAATTCAGTGGGTCTGAGGTGGGACCCAAGATTCCACCTTTCAAATGAGCTATCACGTAATTTTGATAGTGCTAGTCCAACAACCACCAGGTAGAAGAGTTTTAGTAGAGATTATTGAGATGAGAAGAAATTGACAAGGAAAATGCTAAGTAGGAGAGGAAAAACTGGGTAGATGCTGAACAGGGTCCGAAACCCACATGGTAGTTTATGAATACTCTGGAAATACCCTCCACACACAATCCAGACATACCCAGAAACGCTGGGAGTACTCCAGCTATCCTAGGTATTTTAAGAACATATATATAGGAAAGGAAAATAAATTTGGGTTATTGATATAAATATGACTCCATCTGTATACCCAGGATGGCAAAGAAGAATTGAGGTTGACTAACAAAGGAATGCGTTAACTTGGAAGATAATAAATCGCTTGGAATGGAAGTATTCAAGATGAACATAAGCAACCCTTACAGGAATGGTAGAGGGCTTGTTGAAGTGACAGCCAAGGTCCTTTCTTATTGTACGTTTTTCTGATTTTATAATGGAATCACTAAGGTGAAAAAGAGTACATTCTTTTATAAAGAGATATCATGGGGAACTAAAAAAAAAAAAAAAAAATTCTGAAGTCCGCTAAGTTAACCAGAGAATGCTACTGCTGATAGAATTGCATTCCAAACTGGTACAGGTCTCTAAGCTCAATGTGTATCCCATGACCTCAGACTCAAGTCCATCAAGTTCTGGCAGATTAGTGCCATTTGATGTAAGGCAAGATAATAAATAGATTGATTTTTAAAAATTATCACTTCTAGGTGAAAAGAAGGAAGGAAGGAAGGGAGGAGACTTACAGTATGATAGACAAGATGAGAAGAGTTAGTTAATGTATTAAAATGGCAGCATATCAATAATAAATTTGACCGATTTCTCCTCAGAATTAAAGCTAAAAATATTCTCTCTAAAACTCTGGCTCAGAAATGGACTGCTTCAAAATTTTAATTTCAGTCTCATTTGAAGCTGCTAAGTCTTCCAGAACAGATTCACAGATGAAAAAGAAAGGTAATAACGCTGTTCAATTACAAATGTGGCTTCTGCCTTCATAGATCAAAGTTCGACTATCTTATAATACTAAAAAAAAAACAGTAAGAGGATTTGCTCTTTGGGTGAGAACAGTTCCAAGAATCCGCCTTAAATTAGCAAACGTTCACCAATCCCTACTAAGTGAGAAACACTTGCTAGGGACTGGGAATGCACAGACAAGACCTGGCTTACAGTCGGATAGAGGTTCCAGCCAGCCAATTAAAAAATCATATAACATGTTAACCACTTAAAATAAGCCTATAAAAAATATATATATGTCAATATATAATATATATGTAATATATACAAGGGATTGGTAAATGTTTGCTAATTAAATTAGCTAATTAAAGGCTAATTTAATTGGTAAACATTTGCTAATTTACATATACATATTTTTTAGTAGTCCTGTTTTAAGTGGTTAGCATGTTATTAGATTTTTTAATTGGCTGCCTGTAACCTCTATCAGGCAAATGAGATGAGATGAAAGAGAAATTTATTCCTCCTTCCTCCCCTGATGGGTGGGAATCTGAAAGAGATGTTACAGAACAGGTGATGTTTGAGCTGGGCCTCAAAGAAGGAGCAAGCATTTCCAGGCACAGAAAACAAAAGCATATATGAAAAGCAAAGGGAAGTGAAAAGTGTGGGCAGGAACTGGGAAAGGTGATTAGACTAGTGCGTATAGCAGGAAGGTGCAGGACAAGGCTGAAGAAGTACATCTGGGCCTTGACTGGCGTTCCCATCAGTCGCTCTAGCCAAGCTTCCCCCGAGCACCTCCTGCTGACATCTTTGAAACATTTGGTATCATAGCCATGGCCTTTACTGACCTCAGAACTTTTATTGGCAAGTTTGGGCTGGCACTAATTTGAGGACTGTTACCTCTGCATCTTGCTCAGGTATGAGATTTTAGAATCCAAGTAGTAAACCCAATTCTGACACTCTCTATGGGAAGTTCTTTGATTTTGCTTGTTTGATTTTCCTATAATGTGCGAAATTGGAGATACATTGCTCTATTCCAAACGTATTTGGCCATAAATTCTTAACATCTTGAAAAAATAATTAGGAATACTTGTTAGACCTATGTTTTCTTTTGTCATATCTTCAATCAGGAAACCATCTCCTGCTGGGCGAATTTTCAGCTGGAGCAGAAGAATGGATTTTAGCAATGGAGTTTAATCAGTTCCCAAACCAACAAGTTGACAGCTTCTCCTTAACCCTTGGGGACAGGTAGCTGAGATGGGTTGAGAGGACAAAAATACTTATTGAGAAACCTATTGATTGTTTCAGACCGGGATACCCTGTGGTCATTTGTGCTCAGTGGGCGAGAAGAGCTTACTGGAACTCTTATTCAAATCCCCCACAACACAGGTTCACTCCCATTGGCATCCACTTCCTGTCAACACTCCATTTTTGCCGACCTCACTCTCATCCTCCTCATCGAGGGGGACGTGAAAATACATTCTGGCCCTGAATTCACAAAAAAAATTCGTGATTCAGTTTAACAAGATCAATTACACACACACGCGCGCGCGCGCGCACGCACACACACACACACACTCAAACCTGAAAAATATTTCAAGGTTTCAATAGACTAAAAAAGAGCCCACATTCTTCTTCCTTTTATAAGCACTCCTTACAGTAATCGGAGAGTTTGCCAAAAAGGCTTCCAGGGCCCATATTTCATCTACCCCAGTGGCTGTAACATACTAGAGAAAATCTGCATCCTTCCCTGCTGAGAATTATTTGCTTGGAGTGTGCTCTGCATAAAAACTATACGGTAGGAAAAATGCCACCCTGTCTAAGCTAGCCAGCATGCCACCAACCTGCTGCCCAAGCTTCTTGCCTGGCAAGCTGCTGATCAAGAGTCCATATTATTTAGCTTTTACGTTCTGAAACCTAATGTGCTGTGTCCTCCCTGAGTATATCATTCACTAGACTCACTCTTATTTTCTTTATGAGGTCTATTTGGTTTCAGAATTGTCCAGATATATTCTTAAGATCAAAATGTCTGAACTGTCATGTACCCAGCTGTGAGCCCCCCAACATCAATGCAGTGAGCTCTGGATTCATTTTTGAGGCAAGTTGAAAGAGCTGGGATATCTACTTCCCTACCAAAGCCTATCATGGCAGCTCACAAAGGAGACCTGGGCTCGAGCTCAGTAAGCTTAGGTTCTAGGTCTACGTATATACCAGTATGAGCTCCAGGTCATAAGCCTCCATCTGTAAAGTTGGAGAATTAACTCCCAGCATCATCTGACTCTAACATACTACTTATATATTTTTAGTCAGGTAAATTAAGGGAATATAATTCTATATGACTTGAAAATTTCAAACATCTCCTCCCCTCAACCTTACATTCTCTTCAAGCAATCCATTGTTGACTTTAAATCCATTAAAAACCATTGTTTTTGTTTTCACCCACCCCCAAAATGATATGTGCGCTTTTCCCTCACCTTTCCTGCCTGCATTTAGCTGGTTAATTTTCATAAATAAATTTCCTTCCTCAAAAATTTTATAGAGAAATGTACTTCCTCAATGAAATTCTTTTTTCTTGTATAATTTATTTTCTGTCCAGAATTTTTTCCCATAGGTAGCAGGTTGGGTAAAAGTTACTGTGTGAAATTAATTGTCACCTTTTGTAAAACTAAGTTTCTGTGTAGTTCAGCTATGCAGTAATGCATACCAGAAAAAGCATGGGCTTTGAAGCCCGACAAGAGCCATTTGGAATTGAAGTTCTGCCACTGTGATCTTAGAGAAAATATGGAGTCCCTCACTTTCCTCATAGCATATTGGGAATAATAGCACCCACTCTGCAGGGCTATTTTAGAGTAGAGATAATATAGACGACTCGTGGAGCATAGTGCCTGTCAAAAAGTAGATATTCTTATTGATGAGAAAATTGTGTCTTTTGTTTAGGGAAGTAGCAGGGTTAAATTAAGTTTTCAGCAATATCTTAGGCAAGATACAAATACAAAAAAAAAAAAAAAAAAAAGGAACATACACTTGCACACATCCTCCTGCCTCCAGCCCTAAGAACTGTTGCTCTCAGAACCAGAAGGGGCCTCAAGAAATCTGGAAAGCTTGGCAAGACGCTTGGTACTGTGCTCCAATGCCACTAGTGGAAATGATACAACGCAAGTTCTTTGGGGGCAATAAGGGAAATTGGTACATATCTTCTATCCCAAATATTTACCCTGTGACGAGAAGTCAAATAATGCCAGATGTATATGAAGAAAGTTGCAGCCATCCAGGATTGAGAACTCAGATCTTTCCAGTTGTTGGTGAGTAGCCCACTGAGGAAAAGGCCTCTTTTCCAATTTCTTTACAAATGCAAGCCAAGTACTAAATTTTGCTGTTGTCAAATGGCATGGGCACAAATAAATACGCACAGCATGGCTTCTCTGTGCCAACTGGTATGTAGATGTAATCATTTCCACAGCATGCCCTCCCTCAGCCCAAGGGTATCAAGCAAAATGTAGCAACTGAGAGACAGGAAGGCTATGGAGCAGTCCAAAGGGAAAGAAAGAGACATGCGGGAACAGAGTCATCCAGGAGTGCTCCTTTCAACCTCACATGGAGCCATTCTAGAGTTATCATCGAACCGATGAGACAGTAGGTAAGTCATTGGTAGAATGCCCTGAGCAGAAACCACTAAACTAGGAGTCCAATCCTTGGATCAGATATTTCCAATCCTCACAGTACCCTAAGACACCCAAGACATACAACATTCTCTCATGGAAACAGTGACTAGGAAAAGGAGGGGTCAGGGACCACCAGTCAGTGGGAGTCACTGTGGAGTTCAAGGCAGGTCCCCACATAATTCAAGTTTACCCCAGTCTTGGTTCCAATCTTTACTAACTAGGAGAACTTAGGCAAATCACTTAACTGTTCTGAAGCTTAGTTTACATAATTGTAAACTAGACAAAGTATTCTCATACCGTTTTGAACATTAAATATGATCATGGAAAAGCACAGATGCATTTCATAAACTGTGAAACACCTTGTACCCACAAATAAACAGATTTCTCACTTTTCTTCATCAGGTGAGGACCCAAATGCACACACACTTACACACAGACACAGACACACACACGTGGCTAAAGAAATCAAGGTTTTGTTGTTTTCTTAGGGTGGCCTTCCTGGACAACCAAGGAGAGCAAGTCAGTGGCGTCTTCTCTCCTAGATCCAGGGACCACAGAACAATCTTTCTGGATTATGACATTTGCAGCAAGCACTTAATATATTAGAAATAAAACCAATTTCTATATCAAACCTGGCATATCTCCCTTCCTTTCCCCTCTGTTTACGTTGGGATAATCAAAGTGTCACTCATTATTCAATTAAATCAAATAAACATCAACCATGTAACAGCTATAAGCCAGGTCCCCTGCTAGAGGTTATGGTAGATAAAGATAGAAATAACATGGTCTTTGTCCTCTGTTTGTTCATGTTCATGTTCATGTTGACATGAAAGCAACTAATAACAAGGCAAAAGTGAAGTCAGTACCAAATGGACTACAAGAGCACAGAGGGGGGTATCATCTTTTTTCTGATGAGACAACAGAAAGTAAAAATTTAAGCAAGCCAAATATGCTTTTTGTGAACAGCTCTGGATGGGATTTCTGATCAGGGGATTACAATGTTTGCTAAAATTACACGTTTTGATGCTTGGTATCTGAATGCCAGTGTAAACTGCTACTAATACAGATTTGGGGGGTGATGCCTCAAGGTCAACTGAATTTCTTCATAATCCTGTAAATATAATGCCCTAAAAATTGCGATTGCTCTTTTGTTTTGTACATAGTCCCTGGTGTTTACTTTGTTTGTATTCTGTTTTTTATCCAGATGTATTGGTTTTGTTTTGCAGAAAGAGCAAGGCTCTATGAATGAAGGAAACCAGACTTCCATTAGTTTCTTTCATACGTTTGCCTACAGTAGAATGCTGTCCTCCTTAGGTGTAAAGAACATAAACGAGTCACTGCAGTGCAGATTCAGCAGAAGGAGGAGAGGCTGTAAGAAAATCAGCCAGAGACCAAGGAAGTCCAATAACTTCACCAACTTCACCTCTCTCTCGGCTATTATTCCCTGTTGGATTTTTTCATGGTGCATCAGAGCTGAGCCCTTCTTTGACAGCCCCTTACAGGAGCCTCAGAAGTAATCATGACTAGTTGCCAAAACTGCATGTTTCAAAAAGTAATTAGTTTATGGAGCCTCCAAAAACATGCTCGACTGTATAATCAATTTTAAGACTAGGTTATCACAGGATGTGACAGAAGGTTAATTAAATGTGAAAACACACCATATCTTGAACTAGATTGAGATGACATGACATTATGAGGCTCCGTGGTTTAAGTTCCTTTTTTCCATATTTTCTTTAGAGTTGGTAATAGCAAAAATTAGTGAAATTTGCTAATACTTTCCATAGAAATATACATAGGGCATACAACCCAGTAGCAAATGCGGAACAATCTCTTAGATAAAAAAAAAAATCCCACATGAAACTGAATGAAAAACTAATAAAATCCCTATTAAAATAAGGCTGGTATGTGCAGAAAGGCAGTTAGGCCTGTTTCTATTTATATCAACATAGGAAAAACATAATTTAGATGAATATCTAAATATTAATTTACAATTGTCATGCACATACCTATATTTTGTGAATGTATTTTGAAAATCCTTCCAATACCAGCGAATGCTACAGATAAACTAGACAAGAAGAAGATGAAGAGGAGGAGCAGAGAGAAGAGGAGGAAGGAGAAGGGGGAAAGTGATTCACTTATTTAGGTGTTCATTTATATTTTTTCTCATGTGAATAATACAAGTAGAGGTAATAAACTGACTTCAATGCTGCAAAGCTTTATTCTTCTCTTTAAACTTTAAAAAATCATTTTTCATCAGTATTATAAAATAATTATATAGCATCTTCCTTGTTAAAGGACTATATTAGGAAAAAATTAGCTTCGTAGCAAGGAGAAAGTTGCTTTTAAACATTTCCATTTACTATATATTATGTGTGTATACAATGATTGTAAAATTAATTTATTTTTGTGATTAGGTAGCATAATCACATAGTTTAAAAACCGAAAGTGTAAGAGACCATACATTTTAAAAGTCTCTATCCCCTATTTGTGATCCATCAGTACCCTTCCATAGAGCAGCCATTTTGTCATGTTTTACTGCATTCTTCCAGAGATACTTTATGAAAACATTAATAAGAAGCAAATAGGGTACAGACTACTGTCATAGTCCTGTACCTTTGCTCTGTCTACTTAACAAGCTTGGGAAATAGTCCATATAGCACATTAAAAGCTTTGTTATGTTTCAAATATATAGGATTTCATTTTATAGATGTGCCATCATTTAGTTAGTACTTAGGTTGTGTCTAATCTTTTGCTTTTATAGATGATTCTATGATGTATTACTTTACATAATCATCTTTCACATGTCCCAGGATATCTGAGGTAAATTTCTGGAAGTAGAATTGCTGGATCAAAATATGTATATCTGTAATTTTGACAGATGTTGCCAAATTGTCCTTGATAAATATTATACCAATTCTCATACTTGTATTATGAGTACCTGTTCCCCTTGCAACTGAGTCAATAGAGTGTGTTATAAAATTTTCTCATCTTTGAAAATTTGTGGATTTAAAAATGGTATATTGATGTTTAATTTTTAGTTTGCTTTTTTCTTATTAAGACTGAGATTGAGCATATTTCCATATGTTTAATAGCCACTTGAATGTTTTCTGTTTTGAAATTATTTTTCTATATTAAAAATTTAAAAATGAGAACCTAATAAGTTCAGGCTGTTACTGCCTTTTAAAAATTAAACAAGAAACATTAGTGTCAAACACTAATGCTTTTCAGAAAGCAATACAGATTCTAGGTTTTTTCTTAAAAACTGAGCAAATACATAAAGGAAAAATCTCTATTTTCAGAAAATAAACTTTTTTTAAAAAGTCATATTTTTTCAAGTACTTTGTTACTAGGTGTCTAGATTATCCCAAAGGGTATTTAGGTAATAAAATATTGAAAAGAAAAACACAAAATACATTCAAAAGGAAAAGGGCATGAACAAATACAAATGGAAACAAATAATGGGCAAAACAGTTATTAGATGTCATGTTTCTAAACTTTAAAAACCTAATACCATGAACTGCAATTTTTCCCAAGATCCCAAGGTTAGGATTAAAGGGTTAAAAGTAAATTGATAGCTAGCTTGTTGGGTAAAATTAGATAAATAGATGATATTAGAAAGATGAGACAGTCCCTGTTGACCCACATTCTGTAGCTTCTTATTTCCTCAGATTGCTCTTTGCTCTGACAGTGCTGCAATGCATAAAGTCTACAAAATTTTCTCACGGCTGCTATAATGACTGCCATTTTTAACACAAATTAAATGCTCACCAAGAATAAGTAAATGATTAAATGCTTCATAACCTGACCCAGTAAGTGGTTGGAGGTTTCAATGCCAATCACCAATGTATCATCTCAATCTTTTGAAATAATTAGCATATGTTATTTATTTCATGGTCTCATCAGTGATTAATTTTCCAGGCAGTCAATTAATTATCTACTACCAAAATTAACAGTAAATATTTTTCAACGCTTTTTTTTCTGCTCTTCAGGATCAAATCATATTCCTTAAGTATACACCCTATATTTGGGCATAGTTAAAATTAAAAATTAAATACTCCATTCAAAGACTCTGTCACTATCCAAGAGAATCTATAAGGAAAATTTCAGCTGGGTAGACATTTGCATGTCTTTTTCTCTCAGAAATGGACTAACTGTAGGCATTTTGGATATAAATTAAATATCGACAGGAATTAGTCATCATTAGAGTAAGAAGGAATAAGTTAAACGCTACATATACATGCCAATTTGTTTGTTTGTTGTTTGTTTATTTAGAGAATGGGCCTTGCTCTGTCACCCAGGCTGAAGTGCAGTGGTGCTATCATAGCTCCCTGCAGCCTCCAACTCCTGGGCTCAAACGGTCCTCCCACCTCAGCCTCCTCAGTAGCTAGGTGTGCTCCACCATGTCCAGTTAATTTTTAAACAAATTTTGGTAGAGGTGGTGTCTCACTGCATTGCCCAGGCTGATGTCGAACTCCTGGCCTCAAGCAATCCTCTCACCTCAGCCTCCCTAAGTGCTGGGGTTACAGGCATGAGCACTATGCCTGGCCTATACTAATTATTTTTAAACAAAAAGTATCACATGCTCATGCTCACTGTTAAAGATTTTTAAAATACAGAAGAGTGTAAATATGAGACGTATTACTACTAACCAAATACAACTGCTATTTATTATCAGCTTAAAAATCTACATGCTAGGATATGCTTGGAAGAGCTATAATCATTTAATTAAAAAAGAAAATGAACGATTCCTATTGTATTCCTTTGCACAGATAACAAGTCCATAGAGAGGTTTAGCAATTCACCCAATATCACATAGCTAGTAGCATAGGAGTCAGATATCTATTTTGATATATAGTTTGTAATATAATAAATAAAATTTTATCTTATATTTTGTACTTAACATTGTCTCAGGGGCATTTCTCCAATTAACAAATATAGTTGGAAAATATAATTTTAATAAAACATATAAAATACTATATTTTATTATGTAGGTTATTTTTAGTTTTATTGCTATCATAATACACTATACCGAATACTATAATTAAACACTTATATGTAAATTTTATTCATTTTTCTGATTATTTTCCTAGGACAATTTCACAGGTGTGAAATTATCATGCCAAAGGATTAAATATATCAAATTATTGTTAAAAGTACAGCAATTTCTACTCCCATCAGTACAGTATAGAAGTATCTATTTTCCTCTGTCCTTGACAACAACAGAAGCATACAAATATCCTTTTGAGGCACAAGAAAAATACTAACAGTTTTCTAACTTGCTTATTAGTAGGGATATCATTTATTTGAAATTTTTACAAGATAATTGCAGATTCACATGCAACTGTAAGAAATAATGTAGAGAGAACCCGTGTATACTTTACGTAGTTTCCCCCAATGGTAATATTTTGCAAAACTATTACAGTCTTACTACCAAGATATTAACATTTATATAATTCACAGACCTCAGTTTGACTTGTACTCTGTGTGTGTGCATGTGTGTGTGTGTGTGTGTGTGTGTGTTTAGTTATATACAATTTTATCATATGTAGAGGTTCATGTGGAGGCCACCACAATCAAAATGAGTTTTGTCACAGGTATCTTTTATGTTGCCCTTTTATAAACATACTCTCCTTTCCTTTTCCCACCCTACCAACTGATCTCTAACCTCTGGAAACCACTAATCTGTTTTCCACTTCTAAAATTTTGTCATTTAAAAAACATTACATGAACGTGATTATACAGTAAATAACCTTTGGTGACTGGCTTTTTTCACTCAGTATAATTCCCTGGAGATTCATCCATGTTGTTAGATATCAATAGTTTGTTTCTTTTTATTGTTGAGTAGTATTTCATGGTATGAATGTAACACAGTTTGTTAAACCATTCTCCTGTTTTAGGATATTTAGGCTGTTTCTACTTCAGAGCTATTTTAGATAAAGCTGCTATGAACAATCATATACAGGTTCTTGTGGGAATACACTTTTGTTTTTCTGGAATAAAACTCAAGAGCATAACATAAATAAAAACTGCCAAATTGTTTTTTCCAGAGAGGCTATACAATTTTTCATTCCAACCAAAGGAATACACACACACACACACACACACACACACACACACACACACACACAGACATATATGTATATATATATTAGTGTGTGTGTGTATATATATATATACTATTTTTCATTCCAACCAAAGTTTCATATATATACATAAATATACAAAGTAAATTCGGGGCAGCAAATAGATGGAGGACACTGTGAGCCTGTGATTTCATTATAGATTTAATGTATATATAGCAAATATATACATTAAAAAAGTATATATACATTTATGTATATATACACATAAATATATACATAAATACATATATACACATATATACATAAATATATACTTTTTACTATAAAAGTTGACGCAAAAGTAATTGTGGTTTTTACCATTACTTTCTACATAGATATTAATATATATACACACACACACATACACAATCCTATCGGTTCCGTTTCTCTGGAGAACCCTGACTAATATAGGTATGGAGAATATTCTTATTATTTTTATTGGCCACTGAATGCAGAGCTAAGAACCAGAGGCTGAGACTGTTTTTGCCACCAATTTACTGTGTGATCTTGAGCAAACCATTTCCTCTCTCTGGAACATGGTTTCTGTAAACTACAAAGTTTCTAATAATGTTTAATTTTAACTTTATATGAATATAAGATAAAACAGACTATCATGACTGACTATGAGGTTTAGAATCTAGGAAGAATCTGTAAATTATTTATCTTCTGAAAGACAAAGAATTAATTTGCTTAATGAGTAGGAAATGCTATTTTTGGAGAACAAGGTAACATGTGGGCCCTAGAGCATATCATGTTCTCCAAAAGTAACCCACTGAACACAGCAAGTTGATTTACTTCATCTGAGACAAACTCCAGAAAGTTTTTCCCTTGTCCTGCATTACTGCAGAAATCACCTAATCACCACCATGACTGATCCTATATTTATTTATGAAAACTTTTTCTCTAAAGAGTTTAAAATGTTGGGGAGATATTACTAGTTAGGCTTCAGAAAAGCCTCATAAAATAGAAAAAGGAAACCAGCGATCTCAAGAATGCAAACTTCTGCATCTGCAAAAATGGGCTCAGAAGTCAGATGAAAACAGATTCTAGATTGGACTTTTGATTGTTTGTGCTGCTGGGGCTGAGTAAGCAATAAAAACTAACTTCCCTGCATTATTTGGCTCCCAGACTTCAAGTGACTGCTGGAAAGAGTGTGCCAATAAACTTCTTTATTGGATCTTTGAGCATCATCCCAATTCATGAATACAAAAAAGTACAAAGGCAAATGATGATAAGAGAAAATACTACAAACAGAATGTTGCAGAGACTTCACGGTCTCTAAGGTAGTCTCATCTCCATTCCTACCTCAGAACCACGTGGAGTGCCTGTTCAAAGCACAGATTTCTGGGATCTGTCCGCGACTATTTCAAGCACAATCTGCGAGGATATAACACAAGAACACGTATTTTTAACACGCTCCCTAGGTAATCCTTATTAGCAACTTAGTGCCAGCCTGAGATAGTCTGGATGAGCTCCGGCCCAAATCGCATGTTGAACTGGAATCCCCGGTATCAGAAGTGGGGCCCAGTGGGAGGTGATTGGATCATGGGGTGGATTTCTTATGAATGGTTTCACACCATCCCCTTGGTGCTGTCCTCGTGATAGTGAGTGAGTGCTCAAGAAATCTGCTTATTTAAAAGTGTGGGGTACCTCCCTGCCCGCCTCTCTTGCTCCTGCTCTGGCCATGTGATGCGCCTGGTCCCTCTTTGGCTTCTGCCATCATTGTAAGTTTCCTGGGGCCTCCCCAGAAGCCAAGCAGATGCCAACATCGTGCTTCCTGTACAGCCTGCAAAACCATGAGCCAATTAAATCTCTTTTCTTTATAAATTACCAAGTCTCAGGTATTTCTTTATAGCAATGCGAGAACAGCCTAACACACAGCCCATGGCCTGCTATTTGGGAATTATTAATATAGAGAAATGCTTTCATTTTATAGATACGGAAATCAGGGCTAAAAAAAAAAAATTACCCAGGGTCATGCCCCTGATACCTAACAAAGGCTGAACTAGAACTCTTCCACGCTTCCTGTGCTCTTAACGCTGTGTGACACATTGTTGCTATAAAAAAATTCAATTTTTTTTTTTTTTTTTAGATGGAGTCTTGCTCTGTCGCCCAGGCTGGAGTGCAGTGGCGCGATCTCGGCTCACTGCAAGCTCTGTCTCCCAGGTTCACCCCATTCTCCTGCCTCAGCCTCCCGAGTAGCTGGGACTACAGGCGCCCGCCACCACGCCCGGCTAATTTTTTTTTTTTGTATTTTTAGTAGAGACGGGGTTTCACCATGTTAGCCAGGATGGCCTCAATCTCCTGACCTCGAGATCTGCCCGCCTCGACCTCCCAAAGTGCTGGGATTACAGGCATGAGCCACCGCGCCCGGCCCACTTTTTTTTTTCTTAGAAAAACTATATTATGGCCTAGTCTGGTTCCAAACTTCTTCACTCTTCTTCCCCCCAACAGCTGAGGCTAAAGCTATGTTTCACATCTGCAGGCACTTCCAATTCTGGCTTTCCCCCCAAATTTTGCCTCATAACACAATTTACTAAACTGTCTCCGGTTCCATATTCTGGAGTTCAAACGTATCAAGTCCTTGCCAGCAGCTTATTCCTTATCTCTTTCTCCAGTTCCTGAGCCATTGCCACTTTTTTTGCCTTTGTTCTTATGAGAAGGATCTTTTTTTGCTAACCTGCTTCAGAGTTCAGTGTCCTCCATCTATTTGCTGGCCCGAATTTGCTTTTCACTTCCCCTTTCATAGAGAAGAGTCCTATTCCTAAACTTCAGGCTAGACACTAGGTCCTACGACTCTGATGCCAGTGTCTGGATATTTGAGACTAACTGTGTCCTCACACTCCTCTAGCATCCATCACGACATCTAGCCCAACTACTGGAACGTAATGTCACTTCATCCAGTATAGCACTCCTGGCTTCCCACAGCAACTGTTTAACTATAACTGAAAATCTTGCTAACATCATTTGTTCACCACATTGAGCCCTCATTTGCAGCCACACCTGGATAATTTTCCTAACTCCTTGTACCACACCAGTGGGCAAGTTTAGCACCTGGATGTTTTGGTCTACATAATTCCTCCACATTCTTGCTGAAAGTAAGTGGCCTTGTCTATTTAAAGTGGAGCTCTAAAAAATGGCATGCCACTTCACACACTGTGATTTAACTTCCTCTCTCCATTACTAGACATGACACATTGAAGGCAGGTGGCATACCCCATTATAGTTATCATTGTATTTCTGCATATAAGGCAGTGGAATGGAAACTGGAAGGCTAAAGACAGAGCAAATGGGTTTTGCAATATGTGATATACTATAAACCTAGAAAAATTATTTGGCCATTTAAAGCATGGTCAGGAATAGTTTGTGGGTGCTGCCTGGGGTCTTCACATGCTAGTGGGGGAAGCTCATCAATGAGTAGAGCCCTAAACTCCTGGGAGTCCAGCTCCAGCAGCAATATCTACTCCTTTTACATATTAGTAAATCACTGAACTGCTCCATTTCAGCTTCCATGTTACAAAAGAACCCAACTCATAGTTCTCTCAGGAGAGCAACGCAAACAAATTAGCCAACAGTTGCCAAATCATCTAAAAATGAACTGAGCTAAATAGCTTTACACATGCATTTTCTCCTGGAATTCCATATTACACTTACGATGTGGTACATGGAGCTCCTTCCCCCCATCTAATCCAAGGCAAATGAGAAGTGTGACTTTCCTAAGAGAGGGTGAGTAGTAATTGAAAACCAGAGCATGGAATTCAACACCCACTGAAATTTTTATTTTAACTTGATATACATATTTTACTTATTAAACCATAGCATAGCAATTTTGCTTATCTGTAGAGAAAAAGAAATGATTTTGACTAAAAAAAACCACTGCCAGAAAGTAAAAATGCATTAATCATCTCATTTTAACCACTGCACTCACTTTTTCCCCCAGTAAGTAAAGACTTACAAAATTTTGTTGACATCAAGCTTCAAATGCCAAGCAGGTAAAATGACAACTAAATATTGCTAATTCTACTGTGAGAGAGCAGGCATAATGTGCTTAATGCTTTGGTTGATGCACAGTTAATGCTCAGTAATGGTTAGATATATTTCCCAACACTAGAAAATGGAGTTTTAAATTCGCAGATATTTGTAGAGCACTTTAAATGTGATAAATGTATTCTTAATTTGATTCTGGTTCATTAATTCTTATCGAAACTCTCAGAGGTAAAAATCATCATCCCCATTTTACAATGAAGTAAATAAAGGTTTGAAGGTGTATTTGTTTCCTAGGGTCATCATAACAAAGTAGCACAAAGGGGCACCTTAAAACAACAGAAATGCATTTTCTCATGGTTATAGAAGCCAGAACTCTGAAATCAACGTGCTGCAGGGGTGGTTCCTTCTAGAAGCTCTGGGGGGGAATCTATTCCATGCCTCTCTCCTAGCTTCCGGTGGTTGCAGGCAATACTTGGTGTTCTTGGCTCATCGATGCATCAATTCAGCCTCTGCTTTCATCCCCACTTTGGCATTTTTCTCTGTGTGCCCTCTCCTTTTTGCTTTGTTTTGTTTTGTTGTGTTGTGTTTGTTTGTTGAGGCAGAGTCTCGCCCTGTTGCCCAGGCTGGAGTGCAGAGGCATGATCTCGGCTCACTGCAACTTCCACCTCCCAGGTTCAAGCAGTTCTCTTGCCTCAGCCTCCCGAGTAGCTGGGATTACAGGTGCACATGACCATGCCCAGCTAGTTTTTGTATTTTTAGTAGAGACAAGGTTTCATCATGTTGGTCAGGCTGGTTTTGAATTCCTGACCTCAAGTGATCCGCCTGCCTCTGCCTCCCAAAGTGTTGGGATTACAGGTGTGAGCCCTCGCGCCCGGCCTCTCCTCGTCTTATCAATCATTGGATTTGGGACCCCCTTTAAGCTAATATGGCTTCATCTTAATTCAGGATCCTATTTCCAAATAAGATCGCATCCTTAGGTTCTTGGCGGACATTAATTTGGGAAAACACGATTCATCACTACGGAAGAGTTAAAAGATTCCCCCAAATCACACAAGTAATAGGATGTGGAGCCAAGACCACAACAAAAGTATATTCAACCCTTATCCAATTCACTCCATTTTTCTATAACATTATGCTGCCCAAGTCAGAGAAGTTAGGATGTGCTGCTGTAGCACTGGAGTCATTCCGTATCACCCTGCAAAAGCCCCCGCTTCATTCAACTTCTTTTAATTTACAATAATCAGCACAGGATTAACTATCTGTGACAGTCCTATATGGAGGCTCAACTCCCTTCAGCCAACAGCTGAAAGTTTAGGGTTTTTGTTGCTCATGATACCCGAACTGGACACCTGGCCATCATTTTCAGTAACCTCTCTCACATCTCAACAACCCTTCATGCGCCTTTATGTTAAACCAAGGTGAATTAGACAGGTGCCTGCATCTCCTCCACCTTTTTATAACTGTATATCGTTGTTGCTTCTCCTGAAATCCCTGTCTGCTCAGGTCATATCTGCATGCTCAAAATCCATTTAGGTCTAAATTCATTCCTAAAGGCCCAGTGCAGATATAAATCTGTCTCCTCAATTACCATAGCACTACCTCTTTGCTTCAAAGGATACGAAACAAAATGTAATTTTCATCATACTTTATTCTTCCTTCCTTTTTCTTTCTTTTTTCCTTTTTTCTCTCTTTCATCTTTTTCTTCCTGTATACACATGATGCCTACACACGTAGATTCATATACACATGCGCACATACACGTACGTCCAGTCAGCCCTCATATTCATGGGTTCTACATCCATGGATTCAACCAAATGCAGATCGAAAATATCCAAAAAATAAAATTAAAATGTAATACAATAAGAATAAAATTAAATTTAAAAATAATACAGTATAACAATTATCTACATAGCATTTACATTGTATTAGAAATTAAAAGTAACTTAGACATGATTTAAATTATACAGGGAGGATGTGCATAGGTTATATGCAAATACTACACCATTTTACATAAAGGACTTGCGCATCCATGGATTTTGGTATCCACAGGATGTCCTCATGGATACTGAGGGATGACTATATATACATATATGCACACACATTCACATCCACCTAATTCCAAAAGAAGAAACCGACATCTGAGAGAGGAAGCCCCATACCTTACTATCTCTCAAGAGTGTATACTGCAGTATACTTTGTTCCAAGAAGGTGTACAATAAATCACTAATAAATGAATAAATTACTTTATATATTTAAATGACTTTATAGAAACTTAAATTACTTAAAATTAATTAGCTAAATTAATTAATTTATATATTTAAGAAGAAAATAACTGTGAGTGTTTAAAAAGAATAACTGATTTTAGGTATAAGTTCACAATAGGGATGAGAATAATTTTTTTTCTTTTTTGCAACAGAGTCTCACTCTGTTTCCCAGGCTGGAGTGCAGTGGCATGATCTCCACTCACTGCAACCTCTGCCTCCCAGGTTCAAGCGATTCTCCCGCCTCAGCCTCCTGAGTAGCTGGGATTACAGGCGCGTGCCACCACACACGGCTGATTTTTGTATTTTTACTGGAGACGGGTTTTTGCCATGTTGGCCAAGCTGGTCTCGAACTCCTGACCTCAAGTGATCCACCCACCTCGGCCTCCCAAAGTGCTGGGGTTACAGGCATGAGCCACCACGCCTGACGGAGAATAATTTTTAAAATACTATGATCTATTACTATAATCACATAATAATTGTAAGACATTCTTACAGTTTTAAAAGATAGAGCTATAACATGATTTAGAATCACTTGTCCCCCGTGTTAGTGTTTAGAATGTTTTAATTTTTTTCAAGTACCTCTTTACTCATAACTCTTCTTGCTTTAGGCCAACCTGATTGTGTTTTAAAAATCACTGAAATCCCTACATATACACATGTACATTTTGATGCTAGAATTGATACATATATATGGTATTGCATATATCACAGAGAATTACTGTTTAACTTAAGTACAACCTGGTAAAGCTTTGTTGATTTTGCTACGTCACTTTACAATACTTAATAACTTGTCATTAAACCCTGTACTATACCAGCACCTAAAAGTGCTTGACCGTAGTAAGTTTTTATAATGCTTATGACTTGGCCTGACACCGTGTATACATTAATCCAGAAACCAGAGAAAACAATCAGTTATTTGATATCACTTCAACCAATAGATGGTTTAAAATCTTGCTGTACATTTTTTTCTTTCTGTTCTTTTTTTACGTGTGGGGAGGGAGTTTATTGGAAGTAGAGGTCCATCCTTTTAGTATATGTTAGTGCTATAGAGGTGGTTTCTCTTCTGAAGTTCTATGGAGAAGTCTGGATAAGATGTAGAACTGATTCTCTTTTAATTGATGGAATCATATAATCTCATGATCAGACCTTAAAGATCGTTTGGTCATCAAGTCTTAATTGATGATGTCTGTATCAAAGTACACAATATATGTTGTCTCAAGCACCTCAAAGATAGAAATCAGGTGTCTCTCTCTTCACAAATACAACCAATTGACACTAGCTACCCGAAACACTGCACTGAGGAAGATTCTGAGACTGAGACAGGGAGCTGGAGGATAAATGGCATATGTGTTCTTCCAATAAATATTTATAGAATAGAAATCCTTGATGTACTGAGACCTTTCTGCTCAAATACAATCATGTAATGTATAGAAACTCACCTTATATGTTATATAACTAGGAAGACACTAGATCACCCTAGATTGTCAGTTCTGAATATTTGGATACTTTGATCCATAGCTACCCTGTTCTATGTGGTAGCCACTAGTCAAATGTTTGAAATTAAATAAAAGTTGAAATTTATTTCCTTGGTTTTATTTCAAGTTCCACATTTTGAGGGTTCAAATGCCACATGTGGCCACTATATTAGACAGCCCAGACAGAGGACATTTCCATCGCTGCAGAAAGTTCTCTGAACAAATTTCAACAACCACTATAAACTACCACCATTTCATCATGTTGAAATCTGCACAAGTCAATTCTTAACAAATAGTTTCATAAATCTCTTCCAAGGTGTCATGCTACATCTTTACTTCTTTTCTCCTTCATGAGTCAAGGATATGACAGTGTCTAGTCCCCTGAAAATGGGTGTGGGTACATGTGTATGTATCAGAATTGGTGCAGAGTTTGAGGAAGAGTCATAGCTATTGGCTACTCTGCCTGCTGAATCCTTCTGTGCCATGAGGTAACCTAGCCATACTGGTCAGCAGAGGTGACTTCAGGGGACTTCTCCCTGATGACTCAGGCACTCAGGAGAGCAACAGCGATGTTATCAGAGAGGACAATTCCAAAATGCTATATGTGTATCATACTAAATTAAAAGCAGAAATGGAAACAAGGATACAGTCAGTGTGGCCAGGGTACTAAGAAAGGCCATGAGAGGAGAAGGGCAATGGCAATGAAGAGAGTGTTAACTACTGATTAGGGAGGTGGGAGAAGGGAGGTGATAGGAAGCCAAAGAGCTATGGGCCTGCACAGAATTACCTGACAATCCACCTTAGCCTGATTATCATAGGCTGTCAGCTCAGCCAAGTGAGGGATGACTGAGAACACAGCTGATAAATAGATGTTTCCTTTATTCTTCCTTTTATAGCGTCTCTCCCTCGCTCCTATTTCTTTGGATAAGGCAATGGAAATCTTGCGGAATGCTGACAATGCTTTTGGCTGGTTTTATAATGACACTTCAGTGATGCCAAGCTTCTATGGCCCTCTTCTCAGGACGCCCAGAATAGCCATGTTCTGCACCTCTCCTCTGGCCACCGACGTGCAGGCCGCCTGGCATTTCTTTCAGTGCTTTCACTCATATTTCCTTTCAGCTTAAATTATGACCATAAGCTCTAGGAGGACAAAATTTGTATCATATTTGTGGCCCCTGACAGTTATTAGCATGGTGCCCCAAACATCTATAGGCAATATGGCATTGACATTGCATTCAGGCACTAAAGTACATTTGCCTGGGTTCAAATTTCACCTCTGCCACTTACCAAATGTGCCTTTCAGAAGGTAGACCTCTCTGCATTCAGCTTCATTTTCCTTCTCTGTTAAATGGACCATAGGCTCTGTGCTAAGAGCTGTATTTTTAGGAAGTCTTGTCAAAGTTTGTGGTGTTTAGCTTCTTTTGAGAGTAAAGATTATAGGACGCCAGAACTGGAAGGGATCTTTTGAGTCACAGAATAGAATTCTTTTCCTAAGTAATAAAAATCTTCAGATAAAAGTGTAAAAGGAAACAATATATATAAGAAAAAATAATAAATGAGGGTTCTTGGGCATATAAGTCTTTAATATTTGTTGGAAAGTACTTAACTGTTGGTAGAAATTTTGAAGCATCTGTTCTAAGCCTTAAATTCCAAAAAGCACAATTTGAAAATCAAGTATAATCGTCCAATTTAGCAAGAAACCTGAAATGCAGAAAGAAAAGAAACTTGCTAAGAAGGGGAAAAGCTGAGTCTCTAAAGAGGTGGCTTGCCTCCAGGCCAGTGTTCTTTCTATTCATATTATAACATGCTGGCTGGCTTTCACATTATTGCAAGTGAGCCTTAAATGGCATGACATCTAAAAATGGTAAGCCTTGCCAAAGCTATGTGTGTGTGTGTTTGTGTGTGTCTATATATGTGTGTGTATATATGTACATATATAAATAATAGCAGAGTAACTTAGGGCCTGTCTCAAGTGACTCTTATCTAAACTATAATGCTGACCAACATAAAAGGTCAATTACAACTATTAGTGAATTATTGAATACAACTTATTGTTCTTCCTTCCATTAGACATAGCCTTAGTGACAAAAAAATTATAAACAAGGATTAAGTTACTAAATCACTTGGTCTTAGTTGGAAAAAGATTCTTTCTTTTGATTCTTTTTATAGCAATGATGATGTTACTTAAATACTACTCAATTGTGTAAAGCTTTAAGAGAAGGAGGCAGTATCTGTGTACCTAATGACTCTGCGGGGAAGAGGGAAAGATTTCATTAAAATGTTACCTGTAGCTTCATGCACTCTGCAAACAAAGTCAAATGCCAGCTTGTTTCAAAATTACTGCCATTATATCCTAACAGTAAAGCACTCACTGGCAAATACTAGAGGAAATAATAAACAATGATAGCTCTTAGCAATTGAATAATACATTTTATCCACGGATTTGAAAGTTCTTTAGAAGCATTAACTAATTAAGTTTCACCACATGCCCACAAGGTAGGTATTAGTTCTCTGTTTTATAGATGTGCTCATTTAGCATGAGTTACAGCCCACATTTGTGGGAGTATTGGATGGGAAAAATCCCACGGATCAGATTCACTAGGCTGTGCAGTAATAACATGGCAGTGTCCCAAATGATTCCCAGGAGGCATTGAAGAATTAATGCACATCCAAAACACCTAATTTAATAGAAACTTCCGAACCAAGGCAAACTGAACCCTAAAAGATGTAGAAATTCACTTCTGGCTTTCCCTGCATTTAATGCTTTTGCACTACAAAGGAAACAATCAGCAAAATAAAATGGAAACCTATGAATTGGGAAAAAAATATTTGCAAACCATACATCTGATAAGGGATCAGTATCCAAGATTTATAAAGAACTCATACCATTCAATAGTAGAAAAACAAATAACCTGATTTTAAAACGGGCAGAGGACTTGAATAGACATTTCTCCAAAGAAGACAGAAAAATGACCAATAGGTATATAAAAAGGTGCTCAGCGTCATTAATAATCCGGGAAATGTAACTCAAAACCACAATGAGATATCACCTCACACCTATGAGGATGGCTATTACCAAAGAGTTAAGAGATAGCAAACGTTGACAAGGATGTGAAGAAAAGAGAAGCCTTTTACACTATTGGTGGAAATGTGGATTAACGTAACCATTATCGAAAGCAGTATGGAGATTTCCAAATAAATTCAAAATAGAATTACCACAAGACCCAGCAATCCCTCCTCTGGGCATACGCCCCCAAAAATGAACTCACCACCTTGTAAACATATCTGAACTCCACATTCATTGTAACGTTATTCACAATAGCCAAGATATGGAAACAATGTAAGTGTCCATCATCAACAAATAGATAAGGAAACGGTGGTATACACAGTCTGCCCTCCATGAGTTCCACATCTGTGGATTCAACTAACCACAGATGGGAAACATTTGAGACAAAAACTGCATCTGTACTGAACATGTACAGGCTTTTTTCTCATCATTATTCCCTATATAATGCAGAAAAACAACTTTTATAAAATTTACATTGTATTAGATATTACAAGTAATGTAGATCTTATGTCAGAGAATTGAACATCTGTGGATTTGGTATTCTTGGGAGGTCCTGAAACCAAACCCCTATAGACACTAAGGTAGGACTGTATATACAATGAAGTGTTATTCAGCCTTAGAAAAGAAAAAGATCCTGCCATTTGCCACAAAATGGATAAACCTGGAGGCCAGTAAGTGAAATAGGCCAAACACAGAAAGAAAAATATTGCCTAATCTCACTTATATGTAGAATTAAAAAAAAAAAGTGAAATATACAGAGATGAGAATAAAACAGAGGTTACCAGGGGCACGGGATGGGAATGGGGGAAGGAAATGGGGGATGTAGGTCATAGGTTGTGAGGTAGCAGATCTGGAGGATGTGGTACAACATGAGGACTACAGCTAATAAATGTGTGCTGTATTTGCTGAATGGGCAGATTTTAGCTGCTCTTGACATTAACAAACAAAAAACCATGGGCAACGATGTGCAATGATGGATATGTAAATCTGATTTGCTCTAGGAACCATGTTACTATCTATATGTATCCATAACATCATGTTGTATATATCAAATATGGACAATAAATTATATTTTAAATTTAAAGAAATAAAAATAAAAGAGTGAAATAAAATAAAATAGAAGCCAAAAGCTTGCCGGGAGAATGTTTTTCACAGGCTAATTTTATATATCACATATAAGTAAAGATGAACTCCAACAGAGGTAGGTTATTCAGAGCCATTAAATCACAAAATATTAGCAAAAGAAAGCTGCTAAGAGGTCATAGAATGGTACCTCCGTTATTTTATAGGAGGAAAAGTGAGGTTCAGAGGATAACATGGCCTGCCAGTGTCCACACAGTCAGCCCAATCTTACATAAAATGTGTTAAAAACTTGAGTAAATAAATAAAAATTTTGGTTGGTAAAAGTTCATTTTTCTATATACAATTTGCTCTAAATTAGTGTTTGGCAAATTGTGACCCATGGGCCAATTTTGGACTGTAGCCCATTTTTGTATAGGCTGAGAGTTAAAACCCCTTTTTTTTGTTTGTTTGTTTGTTTGTTTGTTTGTTTGTGTGAGACAGGGTCTTACTCTGTTGCCCAGGTTGGAGTGCAGTGTCCCGATCATGGCTCACTGCCCCCTCAATCTCCTGGCCTTCAGAGATCCTCATACCTCAGCCTCCCAAATAGCTGGGACCACAGGTACATGCCACCATGCCCAGCTAGTTTGTTTTATTTTTTTGTAGAGACAGAGGCTGTGTTGCCCAGGATGGTCTCAATGATCCACCTGCCTCAGCCTCCCAAAATACTGGGACTACAGTTGTGAGCCATAGTGCCTGGCCTTTCACTTTTTTTTTTTTTTTTTTTTTTGAGACGGAGTCTCACTCTGTCGCCCAGGCTGGAGTGCAGTGGCGGGATCTCGGCTCACTGCAAGCTCCGCCTCCCGGGTTCACGCCATTCTCCTGCCTCAGCCTCCCAAGTAGCTGGGACTACAGGCACCTGCCACTACGCCCGCCTAATTTTTTGTATTTTTAGTAGAGACGGGGTTTCACCGTTTTAGCCGGGATGGTCTCGATCTCCTGACCTCGTGATCCGCCCGCCTCGGCCTCCCAAAGTGCTGGGATTACAGGCGTGAGCCACCGCGCCCGGCCTTTTTTTTTTTTTTTTTGAGACAGAGTTTCACTCTTGTTGCACAGGCTGGAGTGCAATGGTGCAATCTCGGCTCATCACAACCTCTGTCTCCCGGGTTCCAGCGATTCTCCTGCCTCAGCCTCCTGAGTAGCTGGGATTACAGGCATGCACCACCATGCCCAACTAATTTTTTGTATTTTTAGTAGAGACGGGGTTTCTCCACGTTGGTCAGGCTGGTCTTGAACTCCCGACCTCAGGTGATCCACCCTCCTTGGCCTCCCAAAATGCTGGGATTACAGGCGTGAGCCACAGTGCCTGGCCGGCCTTTCACATTTTTATATGGTTGAAAAGAAAACGTTTTTGATTAATGAAAATTATATAAAATTCAAATTTCCATGCTCCTAAATAAAAAGTGTTATTGAAACACAGCTATGACCATTTGTTTGCTGACTGTCTACAGCAGCCTTCATGCTACAATGACAGTGAGTAGTGGCAACAGAGACCACAGCATTCAAAAGCCTGAAATATTTCTATCTGATTCTTCACAGAAAACATTTGCTCACCCCTTCTCTAAATGACGTCTGTGAAGAGATGTTTAATATGTTGATGTGTGTCTGCAAACAGCGTATCTTTTGTTTATAAATTAGACATACCCAGAACTTGATTTATATCCTTCTGTGTTTTGGTTATACATCCATGGGCTTATCAAACTGTTTCATCAAGGATACCAAATGTCTGAGAATTTTTCCTAATTTCTCAATAGTCGACACCTCCTTTTCAAACCATATTTACGTCAGTCTTTACTGTCTGTCTCAAACACTTTCACATCCATTATTCCATTAATCTCTCACATGAGGAGCCCATGGAAATAATTACTATTGCTGCATTACAGAGAGGGAAACCAGGCTCCGAGAATTCGAAACACTTTCCTAAGAGCACTGTTCAGTCAGCAAGAGATTCCTGCCCTGACCCCAGAACCCAAGTGCTCCTAAGAGAACAGCACTCCACTTGAAAGATACAAGATAATCACAGCTGAGATTAGAGAAGCCAAAACATAATAAAGGATAATATTATAAAAACAATGACAGTCCTTTCCTGTGCATGGTTATCTCTGGAAACATAATCAGGAATAACTTTTGTCTCTGGCCAAAGAAGAAGTTAGGAAAGACTTACTATTCTTTTGTTTAAAATTTATACCATGCACATATATTACTTATTCAACAAATAAGGTTTTCAAAAGTTGCCAAACTAAGATGATCAAGTGAAAGCAACTCCCACCAGTAAGAATTGCCTCTCTCTCAGGAAAGATTTCACATAGCTCCAATGGTTCTCAAGGAAAAGAGAATTTCCAATTAAATGTTAATCGGAGGTCAGCATAGCCCTTGCCATGAAATCCGTTTTGATGGGCCATTTACTTGTAGCCCAAAGAAAATGATGAAGCACATCACTGCTCTTTGACGCCGTGCCAGCTCTGGCAGGAACCTGATGAGGAGCTTCATGGGGAGTCCTGCCCAATCCATCTGGAGTCCTACTCTTTATTTCTTTCCTTTGATTCCTTTTTACTACTAAATGCTCTGACTTACAGTAAGATCACCTATCAATTACGTTTTCTTACCAGCAGCAAATTACCTGGCTGTATATTCACAATCATTAAGTGTTTCTTCATGGAATGATATTGCACAAGAGAGTTTTCTGCACATAGCTGGCAGACATGATTTTTTAAAAATAATTCAGACTTGGAGTTAAAATATCAGAGAAATTCTTTACTATTCTAAGCTTCTGAAAACAGTGGTGGATCATTTAGAATGGATGGATGGATAGATAGATAAATTTAGAATATATATCCATTTATCTATCTCTAGCTAGCTAGTTAGAATATCACTAATTGATCCTGACATGGAGAATTACAAAATTTTTAAAAAATTATGATTGGATGAACTATTACAGATCATCTAGTCCAACTGTCTTAATCAGTGAGGAAACTACCACCAAAGGGGATTTTGTCCAATGTGAATCTTGAAAGTAAAGATTACATACACAGTGAATGTATCTGCAATCTGGCCCCAATCTACCATTTTAATCTTACCACCATGAGCTCTCTCCTTCATGCAAATTATACTTTCTGTCCCTCATTCTACTCCCAAACCAGCCATGTTGTATTACACTATTTTTCCTTGTTCTTTTAAATAATATGAATGTCCTTTCCTTTTAATTTTCATATTCTGATCCTGTCCACTCTTCAAGGCTCTGCTTCCTTGAATTCTTAATGAACTTTATTAGTGTCCATTTCCAGTGGCACTTATTTTTATACATTCATCATTCTGGTTTTTACTGTTTTATATCAGTATATAAATTATAAATAGTATATACATTTTTTAAACCACAGAAAAGACTATCAAATAAGGGAAACTTCTTGGCATCTGAATTTTGGTGAAACAATACAAATGAAAAAACAGTTGAACTCATATACTGTGGTAAATCACCTCAGTGAGTTCTCACAAAATAAATGGGTCTTGATTTATCGGAAGTTTTCTTGTTCTGAAATCACTGACACCCCACTTGAAGAGTAAACCAAGTGACTTCAGAACTTACAAAGCTAAAAAACCTAAAGGACCTTCTAGGCTGAACTTCCAGCCTTACACATAAAATATGAAGGTCTAAAAAAGATAAAGCGACTTACGCAGCATTAAGACTCGGGTCTTCTGGCTCTTTGTGCCCATACATCCCCGTTTGATCATATTGCTTCCCTAACAATTTTTTTTAGTTGGTGATGTCCACTGCTAAAATGTAAATACATGTTTTGCTGCTTTGCTATTGTTATCATGTCCATACATTTTTAGAACAAACCATAACTTCATTCAATAACTTAGTCTGAACATACCTTTGGAGTCCTGGATTCTTGTATGAATTCTTTCAGATTTTCAGATCTGGCCTTCAGCAAGTTGAGGGGAAGCAAAGTCCAAGTCACCCAGCCCTCTCTCCAGCCACTCTAGGCTAAAACCCCTGTTGTCGTATATTTGTGCACCTGTTTTCTGGATCACCTCATAAGTTTATGTTCACTCCTATTTTATTGCATGATGGTTTCATCATGATTCACCAACAACAAAGTTAATTTTTGTTGAATCATTGATTCAACAAATGTTACCAAATGTCAGTTGCTGTCTCACACCTAGGACACTGTTGTTACTTCTATTATTAAAAATAATATGAATAAGAATTATCATTAAGTAAATACTTATTGTACGTCAGGTACTATAATAGGCTCTTTACACACATCTTCTCAGTTAGAGTTAAAGGTCTCACCCAAGCTGTGGGACTGCAAGTAAGAATCAGGATTTAAACACAAGTCTGCCATCATCTGAAGCCTACGTCAGCAGAGAAGAGCCTTTGCCCTTCAAGGGCTCATGTCTAGTGTTACAGATCGCTATCATGATGATTAAATTCACAGGGTTCAAGCTATTATTCAGATAAGTACAGGTGTCGTTGAGCATGGTGGAAGGAAACCTAACTCTTCTAGGGTAGTTAGCCAAATCTTTGAGAAATATATGACATTTGGGCAGAATCTTAAAAAAATGACTATAAGTTTGTTAAGTAGATGGGAGAAAGAGGGCTTTGTGGGTGAAGGAAACCTTATGGGAAAAGGCACACAGTTTTTAAAAAGTAGCATATTTCGGGGAATAAAAGCAGTTTGGCATGACTGGAACATGGCTCCTGCTGAAGCCAAAGAAGCTTGGGGCTTGCAGGCCAAGTAATGAAGTTGGGATCTCACCTGTAAGAAATAATCCCCAAAGGCTTCGTAACAAAGCAGTTGACATGGTCAACTATTAGATTTAGAAAGCTCACAGCGGTGTGAGGTATGAATTAAATAAGACTTGGGTGGGGTGAGGCAAGTTAGGAGGATATCATAACAGCACAACAGAGAGAAAAGAAGTAATTAAGATAGTGATGGTGGAAATAAAAACATATTAAATAAATGTTTAGGACACTTAATCAACTGGACCTTATGACCAGTTCCATATTAATAGCTGAAGAAAGAAAAGAATTTAAGATGATGCTCAGATTTCTGGCTTAGGTAGTAAGAAGAATTTTTATTCCACTAAAGAGGGCAGGTAGAAGCAAAGTTGGTGAAGAAAGATAATGAGTCCAGTTTCAGAACTGCTGACTTCGGTGTACATGTGGAACATTCACATAGAGATGTCAAGATGACAGCCCATACCAGAATGGAGCATCAGATATGTCTAGGGGAGAGATTCCAAGTAGGCAGTCATCAGAGTACAGGTGGTAATTAAAGTCAAATGTTTGTTCTACAAATATTTACTGAATGCCTATTCTGTGCCAGAAACTGTTTTAGATGCTGAGGATACAGCAGTTGACAAAACAGGTAAAAAAAAAAAAAAAAAAAAAAAAAAAAGTCTAGCTTTCTTGGAACCAACATTCTAGTGAAGGTTACACTTTAGAGCATACAAGCAAATCCACGATAACAAATTTACGTTAAGTTCCAGAAAGGAAAGGCGTAGAGTGCTATTAAAAAGGAATAGCAGGGGCCATGTAATCTAGACTGAGTTGGGGAGTAGGAGATGGTCAGAGCCTCTCTGAAATATGGGCATTTAAACTGAAACGAAAGCCTGATAAAGGGTTAGCTAAGAAAAATCACCCCAAGTGGGAACAGCATATGTGAAGACCCCAAAACGAGAAACAGTTTTGTATTCAAGATACTGAAAAGGTCAGTGTGGTTGGGACATCTCACATGTACCCAGGATGAGAGGTAGAAAGGGGTTAGTTCAAAGAGATCTACTTATGCAGAGAAAATGTATAACTTGAGACACAATATCAATCAATCAATCAATCAATCATCAGAGTGTGGAATGCAGGAAGTCAACGTTTAATAAAAGAGGCAGGGGAAGTAAAGCCTACAAAAGAAACCTAGATTTTGACCATTTCCAGCACAGTATGGTATCTACTAATGAGCCCCTTTCTCCCAATTAATATAAATATATGAGTCATTATATATGGCTAATTTGTCCACCAGAAATGTTCTCTTCTGGGGAGTAGGAAGAGGAATCCACAAAACACTTTGATGAAACTAAAGAACTCATGGAATGAATAAACAAAATGTGAAATAGCCATATAAGAGAATACTGTTTAGGTATGCAAAAGAATGAAATACTGATATGTACTGCAAGAATGACCCTTGAAAGCACCACGTTCAGTTAAAGCAGCTAGATTCAAAAGGCCACATATTGTATGATTCCAATAATATGAAATGTTCATAGTAGGCAAATCGTTAGAGACAAAGTAGATTAATGGCTGCCAGGTGCTAGGGAGAGGGGAAAATGGGGAATGACTGCTGAATGGGTACAGGTTCTCTTTTGCAGTGCTGAAAGTGTTCTGGAATTTGATAATGGTGGTAGATGCACAACTCTACGAATATACTGAAAACCAGTACGTTGTATGTTTTAAATGGGTAAACTTTACGGTATGTAAATTATACATCAATAAAGTTTTTTTTAAATGTCATGGGAGACCTCCTTGCATCCTGTTAGTGTCAATATATGACACACTAACATAGAGATAGATCTAGAGAGCTTGCTTAGGTAGGATTTTACCAGAATTAATTTTGAAAACCGATATTGTCTTCAACGAGTTGTGGCTAAATGAGTTATGTCTGTATTTAACAATGACTTTGGAAATTCAGTTTCATAAGATTAATTTTTTACTTGGAAAGAAACTGAAAACGCTTTCAGTAATCCATCACAAATACATGAAGATGACAAGATCCATGTGTCTTATGAAACGTTGCCACTTGCTACCTTATAAAAGTACAGTTAGGAAGTCTCCTCCTTCGTGCTGAATGATAAGATTGATCAAAAATGAGGCAGAGTTATAACACATTGGGGTTTTAATGAGGTTTTGGGTTCTATCTCACATAAAATATTCATCAATGAACTAGAAGGGGTGTTTTGCACTCCATTTATTCTGCCAGCACTAACCTACAAGTTCATTTCATTAAGAAGATAGAGAGGGGTTAAATTCATCCAACATTCTGAAGACTGCCAAGGTAAGATTTAAAATTTTATTATATTTCTAGTTTAAGAAACCTAGTGACTTATCAGGATGCTGAATCCTTATAATGGCAAGTATTCAGGAAGTATTAAAAAAAGTGGACTTATCAATTTTTCAACTTTCCCTTGATAGTCAATAATCAAAGAATGAATAATTACCTGGAATTCATATCAACCTGGGGAACATAGCTTAACACATTTATTATGGATGTTTAGAGAAATGAAGATACATATATACATATATATGTATATATGTGTATATATACATATATATATACACATATATACATACATGTATATATACACATATATATATACACACACTATATATATACACACACGAATATATGATGGAGATTCCATCAAATTAACGAACTCCTTAGAAAATAAGATGTGAATAAATGAATAAATAACCAAGCAAACTAAATAGGAAAGCTGCTCAAGAATAGCAGATTAAAAATATTTATGAATAAAAACACTTTAGTATTTGATAGGTCCCCACTTACATCTATTATCAAATGTGATCCTCATATCTGCTCTATGAAATGAGCAGTGCAGAAAGAATAGCCCCATTTCACAAAGGGTCAAAATGAGGCTTGGAAAAGTAAGGCCACTTTATGTAGACTCACACTTCTAGGAGGTGGCATATTCAGTTTTATATCAATTCAAATCTTCTGACATCAAGTCCAATACATTCTGACATGACACAATATTCTATCATTATTTTTACTATTATTATTGTTATTTTTATTATTGTAGGATAAAAATATACACAAATGTCAGATAGAAAGTAAATAATGGCATAAGATATAACAGAAATGGTCTATAACAACTGACTAGTGGTCCAGATAATAATGTATCCTAGAAAAAATAATTGATTTTGTTGGTTTTGTTGATTTTTGTCATTGTTTTTTGTTCATTTCACAAAGAAAAGTAAGGCACTGAGATACATCTATATACACAAAATGATTGTCTCCCCCACGATATGGTCAATTCTCAACTATCCATGGACTTACAGGAACAAAGACTATTTAGATTTTTTTTTTTTTTAGTCTCTTAGAATTTCAAATTCTCACATCAGTAGATATTTCCCCTTTTAACAAAAGCAAATTGTTTTAAAAACCCATGAATTTTCTGGCTTTTGTTGGTTTTCATTCTTCTCCAACTAGATAAACATCTCTTAAGCAAATAATCATTGCTTCAATAGAGATTATTTTATTCATGATTATGCTTTGTGCTCCAAAATTTACGCAAAATATGAAGGATGAGAAATGGCATTAGAAGGGAGCAACAGAAAAATAGAAGGAAAAAAGACTTTTTAAACAATGCTTGCAGAAAGCAGAATAAATTTTCTGTGAGGTAAGGCTTTCCATTGAGTAACAACTAAATATAAACTGAAATTGAAGTATGGGGCCAGAAGCCAGTTAGGGAGTTCACCAAACTTGGAGCTGATTAATCTCCAATATGGATTCTCAAATAAATCAAGGAACTCATTCTTGGAATGATTTCAAGTCATCCTTCTCTTTGGAGGGTAGAGTAAATGTTATTGAGTATGGAGGAAGGGAAGTTGCAATCTTAAGGGGTCACTCTATCATGTTAAAAATCAGCACAAGCAGGGTGTCAAAAGTTGAAGGCTTTTGAGTCACCCTATCCAATTGCAGTTGTCTTAGCTCTCAAATCAATACGCCTATAAGTAGCCATGATATGATTTAACTGATAGTGTCCCAGACAGTGAAAAATTCATTACTGTGACCTGTGAAGTGATTTCACCTATCCCTTATCCAACAGTAGAGGATTGATCGCCACAGCCAAAACCTCAGCCACTGCATACGATAGTAAGCACTTATAGTAAGTAGAGTGACCCCAATGGTAATGTCTATTCAATGGGCGGAAAGAGCTAGGCCCTCCCAAAGTGCAGTAAATCTCATTATTCATTGACTTCTCCTTAAGCGTTCTGCTGCTTAACTAATGACCGTTTTAATTCTTAATTCATAGGGTGCCTTGACAATGTAGTTTTATTCTTATTATTATAACTTTGAGTTGTAATAAATATATCGAGTTTTCTGTGTTACTAAAATTACACTGAAATATCATTTTAACTATTTATTTTTATTTATTTATTATTTTTTAATAGAGTCTCACCCTGTCTTCCAGGATGGAATACAGTGCCATCTTGGCTCATTGCAACCTCTGCCTCCCGGTTCCAGCGATCCTCCCACCTCACCTTCCTAAGTAGGAGTGCGGAATTATAGGCGTGCACCGTCACATGCCTGGCTAATTTTTTTTTTATTTTTTGTGGAGATGGGGTTTTGCCATGTTAGCCAGACTGGTCTCAAACCCCTGACCTCAAGTGATCTGCCCACCCCTTCCTCCCAAAGTGCTGGTATTACAGGTGTGGTCCCTGGCCTTTTAACATTTTAACTTATGAATTATTTTCATACAAGATAATAGTCTTTTTAAAATGCAGCTTAAGTTTATTCTGTGGTATATTTTGCTCATATTTTTCTTACTAGCAGCTTCAGGGGATAAGTTGGTTTTGAAGGAAATGTATTTTCTTTGATAACTTGGCAACATGCAAACCTGTTCTCTCTCTCACAGACTTCATGTAGGAAACAGTCTTTCACTGTTGCAGACTGTAAGGAAGAAGAACCAAAGAGAGTCATGGGCGAAGCCCCAAAGACCCTCTTTAAGAGTACATCTGATCATGTCACATGTCTCTAAAATTACACATACTCCAAACTCCTTTTTGCCTGCAGAATACTTTAAACATTTTAATGGGCCTTCAAAGGCCTTCCAGGAACTTGTCCTTACCTCCTTTTTCAACCTCAGTTTCTACTACCAACCTACACAAATTCTGCATTTCAGAGGTGTCTACCGACTTACAACCACTTGAATATGCCATACTGTTTCACATCTCCATGCCTTTGCACCTGCTATTTCCACTACTGGAACTGCCATCCTTTTCCTAGTTTCCACTTTTGATAAACTCCTACTCATTCTGAAAGACAGTTCCCATCTGTATGAGCTTCCCTGAGCCACCCAAACAACAACCCACTCCCTTGTACTTGTGCCAACCCTATACCTATTATTTATCTCATTGTTGAATTTATTATACCTCACTGTCATACTTTGTCCTTAAATACATTTTTAGTCTGTCTATAAGTTTCTTCCAAACAAGACCTGTGTACCTTTCAAATTCATATTATTAGCAATTAGCACAGTTCCTGGCACACAAAGATGTTCCATAAAAGTTTCTGAATAAATCTGAAGTATTCTTGACCTAAGGAATGAAACAGCATCTCTTCAAGAGTAATATTTTTTAAAATATATAATAAAATAATGCCACATATTAATGTATGTCCAATAGGAAAATTATGACTTTACATATTCTGTCCTATCATCCGACAAGATAGCTTGAATTTTTTACTTGAAAAATATGAATAACATGAATATAAAAAGTAAATAATGGGTTTCATTGACCAACATTTAATTCTAAACAGTGATCAAGATTTTAAGTTAAATATATTTCTGTCCTAATGTCTCAAGTTGCTAAGAAGATATTGATTATCTGGACACCAAAAAATAGTTTCCAGATGAAATCTGTACATCTATGTCCTTTGTATTCGTAGGCACAGACACCTACTAGGAAGTTAAATGTGTAAATTCAGGTGAATTTCCAAAACACACAAAACATTCTAATTACTTGGGTCAATGGGTTGATAGAAACCTTAGTCCCAGGACTGATGAGCAAACAGAACATTGACCTTCTCAGACTAACCGACATTTGTTGAAGCCTTCAGAGTGGGATATTCAGGTGGGGTGAATTGGGTACAAACCAGTCATATGAACCTGGACAGGGGACTTCTTTCTGAACTGCAGCTCCTCTTCTGTAAAATTAGGGGCCTAGATGATATACCCTAGAGTCTTCCAGGTCTCACACCCTGTCAAGCTATGGATTGTTTCAAATTATAATAAATGACGAGGGAGGTTAAGTGATATTTACTGGTATATGGCAAATAAGAGGCCTGCTTCTCAATTCAACAATCTCATTTTTCCCCTCGCCTTTGAAGACAAAAAATAAAAAATAAAACAAATTAAAAACAAAAATAAGATGCTTTTCTTATATGCAACACATTTAAAATGGGTGGACAAATAAAGCATTTATTCTAGTTCATTATAGAAAATATATTGAAACCACTGTCACTTTGGGTCATTGTAGAAGATGTACATACTTTTGTTATACATGGAAATATTAAGCAACTAACATATTCATATTTATATAGGATTTACAGTTTTCCAAAACACTCATGTGTAATGCCTTGTTTAATCTTTGAAACACCGCTGAGAGTTAGGACCCTTTGATTTAGACAGAGGATGGGACAGAGAGGTTCAGTGTACTGCGTGAGGTCCAGCAACTAATAAATGTAGAGCTAAGCTTCAATTGTCAGTCTCTAGATTCAATTCAGCTTCATTCTGTTATCAATGCAACCCCTCCCTCCAGTCATATTATTCATGCAGAGGATGTGGCTAAGTGAGAAGAGAAGAGATTGGAAGGCTCATTTATTTATTCAAAAACTATTTGCCAGGCACCTACTCTATGCCAGACACTCTGCTAGATGCCAGGGAATATCAAACCTCACACGATCCCTGCCCTTCTGGACTTCTAGATCTTACACTTCCAGGAGAGATTAAAGTGGATAAAACGAATTGTATGCCATGGGCACATGTTACAAGTGGGACATAAAGATATAAGCAAGGAACTATGGGAACCCATTGAACAATTCATCATGTTCATGAGAATCAGAGACAGCCTCTGGCATTTAGCTAGGCCTTGAAGAGGGAGGAGTATTTCAATAGGGAGCATAGCAAGGGAAGGCGTGCCAACATGGAAAGAAGAGCAGGAATGACAGCCCGGATGGATGAGAGTGCAAAGCTCACCCAGGAAGGTAGTTCTTTTGGCCTGTATGGCAGGAGAAAGACTGAGTGGGCATCGTTTTGTTCAGAGAAAGCCAGACCAGCCCTGAGGCAGCAAAGTAAAATATCCTCTCTATGTTTTTCATTCTCCAAGCTTTGCCACAGAGGATGTTTACTTGCTCTTGGCTTCGGAATATCCTTAAGAACGGTTCTCAAAGTGTGGTGCCCAAATCAACAGCCTTGGTATTATCTGGTAACTTGTGAGAAATACAAATTCTCAGGCTAGTGTCACAAATTTACCAAATCATAAACTCTGAGGGTAGGGCCCAGAAGTCTGTGTTTTAGCAAGTACTCCAGGAGACTGTGATGTTCACTCAAATTTGAGAATCACTGCTTTGAAGGACTTCCGCCCATTTGAATATCCTTATACCAAAAAACGTCAGTTCTAACCCAGAATTACCAACACACTCCTGAAATCTACAGGCTAACTTTGTATGCTCATGTAAGAGAAGCTTGCAAGATGGACTGTTTGGGAATAAACTAGGAATTTATGCTGAGGTGGTGAGTCATCACTTTTTAGGGCTACTGAAAGGGAGACTTAAGCACCCATTGTTAATTTGAGTAGATGCCATCTGTGGCCCTACTCTCCTTGGAATAAACTTCTGTTGTGACACAGAACTTACTGTTAGCCTTCTGTAACATCATATTTCGAATGGTGCACTAATAGAAATTGTGAAATGCTCTTTAGGGAACACCTATGTCATATTTAAGCATGACAGTTACAGAAGAGACGGTGGGCATATCCATTTCTCTGCAGTCTTTGGGTTTGGCTTAAAACTGGTTGTAATTCAGTTTGATAAATGATCACCAAGCTCTCTTTATGTCATCACTGTAACTAGGCTAGGAGTGGTGACGAGAAATAAGTCATAGCTCTTGTTTTTGAGGCATTCAGTCCATTTCTTTAGAATAATCAAAAAATCTCACTTTTCCCAAATCATCCCCAGGAGTTTCTCTGGTCCCTACATTTTGGTTTCTTCCTGGAATGCTCAGCCAGCCTCGCTTTCTGTGCCCATCAAAATCTGTCAAAGCCATGCTCCAACGCCACCAGTTTTCCTCAACTAGATATGATCTCCTTTTAAACAATGCAGGCCAAATAATTATTTTTCTCTTACAGAGTTTTGTAGCCTTCTGAGAACGCAGTACAGATCTATAATATTAAAAATATCCAAATTAGTTCCTGTATGTCCTGTATAAAAACCTTGAAGCAAATAATTTCTAATTAAAAATACAACAGATCAAATTTTCATTAAACCAAAATAAATAAATAAAACTCTTTCAATATATATTCCTCATTTGAGGCTTTTTTTTTTTTGAGACGGAATCATGCTCTATCGCCCAGGCTGGAGTGCAGTGGCGCTATCTCAGCTCACTGCAACCTCCGCCTCCCCAGTTCAAGTGATTCTCCTGCCTCAGCCTCCTGAGTAGCTGGGATTACAGGTGCAAGCCACCATGCATGGCTAATTTTTGTGTATGGGTTTATTTTTCAGTAGAGACGGGGTTTCACCATGTTGGTCTGGCTGGTCTAGAACTCCTGACCTCAGTTGATCTACCTGCCTTGGCCTCCCAAAATGCTGGGATTACAGGCATGAGCCACAGCACCTGGCCTCATTTGAAGCTTCTTAAGGTGAGTGTGCCACTCAGACTTCACAAATATTTAATGTTGCCTAACAAGTATGTGAAGGATTTCAGGATTTTGCCACTGTATAAACAAATAAATAATAAAGTTACTTAAGAATTTTAGGCTTGGAAGTAGGCACAAAGGAAGCTAGTGTTTTGTGGAAGTTTGGAGGCCAAGTAGGAGGGCTGGGAATAAACTATAGGTTATCTGGCTGTGCTTCCCAGGTCCTTCCTAATTAGCATTAATGGGTAATACATAGTTGCAGTGTCACACAGGACAGCAGAATTTTTTTGAGATAATTGATTGCTACTAGAAATTTTTGAGAAATAGAGTTTATCTGTTGCCAAGAATGGCTAAAATCTGATCTGGATCTAAATGATAAAAAAAATAAATAATCTCCATATCAGCAACCCAATAGCACTTTGAATTTACATATGATTTTCTACAAGATATTTTATTTAAGCATAACAATAGCTCTGTCCTACTCTGGTATCTTGCCACAGATGGGCATTCAATGTATCTTTAAGAAGGGACACAACAAATGATAGCCGAGTTAAGGATTAGTCCCATTTTATAGATGAAAAGCAGAGGCTTACAGTGATTGAGGAAAAGTGACAGAGTCAGAAATGTTCAACGTGAAGCAGAAGAGAGGCTTCTTGAACGTAGTCCGTTCCTTTCCCCACACCACCCTGCATCACAGTTTGACAGACCTGTGTACCACTCCTTCCCTTACATGTAGAAACTGGTTATGGTTTTCGTATATTCAACAGAAAGAGTGTCCTCATGATATTTCTCTGATAAATGCTAGCTATGTATAGAAACCCACAGCTAATCAGCCACTTCTGACAGATCAGTGTGAAAAAAAAAATAGTCAACTAGATTGATGGACCACATTTTTTACTTTTCAGAGGAATGTGACAGTTTTCCCCCTCATTCCTTGGAGCAATGATAAAGAATCCTTCCAATTCTGTATTTGAGCACAAGGAACAAATTTTAGGAGTAATAACTCAATATTAATATAGTAAATTTTGCTGTATAGATTATGAAACATCTTCTTAAAGTCCTATTTTGTATATGGTGTATAAAACATCGATGACATAAATTCCACTCAAAATTCTCTGTGTGCAGAGACATCTGCTGCCTGGCCAATATCTATTCTCACTTCCTCCTTATTAACACAATCTCTGTATTGTTGATAGCAACAATGTGCCCAGCTACATATCCTAGCCACCCTTGTAGATAGGTGTTAAAATTTAAACAATTTTAAGAGGGACTTCAGAGAAGCAGAAAGCATTCCATTGACAGGCCTTTCTTTTTTTCTACATCTCTATTTCTAAAACTCAGATGTGATGGTTGGAGCTGCAATAGACAGACAGACATCTTTAGACCATGACTTGACCTTGAGGATGGAAGCTACAGAATAGGAACGCAGAATAGAAGGATTGAGAAAAACTGAGAGGCTGATGAAATCACAACATCACCATACCAGCCTCTTGACTTCTACATCAAGGGAAAATTAATTCTATTTAGTTTACAAGTATTACTTAGATTTCTGTTACTAGTTGACCCATTTAATCATAACTGATGAGTCCCCCAAAATATAAGTAAAATAAAGAGCTAGAAAATTTTGATTAGGACTATATTTTGAAATTAAAGAGCTACTGAGTAATAGATGGACGAGTGTCCCATGCTAATATGGCCTAGAAGAAGAAGATGATTTTCCCTAAATAAGGCAACCAGAAATGAACGTTATCAGGAGTCTGAGTCATGCCAGAAAGAAGATGATGATGTTTGCAAACCCGCATAATGATGCAATAGAGATGGGGGAATGGGAAGAGGTGAACACAAGCATGAGGATTTTAGAGCGAAAGGTCAGTGAAGCCATAGGAAAAGAAGCTGTTTGGGACTGGAGGGGAAGAATAACTAGCACTCCAGACACATGGGCCGAGAAAAGAAACGTTACATGCCAGAAAAGAAATTCCCTCATCCAGGAGGTTCAGGCAAAAAAAAAAAAAAAAAAAAAATTCTTTTCCTTGCAGTACCTAGCACAGGACTTTTTAGAAGGGTATGCACTCAATAAATGTATGTTAATTAATGTACAGCCATCCAAAAAATCAGTGACGGAAGCTCACCTGGGAAGCCTTACTCTCAAAATACTGGATAAAACACACTGTTTCATCCCAATCCTTTCTTAGTATCCTTTAACTGTCACTAAACAACACCTAAATTATAAGGTGAAAAGACACACACACACACACACACACACACACACACACACACACAGAGAGAGAATTATAGTAAAGCAGATACATGTAGTCAAAGCCTCATAGCACAAAAGGAATGAGAATTTAAACACACTCAGCATTCACTTGTGACCACTATTTAAAACTTCATGCTCCATATTTACACATTTGTTTCTCTAGTGCAGTGGTTCTCAGCCGGGGTGATCTGGCCCCCAGGGACATTGAGCAATGCCTATATCTCTGATTGTTATAACTGGGGTGGGAGGAGGGGTGCTACTGGCATCCAGTGGGTAGAGGCCAGGGATGCTGTTAACCAACCATCCTGCAATGCACAGGACAGCCTCCCACCTCCAAACCAAAGACTTAAGCCATACATATCCAGTAACAATGCCAGCTACTTCAAGATTATGGCATACTCTCTCCAATGTTGACAGTCTTTTAGTTCATGTAATATTTTTCAGAGTACCCAACAAGAAAACACCTAGCAGTGTAGGCTCATGAAAATGTAATGTGTGGTCTGTAATCCTTGACGCGACCTGGCTTCCAATGTATTTTTTGTTCACAGGAAGCTTGAAATGCATAATAGCCACAATTATTAAATATATACTAATTGGCAAGTACAATGTGAAAAACTTTACAAAGATAAATCTTGGTGAATCTACAGAACATTACTGAGGGATAGGTATTAGTATAAAGTCTCACGGCCAAGGTCACAGCACTTATAAACAACAGAGGTCCCCAGTACATATCAACAATGGGAAGGTTAATATGTAATCATACAATGGTTGCTATTCTGGATATCTATGTTCTCTGCTGAGTTGAGGTTTTTTTTTTCCTTTACATTCATAAAGACAATAACTTTCTTGCACAGAATGCTTCCTGAAATGTACTGTACATTTCTGAACTTTATTTGATATAACGTATTGAACATAATTTAATCTTCCCTTAACATGTCAGGGCGGTTATGATGAATATCCACATTGTTCTGTATTAGAGCAAATGAAATATTCAGGGCTTCCTGTCACTTCACTAGATAGTCCCAATGCTTTTAGAGTTTTTCTGTCTGATTTTTATCATTTTTCTTTGTCTGCCTTTCTGGCAGAGTTGGAACTGCCTCTTTTTAACTAGAGAGAACTATTAAAAAAAAAAAACAGAGAACTATTAGAACTGTAAAACAAGCTCCTAAAAGAACCTCCCATAGTGTAGGGGGAGAGGGGAGGGAGGTGAGAAGGAAGAAGAGCTGAGACTATACAAGCTTCTGGGTATCAATTTTATCTGCACCAAATTCCTTTTGGCTTTATTTCTTGGTTTACAACTGAGTTCCAACTACCTGAATTTGTTAAATCTATGAGATTCGGACTCATGTGGTCTTAAAATACAGGTAGTAGACATTTTAATCATAATTTTTAAAATCCTACATTTGGCTATAGTATAATGGGATCTTATGTATCTACCAAGCTATGCATGTCCACTAACACTTAAACCCAAATTTATCAATAAAACCATATTTCCTAGACATTTCCAAACAATAATTTTAGTTTTCAAACATGCAGCTCCCATTTTTAAATTGCCAAAAGATCAAAACACTAATAAAATTTTCAGAAGTAATAAGTGTGGCAAGATAATATGAAGTTTTAAAGGCTTTTTTACTCTGGGCTAAACTATATTTCTGCAATGAGTACCACGAGACTATTTGGGTTTTTTTTTTCACTCTATCATTGCTCTTTTGGAAAACAGAAAGGACCTTTATCAGCACTTTGCAATTGCAGATAAAAAACAGTACACTGACAGAGACGCTGTGAAGTTTAACTAGGACAAAAATACAATAGGACACATCAGTGATTCTTGAAAAATCACAGAAAAACCATGGTAAATGTGCTACATAATCAATCAGTCCACTGTTTAAAAAATTACATTGAAATAGATTTTCTATATAGTTTTATACAAACAAAATAGGTGGTAAACCGGACCCATGCCTTAGCAGGCTGAAAGCTGATACTGAACCTGCCAGTGGTCAGGTACCCAGAACTTGGCATATCAGACTGCTGCATTGCTTCTGTAGCTCATCACTTGCCTCTTTCAACTCAAGATCAGCTGCTGGCTTGTGAGAACGTTCCCTTGGGTACCTAAATGCTGCTACCAGCAGTTTTATTACTTCTGCCATGACTTTCTGAAGCTGAGCAAGCTGCAGCCTCTGCACGAAGATCCTCATGGAGAGCAGAGCAACGCAGAGTTTGGAGCGTGCTAACCAGTAAACAAAGTTTTAGGGTGCATTAGCTTTACCCTAGAAAGCAGGGCACTTGGCTTATTTTGAAATAATAGGTTAGCTTGAGAATAAATAAAAATTCTGCTTTTCTTTTAAATCATAGTTTTGCATAACTTAGGTTTTCAATGAAAATAATTTATTTGTCCAGTGCAATAATTAGTATGAAATTACCACTGCACTTAAGATTTTTAAAAAACCTCATTTGCTACATATCAAAATAGTTATCCCATTAGAAGCTGAAGACAGAGTGCCTGAAAAGGTGACTGAGTTTTTCTCTGGAAATTTTATAGGCTTTCCATTTGTTCTAAAAAACAAACAAACAAACAAAAAACCATAATTTGATATATTCTAGAAACCCAGGTGCCAGGCCCTTTGCAAAGTACACAGGATTCAAAGGTAAGTCATACATGGCCCCTGCCTTCCAGGGTTAGTGGTCCGGCCAGGACGCCAAGCTGCTTCCCTATGTGCCTTGAGTGGATCATGGGACAGGACAAATCAGGCTTGAAAGTCATCCCAAAACTGATGGTTTCAGCTGCTGATGCTAGATTTCCACGGATAGGAAAACATGAGCTCAACAATGGACATCATCTATTCTAAAATGATCCCAGAAAATTATAACTACTGAGGGTAAGTTTGTAGCAATACATTAGTGTGACATCATAAAAATAAAGTGTTGATACATCTTATGGCATTTCTTCTCCCTACATCCCATTAAAATACACAAAAACAAAAAATATGACCTGACAGAACTATAGCAATGAAAACTAAACTGATAATATCTAACAACAGTTTTTCAGCACCCAGGAGAAATCAGTACTCATCTGTATAAGATGAGCATGTGGCCTCATCCCCAGCTGATGTGTATATACAGGGCTAGAAAAGTAGCAGAAACCATCAGTCGCTCCCACTGTGTAGCTCCCTCTCCAACCTGCAGAAATCAGAAATCTTACATCCCCCTTCCCACATATATTACAATAAGAAAATACAATAAGGAAATGGTTAACTAAGCCATCTAGGATGATTTTCTCTCTCCCATGACATTTGCTTTTTCCCTAAAGCAGCATTAGTGGATTACCCTTATAGAAAAAGTTGAAGACTGTAATTCCCAGTGGTACAGAAATTCCAAGTAGGGTCAAATGGTATTTCTAGTTCTAGATCGTTGAGGAATCGCCACACTGACTTCCACAATGGTTGAACTAGTTTACAGTCCCACCAACAGTGTAAAAGTGTTCCTATTTCTCCACATCCTCTCCAGTACCTGTTGTTTCCTGACTTTTTAATGATGCCATTCTAACTGGTGTGAGATGGTATCTCATTGTGGTTTTGATTTGCATTTCTCTGATGGCCAGTGATGACGAGCATTTTTTCATGTGTCTTTTGGCTGCATAAATGTCTCCTCTTGAGAAATATCTGTTCATATCCTTCATGATTTATAATCCTTTGGGTATATATCCATTACTGGGTATATACCCAAAGGATTATAAATCATGCTGCTATAAAGACACACACACACGTATGTTTATTGTGGCACTATTCACAATAGCAAAGACTTGGAACCAACCCAAATGTCCAACAATGATAGACTGGATTAAGAAAATGTGGCACATATACACCATGGAATACTATGCAGCCATAAAAAAGGATGAGTTCATGTCCTTTGTAGGGACATGGATGAAGCTGGAAACCATCATTCTCAGCAAACTATCGCAAGGACAAAAAACCAAACACCTCATGTTCTCACTCATAGGTGGGAATTGAACAATGAGAACACACGGACACAAGAAGGGGAACATCACACACCAGGGCCTGTTGTGGGGTGGGGGGAGGGGGGAGGGATAGCATTAGGAGATATACCTCATGTTAAATGATGAGTTAATGGGTGCAGCACACCAACACGGCACATGTATACATATGTAACAAACCTGCACGTTGTGCACATGTACCCTAGAACTTAAAGTATAAAAAAAAAAAAAAAGAAAGAAATTCCAAGTAGGACGTAATGTAAAGTTGTTGAGTGGGCACTAGTGAAGATAGGAAGAGCTCTGACCATTGTATACTCTGTTTTTGGAAAAGTAAGAACTAGAAAATTTTCAACTTACAAGGGATGAAAAATTATCTTCTTCAGAGCCAAAGAAGTATCTTCTACATTGGAAGCAGGAGATACTTCCTTATTTAGGCAGAACCATACTAATAGACCTCCTAAAAATTAGTGAAGAGCTTTGTACAAATCTATTACACTCTCATGGAAATTATTGGGGAATAAGGGAAAACAGAGAAGCCTCACTTTTGGAAATTCCAGGGTTGGATTCATGCTCAAGGAAAAGTAAACATTTGGGGGTGGGGGTGGGGCAAAAAAAAAGCACAGGCTGGACACATGCTATAAAATTGAAATAAGGAAAAGTTGTTCTGAAAGTGCAGAAGAAAACCCTAGTTCTTTAAAAAAAAAATAATAATTTAATATTAAGAAAAAAACTGGGAACGTCTGTTCTGGGTTCTCAAGTAAATACATGAAATGGTACGCTTGTTAAGGTTAGGGATGATGATAAGTGATGAGATAAAAAGACAATTTATGGCAATATAGTCTAAAATTATTAAGGGACCTGGCTGAGAAAAGCAAGGTAACAAAATAGCCAAATTAATCCTACCCTGGAATTGGAAAAGAACAAAACTGGCACTATAAAAAAATTAAATAGGCTGGGCGCTGTGGCTCACGCCTGCAATTCCAGCACTTTGGGAGGCCAAGGCGGGCGGATCACTTGAGGTCAGGAGTTTGAGACCAGCCTGACCAACAGGGTGAAACCCCATCTCTACTAAAAATACAAAACTTAGCTGGGCATGGTGGCATGGGATTAAAAATAATCCCAGCTACTTGGGAGACTGAGGCAGGAGAATTGCTTGAACTGGGTGGCAGAGGTTGCAGTGAGCTGAGATCTCACCACTGCACTCCAGCCTGGGTGACAGAGTGAGACTCGGTCTCAGTAAAAATTAAATCATTGATGTAAAGAGGAAATTCTCCCAAGAATCAGAAAAGGTGAAAGATATGAAAGGGAAGATAATAAAAATAGTAAATACTGGAGATTTATCTTTACAAGTAATTTTTATCCTTAAGAACAAATCTTAAGTAGTGGAATAGAAATAATAATCAAGAAAATATTTCCTAAGCTGAAGACTGACTAGAGTCTGAGATTACCATGTTCCAGACAAAATGTAATCAATCTAGCAAATAAAATGACTGACATGTTAAGGTTCAACCTTCTGCTATCCAAAACCAATGAGAGCCAGACCTGGTAAATTCCCTGGGGCCTCTGCATTCAAGACAAACAGACCCAGTTCAAATCGTAGCTTTACTACTTAAAAGCTGCATAAATATGGGCAAGTTACAATATCACGCTTGCCATAAAATTCTACTTCAAGAAGCTTTATCACATCAACACATCCCACTCCCTAATGAAAAATCCCTTTCACTGATCTCCTACTGCATCTGACTCAGCCTGAGTGGGCTTCCTTATTCCTCACTCCATATTCCACAGTCTTCATTCACCAGCGTATGTCCAAAAGAAATGGTGAAAGAAAAGAAAAGGAAAGGTAAGAGAAAGAAGGAAGTAGCCTCAAGGTCATTCTCCCTGGAGTAATAGCGACTGCCTTCAAAAGAGAGTCACAGTTAACTTTTAATAAAATATCTCAAATGATATGTTATTCATCCTCCAGAGGTAATATCCTTGTCTTATTGAAAAGGCAGGTTTGCTTTGGTAGCTGAACACTTCCTGTATTAGCTTATTTCCACCATTCATTTTCATTACAGATTCATTTTCATAAATCTGAATCATTGCAAAATCCAAATAAATAGCCTCCAATAACTTCAATAACCATATTAGCCATCTCATCAATTCAACCTCTAAAATGCTCTTTCTCAGGGATGACTTGAAAGCTACCTAGGTCAGGGTCAGTCTCCAATACATTCATTTGCTCTGACAAGCTGATTTCCATAGGCTAGGAGGTCTGACTTGGATCCTCTACAAAGAGGAGCCCTTGATAGACTCTTTTAAATACAGCCCAAACTCTGTCTCCAGTTTTTACAGATTCAGTGCCTCAAGCTGGGGTTTCTACAACTAATGCAAGCTTTAAACAGCTTCTTCTCCTCTAAGTATCATTTTCACTATCAATAAGGACCCAGCCTTTATGCTAAGTCTTTTTCTACCAACATTTTCCCTTATTTCATTTTGAGTCAGAGTCTTATTGATTACCAGAAGGAATAGATCATAATTATACTTTTTAAATAATTAAATAATGATCGCAACAAATGCACAAATACTTGTATGTTTAGTACTGTTTATCTCCAAAGATCGTTGGGAGACCTGGTTCTCAAGAAGCCTGGGTTCTCCTCTGGATTCTTCTACCAAATAGCTACAGTAGAGGCAATTCCCTTCTCTTTTAGGGCTTTAAGTAACAAAGCTAACTGGTGAAGGAGACAATACCAGAATTCTGGTTCATGATCATGCAATGTTCTTTTTAGGTAGGCCACCAGAACTGAGACAGAAATAACACACTAGCATGACTTGGAAAACTTGCAGACAGAAAAAGTAACAATCAAGTAAGGTAATTTGTGTAGAAGTGCTTTGTAAATGCGTAGTTACTAATACAGTTTTATGTGGTTGTCAGGCAGTTGTCTATAAAATGAAAAGAGTACCAGATTTAGAATTAGAAGATCTGATGATAATTGTAGTCTAGGGAATATTTGAGTATCAATTTTCCTACAGACATTAATGGTACAATAGTACTCTCTTCGCAGAATTGTTCTGAAGGTCAAATGTAATAACTTTGTCAAAGCACCTACTCCAGAGGGTAGCACATAGTAGAATCTCAATAAATGGGGTCCAAGGCTGGTGGGTGACTTGTTCTCAGGTCATTCACATGCCACAGAACAGGCCTCCTGTGAAGCCCATAAAATCTTAGGCAGATGAGTACCCTCAGCCAAACACACTGGTCAATCCCATTTACCCTTCCATGTCATCTCTCTGGGGGTAGCTTTGCATCAGTTTATAGCTTTCCTGATTTAGGGGGCTCTCATGTCAGAGAAGTCACTTAAAAGTCAAATTATTATTATCATTAAACATGAAGAAACATGTCCAAGCTGTCAAATATCAAACAGGCTCTGATTTCTATTCAACATTATTTTCTCTCTCAGAACGGTTTCCTTCCAGCTGCAATCAATATATATTTTTGGCAGAAGAGATGCTAAAGAAAAAAAAAAAATCTCCCAGCTTGTCTCCAAGGATTTCACTTTTGCACATACATAGAGATCTGACAATAATGGTGACAACATCCGTTTGTTCTGTGTTTGCAATTAGTCTAGCATTTTCACATGCATTATATAATCCCATTAGACAGACAGGCAGGTAATAGTATCCCCATGTTAGATAAGAAGCCCCTGAAGGACATAGTACACATAAGCTTCTCCAATCCTACCACTAGTAAGTGATAAAGCTGATTGTGAGTGTATGGATGTGAAGAGTAAAAATGCTCCTACCTTTCTCAAGATACGTGGAAGAGGAAGTGGTTGGAATTATGAAGTTAAGCAATGTGGTCCTCGTTGTAATATACCTTAATATTTCATTTTGTGTCAACCAAATGAATCTATCATGAGATATAAAAAGATACCTTAATAATAAAATGAAGAGACATTATAATCCAACAAAGTTACCACTGTGTGGATTAGACAAGTAGTAGCAACTGAGAAGCATTGAGTGTGAGCACTTCCTGTTTTAAATGAGCCACAGACATGCCAAATGAGTGAAACTCCTCCCCAGAGTTGTTCTAGGACCTTGGCGCTTCTGATTTTAGAGGTCTTATCAGAGCACTAAAACTACCACCAGCATTACTTCCCTAATTTATACAATGAGGTTTTTAAAAGTCACCAAAGGCGGGGCACGGTGGCTCACGCCTGTAATCCCAGCACTTTGGGAGGCCAAGGAGGGTGGATCACCTGAGGTCAGGAGTTCAAGACCACCCTGGTTAAAATGATGAAACCCTGTCTCTACTAAAAATACAAAAAAAATACAAAAAAAAAAAAAAGCTGGGCATGGTGGCATGCACCTGTAATCTCAGCTACTCAGGAGGTTGAAGAGGAGAATTGCTTGAACCTGGGAGGCGGAGGTTGCAGTGAGCTGGGATCACGCCATTGCACTCCAGCCTGGGCAACAGAGTGAGACTCCGTCTCACAACAACAACTACAACAAAAAGTCACCAAAAAGCCAGCCCCAAATAGTTTGATTATTTATTGTTATTCCTTCTGCATGGAATAAAGAATCCAGTACAAATTGACGTAATGTCTACTATCTAGAGTTTTACTAACATTTAGTTTTTGTACAGCTAAGTAATACCTACCCAGTAGAGAAGAACTAGAAAACACAGAAAAGCGCAAAGAAGAAAAACAAATTATCCAGAAACCTCATCTGGCGTTCAGTAAGATTTTTAGTGCATTAATCCTGAAAATCCAGCAAAATCAGGACCATGGTTTATCTAAGGGTAATGAGAAATAAGATTTCTGTATTAGAGAGATTGAGCTTTTTATTGAAATACAGGTAGTTACAAAATATTTCTTAAATGCATGTTACACATTAGTAATAGGATGGGGCAGGAGAGTGGGTAGAGAATAAAAAAATAAATTAGACACAGTTGCTCTTTATAGACTTTTACCTAAATATGAAAAAAATCAACTTCATCATGGTTCATGGAACAATTATAGGAAAAGGTAAGGAAATGAAGATTGAACTACAGATAAGTCGAAGCGAGAGAACAGATTGCTATGCCATTACCATAAGTGATAAACCTGAAATCAATAAAGGATGTGCCTTCATATACCCCATGGAATACTATGCAGCCATAAAAAAGAATGAGTTCATATCCTTTGCAGGGACATGGATGAAGTTGAAAACCTTCATTCTCAGCAAGCTAACACAAGGACAGAAAACCAAATACCGCATGTTCTCATAAGTAGGAGTTAAACAATGAGAACACAGGGACACAGGGAGGGGAACGTCACACACGGGGGCCTTTTGGGGGTGGGGGGCAAGGGGAGGGAGAGCATTAGGACAAATACCTAATGCATGCAGGGCTTAAAACCTAGATGATGGGTTGATAGGTACAGCAAACAACCATGGCACATGTATACAAACCACATGGCACATATAACAAACCTGCATGTTCTGCACATGTATCCCAGAACTTAAAGTAAAATTTTTAAAAAAAGAATATGCCTTATCTAAGGTCTCACATGTGGGACCAGCACTCAAAACCGAATTCAGGATATTCAATTCAATTAGTTATGGAAGAAGACCTTTCATGAAGAAGACACAATCAGTAATGGTGAAATTGAATTGATTCTCAAAGTTTCTAGTAGTTTTGTTTGTTTGTTATGACTGAGTACATACATCAAATTTTAATACCACTAAGAAATAATCCTTAGTACTTATGCAGTTAAAACAAAACCAATATAACTTACCTATGAAGTAGAAGAGAGAAAGATTTTTGGAAATGAACATACCCCAAAACAATAGCTCTCAATTTGATAACAATAGCTCTCAATTTGATAACAATAAAATAAACATTAAAAAGTCATTTAATTTTAAATACCTTTCTTTTTCATAATCAATTAAGGATGCTTTCTTGAGTTTCATATCTGTTTTCAACTCAGTTTTATATAGCTTTGCTTAATTTAAGAATTTATTTTCAGTCTATGAACTTTCTCTACAAAGCAGCAAACAGTTTATCATTTTTTGCTATCACTTTCAAATTCACTAGAAATATGGATGGATGCTCATTTGTAGTCAAAACATTTCCAGAAGGATTTACAAGCTTTCTTCCCAGGACTTTATACAATCATTTTTCCAGATGTAAGTTAAAACATAAATACAAGTGCTGTGACTTCTATTTTAGCACTCCACAAAATACAAATATACTATAAACAAGTGCCACTATGAAACACAGGGCTCACCTATTTTTTATAGAACAGGGACCATAGTCTGGCTGTTGGACATAGGACTGTAATTATGAGTAAGAAGATCAACTATTAGAACTGGAAATTACCATGGAGGTCTTCAAGTCCAAAGCCTTTGTTTATGTCTGAGGAAACTAAGAAAGGGAAAGAGGCTCATCCAAAGTGCATATTCAATGCAAATGTCCTGACAGCCTACAGTGTAATGACCTGCAGCAGAACTTCATAATAAGCTCACTTCAATCTCACCAATACTGTAATTTTGCTTAATAGTCAATCAAAGAGTAAATGTTTAGTGTGCCAACAATATGATTGACACTACATTAGAGATTAAAGAATACAATAGTTTAGATGGATGGATAGTTGGATAGATAGATGATAGATAGATAGATAGATAGATAGATAGATAGATAGATAGACATAAAGAACATCATAATATAATCTTCACCCAAAACAAGTTTATTATGTGGAAGCAAAAGGAAAAAAATCATGATTCAACATGATACAATTCACAAAGTCATATAATATCATTCATTCATTGATTAGGCATTGAGTGAGTACCTACTGTGTATAATGCACTCTGCTAAGTGCTGGGATTCAGATAACAATTTTTTGAGAATTTCCCAACCTAGTGGTGGAGATAATCTTGTAAAACAACTGTAGTGAATGCTTTAATAGAGGATCTATATAATAGCATAGAAGGGAGAAAAGCTTCTGGAAAGGTCACAGAGGGCTTCACAGGAAAAAACCCACATGAGCAGAGTTTTAAAGGATGAGTAGAGGCTGGGTGTGGTTGCTCACACCTGTAATCCCAGCAGTTTGGGAGGCCAAAGCGGGTGGATCACTTGAAGTCAGGAATTGGAGACCAGGCTGGTCAATATGGTGAAACCCTGTCTCTACCAAAAATACAAAAAAAAAACTTAGCCAGGCTTGGTGGCGTGTACCTGTAGTCTCAGCTACCCGGAAGGCTGCGGCAGGAGCATCACTAGAACCCAGGAGGCGGAGGTTGCACTGAGCCGAGATCGCTGCCACTGCACTCCAGCCTGGGCGACAGAGCGAGACTCCGTAAAAAAAAAAAAAAAAAAAAAAAAAAGTAGGAGATTACTATGCAAAGAGACGGAGTGAGGGGAAGTATCCCTGATAGAGGGGCAGGCACAGTGAAAGACACAGAGGAGTGAAACAGCATAGAGTATCTGCAGAATGGCAGAATGGCAAGTGTGGTAGAGAAGACGGGTATAACAGGAGGCGAGAGGTCAGAAAGAGTGAGATATTGACACATTTTGAACATCATGTTATGTTGTTAGTGCTTTATCCTGAAGGAAATGAAAAGCCAAGGAGGGGTTTTAAGCTGGAAGAAAAATGTTATCAGACACACATAATGAAAAGGTAAAAATTATCATTAGTTTTACTTCTGAAAATGTAATCTAGGGATATAATAATGTATACATGCAAATGGTTAGCTATAAAGATGTTCATCGTTGTGATGTTTGTAATAACCAGAAACTAAAAACACCTTAAATGTCCAAGAATGGAGAATTGGTTTAATAAATGTTAGTACTTTACTAAAATGGATAAATGGGTAGAAATGGCAGATTAAGCACATACCAAAAATTCCATCTTCCACTCTGAACTCCGAAAAAAAAAACGGTAGAATAAGTAACTAAAAGATGCAACAAAATAAGTTATATAAAATTGAAAACTGCATACTCTAAGAATGAAAAAATTTCTTCATCGTGGAACCAGAGCGGCAACCCACAGCTATAAGCGGAGACAAAACTACTATTCTACGGGGAACTGGGAAGGAATATAAACATTGGGTCAGGATTCTTAATGGGAATATTCAATGGGGGACAAATATGACTCCTGCCTAGTAGGAGAGTCTGAGATAGGCTCTCCAAATAAATGCAGAAGCTGAGATTGCACTGCCTACCTTCAAAGAGAAGAGTTCTTCCCACTCTCCTAGGTCTGTGGCCAGAAATGTGCCACTCTGAGGGCAGAAGCAGAAATTCGGCTTCTGCTGGTTTTCTGCTGGTACACAGGGTCTGCGTGGTACACAGATGCAGGACCTGAAATTTGACTACCCAGAAACGGCAGAACTCATCCTGAGATGCTATCATGAGACCTGGTTTGGAGCTGTGCATCGTGTAGGTCCCAGAATTTAAAAACTGCAGAACTCCCTGCACTACTAGAGAGCAATCTCCAAAGAAAATGACACCTCAAATAAGAATCCTAAAGCACATGAAAAAGCTCAGCAATGGGACATAAAGCAACCAGATCCAACAAACAGGATAATCCATATCCACGAAATAGAGAAAATAGATAAATCTGAATAAGACTTTTTAAAAGGAGGATTAGAACCCTCAGAGAAAAGAACAGACTAATAACCATGATAAGAATTGAAAGAATCAGCAGTTAGGAAATTAGAATAAGCAAATAAGAAAAATGCAAAACGTGAAACACAAATAAATATGCTCTAATATGTTTCATAGGTATTTTAAAAATTGTTAGAGCATAAAAGAATAGGCAAGCAAACAAGATAAGATTTTTAAAAATAAAATATGGCTATTGGAATAAGAATCTCAATAGATACGCTAAATCGTATATGTTAGAGTAGAATATTGTATTAGTGAAATGGAAGTTAAAAGATTATGATAGAAAATGCAAAACATGAAAAAATAGAAGAGATGTTATTATGGCTAGGACTTTTCCAGAAATTGAACATTGACATGAGTGTGATTGACAGATGGAACAGCTCTTAAAGTGTGGTCCCAGCACAGTGGTTCACGCCTGTAATCCCAGCACTTTGGGAAGCTGAGGTGGGCGGATCATGAAGTCAAGAGATCAAGACCATCCTGGCCAACATAACAAAATTCCGTCTCTACAGAAAATACAAAAATTTAGCTGGGCATGGTGGTGGGGACCTATAGTCCCAGCTACTTGGGAAACTGAGGCAGGAGAATCGCTTGAATCCAGGAGGTGGAGATTGCAGGGAGGCAGAGGTTGCAGTGAGCCGAAATTGTGCCACTACACTCTAGCCTGGAGACAGAGAAAGACTCTGTCTTAAAAAAAAAAAAAAAAAAAAAAAAAAAAAAATTGGTGTGATCCAGAGAATCCTGGATGTCCCCAGAAATTCTACAAGGAGTGCACAAGGTCACAGTTATTTTTCCAATAATATTAAATTGTTATTTACCTTTTTCATTATCATTTTCTTATGATAATGTGTTTTCCAGAGGCTCCATGACAGATGATGACATTGTGTAATAAACTGTGTCAACATACGAAAGAGCTGCATGACTCAGTGAACCAATATTTTTCAAATGATCAATATATGATATTAAAGCATATTCCATCAGCAAAACATCCATTCAAATTACAAGGTAGCTAATGTGAAAGAGCATAAAGAGTTAATTGATATGACTTTGAATTCCCTTTTGTCTCTAATCTTTAAGAAACAATCACTGGCTGAGTTTTGATGTAGTGTTAAGAAAAATATCCACAATTATTTAAAAGAACTATTAAAATATTCCTCCATTTTCCAACTATATCCCATACGAGGCTGGATTTTTTAGTATACCTCAACCAAAACAATATTTGCCATATATTGAATGCAGAAGTAGATTGACAATCCAGCTGTCTTTTATTAAGGCAGACATTAAAAGAGACTTATAAAATATAAAATAATGCTATTCTTCACACTAATTTTTTGTTTTCAAAAATATAGTTATTTTAATAAAAATATATTGCTTATAGTAGCATGTAATAATTTTAGTTACTTATTTTTAGTAAATAACTATTTTTGCATTCCTCAGTTTTAATTTTTAATAAGGTAGGTATTAATAAATATAAATCAAATAAAAGCACATTAAAATCTTCAATAATTTTGAAGTATATAGATCTTCTGAGACCAAATGTTTTAGAGTAATCATCACACGTGGACAATCTTTAACAACAATAGTATTTTTGAAATAATAATAATAATGTTGTGAATAATATAAATTGCCATACAATAAAAAGGCCAGGATATGATGTACATGTATCCATTGGGATAGATCTACGGGCAGATCAGCCTTTCTACATATAATATGAGCACAATAAATAGACCAGTGTTCTTGGTTTGTTGATTGCAAAGTACTTGGACTCACAAACAGTTAAAGCACTGAATAAATGTTTATAGAGTCCCTTACCTTCAAAGAGTCTGCAGTCTAGTACATCAATAAGAATGGTTAAAGCATTATTTTTGTTATCATAGACATATATACAAAGTATAATGGGGACCCGAAGGATAGTTTGAATCTCCTCGAGACTCAAGGAAAGGCTTCATGAAGGGGACAGAAATTGAATTGCAAAGGTGAGTAGATGTTTTCCAGGTACAGTGAAGATAGATAAAATGGGAGAGCGATCTGGGCTGAGCAGTACCAAATCCATGACATCTGGCTCAGCTGGATTGTAGATGGTAATCTCAGGGAATCACCTAGATCTATCTTATTTGTCAGATTTCATGTCTATCCTAGCTTGGAAACTGGAATATCGTAAGTACGAAAATAGGTTTTCAATGAATAAATGGAAGGCATGGAAAGAGAGGGAACTGTTGAGGAAGACAAAGACCAGGTTATGAATGTTTTTACATACCAAGTAAAGGAATTTAGATTATCCTGCAGAGCTTTGAAGTTAGACAGCAGGAAAACATTAAAAGAGAGTGATGTGATTGTTTTTGTGCTTTAGAAAAAACATCTCTAGTAGTACAGTAAAATAATGTTTTGCAGGGGAGAAAAGTGGAGATCAGGTGAACAGTTGGGAAACTAGAGATTATATCCCATTTACCATTGATTCTGGATTAGGTAAACAGGATTCAAAGATATCAATTATTAAAGACAAAATATTTGTGGGGCTTTCAGCGGAAATTCCATGTATTGGTCATGTTCTCTAATCACCAGTTTTCTAGCAGTCAAAAGTTAACCCAACGTTTGGTAGACGCATGGGACTAATAGGCAGAAACACCCATAACCATTTACCAGCTGTGTGTTTTGGGGCAAGTCCATAGGCTTCAGTTTTTTCTTCCACTGTAAGACGGACATGAAATGCCCTTTATGATATTTACACACTTTCTGTAAAGATCACGTACAACGATAAATGGGATAACTCTTTATACCTTGGAAATAGTCTTCTAGTTAGGGGAGAAACTGAAGGCTGCGGTGAAGTGGAGGCATTCAATAAAGCATCTTGTGCTTCTTGACCAACACACACACACACACACACACACACATACACACACACACACTCACAAGAACATTCAGACATCATCTAAGAAATCTGAATCCCATGGTCATTGCTAAAATTATGTGATTACAAGTTTAGTTTAAAGGAATAAATAATTTTTCATAATTAACTGGATTTAAATAAAACTATCACCATAGCAAGGAATTCATACAGACAAATTTCTTTATTTCACTGATGAAGAAACTGAGACCCAAAGACAGAGTGCGGCTTACTCAACATTAAAGCAAGTTAACAGCCAAGCCAGCACTAGAGCGTAGCTCTCTTGACTTCCAGTCCAATAGTCTTCTATAGTAAACTGCAGGAATATGACAATAAAAGGAAATAATACAGAGGCTTTATGTGTTTCATAGAATCTCATAGTTGTGAGAAGAGCCTGGGGTGGGTAGGAGTGGGTGATAAAGTAAGGCAACTCCTCTGATACACACCTCCCAGACCAAATGCTTTGAGGGCAACTCTGGATTTTTATAAGTATTTAAAAATAAGATTTTCCTGTTGTCATAAATAAATAAAGAAATCACTAAGTTATCTGAATGTTCTTTTTTTTTAAAGTCTGGTATGGACAAACCTGAAAATTCCAAGTAGATGAACACACATTAAAATTGTCATTCTAGGTTGATATCCATGCACCCATCTCTACTTACCTCAAATTCCTGCACACGTATTGCCGTGCAGCTTGGAAAGATGCATACAGCTTTTACCCATGACTAATCATCACATTTTACCACTTCAAACACAGGGGACAGATCCGTGAGAAGGCACAGTTGTTTATCAAACCGTTGAAGTGATAACACAAACAAGCTTCTTTAAAAGCAAAAGAGCACAAGAGTAGACTGTGTGGGCTTCGTTTTGTTCCCTTTATTGACCCATTTGCTTAAATTTTCATAAATGTTTCAGTTGTTGAACATTCTGCTGCCAAGGAATTCATCAAGGCCATAGAAATATGCAGCTCAGGTACAAAGATGAAGTTTGGAACTCTTGGCAAGAGCTGGCCTTGATCCACTGAGTTTCCTTGCCTTATCTCTCCTGTTCAACTCAATTTCAGTGGATATTTTATGAGCTCCTACTGTGTGCTACATTCTAGGCAAGACACACTTGGAAATGGAGAAAAAAATAAGGCATAAAGTCCAATCCAAAAGGCAATAAAAGAAATGCATAAGAAAGGTGCAGCTGTAGTGGTTTTGCAATCACTTCAAGTTGGAGGCTTTTAGTGATTGAGTGATCACTTCAAGTTGAAGACTCTCCCTGGGAAATGATAATGTTGAACCAGTCCTTAATAGGAAATTGAGGATTAAAAGGGCAGTTTTTGTCCAGGAAATGAGCAAATCCAGGTGATCTAACTCCATAGGCTTCCTGACATGAGAAGGTGCTCTCCTCACTCATTTACTCTTTGCTTATATTAGCAGGTTGTCTTGAGGAGCATTAGAAAGGGGCAACCACAAAGAGGCCTGTGGTGCTGGCAAGAAAAACGTAAAGAACACTGTAATACAGAGACAAATCAGTTAAGTATTATAATAAATTGCCCACATCCATAAAAACTACATCCAGAAACCTTTTCCTTTTTTAAAAAATTGTATTTTATTTTAGGTTCTGGGATACATGTGTAGAACGTGCAGGTTGGTTACATAGGTAAACGTATGCCATGGTGGTTTGCTGTACCTGTCAACCCATCACCTAGGTATTAAGCCCCCCATGCATTAGCCATTAGTCCTGATGCTCTCCCTCCTCCTGCCCCCCTGACAGGCTCCAGTGTGTGTTGCTCCCCTCCCTGTGTCCATGTGTTCTCGCTGTTCAGCTCCCACCTATGAGTGAGAACATGTGATGTTTGGCTTTCTGTTCCTGTGATAGTCTGCTGATCATTATGGCTTCCAACTTCATCCATGCCCCTGCAAAGGACATGATCTCATTCCTTTTCTATGGCTGCATAGTATTCCATGGTGTATATGTACCACATTTCCTATATCCAGTCTATCATTAATGGGCATTTGGGTTTGTTCCAAGACTTTATTATTGTGAATAGTGCTGCATTAAGCATACATGTGCATGTATCTTTATAATAGAATGATCTATATTTCCTTTGGGTATATACCCAGTAATGGGATTGTTGAGTCAAATAGTATTTCTGTTTCTAGATCCTTGAGGAATCACCACACTCAGACAGCTTTTCAAATCATCTAATTCTTGACTCTAACTCATTCAAAAGTTATTGCTAAGTGTTTTATGACTAGACTCTCTTATTGAGTGATTCCTCCTACATCCAATGTTGCAACTCAAGGAATTTACATTCATACTCAGGATTTTTTTGTGCCCTATCTCATGTAATCCCTAGAACAACCCATGGGGTAGTTATTAACCTTGTGACAAATTATTATGTACCATAGACTTGGGTCAGCTGCTTTGTATCTAATCAAAACACCATGAATGTTAAAAGTACTGATGCCAAAGTCTGGCCACTGTAATCCACAAAAGCAGCAAAAGGCATGCTATCCACTGACTCAATTCTTGTGACACATATTTAGAAACTATACAGTCCATCCACAATTGCATTGTTCATTGCTAAACACTTATTATATTCAGTAAACTGGGCTAAAACAAAATGATAAACAAATGACTATGAATAGTATGTTAGAAAGAAACCCTAGGCCTAGAGACCTGCATAAGGCCCATACTCTGTAATTAAAGGACGGTTTCGAACTTCTGAGTACTCATTTTCTTCTACTGCATAAGGGAGATGAGAGCAGTAGATTTTGTGATCCCTAAGTTGCTTTCCACTGTAAAAAAAAGTTTTTAATTATAATATTAATAAGATACATGCAGTTAGATGAATAAAAGTTTCTGTCAAATGATTACTCTCCAATCTAAAAATTCTCAAAGGTGAAAACTGCTCATTCAAGGAAAGAATATAACCTGTTACTCAGCCTTAGTTGAGGAACAAGACTTTAATGGAGAAATGCTTTTTCCCAAAAGAGAAAATGTACTCTAAACTAGGAGAGAACTGTGTGTGTCCCAGGTTTAGCCATAAATGCAGAAGACAGAAGCCCACTGGGGTTTACAGTTTCTGTCACAGCAAGGGTGTAGAGAAGGATAGGTTTTAGGCCAAACCCTTTGCAAGAACATCATACCCTTTCCTAAGCTTTGCAGCCTTTCCATGTTTTTATTCTTTTTACCATCATCTATCTACCTGTGTGATCATGGTTTTTAATCCTATAAATAGACTGGGCTTCAGTACTTGTCTTTAGGTGCAGAAAGAAAATGGGCAAATGCAGAAACCAGTATCACTTTGGAGACAGTCTTAGGGATAGAGTAAGTGGTAGGAGCAAATCAGTTGAGTGACTAAAGCCTGTAGATGGCCTGAGCACTGGCTAGACCTGGATGGTCCCAGTACACTGCGGCAACAGGGCCTGCCTGGGATGCACTGTGGCCAATGACAGCAATTACGTGAAAGAGTGTGGGTATAAAACTCTTATTCTGTCCTTCAAAGTAAGCAAAAAAAAAAAAGTCCTACTTTTTTTTTCAAGTGAGGCTAAGAAAACAAAATTTAAGATAATTTACATAGTGACATAAATGATAAAACCAAGAATCCTTACATTCATTATTTTATGATATAAGAGGATTATATAATTTATTATGCACACTCAGACATTTTTGAGAGTACAAGGGGATATCATTAATTATCACCCCAAAACAATATAAACAGAGACATATGGCTCTCATCCTTAAAACCCTGTGTTCATTATCCACCATTTCATCTGCTCCATTTTTGTAGCCTAAGAAGGGAGCAGAATACAGGTTTTTATGCCTGTCTTATAGATGAGGAATCTGTTGCTCAGAGAGCTGAAGTGCCTTGTCCAAGATACACAAAAGGTCACCTTACAATATTTGAAGAATAATGCTCAAAGGATTCTTAAAGATAGGAAACATTAAAGAACAAACTAGGAATCAAAACACATTATTAAAATGTTTTCAAGTCAACAATTCCCTGATGTGCTTCACGAGGCACTCAAGAATAGCTAGGCAGATCAGTGGAAACAACCGAGGTCTGCACAGCATGGCTCACCATTTGCATTGGCTGTGAATACTTAGCAAAATCCACTGGTGCCTATACTCCCCTAATAGGGTCTTAAACCCAATACACCACACCAGGTGGTCAGACTCACTCAGGTTGACATATCCTAGGTCAACTGAAACTGGAGAGACACGCTTTTGACAAAGCCTGTCCAAATGGAGAATGTAGAGGAGAAAGAAGCCTCTACTGGGAACCCATCACACAGCCACCAAACCAGAAGACCATATGAGTATTCTCAGTTTCATTTAGCATTAAGTTAAAATAAAAGCATGACTCAGTTCTTCCTCCCCTCTTGCGATGAGTGCTTGGAATCTGTTGGAGCAACCCCTGGCCCAGCTCACATCACTACAAGACAAAAAAGTAAGTAAGATGGTATCACCCAACATCACACTTCCTAGACAGAACAGGAGAACTTCAGAGAAAGAGCTGCAGAGTCCTAGGAGCATAGAGTTGAATGAAATCTAAGAGAACAACACCAACTCCTCTCTTTATGAAATGGAAAGAGGCCTTAAAATCGTGTCTGAGTCACATTGCAAATTAGTGGTAGAGCTGGCAAATTAGAGGTAGACCTCAAGCTTCCTGTTTTGTGGTCCACAGTGCTTTCTAACTCTTTCCATGTAATAATGTACGCAAGTGAATTAGAATGGATTCATTATATGTGAGTTTGTGGGTTGTACTGTGTCTCCCCAAAATTCATATGTTGAATTCCTCACCTACAGTAACTCAAAATGTAACCATATTTTGAGATAGGGCCCTTACACAGGTAATCAAGTTAAAATGAGGTCATTAGGGTGGGCTTTAATCCAGTATGATTGGCATCCTCAGAAAATGGATATTTACATGCAAATATACACACAGGGAGAACACTATGGAAAGATGAAGGCAGCAGTGAGGGCAAGGAATGGCAAAAATTGCCAACAAACAACTTGAAGCTAAGGAAGAGGCATGGAATGGAACAGACTATCCCTAATATTTCTAAGAAGGATCCATCCTTGCTGATACCTCAGCCTCAGACTTCCAGCCTCCAGAATGGGGAGAAAATACATTTCTGTTATTGAAGCCGCTCAGTTTGTGGTACTTTGTTACAGCAGCCCTAGAAAACGAATTCGGTGAGTTTGAGATAGAGGCGCAGTGTTCCTCCAGTGTCTAGTAAGTCACTCATCTGCCATATGGATTTGCTCACCCTGTAGTGACTGTTGTCCTAACCCCAGCCTAAACATGTGCCACAAAGATTGCTTGACTTTACGTAGCATGAAAAGTCCACACCTCAACACATACAATAAAGACGGCCTGTCAAACAGTGACCTTCCTCCTTCCTCACCTTCCAAACTATTACCTCCCCCAACTCCCACACTGAGAGTTAACTGGGCCTAGTTCTATAGGCAAAAGTAAGCCCCACATTGATAATAACTGGTGAACTTCAGGGTTGAGATGACCGTAGCCTTCCCCCTATTCCTGATCTCACCTATACAGATGAGTAGGCCAAAGAAAAACTCCTGAGGTTGTGTCAGGCAAACTTGAGGACATACCGTGATGCTGTCAGAGTTCTGGCCCAGAGCGTTTTATACATACACAGGGAGAGAATTTTTTTCACTTTGAACAGAATTTCCAGTTGTTTCAATATGAATATTTTCTAATCATTTTACTAGCTAGTTCAATATATTGGTTTTTCTTCTTCTAACAGAAAGATACAAAAGGCTCCAAAGAATAGAAACTCTAAAATTGGAAACTGAAAAAACAAAATAGCCATATGTTCTATGCCTGAGCAGAATGCTTTGGCACCAATGGACGCAATGTGACCTCAACCTTTTATTATATTTTTCAATGCAAGCTGCCCCACCCAGAGACATATGATGATGCAAAAGACAGATCCTGGCCTGTCTTCCGTCTCACACAGAGCTGGTACCCTAAGCGGACTCCCAGGCATTAGAAGTTCTGAATTTGGCAGTCCTAATCCATACGTCTGGGGCAGGCTGACTGAGAATCCATTCATCAGAAGAGGAAACACTGGAGTCATTTCCAGATTAAGTCCTGGCACTATATTCTCTACAAATAGAAAGTAATTGTATTGGTAGTGAGTAAGCCTAGCCGGGCTTACTGTCTAAATGCTTTCTAAAGCTACTCTATCATAAGTAAAACATCATAAGAACAGTTATACAATATAGTCCTCACTTTTGGGTTTTCAATTATACAAGTTGCTATCACAACACTCAATGACAAAATGACTAACCTCTAGTTACTATGAGCCTTGACTATGTGACAGGCTAAATGTTCCAAATGCTTTTCACTTATTATTGTGTGCTCATCTTTACAAAACCCTTGTGAGGTAGGTACTCTTACTATTCCCACCTCACAGGTGAGGAACACAGGTAAAGACATGGTTGAGTAAATTACTCAAATTCACCCAGCTAATAAATGGCAGATACAGAATGTGAAGCCAAGCTGACTGCAGAGCTCATGCTTAGAAACCACTATCCTGGTCTGCTTCTTGCACTGAGGGCCACCATTACTGTCACTTTTTTCTCTCCAACTCTGAACTTTTTTGAAGTCAGTGAGGATCCCCTTCTCAGCTCTTCCACCTGCATTTAATGACTGTTGTTGAAAGACTCAAACTCGTTCATGTCCTTATGCTCTAACCAGGAAACAATTTCTCCCTCCACTCAACTTTCTCAGTTTCTCATCGATGACAATTTTTGCCTGGTAGTTGTTTACATACCTTAAACCTCCCTCCTTTCCCCACAGCTTATATATGTGCAAAATTCATAGCTAAGTTATTTCTGCAATTTCCCCGAAGCCCACCATATTCCCTTGCATTTAGTAAGAAGTTCTCCATAAACATTTACGGGATAAAGAAAAACAGGGTCAGTGCATGGCGGTAAAGAATCCAGGGCCTTCCTGAGAGCCAGCCCAGGCCCAGCTTATCTTTCGTAAGGTCCATTTCAATGGGCCCTTAGACAGTGCTCACTGGGTAATGTGGAAGACCTGGAATTCACTCCAGAGCAGTGGTTCTCAATCTTTAATATGCTTCAGAGTCCCCTGAAGACCTTGCTGGGCCTACTCCAGAGTTTCTGACTCAGGGGTTATGCGGGTGAGGCCCAAGAATTTTCATTCTTAAGTAGTTCCCTGGTGAGGTTAACAGTGCAGATTTGGGGGCCACACTTTTGAGAATCTCCGCTCTGGATCCCAGCTTTGGAGAATAGGAAGTATTTTAAGCGAAAAAGAAATGAGTAGATAGTGAGAAGCTCCTTGGTGGAGTAAGGGTATGCAGCAAATAGAGGAGGCACGGAAGGTCATATTTAGATGGGAAATAGAAGCAGCAGGGTAAGTCTGGGATGCAAGAATGTACAAAGTGAGGCACAGGAAGATAGGCAGAAAATGTGGAGTTGACACGAAAGATAAGCAGTTCTGCTCCAACTTCAGATCACAAAGAGATCTAGCCAGGCATGGTGGTTCAATCCTGTAATCTCAGCACTTTGGCAGGGCAAGACAGGTGGATCACTTGAGGTCAGGAGTTCAAGACCAGCCTGGACAAGATGGCAAAAGCCCATCTCTACAAAGAATACAAAAATTAGTCAGGTGTGGTGGTGCATGCCTGTAATCCCAGCTACTCAGGAGGTGGGAGGTCAGAGGTGGGAGGATGGTTTGAGCCCTGGAGTTTGAGGCTGCAGTGAGCTGTGATTGTGCCACCGCACTCCAACCTGGGTGACAGAGCAGGACCCTTTCTCCTCACCGTCCCCCACCCCAGCCTGCCAACCAAAAAAAAAAATCATAGATAGACATCTAGATTCATCTTCTCATACAGGGAGGCCCCAGATCCCGTCCACCACTGCCAACCAGGGATCACACCCAAAGGCCAAACACCTTATTATTCTAAAGCTTCTAAATCACGATGGCTGCTTTTTGTGGCTTCTCCATACAGCTGCACATTATCAAGGGAGCCAGCTAACCAGGCCATGGGGCTTCAGACTTGGGAGCCGAGGACTTTATGTTTCAGTGGCAGGGAAGGAGAGAGTAATTCTTCCTGAGCTGGGGCAGCATAAAATCCTCTCTTCTACTCCCTGACACCAGGTGTATGCCTGATAGTAAAACATCACATTTTAAAAGTGGAAATAACAAAAACAAACATTTTATCTGGCTCCCATGTTGGTGAAAGATTTCTATACTAAGGGCTTTTTTTTCCTTTACTGGAAAAAATAGCTTATCGATGTTTCGCATTGCCTCAGTGTGAAGAAAGCAGTTTGTAAAAGTCAGAAACAGATACCGTAGGGAGTCAGAAATAGATACTGTCAAGGGAGGAATTTTGTTGGGTCCTCAGAAAAGTCTGGAAGTGGACACCACTGTTCCAAACCTTATTTTGAACAAAGAGCTAGAAAAAGTGGGGAATGATTAGAAGATTAATGCCATAACCAGGTGAAAAACAAGATGACTGCTGCCGAAGGAAATGGTGCAAAGGGCACAAGGGACTATGCCCAGGACACAAGGGGAAAGAGGTCCAAGGAGCTGGAAGAGCTATAAACCCAACGGACTCCAGCAGGAAAGCAGGTGGTGGTGGCCTTCGGTTGGGAGGTGGTAGTGGGGGGAGGTTATGAAGAAAGGAGTTTTTGCAGGGGTTATTCAGGTCATCACATGGTGAAAGCCAAAGAGGTCAGACTGTGTTGTGAGGACTGGAGCGGACAGAAGAAAACTTTCCGCAATGAAAAAGACCAGTGATTGCACAGCAGGAAACCCAATAGGAAACGTGAGAGGCATAAGAACAGCCCAGCCAGACAAGCTGTGGTTCACAATGTGACTTGCTTCCTCTCTTTTAACCATAGCATCTACATTTATAAATGAATACATTCTATTAAGTTTTCTCTGAGGGTCCTCCTAGCTCCCAAATCCATTAGGAAGTATATTCTTGCATTCATTCAGTCCACAAGAACTTAAGCACTTACTATTTGCCAGGTCATTAGATGCTAGACTCATAATAATAAACAAAAGTGTCCCTACCTATAAAGCCCAGGCTCATGAGCTTCCAGGATCAAAGAATAGGAATAGTTGGAAGCTACTCTAAATGAGACTAAATAATGTATTTACATAAAGACATTTAGTAAGGGCCTGTGCTGGGCTCAGCTGAACAAGTCTTCAGGTTATTTGGTTGTTCAATAATATAGGCAGCTTGGGAATATACTTGTAAACATTTTATTTATTCAATACTGTTTCTGTCTATAAGCCACCTGGCTCAATATAATATAGAGCACAGAATTAATGTCTTCTTAAAAATGATAAAGGGTCAGAATAAGGGAGGCCAGTTAGGCCTCCACTGCAGAAGATAAGAGGTGAGGAATGTGAACTGAGACAGCAGAACCAAAGGGATATAACAATGTAAACTAGAGACGATAAAAGGGGTGACATAAAGTCAGACTAGGTGAGGAAAGGGCTGCCTTAGGAATGACTAAGTTTCCACTCTGAGTGCCTATGTAGATTGTGGTGTCATTTGGCAAGGTGAGAAAAGCAGAAGGGAGTGACTGAGGAGAAGACAAAGAGCTCAGCTGGAGTCAGTAGAGTTCGAGGTGCTTTGGTTCTGAAGTCCAGGAGAAAGTTCTAGACTGGAAGAATACAAGTCGTGAGATTCTAGGCGGCAGGTGAAGACAAGAAGTAGATGATAGTGGCTAGATTGAGGCCTCTGCCTTGCCTCTACCAATCTCTAAAAATCCCTGTGACCAGAGGGATTTAGAAATGAATAAAGAAAGAGCATGAAAGAGAAAAAGTCAGTTAACTGGAAGTCATTTTTTAAAGTTTTCTATTTTTTCCTTTCCCAAATATCACCCAGATCCTCCTTTTTTCAAGGAAATATCTTTATTCTTGCTTTACAGATGGGCATACAGGGAGCAATGATGTATGCTCATCACCCAGATATTTACTCCAGAAGCTGGCTGAGGTCATAAAAATCATCTAGTCAGCCAACACCTACATGCAGAAGAGGAGGAAAGGCAACATGCTGAGGGTCACCATAGAATGACTGCATTTTTTAAAAATTTGTGCCCCAAGAAAAAAACACACATACAATGTTTCATAGACATTCCATAGTGTCAGATTGGGAAGCCATTCTTCTCTGCCCACCCTTTTTATAAAAATGGAGATGTTAAGACAGTGACAGGTAGAATGGTTTGCCCATCATTTTCTCATGAGTTGACTGAGTCAGACAGTCAGAATCTGGGCTCTTGATTTCTCTTTTATAATAAGTTTCCTTAGACCGGGAGAAATGGTGACACACATCTCAAGTTTTATGTTTCAGTAATTCTCCCAGCAGTGGTCTAAAGAACCCTCATTAACCATATGGCAGCCCTGGTACAAGCAAGGTAAACAGCAGACACCCAATATTATCTGCTATAAGCCCCTGAACGCACACAGCTGGTGCACACACAGTCATGCATGTTTTTTCCAATCCCCATTGTTTCCCATGTAAATTTTGCATGAAAATTTCCGTCCGGGTCCCAAATCTGAGGTCTTGAGATAAGAAAACCTAAATCTAACCCTGACTCCAGCTCCACCTCTGCTGTTTACTAATAACTAGCTTGGGAGATTCTCTTCACCTCTGGATCTCAGTTTCCTCACCTGTCAAGTGAGAGGTTTAGACTAAATGATTTCTAAGATTCATTCCTCCTCAACATTGTATGAGGTCCCAATAGATAACTTATTTAATATGAAATATCATCCTCTGAGAATTACAGTGTTATACAACAAAGAATTTGGTCTTTGTCCTGGGCTTCTGGGATGGAGACTCGAAACCTTTGAAATTTCCCAAATCATCAGAGTGTCTGTGATTCATGCTGGGCCCATGAACCACACCTGAGTTTGAGTTAAGGAGGTGTCTCTGGATGCGGGCTAGTCCTGCCAGAAAGACCAAACATGTAATTAGAGGGTTGCAACTTTGAGCCATGGGTCAGAAGGAGAGGGAAGTTGTAGGTTGACTTCGTTCATGTGGCCAATGACTCAATCGGTCATGCCTAAGTAATAAAACCCTAATAAAAACTCTGGACCTTGAGGCTCTGGTGAGCTTCCTTGTTGGGGAATGTATCAATGTGCCAGAAGGGTGACATGCTGTCATGGGGAGAGGGCATAAAAGCTCAATATTTGAAACTCTTAGAAACCTCACTCTATGTGTCTCTTCGTTTGGCTGCTTCTGAATCGTATCCCTAATAATAGAACTATAATCCTAATACTTTACTGGGTTTTGTGAATTGTTTTAATGAATTATCTAACCTGAGAGGGTCATGGGAAATCCCCTTCCAAATTTGTATTCAGTTGGTGAGCAGTGAAAGCAGCCCAAGGAACCCGAACTGGCAGCCAGCGTCTGAAATCAGTGCAATCTTGTTGGGGATTGCGTCCTTAACCTGTGGAGTCAGTGCTAACTCTGAGCGGTTAGTGTCAGATTTGACTTGCAGCATTACGTACAATATACCTACTAGACAATAATTATAATTTATATGTGTTCTCAGACAAGTAAATGGACTCTAAACACCTTCTACAAGTGCTCCTTGGCTTACAGTTACTGGTGTGCTGTGGTGGCAGCATCGGTGTTATGTGATTATAAGAGACTAGCTACTGATAGTGTTTTCAAATCATGGTTATGTTGGTGTGATGAATGACATAAAAAATTGTTTCAAGATGTCAAAGAGGACACACTTGTCTGCACCAGCACCTCCTAACAGGGCTTAAAACAGAAACATTTCCCCGCTCTATTAAGCAGCTGTTACAAAGTTTAAAAAAAAATTTTTTTCTAGGGGGCAGCCATCATTATTCAGGTGTTGAATAAAGCCCTGCCTAATATATCATCTCTTTAAATGCTACTCTGCGGGGCTTATTTTTATCACTCTCAAGCAATTCAAATGTTGGTCATCCAGAAAATTCATTTCTTTCTTTCCTTCCTAAAGGCACAGGCAACAGAATTGAAATCACTGATGTAAACTGAGCCAAAACAGACTTAGGAATATCTTTCTGTTCGGCTGCAACTCAACCTCCATTCCCTGCGCAATAGGAAGCATCAATTAACTGATCATAACCAGCAGAAGAAAGAATATCTGGAATTCTTTTGTGAAAGGTCAACTTAAGTTCCAGAGTCGTTCTCATCCTGTATGATGCTGTAAGAGACCAGCATCTCCCTTCCATGATACCCAGTCCCTGTATTCCTAAGAGTCATCTTGGGAGTGCCTGCTCTCGATGCAACATCTTAGAATCCTCTCCCAAAGGTTATGAATCGGTAGTTTTAAGTTTGATCCCATTAACCTGCATGGTTCAACCCTTCCAGGTAATTCTGACACAGGCGATCTGCAGAAACACTCTCTGTTGCTTTTCCCCAAAGGTCACCACTGAGAGGGCACATGCTGTCCAAGCTGCCTGTGTTAACGGGGTTAAAACGGAAATACGCATCAGACCCACCAGAAGATCTGTGATACAATGTTAGTGAGCAGTGAGTAATCATCACGAGTGATTTGTTATAAAAACAGATCTAAAGCTCCTTGACTCTGAACATGCCAATCAAGACCAACTGATCAGGGTTTGTTTTTTTTTCATTTGGAAAAAGGTCAAGCAGCTGCCCGTTTGCTTTTTTCTCTCCAGGGCCATTTTAGGAAGTTCATCTGCTCTAAACAGCTGTTCTCAAGTAGAATTGATCCCTGCAGAAAAATGACTGTGGGACCACACTCCAGAGGTGACATATGTTAAACTATTTTTCAGTTTCAGCTTACCTTTGAAAAGCATATAAGAATAGCAGTCTCTCTTTTCAGTGATTCAAAATCAGGGTTTAAAAGCGTATTTTGATGATCATCATCAAATTTCTATAAAGTGTTATGTTTATAATGCTCTCTTTTTAGTTGTCATGACTTATATTTAGATAACACTTTTTCTTTATCCATTCAATATTTTTCAGTCTACAAAGTTCATTCATATCATAGTCTTCATTACAATCCTTCAAGCAGGCAAGGAATCTATAATAATATTAACCCAGGGCAGATAGTAATAAACACAACGTGGATGAGGGAGACTGACCTTGTTGTTCAAATGTCAACTCCCCTATTTACTTGTGTTATGTGGCCTTGGGCATATTTACCTCCTTGTGCCTCAGTTTCTTCATCTGTAGAATGAAGATAATAGTATCCACATCATAGTGTTGTTGTAAAGATTACAAAGTTAGTATCTTTTTTTTTTGAGACAGAGTCTCGTTCTGTCACCCAGGCTGGAGTGCAGTGACACGACCTCAGCTCACTGCAACCTCTGCCTCCCAGTTCACGCCATTCTCCAGCCTCAGCCTCCCAAGTAGCTGGGATTACAGGGGCCCGCCACCACGCCCGGCTAATTTTTTTGTATTTTTAGTAGAGATGGGGTTTCACCGTGTTAGTCAGGATGGTTTTGATCTCTTGACCTCGTGATCCGCCCGCCTCGGCCTCCCAAAGTGCTGGGATTACAGGCGTGAGCCACTGTGCCTGGCCTACAAAGTTAATATCTCTAAAGTGTTTAGAACACAGTAAGCACTATAAAAGTTTGTGAAATAAAATTATACTCAACAAGCATTTGAGTGCTCACAACCAAATAACAAAGGCACAGGGATAAAAGATTTACACCCCAGTTCCTGTTCTCCAAGAGCTCGCAAAGCAGAACTGAGAGGGAGACAAAAATTCAAATAACTGTAAAACAGTTTCTTAGGTATCGTGAGAGAGTAGTGGGGGCACATCAGACAAGGGGAAAGGTAGGGAAGGAGGTGACAGCAGGTACCAGCACGGAGGAGAGTATAAATAGATAGCAGAAATTTCCCAGGAAAACCGGAAGGATGGAAGAGGGAGAGAATCGGACTTCAGGCTAAGGGTGCAATATTTGAGAAAAATAATAATACTTCCAAATCTTTCCTATCTATTATATATAAGGACTGTGATAAAAAGATTTACTTACTTTGTTTTTGAATCCTGACAATAGTATTTTAAGGTTGTCCTCACTGTTATCATTTTTTAAATTAAGAACATGGGACTTAGAAAAGCTTACAGTATATTTCTCCAGGAGAATATACTGTAAGTGGCAGAGCCCATCTGTCTCCATGACTGACACTGAACAGGCTGTCTCTCAGGCACTCCTGAGCCCTGGAGGCAAAGCGTGGCGCAATCAGGGATGTTGTGAAGAATGGAGAAGGAAGGAGCTAGAAAGAGTTGGAAGGTGAAAAGAAGGGCTTTTCATGTGCTGATTTCGTATTCATATAGGATAGATGTGAGCATGTCGATTAGCTGAGAAGTCAGTAGAGAGGATGAAAATATCAGCGTCTTAGAAGTAGGTGCTGATGCAGCATCCCACAAGACACAGGAGGTGACAGCATCTAGGGGAAACCTTGACTGGCTTAAAATGAAAGGAGAGCCAACTCTTGCTCTGAACAAAGAAGAGAGAAAGACAGGCACAGAGGCAAGTTTATAAATGATAAAAAGGGTCAGAAAGTTGGAACCGAGACTGAAATGTAGGCTTGTATGATCTTAGCGAGGAGAGTCACTGAAGTCAATGGAAGACATCCCACACCACTCCCCATCACCACAACCCCAAAAAGTGTCCAGTTTGGGCACCCACCATTCTATCTCACCGACCTCATGCCCCGGTTGTTCTGAATGTAGTGCCATTGTTTATTAAGATATTAACTTACATTTGTTCTTCTCTTTTTCCTGTGCTATTTGAAGTGGGTTACTTAAGGTAGTATTTCCTTGACTCAGGTATTTTTTCAATAAGAAAAACAGAAGTTATTTGGAGATCACAGGTCTTAGAAAAGACTATACTCAGCAAGGAGATGTGTAAGGCTCAGGGATGGAGGTATATGAGGGAAAGAGATTTCTTAAGAATATCTATATGTAACAAAACTGCACGTTCTGCACATGTAATCGAGAACTTAAAGTACAAAAAAAAGACAATGACTTTTTTCTCTAATTTTTTTTTTTTTTTTTTTTTTTTTTTTTTTGAGACGGAGTGTCCCTCTGTCACACAGGCTGGAGTGCAGTGGTGCCATCTCGGCTCACTGCAAGCTCCGGCTTCTGGGTTCATGCCATTCTCCTGCCTCAGCCTCCCGAGTAGCTGGGACTACAGGCACCCGCCACCACAACTGGATAATTTTTTTGTATTTTTAGTAGAGACGGGGTTTCACCATCTTAGCCAGGATGGTCTCCATCTCCTGACCTCGTGATCTGCCCGCCTTGGCCTCCCAAAGTGCTGGGATTACAGGTGTGAGTCACCGTGCCCAGCCCTCTGATTTATTTTTAATAAAATAGTCTCTCACATCAAAAAAAAAAAAAAAAGAATCTCTAGATGAGACAAATATTTGCCTTGGGACTAAAAACATATACACAGGGGTATTAAGAGGAAGCAGGGTGGAGACAGTCAGTAGCATTCTGGGGAGTGATGGCCATGTGACTTGCCTGGGGATCTGAACCCCAGGCAAAGGGCAGTTCTTGGTGGCAGTGAAGACTCTCACGCCCCACACATGGCACATATTCCATAACAGTGGCCAATGACCACAAATGGGTTAAGGCTCATAAGACCCAGGCAGAACTTTGACTCTGCCTGGTAGGTGGGATAAGGTCCAATAGTGACTGACAAATAATTCACCACCAAGGAGAGGTAGTCAAAGTCAGAATTGGGTTGGCCTAATTTAAAGGAAACAAAGAACAGCTGCTGTCTCTAAAGGAGCTCCGGCCCAGGGGCCCAGCCATCACCACCATGTCCACACCCAAGGTTGTCCCCTGCAGCAGGCTAGGGCATGCACCCAACCCTGCCCCTGTACCTGTGCATGTGTAAGTAGCAGGCCCCACCCCCCAGCTCCTGCCTCCACCACTATTCTTGTACCCAGAACTGGCCCTTGCAGCTGCCTAGGTGTGCATATCTCCAGCTCAGGCCCACTACTGCCTACACACATGTAGTCAGCCTGACCCCTGTCCCAACCCGCAGCTGACACCTGCCATCATGCATGTGTACACTGCCAACCTCTGCCACAACATGTGCACATGCAGTCAGTCCTAGCCCCTTCCTTTGCTGCCAGCCCTTGCCACGATGCACAAGCTTGCCACTGACCTTGGCTGCCACACACATGCCTTCAGCCAGCAACTGACCTTGGCTGCCACACACATGCCTTCAGCCAGCAACTGACCTTTGCTGCCACACACATGCCTTCAGCCAGCCGCCACAGCTGAGCACACGCACACCACTGACTATGGTCCCCATCACTTTCTGCCCCAGCCCCTTGCCACCAAACTCAGAGACACTACTGAGGACCCTCACAGCCATAGCAGACCTCACACAGCTCTTGCCACCAAGAACGACCTAATTGCCAATGTCATGGACCCCCAGCTTTCTGAGCCAATGAGACACCACATCCACCCCTTGACCTGGAGCTACTGTATACTTCCATTCATGGTGCCCCACACCACTACACCTGGTGCCATGGCACGCCCCAGCATGCATCCCTCTATAACCACCCCCCAACCTCTGCCACAGGTGAGGGTCTTCTCTTACCAAAACCAGTCTATAAAGTTTGGAAAAAGAATGCACGCATCAAATGCTACATTTGTAAGGCTTTGTAAGGCTACAAGAATTATGAAGAATCAGAGGAATATGAAACCAAAGGAACACAATAAACTTCTAATAAGTGACCTTAAAGAATTGGACATTGTCTATGGCCATACCACTCTGAATATGCCCAATCCTGTCTGATCTCAGAAGAATTGGAGATTCATGAATTTTATAACAAAGAATTCAAAATAATTCTCTAAAGAAGCTCAGTAAAAAATAAAACAGTATAGAGATTTCTGAAAAACTAAAAATACTATTACTATATAATCCAGCATTTTCACCAATGGATATTTATTCAAAGAAAAGGAAATCAGTATGTCAAAAGGATACATGCACCCCCGTGTGTATTGCAGCAGTATTCACAATAGCAAAAACATGGAATCAACCTAAAAATTCATCAGTGGACAAACGGATAAATAAAATGTGGGATATATATATAATGAAATACTATCTAGCCATAAAAAAATAAAATTATGTCATTTGCAGCAACGTGGACTGAATTGGTTGGAGGTGATGTTAAGTGAAATAAGCCAATCACAGAAAGACATATGTTCTCACTCATATGTGGGAGCTAAACAAGTCAATGTCCAGGATGTAGAGAGTACAATGATAGATATCAGAAGATGGAAGGGGTATATGGATGTTGGCGATAAAGTAAGGTTGGTTAATAGGTACAAACACATAGATAGATAGAAGGAATACATTCTAATGTTTGATACCAGAGTAAGGTGACTACAGGTAACAACAATGTATTATATATTTCAAAATAGCTGGAAGGGAGAATTTGAAATGTTCCCAACACATAGAAATGATAAATACTTAAAGTGATGTATACCCTAAATATCCTGACTTGATCATTACACATTCTATGTATGTAACAAAGTATCACATGCACCTCATGAATATGTACAAATATGTATCGTTTTAAAAGAAGTTCAGCAAACAAGAGAGCACAAAAAACAGTTTAAAAAATTAGGAAACAATAAAAGAACAAAATTATAAGCTCAACAAAATGATAGAAAACATTAGAAAATAACCAAACAGAAATTTTGGAGCTAAATAATACAATGACTGAACAACAGAATGGAATAGAGAGCTTGAAGAAGAATAGATCATGCAGAAGAAATAATAAGCAAACTAGAAGACAGATTGTTTTATATCATATAGTAAGAGTAGAAAAAAGAAAAAAAGGAATGAAAATTTTATGTGATATATAAAACACCATCAAGAGAGCTATTTTTTGCATAATAGGATTTTCAGAAGAACAGAGAGAGAAAGGGACAGAAAACCATTATTTAGAAAAATAATGGCTAAAAACTTCCCACCTGGGGAAAGAAATGAACATGCAGGTACATGAAGCTCAAAGGAATTCAACCAAATTCAACCCAAAGAAGAGTTCACCAAGATACATTACAATAAAAAATTAAGAACTAAGAAAGAACTTTAAAAGCAGGAAGAAAAAAAAAGCAAATCACATACAAGTGAATACCAATAAGGCCATTATAGATTTCTTAGTAGAAACCTTGCAAGCCAAGTGAGAGTGATGATGTACTCAAAATGTGGAAAGAAATAAAACTGCCAGCCAAAAATACATTACATAGCAAAGCTGTCTTTCAGAAAAGAGGGAGAAAAAAGACATTCACAGACAAATAAAAGCTGAGGGAGTTCATCACCACTGGAATTGCTTTATAAGAAATGCTAAAGAGACTTATTTGGGATGAAACAAAAGGCTTACTAATTAGTAACATAAAAACATATGAAAGCATAAAACTCACTGAAAATGTAAATATATAGTCAAAATCAGAATACCATAATACTGAAATGGTTGTGTGTAAGTTGCTTATAGTGCCACTATAAAGATTGAAAGGAAAAAAAGTATTTGAAATAACTACAGCTACATTAACTTGTTAATGGTGATATACAATATAAAAAGAAATAAACTGTGACATCAACAACATAAAATGTGGGGAAATGGTAAAACCATAAAGCTTTGCCTGTGATCAAAGTGGGTATCAGCTTAAAGTAGACATACAGGTATAACTATAAAATGTTTTACATAAGCTTCATGGTAACTACAAAGCAAAAACTTATAGTAGATGCAGAAAAGATAAGAAAGAAATCAAACCACAACACTACAAAAAAAAAAAAAAAAAAATCACCCAATCACAAAGTAAGACAGCAAGAGAGGAAGGAAGGATCTACAAAATATCCAGAAAATGATTAATGAAATATCAATAGTAAATCCTTATCTATCAATAATTACTTTAAATGTAAGTGGACTACATTTGTCAATCAAAAGACATAGAGTGGATAAATTATTTAAAAAAGACAAGACCCAAATATATGCTGCTGACATGAGACTCATTTCACCTTTAAGAACATACACAGACTGAAGATATTTAGTGCAAATGGAAACTTAAAGAGAGCAGAGGTAGCTTTTATATTGGAAAAGCTAGACGTTAAGCCAAAAACTGTTATAAGGGACAAATAAGGTCATTATATAATGATGAAGGGGTCAATGCATCAAGAGTCTACCACAATGATAAATATATAGGTATCCAACATAAGAACACCAAAACATATAAAGCAAATATTAACAGATCCGAAGGGGGAAATAAACAGGAATACAATAATAGAAGTGGGTGTCAATACCCACTTTCAACAATGGATAGATTATCTAGACAAAATATCAATCATAAACTATTAGACTTGAATTACTCTTCAGTACAAATGAGCCTAACAGCCATTTACAGAACATTCTATCCATCAGCAACAGAAAACACATTCTTCTTAATGGCACACGGAACATTGTCGAGTATAGATTAAATGTGGGGTCACAAAACAAGGCTGTGTAAATGCAAGAATATTGAAATCATATTAAGTATCTTTTCCAACCACAATGGTATGAAACTAGAAACCAATAAAAGGAGAAAAATCTAGAAAATTCATAAATATGTGGAAATTAAAGTAAATACTTCTAAACAACCGATGAGTCAAAGAAAAAAATCAAAAGTGAAATTTTAAACTCTCTTAAATCAAACAAAAATGGAAATACAACACACTAAAAACTATGGATACTGTAAAAGCACTCCTAAGTAGGATGTTGGCAGCAGTGAATGCCTACATTAAAAAGAAGAAAGACCTTAAATAAACAACTTAACATTCTACCTCAAAAAACTAGAAAAAGAAAAAGAAACTAAGTCCAAAGTTAGCAGAAGAAAAAAAGTAATAAAGCTCACAGCAGAAATAAATCAAATAGAAACTAGAACTATTTAAAAATCAAAACTAAGAGTTGAGTTTTTGAAAAAATAAAATTAACAAACTTTTAGCTTGAATCACTAAGAATTTAAAAAAAGACACGAGATAAAAAACGAAAGTGGAAACATTACAATAAATGCCTCAGAAATAAAAAGGACATGAAGGACTATCATGAAAAATTATCTGTAAACAAATTTGATAGCCTAAGAGAAATGGAAAATTCCTAGAAACATACAACCTTCTAAGATTGAATCACAAAGAAAGAGAAATCATGAACATACAAATAACACATAAAGAGATTAATGTAGTAATTAAAAACCTCTCAACAAAGTAAAGCCCAGGACCAGATGCCTTGATGGTTGAATTCTACCAGACATTTAAGGAATAATTAATATCCATCCTATTCATCTATTTTAAAAAATAGAAGTAGAGAAAATACATACAAACCCATTTTATGAGGCCACTATTATCCTGATATGAAGGCCGGAAAAATATAGCACAGGAAAGGAAAACAACAGGCCAATACCTCTGATGAACATCGATGCAAAAATCTTCAATAAAATACTAGTAAACCAAGTTTTACAACTCATCTAAAAAGTTATACATTGTGACTATGTGAGATTATCCCTGGGGAGCAAGGTTGGTTTAACATAGGTAAATTAACCAATGTGATACACCACTTTAACAATATAAAAGATTAAAAACCACATGATCAGGCCAGATGCGGTGGCTCACACCTGTATTCCCAGCACTTTGGAAGCCAAGGCAGGCAGATCGCTAGAGCTCAGGCATTCAAGACCAGCCTGGACAATGTGGTGAAACCCTGTCTCTACTAAAAATACAAAAATTAGCCAGGTGTGGTGGTGTGGTTCCTGTGGTCCTGGCTACCTGGGAGGCTGAGCTGGGAGGATCACTTGAGCCTGCAGAGTGGAAGTTGCAGTGAGCTAAGATCACACCACTATAATCCAGCAGCCTGGGTGACAGAGTCAGCAGACCCTGTCTAAAAAAAAAAAAAAAAATCATTTTAATAAATGCAGAAAAAGCATTTGACAAAGTTTGACATCGTTTCATGATAAAAACTCACAAAAAATAGGCATCAAAGAAAATTTACTCAACATATTATAAGCCATTTATGAATAGTCTACATGACAATCAATGGGAGAAAACCAGAAGCTTTTCTCTAGGGTCTGGCTTAAGGCAAGGATGCCTACTCTCACCACTTCTATTCAACACAGTATTGGAAGTACCAGCAAGAATAACCAGAAAAGAAAAAAAAAAATAAAAGGTATCCAAATATAAACTATCCTATTTGCAGGTGACATGATCCTTTATGTAGAAAACCCTAAAGACTTCACAACAAACTCTTAGAATGGTTTTAGTAAAGTTGCAGGATTAAAAAAATACAAAAATCAATTGTATATCTTTACACTAAATATTACCTGTCCAAAAAAGAAATCAAGAAAATAAGCCCATTTATAATAGCATTAAAAAAATACAATGGTTAGAAATAAATTCAACCAAAGAGGTGAAAGATCTGTATACTGAAAACCATAAGGTGAAATAAATTGAAGAAGATACAAATAAAAGATATGTCTTGTTCATATATTGAAATATTAATAATGTTAAAATTTTTATACTCAAAGCAATATACAGATTCAACACAATCCCTCTTATAATTTCACTTTTCATGGAAATTGGAAAATTAATTCTAAAATTTTTATGGAACAACAAAAGTCCCTGAATAGCCAAAGCAGTCCTGTAAAAGAAAAACAAAGTTGGAGGCATCACACTTCCCGATTTCAAATTATATTACCAAGATAAAAACAATATAGTACTACCATGAAAACCGACACATAGACTAATGGAATAGAATAGGGAGGCCAGAAATAAACCCAGGCATATATAGTCAACTAATTTCTGAAAGGGGAAGAAAATACAATGAAGAAAGGAGAGTCTCTTCAATAAATGATGTTGGGAAATCTATATATCCACATCAAAACAATAAAATCAGAACCTTATCTTACACTACAAAATACTCAACTCAATATGAATTAAAGATCTAAACACAGAGCCGTAAAACTCCTAGAAGAATACATGTGAAAAAGACTTACTAATATTTTCCTTTGCAGTGATTTTTATTATTGTTTTTTGGCTGAGACATCAAGCATGGGCAACAAAAGAAAAAATAAACAAGTGTCACTACATTAAACAAAAAAATTTCTGCCCAGCAAAGAAAACAATAAACAGAATGGAAAAGCAGACTAAAGATTGGGAGAAAATATTTGTGAACCATGTATCTGATAAGGAGTTAATATCCAAAATATAAGGAACTCACAACTCAATAACAAAAATCAAATAACTCACTTTTAAAATAGGTGAGAGACCTGAATAGACATTTCTCCAAGGAGGACATAAAAATATAAAACAGGTATGTGAAAAGGTGCTCAACGTCATTACGATATGCAAATCAAAACTACGATGAGATATCACCTCACACCTGTTAGGATGGTTATTATTAAAAGGACAAGACATAAAAAATGTTGGCAAGGGTGGTGAGAAAGGAGAACAGTTATACGTTGTTAGTGGGAATGTAAATTGGTGTAGCTATTATGACGAACAGTATGAAAGTTCCTCAAAAAATTAAAAATACAACTATCACATGTCCCAGCAATCCCTCTTCTGGGTATACACCCAAAGGAAATGAAATCAGTACTTTATCAAGATACCTGCATTCCCATGTTCACTTCAGCATTATTCACAATAGCCAAGATAATGGAAACAATCTACGTGTTCATCAACAGATGAATGGAAAAGAAATTGTGGTGTATATACATATATGTGTGTGTACATATATACACATACATATATATACATATACGTACATATATACATATATATGTACGTAGAGATGGGGTATATACGTATACGTACATATATATACATATATATGTACACAGTAAAATAGTATACAGTAAAATAGTATACAGCCTTCAAAAAAGGAGACCCTGCTATTTGCAACAACATGGATGAACCTGGAGAACATTATGCTAAGTGAAATAAGCCAGGCACAGAGAGGCATACACTGTATCACTCTTATATGTGGAAACTAAAAAACAGTCAAATACATAGAAACAGAGAGAGGAATGCTGGTTACCAAAGTTGGAAGGTGGGGAGAAATGGGGAGGTGAAGGTCAAAGGGTAAAGAGTTGCAGTTGTGTAGGATAAGTAGAGATCTAGTGTACAGCATAAGGACTACTGTGAATAATATTTGTACATATACTAAAAATTTGCTAGGGGAGTAGATTTTAGGTGTTCTTAACAAAAAAAAAGATAACTATGTGAGACGACAGATGTGTCAACTGGCTTGACAGTAGTAATCATTTCACTGTGTCTATGTGTATCAAAACATCATGTAACCTTAAATATATACAATCAGAAAAAAAGAAAACAAAAGCATATTTATCTCTGAGTTGATAGATTACAAGTCATATTCAACACATTATTTGCTATTCCAAATACAAACCTAGCATTTTTCGTTGTGTCTTATTCACATTGTTCCTTTCACCTTGCCCATGACTTTCTCTACTCTGCAGACTCTGAATGTCCCAAACTTACCTTCTGTCCATAAATAATTCAAATGCCACCTCCTAGATTAAGACTTCATTCTTTGAGGTGGAAGGTAAGGGAGAAATGTCCCTTTGTGTTCCATTATCATTTTGCATGTACATATACGTGAATTCTGTTAAACTGCAGGCTCTTAGGGAAGATATCACTCATACCAGAAACTTTCCTATCACCTACTCTGATGACCTTCATGTATGTAGTAGGTTCACAGGAAATGTCTTATGTCAGTTTTTTCAGTTAACAAACTAACTAATAAAATGTGAGAATTCAACCTGAGATCAGTGAGCTTTACTTACTTAAGGAATTCTAGTTCAGGATTTATCAATCAAATATTTAAAATTCTATTAGAATTTTCCCTCACTCAAAGTATGATTCCTATGGATGAGGGGTTGTTTACCCAGCAGACTAAGTTTTGCCTACTTATTGGGTCAATTAGTTGGCGAGGATGAGGCACTCACTTTCTGCACGTTTTATATCCTTAAGGGCTGGGTGCCAGTGGCTAATGCCAGTGATACTAGTACTTTAGGAGGCCATGGAGGGTGGATCACTTAAGGTCAGAAGTTCAAGACCAGCCTGGCCAACATGGTGAAACCCCATCTCTACTAAAAATACAAAAATTAGCCAGTCATGGTGGCATGCACCAGTAATCCCAGCTACTTGGGAGGCTAAGGCAGGAGAATCACTTGAATCCAGGAGGCAGCGGTTGCACTGAGCTGAGATCTCACTACTGCACTCCAACCTGGGTGACGGAGAAAGATTCTGTTTAATGGTGGGCTATGAAGCTCTCTGCACATGTGTTTTTCTGTGATGCTAAGCTCAGCTTTTTTTTTTTTTTTAATCATTTCCTAACAGTAAGCAATAGTGGAAAACCCCATTTGTACCCACCAGTATGTTCCAGCTGCATGATCTCTGTTGTCTTGTTCTGAATTCTTACCCTTTCCTATAAGTGAGGCCAGAAGGTTTTTGCAGAGAAGCTCTGAGCAAGTGACTGATGCTAGCAATTCTTATCAGATTCACTCATTGAGGGCACCATGTGGGCAATGGCTGCAGAGCTTTTCAGTGTGTTTGCACTTCTAGAATCAGCAAACAGATGAGGGAGGAGCCCAGAACAGCTGGTGGAGAAAATAAGAGCAGGTGGGTTCAGAGAAAAAGGGTTGTTTTTCTTTCAAAAGCTAGTACATTGCAGGCATGCTATGAAGGGATTGTGGAGTGGGAAGTGACTGCAGCCAAGAGACTGCTGGAACAAGAGGCACAAAGCTTGGGTATGAAGCCTGACTTCACTACTTACTAAATGGGTGACCTTGGCTTAGTCACCCAATGAGGCTAATTCTCTATTTCCTTACCGTAATCAGAAGAAATTATTGTTCTGTAGGCTTTATAGCAATGTTCTTAAACTTAAAGGGGCTAGCGGTCTTGTTAAATGTGAATTCTAGCTCAGTAGGTCTGTGTGGGGCATTTCTAACAAGATTCGGGTGATACAGATGTGCTGGTTTGTATCATTTTATATAACAAGGCCACACTAGATTGAAGAGGAGACTAAATGAGGTAAGGGATAGGGAAAAGCTTTATAAACTGTAATGCATTTTTTTTAAAAGTGATTTTATGATTAGCAATAATAAAAACAGGTGCTTTCTATTTAGTACAGCATTTCCTAGGATTGTTTGCCCCCCACACTACCCTGAAGATCTGAACTTCTTTTTAAGGGCTTCCCCACCCTCCCCCGCCTCTCAGTTAGTTCTCAATATGGTTGGTTCCAGCCCAAGGGCTGACTTCTCCTGCTGACAGAAGCAATGGGATCAGCATTTTCCAGAAGGCAGCAGGCTAATGTGGTGATTTAGCAATGCAATGATTCCCCAAAGGTTACTAGAGGGGCTCTGAGGAACCTTGTAGAAAAACACACAGCTCTCTTAAATGAAAGATGGTCTGAGTCTACAACAACTCTTCGAAGGTATACATTAGACTTGCATTGCTTTTGGAAACAGAATAGAAAGAATTTCACTTCTTGCAAACTACTTTGCATTTCTTGTCTCTCCCATCAGCAATCTGAGGCTCTTGCATCAGAAGAGAAATGCACATTCTCTAAGGGGAAATTATTGATACTGTCCCAAATTTCTGATATACAAGGGCACTCACTGAAGGTCAACTCCCATCCCCAGTTTAGTATTCAGGAGGCACTTATTATTTCAACCTGGCAGAAGGCTCAAATGTTACTTGCCTGAAGGAGCTGGTTATGGCAGAAAGCACCCTATAATAGGGAGAAGGTGGACTGACTAGTCCCAGGAGTGTTGCCTTGCATATCTGAGATTTGACTGTGACAGAAGCCACTGGTCAGGAGACATGGGCCATGAAGATGGAGATGTACTGTGGCCTCACCAAAGTTCATCTCCAACATTCTCACTTTCACTGACTTCACTGGCTTCCTTGATGCTTTGCAAATATGCCAAGCACACGACTCCTTAGAGGACTTGCATTTGCTGTTCCCTCCATCTGAAATGCTGCTCTCCCAAATAGACCATTGTTTGCTCATTGCTGCTCCCTTGCCTAATTCAAGTGCTTGTGCAAATGTTGCCTCTTCAGTGAGGTCTTTCATGACCTACCTAAGTAAAATTCTAAATTAATCCGCTAATGTCTCCTAAAATCCCCTGTCCCCTTGCCTGATCTTTTTTTTTTCATGATACTTGCCAACATCTGACATAAAATGTTCTATTTATTTGATAGTCTCTCTCCCATCACAGAAGGTAAACTTCATAAACTCAGACAACTCTATTGGCTTTTGTTCACTGCTCTATATAAAGCAGTGCTTAGCACACAATAAGTCTCAAGAAATATTGGTGAATTAACAAATCAATATTTTAATGAATTAACTAATCAATTAATAAGAGGGTTATTAAAGTATTGAATCTCAGATAATGTGCATGCTCATCAAAACTATATACTATATATGACCTCCTCTAACAAAGTTGTTTACTCAAAAATGTATTGTTCTGGACTAGGAGATAAATGAAGTCAGTATAACCAAGTTTTGTTTATGTAGCTGTATAAGTTTATACAGGCCCTTTCCTAGCCTCAGTCTTTTATCACAAAATACAGGAATTACACCAGGTTCTAAGTCCCTTCTAAACACCAATATCATATAATACCAAAAATAAGAATAGCAATGGCTGTATACACAACAACAATAATAAAAATATTTACTGAGTGTTAATATGCGTCAGACATTATCCTGAGGACACAGAAGCCATAAAAGTGAGTAAACATAGACTTCATTCAATTCCATTAAACCTTACTCACTGACAGTGGGAAGAAGACAAAATACAAAAATTTAATGAATCATTAAATATTAATCCAAATTCATACACTGAGCAGAAATGATGAATTTTTATATTCCTGTCAGCTTTATAATTTACCTTTGGTTCTCTGGAGATGTGAAACAGTTAGATACTTGCCAATGATGGTCAAATAGCAACAGATCTTCCCCCAAAAGGTGAGAATCACCTCCATTTTTCAAAAAGAAACCACAAAATACCAGTGAGAAGACCTTAGTTGTCAATACACCTCACCCTTTCAGAGTGCTCATCACATTGTTCACTTCCATTTTCAGTATTAGTCCCCTTTGACCCTTTCAGAAAAGTTCCGTATGTTAATGCTTTAAAGAGAGTTATATGTCATGAAAGAGTTGTCTTCCCTCTTTCTGTATAAAGATATGGGTGATAACTTTGTCTTAGCCACTAAAAACCTGCCATCAGTGTTTCCCGATAAATCCTTATAACCCATTTGCAGCTTTCAGTTTTGTTTTTCCTTCTTATTCCTGGTTTCTAGTCCTCACCTATCTCCAAATACCAGCCATGTCTTTTTCCTGGCTTCAAGTTTTACATCTCTCAGAGGAGGGTTTGGGCAACACATCATCCATGCCATTTGCAACTCTTTCATTTTGTTATACCTTAGTGTTTTCTGCAACAAGGAAATCTCTTTAAACTTATCTACTCTTCCCTTTCCTACACGATTTCAAGTCATAGAAAAGGAATGAGTCAGTGGTAATCATGGCTCTCAAAAAGCTATACTTGAAACATCAGCACCACTGCTAGGTGTGAAAAATTCCAAGTAATAACTATTCGGTCATGGTGGGGTGCAATATATCCACGCCTACACGCTTATTTCTATTTTATAAAAGAAGAGCACAATGATCTAGGACACGTTACAAATATTGCATAATTTCTAAATGCAAATCAATCAAAATCAACACATCTGTTCCTCTTCAGCCACACTAGCAGAAAGTCACCACTCTAACAAAATAAGCCATCACCTGCAGTACTTGGAAAGAGGTGCATTTCTCAATTTATCCTGAGCTTGACCTCCCATTCCAATTAATTTTGTGTAGTCAACTCTAATGAAATATTAGATCACTCAGTAAGTATTCAGAAGTAGTGCAGAGACATGCAAAAGCCCTGATGTAAGGCTTGATGCAAGATCTTGATGTAAGTTCTCTCTCCAGCACTCTCTGAGCTTCTAGTTCCTCATCTTTAGGAGGAAGGCCTGAGAGACAATGTCCCATGCTGGAGTAAGTTATTTCATCATACCTAATCATTTCATTGTATCCTTCTCTTAAGAGATATTAACAGATGAAAACTGCAATTACCCTTGCTGAATCCCTGAGATGCTCCCATCACCTCTAACACAAGATAGAACCCAAATCTCTCCTTTCTAAGTGGAAAGAAAAACTACAGTACTTCTTACAAAATCACTTCAGATGCCTGAGGGTGGTAATTAGCACGTTTCCAGAGCTCTCTCTTTTTCAGGTTAAGCAACGTCAGTTCTCTTAACCTGCCATTAAAGTGCTCATTTTATATACATACTCTGTCTATTTTTATGAGCTTCTTCTAAACTGCAGTCCAAAAATGGACACAATGCTTTAACAATATCCAAGTAATATAACATATAAACAAAGATCACATTCATAAAACCAGAAAATTGGGCTTTTCTTAGAAAAAATTAAATTGTAGCCACAGTTATTGAAATTTAAGGCTCACTATATTTAATGTGTTCATATAAAGTAAAATTAGAATTTTACTTAGCAATAAAACAAATCCAAATAAAGTCCTGTCACATCATAATAAAAAGATACATTTCATTTTTAAAGATTTGTCACTGAAACTGAGGCAAGGATGGAAGCAATAACTCTGACCACCATATCTCCTTGTTTTATGTTTAACTACTTAACATGTTTGAGCAGATACATTATTAAAGGCATTTGAGGCCACAAAAGAGTCAAACTTCCTTGAAATGTTAGTACTGTACAATATGAAAACCAGAAATAAAATTCTAAGGCCTCCAACAACTTATAGAACCCTTCTTGGCTAAAAGCATTCCAAATAAACCTGGAACTCTAGTTTAGGCCATGATGGGAAGAGGGGGGTCGGACATGCCTCATTATACATTGCTCCTTTGGAATTCAGGCACAACTGACCAGCATTAACATTCAAACAGAGATCTTAAGATTGACAAAATAGACTCTTTGTAGCAATAAAATTCCAACATGACTGGTAGCAGGCCCTGAAAGAAATTGAAGTATGTTACTCCAAAATATATTTTTTTGACATATTTTGAAATGGCCCTGTAAAGCTGTCTCTTGTAAGGAAATCTACATTATGTAGAGAATCCTCTTCCCTTTTCTGATCTTTTCCCTAGTCCAGGAGATAATTCACTAAGAGGAGTCTGGCACCTTTTTAAGTCTGATAAAAGCTCAGATGCCTGGTACCTGGAGGTTTCATTTGCATGATAAAACCCCTTGGTTTCCACAACCCTTTATCTTAACCCAGACACTCCTTGCTATTGATTCCAGGTGTTCAGATAATAACTGTTTCAAGCAATTGTCAATCAGAAAATCTTTGAATCTACCTATGACCTGGGAGCCCTGCCCCTTTGAGTTGTCCTGTCTTTCCAGATGGAACCAACATACATCTTACAGGTATTGACTGATGACATGTCTCCCTAAAACGTATAAAACCAAGCCGTAGCCCGACCACTCTGGGCACATGTTCTTGGTATCTCCTCTGGCTATGTCATGGGTTATGGTCCTCATATTTGGCTCAGAATAAATTTAATCAAATATTTTACACAGTGAAACTCTTTTCATCAACAAGCAGTAGTAACTTTAAACACCACATTAATTATTTTTCAAAGAATTCATGTAAAAATATTGTGCTGACAGAAAAACAGCAACCAAGAGAATTTTAGGCACCTCCCATATCAAATGAAGTTCTACTTGCTGCGATCTTTACTCTGACTGTGGTATAGCGGCAAGAAAACTGGTCTCAGAGACCATAATTATAGTCCTGATTTTGTGATTGAGCAAGACACATCTTTTATGAAAATAATTTTATTTTATGAAAAAAGGCATATTATATTCATTATCTGTAAAGTTAGATTATTTTTTAAATTATATATTTAAAGTATACAACATGATGTTTTCATATATAGTGAAATGATTACTACAGTCAAGCCAATTACCATTTCCATCATCTCAGATAGCATTTTTTTGTAAGAGCACCTAAAATCTGCTCTTAGCAAATTCCCAGTATATAATACAATACAATGTTATTAACAATAGCCCTCATTCTGTACATTAGATCTTCAAACTTATTCATCCTACATAACTGAAACTTTTTACCCTCCCTCCCTTAGCACCTCCCACCACAACTCTAATAACCTGGTAACCACCATTCTACTGTCTATTTCTATGTATTCGACTTTTTAAAAAATATTCCACGTATAAGTGAGATCATGCATACTTTCCTTTCTGTGTCTGGCTTATTTCCCTTAATGGGATGATCTCCAAGTTCATCCATGTTGTCACAAATGTCAGGCTCTCCTTTCTTAAAGGCTGAATTGTAGTTTATTATATATATACCACAGTTTCTTCATCCATTTACCTTTCTATGGACACTTAGGTTGTTTCCATATCTTGGCTATTGTGGATAATTCTAAAGTTAGGTAATGGAACTAAGGTTTCTCCTAGCTTTGTGATCACAAACAAATGTGCTATAAGTGTTAGAGAAATTCACCTTGAAAATATACATAGAACTAAATACCTACATTATGTAAGTTGAAAACTTTCTTATAGCCTTCTTATTTAAAAAGAGAATGACTAATAGGGTAATATTCATGCCCAAATGTAAAAAGGCCAGGCACAGTGGATCACGCCTGTAATCCCAGCATTTTGGGAGAATGAGGGAGGTAGATTGCTTGAGTCCAGGAGTTTAAGATCAGCCTGGGCAACATGGCGAAACCCTAGCTTTGCAAAAATACAAAAATTAGCCAGGTATGGTGGCATGCACCTGTGGTCCTAGCTACTCGGGAGGCTGAGGTGGCAGGATCACTAGAACCCGGGAGGAGGAGATTGCAGTGAGCTGAGACTGCACCACTGCACTCCAGCCTGAGCAAGGGAAACAGGGCAAGACTCTGTTAAAAAATAAAAATTTAAATTTAAAAAAAACTAGTCTAAGTCATTTTAGGCAAAACTTTCAGAAATTTTAAAGAGTTGATTACATATAACTATCCACCTTAATTATTTAAATAACAATATATGTTATTAGTATTTTCTCTACATTGCTCAGGCTTTGAGAGTTGCAGGAGATTCCAAACTGATTACCAAAAGATGGTATTTCGTTCTATACCTGACAAAGTCTGTTTAATATTTAAATAAAACGGTACATAAGAAACACTTATAATCTATAAAGCATTTTAAATATGCTGTTTTTATATTCCCTCTATCTTTTCAGCAAAGTTAATCCCTTATCCTATAATTTTGGAATTGTGTTTTATCTTCCTTATACAGGCATACCTTACAGATATAGTGGGTTGGGTTCCGGACAACCACAATAAAGTGAATATTGCAATAAAGCAAGTGACACAAATTTTTTGGCTACTAGTGCATAGAAAAGTTATATTTACATGATACTACAGTCTATTAAGTGTATAAGAGCATTATGTCTAAAAAATAATGTACACACCTTAATTTGAAAACACATCATTGCTAAAAAATTGCTAACAATCATCTGAGCCTTCAGCAATTCGTAATCTTTTTGCTGGTGAAGAATCTGGCCTTGATGCTCATGGCTGCTGATTGATCATGATGGTAGTTGCTGAAGATTGGGATGGCTTTAGCAGTTCCTCAAAATGAGACAACACTCAAGTTTGTCACATCGATTGACTCTCCCTTTCACAAAAGTTTTTTATAGAATATGATACTGTTTGATAGCATTTTACCCACAGTAGAACTTCTTTCAAAACTGGAGTAAATCCTCTCAAACCCTGTGATATGGTTTGGTTCTGTGTCCCCACCCAAATCTCATCAGTAATTTTAATCCCCATAATCTTCACATGTCAAGGGAGAAACCTAGTGGGAGGTGATTGGATTGTAGGGACAGTTTTTCCTCCATGCTGTTCTCATTATAGTGAGAGAGTTCTCAGGAGATCTGATGGTTTTATAAGTGTTTGACAGTTCCTCCTACAGGATTGCATGACTGTGCCCAGCTAATTTTTAAAAATTTTTTTGTAGAGACAAGGTCTCACTGTGTTGCCCAGGCTGGTCTCAAACTCCTGGACTGAAGCAATCCTCTTGTCTTTGCCTCCCAAAGCACTGGGATTATAGACATAAGCCAAAGTCTTGAAACCTTCAAAGTTATTCATGAGGATTGAAATCAACTCCTTCCAAACTACTGTTAATGTTGATACTTTGGCCTACTCTTACGAATCATAAATATTCTTAATATCATCTCAAATGATGACTCCTTTCCAGAAGATGTTCAATTTACTTTGCCCAGATCCATCAGAGGAATCATTATCTACAGCAAGTAAGCCTTATGAAATATATTTCTTAAATAAAAAGACTTGAAAGTCATAATTACTCTTTGATCCATAGCTATTTGATCCATAGCTATAGGATGGCTGTTGATCATTCATGGATCATAACTGTTTGATCCATGGCTGCAGAATGGCTGTTGTGTTAGCAGGCATAAAAACAACATTAATCTCCTTGTATTTCTCCATGAGAAGTCTTGGATGACCAGGTGCATTGTAAATGTGCAGTAATATTTTAAAAGAAATCTTTCTTTTTCTGGGCAGTAAGTCTCAATAGTGGGCTTAAAATATTCAGTAAGCCATCCTTTAAACAAATGGCCTTTCATCAAGGATTTGTTGTTCCATTTATAGAACACAGGCAGAGTATATTTAACATAATTCTCAAGGGCCCTACTATTTTCAGAATGGTGCATGAGCATTGGCTTCCATTTAAAGTCACCAGCTGCATTAGCCCCTAACAAAAAAGTGAGCCTGTCCTTTGAAGCTTTGAAGCCAGACATTGACTTCTTTCTCACTATGAAAGTTGTAGTTGGTATTTTCTTCAATAGAAGACTATGAAGTCTCCATTGAAAATCTGCTGTTTAGTGTAGCCACCTTTGTCAATTATCTCAGCTAGATATTTTTGTATAACTTGCTGCAGCTTCTACATTAGCACTTGCAGCTTTTCCTTGTGCACTATGTTACAAAGATGGCTTCTTTCCTTAAACCTCATGAACCACCCTCTGCTAGTTTCTAACTTTTATTGTGCAGCTTCCTCATCTCTCTCAGCCTTCACAGAATTGAAGAGAGAGCCTTGCTCTGTATTAGGCTTTGGCTTAAGGAAATGTTGTGACTGATTTGATCTTCTATCCAGATCACTACAACTTTCTCATCAGCAATAAGGCTGTTTCATTTCCTTATCCTTCCTGTGTTCACTGGAGTAGCACTTTCAATTTCTTTCAATAATTTTTCCTTTACATACACCACTTGGCTAACTGTTTAGGGCAAGTGGCCCAGCTTTCAGCGTATTTCAGCCTTCAATATGCCTTCCTCACTAAGTTTAATCATTACTAGCTTTTGATTTTAAGTGAGAGACATGTGACTCTTCCTTTCACTTGAACATTTAAGGGCCATTTTAGGGTGACTAATTGGCTTAATTTTAATATCTTCGTGTCTCAGGAAATAGGCCTGAGAAGAGGGAGAAAGATGGGGAACAGACAGTCAGTCAGAACACACACAAGAATTAACAGGTGAAATTCTGTTTGAGAAGTCAATTATGTCTACAACACTGGAAACAGATTTTGGTGTGATATATTCTCTAGTAACTTTAAATTTGTTTCTCTTCCTTCAGCAGTCAGAACACATACAACATTTATGGATTAAGTTGTTGTCTTATGTGGGCATGGCTTGTGGCACTCCCAAAACAATTACAATAATAGCATCAAATATTACAGATCACCATGAAAGTTATAATAATAGAATAACTTAAAAGACTGTAAGAATTACCAAAATGTGACACAAAGACCTGAAGTGAGCACGTGCTTTAGAAAAATGGTGCCAATAGACTTGCTCAACTCTCGGTTTCCACAGAGCTTCAATATGCGACGCATGCAACATCTGCAAAGTACAATGACACGAGGCATCCCTGTATAATTTTTAAGCCATGTTGCTTTCTACACTAGATCAACCATGTCTTATAATAGGAATTATCTTAACTACAGTGATTAACATAGTGCCTGATTCTTTACAATTATTCATTTTTTGGTTAAATGAAGGAAAACAAACAAATTTAAAGTAACTAGAGAATATATCACAACAGAATGTGCTTTAGGTGCTGTAGACACAATTGGTTTCTCATACAGAATTTCATCTGTTAATCCTTAGCCTCCCTTTAAATACACACATTCCTTCCAAATACAATACAAAAATGTAGTGAATAGGAGACTTCATTAGTTCCTTTTCAGTGGTTAAAAGATGAAGTTTTGGCATTTTCTTTAAAATAATTCATTGAAATTATATATTCAAAATATGTATATTATTTGGGCCCACTATTGGTAAGACTTATGATTTAATAATCTAAACTCAATGATATCCTTAAATAAATAATAATCTCATAATTTAAACTCTAATAATCACATGCTTTTATAAACTGGAAAAAAGTCTCTGGATCATCTTTTCTTTCGCCCACCTCATATTACCAATGACGTAACAGAAGCACATGAGGCAAAGCGACTTTGCCAAGGTCACGTTAAGTCACCGACTGACCGCCGAACAGCACCCGGATGAATTCCAGATCACCCGGCTCCCCGCCCAGTGCCACTTCCTTCCTTTCTGTCCTCTCCAATTTACTCATCTAGAACTAACTGACCAAGCAGAAACAATTGGGAGTAGTCAGGCCTCTATTAATAACAACTTGCTTGTCATATAGTACAATATCGTTTACAAAGCACTTCCCAAATACTTTCTCTCCTTGAATCCCCGCCGCAAGAACCCCAGATGCAAGATATTTACCTCCGCTTACAACACACTAAGGCCTAGAAAGATAAAATGAAATGTCCAAGGTCACAGAGCTAAACTTGAACCCTGACCTTTTTACAACATATCTAGTTTTCTATACATAAATCCACAGCAATTTTTGTTACAGAGATAGAATCAAAGAAAAAGAATTATTCACTATAATCCCATTAAGCCAAGATTCTAAGGCGACTTCACCAATAGATTTGTGAAGTGTTTATTAATATAGAAGATGATTTCAAAAGAATGTTAATACTAACCAGATGAATAACCCATGCAAAAGTAACAGATGAATTGTTGAGGAAAAGGACAAGACAGTCACAGAAATGAATGTCCAGAAAATGGATTCACACATCAAGGACAAGAAAGGCCTTCATTACCCATTTATTTCAGTTTCCGCTTTTGAGTTGAGGAAACTGAAACATCTCTAACCTCAGGCCTCAAGAAGCAGAAATCCCAGGTTATCTTCAACAACAAAGGTTGTAATAGTTGTAGCTCCAGAAATGCCACCCTTTGAACTGATGCAGAAGTCTCTTTTTTGGGACTCACAAAAGGTCCTGAGAAGTGCAATCTCAGTCACTAATGCCAGGGGTGTAACTAATGACAAGGCTGTACTTAGAATGCAAGGAGGTGTTCAGAGCTGGCTTCATGGGAGCTGACCGAGAATGGCACATCCAGTCTTTGTCAAGAAGGAAGAGAACCAGAAGACAGGTCACAACACAGATACACAAATAATAATAAAGAATCATGCTGTTCCCCATTGTTCAAGAATGAGAACAATAGCTGGGTGCGGTGGCTCACGCCTGTAATCCCAGCACTTTGGGAGGCTGAGGCAAATGAATCACGAGGTCAGGAGATCGAGACCATCCTGGCCAACATGGTGAAACCCCGTCTCTACTAAAAACACAAAAATTAGCTGGGTGTGGTGGCAGGTGCCTGTAATCCCAGCTACTCTGGAGGCTGAGGCAGGAGAATCGCTTGAACTTGGGAGGTGGAGATTGCAATAAGCCAAGATTGTGCCACTGCACACTAGCCTGACAACAAAGCGAGACTCCTTCTCAAAAAAAAAAAAAAAAAAGAATGAGAACAACAGAGAATGTTTTCTTTTCTTTTTCTTTCTCATTTTTAGAAACAGCACAGGAATTTCTTCCACCAAGGTGCAGGAGAAAGTTTTTATGCCGAGCCAGATTTCCCAGGGATGAGGATTGATGATTCTCTTCCATGGACAACAGGAAGTTCAGTCATATGGAATAGCATCCATTATTATTATTATTTATTTATTTATTTATTTTTGAGACGGAGTCTCGCTCTGTCACCCAGGCTGGAGTGCTGTGGCGCGATCTCGGCTCACTGCAAGCTCCGCCTCCTGGGTTCACTCCATTCTTCTGCCTCAGCCTCCCAAGTAGCTGGGACTACAGGCGCCTGCCACCACACCCGGCCAATTTTTTGTATTTTTAGTAGAGACGGGATTTCACCGTGTTAGCCAGGTTGGTCTCGATCTCCTGACCTCGTGATCCACCCACCTCGGCCTCCCAAAGTGCTGGGATTACAGGTGTGAACTGCCTTGTCCAGCCAATAGGATCCGTTATTTAGAGGGCTCTAACAGCCTAGGGTGAGAGATGAAAGGCGTTTCAAAAGTGAAAGAAGGAAATCTTGAAGCATGTGTGTTACATGTACATCATCCCTGAGACTTTAGCTACTTTATGCCTCAGATATAATGAAAAGTGCTATAAAAATTAAATAAACAAAGATTTTATGTTAATATATTGAGGGCTTTATAGTACTCACTCAATTTACCTTCTATTGTATACTTAACATGTGCCAAGTCACTGAAATTACAAAGCAGAATGACATAGTCCCTATAGAATTAACTCAATTTACCTTCTATTATATGCTTAACATGTGCCAAGCCACTGAAATTACAAAGAAGAAGACAGCCCTTGCCTTCATGAAATTCACAGCCTAGAAAACAAGCTAGGACCCAAGGAACTATAGTATAGCACAGAAAGAAATCAACACTACAGGAGAGATTTGAAGGACCAGGGAAAGAAGGACTTCTTACCAGAAGAGGATCAAGCAAAAGCTTTATTGAGAAAATTACAATCTAAGCATTTGTGGAAATAAAAAGTTAATATACTTTGGGAAGATATTATAATATCACTTGCAAGATGTATTGTGCTTTGAATGAGTAATGTAATTATTGTTAATATTATATTACTGATAAAGAACTGACAATTGAACAATATATTTTTATAGTTCTTAGCTTTCCCATAATATACCATTTGCTAATCATTAATTAAGTCATGAAACCATACATTTAACAGAATACATTACATTCTTAAGTGTTCACTGAAGACAACATTGTCTGCCTCTCCAAAATGTTTAAATTATATGTTTATACATCTGTTGTGTACTTTCAAGGCAATGTAAACACAGAAATGTCTCAAAAATATATTGCAAAATGACACACCGAAGCTTCATCCAGACAACTATCCCCTGAATTTGCTGGCTGATTTGAAGTTCAATCAATACTAACCTGTACAAATAAGAAGAGCCCTGTTCTTCTAGCTTAAGAATGGTAGCCCTGCTTTCAAAAGAAGCAATGAAAACTCCAAGCCATTCTCTCTTTATGGCATTACATGAACGAGTTTGGAGTCCTGTATCTGTATCCAAAGTACAGCTCCTTCATTTAAGTTACTGTTTTGAAAGAACTTCTTAGAGGTCTTTAAAATCAGTATGTCCAGATCTCTGAGACTCAGAGCTACTGATTAAAATTTCAGTCATATCAAAAAATAATTGGGCTTTTGGGTGGGGGCTCAATATAATTTAGTGGAAAGTATATTACTATGAGACTCAAGAAACCTAAGTTTCAGTCTTGACTTCACCAGGATTGAGCCAGGTTTTCCCAGATAAAATGAAGAAGCTGAAAATCACTTTCAAATTCTCTTCTGACCAAGTTAAGACTCTATTATGGTGCTGGGAAATTATTAAGTTTTCCAGTTATAAATTGGCCAGGGGATTGTTCTGGAAAATTATTGCTTGAATAGTGAGAGTTAAGACACATTTCCAATCATGAGTTTTGAAGACCGACTTAATCACTTCCACCCCCTAGAGCCTCCAGCACTTGTTAATATCTTTATGATGGCATTTACCATATTGCATCTTGAACACTGGTGTCTGTCTTCCGTGATAGCATGGAAGGTTCATGAGGTCAGTCTCTTATTCATTATCCTGTTTTGCCAACTCATGGCAATATGCATGGCTCAGGCTATGTGTCCAATGTATGCTTGAAAAGTGGAAGAACAGACAAATGAGAATGTCAAAGGTAACTTTAAAAACCTGTCTGGAGATGACCTTGGTAATTTTCTTAAGCCAGTAACTTTTTAAAGCTATTTGCATGGTGTTTTCTCAAGGGAAGAATACCTTAATGACCCTTACGTCTGACAGCCTACAGTATATTGGATAAACTGAGGGAGCTGGCCAGGGCACTGCTGAGAACTCCCCAAAATGCTACATCAAGCACTTCTGAGTTGAGAGTATCTTTCCATGGGGTTATTTAGTATTTTTGGATGTAAGTATTTAGTATTTAATATTATTTAGTATTTTGTATTTTATCCTTTCAAGTAAGGATAAAATATTGAACACTGGCTTTTACTTTCATTCCTACTTGAAACATAATTAAAAGTACAATAAATGGATGCAGGTGTGTTTATATGTTTTGCATAATTCTTTAAAGATGGAACAAAAGAGAGAGAAGAAAACAACAACAACAAAATTTTAGAACTGGAAAACCAGCTGGTGAAGATATATTTTTCAGATCTGAGAAAGCTGAGGTCCTAAGTCAGCAGTGGAGAAAGCCAACAGGCAACTAACTTGGATTGCACAATCTTCAAAAGTTTAGACAGTGGTAGCACCAGATTTGTCTAGAAGTGAGCTGAAGGAGAAAAGGGTAAATTATGCAAAAATGGTGGAAAGGTTGTTTTTAGGACGGTATTATAACCTCAAATCCTCTCCCAAACATCAAGCATCTAGCCAACTGCTCTCCACAATCCCAGGAGAAGACTAGATATTTATTCTTTGTAGTGGATAGAGCAGAAACTCTCTGCATAGTGGACAGAGTGAATACCACACTGAAAATCAGGAGATTAAGTGAACATTTCTACGGATTTCCAAAACCCACAGGACCCTCACAGCCAGGTCTTTCCCATTCAGGCAAGAGAATGGAAGAGTCTTCTTTGAGGAATCTTGGAAACGTAAGAGGTAAGACCTAAAGATACGGACCTCAGGAGCTCCACAGTGAAAAGCCCACCAACATCACTCTACAACTAAGATCATTGACAACAAGCCCCACCCATGAACACAGAGCTTCCAGTCACCTTTTTAGCCCCCTACACCCACTTTTAAATATGAACAGGTAACCAAATATAAAAATATCTTCGGGAAATCTCTAACATGAAAGATAGAAATGAAAACAAACAAAAAGCTTACTGGAAACAGAGGTTATAGAGGGAGATTAAAACTTCTTTAAAAATGTAAATCCCGTCCGGGAGGGAGGTGGGGGCCAGCCCCTGCCCGGCCAGCCGCCCCGTCCGGGAGGGAGGTGGGGGGCAGCCCCCACCCAGCCAGCCGCCCCATCCGGGAGGTGGGGGGCATCTCCGCCCAGCCGCCGTCCCGTCCGGGAGGTGGGGGGCGCCTCTGCCCGGCCGCCCCTTCTGGGAAGTGAGGAGCCCCTCTGCCCGGCCGCCACCCCGTCTGGGAGGTGTACCCAACAGCTCATTGAGAACGGGCCATGATGAAGATGGCGGTTTTGTCGAATAGAAAAGGGGGAAATGTGGGGAAAAGATAGAGAAATCAGATTGTTGCTGTGTCTGTGTAGAAAGAAGTAGACATAGGAGACTCCATTTTGTTCTGTACTAAGAAAAATTCTTCTGCCTTGGGATGCTGTTGATCTATGACCTTACCCCCCAACCCGGTGCTCTCTGAAACATGTACCGTGTCCACTCAGGGTTAAATGGATTAAGGGCTGTGCAAGATGTGCTTTGTTAAACAGATGCTTGAAGGCAGCATGCTCCTTAAGAGTCATCACCACTCCCTAATCTCAAGTACCCAGGGACACAAACACTGCGGAAGTTCCCAGGGTCCTCTGCCTAGGAAAACCAGAGACCTTTGTTCACTTGTTTATCTGCTGACCTTCCCTCCACTATTGTCCTATGACCCTGCCAAATCCCCCTCTGCGAGAAACACCCAAGAACGATCAAAAAAAAAAAAAAAAAAAAAATGTAAATCATAATTATTCTCAGCAAAGTATTAGAAAATATCGCATCTGTGAAATAAGACGGCATAATATAAAACTGAACAATTAAAGAAAACAGACAAATAAGCCTCTTGGAAATTAAAAATCTGATACCAGAAATTAAAGAAAACATCTAAGAAAAAGATTAAAAGATAAACTTGAGCCCATAATCTAGAAAATAGAGAAAAGACAAAAGAGGTAGAGAACAGGAAATAAAACATATGAAAAATAGAAACCTATGAAAAATAATCCAAAATATAAACAAGTAAGATTTCCAGAATACCAGAACAAAACAACAATAACAAAAAAAAGAGAGTAGGAGATCATTAAGAAAATATTTTCAAAAACTAAATTATTTTCAATTTTCTAGAGATTAAAGAATTAAAGAAAAAAATTCTAGAATTAAAGAAGAGTTTCCACAGTAAATACACAGCATAATGAGTGAAAATGAAACTATAAGAAGGCAAATTACTATCAATTTTCAAAACACTGAGAAAAAAGAATAGACACTAAAAGTTTTCAGAGAAAAAAAAATCAAGCATGTACAAAAAATAAGAAATCAGAATGTTAGAATGATATCAGACCAGAACAACAAAACTGGCAGAAAAAAAGATGTTGTAATGGTGTAATTTAAGTTCTGAAGAAAACTTATTTTAAATCTAGAATTCTATACCTAACCACACGATTGTTCAAATATGAGGAAAAATGAAGATATTTTCCGATATGAAAAGGCTCAGAAATTTTACTGTGTATCCTTTTTTTTTTAGGAAGCTGTTGGAGAATGTATTCCACCAAAATAAGAGAGTGAACTAATACAGAGGATGCAGGAGAACAAGAGATCCAAGCAGAGACCTGCAAAAATTTTCTAGGGTGATGGAAAAAGAGACCCTGGGACCAAAGCAATGCACAGAAAAAGGGTGCACATAGCACCCAGTCATCAGGTTCTGAGGGATATTACTTCACGATGAAATTGATAGAATATCTGTGCATCTGAGTGTCTTCAGATGAGATTCAGATAACTGGCAGGGACTTGGAGTTAAATATAGTACAAAGTATGTAGAAAGCTGGGCACGTAAAAACAAGACAGTTATCAACCACAGAAAAAAAACAAAATCTTATGACAAAAGTAATCATAGTTTAATTTGTCTTAGTCATGAAAGTATTTACATAATCATAATCATGCAACTACTAAATACTGATCTAACAAAAATAACAATGTAACAGCCTTGGAAAGATGGTGAGATGGAAAGGAGGCATGTTGTGGTAAGAATGTGATAAAGGGAGAGACTTGAAAGCTATTTCCTTGGTGGGACGCTGAGAAATTAAGAGGTAGTAAGAAGAGAATATTGTTTAGCATATGAAGGTAAATATCAACAAGAGTCGAAAGTGATTGTAGAGGAAAAAATGGGAGAGAGGACAAGAAAGTACTATATTTCACAATATACTTTGTATAACTGTGACAAAAATAGCAAGTAAAAACAGAAAAAGAAAGAAGAAATCACCTCAAATGTTATGCATGAGAGATTGTTTTTATACTGCTTTTGCTCTAAAAGCATTTCTGATGGAATTGAGTATCACAGGAGATTGCAGTGTGTTCCCCAACATCCTCCCATCTTTACTAAGACACGATTCACTGGGGTCAGTTGAGATTAAAAGAGGTTGCTCAGAGACAAGACAAGGCTGTCGTTGCCATCTGTCTAACTGCACCTTATGGTTATTAGATGAAAATCATCTGCTGACCTTCATCTTCAAAATCTTGTTCATAAATCTTTTACCAATCAAGCTGAGACCTTCCCTGTACAAGGTGCTTTCTAGACTTCAACCATTGATCACGATGATGCAGTTTGGTATGATGTGTCTTCCTGGAGCAGTTTTAAGTGTTTGATTCAAAAGTGAAATCTTTGTGGAGCTGCCATACTTTACAGCACTACACTGAGCTACAACTAAAGGCACACATTGCAAGTGTGGTGCTTGAATTTCATTTAAACAATTAAGCAAACTCGAATCCATCAGACTCAGCAAAACCCCATGGCGATGATTTCGTACCAGAGCAGTTCTGAGATACTTAAAATAATAATATCTACATTTTATTGAATGCTTATTATATGCCAGGTAGTGTGGTAAATACTTACACTATCTTATTTAGTAGTAAAAACAACTCTATAAATAGCTACTATTATTATCTCCATTATATAGATAAGGAAATCCAGGATTATGGAGATTAGGACCCTTGCCCAATGTCTTTGGCTAGGAATTAGGAAAACAAAAATCAAGACCAGAATTGGATTCAGAAACTGTTCTTTTAGAACTCTGTCTTCGCTAAGGAAGGGTCATCATAATATCAAAAATATGCCATTGAAAGTGATGGGTGAGTTTGGAGACAAACATATTTCTGAAGTGAGTCTTCATATATTTAAGCATAGATGAGTTTGAGAAAATTCATATAGCACAGTTGCAAAATGCACGTATATTAGTACTTGCATAGTTTTTAGTCTGTTATAATTCTGAGTCTTATTTATAGATCTTAAGGAAATAATTTTTTTTTTTTTTTTTTTTTTTGAGACGGAATCTCGCTCTGTCGCCCAGGCTGGAGTGCAGCGGCGCAATCTCGGCTCACTGCAAGCTCCGCCTCCCGGGTTCACGCCATTCTCCTGCCTCAGCCTCCCGAGTAGCTGGGACTACAGGCGCCCGCCACTACGTCCGGCTAATTTTTTGTATTTTTAGTAGAGACGGGGTTTCATCGTTTTAGCCGGGATGGTCTCGATCTCCTGACCTCGTGATCCGCCCGCCTCGGCCTCCCAAAGTGCTGGGATTACAGGCGTGAGCCACCGCGCCCGGCCAAGGAAATAATTTTTAAGCCTGACACTTTTCGAAAGGTTATTTTCAAAAGGAACTTTACCCTAGAATACTAGTCTATAAGTTTCAACGCTAGAATTTTAGAGAGTTGAGAGCCAAAAGTGAACAGAAATGAAACTCATTGTTCCATTAAGCAAGAGAAGTGTGTTAGCAGCAGAGACTGGCAAAAATCAGAGTGAAATACTGGGTCACTGCATTTCTTCTGGCCCTGACAGTGTTCTTGTACGTATATCTTGCTTTGCACAGTAGATGTGTTCTTGAAAAGCTAGTGAATAATTAAAGCTTTGTAAGTAGAATTGTATTCTAGAAGACCTAGGAATCTAATTTTTTAAAGATGATTACAGTAGTCAATGTTTTTGAAATGTAAATGAAATCATCACCTACATTACATAATTTGTAACAGGCTTCCACAATTTGCTTCCAACCTTTCTTCCTTATATGATTCATCATCTACTGTGTCCTGTCCCAACCCTTACATGGTTCATGAGGAAAGAGTGTCAGTACTATATTCAGCACCTAAAACAGTGTCCAGCACAATAAATGGACACTGGATGAATGAACTAAGCAATCCATTAATCTTCTCCTGGCTACTACATGTATATCAATGTCTCTCTACCTTTGCATATAATATTTCATCAGCCTAGAATGATTTTCCAATGTTTTCATTTTATCCCTTCTGCAAGAGTGAGTTCAAATGCCAACTCCTTCCTAGATGTCAAATTCCTCTCTATATTCCCAAAAGATTACATTTAGATATTTAGTGTAATAGGGGATAATTGAAACCTTGTCTTAGTCCTTGGTTCCTAGCCTCTAATGCCTAGCCAGAGCAATCCACACAGACAATGTGATGGTAAAAGTAAATTTAATCTAAATTTTCACATGTATTGCCAGCTGTCAGTTCTTCCTAGGTTTCTCTTTATGCATATCTTCAAAAGCTAATTTGTGAGGTGTTCTTGAGGTCAGTAACTGCATGGTTTTTCATGTCTAGCCCCAGTAACAAGCAATGTGCATGGCACAGATAAATGGATACGTCCAAGCATGGATCCTTGTATTAATTAATTAACCAGTGTGGTTGTGGATAATGCTGGGCTAATTGTCTATACGTGATATCACTGACTCTTTTAAGCTATGGAATTCCCTCATGAGAATGCTATCCCTGATCCCTTATTCTGATATTTCTGAATAACCAGCAAAATACACATCTATTTCTAGATTGAATTCCCAAGTGCAAGAGAATCTTAGACTAGATTGTCTACACCAGGTTTTCTCAAAGATCTAGACTAGCAGCATCAACACCTTCTGGGAACTTGTAGAAAAGTAAACTCAAAAGCCCGGGCTAACCCTGGGTTCACTGAATCAGAAACCCTAGGGGTGGGGCCCAGTGATCTGTGTTTTTGTACACACTTAAGTTGGAAAACTGGTCAGAAAGTTGTCCTTACGATTCTGACATAAACAATGCAATGTTTCCTGGACCCAGCCAACAACGTCAACATCCCTGTTAAAATAGTCAGGTTCTTTCTTCTGAAGAAATTAGACTTCATTGTAAGCCAGATAATGGGAAAAAAATAGTAAAACTATGATTTAAAAAATCAGTATAGGAATCAATTGATGTCACTGCCACTCAGTTTTTATTGCATAATTTAAAACGAGTATATCTTAACTACATTGTTTTAAACTGCATACCACAGCTGCATGGCATTCTCTGGTTCCAAACAGATAAAAATGAGCAAAATAAAACTAGGTAAGATGAAGAGGAATCTTAGGGATTTTAAGGAAAGAATCCAGCCCCATACAGAAGCAGAGGAAGTAGTAAGCCTAAGGGTCAAATGCTAACAACAAGAATAACAACAGTAGCAGCTGTAATTATTAAGTACTAATTTTAAGCTTGGTTCTTTATATATATTTTCCTCGTTTGTCTCATTAACCTAGAAAGAGCGTCATTGTACAAATTAGGAAGCAAGGATACAGAAATATATCTTACCCAAGTTACAGAGACTAAAAAGTTGTTAGTTGTGTGTTTGATTTCAAGTCTTACGATCTTTCTACCACACCACTGAGCTGCCCAGGTAAACAGAACAGTTATTCAATGTGAGGGTTAGAAAAAGAAGCTGCAACCCAATGCTTAATTAAGCCCCTAGGGGTGGAAGCCAACTTAAGGCACATAAGAGCAGTGGGTTCTTTCTTGAACCCACCTGATAACAGGCAGGAAGGCCCAGTGATTCCTCAAGTCTGTATCTTATTGGCCCAGGGCTTGAGTGAGACTAAGCCTGCAGAGATTGGGTATTCTGAAGGTTAATAAAATCTGTACATACACAGTGGGACTAGTTTTTCAGTAACAAAGGAAGGTTGATTGGCTTATAAGACTATACTAAAGTATGCCTTGGGTGTTAAGTAGTGGTTAAGCTCATAGACTCTGAAGCCAGTCTGCAACTTACTAGCTGTGTGACCTGGGCAAATTACTTAACATCTCTATGCTTGACTTTTCTCATCCCTGAAATAGGGATGACAATAGTGCCTGCCTCATTGGGTTTTTATGAGGCTTAAGTGAGTCAATATATGTAAAGTACAGTGCCTAAACATAGTAAAAGCTGCAAAAGCATTATTTCAAAAGACTCAGTTATCTTTCCAAATGTCCTTTCAATGTTTGACATGAATAAAGCATGAAAGCATGAAGAATAAAGAGCTTTTTTAAGTTTAGCTGGATCTGTTTAAGTTTATAACTGAACCCAACACCTATTACAGTTTTTTTCCCCATAAAGCATAGAAAGAAAATCTGCTTTATGGGAAAAAAACTGTAATAAAATATGTGAAAAAGGATAAAACTCCACTTATAATTCAATCGTCATTATCCAAATATTGTCACTTTTTGCATAATACAATCTACTATTTGCCAATGACCAAATTTTACATTATAATTAGTGCATATATCCACATGTACTATTTTTATAATTACCATTATGTCATAAACACTTCTGATTATAACCCATGTTCATAAACATGTTAATGGCTGTTAGATATTTCCCTTTCTTTTATTCTTCGCATAATCAAGAAATTCAGTTTATTAACCATGAAACCCTTAGACCTTGGATAGCTTTCATCTGGTGGTAGAAAATGCTTCTTCTATCTAAAATGATCAGTAGCCAATCAAACATTGGAAGACATAGTTATTGGTTTTTAAATTGTTTGAAGGCAATGAAGGATTGAGTGCAATTGTTTTTTAGTAATATATTACTAATGATTGAGAACTAAAGAAAATCAGACTTCCTATCAATAATGTCAGTAAAACACTCAGCCCTTGGACTGTTTGTCATTATTCTGTTAGTCTTTCTTTTTTTTTTTTTTTTTTTTTTTTAGCAAGAAGGTGCTGGTTAGGGCTGGCAGAGAGAAGAAAACCATATCCACCAAATCAACTTCACATATGACTGTTGTATAAATAAACTCATCTTAATTGTAAAGAGGACACATATGAGGGTGAAGAAAAGACGTTATAAAAACATAATGTACAATCTGCTAAGCAAAAATGCCATCAAGTTCGCCAAAAGAGATAGGAGAGAACAAGCAGCTGATCATAAATCTTTAAACAGAATGTATCCACTGTAGTTCCTATATAAACACTTCACAAATGCTGGTTCTTTCAATCCCAGAAGTGAAAAGAATCTTGCCTCTAATCCACTCTTGTTTTGCAGATGAAGAACAAGGCCATAGAAAGAAAGCCACGAGCTCAAACTGAAGATGGGGCGGGAATTAGGATTCAAATCCAGGTCTCCGGATCCCCAAGACAGCGTCTTTTCCACAAGGCCACTGCAGCCATCCATCAATTTAGACATGAACCTGTTACCTATGTGGTCACAATCATGCCATATACAAACTTTAGCCAAGTAGCACTTTTTTCCTCTTAGTGCTTTCTCACTCAGAATCAAATTAATTCCTCAATAAAGTTATAAATCCAACAACTTCAGTTGCACAATTCACAGCATTAAAAAGCTAGCTCAAACCCACACTGAGTCCTTAAAATTTGATGTGGTAATTATGATCACCCTGTTTATTTTCTGTAGAAGTTAAGCCTAAAGAGGATCAAGAAAGAATACAAACAAGCTTAAAATAACAATTTCTTTGTAACAAGAAAATAAAAATCAATAATGGGCAAACCGAGTTAAAAAAAAAAAAGAGAGAGAGGTTTAGTACACTGAGGTTCATCCATGGAATAGAAGAACGAGAACCTGATCCCAGATCTTCTAGCATTTAATAGATTAGATTAGAATAATCTAAGTAGTCTGTTAGATTAATACATTAGAATATTAGTTATATTTCATTGGAACATGCACCATGTGTATTTTATGCCTCAGTGTATCACCAGAGTATACAATGTCATAATTCCACCAGTGTGCATACTACAGTTAGAAAAGCTCAGCCTTAGAACAGCTAACAAACAGCAGGTTCTAAGGAAATACTGCTTATTGAATCAATCAACCAATGGTCTCATTTTAAAAGACTGGCACTGATTGGTCTGTGCTATTGCTTTAGTTGTCTCCTTCATGTTTACGTTATTGTTATTGAGGGTCTTGCTATATTTGCATAATCGTTTGTTTTTTATGCTGATGCAAATCAAAGCCCATAGTAAAAAAGTACTCATTTCATCTCATGTTAAGTTATTTGTAGGCTTGAAAATAAAGAGTGATTTACATGAAAACCTTTATCTTGATACATAGCAAATATTTCTCTTTTAAATCCCAGAAGAAAGAAGTAAACCAAATTCAATTTTAAATAGTGCTAGAAATGTTGAACATGTTTTGAAATGAAGGAAAAGCCTTTAGATAAAATGTGTAAATAGTCTAATTTTAAATTTTCCAGATTTAAACAATTAGAATGATCATATAATAAATCTTATATAATAGTCTTGTTTGTAGAGTATCTAACCCCAATTTATTATAATATGTGAAAGAGACTAAGGGCAAAAAAAAAAAAAAAAAAGAAAAACAAGAAAAACAACCCAACACATTTTGAAGCAGGAAGCATATCTAGATTTTTCAGTTCCCAAGTATCTGAAAAGAAATTTCCCAAATTACCTGTGTTGAGGTTTGTTCAATCTGTTAGAGTGCTATCAGTACTGGAGGATTCGAGGAAAACCTGTTTCACGTGGGTGATAATTGTAGAAGTGAATGAGGTAGGGAGAGATTGGCATTGCTGCCTCTTCCTGCCTGCTTGGTAAAGGACTCTTTGGTGCATTTAGTTATCTTCTGAACAGCCTCTGAAAGTTTCTGGATTCTTTTTCTGCAGTCTAGTCCCTTTGGGTTGCTTCTCAGGCTAATGGCCAATCCACAAACAAGAAAGAAACAAAAACCTAACCACAGAATGGCAGCATGCCTTTACTTCTATCACGTAGTTTAAAGTCCCACTTTCAATTATGTGTGCTTTTTCAATCATTAGTAATGGGGCTTGTTTCAGGTAAAAAGCCAGGCAGAGTATGCGCTAAAGAAAAAAGAAAAGATCTGTGAAGGGGCAACAGGTGTCCTTTGGGACTTCTGCCTAGGTGCCATCAGCAGCATCGCAGCAGTTAAATACCACGGCCTCCCTGGGTGGGAGTCTCACATTCCCAAAGACAAGGAGACAGAGACTATTTCAAAAAGTAACTGGAGAGATGAGAAAGCTAAAATTAGAACTATTGACATAGATCCTTAAAAAATCCTACCGTGCTCTGCATGCAAGGATGCTAATAAGGAGATGAGGAAGATGATGCTGGGGAAAATGGCATGTCATCTTAGCCTCAAACTCTTGCCATCTATTTTGCATATCTATTTTCAATCCCAAGTCTGTAGTACAGAAATGAAATCTCTCTTCTACACACACTCTCTTAACACTAAAGAGGGTGGTAATAAAAGACAAGGCCCAGGCAGTAGAAGTCCTATAGTGCTCCTGATAAAGAACACATGTATGTGTTATAGTTTCCTAGTAACCATCTTGGAGCTTATCGATGGATTCATAATTGAGGACATACATCATCACCTGAGTGTTTCTTAAATATCTGACTTGCAGGTATTACAGGATGTCTGGTGGTTCTGAGATGTACCCCGATTAAGACCATTGTTAGTGGCCAGAATTTACACAGTTTATGTTTTAAACCCATCCAAGGTGTAATACTTGACTCAATATATCTCCATCCCCAAACCCATAAGATGTAGAGACAAATTCAGGTGTTGGAGACGTTACTATTAAAACTGTAGAATAAGCACACAAGAAATCCCTTTTGGTAAAGTGAAGTTTTTGTGGGAGTTAATGAAGGGTGATTTATTGAGTGTCGTGCAGTATACTTGCTGCTAAAACTACAAAAATGGCAGAGGACCAATTTCTACCATCCAGGATCTCACAGTCTAGTGTAAAGAGAGATACAGCTAAAAATGATGAAAGTCAGATTATAATTCTAAAGAGTTCTAAATACTTTATTAGCATGAGTTTTATTTCATAATCATGATATTATGGTACAGCACTTGGGATGGGTATAAGAATTTTTATTTTGCAGAGAAACAGAGGTAAGATGAGTTGCCTAAGTCATTTAGTCTTTATGATCCTTTGTTTTGTTATCTATAAAATAAAGTTAAAATGCCAAATCACAGGGTTTTAAGGGAGATTGTATATATTAAAAGCCTTTTGAAAAAGTACAAAGTGTTTCACGAACGTTATTTATGGGTGTAAATATGTGACAAATCAGGAAACCCAATATTAAGAGATGCAATAAACCATTATTGGTCAATCAGTAGCACAAAACACCAAACCTAATAAGGTTGGTACTTCAAAAACTTAAAAGCACAAAAGAAAAAGGATAAGGGAATGGCAAGTAGGTTGGCCTCCCCCAGACCTATTACTGAGGGTAACAAGCCTCATAATAACCTAAAGCAAGAAACAGGTTAGGCAGGTAGCTAGTCAGGTGGAATAGCTTTTATAGTAGATACATAGCTTGAGTTCAAATGTTCTCCCACACAATAATTTTGTTTAAATAAACCAAAGGGGAAACAAAAGGCAGGAATTATTGCTGTGGAATGTTAAGTGCCTCTTTGGAGCTCATTAATCACTGTAAGACTTTATATTCTAGCCTCCCGGATAACCTACTAGAACTCTGAAAGATGAATGGAGAAGACACATAAAATGCTAGAAATCAACAGCTCTTGATCCTGTTCATATATCCCTACATTGTAAGCTTTTAGAGGGCAAGTCAATAAACTATTTATACCTCTGTCCCCCACATTTAATAATGTGCCTGGAACAATGTGGCAACTCGGTATTTTAAATTAAATGAACTGGACCCCCTTTGATATTTAAGAATCTTGAGACCCAAAGAGGAAAAGATTTGTCCAAATTTACACCATGACAGGTGGAGTAAGAAACTGTATTTCCTACACTCAGTGACTATACATCATGATTTTACTGAATTATGTTTTACTTATCTCACTATACTGGCTCAGTCTTTTATTATTGTTGTTGTTATTGTTTAACCACAAAATGGCTCTTCTTAAAATCGCTTTCCAGTTCTGATATACTAATGATTGCATAGACATTTCCTTTCTCTGCTGCAGAGTAAATCATCCTGGCTTCAGAGAAATGACTGTTCTATACCTTAAGTGTGTTGGTTCATGGCCCTGACTGAACTCTGATGGCTGGTATGAAATCTAGAACAAAGAATTGAATCTTCCTTGGAAATACATGTGCAGGTCTCTCTTGAGAGAGTGGGTCAAATTACTCCCTTCCATGTTCTGGAATCACACTGATGTTTCTGGGAGCCCTCCTGGTAGCTAAGTTTCCCACACTTCTCCCAACTTACAATCTTCTGGATCCATGAAGTTGGCCTAAAAAAACTAATTAAGGCTATCCAACGCATATAATTCGAATCCCTACTATGCAAACTTAAATATTCTACCTGAGATAGACACTTAGGTGGTTGCTGGAATGTTAAAGGCTCAGATTTTGCCCACGAGAAGGTTAATATATTAGTGAAGATAGAAGAGTGAAATTGTCAAGTTCAGAGATTGCATCTTAGTTTTCTTTCACATTCTCAGAAATAAGCACATTGGGTACATATCAGATGCTCAATAAATATTTGTTTAAATAAAAAGCACAAAAATTACAATGTTGACTGTAAGAAACGCAGTATGTGAGGGACAAACGAGTACTTAGGTCATAGGAATCTCAAAAGGGTTGAACAGAGAGGTATGACAATAGAAAAGGATAAAACTATATTCACTCTGTTTAGAAGTGCCTTGATTTAAGTAGTCAAATATCATCACATTACCATGAGTTAACAGCAGACTTTGTCAGGAGCTTAAAATGAATGTAGAGAATAAATATTTAGGGTAATTGGGGGTTGAAAGTAAGTGATTGGAGGATGAGCAGCAAGGGTATTTAAAAGTAAGTTTGTTTTCTGATCTAACTATGAGTTAGATCACGCAGTTTCTTTTTCATTTCATTTTTGTTGTATCCAAAAACAACCAGAAGACCTAGAACATGATCACATATCCATGAGCCTTCATAATGATTAGACAGATAATATCAAATCTTCTCTACTGAGGTGCCTGGAGTGGTGTCATTCATTCTCAGGTGCAATCAGTTCCCTGAGATCTACACCAGTGCTTCTTAAATGTTAAAGTGCATAGAAATGACCATTAGATTTTGTTGAAATCCAGATTTGATTTGGTAGATGTGGTGTAGGGACTGAGATTCTGCATTTCTAACAAGCTCCCAGGTGATGCAAATGCTGCTGGTCTGTGGACCACCAGCAGTAATGCCCTACATCAGTGGTTAACTCTGGCCATCCATTAGCATCACTTGGGAGCCATTTAAAACTACTTATGCCCAGATCCCACCCCAGAACTAATTAAACTCACATTATTAGGGGTATGGCCTAAGCATCTTTACATTTGAAAAGCTCTACAGGTGTTTCTATAGGTAGTATGCCAGCTTGAGGCTGGAAATCTACCTAGACAAAGAAAAATGTGATATAGGTGGGGGTCAGTGGGAGGTGAGAGTGTGTGTGTGTGTGTGAGAGAGAGAGAGAGAGGAGAGGAGAGGAGAGGAGAGGAAAGGGGAGGGGAGAATAGGGGAGAAAGGAGGGAAGAGGAAAGGAGGGGAGGGGAGGAGAGGAAGGAGGGGAGGGGAGGAGAGGAAGGGAGGGAGGGGGAAGGAAGAAAGGGAGGAAGGGAAAAGGGAGGGAGAAAGGGAGGAAGGGAAAGGGAGGGAAGAGGGAAAGAAGGAAGGAAGAAAGGAAGGAAGGAAGAAAGGAAGGAAGGAAAGAAGGAAGGAAGGAAGGAGGAAAGGAAGGAAAAAGCCTGTTTCCTCACTCCAAATCATGCTTCTCAAACATTAATGTGCATACAAATTGCCTAGGTACTTTGTCAAAATTCTAATTCTGACTCAATAGACCTGGAGTAAATATGGAGATTCTGCAGTTCTAAAAAATTTGTCTGCAAACCACATTTTGACTATCAAGAGTCTAAATCAGTGGTTTCCAAACACTGCTGTACATAGGGACCTCTAAAGGAAACATATATGCTTTTTTCTTCCACCCCAATATTCTAATTTCATTGGTATGCGGTGCCATCTCAGGATGAGTATGTTCAGAAAGTATGTCAGGTGATTCTAGTGTGCAGCAAACTTTGTGAACCACTCCTCTAAATACTAAACATTTTAACTCATTTAAGAATCTCAAGCCCTTAAGATACGCAAGGCACAAATTCCGTCAGAGCTGCTCGGACTGCGTACCAACCCAAATCTTTGAGACAATGTTAAGTACATGGTGCACAAAAATCGCTGAAATTAGATCATGAATTGAACCTCAGGTCAACTGATGTATTTTCCTCTCTTCTTTACCCTGTATGACAGGGAGTGATGCAAAGTTGTAAATAAGGAAGCAAAAATAAATTGATCTTATTTGTAAATAGCTGAAGTTCAACTTTCTGGATGCTGGACAAATGCTCTAAGAAAGGCTGTCAAATGCTAGAGGTAATGTGAAAGTTGTCAAGTGTTGGCGATGGGATTCAAGATTAAACAGGCCATTAGATCTGGGTATGGGATAGAGAACTCTTGAACCCTCAACTGAGTCACGCAATATGACTCTATCTTTAAAGAGTTTCTACTAGAAAAGTATTATATATACATACATTTGAGAATGTCTTCCTAGAATTAGATTTGAATCTGTTGGGGGAAGAAGTTTGTACACGGCAGCATAAAATGTGAAAGATGCACCAATTACAGTATTGCACAAATACACATTTCTCTTAATACACTCTTTTTGGCTGGAATAAAAATTTCAAGTTAGCTACCATCGTTAGCTGTGCCATTTGCACCAACTTAGAAAGTGAGGCCAATGTATAAGTAATTAGCCATTTTTAATCTGATTGCCAAGCAGCTAACACAGCTTCATTAAGAAAGTCCAGGAACTAACATGCATAAAGACTTTCATCATGTTTTTTTTTTTTTTCAGAGGCAATTATGGGACCTCTGCAAAATGACCACAATGTTGGCCTACAGCAAAAGTCTTCGTTGCCTTTGGATCAGTGCTGTGATTCACTATATCATTGCTGTCTGGATTGACATAGAACTTCTGAACTGATTCTTTTCGGATGTATTTCTGAGATTCTTTCTCCTTTCTGAATTCAAAAGACTGAAAGAACAGCTAGAACTCTACTGTTAGCAATATGATCATTAAACCACCTGGAATGCTAAGTGACACGTAGCATGTTTTATGGGCAACGAAGGAAAATAAAAGATTACTGCCGAGAGATATAGCCTCTTTTTATGATTGAACAGGAATTAGTATACACATTGGAGGCAAAACTGTTACCAAGAACCTTTGTCAAATAACTAAATTTAGTGACCAAATACCAGGTGTCATCTAAGCAAGAAAAACTGTTTCATAGTAAAATGATATTCTTTTTCTGTTGTTAACCTTATGTCCCAGAAATACTTAGTCAGCTAGAATATTACAAACCTTTATATGTTAAGGACTGCCTTTTTATTTTAAAATGGAGTATAATAGAGTTAATAATATATGCCTCAAATATACTTATAGACATGGATTCTCTCATATGTGTACATCATTGTCAGACGTGGAGATGCCCATCAATGTATCATAAGAATAATCTGCCTGAACTGAAAATTGCCTGCTAGTCTTAATCCATGTTGATTCAGCTCTTTTTATACTATAAATGCTTGCCTAGGTTCAAATACTTTAAATCTACCAATTAAATACTTAAAACACTTTATTGAACATAGAACTGCTATCATTCAACACTCCAGTTTCATTAATCAGCCCAGAAATAGGTAACTCACCACCATTCCCTGATCCTAAGTACATTACCACAGTGACTGACATTCCTGGTTTAAAAATAAAATCTTGTTTCAAATATAGCTTCCCGAGTTCTGGGTAATGAATATAGTTTCATAAAAGTTGACATCATTTCTTCTGATTTCGCCAGAATTAAATACATCCAGTATGCCTCCTGGATATCTGACCACCATATCACTCAAGGCTCTCACAACCTGGTGGGCGTTTTAAGGAGAAGGAGAAACAGACCTGCATAGATGGGGTTAAATCCAAAAGATATCTAATCTTGTGGTTAGAATAGTCGTTGTGTTTATGTGTGTTCAATATGCCATTCAGAAGTTGATTTTTACAGTTCATTTATCAGTTGGCATGCATACATTATGCAGATTTGCTTATGAGGAGAACATTAATATGTACATGTCCAGAACTAGTAAATGCATTATGCTTGGAAGCCAAGCAGTACTCCCATACACTGTTCTTCTTAGAGGTCAGTTCTAACGCATGCTGTTCCAAATAGACCCAATTTCTCTGCTGATATATATTCAAAATGCAGTAGGATGTGGTCATACACACCCAGAAATACCATCTTCATGAGGTGGGGGTGGTGAAATTCAAACATTTTTTTTTTAGCAATGCATTATTGGATATCAGGTACAAACGTGCCTGTCAGCAATTCTAAAGCAAATGAAATAGATTTATTTGAGTCCATCCATTATACAGAAAAGATATTGCTTTACTAACACATACCTCCTCCTCCTCCTCCATTTTGGGGGGACTCTCCCCACCTCCCCCCAAAAAACTCATCACAGTTCACTACGCAACTGATGGAGTATTAAACACTGTCTTCCAAGCTGTGGGAGTTAAAAAGAAGTCGCCTTCCTGCCACACTTCCCCAGTGCTGCAATGGACATAGCATCTCCTCCTCTATCGACCTAGTATGATGCTCGCTCCCCAAGCACTGCAGTCCCCTCGCCGAGGATTGCCTTGGCCACACGCACATGCAGCGGGAAGTCCCCCGATAGGGACAACCACATACCTTTGCTCTCCATTTCGGTCCCTTTCGAGTGCTGGGAAGTTCAATGGAAGTTGGCCGGAAGATGTGGGCCCGCTTCAGATTCCCAAATCTGGGAAGCCAATCTGATGATTTCGCCCGTACTTCCTTCCTTCCCCTCAGGCTTCCTGAAAGATGGGATTTCTTAAACCTTGAAGCTGCAATCAGCCACCAAAGGACACTTAGGAGCAGCAGCAGATTGCCTCTACAGGGGATACGTTGCGACGCGCATCTGATACTGAAATGCATGCACAGTGCCCGCTCAGATTTTTTTTTTTTTTTTTTTACCTGGGTCTGGAAGCTGCAGGCAGGAGCTGTCCTCCGAGCGTGGTGCTGCAGGTGTAGTGACAGATCATCCCACTTTGCTCTCTGGATGCACAGCAGATTTGCATGGGCGCTGGCACGCATGCGCAGGGCGTCCCCCCTCCCCTTTTCACCGCCTCCCGCTCCCCCGCCCCCTTCGCCTCCCTCCCCAATACGGTCCTCAGTTATCCCAGCTGAGGAGCTGTAGCATTCGGTCACAGGGAAGCGCTGCTAAAAATAAACGCCGGACCGGATTTTCCTCTGCAAACTAGAAAATGGATTGGACTAGTACTGCGTGCATCAGGACGAATTACTGAAGTCTTAGAGGAGGCTAGTGTCTCCAGGCAGGGTATGGTTTTATTCAGAAGGCAGGGAGGAGAGATTTACGAATCGTTTTTAATGTTCACAATTTGGGTTTCTCTTTCTACTTGCTGCAGTAACTTTCCAGCTGTCTGCTTCCCTCTCCTCTCCCCACTGACTTCACATTGCTTGTTATATTCCTGTATGTGTTTTGTTTTGTTTTTCGAGAGTGGGGTGAGAGTAGTTATGGAGCTGTCAAAGGTTAATATTCTCTCGCTTCTTTGTTACTCAAACTCAGTGTTTTCCTGCCTGCCTCCACCTCAAAACTGTTCCATGAGCAGGCTCCAAGGCTTCTAAAGTTCTTCAAAAAAGCCACTGAGGATATTTTGAGGTGCTCTTTTTAGCTTTTTTCCAACAACCTGCAAGAAGTCCCCAAAGGTGGGGAGGCGTCTTATTGATAATAAGTACTTCCAAAAGCAATACCTAATCATTTTTGTGAAGTTGCAGGGATAGAGTATTTTTCTTGTACAGAGCTCTAGAGGAAGATGCAAAACCACAAATCTCTTGAAGTGCTACTTTCATATCAAAATATTTCTAAAGCCCACACTGTATTTCGTTTATATGCAAAATGTTTAACAGGAAAAATTGTGTTGTATTTACTACCTTTTTTTTTCAATAGTCCAGATTTTCCTGAGGTGATCATCTCTCCTTGAGAATAATAATCTTATTCTCCAGAAGTCCAGAAAACTCTGTTATCTGAAATGGTTAAGGAAGGAGATGTGCAGATTAGTCACATACTCTACTTCATGAAAGATCCTTCCACAGTAGGCTTCTAGTCCCAATTTTCAAAACATTGAAATATAATAAAATGTACTCCCAACAAGAAACCTGGAGTTGTATCTAATTTAATCTTTTTCTGGTGATTCAGAGGGCATCCTTTGATTTTTCCAATGCCTGAGGGCCATGATTACAAATATTAACCACGGATGGTTCAGCCAGACATGGACATTATTAGTGGAGGACTCCCACTAATGAACTGCTGTGGGTCAGCAACGCCTGGATCCATTCAGCATTTAGGAGTATCGGATTGCAGAGGCCACAACCTAGGGCCTACTAATTTTTAGGTTCTCCAACTGTATGCCAAAGTACGTGTTTGGAAGAATCATAAAATTCAGGATTTCTTTTCAATGTTGAATAGGCTTAGGAAGTAAGCTTAGGGTGGGAGTAGTGTTGCTCCTTAAGAACAATAGTCTATTTCATTGAGATAAATAATTTCTGCTCTTAATACTGCACCCCGTTACATGTTCTTTCCTTCTCAAAGGTTTTAGAATAGGAGATATCTTTAGAATGCATCTCTATGTACTCTTCATATTTATTCTTTTACAGACGGAGAAACTAAAGGCAGGGGAGGAGTGGCACTTGAAAAGAGTCACATGGTGAACCAGATCTGGGCTCAGAACCTAAGTGTCATACCTCAAAGGCAGAGGCAAGCCATCTATAGTCCAGAATGATTTTTCATATAACTGCCTTCCCATTATCTACAGTGAATAAGAACAGGGAGAACCTTCTAGTTCATAAATTATCATTATTTTTATTCATAATTTTAAGAACCCAGCTGCTTTATTAAATAGAAAGCAAATCAAATTTAATGCAAAATTTGTGTTCTGACATTCAAGATCTTTCCATTCTTCTCCAAGCTTAACTCCTAGACAACAATTGCTATTATCCTAAACAAACCTCAAGATTGTTTTTAAACCAGGGGAAAGTGGGATCACAGACCCCCACTACCACAAATTATGCAGTCTAGTTTCCCACGTATGGGGAAATTGCAGGGGTCAGCACATCTGGAATGCAATTGATAAGCCTTGACTGGGAAAACAACCTTCTTGCTCATGATAGCTCCTCTGTCAAGATTTTTCTTACCTTTGCTTACATAGTCATTGCTGGAATATCTTGACCTCATCAAACCACTACCTACCACAAGTATCTACAAATTCAAATCTTATATTTTCCTCTAGATCCATCTCCTTCTTACAGTCTTCCCTGATACTCTTAGTCTGAAAATATTCTCTACCAAGAACACTGATGATCCGCTCACTAATGATTCCAAAACTGATGAGTTACTTCTCTTCCATCACTATTTTTTATTCTGTACCAGAATGATTTATGTATATATCTTGTTCCTTTTTCCCACTCATATTTTTAAATGGCCTCCTTTTACTTCAGTGTAGTCTAGAGTGTCCTGAACATAGGAAACAATAAAAATGTTTCATGAATTAATAACATTTAGCATACATGTTTTTGTGTACTTTACTATGTGACATTAACTACAATCACCATGATAACAAAATGATGATAATATTGACCTAACATTGCTCAGAGCTTACTATGTGCCAGGTACTATAAGGATTCTAAATGTTTAATGAATATTATCTTTATTCATTAAATAAGCTATATGAACATGCAAACGGCCAATAAATATATGAAAAAAAGTTCAACATCACTAATCATCAGAGAAATGCATATTAAAACCACAAAGAGATATCATTTCATCCCAGTTAGGATGGCTATTATCAAAAGACAAAGAAAATAAAGCACATGCTAGTGAGGAAGCAGACAGAAGGGAATTCTTATGCACTGTTGGTGGGAATGTAAACTAGTACAGTCACTATGGAGAACAGTATTGAGTTTTCTAAAAAAAAAAAAAAAAAAAAACTAGAATTACCATATGATCCAGCAATCCCACTACTGGGAATTTATCCAAAAGAAAGGGAATCAGTATATCAAAGAGATATCTGCACCCATATGTTTATTGCAGCACTATTACAATAGTCAAAATATGGAATCAACTTAGGTGTCCAACAACAAATGAATGCATAAAGAAAGTGGGGTACATATACACAATAAAATATTATTCAGCCATAAAAAAGAATGGAATCCTGTCATTTGCAGCAACATAGATGAAACTGAAGGACATTATGCTTGATGAAATAAGCCTAAGAAACAGAAAGTTAAACACCACATGTTCTCACTCATACGTGTAAGATAAAAGAAAAAGTTGATTTCATAGAAGTAAAAAGTAGAACAAAGGATAGGAGGAGCTGGGAAGGGTAGGGGGAAGGAGGGAGAGATTTGTAAAAGGATACAATATTACAGCTAGGTGGGAGGAATAAGTTCTAGTGTTCTATACGACTGTAATATGGTTATAGTTAATAATAATATTTTACATACTTTAAAATCAGCAGAAGGAGGATATTGAAGTTTCCCAACACAAAGAAATGATCAATATTTGAGATGATGAATATAATAATTACCCTGATCTGATCACTTACATTATATGTATTGAAATGTCACTGTTTACCCCATGAATGTGTACAATTATTATTTGTCAATTTAAGAAATAAAATAAAATATTATGAGGTTAGTACTATTATGATCTCTGTTTTAAAGATAAGCAACCTGGAGCACAGAGAGGTTAAAGTATGAATAAAACATGATCTCTGCCGTACAGAAGCATAAAGTCTATTGAAGATGATAGAAACATAAATGATTTTAAAAGCTATCGTAAGGTATAAGATAGGTTGTCACAGGTGGAGTAGGAGGTGCAGAAGAGTTGGCAGTCAGCCAGCCTGAGGGTTTTAAGAAAGTTTCCTGGAGGAGACATATATAGAGCTAGTTCTTGAAGTGTGAGCTTCACAGGGTTGGGGTATGAGTGTGGGGCAGGGACCATGTGAGTGTGCAAAAGTACTTTTGGACATAAGAAGTTATTATCATTTTCCAGGTTTCTCTGCCAGATGTGAATCTCCAATGTCAAAGAGGAAAGTGGACGGAGGCAGAGAAATGCTTAGTACTGTTCCGGGATCAGAGCTACAAAACTCCAGAGTATCTGGGAGAGATCATATCTCTTTATCTCACCTAAGTTTTCTATCATACATTTGAATAGAGAGACAGTAGAGCATAGTGAAAAAAATAGATTCTGGAACCAGACAGACGTGGGCTCAAATACAATTTGCTTCTTATTATTTATGGTACCATCTTGGGCAATTAATCCATTTGGGTCCTATTTTTTTAATCTGGAAAAGTAAGTAATATCTTCTTGTAGGCAGAGCTGTTGTAAGGACTGACCATAATACTTATAAAAGTGTCTAAAATACTGGTCACTCAATAAATTGTACTCACTATTATATATAGGGTCTTGGATCCATCCAGGCTAAGGATTAGAGCTGGAATCCCTGAAGGTTCCCTCCTTTTTAATAAGAAAAGGGTCTAATCCCCCCATCCCAAAATGGAAGAGGATTTAAAGGAAGAATTGCTTCATAAAAGTGTTGATGAAACATAATTTGATCTAGTTATGATGAACTCACTTAATGATAATCCTGGAATAGGGGAAATAGACTAGTAGCCTGGCAATTTGCTATTTCAAAGTGCCAAGAATTAGGTGAGACCGGGTTTCTTGTATTTGGGGTGAATGTGCATTCTGGTTTTCCCAAAATGTTCCCGTTTTATACTCATTGTCACAACATACTTTTAAAGAATGCCCCCTTTGCCCATCAAAAACAGTTCTGGCTTAATAAATTATATGACCATATACCTTTAGTTCCTACTAGAATGTACAGAAATAATATAAATGATTGAAATTAATTAACAGCAATACATTACATTATAACTATTTTAAAAGCCTTGTTAAAATGCCAAACCAATTACCAGCCTGCATACAATTTTTCCATATACTCATGCTGTTTGTCCAGAAGTGCTGAATGTAAATTGAGAGAAATGTGTGACCATTTATTTGTGCCCAATTATTTTCTTACTGTTCATTTTTTATAACTAATATCTTTTATAACATATTTTATATTTACAAAAAAAGAGAAGTTGGTCTATTAGACTTTTTGGTGATGACATTGAGGTCAACTCACCTCTAGAAGTGAGTACTCACTCTAAGATGAAACAAATGGTCAGCTCAGTTTCCACTGAGAGTGTCAGTTCAAACTGTCACCAGAATGTAAGCTCTACAAGAACAAGGACCTTGTCCATTTTTGTCACTGTTGTTTTTCCAGCTTCTAGAAGAGCATGTCATCCTTAGAAAGTCTTATTTAATATCCAATGAATAAATGAATGAGTTTAATGAGAAAAAGCTTTTTTTTGGTGGCCATAAAGCCAATTCACTTGGCAACTGAGAAGCATCAATCAGCAATCCTTGACGGCATAAACTAGGTCATAAGTGACCTGTAAGAAGCAACAGGATCACCATGAGGCAGGAAGTCAGTTAACAAGTGTGCTCCGTGCTTACTCTTGGGCAAAGACCATAAATAATCAGGCCTACATTCAGTTTTCTCTGCACTTGAGTTCAGGTATTCCTCTTAAGCAAGCTAATAGGTGGGCTATGCCTTTGCAAACAAGCTAGGAGGCTGGAAGAAATTAGTCATAGAAGATGAAAGAATAGGAAGATTAAAATTTCAAAGCACAAGAAGAAGATGGGTTGACGTGGCAAAACTACGTGAAAGTGACCATGCTGTAGAAGTTAGACAGCGTCCCTCAGAAAGCAAACATGTCTTGATTGCTTACTATGTGCAAGGTTCTCATTCTCTTCCTTGAGTGAGGGTGAAAGAATGATCTTCCTAAAAAGGCAGTGACACATGATAAAGCTTCAATAAAAATGGTTCAGGTTGCAGGGAAGGAATGAAGGTAAGGAACAGTCTGAGAAGACAGGAAAGGGCAGAAGATGCAGCTCATCTGGGTATATTTTTCCATGGAGTTACCCATTTACATGGTCTAACAGTGATCTCTCTAGGGGCTATTAAGTATCTAAAGAGACTTGCAGAGTCGTGTAACAGAGTAATGATGCATGGGTAAGGCATCTGGAAGCCAACTCACAAACGTTTTTTACATTTCTTGTTAAGGACTTTCTCCACTTGACGATATTAGAAATTTATACACAAGCTATCAACTGACAATTTCAAGGCCCATCTGTTACACTGGCATAATGCCCACTTAAAATGTGGTATGCCAATTTCATTAATGTTTAGGTTGTGAGTCAAAACCTTAATCAGTCAAAATAGGATACTAGAAAATAAAACTTTTCAGTTGATTGTCCCTTTTCATTCTAGGAATAAGAAATAACCTGGCAATCCAATACGCAAAAGTAACTTCTTGAATCTGCTCAGGATCATTATGAAGACCAACCCAATCCTTGAGCCCTGGTGCTAAGAATAGACCAAATGTACATCAAGGTTTGGTCCAAAAAGGCATCATAAAAAATGCTGCATCTAAAGAATGTGGACATTTGACATTTTCTCATCCTATACATCTCCCACCCTCCCCTCAAAATTCCAAATACACAGATGCTCGATATTTTTGTAATAATAGCATACGAGTATTCAGTCATAAAGAAATTAACTAAAGTCCATCATTTGTTCATTTACTGAGAACCTACTGTGTGCAAGACACTAGTGTAGGTGCTGGGATACACCATAAATCTGTGGACTCATAATATTTACATTATAGTTTCACCGTTGGAATGAACTTCATAAATCTTGTAGCCCAAATACTTATTAAACAAAAGTAAGAAAAAAGACCCATTAGGAGCGGGGAGGAGGACAACTTTTCTCAAGTCAAATAGCAAGTTATAAACAAGACTAGAAGTAGTCTGCTGATGCCTATCTCATTATGGCACCCTCTATGCAAATTTGTATACATTCTTAGGTTGGAGGACTAGGACTAGTCCTATGTGTGTTGTACTGCAAAGCATTGTTTCAGAAGTTTATTTATTTCACTTAGTAAATACATCCAGAAGTTCTTGTTGAAGGGCTGGAAAACGATAACTATACTAAATGTGTTGCTGCCAATAAGAAACCTCCACAATGTGTTCTACACGACACCTGATAGATGTGATACAAGTGTATTGTTCGTGTGATGAATAATAACAAAGCTCTATTTTATTAGTAGTGCTCTTACTTGATGAAAAATCTTCATGGTTTATGTTTATATTCAAATCTCAATTCACATAGCGGCTATGGCTACCCAGGGAAAGTGAAATGCAGAAATGAAACAATTAGCTATGTTATTGGTTCCAAAAACCCTGCTTTTTAAAAGGGAGGAAAAGAGTAATGAGTAATTTAAGCCAACTAAAATTAAATAACAGCAAAAGAATGCAATAGCATAATGGACCCCACATGTGTATTGACACAAGGGTATTATCAGCAGGGACTTGGAGGTCATAACCAATTGCTGATAGTAGATAGTACTGATACTCTGCAGCTTAAAAAAAATGACAAATGGATTTGTCTATCTGATAGCTTTTTTAAAAAAGTGTTTCCACAACTTTTTACATTTTTTTTTCTCTAACCATTTGCCCTAGCAAGGTGACCATGGGACTGTAAAGGAAGCAAAGAGTTATAGTTAGAGGTGGAACCAAGACTGCTGTTCTGCCCAGAGGGTTCTCTTGCATACTGAGCTCTAGGCCTAGGGTTGTGATAATATGATGCTGATGCTGCCAGCCCCTTTCAGTCACTTAAAATCTGTCTCAATTTAAAGTATCAGATGAAAATGTTTTTCATCTGATCTTAAATTTAGGTTTATTTACCATGACTGACAAACTTCTTATTTAGTCTATCCAATCGCTTCTAAATTTATTCATTAAACATTTTCCCCTTCTTTCTGAAGAATCACAAGCTATTAATAATTAAAAAGTAGTAGCTGTTATAAAAAGGATGCTGGAAAGATTGAGATGTATCCTTGGTTTCTTATTCTGTGAAAGAAGGGACTTTGACAAAACAGTCTATAAGGCCCTTTCCAGACCTAATACTGGAAGCATCTGTGTTGGGCCAGCAGTGCTTCTAGGCTATCCCATGGAATGCTGTATTCCTTTTGGAATCAAAGTCAGTCAGACCTGAAAGGAACACTAGAGTTCCTCTAGCCCAACTCCTTTAGTTTATAGATGAGACACCTGAGCCCTAGAGAGGGGAAGACTTTTGAATCTGAACTTGGAACTGCTAGAATCCAAAGTCAATACTTTTAGCCATTATCTTATATTGTCACTTTAATACCTTTACTACACTTTACTTCCACATGTTGATGAAGTGCAAAGTATTTAAGTAAAAAATAGAAAATAGGTTGAAGTAAAACAATAGTATTCTACTAGGCCCCACTAATACCACTCAACTACTGAATGAAGAAATACAAACCCCATCAAAATGATCTCCACCTACCCGCCTCATTGCCCCCTCTCCCTTATATCTTTTTACTTGTTTATCTCATTTTTATTGCCTTCATCATGCCAACAAGCCAAGTTGGCAGATGATTCAGGCTGTGATACAGAGGAAGGGATAAATACAATCTCACAGAGCTACAAGATTGGCTATAACCTTGGGGCTCACTTTTTTTTCTGGCTTAGGAAACTCTTATTTATCCTTCAAAACCCAGTTAAAGTGTTTCACAAGAAGCCTTCTCTTAATCTTCATAGCATTTTCAGTATTTTTTATTTATGTCTGCCATTTATTTATATATCTGTCTCTCTATAAAGGCAGTGCTATAGACTGAATGTTTGTGTTCCCCCAAAATTCATACATTGAAACCTGATTCCCAACATAATAGTGTTTGGATGTGGAGACTCTGAGCAATTATTAGGTCATGAGGGAAAAACACTTATGAGTAGAATTAAAGCCATTATAAAAGAGATCCCAGAGAGCTTCTTGCCTCTTCTGCCATGTGAAATTACAGCCACAGACTGCTTTCTATGAACGCAGAAGTGGGCACTGACTAGACACCAAATCTACCAGCAGCCTTGATTTTGGACTTCCCAATCTTCAGAACTATGATAAATAGATTTCTGTTGTTTATAAGTCATCAAGTTTGTGGTATTCTGTTACAGAATCCTGAATAGGCTAAGACAGGTGGAGTATTCCCATCACATAGCATTGTGCCCAGCATATAGCAGGCATAGAGTAATTATATTCTGAATTCATTAATGAAGCAGTCAATGAGTAATTAAATGAATGAAGTTTGAAAATGTTCCAGAACTTTTCAATTTAGTTGATTCACTCTTCATTATACCCCAGGAGCAAATAAAAATGAACTTTGAATAGCCGTGCTTGTTCTGCATTGGGTAGTATTATCAACACTGTCGGTGTTTCCCATCAACCTGCTTCATTCTTGCTCTTTTCTCCCCAAATCTCCAAGTTGGAGAAAAAAAAGTTCTCCACTTCTGGCTTCTTAGACTTTGGCCTTTTTTAGTCTTACTTTCTTCTCCCTCTGGTCTTGGCTTTCCCATCTCCTGAAACACCCACCACCACCACAAGCAGCGCACACACCTTCCCACCACCACCACAAGCAGCGCACACACAATCCTCATTAATAATCTCCTTGCTTGGCTCCACAGACCTCCATGAGCTGAGCTAGTATCCTGACTTGGTCAAGGAAAGAAGGAGTGCTTTAGAAAAAGAAATGCATGAATGATAAATATTCTATTGATTTTTATTTTCCAGTTTCAAGCTCTGAATGTAGCTGAATGTTACTGTTTGATCCTTTTACCCACTTCCTTTGGTTTCCTCCCAATTATTTCTTCTTTTAAGCAGGGAACTTAAAATACTCCAATTCTTGGTTTTCTCCCTGAACAGAGGGCACTCCCCCCTTAAGTGAGATGTTAGCTTCCATGGCTAAATATAGCAATCATCTATCAAAAATTTTCCCAGAATATGAAGAGACACTCTACCTTTCTAATAATGGATGTGGTTTTTCTCACTGAACATAAGTATGTTCAAGAAACACATTTAAAAAGATGATGTATTCTTGCAGAATACATTACTGTGCATTTGTAAACTCTATTTTCACATTGATGCACATGCCAAATCACTTGCTATTATTACATTCAGCACTATTTGCTCTGGATGATAGTGCCAAAAGACTAATGTCTTGTAAGTACAGAAAGCAGACACTTTTGGGCAGCACAGATGGAGGTGGGAGAATTGCCAACAGAAATGGTGCCTTTTCTCTACTTGGATTATTTTTGTTGTTGTTTTTTAGTTGTTTTAAAGCATGGAGATCATGCAGCAAGTATTACTTAGGCCCTGAATAGAGAACCACTGGAATCTGAATGCAACTAAGCTGGAAGGAATGAGAGAGAGAAAAAAAGAAAGAAACAGGATAGTTCATCCATCTCAATGATAAACTGAAAATCAGAATCAAGAAATCAACACTGAGAAAATGAAATAAGCTTATGAAATTGACTGAAATAACTTTGTGGATTATATATTGAATAAGACTAAAATGTCACCATTTTATTGTTATAATGATGATAAAACAGTAAACTGCCAAGAGAAGAGAATGGCTTGTCTTTGTGTGGCATCAAAGAATTTATCAAAAAGGCAGCATGATAATTTAGGAAATCAAACTTCTTTCTTAAGCTGAAGGTAGCTCCTAAAATCCATTATAAGGTATACAACTAGTTTACATTTATGTTCATTTATATTATGAATTCCAAAGATTGAATTTAACAAACCAAACATCCTAAATTTTGCCTATCATTATGCCTGGTACTTTATATCTACTGTATTATTAAATCCCCATAACAATACTGAAAAGGAACTGAGGCTCCAAGGTCTATTATTTGCCCAAAATATGCAGCAAGTGAGGAATAGAGTCAAAAATGCAACCGAACACTTACAGAATTTAAATTCTTGACCTTTGTACGTGCCTCAAGGACATATACTTGGTAGGTGAGCCATCTTCCACCACTGGTGTTTATATAAACTTGTGCTACAGGAACCCAAAGACGGAGAGAGAGTGCATTACTTTCCCAGCCAGGGAAGGGGCAGGGAACATTGAAAAGCCTTTTCCACGAAGTAGAGAAAGCCATTCCTGACAGAGGTTTCAGCATTAAAAGGCTCAGTGAAGACAGTGTAGGGTGATTTGGGGAAAAGTAAATAGTTTAGTGTTCCTGCAATGGAAGAAGATGAGAAGAAAAGGTTGGCTAGATGTGGATTGACGAGGAAGCCTTAACACTCCTGGGATTTCAGTTGAACACAGAGTTTACCATATCTGAAGTTCTGACTGTTTTCATGCTTACCTGTCATGTCAGATTTAGCTCCTTGCCTGCAAAGCCTGAATCTTGCATGAGTTTTCCACCAGATCTTCCCTTCCCAGTGCAGCTCCTTTAAGGGTTCAGCCTTGGCTTCCCAAGCTGTTGAGACTGCAAAATAAATATGGACCACATGCAAATTTAGATCTCCATCCTTTGACTCCACTCACTAAGCAATTTGCTCCTAGATTGTCTCTCTTTACTTAGCCACCAGGTTTGTGTCTGACTTGTGTTAACGATCTCACTTCCCTAGTCAGCATGATACCAGATTCAACTTCCAGCTGTGCTTTTTATCTCTCTTCCTTAATTCCACGAGTTCTTTATTTCTTTTTTTTTCTTTCTTTTTTTTTTTTATTATACTTTAAGTTTTAGGGTACATGTGCACATTGTGCAGGTTAGTTACATATGTATACATGTGCCATGCTGGTGCGCTGCACCCACTAACTCGTCATCTAGCCTTAGGTATATCTCCCAATGCTATCCCTCCCCGCTCCCCCCACCCCACCACAGTCCCCAGAGTGTGATATTCCCCTTCATGTGTCCATGTGATCTCATTGTTCAATTCCCACCTATGAGTGAGAATATGCGGTGTTTGGTTTTTTGTTCTTGCGATAGTTTACTGAGAATGATGATTTCCAATTTCATCCATGTCCCTACAAAGGACATGAACTCATCATTTTTTATGGCTGCATAGTATTCCATGGTGTATATGTGCCACATTTTCTTAATCCAGTCTATCATTGTTGGACATTTGGGTTGGTTCCAAGTCTTTGCTATTGTGAATAATGCCGCAATAAACATACGTGTGCATGTGTCTTTATAGCAGCATGATTTATAGTCCTTTGGGTATATACCCAGTAATGGGATGGCTGGGTCAAATGGTATTTCTAGTTCTAGATCCCTGAGGAATCGCCACACTGACTTCCACAATGGTTGAACCAGTTTACAGTCCCACCAACAGTGTAAAAGTGTTCCTATTTCTCCACATCCTCTCCAGCACCTGTTGTTTCCTGACTTTTTAATGATTGCCATTCTAACTGGTATGAGATGATATCTCATAGTGGTTTTGATTTGCATTTCTCTGATGGCCAGTGATGATGAGCATTTTTTCATGTGTTTTTTGGCTGCATAAATGTCTTCTTTTGAGAAGTGTCTGTTCATGTCCTTCGCCCACTTTTTGATGGGGTTGTTTGTTTTTTTCTTGTAAATTTGTTTGAGTTCATTGTAGATTCTGGATATTAGCCCTTTGTCAGATGAGTAGGTTGCGAAAATTTTCTCCCATTTTGTAGGTTGCCTGTTCACTCTGACGGTAGTTTCTTTTGCTGTGCAGAAGCTCTTTAGTTTAATTAGATCCCATTTGTCAATTTTGGCTTTTGTTGCCATTGCTTTTGGTGTTTTGGACATGAAGTCCTTGCCCATGCCTATGTCCTGAATGGTAATGCCTAGGTTTTCTTCTAGGGTTTTTATGGTTTTAGGTCTAACGTTTAAATCTTTAATCCATCTTGAATTGATTTTTGTATAAGGTGTAAGGAAGGGATCCAGTTTCAGCTTTCTACATATGGCTAGCCAGTTTTCCCAGCACCATTTATTAAATAGGGAATCCTTTCCCCATTGCTTGTTTTTCTCAGGTTTGTCAAAGATCAGATAGTTGTAGGTATGCGGCGTTATTTCTGAGGGCTCTGTTCTGTTCCATTGATCTATATCTCTGTTTTGGTACCAGTACCATGTTGTTTTGGTTACTGTAGCCTTGTAGTATAGTTTGAAGTCAGGTAGTGTGATGCCTCCAGCTTTGTTCTTTTGGCTTAGGATTGACTTGGCAATGCAGGCTCTTTTTTGGTTCCATATGAACTTTAAAGTAGTTTTTTCCAATTCTGTGAAGAAAGTCATTGGTAGCTTGATGGGGATGGTATTGAATCTGTAAATTACCTTGGGCAGTATGGCCATTTTCACGATATTGATTCTTCCTACCCATGAGCATGGAATGTTCTTCCATTTGTTTGTATCCTCTTTTATTTCCTTGAGCAGTGGTTTGTAGTTCTCCTTGAAGAGGTCCTTCACATCCCTTGTAAGTTGGATTCCTAGGTATTTTATTCTCTTTGAAGCAATTGTGAATGGGAGTTCACTCATGATTTGGCTCTCTGTTTGTCTGTTGTTGGTGTATAAGAATGCTTGTGATTTTTGTACATTGATTTTGTATCCTGAGACTTTGCTGAAGTTGCTTATCAGCTTAAGGAGATTTTGGGCTGAGACGATGGGGTTTTCTAGATAAACAATCATGTCGTCTGCAAACAAGGACAATTTGACTTCCTCTTTTCCTAATTGAATACCCTTTATTTCCTTCTCCTGCCTGATTGCCCTGGCCAGAACTTCCAACACTATGTTGAATAGGAGTGGTGAGAGAGGGCATCCCTGTCTTGTGCCAGTTTTCAAAGGGAATGCTTCCAGTTTTTGCCCATTCAGTATGATATTGGCTGTGGGTTTGTCATAGATAGCTCTTATTATTTTGAAATACGTCCCATCAATACCTAATTTGTTGAGAGTTTTTAGCATGAAGGTTGTTGAATTTTGTCAAAGGCTTTTTCTGCATCTATTGAGATAATCATGTGGTTTTTGTCTTTGGCTCTGTTTATATGCTGGATTACATTTATTGATTTGCGTATATTGAACCAGCCTTGCATCCCAGGGATGAAGCCCACTTAATCATGGTGGATAAGCTTTTTGATGTGCTGCTGGATTCGGTTTGCCAGTATTTTATTGAGGATTTTTGCATCAATGTTCATCAAGGATATTGGTCTAAAATTCTCTTTTTTGGTTGTGTCTCTGCCCAGCTTTGGTATCAGAATGATGCTGGCCTCATAAAATGAGTTAGGGAGGATTCCCTCTTTTTCTATTGATTGGAATAGTTTCAGAAGGAATGGTACCAGTTCCTCCTTGTACCTCTGGTAGAATTCGGCTGTGAATCCATCTGGTCCTGGACTCTTTTTGGTTGGTAAACTATTGATTATTGCCCCAATTTCAGATCCTGTTATTGGTCTATTCAGAGATACAACTTCTTCCTGGTTTAGTCTTGGGAGAGTGTATGTGTCGAGGAATGTATCCATTTCTTCTAGATTTTCTAGTTTATTTGCATAGAGGTGTTTGTAGTATTCTCTGATGGTAGTTTGTATTTCTGTGGGATCGGTGGTGATATCCCCTTTATCATTTTTTATTGTGTCTATTTGATTCTTCTCTCTTTTTTTCTTTATTAGTCTTGCTAGCGGTCTATCAATTTTGTTGATCCTTTCAAAAAACCAGCTCCTGGATTCATTGATTTTTTGAATGGTTTTTTGTGTCTCTATTTCCTTCAGTTCTGCTCTGATTTTAGTTATTTCTTGCCTTCTGCTAGCTTTTGAATGTGTTTGCTCTTGCTTTTCTAGTTCTTTTAATTGTGATGTTAGGGTATCAATTTTGGATCTTTCCTGCTTTCTCTTGTGGGCATTTAGTGCTATAAATTTCCCTCTACACACTGCTTTGAATGCGTCCCAGAGATTCTGGTATGTTGTGTCTTTGTTCTCGTTGGTTTCAAAGAACATCTTTATTTCTGCCTTCATTTCATTATGTACCCAGTAGTCATTCAGGAGCAGGTTGTTCAGTTTCCATGTAGTTGGGCGGCTTTGAGTGAGATTCTTAATCCTGAGTTCTAGTTTGATTGCACTGTGGTCTGAGAGATAGTTTGTTATAATTTCTGTTCTTTTACATTTGCTGAGGAGAGCTTTACTTCCAACTATGTGGTCAATTTTGGAATAGGTGTGGTGTGGTGCTGAAAAAAATGTATATTCTTTTGATTTGGGGTGGAGAGTTCTGTAGATGTCTATTAGTTCTGCTTGGTACAGAGCTGAGTTCAATTCCTGGGTATCCTTGTTGACTTTCTGTCTCGTTGATCTGTCTAATGTTGACAGTGGGGTGTTAAAGTCTCCCATTATTAATGTGTGGGAGTCTAAGTCTCTTTGTAGGTCACTCAGGACTTGCTTTATGAATCTGGGTGCTCCTGTATTGGGTGCATATATATTTAGGATAGTTAGCTCCTCTTGTTGAATTGATCCCTTTACCATTATGTAATGGCCTTCTTTGTCTCTTTTGATCTTTGTTGGTTTAAAGTCTGTTTTATCAGAGACTAGGATTGCAACCCCTGCCTTTTTTTGTTTTCCATTTGCTTGGTAGATCTTCCTCCATCCTTTTATTTTGAGCCTATGTGTGTCTCTGGACGTGAGATAGGTTTCCTGAATACAGCACACTGATGGGTCTTGACTCTTTATCCAACTTGCCAGTCTGTGTCTTTTAATTGAAGCATTTAGTCCATTTACATTTAAAGTTAATATTGTTATGTGTGAATTTGATCCTGTCATTATGATGTTAGCTGGTGATTTTGCTCGTTAGTTGATGCAGTTTCTTCCTAGTCTCGATGGTCTTTACATTTTGGCATGATTTTGCAGCGGCTGGTACCGGTTGTTCCTTTCCATGTTTAGCGCTTCCTTCAGGAGCTCTTTTAGGGCAGGCCTGGTGGTGACAAAATCTCTCAGCATTTGCTTGTCTGTAAAGTATTTTATTTCTCCTTCACTTATGAAGCTTAGTTTGGCTGGATATGAAATTCTGGGTTGAAAATTCTTTTCTTTAAGAATGTTGAATATTGGCCCCCACTCTCTTCTGGCTTGTAGGGTTTCTGCCGAGAGATCCGCTGTTAGTCTAATGGGCTTCCCTTTGAGGGTAACCCGACCTTTCTCTCTGGCTGCCCTTAACATTTTTTCCTTCATTTCAACTTTGGTGAATCTGACAATTATGTGTCTTGGAGTTGCTCTTCTCGAGGAGTATCTTTGTGGCGTTCTCTGTATTTCCTGAATCTGAACGTTGGCCTGCCTTGCTAGATTGGGGAAGTTCTCCTGGATAATATCCTGCAGAGTGTTTTCCAACTTGGTTCCATTCTCCCCATCACTTTCAGGTACACCAATCAGACGTAGATTTGGTCTTTTCACATAGCCCCATATTTCTTGGAGGCTTTGCTCATTTCTTTTTATTCTTTTTTCTCTAACCTTCCCTTCTCGCTTCATTTCATTCATTTCATCTTCCATTGCTGATACCCTTTCTTCCAGTTGATCACATCAGCTCCTGAGGCTTCTGCATTCTTCATGTAGTTCTCGAGCCTTGGTTTTCAGCTCCATCAGCTCCTTTAAGCACTTCTCTGTATTGGTTATTCTAGTTATACATTCTTCTAAATTTTTTTCAAAGTTTTCAACTTCTTTGCCTTTGGTTTGAATGTCCTCCTGTAGCTCAGAGTAATTTGATCGTCTGAAGCCTTCTTCTCTCAGCTCGTCAAAGTCATTCTCCATCCAGCTTTGTTCCGTTGCTGGTGAGGAACTGCGTTCCTTTGGAGGAGGAGAGGCGCTCTGCGTTTTAAGAGTTTCCAGTTTTTCTGTTCTGTTTTTTCCCCATCTTTGTGGTTTCATCTACTTTTGGTCTTTGATGATGGTGATGTACAGATGGGTTTTCGGTGTGGATGTCCTTTCTGTTTGTTAGTTTTCCTTCTAACAGACAGCACCCTCAGCTGCAGGTCTGTTGGAATACCCTGCCGTGTGAGGTGTCAGTGTGCCCCTGCTGGGGGGTGCCTCCCAGTTAGGCTGCTCGGGGGTCAGGGGTCAGGGACCCACTTGAGGAGGCAGTCTGCCCGTTCTCAGATCTCCAGCTGTGTGCTGGGAGAACCACTGCTCTCTTCAAAGCTGTCAGACAGGGACATTTAAGTCTGCAGAGGTTACTGCTGTCTTTTTGTTTGTCTGTGCCCTGCCCCCAGAGGTGGAGCCTACAGAGGCAGGCAGGCCTCCTTGAGCTGTGGTGGGCTCCACCCAGTTCGAGCTTCCCGGCTGCTTTGTTTACCTAAACAAGCCCCGGCAATGGCGGGCGCCCCTCCCCCAGCCTCGCTGCCGCCTTGCAGTTTGATCTCAGACTGCTGTGCTAGCAATCAGCGAGACTCCGTGGGCGTAGGACCCTCCGAGCCAGGTGTGGGATATAGTCTCGTGCTGCGCCGTTTTTTAAGCCAGTCTGAAAAGCGCAATATTCGGGTGGGAGTGACCCGATTTTCCAGGTGCGTCCGTCACCCCTTTCTTTGACTCGGAAAGGGAACTCCCTGACCCCTTGCGCTTCCCAGGTGAGGCAATGCCTCGCCCTGCTTCGGCTCGCGCCCGGTGCACGCACCCACTGGCCTGCGCCCACTGTCTGGCACTCCCTAGTGAGATGAACCCGGTACCTCAGATGGAAATGCAGAAATCACCCGTCTTCTGCGTCGCTCACGCTGGGAGCTGTAGACCAGAGCTGTTCCTATTCGGCCATCTTGGCTCCTCCCAATTCCACGAGTTCTTAAAGAACCTTCAGGATAACAGCCCTTCCAGCTCTACCTCTCCTGGCGCCTCTGCTCCCACAGAAATCCTGTTGGCTCACCTCTTCCAACTGCTCTGCCCTGGAGGTAAGGTCAAGAGAGAGCTTGGCACAAAGCCTGGTAAGTGATATGTACAGTTTATTAACCACTTACTCCATATACTGTGCCCTTTGTCTATACAGTTGAACCTTGGTGTCTATAGGGTATTGGCTGCAGGGCCTCCTTTGGATACCAAAATCCACAGATGCTCAACTCCTTGATATAAAATGGTATAGTATTTGCATTTAACCTATGTACACTTATTTTATTATCTCTAGATTACTTATAATACCTAACACAATGTAAATAGTTGTCTTACTGCATTGTTTAGAGAATAATAAGACAAAAATTCAATGTTCACTGCATGTGAACATTGCAAATGCAATCTTTTTTTAAATATTTTTTATCCATAGTTGGTTGAATCTATGGATGTAGAACCGATAGATACGGAGGGCTGACAGTATTATTGTCAAGTTTGCAAATGATTATTCCTAAGTTCACAAGGTTAAACAAATCAAGTAAACAGAGCTTTAAAAAAAATGGTTGAATTTAACATGTGGATGGATTCAGTAATCATTGGTGGATTGAATTTCAACACTTCTCTCTCATTGCAATTTTGGATTTAAGGTTTTATTTTATTTTCCTGTTTAGCTTTTCATACGTTACTACTACACTAAACATGAAAAATAGTTTTAATTTGAATGCTCATAAAATTGTGCCAAGAAATAAAAAATCTACTGAACGTCTATGCTCAAGAGAACTAAAGTAGGATAAATACTACCTAGTAAACCCTTATTATCTCGATAATATGCTAAGATTTGGGTCAGTTTATCAAAGCACTGGGGTGAATATTTAAATGAACAGTTGTAAAATTTTATATCACAAAAGGACATCAACATTTCCATAATCCTTTAGCTCTTGACATTGTTAATTGATCTCAGTTAAGTCAGCAGATCTGGTTAATACTTGTTTACATTTGAGAAATTGTATAGTGCATATTAGAAATGACTATTTGGTAAAAAGCTAGGCACTCAGCAATGCTAATTTTATCAATCTTTGAAATCTAAAAATGAGCTTAACTTGTATTTTCAATTCAGTCAACAAAAGGTAGTTATTATTAGCAGCAATGGTATTGCCAGCTGAGCCTAAAAGAGACTTCACCACTGCAGCCCCAGATCCCACCTTTCCCATTCTTATCCTCTCTCCTACCTCCTACCAAGATCCTCCCATGGTTCCCCCAGATATAGCAAGTTGTGTTGCGCCTCTGCGTTCGTCCATGCTGCTCTCCCTATTTGGAAAAACAGTGTGCCCCTTTCTCTTTCTACTTCACTCAAACTTTAGTGCAAATGTCAGCTCCTCTAGGAAGCTTTTTCATATCCTCCAGTATGATTTGATGCGCTCAACCTGGGCTCTCATAGAACCTTGAGCATTTCTTGAGCATGATGACTTAAATTGCTGGAGAACCTTTGCCCCCCACCCTTTTAGGCTTCAAGCTTTGTAAGAGAAGCATCCATAATTGTATGAGAAGTGTGCCACACCTCGCATTCAATAAATACAGTAGTTCCTCCCTTATCCATGGTTTCAGTTTCCAGGGTTTTAGTTACCCACAGTCAACCAGGGTCCAAAAATATTAAATGCAAAATTCCAGAAATAAACAATTCATAAGTTTTAAATTGCACCCAGCTCTGAGTAGTGTGTTGAAATCTCCTACTGTCCCACTCCATCCTGCCCAGAACATGAATCTTCCCTTTGGCCAGCATATCCATGCTGTATACACTACCTGCTTGTTAGTCACTTGGTAGTCATCTCTGTTTTCAAATCAAAAAGACATGGCATATATAGCATTGAGGACTATCTGCAGTGTCAGGCACCCACTAGGGGTCTTGGATCATATCCTTCACAGATAAAGGGGAATTACTGTATTAGTTGGAGGCAGGAAAGGGTGAGAATTTGTCTTGAAGGAAAATCAAGGCTCAGAACAGGTATGTGGCTTGCCCTGCATCACAAAGCTGGTAAATGGCAGAGTCCCTGGAGAATCCATTCCTCTTGCATTCCAGGGCCAGGTCCTATCCACTATTCTACACTTCTCTCACTGTTGTCAGTTGGGGGCTCTGGGTATTTTTAAAAGAGTAATGTCATAAATACACACATACACACACACACACACACACACCTACACACACACGTATATATTTGATGAATATCTTAAAGAATTTTAAATAGAATTCACACTTAAACCTAGAAGTGAGTTTATACTTTGATGAACACTTACTTAGATAACTACGTAAATACACTAATTCCCAAATCACTAAGAATATTATAACAATCAAGTGAAGAACAAGAAGTAACTACTTCCAAAAACAGGATGGCTTCTTATATTTAAATCAGGGAGAAAGGTGAGCCTGTGATCCAAAGGAATATAATCAAAATGAAGATAGGAGAGTTTTTTTTTTCTCATCCAAGCCAATATATTATTTATCAAAATAAAATGAATGATTCAGTATGGTTACTACTTTTCTAGGGCCACTTTGCCAAAAGCAAGACAATTATCAATGACATACACACAAAATCCCAAGTGTTTGGAAAAATCACGGTGGTAGGTCATTCTGAGCCTTTATTCATCACGAATTACAATGGCACTTGTTATCTGAGGAGAGGCTGGCTTTCCAGTTGCTCAGAGAAATCTATTACATATAAGAGACTGGGTGAATTGTGAGATAACTGTAGACCAGCGAGTGAGGTTGTACATGGTCAATCATTTAAATGCCTCCAAATAGCACTCTCAAAGTTTCACAGTATTGCCTTCACAGAGTTAAGCTGGCTGCCAAAGTGACCCACAGAAACTCTTTATCCAGTTCTTGCCTGCTGTACTCTCCAATCTGCCCTCACAGGACGATGCTTGGTGCCCAGGGTCAGTTTCCATTTCCCTGCCTCTAGGACATTGCTCACCTCTGGAATGCACCCATTCTCAAACCATCTTTGTTTTTTGTTTTTGTTTTTGTTTTTCTTCAAAATTTTTCATAGTCAGCTACAAAAGTATCTCAAATACCACATTATAGAAAAAAAAACAAAAAAACACTTTCTGGTTTCATCAAATCCTTTTTACTCTTTGAAGAGTGTGATTTGGGGAAAAAAAAAAACTCTATCAAGGACTATTTGTTGAATGAGTGGTCCCTTCTAATTATTTATATTCTTAATCACCCCACAGTGAGCTTTTGGAGGAAGGTGGCCCTGTCATCTCTGGGTCTTTCTCAAAAGTGAGAAAAAGTGATAATCCTTCAGCAAATGTGTCAAATGACTGTCAACAATCCTGCCATTCAAGATGATGCAAATTATCTATGTGATTTTCCTGTTCTAGATAAAACTGCTAGGGATATTCCAAAGCTGTGGAGGCCTACTCGGAACCCTTTGGTAGAAAATGTCTGAGAGGCTACATGGCTGGAAATGGGAAACATGCCTAATGCTCCCTGTAGCATCTTGGGCTGGCTCACCATATCCCTGCTGACTCCTAGTTCTCTGAGTCAACCGCACATGAAAGTGGAGCTTTGATCCCAGCATCTTAAAAATCCTCCAATTGGAAAAGAATCTGTTCTCTCTAGATGATAAAAGTGAAATTGCACCTCTGTGAAATGCGTTTGCAGCCAGGTGCAGGGCTCTGCAGGAGTCAGCTCTGGGACAGACTCAAATCTCTCTCAATCAATAGCTACATTTAAACTTTCCATTCCAAAGTGTCTGAAACTGAGCTGACCAAAGCAGCCCAGAAACCTAACCCCTGCAACTTGGGTCACACAATGTGTCTTTCAGCCACTGACATCATTTCTCATTATGGGCAAATAAGGAAAAGGCCCAGTTTTCTGTGGATGAAGATATGTGACTCTTACCAAAGAGTCACCTCTTACTAAAGTTGCCCAGCTTCAGCTCATGAAACAATTATCCTTAGCACAATGTAGGCCATACCCACCTTAAGCTCTGGACTGTAGCCCTGCCCCTGACTTTGTCTGCACGTAACTGTGGATCTGCAGTTTTCCATAAGGTAAGTAGATCATTAGCAATATTAATGACCCACCCACTGTCTAAAATGCTGCCTGACACATAGTAGGCATGCAGTAAATATTTGTCAGACAATCTACGGAATGGAAATTAATTAAAATTTGATGGATTTAGCTATTAACAGCTCTTGATCTCAGAGGAAAGGCACTCTGTAAATAAGGATCCAGCGCCATTAGCATTGATTGGCTGTTATTCAACTCCATATTGGGAGTTTTATAAACTTGTAAATACAGTCTGTACACTTAGAGGCCCAGAGGAGCTGTAGAGACTGCATTTACATCCCGTGGAAATGACTTTTTAAATAATAATAATGGTAATGATAATAATAACCCTTTTTATGTGTGGGGTTCTTTTTAGTTTGCAACACACTTTCACATCCATTATCACCTTAACTCTTCCCAACCCCGTGAAGACATCGTTACCTACTGGTTAAAAAAAAAATGGACTCAGAAAAGTGGCATGACTTGTCTAAAGTCACACAGCTAGTAAGAAATAGAACAGTATCTCAAATTTCACTTTTCCCACACCAAAAAACAACAACAACAACAACAAAACCCAGGTAGCATTTTTTTCTACTACATGGCATCTACCTTTGAATGGATTTATTTTTAAAGAAGGAGAATTCAGCCAAGATCATTTAGTTTTTGATTAGACAAGTCTCTATAATAACTTCACAAAAAATATCTTACTTCTAAATGAATTCTTATTAAACTTGCTTCAGGATGAGTATGATGTTACTCTAAAATCAGAGTCTGTGTTAGAAAGGACCTCAAATATCATCCATTCTTTGTTTGTTCAGATATTTATTAAATTTGTACTTCATGAGGTCCACACTCCTGGAGAAGAAACAGGACACAGAGATGTGTCTGTCATCGAGAATTCGTGAGATAAGGACATGGAACAGGTAACAAATGACTATAATATGAGGCAGAAATTGTTAAGCATCATCCACAAGTCAAACAGGTGACTGGCAGGTGAGGAAGAAACACTAGCTTCCAGCAGAGGAATTCAAAGAATGCTTCAGGGAGTTTGTGCTGGCCTAAGAAAAAAAGGAGAATTGGAATAGTGAAGATAAATAAGAGAAGAGAGAGTTACGGAAGCAAAAGCAGCGTGAGATTGCCTCGTGGGTAATAGAGGAACTGGGTTCTTAGAGTATAGAGAGGAGTGGTGTTGGGCAAGGTCAGAGGCAGAAGGCAGAGGCCCTTGAATGCCAGGTTCATTTACAGATGGGGAAAGTGGGGCCCAGGGAGGGAAGTGACTCCCTCTTTTGTCTTTCTTTCATATACATTTTAAAAATTGCATCTGCCAGTATCTTCTCAGCCATTAAGGAAAACTAGTGTCTTGACTAACAGAAGCTAAAACATGATCTGGCTATTTTCTGTCCAAGTACAATACTGTTAAATGTAAAAAAAAAAAAAGCTATTCACTTAGGTCCACACTAGGGTCACAAGTGTGTTTTCTCGGGGAACGCCATTAAGCAAGCCATCTCTGAAACTAGTGAGGTAGTGAGCCGGAGTAGAAATATCACGGGGGGTAGGGGGGCGGGTAGTTAAGAAGTCAGGAGACATGGTCTGTCCCTTTTGTAATTGGACAATAGTTTGCTCTGTAATGTTGGTCAGGTAGTGTCCCTTTTCTCTTAACTTTTTTGGAAGAGAATAATACATCTCAGTATTATTCTTGCTCAGCATTTACTATATAATACTTCCAGGGTTATATTTGCTTAGCATATATTAACAAATTTGTTGTGACTTAATGGATGTGAAGTTGTCTATAAACTATAAATTGCTAAACAAACTAGAAGGTCCTAGTATAATCATTATCATCTTGTTACTCGTAGGTTCAGCATTAATCACAAAACAGACCTCACAGATCATTATTTCCAAGCCTTCTGATTTCTAGGTGAGGAAACAGGTCTAGAGAGGCGAAAATGACATGCTCAAGGTTGCACTAGAAATTAATATTGAGGTTGAAACTAGAGCCATGACTCTTAACACCCAGCTCTGAAGTCACTCTACCAGAACCAGAGGCTGTACTGTCATGTGACCTTGTGAACAAGGCCTATGTGGGACTATAAGTCTTTTTAAAATGATATTTTATGTCTTGATTAGAATATGGTAAAGTAAGCACTTTGCACCATTCCCACTTAAATGAAAAAAAAAAAAAGTAGTCATGCAGGTCAAATGATTTGGCTAATTTCTAACAAGGAAACATGCATAAGAAGGAAACGGCAGAAAGTCAGCTTCTCCCTGGAGGTCAGTCTGCTCAATGAGACAGCATTGCCAAATTCCTAAAAACGACTGCATATTATTTTCCAAATCACCATGGCTCTCCTCCTCAGAACCCTATATAATACAAATCCAAAGATTCTGACTTAAACATTTTATTTGAAGAATTCCGTGACTCCACTTGCAGTCGCTGAAGCCAGGCAGAAGTAGGATCGGCAATTCCACGCGGCTCAGTTGCCTTCTCACCTGCTCTGTTCTGATGGCCTCGACATTGGCTCATTTCCTAGCGACTTTGACAGAACAATCACTTCTGTTTAACCTTGCTTTTTTCCTGCTACCATATCATATGTAATTTTACTCCTTGAAATAGAATATTCACTTTAGTACAAACTCAAACTTTCTTGTCTAAAACCTTTTGAGGCCATATGTGTTTCAAGAATTTATACTTACTTGTATTTCAGAAAGATAGTTCAGTGTCTGTCTTACTATATTAAAAACACCCCAGCAGGATCTGGGGCAGGAACCCAATATTGAAAGCTTTCGTGTTTCTTCAGAAAACATATGAATATTCTTAATAAGTGGGCTAAGTAAAGAGTATAAACAACTTCATATAAGGACAGGACAAGTTTTGTGACCAAGAGCATTTGCTATACATTTACAGAAAAACTATCATATTTCAGAGCATTTTGGACTTCAGAATTATAGATAAGGGATTGTACACCCACACAACTACTCAATTTGTATAACTACTCAATCTAATCAACTACCATTGGTGACTCCATTTGTCCCTCTAAGAGAGTCATCAATATTAGTTGACTTGTATTGAGCCGATTTTTCCTATGGCCCTTTATGTCTTCATAATGAAACACCACAGAAAATAAAATAGACGAAAAGTGTCATTAATTACAAAAAATTAGCCAGTCATCATAGTGCGTGCCTGTGGTCCCAGCTACTCAGGAGGCTGAGGTGGGAGGATCACTTGTGCCTGGGACGTGGAGGTTACAGTGAGCCAAGATCATGCCACTGCACTCCAACTTGGGTGACAGAGTGAGACCCCATCTCAAAAAAAAAAAAACAAAGTCTCGCTTGTTCTCACTCATAAGTGGGAGTTGAACAATGAGAACACATGGACACAGGGAGGGGAACATCACACACCAGAGCCTGCTGGGGGTGGGAGGCAAGGGGAGGGAGAACATTAGGACAAATATCTAATGCATGCAGGGCTTAAAACCTAGATGACGGGTTGATAGGTTCAGCAAACCACCATGGCACATGTATACCTATGTAACAAACCTGCACATTCTGCACATGTATCCCAGAACTTAAAGTGAAATTAAAAAAAAAAAAGTCACTATTGATAAGTATTTTTGCATCCTCTTCCTTTCAAAAGCAGTGTCTTTGTTGCTGGCAGTGAGAGCAAGTACCTGCCTCCATTTAAATCATCAATGTGACCAAGGACAGAGGATGCAGGCTAGTCTGAAGATGGTCATCGCTATGGACTGAATTGTGTATCCCACCCAAAGTCATATGTTAAGGCCCTAACCACTGATTTGACTGTATTTGGACATAAGGCCTATAAGGTGGTAATTTAGGTTTAGGTAATGAGGTCACAAAGGTGGGTTCCTGATCTGATGATATTAGTGTCCTTATAAGAAGAGATACCAGAGTGTACTTGTGTGCATGTGTGCATGCGCTCTCCCTCTCCCTCTCCCTCGCACACACCATGTAAAGTCACATTTTACCATCTGCAAGTCAGGAAGAAAGCCTTCAGCAGGCACCAGCAAGCACTTTGCTCCTGGACTTTGTAGCCTCCAGAACTGTGGGAAATAAGTTTCTGTTGTTTAAACCATCCACTCTGTGGTATTCTGTTATAGCAGCCTGAACTGACTAATACAATTGTTGTTAGAATTCTGTTTCTCGGACTGGCTATATTTGCATGCCCTATACACAGTCAGAAGTCTTACTCATGGTTACATTTATTGAACACTAAGCTCGATGTTGGGAGGCCTAAATTCTAAACTTGACTCTCTGCCACCAACTAGAAGTGTGAATTGGGACACATCACTTCCTTTCTCAGGAGCTCAGTTTCTCAATTGTAAAAAGAGTTATGCCCTGGATAATCTCTAAGTTTCCCTCCTGCAATGACTTTCTAAGCTGCTGGGAATTTAATCACATCCAGTTTCCATTTCCCAGTAATGCTTTTTGGCAAGGCTAGGAAACAACTCAAGAATCATTTATGCTATCCCTTCTCCTCACTCTACCGCCAAGACAATTTGTGTTGCTCTCACACTTACCTCCGGGGTGTTAGCAAAATCAATGGAGCTCTTTGTGTTTCTCAGATGGAAAAGCTTCTCATGAGTGTCCTTGTAACTTGATTGTGGTTAGAGCTGCTTCATGCATTGCTGATGGCCTGCACTTCTGAAAGGTGCTGAGGTAAATGCAAATTACAGCAGGGCCAATTTTGGGATAGGAAATAATTCTTCCCAAGATACCCATCTGGCAATATCCCATGAGGTCAGGAGGCAAAGATTAGGTAAATATCATCCACTACATCTATAAACTACCTTCGCAGCAGTGGCCAGGTCAAGAAAAGAGACACAGAGGCATGACAGTGGCTTCTTCCATCAAAAGAGCTTTTGTACTGCTTTTGCTTTTCCCCTTGCTTCTGGCCAGGGATGCCTAACACTGTAATTGTTTCTGGGTCAAGTTGAGGGATGAGTCCATTCCCTCTGCCCACCCACAATGTATTATCAGTTTCCTACATACCATCCCCAGTTCTGATCTTCAGTTCTTCCTTGTTCTTCCACCCCCGCCCCCAATCCCCAAGTCTGACTACATTGCTTTCTCTCTTCTCCTCCTCCTAACACATCAAAGGGATAACAGCTCCACAAGAGGAAATGTTTAATTTTACCATCTAATCAGTACCCAAACTGAAATACAGCTGATGTATCATAATTGACATGGCCTGCACCATCTTGAAGTCACATTGCCATGTTCTCAAAATATTTACAGAAGTATTTCTGCCAGAGATTTCCAATTCTTGCTGTGCATCAGACTCATTTGAAAAGCTTATTAAAAACACAGATGTCTAGGCTAAATTGCAGCCATCCTATACCAGAACCTGCAGGTGAAGAAGCCCTAGAATATGCATTTCAACAAGCTCTATAATACTCCTTAGGCAATTAGCCTAATATTAGTCATTTGGGAAATATAATGTTGTTTCTTGCTCATAGAAGCAGAAATCTTATGTCTTTAATCTTGATTTTTTATTAATTATAAATCTTTGTTACATAGAATAAAAATATAATTCTACTACTTTAACAACCGAAAAACATAAGAACATTGGAGTGGATCATGAAACTCTAAGAAAGACTGCAGCTGGGCTCAAGAACAATGAAAAAGTCACTTTCCAGATGTTTTCTATTTCATATCTTGAGGGGCTTCTGAATATTGATTTGGCTTTTCCGTCTCACCTCAGACTGGCTTTCTCCTCTCCTCAGTAGCAGAATGTAACTGCTGCAATTTCCCAAGTGTTACATATTTCAGTCCATTTATACAGATAACTTTCTTTTCTAAGGCCAAATTCTCAGGGAAAGATTCAAATTGGATTTGAAGGTATCAAGTGTCCACTTTACCCGAAGTACACACACACACACACACACACATTCATATTCTCTCTCTCTCTTTCATGAACCATGGTGCAGATTCTATTAAAGGATTTCTGAATCTCCCATATTTGCATCAAGTGGTTCCTTTGGCTGCTTATGATAGCTGGGGTGAGACTGATGTGGAAGCTCTCTCAGTCACCCTATCCTGTGAGTTTGGTGGGTAGCAGCAATTCTCAGACAATTGTAGGAAGCTCCTACAAAGGGGCAGTTCTAGAAGAAAGTGCTAGGTGAGCAAAAGAAGAAAAAAGGTACGTACTACAATATATTTCTCTTAGTGCCCATCATAGTGCTTTGCTCCTAATAAATGCTCAATACATATTAATTAAATAGAGAATGGGCCAGAACTAGTCAGAAGTCCTGATTTTAAATGACAGTACCAACAGTGATTAGCCATGTAAACATCAAACCTCTCAAGAGTTTCTTTATCTAAAGAATGGAGTTAACAGGCATATGAAAAGTTACTCGACATCATTGGTCATCAGAGAACTGCAAATAAAAACTATGAGACATCATCTCACCTGAGTAAATTAACATGGGTTATATTCAAAAGAGAGGCAGTAACAAATGCTGGAGAGGATGTGGAGAAAAGGGAACCCTTGTACACTGTTTGTGGGAATGTAAATTAGTACAACCACTATGGAGAACTGTTTGGAGGTTCCTGCAAAAACTAAAAATAGAGCTACCATATGATCCAGCAATCCCACTAGTGGGTATATACCCAAGAAAGGAAATCTGTATATCGAAGAGATACCTGCACTCCCATGTTTGCTGCAGCACTGTTTACCACAGCCAAGATTCTGAAGCAACCTAAATATCCATCAACAGATGAATAAAGAAAGAAAATATGGTACACATACACAATGGAGTACTATTCTGTCACAAAAAAAGAATGAGCTCTTGTAATTTGCAACCACTTGGATGGAGCTGGAGATTGTTTTGTTAAGTGAAATAAGCCAGGCACAGAAAGACAAGCATCACATGTTCTCACTTATTTGTGGGATCTAAAAGATCAAAATAATTGGATTCATGAACATAGAGGGTAGAAGGATGGTTACCAGAAACTGGGAAGAAGGAGTGTGGTGGGGGGAGGGGAAGATGGTTAATAAGCACACACAAAAAAGTTAGAAGAATGAATAGGACCTATTATTTGATAGCACAACAGGGTGACTATAATCGATAGTAACTTAATTATTATACATTTTAAAAGAACTAAAAGAGTATAATTGGGCTGTTTATAACACAAAGGATAAATGCTTGGGGGATGGATACTCAATTCTCCATGATGTGATTATTACGTATTGCATGCCTGTGTCAAAACATCTCATGTACCCAGTAAAATTCTGTACCCACAAAAATTTAAAATAAAAAAATATTTAAAAAGAATGGAGTTAGTAATATGGTTATTTGGTGGATGGAAAAAATTCAAAATTATACATATACGCACATATATACACACACTTTTATTTATATGTAAAAGTATTGTAAACCACAAACAACTCTATAAATATTAAATACCACTTTTTTTTTTTTTTTTTTTGGAGACAAGTTCTGGTTCTATTGCTCAGGCTCACTGCAATCTCTGTTTTCCAGGCTCAAGCCATCTTCCCACCTCAGCCTCCCAAGTAGCTGGGACCATAAGCATGTGCCACCACACCCGGCTAATTTTTTGTATTTTTGGTAGAGACAGGGCTTCACCATGTTGCCCAGGCTGGTCTCAAACTCCTGAGCTCAAGTGATCCACCCGCCTCAGCCTCCCAAAATGCTGGGATTACAGGTGTAGTCACCTCACCCTGCCTTAAATACCACTTTGAATCATGTAAAATATGTTTGGATTGAAATTTTCCAATTCATCATTAAAGTTTCATGTCCGTGATTTAATAAGATTACTTATTTATGGGAATGCCAACAGAAATCTGGAGTCTGCCTTGCTTGAAAGTGCTTTATCAGAGTTATCTCCAGTGTAAGTGCCGTACTTCATTAGGACCTACTAAAAGGAGCAGCTACTGAACACTTACTACATGCAAAGCACCATGGTAAGTCCTTTACACACATTATCTCATTTAATACAAACAATAATTCTTTGAATTAGGTGTAAATAGTATCTTCATTTTACAAAAAAAAGAAAAAACAAAAAAAGTTGAAGCTTAGAAAGGTTTGGTTAACTTGCCAAGAATGCACAGACAATAAGCAGTGGCACCTAGATTCAAGCCCATATCTTCCCATAAAACAACTGTGTTGGAATCTGTCTATCTTAACATGTCATGGAAATTTCCACATTACCCAGAAACAAGTTATTGTTAATATTCTCCCTGTAACTAGCTTTAAGATACGATAAATTCGATAGTATCATTACAGCTAAGCCTTTTAAAATATAACACATTTTAACCTCCAGGCCAAAGTTGTAAGTGTTCCTCACGGAATTATGTCCTGAATCTGATTCTGGTGTATTCTTAATTGAAAAACATTGTGCTTAGACTAAAAGTAAAAAAGTAAATAGTAAGAAGGGGCCAAGATGGCTGAATAGGAACAGCTCCACCTGCAGCTCCCAGCAAGACCAACGCAGAGGGTGGGTTATTTCTGCATTTCCACCTGAGGTTCCCAGTTCATCTCACTGGAACTGGTTAGGCTGTGAGTCCAACCCACGGAGGGAGAGCAGAAGCAGGGTGGGGTGTCGCTTCACCCAGGAAGTACAAGAAGCTGGGGACCTCCCTCCCCCAGCCAAGGGAAGCCATGAGGGACTGTGCTACCTGGCCAGGTTACTGTGCTTTTCCAATGGTTTTTGCCATCTGCAGATAGATCAAGAGATTCCCTCGTGTGCCTACACCACCAGGGCCCTGGGTTTCAATCACAAAACTGGGCGGCTGTTTTGGCAGACACCAAGCTAGCTGCAGGAGTATTTTTTCATACCCCAGTGGCACATGGAACTGCAGCAAGACAGAACGGTTCACTCCCCTGGAAAGGGGGCTGAAACCAGGAAGCCAAGTGATCGGGCTCAGCAGGTCCCACTCCCACAGAGCCCAGCAAGCTAAGAAACCACTAGTTTGAAATTCTTGCTGCCAGTACAGCAGTCTGAAGTCAACCTGGGACAATAGAGCTTGGTCGGGGGAGGGGCGTCCGCCATTACCGAGGCTTTAGTAGGCGGTTTTCCCCTGATAGTGCTAAGGAGGCTAAGGAGGCTAAGGAGGCTGGGAGGTATGGGCACGGAAAAGCGGCTGTGGCCAGACTGCTTCTCTAGATTCCTTGTCACTGGGCAGGCCATCTCTGAAGGAAAGGTAACAGCCCCAGGTAGGGGCTTACAGACAAAACCCCCATCTCCCTGGGACAGAGCACCTGGAGGAAGGGGCAGCTGTGGGCACAGCTTCAGTGGATTTAATCTTTCCTGCCTGCTGGCTCTGAAGAGAGCAGCGGATTCTGACAAGAGGAATTCTCCCAGCACAGCTCACCAGCTCTGCTAAGGGATAGAGTGCCACCTCAAGTGGGTCCCTGACCCCTGTGCCTCCTGACTGGGAGAAACCTCCCAACAGGGGTCAACAGACACCTCATATAGGAGAACTCCGGCTGGCTGCAGGCCAGTGCCCCTCTGGGACGAAGCCTCCAGAGGAAAGAGCAGGCAGCAACCTTTGCTGTTCTGCAGGCTCCACTGGTGATACCCAGGCGAACAGGGTCTGGAGTGGACGTCCAGTAAACTGCAGCAGACCTGAAGAGGAGGCCTGACTGTTAGAAGAAAAACTAACAAACAGAAAGCAACAACATCAACATAACGGACGCCCCCTCCAACCCCCCAACAAAAACCCCACCCAAAGGTCAACAGCCTCAAAGATCAAAGGTAGATAAATCCACGAAGATAAGGAAAAACCAGTGCAAAAATGCTGAAAATTCCAAAAACCAGAATGCCTCTTCTCCAAATGACCACATCTCCTCTCCAGCAAGGGCACAAAATTGAACAGAGAATGAGATTGATAAATTGACAGAAGTAGGCTTCAGAAGGTGGATTAAAAACAAACTCCTCTGAGCTAAAGGAGCATGTTCTAACCCAATACAAGGAAGCTAAGAACCTTAATAAAAGGTTACAAGAACTGCTAACTAGAATAACCAGTTTAGAGAGGAACATAAATGACCTGATGGAGCTAAAAACACAGCACAAGAACTTCGGGAAGCATATACAAGTATCAAGAGCCAAACCGATCAAGCAGAAGAAAGGATATCAGATACTGAAGATCAACTTACTGAAATAAGGCATGAAGCCAAGATTAGAGAAAAAAAAGGAACGAAAAGGAATGAACAAAGCCTCCAAGAAACATGGGTCTATGTGAAAAGACCAAACCTATGATAGATTGGTATACCTGAAAGTGATGGGAGAATGGAACCAAGTTGGAAAACACACTTCAGGATATTATCCAAGGAGAACTTCCCCAAACTAGCAAGACAGGCCAACATTCAAATTCAGGAAATACAGAGAACACCACAAAGATACTCCTCAAGAAGAGCAACCCCAAGACATATAATTATCAGATTCACCAAGGTTGAAATGAAGGAAAAAATGTTAAGGGCAGCCAGTGAGAAAGGTCAGGTTACCCACAAAGGGAAGCCCATCAGACTAACAGCAGATCTCTCAGCAGAAACCCTACAAGTCAGATGAGAGCAGGGGCCAATATTCAACATTTTCAAAGAAAAGAATTTTCAACCCAGAATTTCATATCCAGCCAAACTAAGCTTCATACGCAAAGGAAAAATAAAATCCTTTCCAGACAAGCAAATGCTGAGGAATTTTTTTCACCACCAGGCCTGCCTTACAAGAGCTCCTGAAGGAAGCACTAAATATGGAAAGGAAAAACTGGTGCCAGCCACTGCAAAAACACACCAAAATATAAAGACCAATGACACTATGAAGAAACTTGCATCAACTAATGTGCAAAATAACCAGCTAGCATCATGATGACAGAATCACATTCACCCACAAAAATACTAACCTTAAATGTAAACGGGCTAAATGCCTCAATTAAAAAACACAAACTGGCAAATTGGATAAAGAGTCAAGACCCATCAGTGTGCTGTATTCAGAAGACCCATCTCATGTGCAAGGACATATATAGGCTCAAAATAAAGGGATGCAGGAATATTTACCAAGAAAATGGAAAACAAAAAAAGCAGGGGTTGCAATCCTAGTCTCTGATAAAACAGACTTTAAACCAACAAAGATCAAAAAAGACAAAAAGGGCATTACATAATGGTAAAGGGATCAATGCAACAAGAAAAACTAACTATCCTAAATACATATGCACCCAATACAGGAGCACCCAGATTCATGAAACAAGTTCTTAGAGACCTACAAAGATACTTAGACTCCCACACAATAATAGTGGGAGAATTTAATACCCCACTGTCAATATTAGACAGTTCAATGAGACAGAAAATTAACATGGGTGTTCAAGACGTGAACTCAGCTCTGGACCAAGCGGACCTAATCGACATCTACAGAACTCTCCACCCCAAATCAACAGCATATACATTCTTCTTAGCACCACATAGCATGTATTCTAAAATCGTCCACCTAATTGGAAGTAAAACACTTCTCGACAAATGCAAAAGAAAAATCATAACAGTCTCTCATGCCACAGTGCAATCAAATTAGAGCTCAGGATTAAGAAACTCACTCAAAACTGTACAACTACATGAAAATTGAACAGCCTGCTCCTGAATGGCTACTGGGTAAATAAGGAAATTAAGGCAGAAACAAAGAAGTTCTTTGACACCAATGAGAACAAAGAGACAACGTACCAGAATCTCTGGGACACAGCTAAAGCAGTGTTAAGAGTGAAATTTATAGCACTAACTGTCCACAATAGAAAGTAGAAAAGATCTAAAATCAACATCCTAACATCACAATTAAAAGAACTAGAGAAGCAAGAGCAAACAAATTCAAAAGATAGCAGAAGACAAGAAGTAACGAAGATCAGAGCAGAACTGAAGCAGATAGAGACACATAAAACCCTTCAAAAAATCAATGAATCCAGGAGGTGGTTTTCTGAAAAGATTCACTACATAGAAGGACCACTAGCTAGACTAATAAAGAAGAAAAAAAGAAGAATCAAATAGACACAATAAAAATGATAAAGGGGATATATCACCACTGATCCCACAGAAATACAAACTACCATCAGAGAATACTATAAACACCTCTACGCAAATAAACTAGAAAACTTAGAAGAAATGGATAAATTCCTGGACACATACACCTTTGCAAGACTAAACCAGGAAGAAGTCGAATCCCTGAATAGATCAATAACAAGTTCTGAAATTGAGGCAGTAATTAATAGCCTACCAAGCAAAAAAAGCCCAAGACCAGATGGATTCACAGCCGAATTCTATCAGAGGTACAAAGAGGAGCTGACACCATTCCTTCTGAAACTACTCCAAATAACAGAAAAAGAAAGACTCCTCCCTAACTCATTTTATGAGGCCAGCATCATCCTGATACCAAAACCTGGCAGAGACACAATAAAAAAAGAAAATTTCAGGCCAATATCCCTCATGATCATCAATGTGAAAATCCTCAATAAAATACTGGCAAACCAAATCCAGCAGCATATCAAAAAGCTTATCCACCACGATCAAGAAATCTTCATCTCCAGGATGCAAGGCTGGTTCAACATACCCAAATCAATAAATGTAATCCATCACATAAACAGAAGCAATGACAAAAAACACATGATTATCTCAAAAGATTCAAAAGATGCAGAAAAGGCCTTTAATAAAATTCAACATCCCTTCATGCTAAAAACTCTTGGGCCGGCACGGTGGCTCACATCTGTAATCCCAACACATTGGGAGGCCAGGCAGGCAGATCATGAGGTCAGGAGATCGAGACCATCCTGGCCAACATGGTGAAACCCCGTCTCTACTAAAAAATACAAAAATTAGCTGGGTGTGGTCGCACATGCTTGTAGTCCTAGCTACTCGGGAGGCTGAGGCAGGAGAATCACTTGAACTGGGGAGGCAGAAGTTGCAGTGAGCCAAGATCGCTCCACTGCACTCCAGCCTGGTGACAGAAAGAGACTCCGTCAAAAAAAAAAAAAAAAAAAAAAAAAAAAAAAAAAAAAACCTCTCAATAAACTAGGTATTGATGGAACATATCTCAAAATAATAAGAGCTATTTGTGACAAACCCATAGTCAATGTCATACTGAATGGACAAAAGTTGGAAGCATTCCCTTTAAACACCGGCACAAGACAAGGATGCCCTCTCTCACCACTCCTATTCAACATAGTATTGGAAGTTCTGGCCCGGGCATTCAGGCAAGAGAAAGAAATAAAGGTATTCAAATAGAAAGAGAGGAAGTCAAATTGTCTGTTTGCAGATGACATGATTGTATATTTAGAAAATCCCATCATCTCAGCCAAAAAACTCCTTAAGCTGATAAGCAACTTCAGCAAAGTCTCAGGATACAAAAATCAATATGCAAAAATCACAAGCATTCCTAAACATCAATAATAGACAAACAGAGAGCCAAATCATGAGTGAACTCCCATTCACAATTGCTACAAAGGGAATAAAATACATAGGAATAGAACTTACAAGACATGAAGGACCTCTTCAAGGAGAACTACAGATCACTGCTCAAGGAAATAAGAGTGGACACAAACAAATGGGAAAAAATTCCATGTTCAGACAGGAAGAATCAATATTGTGAAAACGGCCATTCTGCCCAAAGTATAGACTCAATGCTATTCCCATCAAGCTACCAGTGACTTTCTTTGCAGAATTAGAAAAAAACCTACTTTAAATTTCATATGAAACCAAAAAAGAGCCCATATAGCCAAGACAATCCTAAGCAAAAAGAACAAAGCTGGAGGCATCACGCTACCTGACTTCAAACTATACTACAAGGGTACAGTAACCAAAACGGCATGCTACTGGTACCAAAACAGATATATAGACCAAGGGAACAGAATAGAGACCTCAGAAATAACACCACACATCTACAACCACCTGATCTTCAACAAACCTGACAGAAACATGCAAGGGGGAAAGGATTCTCCATTTAATAAATGGTGTTGGGAAAACTGGCTAGCCATATTTAGAAAACAGAAACTGGACCCCTTCCTAACACCTTATACAAAAACTAACTCAAGATGGATTAAAAACTTAAGTGTAAAACCCAAAACCATAAAAACCCCAGAAGAAAACCTAGGCAATATCATTTAGGATATAGGCATGGGCAAAGACTTCATGACTAAAACACCAAAAGCAACTAAAACAAAAGTCAAAATTGACAAATGGGATCTAATCAAACTAAAGAACTTCAGCAAAGCAAAAGAAACAATCAGAGTGAAAAGGCAACCTACAGAATGGGAGAAAATTTCTGCAAGCGCAAGCTACTCATCTGACAAAAGTCTAATATCCAGAATCTACAAGGAACTTAAACAAATTTATAAGAAAAAAACAACCCCATCAAAAAGTGGGTGAAGGATATGAACAGACACTTCTCAAAAGAAGACATTTATGTAGCCAACAAACATATGAAAAAAGGCTCATCATCACTGGTCATTAGAGAAATGCAAATCAAAACCACAATGAGATACCATCTTATGCCATTTAGAAGGCGATTATTAAAATGTCAGGCAACAACAGATGCTGGCAAGGCTGTGGAGAAATAGGAACGCTTTTGCACTGTTTGTGGGAGTGTAAATTAGTTCAACCATTGTGGAAGATAGTGTGGTGATTCCTCAAGGATCTAGAACCAGAAATATCATTTGACCCAGCAATCCAATTACCGGGTATATACCCAAAGGATTATAAATCATTCTACTATAAAGACATATGCACATGTATGTTTACTGAAGCACTATTTACAATAGCAAAGACTTGGAACCAACCCAAATGCCCATCAATGATAGACTGGATAAAGAAAACGTGGTACATATGCACCATGGAATACTATGCAGCCATAAAAAAAGAATGAGTTCATGTCCTCTGCAGGAACATGGATGAAGCTGGAAGCCATCATTCTCAGCAAACTAACACAGGAACAGAAAACCAAACACCACATGTCCTCACTCATAAGTGGGAGTTGAACAATGAGAACACATGGACACAGGAAGGGGAACATCACACACCAGGGCCTGTCGGTGGGTTGGGGGTAAGGAGAGGGAGAGCATTAGGACAAAGACCTAATGCAATCAGGGATTAAAACGTAGATGATGGGTTGATGGGTGCAGCAAACCACCATGGCAAGTGTATACCTATGTAACAAACCTGCACATTCTGCACATGTATCCCAGAACTTAAAGTAAAATTTTAAAAAAATTAAATAGTAAAATTTATTTGTAAGCCAGATGTAAATGGCAAGATGGCTCCTAAAAAGACTTTAATAATTCAATTTGTCAACTGCCAACAAATAAATCGATTATATTTTCATCTGAATTTGTGTCACTTCTGGGTTTTTTGTCCTTCTGGCCTAGCTTTTTCTCCTCTCATTTTTTCTTTCTCTTTGTTAAGAATTTCAGTATAGATGTATAAACATCGTATAATAATTTTATGCAGCAAAAATTATTGAATCATAGAATATTAGAGCCAGAATGAATCTTATTTACCGTCTGGTATGATTCAATCAGGTTATAGGGACAAACTGTGACCTAGAGAGAAAAGTTCACAGAGCAAGTTAATGTTCTTCCATCCACAAAGTATTCCACAGAGAACACTGATCCCCAAGTCAAGAAAACATAGTAATATTATTAATTACTATAAACCAATCTTCATTCTTGCCTAAGTTCATCCATCTGGAAAAGACATGAGAATGAATTAGATGATTTCAAAGATAACTTTTACCTCAAATATAAACTTTTCTTAATTTTTTCACCCCTAAAGAGATATGCAACGATTTCACACATAGATTCACATTCATATCTTTATGTCTTCTTACGTTTGAATGTTCATATCTGCCATTCTGAGTTAACTGAACAGTCAAAATTACACATTTATTGATACATAGGGAATTATTGGTAGACTAGCTTTCATAACCCTCAACTTCAGACTGAAGCGCATTCTGTAGAGACCATGGATATTATGTGGTATCACTTTCTGGTAACACAGAATTTCAGTCTAGCTCCATTAGACACTGTTAATAAAAGAAAGCTATATTAGTTAGATTTTGTTTTATATAAATACAAAAATTCCAGCTAGCTTAATCAAAATGGGAATACATTGGGAGAATACGGAAATATCTTATAAAATATTTGAATAACAAAGCCATAGAAAGCTTCAGGAACAGCTGGAATCAGGGACTTGAGAGTCTTCAGGATTCCCGCCCCCCCCCCAACCTCTCTTCTCTGCTTCTCTCCAGGAATGGCTTCATTCTACTCTTACTATAACAGTCCTCTCTACACTTTGGGAGACATAGCTGCCAACACCAATGATGTTTTACATGCTAACCTTGCAGCCTACCAAGAGATGCCAACACAGTTCTTAGCTCGAAGATCAGAAATCTGAGACAGAAGTGACTCTAACCTAGCTTGAGTTAAGTGTGTCCACTCCTGAACCAAACAACTAGGGTCAATGGTTAGGATCATGTGTCACTAATGTAATAATTCTCTTGATAAGTAAATTGATGAGGAAAGGAGCTCTCAGCAGACCATCTGTAAGTTTTCACTCCATCGGTAAATTCTGGGTTCTGTGCATATAAAACTGGTATTTGCAATCAAGGGGAAAGTTATTTTCCAGAGTGTTAGAATCATTGAAAGATTATAGTGAGCTTGGGATAATGCTAAAGTGGTCAAATTGACAGCCTGGTTGGAATTTCGACTCCAAACACATTTCTACTCATATTTTATATGCCCGTATGCTATGGAGACTATTATCAATTTAACCTTTTCTAAGATATATTCAGTGTATTGTAATCACTACATTGGAGCAATACATTTTTAATTTGCAATGATTGACAATGGTGGAAAAATTCTTAACTACATATTTCATATACTCCTTCACAGTTTACCTAAGCTTTCTCCTACTTTTTTCAACTCATTTCCTCTACCCAACTGGAGATAAACTAGCAACCCATGACAACAGGAGGGTATGTGCTTGTTACTGTTACCTAAACAGCCACACTCTCCAATAATACCTAACCCTTTTCCTGAGTTGTGTGGGTTAGAGTAGCCACCAACTAACAGCTGGAATAGCGTGCAGAGGAGATGAGAAGACTAACACTGGCACCAAGAGTCACAACAATATTTTTTCCCTGGAGGTTGAGTGTTGAGACAGGTGGTTGATGTCATGAGTATTGATCAGTTGTTTTGAATTAACATAAACAAAACATGAAATTGGTTTTACTTTCCTGGAAATGCAATAAATTTATTAAAGATACTTTATGTGACCTTGCACACGTATGTTTATTGCGGCACTATTCACAATAGCAAAGACTTGGAACCAACCCAAATGTCCAACAATGATGGACTGGATTAAGAAAATGTGGCACATATACACCATGGAATACTATGCAGCCATAAAAAAGGATGAGTTCATGTCCTTTGTAGGGACATGGATGAAGCTGGAAACCATCATTCTCAGCAAACTATCGCAAGGACAAAAAACCAAACACCACATGTTCTCACTCAGAGGTGGGAATTGAACAATGAGAACACATGGACACAGGAAGGGGAACATCACACACCAGGGACGGTTGTGGGGTGGGGGGAGGGGGGAAGGATAGCATTGGGAGATATACCTAATGCTAAATGACGAGTTGATGGGTGCAGCACACCAACATGGCACATGTATACATATGTAACAAACCTGCACATTGTGCACATGTACCCTAAAACTTAAATAATAATAAAAAAGATATTTTATGTGACTTTTTATCATAAAAAGAGAGAGCATTATGTTGCTGAATTTTCAATAATACATTGAGATAACTTAGATTTCTTAGTATCAGCTGTAAAAAATTAATATTTGATCTTGTGTTTTACTTAGAGACATTTCTTTTACTTGTAAAATGACTGTTTACTGAGAAGAGCATTTTATATGTGTTCTCATTTTAATAGAAACTACAGTGTTGATACTGGTTGAGTTAATTAAAGCAAAATTGGTGAGGTCATAGCAGGTTAATTATCACAGTTTCTAAGCATGTACAACGTCCCATGGTGAACAGTTTATAACTTTAGATAGTTTTCTATAAAAAATATTTTTCTCAAATGCATGTAATTATAATAAATATAATTTCAAGGATATAAGCCAACAACTATTGGAACTGCTATTGAAATAAAAATTGTAACATGATAGGAAAGTATATCTCCCCTTTTGGTTAACTAATTGAGATACAAACTCCATTTCCTTAATAATTAGATGCAAGTAAGTACAGATTTACTTACATTTTGTGGTAAATGAAGATATGCAAACATTTATTAACCTTTTCCTTTGTCAATTTAAAAATAAGCTAGTAATTACTCTACCTGCTATTCTCAAAAGCACTTGTGTCAACAGCTTATCAGGCTCTCAAGGCTCCTGCTTTAAAAAACAAAACAAAACAATACAAAATACCTTATAGCCTCAGACTTCAATTTTCATTTTAATCAGGGCTAAATCAAAGATAGTTTAAGGTTTATAATAATTTATTTCTACAGAACTATACAATGACAGAAATTTTAGAGAAAATCTAGCTAGCCCACATCCCTTAATTTTATAGACAAGAAAAGCAATGCTGAAAAAAATCCACCAAAAATAACTGAGCAAATTAGCACCAGAGTTAGACTTGAAAACTCAGGACTTTCCTGATTTCCAGACCTCTGACTACTGATTTGCCCAAGCTTCTTTTAAAGTCATGTTTCCAACTAGGCAAAATAGAGCTGAGGGGAATAGGCACCTATTATTTTCATCAGAATATGTGGAACTCATTGGTTGCTAGATTTTTTTTAAACAACATATAAGTGCTGTTCTCAAAGAGAATGTAACCTAACAGTGGAATCCAGGTAAATGCATATAAAAGATAAAATGCAGTAAAGTAGCAGAAGAAAACAGTGGTGCACTTATCTAAAATAAATATAATCCTAAGAATTATATTTATATAAGCTTCACCAATTTGTAACCCTTCTCAAAAATGAAAGACTGTTTTTTCTTTTTCTTTCTTTTTTTTTTTTTTTTTTGAGATGGAGTTTCACTCTTGTTGCCCAGGCTGGAGTGCAATGGCGCGATCTCGGCTCACTGCAACCTCTGCCCCCGGGGTTCAAGCGATTCTCCTGCCTCAGCCTCCCGAGTAGCTGGGATTACAGGCGCTGGCCACCACACCCAGGTAATTTTTTGTATTTTTAGTAGAGACGGGGGTTTCACCATGTTGGCCAGGCTGGTCTCGAACTCTGACCTCAGGTGATCCACCTGCCTTGGCCTCCCAAAGTGCTGGGATCACAGGCGTGAGCCACCGCGCCCGGCTGAAAGAGTGTTTTAATAAATACAACACACAGAAAAGGATAGATATATCTGATGCAATATAGAAGGAAACAGATGTGAGATGTTAGTGGTTCTGAGGACAAGCTAGAGAAAGCACTCACCATCATTTGGGAAATGTTTTTATGGTCCTATAGTGAGGGACTGTGTGGAAGAAACAACGTGACAGTGTGACATGTTTAGCATGTCTTTGATGTGTAATTTGAACTGCATTTATAAAAATCACTTAAAAATTATTTCATTTTAACTGTAGCAGGAGGTAAAATTTTTAATGTTCTTACTTTTCAGGGCTTGGTCTTTTTTTTCCTATGGTAAGTAACAATACTAAGTCAGATTCTGATATTTTCAACCCTTGTTGCTTTCCTGTGTCATAATTAGCACCATGGTTTGTACAGATCTTCAATTGCCTGACTTTCATATGCATGGGGCTTAGGAGAGTGGTATACATTCCCATCAAGAGTTATATCAGGCCTGAGTGATGTCTGGATATCAGCAAAGACATTATTCTTAAAACTAGGAAGAAAAGCAAAAAGAAAAAAAAAGAGGAAAATTCCATATATGTAGATGCATCTAGGCAATAAAGATTTTCATCTTCATTTAACATCAAGTTCTTTGTAATGAATGGGGGATTATAACTCTTGATTGTTTGTCTGCATAATTTATCCCACTTTAATATCAAACTTTAATATTTCTAATATGTCTTAGCAATAATTGTTACCACAATCGATAATTAAACTACTGTTCTGGAAGCCAGTGCAAAAAGGAAATTCAACAGGTTGCTGAGTTCACAGTGGGTGATAAAAGAAATTCATGTCAGATCACACTAAGTCCACCAAGACAGTGAGACATTCAAAACGGTTCCTATCACATGCAATTTGGATATTTAAATAAACAATATCTATAACACTAAAAATGCAGCAGATTTATAATCTTTTCATAAGCCAAATGTTAAAGAAGTAAATCATAAGACCTGAAGGCAGCTCTATAGGAAGCCAAAAAAAAAAAAGTCAAGGCAAGTGTCCTAACTTGTCTCAAAAACTTAGAACATGTTCTTTTTTTTAAGGCAAGTGTCCTAACTTGTCTCAAAAACTTAGAACATGTTCTTTTTTTTAGGCTGGGGTGCAGTGGTGAATGTGCACATCATGGTACTTTACAGTAAGCAATAATATTTGCATGACAGAAAATAGAAGGTTATTTTGGACACTCCATAAATCCTCTGGTGAAAAAAGTTTGCTTTTCTTTTTAATATATAATTATAAGTAAAATAAAACATTAGGAAAAATATTAAATATTAGACATGATAGAATTTCTAAATAAAATATTTTCAAAAATTTGTGGCTGGGCATGGTGGCTCATGCCTGTAATCCCAGCACTTTGGGAGGCACAGCTGGGAGGATCACTTGAGGCCAGGGGTTTGACACTAGCCTGGGCAACATCGTGAGATCCCATTTCTGCAAAATAAAAAAAATTATAAAAAAATTGATAAGAAAGTTAAAGTTTTGTCAATGAGCATAAAATTTTTAATTCAGATTTTATGATTCACATAAAATTCCTGACAAGACTTTCTAATGATGAGCTCTCGAAATTCCTGATAGTCATCACTGATGAGAAACCATTCCCAAAAGTAGGTGATAAAGCCACATTTTTATAATCATCTAAATATTTAAAATACAGATGCCCCTCGACTTATAATGGGGCTACATCCTGATAAACGCATCATAGGTCAAAAATAACAAAAATGCACTTAGTACCCCTATACAGCTATCATGAAGTTGAAGAATCATGTTGAAACATTGTAAGTCAGGGACTATTTGTAGTTCAAATTACATTTAAAGAATCTAACAACTTTTCCTAACTTTCATTAACAAATGAAATAGTACATTTTCCTAAGATTTGTAAGTGGGTTTGAATGCAAAACATTTTTTATATTAAGTATTTCAAAACGGTGATAATACCTTAACTTGCATTGTCTGAACATATTCTGCAAATGGTACTTGCATTGTTATAGCAGTCACACTGGAGGTAGCTCAGACTCCAGTAAAAGGGTAAATCAGTCACAAAAAAGTATCAGATATTAGGGCTGATGGGTTTGAGAACTCTACCACAAGAGCCCCACAGTCAGCCTCCTACAAACCCTAACTGGCTGCACTTTGGATATTCTGCCATGCCTTTTGATCAATTGGAATATGAATGTCTTCACCATTGCATACCTCTTGTCTAAAATTGGCAGAAGCACTCAGCAATTGGCAGCTGAGGGAGAAATCCAGGTGGAGGAACATCTCCTTGAACAAGACCTCAGAGCTGCCAAAGCAGAGAATGGGAGTTTTCATTCTTCAAAATTTGTGGGTACCATGGAACATACCCTCAGATTCTTCTCTAATCATGCTGCCTTCTAAGGAGTCTCAGACGAGACTATTTATGACCTGAGGTAAGTGGCTTAGGAGCCCTATTTGAAGGAGAGCCTGCTTGCCACTCCAAGCACAGAATTGTTCAGTTTCTCAAAGTACAAGCATTAGACTGTACAATAGCACATTGGTTGGAAAACTTTGCTTTAGGGAATACAGTGACTTGTCAGCACATCTCTATAACTTTCTTTCACAAGTATCATTGGTCTCAAATTTGTTTAGGCAAGAGCCAGAGCAGCAAACTCAGGGATAATAATCCTCATAAACGCCTTTGGTTTCATATAGTCCAATCAATTGGTTAACGGGTTCATCTAATTATTATTGACTATCTATTCTGTGCCAGACACTAATGTTAGTCTAAAAATGTTTCAAGTTGAATTGGGAAGAGGTTCTGGGGTCCTTTCCTTAGGCACTGGAAGTCTGGGGTCCTAACTCAAGAATAAAACAATGTTACTACCCCTGCCCCACATCACATCAAATATTAGACAAGCTAATCAGTGATAAACTGCACTAATTTTTTCATAGCATATGTGCTACCGCTCCCCTAATTGATTTGTAAGGTTTATGCTTTTCTGGGTATTTTTTGATTCATTGAGGCTGAGTGAAGGGAAAGGATCAAGGTGCCAAGATGCCTAAAAATTCTGGATCCTTTAGAATTTAAGTCCAGAGGGTCTGGAGATGCCTAGAGCTCACGAAGAGGACCCAAGGAGAACGATGAGCAAAGGTTAAATGATACGTTGACATTTTTTATCTTTCCGGTAAAGTCCCTTCTCCCTATCCCATGTCCTTATCTTGCGATGTTGTAGCGGAGTAAGGGCTCATATTTCATATCTCCCTTGGGGATTTCTGGTTTTAACCAAACAATAAAACTTCTCAATTTTCTGCAAAACAAAATATTCTTCATTCTCTTAAGGAAGAACCCCAAAGAGCCGTGGAAATAAGGAGTATTGATGAAGAGGGCTTATGGACTTTGTCCTCAGAGTATATTAAAAGAGATATTTTCTTAGAGGGGAGAGGCACAGTTGGCAAAGTTGACTGCCTTGTCTTCCCCACTTCCACACAGGGACGTTATGTTACAGCTCAGCTGAACAGCTCACCATTCCCAAGGCGTGCAGTATATACCCTAATGTCTCCCTGTTCTTTCTCTGGCAAGTCATTCTCTAAGACCTGCCATGAATGTCATCCACATATGAAGTCCTCCCCATTGCCACCTCCACCATCTGTCACCTCCCCACTCCTACAGTCCCTGTTTTGGAATTCCCACAGCACCTGTTGCTTATCTTCATTGCACTTAGTTCATGGCACTTGTTTATATGTCTCAATATTACACTGGGCAGAGACCTCATTACAACACTCAAGGATCTGTCCCAAATTAAGGACTGAGGAAACATTTGATGAGAAAGCAAATATTACTTTCTCTTTGTATTTAACTTTCAGCTCACATCTGCCTCCAGAACATAGCTGTATACATTTTTATCTTTTCTTGATCCTAACACTTCCACTCTTGTCTTCTGGTCTTCCTCTCAGTCTGGAGCTTCCCTCAATTCCAGGACTTCTCTGACTCCTCAGTAACTGCCAAGTAGACAGCAACTGCTGCTCTGCTGCCCCCAAGAGGACCGTGGCCAACACAGACATTGTGCGGTTGGTGATATCATAAACCTCACCAGAGAAGCATTCAGGCAGTAATACATGAACCTAGGAGAACAGAATGATGTTTGTCTCTGGGAACAGTTGTAGGCGATGGATATAATAGTAGGTTAAGGATATAATAGACGGTTAAGGGTTGAAACCGTCTCTGCTCATGGATTTAATCTCTAAGCCTCTCAGACTCTGTAGAAGGTATTGAAATAAATTAACATCCATTTGGGCTTCCTTACTATCTGGACATTTCCCTTCTGGTTAGTCTTCAACATTTTCAAATAATTTCTCCAAATGCTTGATCAAGAAGCATAAATGAGAAAACACTAGATTAGTCTTTCAGTCTTCCTAAGACATTTATTTCTTTTTCTTTTCCTGTTAGCCTAGGAAAGCACAATGAATTTATATAGAAGAATTTTAATTGTTTATCCTTTCTAAAAATGTTCTCCACCAGACAATGCCTATAAAGTGCTCTCAAAGTCTCTAATGAAAGGAACTACTGTACAATGCAAAAGATTTTCTATATTACTATTATAGGGACTAGGTGCTTTAAATAAATATCTTTTAATAACTGTTACAGAAGGAACAAAAACCAAGGAATAGAATAGAGAGTAGAAACATTTATATGTCACCAGAAATTCACAATAAAAACTACAGAGAAATACATAGCATAAGTTTTTATAATATTTGAAATTCCATACCTGGGAAAAGGTTTACTCCTAAATTTGATATCTAAATTTTGAACAAGTGGCAGTCACTGAAGAAAACATATGTAGAAGAAGAACATATTCTGAAATCATAGGTAAAATCCAAGATTATGTTATGTTCTACTACAATAAGAATATTAGAAAATCAGAACTCATATTACCTCTTGTCCCCAAAGGATACCATTTTTAATAAAACTACATTTTACTGAACTGACATCAGAGATCATGCTTGAAATAAGAAATAATAATAATATTATTCTGAACATCTGAACACTTCACACATCTCCTTCATTGAAACATTGTCATATCTTGGAGAGGAAAATCCACGAAATTTTAAAATGAAAAGAGTTTGTCTGGCCACATTAATACAAGCTACTGTAGGAATAAAATAGGAAGTAAGAATCAAAATATTTAGCCAATGAAAAGGATCTACCAAAATAGCAATCACAAAGTCAAAGAAACTGTAACAAAACACTCCAGTGTGAATTCAAAATAATCAAACAAGAATTTGGAGGTATGAGAAAGTATTTCAAATTAGGAATTTTAAAACACAGAAGAGAAATATGCAAAGAAACAGGATAATTGTGAAACAAAAATGAAATGAGCCTAGAAAATACTGGAAAAGACAAAATCATTTCATAATAAACAGTATATTAGAAAGAGCCCAAAGGAAAAGATTTAGCTAAAAACATGATAAGAATATGGCAACTGGACAATTAGTGATACGGTTTGGCTGCGTCTCCACCCAAATCTCAACTTGAATTGTATCTCCCAGAATTCCCACATGTTGTTGGAAGGACCAAGGGGAAGGTAATTGAATCTTGGGGGCTGGTTTTTCCTGTGCTATTTTCGTGACAGTGAATAAGTCTCATGAGATCAGATGGTTTATTATGGGTTTCCGCTTTTGCTTCCTGCTCATTTTCTCTTGCTGCTGTCATGTAAGAAGTGCCTTTCACCTGCCACCATGATTCTGAGGCCTCCACAGCCATGTGGAACTGTAAGTCCAATTAAACCTCTTTTTCTTTCCAGTCTTGGGTATGTCTTTATCAGGAGTGTGAAAATGGACCAAATACAGTAAATTGGTACCAGAAGTGGGGTGTTGCTGAAAATATACCCGAAAATGTGAAAGCAACTTTGGAACTGGGTAACGGGCCAACATTGGAACAGTTTGGAGGGCTCAGAAGAAGACAGGAAAATGTGGGAACGTTTGGAACCTCCTAGAGACTTATTGAATGGCTTTAACAAAAATGCTGATAGTGATATGAACAATAAGGTCCAGGCTGAGGTGGTCTCAGATGGAGATGAGGAACTTGTTGGGAACTGGAGCAGAGGTGACTCTTGTTATCTTTTAGCAAAGAGACTGGGAGCATTTTGCCCCTGCCCTAGAGATTTGTGGAACTTTGAACTTGAGAGAGATTATTTAGGATATCTGGTGGAAGAAATTTCTAAGCAGCAAATCATTCAAAAGGTGACTTAGGTGCTGTAAAGCATTCAGTTTTAAAAGGAAAACAGAGCAAAAAAGAAAAACCTATTTCTTGAGGAGAAATTCAAGATGGCTGCAGAAATTTCATAAGTAGCAAAGAGCCTAATGTTAATCCCCAAGACCATGGGGAAAATGTCTCCAGGCCATGTCAGAGACCTTCATGGCAGCCCCTTCCATCACACGCCTGGAGGCCCAGTAGGAAAAAGTGGTTTTGTGGGCTGGGCCCAGGGTCCCCGTCTTGTGTGCAATCTAGGGACTTGGTGCCCTGTGTCCCAGCTGCTTTAGCCATGGCTGAAAGGGGTCAATGTGGAGCTTGGGCTGTGGCTTCAGTTGGTGGAAGCCCCAAGCCTTGGCAACTTCCATGTTGCATTGAGCCTGCAGGTGCACAGAAGTCAAAAATTGAGGTTTGGGAACGTCCACCTAGACTTCAGAAGATGCATGGAAATGCCTGGATGCCCAGGCAAAAGTTTACTGCAGGAGCAGGGCCCTCATGGAGAACTTCTGCTAGGGCAATGTGGAAGGGAAATGTGGGGTTGGAGCCCCCACACAGAGTCCCTACTTGGGCACTGCCTAGTGGAGGTGTGAGAAGAAAGCCTTTACCCTCCAACTCCCAGAACGGTAGACCCACTGACAGCTTGCACCATGCACCTGGAAAAGCTGCAGACACTCAACACTAGCTCATGAAAATAGCCAGGAGCCACAGGGGTGGAGCTGCCAAAGACCATGGGAATGCACCTTTTGCATCAGCGTAACCTGGATGTGAGACCTGGAGTCAGAGGAGATCATTTTGGAGCTTTAACATTTGACTGCCCTGCTGGATTTTGGACTTCCATGGGCCCTGTAACCCCTTTGTTTTGGCAAATTTCTCCCATTTGGAATGGTTGTGTTTACCCAATACCTGTACCCCCATTGCATCTAGGAAGTAATTAGCTTGCTTTTGGTTTTATAGGCTCATAGGCAGGAGGGACTTGCCTTGTCTCAGATGACACTTTGGACTGTGGACTTTTGGGTTAATGCTGAAATGAGTTAAGACTTTGGGGGACTGTTGGGAAGGCGTGATTGGTTTTGAAATGTGAGGATATGATATTTGGAGGGGCCAGGAACAGAATGATATGGTTTGGCTGTGTCCCTACCCAAATCTCAACTTGAATTATGTCTCCCAGAATTCTCACATGTTGGGGGAGGGACCCAGGGGGAGGTAATTGAATCATGGGGGCCAGTTTTTCCTGTACTATTCTCATGATAGTGAATAAGTCTCATGAGATCTGATGGGTTTATCATGGGTTTCCACTTTTGCTTCATCCTTATTTTCTCTTGCCACTACCATGTAAGAAGTGCCTTTCATCTCCCACCATGATTCTGAGACCTCTCCAGCCATGTGGAACTGTAAGTCCAATTAAATATCTTTTTCTTCCCTGTCTCAAGTATGTCTTCATCAGCAGCATCAAAATGGACTAACACAATTAGATTTTTTTAAAAACATGAAAAAATTAGCTGGGCATATTGGCTCATGCCTGTAATCCCAGCTACTTGGGAGGCTGAGGCAGGAGAATCACTTGAACCCAGGTTGCAATGAGCTGAGATCACACCATGCACTCTAGCCTGGGTGACAGAGTGAGACTCCATCTCAAAAAGAAAATTTTATATATATATATATACATATATATATACACACATATATATGTATTTATATATGTATGTATATATGTATATATATGTATATATGTATATATATGTATATATATATGAACAGTATCATTAAAAAGTCTAATATCTTTTAAGTCTAATAAAATTTGTGCAACATTTCTAACTTAAAACTATAAAATATATCTGAAAGAAATTAAAGACGACCTTATAAATGAAGAACTAGACTATGTTCATAGATTGGAAGATAAAATTTCCCAATTGTAATTGGAAGATTGCATCTTTTGATTGCATCTTTTCTACAAATTATTAAATGTTCCACTCCCCAAGTTAATCTATAGATTTAACACCATCACAATCAGTGCTGGCATGCTTTGTGTATCTGTGAATATTGATAAAAACTGATTCTGAAATTTATATGAACACACACACAAAACCTACAATAGCCAAGACTGTCTTGAGAAAGGACTTACACCCCTAGAGTTCAGGACTTTAAAGACACAGTAATTAAAAGTGTGGCATTGACATAAGCAGAGAGACATTAAACATAAAACACAATAAAGTGTTCATGAGTGTGTGTGTTTGTGTGTATGTTTGTGTGTGGTCATTTAGTTTTTAACAAAGGTACCTCAGCAATTCAGAGAGGATAAGATGATCTTTTAATAAATTGTACTAGGTCAATTGGACATCCATATAGAAAAGAAAAACAACCTTAATCCCAAACCTCACATCATACAAAAATTTAATTTAAGGTAGATTATAATAAAAATTTAACTTAAGATAGATTATAAATCTAAATAGTAAAAGGTAAAACAATAAAGCTTTTAGAAAAAACAAACGAGAATAATTTCAAGACATATTTGTCAGGTAAAGAAATTTTAACAGAACACAAGTAACAATTATCATAAAAGACGAGAGAACTTGTGGCCTTTTTTTTTTTTTTTTGAGATGGAGTCTCGCTCTGTCGCCCAGGCTGGAGTGCAGTGGCACGATCTCGGCTTACTGCAAGCTCCACCTCCCGAATGCACGCCATTCTCCTACCCCCATTGTATCTAGGAAGTAACTAGCTTGCTTTTGATCTAGGAAGTAACTAGCTTGCCTCCTGAGTAGCTGGGACTACAGGCACCTGCCACCACACCTGGCTAACTTTTTGTGTTTTTAGAAGAGATGGGGTTTCACTGTGTTAGCCAGGATGGTCTTGATCTCCTGACCTCATGATCCGCCGCCTTGGCCTCCCAAAGTGCTGAGATTACAGGCATGAGCCACTGTGTCTGGCCGAGAACTTATGGACTTTAAAAGCTTCTGTTCATCAAATACATCATTAAGAGGATAGAAAGAATAGGCAGAGAAAGATGTTTAAAATACATTTTAGATAAAGGACTTGTTTCCGAAATATATAGAGAACAATTACATATTAATAAAGAAAGACAAAATAACACAATTTCAAAAATGGGCAATAACTTGAACAGGCAATTTACCAACAAAGATATAAAAATATCCAGTAAGTGTAAGACAATCTATTAAACACCATTGGTTATTAGAAAATGCAAATTAAGACCGGGTGTGGTGGCTCACGCCTGTAATCCAAGCATTTTGGGAGGCCAAGGCAGGTGGATCATGAGGTCAAGACATAGAGACCATTCTGGCCAACATGCTGAAATCCCATCTCTACTAAAAATACAAAAATGAGCTGGGCGTGGTGGTGTGCACCATGTAGTAGCAGTCTCAGGACTGAGTAGTCCCAGCTACTCAGGAGGCTGAGGCAGGAGAATCGCTTGAACCCAGTAGGTGGAGATTGCAGTGAGCTGAGATGGCACCACTGCACACCAGCCTGGTGACAGAGTGAGACTCCATTTCAAAAAAAAAAGAAAATGCAATTTAAAACTATAATGAAACACCTGTATGTACCCACCAAAGTGACTACAAATTAGAAAAAAAAAAAAAAAACTATCAACACAATGTGTTGGTAAGAATGTGAGACAACTGGAAATCTCATACATTCATGGTGGAAGTATAAAGTGATACAACACTTTAGATACCTGGAATGATCTACTATCCTCCGAGTCAAAAATTCTATTTCTAGGTATATACCTAAAAGGAACAACTGCATATGTCTAACAAAAAAGTGTGCGAAATGTGCATGTCAGCATTCTTCCTAACCATAAAATACTGCCAAAAATAGCCCAAAGCTGGAAACAACCCTAATGTCCCCAGATGGATTGTAGACATAAATTCGAATTAGAAAAATCATAAAGCTTTTAAAAGATAATATAGAAGAATGACTTCAACTATCAAGTTAGGAAGAAATTTCTTTAATTTGTTATTTATTTATTTTATTTTACTTTAAGTTCTGGGATACATAAACAGTGTGAAAAGATTGATATACTTTATATTAAAACAAAATTAAGACCTCTGCTTTTCAAAACATAAGCAGAGGTCTTAATTTCATTTTAATATGAAAGAGAATGAAAAGGCAAGTCACAGAGTGGGAGAAAATATTTGAAACATTTTTAAGTAACAATCTACTTTGGTTTTATGTCCAAAAGGTTTGAAGGTATGAGTACTAGGAGACATGGATGAAAATATCCACAATAGTATTATTAATAAGTAAATACTGGGGACGAGTTAAATATCCATCAACAGCAAATAGTTAAATAAATAGTGGCATGTTTATATAGTGGAATATCAGACAGCATTGGAAGTTAACAAACTACTGCTTCCTGAAACACCATAGGTGAATCTCACAAACATAAAATTGAGTGAGAGAAACCAAACATGAAAAAATGATTCCATTTATACAAAATGTTAAAACACAGTCAAACTAATCACCTAAAAATGCAGAGGGCTACAGAAAAAACATAAAGAAAAGAAAAAGAAGAGATTATCATAAAATTGGACACAGTTATATTTATTAGGGGAAAAGAAGGTTGGAATTGGGAAGAAGCATAGATGGGCTGAGGGTGCTGGATAAGTTCTGTTTCTTGACCTCAGTGGTGGTTAAATGGGTGTTCACATTTACAAAAATTTGTTAACGTGAAGCTGCATATTTACATTTGTATGTATTTCACTTAATGGCATATTTCACAATAAAGACTGTCTGAAAACACTATATAGGAACTGTATTTTCATTATCTGCCCATAACTATATGCTTACTCTTGGAAGTATTATCTCACTCACTTAAAGACTATAATCTCAAAGGTCTAAAATAATTTTATAGTTCTCCTTTCATTATGAAATATAAAATAGAAGAGAAAATTATATCTCAGTAATTTTTCCTTACTATTCTCATTTCACAGTCTATACCTTCTCTCTCTTATACAATATAAAAAAATTACAGTTGGTTCTGAATAACAAATTGGTATAAAACTGAGCAAAGGTGGAAAGTTAGCAAGATAAGATGAGATGTCTTCATAAAGAAGCAACTTCTATAATTTCTGTCAGTTCCCAAATACTGAGTTGGAAGGCTGTCACATAGCTCTTTCAAGCTCATCTTTATAAAGAAACGCTAGGAACCACTATAGGGCATAGAAGAAGAAAAGAATTATCTAGCTATAAGATAACTGAAAAGGAAATTTAGACACCAAGCACCCAGATCAGCACTACCTGTAGTAGCAGCTATGTAAATTAAAAGCTACCTTCTTCATAGCTCTTTAAAGAGATTCAAAGCGACACTGCCCTTAGCTTAGTCCAGAGGAAAGACCTAGCATTTAAAGTGAGGAGGCTGGAATCCATGTCATTTTATTTAAGCCTCAGCCTTGTCAGTCAATTGTAAAATGGAAAATATAATCTTTGCCCTAATTATGGGACAGTTAGGGAAAAGATTATGATAAGCAAGTGAAAAATTGTTATTTGTGACTTCATCTTACACATAACAAAAGAGTAAGCATATGTGAGGGATTTGTTGAGTATTATAAACTCTAGAAAGATAATTCACATGTGTAAGGTGGGTAGTGGGTAACCAACATGCAGTTTCTTTAAACTATTCTAACACTAACCCAGTGAAATCACTGGCATTAATAGTATTGCATAATATCCCTTGGGAAGGCTGGGTTAGGATAGAGATACGATTGAAAAATGCTGCTTTAGAAGTTATGACGGGGACTCAAATAGAAAGCTAATCAATAATTCATCTGAAGATTATAGCACTCATCCTACCAGAATTAGTTTAAGTAGTGATAATATCAAATGAAAGATTTGTCGAAAGAACTTAAACTCAGGTTATTCTGCCAGTTTAATCATTATTTAACATTGGAATATTTGCTAGTTTAATCCATTAAAATAAATTCCTGAGAAGCTGAGGAGCAAAGAATATGTCTTACCTCAGTGTCCCCAACACTGCGCAGTGTTGACACATGATGTTTATTAAACAACTGAATTAAGTAGATGGTTTTGTCTCTCTTATGACCTAAAAAATACTATTAAAAACTCTTTTTAAAAATGCAAATGCAAGCCTCCCACAACATGGCATCAGTCCTAGTTGGTTTTAATAGAAATTCGTTTAAATAATTAAGACACAGATAATTCTTAACATTTAAATCCTTAAAATTAATTTTTGATGGCCATCTTTTCAGTTAAATTCACAAAGCCAGCCTTACCTTGATACTAATTTTTTTCTTTGAGACAGGGTCTCGCTGTGTCACTCAGGCTGGAGTGCAGTAGCACAATCACAGATTGCTGCAGCCTCGACCTCCTGGGTTCAAGTGATCCTGCCACCTCAGGCTCCCCAGTAGCTGCGACTACAGGCGCACACCACCATGCCCAGCTAATTTTTGTATTTTTTTGTAGAGTCGGGGTTTCACCATGATGCCCAGGCTGATCTCAGACTTCTGGGCTCAAGAGAGCCACACTCAGCCTCCCAAAGTGCCGGGATTACAGGCATGAGCCACCATTCCCAGCCTATACTAAATTTTTTCTATAGCCGTTTAACTATTCAGAAAATATACAATGGAATAAGAGTGGAAATCACATTTGCAGTAATGGGAATCATGAAGAAAACTAGAACATCTACTGATATATTGACATGAAATGAATTCATGTTTCTGAAAGGGACCTCAATGGTATAAAAATATCAATTAATCAATTTAACAAAATAACTCAAAAATATCTGGAATAGCTAAAATAAATTTAGGAAAAATATAAAAGAGATGAGATAAACTTATTATTTCATACAATAAAACATATATTCAAGACACAATAATTAAACCACTATGGATTTGAAGCAGAAACAGAATGACAGATGATTACAGATGCTACAGAAAGTCTATATTAGAATTCAGTACATTCTGTAACATTGCATACCAGTGGAGAGAGGACAGATATAAACAAATGGTTGGGGGGAAAACTGGCTAATCATTTCTAAAAATAGGTAAATTAGACATCTAAGTTAAACCTTACACAAAAACAAACTCCAGCAGGATTAAGGAATTAAGTATTATTAAAATGTACAAAATGAAACAAAAATATATGAATATTTATAACATCAAAGGCATTTCTAAGAATAGTTTTAAAATCAGTAATCACAAATGAAAAAAATTGGTAATTTTTATATTTTAAAAAAACTCAATACATTTCTACATGAAAAGACAAGATGTGAGTAAAGATGGGGAAGTAAAATGATCTTTGCTCACTTCTTTTAGTGATTAATTGAAAGCAACAATTGAAGTGAAAATAAACAAAACTTATTTCTTCAAGACAAAACTAGGAAACACCCCTGCCCCTAAGTCATATATATTTGAAGAAGAGCTGTCAAGGGTGGTGAAAATTGGACCCGGGGAAGGTGGGTGGGGAGGGACCACACCCACTACAGATCTCGAGTAGCAGCAGCTGGCTTCAGTTGCCTCCAAAATATTAGGCACATTAAGAAGGGCAAAAGCAATGACCTTTTGTTTGGAGATGAGGAAGCAGCACCTGGGATCTTCAATGAGCTGCTTTTAACACCAGAAAGAAGCCAAAGAATTGAGGACAAATGAAGAAAGGAGCAAGAGAAAGCAAGCTTCTGAGATGCCACATCTGCTACCAAGTGGAAGGATGGAGAAAATCTGTGATGGCCAAAAAGCTCTGCGATTGCTAATTTTTCTTAGCCAACATGAATAGGACTTAACGCTTACAATCACAAACCCTGCTTCATGTGGGACTTCATTCTGAGGCAGAGAGAATTCCTGGCCCTTCCACACTCTCCTGTTGCTAATAACTAGCCCAGGAAGAATTCACTTCATTGAAAAACCAGGAGCACTTGCTGTGGGTCGGCACAGAATGATGTAGTTTTAAATTTTACCAAAACTTTCTGAAAAGAAGACATCCATCAATACAGGGGGGAAAAGACATGAACATCTTCAACAATATTCTCCTGAAAACCAGTTGTCATCAAGCCATCAACAGCAGCAGAACCTGTATGAAATAACTGTTGAATAGTGGAAGTTCACTACTGTACCCTAAAAGCTATTGAAACTAAAAAATATCAATGAATGCTTGTCCACAAGAAGAGAAAACACCATTCAAATTGAAAACCAGTATGGGTTGTTCTGGAAAATATTCGTTAAACAAAGACCCTCACAGAGTGAGAATTGTAAATACGAATAGATTAAAAAGTGCTGCAGTAAGTCGGGGCCTTTGAAAATTATATAATCAACACGTATTCTCTTCCAGAAGGATAAAGTCCCATTTTGCGGGAAAAAAAAAATACTGGAAACAAAAATCACATTGAGCAGAGGAGAGGGCCACTGATGGTAAAGAAGAGAGAGAAGGCTCCATAGTTAGGGGAGGAAAGTCTTTGAGGAGGCAGATTCAAGGAAGGAAGTACTCTCAGCAAAACAAAGTCTAAAGCAGAGAGCACTAACCAAGGCCCAAACAGGTTGAGCCTGGAGCACACAAAGCTAGAGGCAGGAAATGTTACTGGGTCTAACTTGGCCACACAGAGAGGCCATGTTTTAAGTTTTTCATGGTGATAACAGAGAAGAGTTACTGAGCTCTGAAGCTGGGAAAGAAACCCTACTTCCTTTCTTCCACCCAATAGGAAACTCCTTTTTATAGCCCAGAAAAATTCACCTTATTTAAACATGAGAAACAAAAAGTGAATTCAATTGAACCCTTTAAACACAAGTTACAAGAAAAATATTAAAATAAGCCCTATCATATCTGACTGTAACACAGAAAAATGTGGTCATAAAGCAGATGAAAATGAACTATAACACATGAAGAAAATGATTGAACCTTTGAAGAAATAGCACAGATCAAAGATAGAAAATCTCAGAAGTGAAAAGTTAGAAATTATATTTCTAGGAAGAAATGAAACAAGAACTCAGAGATCTCTGAAAATAATTAAGAAAGAAAAAATGTCCCTCTCCTCAAACAATTCAGTCCAAAAATTATTAGACAAGGCCAAGTGTAGTAGGCATTTATGTGAATGATGCATGTTTGTTGGGGGGTTGGGGGAGTGGGCATTTACCCCAGAGAAGGTCAATTACCAGGTAAGGAGAGTGTCAAGGGGGAGGGCAGCAGCCCAGGGGCCATGTTAGAGATCAAGTAGGATGAGAGGGGATCCGCACTGCGGGTTGGGTGGCAAAGAGGTGGCAGAAAGAATAGGAGATTAGTTACACACAGAGAGATTGATCAAATACATAAATATATCAAGGCCAGTTTTCTCAGAAAATAAACATACACCATGAAAAATAAAATGAAAATGAAGGAAACTAAAATGAACCCTTCAAAGGTAGATTACAGTTGGGGTATTGGGGTGACCTCATTATTTTCAAATTGTAAATGGATATAGAAATAAATACTGGTGTGTGTGTGTGTGTGTGTGTGTGTGTGTGTGTGTGCGCGCGCACTGTAGTTCTCTCAACTGAGAGGACCTGAGAGAAGTGACACACTAATGGCAATTAGCATACCTAGCACCGGTTTTTAGTTTCTATAGACCATTCTCTACCACAAATAAAATAAAAATAAATGAATGATTGGAGGAATGAATGATTGCAGACCTGGGCCAAGGCAAGGAAAATACCAAAGAAGATAAGTCTAGAACATCTTGTTGTGCATGAAAATAAGGAAGTGTTCAAAGAGTGATGGGGATCAATTCAAGAGGACATAGAAGCCATCTTTAGGAAATTCCCACTGGACAAATCTGGGACAATTTGATCATCAAAATAAACTATAATAATAATGGATTATAAACTTTTAAATTAAAAAATGCATAAGTCTATCCTAATTTAAATAAGCGGATTAAGTAATAATACGATGAAGAGCAGGATATTTACAGTTTGAAAGTACCTCCTTACAAAACACTTTGCAAAAATAAAAATAAAAAATAAGCTTCACAATGGAGAAACAGGCAGACAACTTCTTAACTGAGTAGAAAAAAAAATCTAAATAATGTACCACTGGATGGAATGCATTAAAAACTCAGCATCTAGATAATGTTTTTACTGCCAATGATGTAAAACTAATCCTAAACATGTAGGAAAAACCAACAAGTCTAAATTGAGAGACATTCTAAAAAATAACTAGCTGGTAATCTTCAGAAGGGTCAAGGTCCTAAAGTTAAGGAAAGACTGAGAAAAGGTGCTAGACAGCAGACTGAAAAAATGTGACAACTAAACGCAATGTGAGAATCTGAACTGGATCTTTTTGCTATAAAAGACAGCATTAGAAAAACTGACCAAATTTGAATGGAGTCTGAGGATTAGATAATAACAACATACCCATGTCAATTCTCTAATTTCGACAGTTCTACCGTGGTTATGCAGGAAATTTTCCTGTTAATGGGAAATAAGTATTCGGTGGTGATGGGACATTGTATGTACAATGTATTTGATATGTACTTGATATGGGCTGGCTCTGCGTCCCCATCCAAATCTCATCTTGAATTATAATCCAAATTGTGATCCCCACATGTTGGGAGAGGGGTTTCATGGGAGGTGATTAGATCATAGATCATGGGGGGTGGTTCCTGCTCTCCCCCTATGCTGTTCTTCTGATAACAAGTGAGTCTCAAGAGATCTGATGATTTTATAAGCATCAGGCATGTCCCCTGATGGCACTTGTCTCTCCTGCCACCATGTGAAGAAGGATGTGTTTGCTTCCCCATCTGCCATGATTGTAAGTTTTCTGAGGCCTCCCCAACCATGCAGAACCGTGAGTCAATTAAACCCCTTTCCTTTACAAATTATCCGTCTTGGGTGGTTTTTTATAACAGCATGAGAACAGACTAATACAATACTCTTAAAATATTCAGAAAAATAAAAGTCTTTGCATTGTACTTGCAAATGTACTATGAGTTTGACATCTCTTTTTCTAAAAAAGAAAAGAGCAAATTGGAAGCAAGATAAAAATAAACAAAGAAATCTCAATAAGAAAATGATTGTAAATGGTAATAAATAAAAATAAAATAAAACACAGAATAGGAAAAAGAACGATTTTAAGACAATGACAGAAATAAAAGACAGGCAAAGGAAATAGGATATGAGTATTAACAGATTTCCAGAAGGAAAAAGTCAAACATTGCTGTAAAACAAATATTTAAAACTATAACTCAAGAAAGATTTCTCAAGTTTAAAAAAAGTCTTATTTAACCTGAAATGAAACTCTAGGTAACTAGTAAATAGTTCCCAGAATGGTCAACCTGTAAACAAATTTTAATATGAAATTTTAAGGCTAAGAAAGAGGGATATTAACAGAAGACAAAATGAAGCCAGAAGCAAAATCAATAGTCACTTTAAAAACAAGACAAATAATTTTAAGTGTTTTTCCTTGGCTCTTGATGAGTTCACAGGTATTATTAATATTGCTCAGTTATGTTTATTTGAGGAATCAATGCGGAGTTTGATGTGACTAAAGAACTGGCCTCTAGTAGTGTATGTGGAACAATTATGGGTGAGAACATTTTCAAAGAAACTGAGAAAAACACTAATTCTGTACAATCTGAAGTGGAATCTGCAAAACTGTGTGACAACTAATAATGATAAAAATATGGGTGCAGCAGAACGACATTTTAGTTGGATAAATTTACCAAAATGTATGAAGATGTGCTGCTTAATCCTATTGTTATTCATTGTGCTATTCATCAACAAGTACTCTGAGCAACGTATTTGATTATGTGTTATGAACCAGTCACATCAACAGTCAACTTCATATGCTCTTGTATACTTAACTATTGGCAGTTCTGAATATTTTTGTTGAGAAAAGAAGTGGAATATTCTTAATTGCCCAGCCACACGGAAGGCCAATAACATAACAATGGCAAACATTTTTTTGTGTGTGTGACATTTTGGGACACTGGCTGAGATTGAAATTTATCAGAATGAAAAGAATTTCCCTTAGTGGCTATTAATAAACCTTGATTGGCTTTGAAAATTAGTGGTTGCTAACGACTTGATAATGTTTCTTAATGAATTCAACCAAAAATAACAAGGTAGAACAGCGTTCATACATGAAACTTATTTAGTAGTGAAGTCATTTCAATGACAACTAACATTTGAATCTCAAATACTGTCAAGCTGCTTTATATATTTCCCAGGCTGACAAAAGTTAAAATCGGAAGTGAAGTTCCATCTCCACTCCAATCTGCTGTAGCTATGTTTCCTGAGTTCAAACTACAGTTCAAGAACCATTTTCAGACCTCAATGAATGAAATAATATGATTACTTCTATTTCTTGTCCCTCTTTCCCATGCGTAGTCTTTCCATGTCTTATTCTCTCTTTTTTTCCTTCATTCTATAACACTTTTCCAATTGTCTCCATGGTTTTAAGCTACTATCCTTCAAAGCCTTCCCTAAATATTCCAGCCCAAGATTTCACCCTACACTCAATGTCTATGACAACTATTATCTGGTCATTCATTTAACCCTTTCAGTATATTCCCTTTGCTACTCACTATACTTCTACCTACACAATCAATATCTTCCTGGATACACTGTCAGTTCCTTAAGAAAAAAGCTACATCTTGAAGAGTGTAACCAGAATCATTGGAAATGCTGGTTGATTAGCTGGTTGAGCAAGAACTTCAATAGTTACAAACATAAAAGTGATGAATGAAGAACTATGGAAAGCCTCATCGGCACTTCGTCTCTTAAAAATGTAATACAACCAACATTAAATGGTCATTGTTACTTTTAGCTAGACATAATTGTCTGTATCCCCAAGGAAATAACAGGTAAGATAAAATTTATCCATACCCCTAAAAAATAATAGGTAAGGTATAATTATTTACTACAGTGGTTCTTAACCAGAGGCAGTTTTGCTCCCCAGAGGACATATGGCAATGTCTGGAGATATTTTTGTTTGTCAAAACTGGAGGTGCAGGATTCTACTGGCATGTAGTGAGCGAGGCAAGAGATGCTGCAAAGGGGTCCTATAATACTCAGGGGAGCCTCCCATAACAAGGAATTATCTGGCCCCAAAATGTCAACAGTACCAAGCTTGAGAAACCTTAATTTACTGTGCCAATGTGGGCTGATCTATGTGAAAATAGATTTCAATATTTGTTTTCGACTTTTAAATTATGGAATTTTTATATAACTGCTAGTTTTTATATCTGAGCATCTAGGGTAGATGTTCTCCCCCATGTTCATCCGCATTTCACTAGACTAAAAACTCCAGGAAGCTGGAAAGTGGTTTTTTGTTTTTTTTTTTTTTTTTTTTTTTTAGTTTTTCATGGTTTGTTGAGCCTCAGTGCTCAATAAATATTGTTGAGTGAACAATTAAGAATTGAAGTGTTTTCCACTCATCCTTCACTCCCCAACACATTAGCATTTGCTTTCTAGAATTACTGACCCTTAGAAAGCTAGAAAGGCCTTTAGAGATAATCTTATCTCATGCTTTTTAATACTTAAAACAGTGACACTTTTTTTTTTCAAATAACTTCCTAGAGGAAATTCTAGTTCATAAGGCAAATAATCCTAGAGCTGCCCCATTGAGTGAAAGATGAGGGATCTGGAGCCCAACCACCAGCACATCGTGGTATCCCCTAAGGTGGGTATTCAAAATCCAACACACTCACATAGCCCTTGGGAAACTGAAGTAGAGAGAAAAAGAAACCAGAATAAAGTCACATGGCCAGTAGTGGTAGATAGGTCACCAATCGAAGCTGCTCTAATCATACCCTGAAACACAGGTGCAGAACAGAAGTTCTTATTTTTTTTAAACTAACCTAATACCACACTATGCTTTTATATAAAGATGTGTGTGTATGTGTATTTAGAACCCCTATTTTCTAGAGCTGATTTCTCCCTTCATGTTCACCCCCATTTCACTAGAATGAAGCTCCACAAGTGCCTACCCACCATAGTGAGAGGTGACAGCGTGCTGGCAGTCCTCACAGCCCTCGCTCGCTCTCGGCGCCTCCTCTGCCTGGGCTCCCACTTTGGCGGCATTTGAAGGTCCCTTCAGCCCACCGCCGCACTGTAGGAGCCCCCTTCTGGGCTGGCCAAGGTCGGAGCCGGCTCCCTCAGCTTGCGGGCAGGTGTGGAGGGAGAGGCGCGGGCGGGAACCGGGGCTGCGCGCGGTGCTTGCGGGCCAGCGCGAGTTCCGGGTGGGTGTGGGCTCGGCGGGCCCCGCACTCGGAGTGGCCAGCCGGCCCTGCCGACCCCGGGCCATGAGGGGCTTAGCACCCGGGCCAGCGGCTGCGGAGGGTGTGCCGGGTCCCCCAGCAGTGCCGGCCCACCGGCGCTGCGCTCAATTTCTCGCCCGGCCTTAGCTGCCTTCCCGCGGGGCAGGGCTCGGGACCTGCAGCCCGCCATGCCCGAGCCTCCCCCAACCCTCCTGGGCTCCTGTGCCGCCCGAGCCTCCCTGACGAGCGCCGCGCCCTGCTCCACGGCGCCCAGTCCCATCGACCACCCAAGGGCTGAGGAGTGCGGGCCCACCGCACGGGACTGGCAGGCAGCTCCACCTGCAGGCCTGGTGCGGTATCCACTGGGTGAAGCCAGCTGGGCTCCTGAGTCTGGTGGGGAGGTGGAGAAGTTTTATGTCTAGCTCGGGGATTGTAAATACACCAATCGGCACTCTGTATCTAGCTCAAGGTCTGTAAACACACCAATCAGCACCCTGTGTCTAGCTCAGGGTTTGTGAATGCACCAATCGACACTCTGTATCTAGCTACTCTGGTGGGGCCTTGGAGAACGTTTGTGTGGAAACTCTGTCTAGCTAATCTAGTGGGGAGGAGAACCTTTGTGTCTAGCTCGGAGATTGTAAACGCACCAATCAGCGCCCTGTCAAAACAGACCACTCGGCTCTACCAATCAGCAGGATGTGCGTGGGGCCGGATAAGAGAATAAAAGCAGGCTGCCGGAGCCAGCAGTGGCAACCCGCTGGGGTCCCCTTCCACACTGTGGAAGGTTTGTTTTTTCGCTCTTTGCAATAAATCCTGCTGCTGCTCACTCTTTGGGTCCACACTGCCTTTATGTGCTGTAACACTCACCGCGAAGGTCTGCAGCTTCACTCCTGAGCCAGCAAGACCACGAACCCACCAGAAGGAAGAAACTCTGAACACATCCGAACATCAGAAGGAACAAACTCCAGACGCGCCACCTTAAGAGCTGTAACACTCACCACGAGGGTCCGCGGCTTCATTCTTGAAGTCAGTGAGACCAAGAACCCACCAATTCCAGACACAATAGGAGATTCAAGATTTGAGCAAAGTCTGTGTAGACCAACAAGCTATAGAGACATTTCTTTATAAATAATTCTTTCTAGTGAGGCAGGTTATTCTATGAGGTCAAATTAGGCAGAAGAAATTTAGAAAAGCCCTTCAACATCCACTTGGCCTTCCATGTAGATAAATTATTCTTAATGGAGGTAGGGGGAGGGTTATTGCATCATGGTGTTTTAGAATTAGGAGTATGTGTAGCTTGAAAAACCACAGTCTCTAAATTTATTTTAAAATCCCCTAATATCTATAATTTTTATAGTACAAACCTCAGAAAGCTTGTCAAAATATTTTTGGCTGTCTAGTGGGAATACTTAGAAGATAGTGATTCTCTAACAAGTAACAGGAAAGTGAAAAAGGAGTGTCCAAAAGAATTAAGGATAGGTTGAAGCACGAGGTTTTTGTGTTGATCAAAAGATTTCAGGATATCTAAAAACAGAAATTTGAAAACAGAAATTAATGTAGAAACTTGGATGGGGTCTCTTCACCCACTTAATATTCGATATAATTGTTACTAACAACAATATAAGGAGACTGGGTCTGGGCATAGAACTATGTGAAACAAACAGGCAGGTGATGCCAAAATTCAGAAACTTTCTAGGCCAGGACCTTCACTGCTAAGGAAGCCATTCATAGACTGTTACTTTGTTATTTACTCTTTTTACATTTTGTTAGTTTCTTCTCCACACCATTAGCATAGAAAAACACAAGATGACTGCAACGTCAATATGACAACAAGGAATGATTCCGCTGGCTGGAGTCGTGCTGTGATCTTGTCAGTCACAGGATTCTGATAGGAGACACTGTCCCCAAAGGTTTCTACCACACGGAGAACACATGGTAGGTAGCAAATTTAAGCAGGTTATATACCCAACCTGGACTTACCTTCTTGTCACGCAAACCCCCAAATGGCTTACTTTTAGGATTCTCGTATAAAAAAGCTGAACAACACTGATGTGTGAATTAGTGAAGGTCAATGCTTGAGCTATATTTAAGGACCTGAGAGCCAAAAATAGTTTGTTTTCCAGTAAAATCCTTTTGTAAGCAACAGCTTATAAAATGTTACAATCACAGCTGTGCAGAGGGTACAGAGAGATCTGTGCCTATGACCACGAGATTGGCCTTGGAGAGGTCTCAGAATAATGATACCACTCTGTTGTAAGGAACGAGACAAGCAGAAGCAACGTCCTCTCATTTATTCCAACCTATCTGAGCACTCCCTGCCACTTCTGTCCATCTCAGTTTATCTACAGCCCCAGCCAGGATCTGCAAATCCCATTTAACCGTCATAGGTTATCATTGCTTAATATTTGTGTGTAGCTGTTGTCTTGGTGTTTGTTCTTTTACAGCTCTTCATGAAGGCTCTGAAGACAGGCCACACATCTCATCTTCAATTTACAAACGATGAGAGCAAACAAGACCCAGAAAAGGGAAAGGTTTGCCTAAAGTGTCATAGCTAATGTCAGAACCGTCTGCATCCAGGTTGTCCAGCCCCTTGTCTACACACTCACTATTGGTCCACAGGTTGCCTCAACCCGCCTTTCCTACCCACTACAGAACATTCTTCCTTCAACAGGTTCCTTTTCGGAGGACAGTCATTTGGTAAATTTCCACAATCATTATAGAAAGTACCTGCCCATCACCACAAAAGATCAGATGAGTCTGACTTTACTTTTAATCATTCTTATTATCTTGTGAGATGGGACGCTTCTTTAGATTTATTAATTCCCATAAATGAAGAGTTTGGCTCATGATAGCAGATTATTTGCTTTGGTCCTCCAAGCATAGGCTGTGTTGAGGCTGGAAGGAACAAGGATCAGAAACAAGCTGCTGTTTATCTCAGGGTAGCTTCAATTATCACAACCAAGGAATGCTGTCTTGCCTCTTGGGTCAATCACCTAGGGCATCATTCAAACCACACCTCACAGTCTTCAGTTTGGTGATAGTCTATAAAAAGTCGTTTGAGATTCCTATTTCTATTAAAAAAGTATTAATGTAAATGGTAAATTATAGATTTATAAAATGTAAGCAGTAAGATTTTGTAGGGGGTTTAGTCTACCAAAGTCTACAAATGCTCAGAATTTTTAAAAGATATCATATTCAAAAAATATTCAAAAACTCCCTCTAAATTACAGAAATACTGTTTTAAAAATACAAGTGGTCTATTTACATGTATTTCATTTTTACATCAAGGCCAGCTGAGCCATTAAAGTTGTCATACCTTTCATTTGTAGCTAATTCGTAAATACCTCTCTCCCTACATCTTTAAAAAGAGTAGTATTTTGCTAATAGTAACTAACAGTTCTTCTGCCTACTCCTCTGAGCTCAGAAGTTAAAATGATAGAGACATTTGGTCCATTTCCTTGCCCTAAACAGAAAATTTTCCATAAATGGTCATTTATCTTCTCTTAGCATTCTCTAAATGATCCATCTATTCTGCTGATGAAAAGCTCTGGAAATACTCAGGGTTCTGGTATCAGAACACAGTCCAAGGTTTACCTGTTATCTGAATGCAGGCCCCCCTATGCAGGCACATAATAGAATTTATCTTAAACAATAAAAACAGATTCTAATACCAGAGGCAGTATAACACAGAAGAAAGTTCTTAATTTTTGAAACAAACAAATGGGTTCAAACACTGACTCTGCCCTACCACTTAATTATCTATGTAATTTTGAACAAGTTACCTAATTCCTGAGTATTGAAGTTTAGACTTACCGTGTTTAGAGTTGTTGTGATACTTCAATAGGCTCATGAATATAAAGCATCTAGCAAGAACTGTACATGCAGGTGTTCAATAAATGTTTCCTGTGCTCCACTGTAGGTGTTGGTGCAACTTAGTAAGATTTTTAAAAATAATATTGTCAAAATGGATACTCCAAATGTGTAGATATATAAATCTAAACTTGAGACTAATTTGGAAACTGAGGCAATTTTAGTGAAAGCTAGAACAGCTACCCCAATCCATATTTTACGGATAAGGATATAAAATCAAAGAAACAAAATTTCAACTATATTCAAAGTTAGCCCCTTTTATCTTCTGTGATTAATTGGTGAGGCAGAAAATGGCAAGAGAAAAATATATCAATGCGCCCTCACCAAGGTCACATTAGGAGTCCATTCATCTTGAAAAGAGAGGGAGAGTGGTCCAGAGTGCAAACATTCTCATCTTAGCTGCCATACCAAATTAAGGCTATATATGTCTTTATACATCTTTGAACAACAGTGTATTTACATGATGGTTAATATTAGACTTTTCTGAGATTTCTTGCTTATTCTTAACCACACAAACCCAGTCATACGGTCTCTCTGATGATCGCTGAATGTCGAGACCCAACCGCGGAGAAAAACTGTCAATTCAAACTCAGAAAAATAGTTACATTAAATCAATATAAAATTTCAGTGTGATATAGGAAATGGTTTACGAAACATGCTGCTTTTGAACTTATTGCTAATAGCACTGGAAATGGGCATAAACTATTGTAAATTATTACAGCTTCAGTCCTAAAAAATAAAAATATATTTTTCCAGGTAATTAACATAAGGTAGAATTTTAGATATGTAATTCTCCATTGGTGAATATTTATTCTAAAGTGTTTAGATTATACATTCTTTGTTTAACTGTTGAAGAAATTATAGCATAAGAGTTGTTTTTTTTTTTTTTTTTTTTGAGATGGAGTCTCACTCTTGTTGCCCAGGCTAGAGTGCAGTGGCGTGATCTCGGCTCACTGCAACCTCCGGCTCCTGGGTTCAAGCTATTCTCCTGCCTCAGCCTCCTGAGTAGATGGGATTAGAGGCGCCCGCCACCACGCCTGGCTAATTTTTGTACTTTTTAGTAGAGACGGGGTTTTGCCATGTTGTTCAGGCTGGTCTCCAACTCCTGACCTCAGGTGATCCACCCGCCTTGGCCTCCCAAAGTGCTGGGATTACAGGCGTGAGCCACTGTGCCTGGCCAAGAGTTGCATTTTTAAAATTAACTGTTTTCCTCAAAGAGGGGCATTGATTACATCCCTGTAATAATCTAAAAAATACATTTGTATTTACCTGACATTAATAAAGAAACAGCAACAGAGATTGATCCCTATTCTTCCTTTAATATTAGTAGTAGCTAGTGCTCCATTTAATGACAGAAAGGCTTATCCTCTAGGCAAGACTGTGGGAGAGTGAAAGAAGTCTTTCCCAGATTCCTACCTGAAACAGTCATACCAACAGCCCCTTCAGTGACTCAGAGAAAGGTTCTGGAGAGAGCTTACCGGGATGGAACTTGAGGCACCTTCTCTAAAGACCACTGCTGAGCTTTGAAGCCACAGGAAGCCCCCAGACCCTGGGAGACCAACACCGCTGCTCAACACGCCTCCTGTTCCTTCCCAGCATTACCAGCAAAGGCTGAACTCCAACTCAGAAAATTCCTCTTGGTGAGGCAGTGATCTGATTCCAAACCACCAACGATTAGTTATGACCAGGGGGCTTAATTCTCCAAGGAAGTGCATTATAAAAGTCACCCCAAAGAAACCTCCAGTTGGTGATATAAAAATATGTGTGTGTGCTCACACTCATGTATGTGCGTGTGCCTGTGGTACACAAGTGACTAGGAGCTCCTAACGTCCTTTCCACTTTTCCCACCTCTCCACCCAGAAGTAAGATTAGCTACATATGCCTGCCTCTCATTTTCTCTGAAATAATTCTGTATAGTACTTTCAGAAATATTTTTTAAATGTCTGGTCCTGGCTCCACCCACTTCTAAACCAACCTTTACTGGCATCTTTGGATCTTCCATTTCAGAAGAGAAAGCCAGGGGACAGAGAATAACCTACTCTCAAAATAGGTGAAACCAGCCTCATTAGAGAACTGAAGGCCCGTTGAGTAATAGCTTGTAAATACCCCCCGATCAAAAAGTCAGCCATGAATAATGTTAAAATTATGACTCCAGCCTTAAGGCATTGTATTCTGTGCTTGAAACAGAAGTGATTTTAACCGATCTTCTGAACTTCAGGAGGACAGACTGGTTAGTAACTCAATGATTTGCTTAAATTTCAGATAAGAAAAGGTATTGGACTACATCCCATTTCTAGCCCTCTCAGCATCTGAGCCAAAAGTCCGAGGTTATAGTACCAATAGGAAATTCCAGGAATTTTTTAAAGGATTTTAAAATTACTAGAGCCCAGAGGCCTCTGGACCTTTTTCGAGACGTTTAACCAAGAATTTGTAGAGTGATCTTCACTAGGACTAGAAGTGGCAAAAACAAAACAAAACAAAAAACAAAACAAAAACAGGGCCAAGAGGATCTTTGAAACTAGTTTCTTTTTATGCCTGTAATGGAGTTTTGTCTGAAAACATGGCACGTAAAATATTGCAAATATTGCTAAGTGTATTTGAGACACTAGTTCAGAGAATAGTTATGGTCGTTTATAGCTTAAAGAAACAGCTGTTGTAATATGCTTGCTACTTTGATGGTTTACAACTATTTTAATCTACAAAGTGTAATGTAATGGTCAAAGTATCATACATTTTTAACAGGCTTTAGTAGAAGCATAATTATTATAGAGGCTATTTTTTTTGAATCAAATCAGATAGCATAAACCAGCTCTTAGATAAAATACACGGTAACCCTGATATCTGTCCCGAGAAAGAAAAGAGGCACACAACAACGGCAATAGTTTAAATATACTGAAGTAGTTTGGTATACCAGTTTAAATATTTTGATGAGCCAAATTCAAACTGGCTAAAATAACCCAAGTGTTGACTCATTTAACTAGAAAGTCTAGTGGAGATCTCAGATGTGGCGGGTGTGGTAGGTCATGTTTTAATTCCCAGCTCCCATAACGCCATCCAACGTCAGCTTCATCCTAAAGCTAGCTCTAGTCAAGATTGCGTGATACAAGATCAGAAAACCAAACGCCACATGTTCTCACTCTTAAGTGGGAGTTGAACAATGAGAACACACGGACACAGGGAGGGGAGCATCACGCATCGGGGCCTGTCGGGGGGTAGGGGGCTGGGGGAGGGATAGCATTAGTGACGGGTTGATGAGTGCAGCACATCACCCAGGGCACGTATATACCTATGTAACAAAACTGCACGTTCTGCACATGTAACCCAGAACTTAAAGTGTATTAAAAATAAATACACAAATAAATAAAGATCGTGTGATAGTTGTCAGTAGCAAAAGAATCCAAATGCTTTCTCCTCCATATCCAGGGAGAGTGTATGTTTCTGTCCCAGCATTCCAGTTTGGAACGCTGAGCGTGTCCCTGACTGGAGCGGCTTACATTCTGTGTCGCTTGTTAATGTTGTGGCCAGGGAGATGGTTTGTGCAGATCAGCTTTTCCAATTATGACGCGTTTTCAGCACTAGGGATGAAATCATTTCCTGAGAAGGACAAGGATGATGTGGCGGATAGACATTAGTAGTAAAACTGGGGAAAGAGGAAGACTGAATGTTGGTTGTTCACTATATGGACAACTGGTCCGAAAGACACTAGCAAGCCCATGGCTGTATTTATTGAAAATTGCTGTTAGTATAATACTAATAAGAAAATATACTAATATATAAATATACTAATATAATACTAATAAGAAAATAATTCCCAGATTACAAACAACAACAAAATTTCAAGGCCAGTATGTTTCTTTTTTTATTATTTTTGTGTTTGACTTAGATGGTTGAAATGTTTTCATTTTTCATTTATAAGCATTACATTAATTTCCATGCAAAAACCCAAGATCGCATATGTCTGATTTCAATTGGCCAAAATCCAACCCTTGAGTTTGGACATTCAAGACCAAAATGAACACGTTACTTGCCCTTTCTATGAGTAGACATCATGGGTGTCCTTTGAAAGATCAGCAGGCCTCCTGACCTCTTAAACACCAGCTTGCCATGAGTCCACACCAAAACAGGGAGCCAATACCTTCCAGCACCTAATCAGGCAAGTAACTTCACTCATGAAGACAGGACACCTCTATACCAAGGCTGCCACCCACAGATATTTCCTGGGTGCTGCTCTATAGCAATACCTGCTTTTGAACAGACGTGGTATCTTCTATTTGGGGATTATAAGTTCTTCCTGCCAGTTTTTCTCAAAACTCTCAGGAAGAGTAGAGATTTTACAAAAAAGCTTACCTCTATGACCCCAAAAGAAATAAATACAAAGACACCTACTTCATCAAGTGTATATTTTCCCCAGCTTTAGATGGGGTCAACATGTATAAAGCTTTAACAACTTCTCTCAGTAAGACAGGAACCAGGAATATCAAAGAGGGCAAAGCAGGACCCCACAACTGAAGGAGAACTAAGCAAATGCAAAGAATCATTTCACTGATAGAAATGGGCAAAATGAAAAAATGATAGAATTTCGAGAGTGGTTGTTAATTTATATTGAAACACACTTTGCAATTCTGACAATGGCAAAGATTAGTGCAAATAATAATTATAATGGTATGTTCTTTAATAGGATTTAAATAAGGCTTCAAATAATTACATATGCTAAAATTAACATTTGGAAACCTTAATTCTGCTTGGAAAACTGTCAAAGACACCCTTCAAACCACCCAGTGTTCTCTGATTTGAGGACAATTACATTCAATGAAGTTGCTCCAAAACACAATTTGTAGTATTATCACTTTCAAAGTTTACATTGTTTGGTGGAAAAGGGGGGAAACTACTCTGGTCACTGGCCAAAATAAATAAATCCAGCTAACATGCCAAGTAGTTCCCAGGTTCATATGATTCTCAAATATCAGTAGTGGTGAAAGCTCATAAGAAAAAAGACAAAAACAAAATAATAAAAATAATAGGATAGAATCGTTAAGCATCAGAAAGAGATTTGTTTCCCCATACCCATGAACAAATTTGCACCAAGTATGAAACAGAAAAAAGCAAGAGGATTCATGGGCATTTTCATCTATGGCTTAAGATCTCCTTAAAAAGAAAAAAAACTCCAACAAACTAAAGAGCATGACAATAACTACAAAAAGTAAACAACGAAATCAGAGGCAGAATATGAAATAGTAATATACTGTTTCAGAGCCTGCACCATCCTGCAGAACCAGGAAACTTAAAATTTGTTCTTAACAAATCCAATCTAGGCTGGATATGTAAAAAACAGAAAGATAGCATCACAAACCACACGACACATTATCAGAGTTTAAGAATCAGGAAAAAAAAAAGTCAGCTAACACTCAGAAAAATTTGTCATCAATTCTGAAATGGGGCCTTGTGACATCGTCAGGATTGATAAAGACAGAGATTGACTTTCCCGGGTTCTCAGTCACTAGCTGCTGCAGTTTTTTTGCCAAACGGTCATCAGGCTGGTTGGGGTCCCCTCCGTCAGACTGTGGAGAGGGGATGCTGGTGGTGCTACCTCGCCTCTGGAGCTCCAGTGTCAGCCGGTTGGCTGCCTTGACATGCTCAATGGCGGTGCGCAAGTGCTCTGCCGGGTCTGAGCGCACAGAGGACAGCTTCCGGGCGTGAAGCATGACTGTCTCCTCAGACAGATGTTCCAGCATGTTGCACTGAGGGATGAAATAATTGGGGCACATCTTGTTGACCAGACAGTGTTGCAGGTCATCGATGAGGCCCAGCAAAAAGTGGGCTGCATAGTCTTCTTGAGCCAAGTAGTTGGCAGGAAGTCTGTCGCAGGCCCAGAGCATCATGCTCCGCAGGTGATAGGGGCTAATAGCCTTGGGCCGGGACAGCAGTTTAATGATGATGGCTTTGCAGGCCTGATAGGCCTGCATGAGGCTGCTGGAGATGCACTTCTTCAACTGCACCTCGCTCCTGGCAAAGGACAGCCGCCATTCATTGTCCTTCTTACCCTTGTAGGAGCAAGCAGGCACCAAGTAAAACCCACTGATGACCTCTTCCTCAGTAATCTTCCCATCCCAAAAGTGGTTCTCCATGAGCCAGCTCTGGGCCACTGCAGGCCAACCTTTGAAAGATACCACAGGGACAATATCATACAACATGCGACTACTCCCTACACCCAGAATGATGGAGATGATGGTCCCATTTTTTTCCACCTTTTCTACCTTTGGCATCCCTCGCTGGGGTTTCTTCTGTATTTCTGATAGGACAATGCTGATAGAGTCATAGAACCAGTCAGCCACTTTGGTAGGTGAGAAGAAGTAGTTGGTGGCACCATTGATGTGATCTACAATGGTGCAGCAGTCTTTCCATTTACTGATTGTCCCCTCATCAAAGAGCCGAAGGCTCAGCCAAGAGTGGCACAAGGCTGAGTGGCGCATGTCGAGTGTCACAGGCTGATTACGGTCATGCAGCTTGAGGGCTGGCACCAAGAGGGTAAAGTCCATATCATAGTCAGTACCCCGGGCATAGACATTAAGCTCATCTAAGTCCAGGTCCACCACGCCTTCCCGGACACCTCCAGAGAGCAACAGGTATTCATTAGCCACTGGAAGCTTTTGGTCCAGCTTTTGCACCATTCCTGGAAATAAAGAAGAAAAAAACAACACTATTACAGGAAACACAGACATAAGAGTCTTATGCATGAAACAGAATGCTCTGATGTTCCAAGAACCAAAACTCATTATCAGTACTAAATCAAATCTCAGGCTGCTGCAGAGACCTGGCCAACAGTACTTTCTCACTAGTGCTAGAATCCACCCTTTTCCAAATGCAAGAATTATGATAGATTTTTCTCTCTCAGTGTGAAAAGCAGTATCGTTTTCAATAATAAAACAGGGCCCCTCTTCCCCCAGTCATCATCTCAGTTAATGGAATTGCCATCCACTCAGTTATGCAGACTGAAAACCTCAGTACATTTCAACTCTTTGCTGCCCTTCTACTGCCAAATCTTTTCCATGGAACCTCTGCCAGGGTTTCTCACTTCCTTCCCTGTTCTCCATCTCTCCTGCCATCATATGAAGTTCGGCCTTTTTTATCTATTGCCTAAGCGGTTTTCTTTCCCCAGGCTCTTTGCGCTTACACTCTTCTTTGTACCAGCGGTTCTCAGTGTGGGCTGGAGACACTTTCAGGGGTAATGAGTTCATAACTCTCTTTATAATAATACTAACACACTGTTTGACTTTTTTTTTAAGAGACAGGGTCTTGCTATGTTGCCCAGGCTGGTCTAAAATTCCTGGCCTCAAGCAATTCTCCTACCTCGGCTTCCCCCAAGTGCTGGGATTACAGGCATGAGCTACCACGCCCAGTCTTGTCTGACTTTTTTACTGTGTTGCCATTGTACTAATGGCACAGAAACAAGGGAGGATAATATTGCCAGTGCCTTAGCAGCAAAGACACTGATGCCAAACTGTACTAGCAGTCAGTAGGTTCTTTACCACTGACATGCATTAGCAATTTTTTTTTAAAAAACCCAGTTTTACTTAAGAAAATCCTTGATGGAGAAGAAAAATAAGTTATTTTATTGAATCTCAACCTCTGAGCCATTAGAAAGACTATCTTCCTAATAGTCTGTGTGATGAAATGGAAATAACCATAAAACCCGTCTTCCTCATACTGAAATAGGAAATCTGTCTTCAGGAAAAGCACTCACGTAACTGAGTTGTGAGCTGAACTAGCCTCTTTGTTCATGGAACGCCATTTTTACTTTAAAGAACAACAGAAAACTATGGCTATTTAGATTTGGGTATTTGGTAGACATTTTCTTCAGAAATGAACAAAATGAGCCTGGCTTCAAGGAAACTACTGACAATATTTATTGCCAATGATAAAGCTGAAATTTCTAAGGGAAAATTAAATTTAGAAAACTCCGCACCATGAGCGTGACATCTTCTCGAATTGTATACGTTTCTGATTAAATTGGCGATGATATTAACAAATGTGATTTTTTAAGAGATTGTGGGTCCTTTTGAGAACCATGTCTCATGTATTAAGCAGGTATAGAAGACTCCGTGCATGCAGTAGGAACATAATTCAAGCTATGACTAAATGATAAGGGAAAAAATGCATGAAATTAATAGGTAGATAGCATTAATAGATGGAATTAACATAAATTCTTAAAGGCTAGACTTAAATGACTGTTCCATAAACAACATATACATTTTCCCTCCTTCATTATATACTTGCTTACGCTTGATTCTCTGACAAACTACCAGCGTCATCCTGTGATTTATTTAACAGTGTTTCCCCAAAGATCAAGACCTACCACAAAGTATTATAATATTCCATTATTCATTATAATTCATAGTTTGCTCTTCATAGGACAATCCCAAATCAAATAAACCATATGCCTGTGTTTTCTTACTATTATTGTTATACTCTGAACGTTCGTGACTCCCACTCACATGTTGAAATCCCAACTTTCAATGTGATAGTATTAGGAGCTGGGGCCTGTGGTAGGTGATCAGGCGTGAGAGTGGAACCCTCATGAGTGGGATTGGTACCCTTATAAAAGAAACCTCAGAGCGCTTCTTTACCCCTTCTGCCATGTGAGGACACAGTGAGAAGACAGCCATCTATGAACCAGGAAGCTGTCCCTCACCAGACAATGAATCTGCAGGCACCTTGATCTTGGCTTTCTTGACATCCAGAATGGTGAGAAATAAATCCCTGCTGTTTATAAGCTACTCAGTTTAGGTACTTTGACATAACAGCCTGAATGAACTAAGACAATTATACTTTAAAATTTAACGCTCATTTATTAAAATATGCTCTTTAAAATCCTATTTTCCAAACCACATTAACCATGAAAAAGTCTTTTATTTAGTACAATTCTTTACACACAGAAATATGGCAAGTTATCATTTTCTTTTTAAAACCGTAAGTTAGCCAACATTATAGTGTCAACAATTCATCAGAAAGAACATCCAACAAACCTGACTTCTTGGCTGTTTCTCACACTATCTGCACTGTGATACGGCATCCAGGTCCCTCTTCAATAAAGGACTTCCAGCTGCTTAAATGCTAGCCCTTAAGGATTGTCTCAGCTGCAAAGGGCTGTCTTAGCCAGGTCAGGTCCTGTGGCTGGGATGGGGGTTGCAGGTGCACATCCAATAACTGATCGGTGTGGGAGTGTCCCAGCTCAGGATACTCTGAAGGGCCACTCAAACTCTGAGTTCCCAGTGGGGTTGGCTGTGGCGAATGATGCGCCTGCAGGGAAGCTCAGCTTCTCCTACTTGAACCTGCTTCCTTCCCCACTTCGACAGGTGTAGATCCCAAGGGTGCTGCTTCATAAACATCCTAACTCCATTTCAGAGGCTGCGTCCTGAGAAACCCAACATACTACACTAAATACTATCCAAGCAAAACAGAAGATACTACCTACTACCCAAACAAAAACCGTCTTCAGCATGGAAAATATGTTTTTCCTTTTTAAAGTGTTTTCTTTTTTAAAGCCAAACTTAATCCGGATTGAAAGTTCTTATAAATGCCAAGACAAAGATCCATTTCTCAAATGTCATTATGTTTTAATATTAACCTCATCTTTGCCATGTAAAGAAATACTACCATCCCACGTTTTGGTTATTGCTTTAAAGGATAAAATTGATTTCTCAGATTCCAGATTAGGTTGTGAAAATCATTTTCATTATTTTATGAACTCACATGTTGGAACAGTCAGTTTCAGTGAGATATATTTGATAATGAAATCGTTTACTCTTCATTATTTCAAACATCCTTTCATTCTACCATTCAGAATACCATAAATATACGTGAGAAGTACTGTGAAATGCTGTGTTGTGGTTAGTAAATAAGATCTGAATCTATTAAAGTGATATTGTTATTTGAGTACACACTGTTGTCTCCTCTTAGGCGTAACTAACTCAAAATCCTATATATGCTTTTGTCCTGGACAGAAGCAAACTGGCTTTGAGCCCACCAACTAAGACTCGTCTATATAATCAGGGTAACTTGTGCATTAACAACCTGGAGATAATTTGTCTACAAAAGTGCCACTGAATTTTGCCTTGGATTGTTACAATCTTGTTTGGAGAGTCTTGGGTAAGCCATAGCTAAAACTCCCTTCTGCCCTCTGCTGGATTTAAGAAGTTTTAACCTGTTTTCACTTGTCAATATACACACTAGAAAATTCCTGCCAATGATAAAAGGTTCTCTTTCCTCTCAATGATGCTTATGCATCTCGTTAAAATGTTGACCCTTTATTCAAAGGAGTCAACATCAAGTATTTGGCTAAATTCTAATATTCAGGAGATAGGGTAATTTTGAACACTTCTTATTCCTTTTAAAGTGAAGAAAGCCCTTTAGTAGCAGAAAGAGTATTGCAGACACACATTTACTAAGCCCCTATAAGAAACAAAGTCCCTAAGGCCACACTGTTCCAGAAGCTAATCCCTTCCTACATCCACATTTCCATTTAGCCTCCCTGAGCCCATTAGTCTGCAATTTTACAAACGATATGGTAACAGAACTCGAGCCTTCCCCAGCGTTATACAAGCCCAAATGTCTTCCTTGAAAACTTTCCTGGGCTAAGTTTAAGTGAAAATGAGCTGACATCAGCTATCATGGCAGATGGGTTGCCATGCAACCAAAACACAGGGCTGGAAGGGAAAAAGACAGAGGAGGGAAAATTTTCAACTGTACGCTTTGGCTGTAGGGATCAGTTCCAACAAGTGCCATCTCTGCAATGATCCGAGGTTTTCTGTGTAATTACTGGAGGATAAGATCTAGTGACTCTGGCTGTTTAGCTGTTAGATTATCCAAAGCTATGAGTGGGAACAGAAGGAAGATGCACATACACCACTGAGCTTGTTAGCAGCAAAACAAAAAAGGAAGGATAGAGGATAGCTATTCCCTTGGGTGGGTCTCTTCTTTTCATGGAGGCACTGGCATATGCTTGTTCTTAAGTAAAACTGCCACTCAACCTCTTTTCCTGTAATTCACTGTTTCTTGGTTTTGATATATTTCAGAGTTTTTACTTAAGAATATCTTAATAGTACCCTTTTATATAGATACTCAGGTCCTAAGTTTAAGGAATGTGTTTCACGTCATGCTTTCAGTTATTTACTGATTATCTTTAGAATATCAAGTGAAAAATGGAACTCTGTCCCTGACTTATGTTCTAGTGAATAAAACTATATCATATTCCACTAAATTGAAACTGCAAACCTTCATCATGCAAACATATAATGCCAGATTGCTAATACTAGAGCACAAAAACTAAGTATGATTTCTTGTTGTCTTTACAACCCCACCCCAGTAAGTCTGTGAAAACTCAGAGAGTTCAAGAAATACTAAGTAGGTAAGTCAAAATAGTACCTGTATAGACTTCTTTAAAACAGATACACACACACACACACACACACACACACACACACACTTACATATGTTGAAGGGAGAAAGGTTTATAAAAGAAGTAAAATTTTTATGTCTTATAATTAAAGTTACAAAATTAGATAAATTTTATCTTTTTATATACCTTTGACTATATGCCTGAATATCTCAGTAATAGTCATTGTTTCATATAAAAGAGTTTCCTTTTTTAGCTCCAACTCATGTAGCACATACCAGTAACAAACAGTGCCTTATTCCAGCAGTGGGTTTTAATGGCAGGAAGGGTACACGGTGTGATGATGTTGACAAAGTCCTTCTTTCATTCTGATGCATCCCCTAGGGTAAGTCTCCTTGGTTGACAATAAACAATATAAAACCTTCCTATAAAAATATTATGGTTTATGTTTCCAGGGTGGAAGTATTTTTGTCAAGCTTACCTGACATTCTGAGGAACGTCTGAGATGTGGGCATAGCCACCTTTTTCTAAGAAAGTCACTAATCCATGAAATTCTTAATGACCCCAGTTGGAAAAGATTTTAGGCCTTTCCTCGTTCATGCCCAGAAATCATCTATCTGAAGAAAAAACTGGTTCCAAGAGGAGAAATCACTCATGTGGGGTCATACGGCCTTAGTGACAGATTACCAGCATTGTTGCATTCCAACATTTGCGCAAAGACCAGAATAACACATATGTCCTGATCTCCCCATGACAATGCACAATGGCTTAAGAGGGAAGTAGCAGAGGTCTCAGGGCAATGTGCCAGTTTTTCATTTTTATTGGTCAAATCTTTAGTGGGACCTGGGACAACTGGCAGAACATGTCTGACCATCCACATTTATCATAAAGAAGAATGGGCCTGGTCTGCCTTGATAGAGCCATTAGTATTCCCAAATAGACTGTAAGACCCTGGAAATACAGAAGACAAAAACGGAGCTTTCCAGTTTTTCAATAATATTCTGAGTTATTAGTACTCACAATTAGGATAATATGTTTTATATGTCAAAGAGTCTGCTTTATTTTGCATAATTTGAGACAACTGCATATAATTTTATTTTTTTAGAAGACTGATTAATTCACGTATGGTAATGGTAATGCCCTATTGACCAGAATATATATATAGTAACAGGGCTGATTTAAAAGATGTCACTCCAAAGGAGTCTTTCTTAGTATTTCCCCATTTTGACACTGATATGTACGCAAGAACACTGGACTCAACATAGGCTTGGGCTTGGATCCTGGGCTTGTCATTTACTATTCAAGTGAGGCTAACAAATTACTTAACCTCTCTGAGTTTCCAATTCCTTATCTATTAAAAAACAAACAAATTGATGAAAAGTAAGTAAACGCATATAAAAACCCACCCTTACAGGATTGCTATGAAGTGTCTAAGCGCATCGTAGATATTTAGCTCATGTTCCCCATATGTTCTTCCCTTTTCCTACCACACATAAACTGGAAGAGCAAATAAACACAGATTCCACGGAGTTATTTTAAAGATTTAATTAAACAAGATAATCTATTTAAAGCCTCTAGCACATGCAAGGCACACAAAACATGTTAGATGAAGGGAAATGAATGAAGTATTCTCTCCCCTGGCTGTACCAAGACTGCTGCTAGTCAAGGCTGCTTCCTCTGAGTGAATGCCATCGTGTGGCACGACACACAGGGTGGCAGGCAGAGGGCAGGCTGGATTCTAGCTCTTTCTTGTCCTCTCACCCAGGTACCCCATGGAATGAACAACCTGTACATCCTAGTGGAGGGTCTTGACCTGAACTAAATTAGCACTTTCGACATCTACTGTCATTGTGGGCTGTGTTCATGGTGTATCTTTCTTCCTAAACAAGACAACAATACACAATCGTCCCTTGGTCCCAGGAGCTCCTACATATGCTGAAATGTGTCCATACTCAAGTCCCATAGCTGACCTTGTGGAATCCACTTACACAACAAGTTGGTCCTCTGTATAAGTGGGTTTCATATCCTGCAAATAGTATATTTTCAATCTGTATTTGATTGAAAAATAGCCACCTATAAGTGGACCTGTGCAGCTCAAACCTGTGTTGTTCAAGGGTCAACCGTGAAGCATCTGGCACAGTAACTCACGAAAAGGCGTCACAAATGAAAGATCCTATCTTAGGTGACATCTATAACCTCCTTGTGGTCAACATTCTTTTGCTGCATTGCTAGTACAGACTTTAGATTAGAAGGCACCCGCTTTTTATGTATACCATTTCTTTCAATCAACCTGAATACCTCATTAACCGTAACCTAGGATTATGGAATTTGCCCTACAATATAATATGAAAGCCTGTCAGCATATGTTTACTAATCATCTAAAAGATGGGAAGAGAAAAATGCCTCTCTAATCTTCCATTATTTTCCTTCTTAAAAATTAAAACTGAAGGTCTTAAAAATTGGTGGGCTTTGTCAAAGTCTACTAAGCTATTTTAAACAGAATGAACATGAGTTAGACCTGGATTCGAGTCCAATTCATTTATGACCAACATCAACCACTGTGGGCCTTGGTTTCCTTAAACAAAATTGTAGAATAACAACTGGTACAAGTTTGTTGGGTGGCCACAGGAATAAAATGAGAAAATGCACAACAAATTTCTTAGTGTGTAGTTTTGTGCTTAGTTGGTAATCAGTGAACAGGGTTTGTTGGCACATGCATACACATATCGATATATTATCAATATATTTTTTCCCATCAAATAAATCCCGACCTTTCTTTTCAGTACTTAGGATAGTTTAAGAACTCATGGTTTTTGCCATTCAGAACTTACTGGCAAGACCCAATAGAGAGTCTTATTAGCCCTACCTAGCAGCTTCCCAAAGTCACAATAGGGTACAAAAGTTACAGACTGACAATTTACAAGGACAGTGTTCACTTCTGAAGGCTCATTCTTGAAAGGCCAAAAAAAAAAAAAAAAAGTGAAGAGCAAGAGTAATGGTGTTAAACAGCTACATAAGGATACAGAAATATATCAGGGATGACCACATTAATGCTCTCCTGATCTTCCCAAGAACCCATAAGCTTGTGATGGAGATGCTCTGAATGAAGTCAACTGTACCCCATCACTGACCCTTTGCCCAGGACCCAGCTGGGTCCGGTTTCCATTCCTTTCTCACGTTGAGATGTATATGTCAACTACTTAATTACTCCGAAACTGGAAAGCTGTGTTTAATTGGGGAGGAGAAGGGGGGAAGTCTACATTTTGGAAGAAAAATAATGAAGTAGGCCAAGTCTAAGAAATTGCAACAAGGATAAAGACAGGATTCAAAACTCAGATTTTACTTATTCACACAGTAAGTATGAGCGTCTCCTATGAGCCAGTGCTGTGCTAGACACTGAAGAGACAAAGGTGAAGAGAAACATACACCACCCCCACTGCATAATGCTGATGATTTAGTGAGAAAGCCAAATGTTAATTCTATCAATCAGGACAGGTGAAGTTATGCTGAGTAACAAAGCTAATATCTCAGTGACTCAAAACAACCAAGTTTTATTTTTCATTCACACTAGATGACCATCAAGGGTGAGTGGGGCGGGAGGGATTGGGGGCGCTTTTCTTTCCTTAACTTAGGACCCAGATGGGTAGAGCAAGCCATGTCTAGAAGGAACTTCACAGTCACTCTGCTGGAGGAAAAGAAGGCTCTGGGCATTCTCTTTTTGGCAGTTAAATGCTCTGGCATGCAAATGACATACATCATTTTCATACACAAATCATTGGTCAAAACTAGTCACATGGTCCCACCCTCACCCATGAAAGAAAGCACGATTCTACCACATGCTGGGAGAACTGGGAATCTGTGATATGCTGCATGAACAGCTCCCACACTAATCAGATAATCACACACGAATCAACATATGATTAGAAATTGAGATAATAGCACTGAATGAAATGAATAAGGTCCTAGCCAAAATGCACAAGAGGAAGAAGAGGAGTGAAAATTATTTAGCCTGAAAAATGGAAAATTCAAAAAGGCTATGAGAGCCATCTTCAAATATCTGATAAGCTGTGCTAGTACAGAAGAAATGGAATTTGCCTACATGGTTTCACTAAGCAGAACATATAGAGAGAAGTTTTCAGTGTAATGTTGTAAAGTCATCCATCCGGCAGAATTTTCTAGCAATGCTGCCTGTGGAGGCAGTACCTTTCCTATCCCAAGAGAGGATCAATCAGAATCTTCAGCAGGGATGGAGTCTCAGTATAGATGTCTTCCGAGGTGGCTGCCCATCCCAAGAACCTACTACTTAAGACAGACAACTATAACGTAGACTTCTATAGCCACCTATGACCATCCAGTGTGGGCCCAGTCACAGTGGCTGTAAGAAGACCATAATCTGAGCATTACGCCCAAAGGCTGGATGCTGCCCTTCCTTCTCATCTGGCCTACTCTATGTCATTTGTAAACTGCAGCCCTGCTGCTGTCACATCCTCCAGCCGACTTCACCAGTTTTACAAAGAGATAACTAGCACCAGCAATGACACACATAACAGCAAAAGAAGAGCTGAGTTTATAGTACACATTTGAAGTACATACATCTCATGACAAGGACTCTCTGAGAAGGGCACAAACATTCATGCCACTACCATGCACTACGGCACAGGCCAAATGCTTACCTGTGTCATCTCGTTCAATCTTCTTGGCCCTTTCAAGTGGGCAATAGTGTCCCCCTTCCCTTTTTTTTTGACATGGAGTCTCGCTCTGTCCCCAGGCTGGAGTGCAGTGGCACAATCTTGGCTCACTGCAACCTCCATCTCCCTGGCTCAAGCAATTCTCCTGTCTCAGCCTCCCGAGTAGCTGGAACTACAGGCACGCATCACCACATCTGGCTAATTTTTGTATTTTTAGTAGAGATGGGGTTTCACCGTATTGGCCAGGATGGTCTGGATCTTTTGACCTCGTGATCCGCCTTGCCTAGGCCTCCCAAAGTGCTGGGATTACAGGCGTGAGCCACCATGCCCAGCCTAGTGTCCCCATTTTACAGATAAGGAAATTAAGAAAAATAGCAGCCAAATAAATTGTTTATGGCCATGATAGCTGACCTGGGATCCAAATTCAAGTTGATCCTATGCTGCTTTCCTGCATTAAATGGGCTTTCCTAGGAGAGAATAAACAATGTAATACCTTGGGCCTTTGGAACTGCCACATAAACTGTATAGGAAACAGTAAGTAGAAATTTATTTCTCCATCCAAAAATGGAACAAATTCTATTTTGGAGTAAACAGATTTCTAGAGCAGATTAAAAACTGACTTTAGTCATCTCTGGGGAATAAAGTATATGAGCAAATGGGTCAAGGATCATAGGAAAGAGACGATTATAGATGACATTATAAAAAGATACTTAGTGCTGAGACACACAGCTATGTGGGTGCACACGTGTGCGTGTGCATCTGTGTTGCACACTTAGCTCTTGGACAACTTTCAGAGAACATTCCACAAGTGTTTTAATCACAACAGCATCCCTGAAATTCTTTCAGGCTCCCAGAACAAACTCTGAAAATATTCCCACATATTCAGATGCGTAGTCTAATTTGTTATTTTAACCCAACATCAGAGCCTTAATTTGAAGGTCATATCCCCTAAGTTTATACTACTAGGTTGAGGAGACAGGTGGAGGTAGCCAGGAACATGACTGCCAAAAACATACTAACCACAAGGCCAGAAACTTTTATTGAACTCTAATGGAAGAAAGTCTTTTCCCTTTACAGACACAGCAGTACCTATTACAGTCACATTTTGTCTCTGTACAAAACCCTTATCGGGTACACTGGGACATGAAGAAAGAATTCTGTGTCTTCTCTAAAAACAAAAACTGGTATCCATCAAACTGTGATAAGAGATAATGCTCCTTGTAACAAGCACCCTAAAAAAAGGTGTCACTATCCATGTAAAAGAGACCTTGAATCGGTGATCTACATTACACATTTGAATTTGCTAAACTAGCTTTAAAATGATCCCAATTTATATAAAGAAGCCTCCTCTAAAGGACTTACAAACTATCGAATTTGCTAAACTAGCTTTAAAATGATCCCAATTTATATAAAGAAGCCTCCTCTAAAGGACTTACAAACTATCACTGGCTAGTCAAAGAAGACCCTGTCTTACTTTAGACGAGTTTACTAACTTGTTTTACTGTTTACTTTAGAAATTTTCAAACATATACAATAGTAGATATAATAGTAAAATAAATTCCCATGTATCCATCACCTAACTTCAACAATTATGTTTGCCATTCTTATTTCATTTATCCCATTTTTTTGGCATAATATGTTAAGGTAAATCCCAGACAACCTATCATTTTACCCATAAACATCACTTTCTCAATTAGACACAGACATTTGTCTAAAGACTTTTTAAGTATAACCACCATTCTCATATCTAAACAAAATTAATAGTTCCTATTATTACAGACCTCACTTGAATTTACATTTTTCCTAATATATGAGTATGCTTGTGTGTGTGTGTGTGTGCGCACGCACATGTGCGTATGACTTTGTTGATATCCTGCCCTGTGTCCCCAGCCCATCCCTGGGTTCACTTGCAGCTGTGACAGGCAGTCCCCGAGATGTTCCCAGCCCCTCTCCTCAAGTGCCAGTGACTCTGCCCCTCTGCCTAAGGGCATTCTCTCTCCAGCCACTGCCAGGAAGTGCAGGGGAGTTAATGCAAGAGAACTGACACCATTGGGGCGACTGTCAACCACTGGGGCAGAATCAGTAGATAAATGCCCTAGCTTCCCCAGACTCTGTGGGCGATTCTACATTGGGTTCTATACAACCTCTCAGATGAACCCATTCAATAGCTTATTAATAGACAGAATCTTTATTGGCTTTTCTCTCATCTGTCTCAATTGCTGTATTCCCTCACTCCTGTTTCTTTGTGTCACCTCCCAAGTGAACTACCACAGCAGAGTAATTCTTGTTTCTGGAACTGTAGTGGGTGGGGGGTGTAAAGCAGGGACAGACAGGCTCAGGTCTGTTAATAATTCTTGATGACATTACATTTCATATGGACAACTGGCCATGAGGAGCCTGGAAGCCTAAGCTACTGGTAAGGGATTACTTGCTCTTTCCCACAATCAGTTATAGATCCATTACAAGTCTTATAAAACTAGATCTGAGAACAATTCTCAAAAAGAGTTCATTAGCCTTCACAGATCAGCAAGCTTGCTTTTCTGTGCATTTACAGCTAGCATCTTCCTGATTATTTCTTGCTTTGTTGTTATCTCAATTCTCCTCACTTCCCAAGGGACATTTTAAGACCTCTGGAAAGCTTTGGAGAGGTGAAAATCCATATATTTTTCAGATACAGGCATTTCTTTCTTAAATTCCAAAGAGAACAATGGGGATTAAGGTTGGGGAGGGTGGATTAAAAAAAAGAACTCACTCCAGGAACCAACCATCAGAGTGGAGCTTTGTTCAAACAGACCTTACTTATACATGAAAGCCTCAAGCCAAATTTAAAGACCAAAACAAAGTTTCTCTTTCAGCCTCTGTTGAGGATTATTCTGTCTCTATTCCTCTAAATTGTACAGAAATACTTCTAAATGATATATTTAGTTTCTTCATTCAATCACCTTTGTCCGTACTTTCTTTTGTGTGTGTGCGTGTTTTGTTTTTTTTGCTTTTTTATTTTTTTGGAGATGGAGTCTCACTCTGTTGCTCAGGCTGGAGGGTAGTGGCACAATCTTGGCTCACTGCAACCTCTGCCTCCCAGGTTCAAGCAATTCTCCTGCCTCAGCCTCCCGAGTAGCTGGGACTACAGATGTGCGCCACCACGCCCGGCTAATTTTTGTATTTTCAGTAGAGACAGGGTTTCACCATGTTGGTCAGGCTGGTCTCAAACTCCTGACCTCCCAACTGGCCTCCCAAGCTGCTGGGATTACAGGCGTGAGCCACCATGCCCGGCCTGTACTTTTTTTAGTGTAGTGTTTACACTAATTATCAATTATGTGTTTACCTGTCAGTGTCCCTCTGATGACTTGTGTATCTCCCACCCTAACACAAGAGAAGTTCAGCAGAGTAAGCTGAATCAGTAAATAGATGGTGGAGCCTAATGACAAAGTTTTCTGAAATAAACTCTATCTTTATGGTGGATGAAACTGTCAGGTGATATACTTCGACTGACAACACTGTCATTGTGAGACATGATGAAAGACTCCAGATCCTCTATATCTGCAAGCAAGGGACTCATATCACATTCTCAGAAGAGATGAAGGAGAAGCTAGGGGCTTGTTCATGAACTATACTGTAACTACACAGACACGTCTCCTCTTGTTCTTTGAGGATAATTTAGCTCTAGGACATTCTCCAAAGCACCAATTTTTAGTCAACAACCTCATCAGGGAAGCAGGAGAAAAGTTACTATATAACTATAGTGTGATCTAAGATCAAAGTCTAATACCTAATTTCTAAAAAGATTAAAACCATGTATTTTTTCCCTTGATGCATACGTGGAGAACCTATAAATAAATGGATTCCTTACTAAGCCATTCCCAAAAACTGCCAGGAGATGGCATCCACACTCTACTCATTTACTAAGAGTTTCTAGCTGGGCTTGGACGTCTTACAATCTTAGAATAAAATCTTTGGGGAAACAAGCTGATCAACGGGCTAAAATGTGATAAGACTACATTAAAAGCATCAGTCCCAGGCCTATTTACTTTGAGGTTCCACCCAGTGACTTGTAACTTTTCTGTTTAGTTTCCCTGAGAAAATCCTCCTGATAATTTAGAAGCTGAAGGGATCATCTAGGTTGAGCCAAGACTGAAAGATGCTTTGTCTTGGCAAGCAACATGGCTGACAATGGGTTCCCAATGCATATTCAGGAGCTCTTTGCAAGGCAGAGTTGTCCGCTTGCACTTACTGCAGTTAATTTTTTTTTTTTTTTTTTAATGAACAAAGCTTCAGTTTCCAGGAATAAAAGAAAAAGAAGTCAGAGGAAACAGTCTTTGATGTTATGAGGCTGAGACACTACTCTTCCTTCAGGACTATTTCATTCTGACTATAAGTGAATAAATACATTGAAGACTTCAGGAGCTCAGAAGATTAATAAAAAGAAAATGTTTTAACCTATCTTCCATCAAGTCTAAATAAACAATATATATATTGTATGACGCTTTGCAGTTTCCAGAGAATGGCCACAATCATTTTCCCATTTGTTCCCTATAATTACTTGATGAACAGCTCTAGAATTCTCATTGTAGGGATGTGGAGGCTGAGGCTCCTAGCCCTAAGTAACTAGTCAAGATGAGTATACAAAGTATCCACCTAGTTCTCCGGCCTAAACCAGACTAAAACTAATCTGACCACACACAATTATTTTGAAGGAAAGATAGAGGGATCATTTTTTTTCCCATCAAGTTGTCAATTTGTTGTAAGGTGGGAGAAAGGGCTCAAAATGTAAGGTGTGCTCTATTGGGAGGAATCTATGATGGTTATAGCCAGACTGCCTGGGTTACTGATAAGATTCCCTTCTTTCCTTACCTATGCCAGCAAAATAAACACACATCTTTGATGAAAAATAACTTGTCTTTAAGTGTCAATAACCAAGTGCTTAATAGCTATTAATCAATTTTCCACATGGCTTATTAACAATGACCTCCTGCTTCTATTGTTTTTGCCTTCGTTTAAATAAGTAAATGTTATTTCAAATACTAATTTCCTCAATCTAGTTTTCAAATAACAAATCAGTAATATCCTAAAAACATGCTAGTTTGAAAAATAATGATATGTTAATAAGTCTTAGAAGTATTTCCATCGTATAAAGTTGGAATGTTTGATACATCCAGAAGTTCAGATTAGTACAGCTACACCCATCCCTGTAATTTAAGAAAGGACTAAGGGATCAAATGAGTTTTTCCAAGGACAACAGACATGAAAAAAAAAATACTGACAGGCTAACAGACTAATAAAGAGCTGAATCTGCTGAGACAGAATTGCCTACCTGATAACTGTTTTCAGTATCTGGGTAAAAACATACTCTATTGTTTGAGCTTGAAAATGTTCGGATCAAAAGAAATCAGACTTGAAATAACCAGCCAAAGCCCTCTGCAGAAGTAGAAATTTGCAGTTTAAAAGCACGGGTAGATCATTTAAAAGAGGACAAAGCTGCAGTGTTTTTAAATCCATGCCTGCTCAATTAAAAAAAGTCTTGGGCGGGCGCGGTGGCTCACACCTGTAATCCCAGCACTTTGGGAGGCCAAGGTGGGCAGATCACGAGGTCAGGAGATCGAGACCATCCTGGCTAACACGGTGAAACCCTGTCTCTACTAAAAAAAATACAAAAAATTACCCAGGCGTGGTGGTGGACGCCTTTAGTCCCAGCTACTGGGGAGGCTGAGGCAGGAGAATGGCGTGAACCCAGGAGGTGGAGCTTGCAGTGAGCTGAGATTGTGCCACTGCATTCCAGCCTGGGCGACAGAGCGAGACTCCATCCCAAAAAAAAAAAAAAAATTCTTAGACAAAGTCAAAGATGAGTCTCATAATGCTGACATGGGAAAGTCATACTTTGAGAGATGGCTTCTTTCATCTACTTTCCCCCAACCATCTAAAAATGGAGCAAGTCAGTGGATGAACAGTGTGGCATTCAAACATTCTAGCCAGAAATTATTAACCAAATGATGGCTACTAAGGGAGAAATAAGAGTTTCTTTAATTTCATAGTATTAAAGGATGTTGTTTGAATAAGTTAAAATTCGCTAAGTCTTGGTCTCCAGAGAATGAAGTTTAAGTTATATATGTGTTCCCCACACAAAGAATGAATAAATTGGAGCTTACTGGAGCCAGAACTGACTTTCAAGGTTATTTATTCCAACTGCCATGGTATGTATGAGGTTGCTAAGGCCCAGAAAGCAAAGGTGACACAGCACTGAACCTGGCACAGGTGCCAGAAATAGAACCCAAAGTACTTGACTCTCAATCCAGAACTCCCTGCTTCATATGTGGGTCTCAAACCGAGAGGCTTGTTAAAAATGCAGGTTCCCATGTCTCACCCCACAAGGATGGAAGCATAATCTCCAAGGAGACATGTGTTTAGCAATGTTGAAATGCTTTTAAAAATTGAGTCTGCCTCTCTCTCAATTTCAAAGCAGAAAGTTTAACTGCATGAAATCAGGAAAGGCAAAGCTGTCAAGTTAGAGGAAGGAATTTACTGTCTCAGTAATTCTCTAAGATCTTGAAGAGCTGAGATTGGCTACTTTTCAAATCAGGGAAGACAACTTTGGCGGGCTTTTGGAAACATGATAGTAATTGAGATTCAGGAGGGATGTGACAGGTCTCATTCTGTACAATTGGGGAATTCATTCATCTCTAACCACCCAGGTATTCATTTAGTTTGAAAGAAAATGATGTATTTGTGCTAGATTTCTGCTATTTTTTCAGGGCCCGTATCTTCCTCTACCCATCAGATAGGGATGGATTTTTGTCCTCTATTCAATCTCAAGCATAGATAAAGTGATTGCATCACCAGCCGAATCCTTAAGGACAATTGGCGCCCATACCACACTTGGCTTGGGAGCACATATATGGGTCAGTGAGTATCAAGTGTGGAGCTGACTTGGCAGCCAAGCAATAAACCTGCAGTGATGGGCACAATTACAGCTCAGTTCTCAAAACCAAAGATCACACAGTTTGAATAGAGGTGTACAATTTCCAAAGCTATCAATTGTCCCAGGGTTGAATTGAGAGACGACGACAGATTAAATGCAGACAGCTGTATTTATATTGTGTCCCTTCCAAAAGTCCAGTTTGGGTTTTATAGTGAAGTGGCAAAAAGACGAGAGGACAATTTTTTTTTTTAAAAAAAAAGATGGTTCCGACTTGAGAAAGGTTATTAAAGGACTCAGGTGTGCTACGATTGTGAGATGCAAAAATCCCATTTTTAAGATAGTGACAAAAATGACATTTTGTACACAGACCCAAGTCTTGTTATGACAGTAACTTTCAGATGAAAAATTCCATAATTCCAGTCTAACAAGAGGTGGTTTGAGGAGAAACTCTCCAGTAAAATCACATGAAGTTTTCAGTCTTTCCACTAGAGGTCATGCCTTCCTAATTTTTCTTTAGTTGCTGGACTGGCTGCAACCCAAAAAGTAAGGCCTGAGGTTGAACATAAATTTTTAAAATTAATACCTGATTTTACTGGTATGCTTTCAAAGTGAGTGAGAACACAGTGCTTCTTGCCGGTGAATTTCAAATGCCCACATGCTGTTTGCAGCAATTCTACTGTCACGATGGGATGTCACATCGTCGTTGGTAAGATTCACAGCTTTGAGGTGAACAAGGAAGACAGAAAAGAAGGATGCCAGAAAGGATGATGTGGATGCCGTGATAGAAAGATTATTAATTTAGGATACAGGCACGCTTGAATGTGGACCTTAGCTTCATGATTTATTAGCTGTGTGGCATCTGGATAAGTTACTTGACTTTCTGAAACTTCAGTTTCCCCATTAAAAAAAAAATGGGGGTAATATCATCTTTCTCATAAGGTTCTTGGGACACTTAATTGAAACAGTTACATAAAGCTCCAAGCAGAGTTTCTGGAACTTTGCAATCCTGAGAAAATGTAATTGTATTTTTAAAATCACATTCTGTTCACACTTCTGTAGGTTAATGAATAACACTCGTCTTTATCCTGTTATTTGGGCATGTGACTTTTAAAAATAAATATTCCAATACTTTTTCTATCTATTCTATCACTTCCCTCCCTGTTTTTCTTTTAATTTTAGTTTTTATTTAGTAATGTAGTCATGTGGTTCAACATTCAACAGCACAGACGTGACCCTGGAGGGGAGGATCTGTGTTTGAGTCACCCCTTTATTACCAAGAGCTCCTCATGCAGTGCTTTGTAATGCAAGTAACTGTGTGTCAAGTAATGTGGGTTGAGTGGGTGAAACCTCTTGACAACTCTGTCAGCTTTGTAAGGGACAGAAAACACTCTGAATGAAAAGTTAACACAAAGCACCTGGTAGATAGGAGAGAGGGAAGGAGGGAAGGAGGGAAGGAAGAAGGGAAAGAAGTGAGAGAAAGGAAGGGAAAGAAACAGATATACTGATTTTTACAGTTAGTTTTAGCTTAATATAATCTTTTACAGGACTCAATCATGACAGCTAGCATCACTGCAAACAGTAAATCTGTCATCATTAAACAGGTACCACCAGAGCCCTGCACCATCACTCAGTTGACAAATACTTCAGATTCTGTCCTTAAAATGTTTGTGGTGTAGTGTCCTTCCTGCACACCCCATGCCACTGTGTGTCACTGTAACAGTCCAGCCAGGGTCCTCACATCTCTCACAGGGACAACTGCAATACCTCCGAACTACACTCTGTTCCCACCACCGCACCCAGCATAGGCTGCCAGAAGGAGCTTCTTGAAGGATGGGCTCTAATCACATCACTCACCTGCTCAAAATCCTTCCACGGTGCCCCCATCTCCATAGCCAAGGCCTCCCCCACTCTGAGGCCAATCTCCATTTTCGTCCCTGTCTTAACTGCTCCCTTATGTTCTTAATTGGCCCCAGCCCCCAAACGGATCCCCCACAATATGCTAGTCCCCCAAATATGTCCAGTGTTTTCCAGTCCCCAAGCCTCTACTTGTTCTCTTCAGTGTGCCCTCCCTCCTTGCCTGCTGAAATCCTGCCAATTCTACCCACCTAAAAGCTTTTGCCTCCTAACCTTACTCCACAATCATACAAATTATTTCCTGTCCCCCTTCATACAGCATTTGTACTACAGCTATTTGAGCTCATTCTCATGTCTCACATGAGACCATGAGTTTTTTGAAGACAGGAACGGAGCCTTATTCACCTGCATCCCCCTGTGTTCTGTGTCTGGGGTTTAGGCCACTGATATCTAGAAACAGTCTGACCTACTACAGAATATGTCACTGTAACATGAACTGCTTGTACAGGACTGGCAGATAGGAAAATGATGTCAGCACAATTAAAAGTTGGATTGCTTTCACATGCAATTTTCCTAGAATGCTAATATTTTGTACAATCAAGAACTAGCAGCTAAAAAAAATGTACTCAAACACAGAATACAGCAAGTCACAGAGTTCTCAGCTCAGACAGACATGTGGTTCTTGGTTCAGAAAGTATGTGGCTTTTCTTTTTGTATTGTTGCCTATGATCTTACTTCATTGTATCCTTGTCTCCAAAATTCAACAACTTTTCCTTACAATCCATCAAGCCATCTTCAACCATTTTTAAAGGTAAAGTCCTTTTTAGAGTGGTATTTCTTTATCTTTTCGTGTTTCTTTTGCTTTTGTTAATGTCCTGGTTACAAAGTCAAATAGGTTTTGGGGGATATGGTCATAACTCTGCTTTTCCTATAAGTCATGCTGGTTTTTTTAATGCAATTATGCAGAATATGAGGATTTTAAGGAATATATATACTATATTGTTATATAAGTGCCTAGACCAGTGCTCAACTTAACTGGAGATAGAAGGCCAACTGCTGGTCTTAATAAATGAATGATGACAAGGTCCCTCAATACAGTTCCCTTGAATGTCAATTGTTTGAGCCAGTTCTCAATTAACTGAATATCCGAGAGGCAGGAATTGAGTTTTTTTTTTGCTAGAATCTGAACTGCCAATGGAAATGCTCTTGGGCAAGACAGGCTGACCTGACCTGGAATATAAGTGACTCATAGTTTTCCTGGAGAGCTGAGCATGTCTGAAGAATGCTAGATCCCAGGGCTCCTGAAGAGGGAGAGGCCATCCGGGGGCAAAAGTGAAGGGAGAAGAAAAGAGAGATAGGAATCAATGTTTACAGAGTATCTGCTAAGGCCCAGTTATATATTAAGATTTACATGCAAAAATCTTTGAGACTTAATCCTCAATTGACAAGAAAAGAAAGTCAGGCTCAGTGGTGAAGGGGTTTGCCCACGGTGACTAACACAGGGTTGCCTGAATCCAAAACACTGGCTTTTCACGGCAAGGGTGGTTTCCAAACCTAGCACAAGGGCTGGGCCTCCGGAGAAGCCCTGTAATTAGTGGAGGGTGAAGGTGGAAGATGAAGTGCAAGGAAAGAATGTGACAGTCAAGTGAGCAGAACCTGGGCCTCCCACCCCCGCTTCGACCACTTGGATCGGTTTTACTTATTGGGCTTCCTCTTATGCTTCTATTTGAGGGAAGAGTCCTATAGTTTTAAAAGGGAGATGGAGAAAGGGTTAGAAAATCACTGCATCATATCAAGCTGCCTATTTCCCAATTCTGCCTGAGGCTGGCCCCTCAGCAGAAAAATAAATCAGTGCTTACAAAAGATCTTCTATGCAGACCACTGCTGGAGTGGTCCCCAAGTCCCCTCTCTAATCATTCCAAAGCTGTCTAAAAAGACTTTACTTTTCGCCAACTGTACTCACTTGTTCAACTATTTTTACCCATTTCCAGGTACTCCAGCTTGGGAGGCACCTGACATCCATCTGTGAAAGTGCAGGCAGCTTGGAGAGCAGGCCCTGCAGCTCCTGCTCTGGGGACAAGCTCTGCATCCCAAGCTCTGAACCTGAAGCAGGACACCCAGGGCCTAGTCCTGGTGCTCCCTACAAGGGGGTAGGGGAATCAGCTCCTCTCCCTAGGTTTCTGTTTCCTTGGCTACCAAGTAAGTTGGGTGGAATACATGGTTTTTAATGTCCTTTCTGACTTTCAGGACTCTATACATAAATAAGTGTGTTTGTGTTTCTGTGGGGAGAGAAAGGGGAGGGAGATGCGATATTAAGAGTGAGTTTGTATAACAGCAAGTCAGAGCTAAGATGTATAAAAGTACACACCCCCCAGAAACACACAGAGGTGTATGCAGAACCTTCAGACAGATTTCTCTAAAATTTATGAGTATCATGAAACAGATTGTAAAAAAGAAAACTATGACATTATGAACGCTGATCTAACTTAAGCACAAAGAGCAAAGTAGACCTTTAACTCCCCCGAGATAACAACTTCGGATAATACAAAATGTAATTTCAGATCTTTCCAAAGGCCTTTCAAAGTCCAGGGATGAGGTTCTGTGTTGCAGGGAAAGGACTCGTACAGAAGTTTTGTTAAAATGATTAGAAAGAAAATAACAGGCACTGGATTTACAGCCAGTCTCTGGGCAATGAATGATTTGTCACCTTTTTCTTCTGTTATTGATTCTCGCCTATAGACAGACGAGGAATGACTGCTGATGAAAGCGTCTGCGTAGCGGCCACTCAGACTGTGTCAAATATTCCTCCGGCGTCCCGCCCCGGGCTCTCTCTGCAAAGGCCCAACCTCCTCACAGATGCTCCGCTGCCTCGTTCAGCCAGCATCTGGAGGTACAACTTCTGACTACCTAACTCGCGCTCCACCCTGTTTTCCATCCCCCCAAATCTTATTTTCTGACACAGGGGCTCGCTCTGTCACCCAGGCTGAAATGCAACGGTGTGATCACGGCTCACTCCAGCCTCAAACTCTTGGGCTCAAGCAATCCTCTCACCTCAGCCTTTTGAGTAATCAGGACTACAGGCGGTGCCACCACACCCAGCTTTTTTTTATATATATTTTTTGTAGAGATGAGGTCTCGCTATGTTGCTGAGGCTAGTCCCGAACTCCTGGCCTCAAGCCATCCTTCACACCCATCCCTCACAAATCCATTTTAAACAAACAAACAGAACATTACGTACCCTTCAAATAACAATGAACACATCGTTTATTTGACTAATGCTGCTGCCTTCCTGATATTGCTAATGTCACTATCCACCACCACCTGGGCTCTTAATAACATCACTCATTTACTGGGCACCTACTTTGGGCCAAAAGGTTTCTTGTGAATTGTTATTAATCTTTATAATGCCCTCTTATGATGAAGACCTTGAGGTTAAATAAATGCTCAAAGTTACATAGTCAGTGGATCTGATAGCTGAACCAAGCTCTCTGACTCCAAAGGTAGGGTTGACTCACAAACATTTCATCCAGGTCAGTAGTGTGAACTATCCACACCTGCTCCCACCTCATTCCTCAACCTCATCTCACAACTTCGCTATTGCCCTGGGAGACCGCAGAGCACCTGCAGCTTTCAAACACTATGGGATCCAGAAATGAAGGAAGCTGGGAGATCCAGGCACAAGCAGGGAGCACCAAACCTAGAGGCAAGTTCTCAGTCCAGAATTTTCTGCCCCTTCCCTCTCTTCTTGCCTAATTCTACCAATTAGGTTCATTGTCACGATTAAAAGGGAAACTGGAAATTGCTTTCTGGAAGTTAAGGCGCTAATTAACATTTACTCTTTGGTTTAAATGTCTGGAATTGGAGAACAACATTCTTAACGCAGCAAAGAACACCAGCCCTGCCACAGTGGGAGTTGGATTCAGAGTTGACTGAGTGATTTGGAGGTCTACAAAGTGCCATGATGGGCCGTCAGGGTCCTGGAAGGTCCTGAGGACAGAAGTAGGAGACAGGGAGGCAGCAAGAGGCAGCACCCAGGAAACCCTTTGTCAATTTCAAAACTGTGCTCAATTTTTTTCTCTTCCTCTTCCTTTCCCTCCCCTCCTATACAGCCTCCTACTCCCCAAACCCAAGATAATAGGATGAGTACTGCATTCCGGTTGCAAACTGAGTTAAAATGGCACCTGTGAACCCAGGCATTATTTGAAATATCTTTACATGGAAATACGTGATCTGATTCTAAACAAACAAGTGTATACCTATCGCATTTCTAAATGTGAGGGAGCTATTATTCACAGCAAGTCCCTGAGAAGCTAATTAAATGTGCCACAAACAAGCATAACAGTCCAACAGAAAAAAGGCGGGGTGGGGGTGGGAGGTTGGAATGGGGCATCTGCTTAAAGTTTTCATTCCTAATAAGAGATGTTTCTAAATTGAGTTGAAGAGAGCTTGTGATACATTGGAGAGTCACTTACACTGTTTCACTTCAATTACTGGTTTCTCCCCAAAATAAGATTCAACAGAAAAGGTGACAGGAGTTCACCTCAGATACCAGTCTCAACAGGCATGGAGGCAGAGACTTCATTAATAGTATAGGAACTCACCAAGTAACTTTATTCCTCCCACCCCTTTTGGATATCCACATAGAAGTTCTAATAGATGTAAGAGCAAATGCAAATCACTGGCATTGTAAAGAATAAGGTCCACCACGGGGAAGTGCTACTGGGGACCACGAGGAAGCATGAAGGCCAAAACTTAGAAAGAGTCTGACCTATTCCCGATGAGCCAGTGATTTTTCCCCGTGGCCATGGTCAGGTCACTGTATCCTTTACGGCTTTTGCTTTTCTGCGTGCAAAACAGAAATATTCCACTGATCACATTCATTCACTTTGTAACTGCACAGACCCTTAGAACATCTAATGTAACTGCTTCCTTGTATGGATGAGAACACTGAATGTCAAAGAGGTACTGCTGGTAGTTAGAGGCCACGCAGCTAGTCAGTGTTAGAACTAAGATAATTAGGGCAAGGTCTCCTGATTCTTAAACGAGCACTCCGACACCCTGGTATCAGTCAAGTATTACCACGCAGAGGTGATGAGATCACCTGAAAACGTGTAAACCTATATCCTTACAGGACAGTCTGGCCATCACCCTAATGGCAACATTCAGTTGACATTCAATCTCCATAGTTTCTACTAAACGGATATGATAAAATATAATAAAATACGCCATATCTGATACATTTATAAGCCAGTATAATATTCATTTAAAGTTAAATCTACCTTTTAAATACACATCTAAATTATTTTCACACCAAAGATCCTATGTTCTAGTTTATTTACAGGTGGTGTTAACCAAACACATTTAAAATAAAATCAAAATCACCTGCAAAGAAATTGTTTAGGTTTAATTTTAATTCATGTCATACAAAAATGAATCCAATTTGCTTTAAAAACATTGAGTAAATGTCTGACAATCTCTATAATGACTTGCAACTAGAGAATTCCTAACTGCGTCTACTCGCTGCTTCACAAAACACATTTCTCTGGCTGGGCACGGTGGCTCATGCCTGTAATCTCAGCACTTTGGGAGGCCGAGGCAGGTGGATCACCTGAGGTTGGGAGTTCAAGACCAGCCTGACCAACACGGAGAAACCCCATTTCTACCAAAACTACAAAAAATTAGCCGGGTGTGGTGGCGCATGCCTGTAATCCCAGCTACTCGGGAGGCTGAGGCAAGAGAATCGCTTGAACCTGGGAGGCAGAGGTTGCAGTGAGACAAGATCACGCCATTGTACTCCAGTCTGGGAAACAAGAGTGGAACTCCATTTAAAAAAAAACACCCTTCTCCAAAATAAGTCTACTCAGAGCTTGACAGGAAAAAGAATACTTATGGCTAGCTTGGACTGTAAGACATATATTCATGTGTGTAAAAGGTTAATTTAGAACTCCAGTACTCATGTTAACCTGTTTTATTCAAATAAAGTTTTTTAATAAAACTGACAGATTAACAGAGTAAAAAAAAAATTTAAACTGTGGAAATAATAATTGTTTCCCATGCCAAAACATAGCAGAAATACTTCTATCTGAGGACATCTAGATGGCCTAACAACCTTTGAGGAAAAGACAGTGAAAATCACTGCATTTCAGGAACTTGTTTTTGAGAGACCTCAGTGAGTACAAAAGACAATGTCTAGTTTTGTAATACATCCAGCTTCACCAAGAGAACACGGAACAGTAGGAATAGGGTTAGATCACTGAGGGATGTAAATTCCGAAGGAAGAATTTAGGACCTCACCCCTTAAAACCATGTTATCCATCTTCCCACTTGGACCGAAAGCTTTTTCTGAGGACAAGAACAATGTCACACCCCAGTGTCTAAGGCCCTCATAGTAAAAATTCAATTTGTTGGATCAAAGAAAAAATAAATTGCTCAAGTAGGTTGGGAGATGTAATAAGACCTCAAATAATGTGGCAAAACATTCATGTATTTTAAATTTTTTTTAATGATGGAAAGTTTAAAGTTGGAGTTTATAGAAAATAAGGGGAGATGATGGATTATGAGAGGAAGCTTCTAGAAGAGGTAATATCTTGAGTTGACCCTTTGAAGAAGAAAGGGATTCAGAGAGATGGGAAGATGGCTTAGCCATTACATGGTCTGATTTCTGAAAATAAATAAATAAATAAATAAATAAATAAATAAATAAAGTTTCTGGACATCAATTGCCTTGTGTGAAATGATTAGTATCAAAAACCTTTAAAGTATTTTCAACTCTAAAAATTTCGTTAAAATAGCTGTTTATAAAGAGGCGCTTGAGTTCAGCTATGCAGCCCACAGCCTGTATTTAAGCAGGCAATTATAAAATATATGCATTTAAGGTTTTCATTTAAAATTATTAGCCTTTTTATAACGTCACCTGTTTGAGTGTTAACTCTTTGCCATTCATTCTTCAAAAATCACTCCAATTTATTTCCACTTCATGTTCCTACGTCAAGCAAACCGTGTTTTTTATGAAATTTTTTTTCCTCTTCTATGCCACATATAGAAAAGGTGCGCAGAAAGTCCTAAGAGGTACACCAAACAAAGTCTATCCAAACTCTTCTTCCTCTCAATCTTTACCTTCTTATGTAAAAGATCTGCCTAAAACATTACATACCCCGAGTAGCTGTCCTTGATTATGTCTAGCTTAGCGGTCCTCCTACGTGCTCATGTTCTGCCGTGTACTCTACCCAAGAATAGCCCCAATATATTCTACTTTCCTGTCCCCCATTTAGAAAGCCAGCTCTCGAGAATCGAGGTCTGGTGATATTCAGGCCACTTACCTACTTTATTGTTTGGAGACAGGGACTCACTGTCGCCCAGGCTGGGGTGCGGTGGTGCTATCATGGCTCACTGCAGCCTGCATGCTACTTTACTTCTAGTTCCTAACACAGTAATTGGCACATGGTAAGCTTGCTGAATGAATGAGTAAATTAGTGGTTTGGAAAACAGAGGCCTGGATAAATGTGTGCGTAGGGGAATGCAGTTCATTTCAGGCAAATTCTCATGCCAGAGCAAGTCAAACAATGGAGTATGGAAGAGGCCTCAGAGATCATCTAGTCCAATTCCCTCATTTTCCAGAAGCCAAGGAATGTTGGCATAGTGCCCATGAAATAAAAAGAAAAAAATCAGAAAACATAAAAGAATATTAGGAAAAGCAAACATTCTCTCCTATTAAATGAAGCTTCCAGCCCACACAATCTGCAAGTGGAATTTAAATAATTAAAATTTTCACAACACTAATTGCATTTGGCCCTTATTAGTGACTTCAAATGTGTCCACCTATTACCTAATGGTGTCAAGTCTACATCTTCCAGGCTCAATTACTTAGTATGTAGATGAGGCAAGATTCTCCCTTCTCTCCCTTCTGTGTTTCTCCAGCCTTTCAATGCTCATTAGCACCTCCAACAGAAGGTAGAGGAAATGAAACTCCAATTTATCAATGTCAACTGTTGAACCAGCAAATTGCATCAGTCCCGCCCCCACATGGAAGTGTTTGGACAATTCTGAATAAACAAGATGTTGGCAGCTGTGTTCCAATGGTTCAGTAATTGCATTGTTTCCTACTGTGCTTTATGGGTTGTGAAATGAATTTATTAAATAACCTACACAAGGGGAATGTGGTGTGGTCTAGCAGCAACAGCTCCAGGCTGGTGCTGGGAAACTGTCTACAGTTTCCCATTTTCACCACTAGTCTTGACTCCAGTTTTTCTGGTCCTCAGGCTCCTACACTATTCACGAGGATAGTAATTCTGCCCTAGGCAGTAGAGGAATCTCTAGGACTTAAAACACTATGTGCTTTTTTCTCCCCATACAGAGGTTTAACATTTATCATATTCTCCATATACTAGAACCTTGCATACTTACTTTCAGACCAAACTATGCCCTTTGAGTACAACATCCATAACACAAAATGGTACACAGGGCTTGTAGGAAGGTAAGTTTAACTGGCCACTTAATACTGGATGACTATAGTCAGGAAAGGAAAATTGAGTCAAGGCACGTGTAGCAAATGGTGGAGGGATTTAAACACAGAGAACGGGAATCAATTCTATTGTCTTCAGTATGTTTGCCAGTTGGTATTTTGCCAGTTGTCTTGGGCTATTAAAACTAGTTGGTGTTTTGTAAATTTAGCCTGGCTGTGTGACAGAATGAGAAATTATTTTCAAGTGAAGATGGAAAACCTACTTGTATATCATTGTGATTATAAAAGGGAAAAATAAATTAAGTTTTAATAAAAGTCAACCCTAAACCTAGTTGACCCCATGTCAGTTAGTGTTAAACTGGCCTCTTAATCTCAGAAGGCAGACAAGTTTGAGATTACAGAGAATGCCCTCAGAGAGAATCTCCCTGCATCTCTGGTATTAGCTGGACCCTAAATAGCACAAGGTCTCCGGGTGGTTGGAGCACTTTTTTCTAGACACAGAGGAGGCTGAGTGCAGATGAGATTGGGGAGGACAGCTTCCTTTCAGCTGAAGTTTGGCACTCACTCAGCATCCCAATTTTGGCTTCAATTGTTTTCCCTTTCCTTCTTTTTTTTTTTTTTGAGATGGAGTCTTGCTCTGTCGCCCAGACTGGAGTGCAGTGGTGGAATCTCAGCTCACTGCAAGCTCCACCTCCCAGGTTCACACCATTCTCCTGCCTCAGCCTCCCAAGTAGCTGAGACTACAGTAGGTGCCCACCACCACGTCCGGCTAATTTTTTGTATTTTTTTAGTAGAGACGGGGTTTCACCATGTTAGCCAGGATGGTCTCGATCTCCTGACCTCGTGATCCACCCGCCTCGGCCTCCCAAAGTGCTGGGATTACAGGCGTGAGCCACTGCGCCCGGCACCCTGTCTTTCTTAAAGGGCAAAAAGTATAAAAGAAAGCTTCCTCTCAAATTAAGAAGCAAAATTTCACACTTTCCAAGCTCCCCAACCTATTAACTTATAAATAGAACTTGATTCAGATCCACAGTCGTTTATTGAAATTGACTCATGACCACTGGTCTGCCCAGCTGGTATAATCACTGGCAGATTGTGTTCCCTGGGCTGGCTCACCTCCACGACGGGAACAATGATTGTGAGGGTTTAAGATGATGTGTGTGGAACACATAGCCCAGTGCTGACACTTAGAGAAGTCTATTGAAGCTGGAGAGGTACTCTACGTCCCAGCTTCTTATTTAAACCTCACAGAAGCCCTGTGATGTAGGAATTATGGTCACTATTTCCCAGACAGAGAAGTTAAGTGGCTACTCAGGGGCATGAAGGTGGAAAGTAGAGTCAGAAACTAAAACCAGGTCTCGCTCATTCCAAATCTTACATGCTTTCTGCAACAAGATGTTGGTGTTTATCTCTAGAACATTCTGTTCTGTCTACACTTAGTGTCCTTTAAGGCACTCTTCTGAATAAACTGAAAGTTTTGCTTCCCGCTCCCCACCATAAAAGTTGAATGACATATGTGCATAGAAGTTCACTGGTAGCTTTTTGTTTGATATGGTTTGGCTGTGTCCCCACCCAAATCTCATCTTGAATTTTAGCTCCCATCATTACCACCTGTTGTGAGAGGGATCAGGTGGGAGATCATTGAATCATGGGATTGGTTTCCCCCATAATGTTCTCGTGGTAGTGAATAAGTCTCATGAGATCTGATGGCTTTATCTGGGGAAACCCCTTTCGCTTGGCTCTCATTCTCTTGTCTGCCGCCATATAAGACATATCTTTTGCCTTCCGCCATGTTTGTGAGGCCTCCCCAGCCATGTGGAACTGTGAGTCCATTAAACCTCTTTTTTCTTTATAAATTACCCAGTTTTGGGTATGTCTTTATCAGCAGTGTGAAAATGGACTAATACGACGTTCTTTGGATTCTGGCTGAATGCAAATTTGTTTTATTTTCTAATTAGGAGCCCTCCAGCCAAATTATAGGTCAACAGCCCAAAGGGCAGCACAGTGAAGTGTGGGTTTTAAAAAGCCACATACAGTGACGCATGGAGAAATGAAGATCAGCACTTGAGTCCTACCTGGAGTGTGCTCTAGAATGGGACAGGAGGCCAAGGATCCAGCACACCTGTGCAGCAGGAGTGGGGCCCAAGATGCCTGTGTCCCTGACTCACAAGACCTAGCAAGTCATTTCCTCATCTGGGGCCTGTTTTCTCATTTGGAAAATGGTAGATTTGGACAGGTTGATATATTTTTTTAAGTCATACTTATTAAGGTATACTTTATATACAATAAAACTCACCCCCCCCATATATATATATATATATATATATATATATATATATATATATATATATATATATATATATATATATATATATTTTGAGACGGAGTCTCGCTCTGTCGCCCAGGCTAGAGCGCAGTGGTGCAATCTCGGCTCACTGCAGGCTGCGCCTCCCAGGTTCATGCCATTCTCCTGCCTCAGCCTCCCGAGTAGCTAGGACTACAGGCGCCCGCCATCACACCCGGCTAATTTTTTTGTATTTTTTGTAGAGACGGGGTTTCACCGTGTTAGCCAGGATGATCTCAATCTCCTGACCTCGTGATCCACCCGCCTCGGCCTTCCAAAGTGCTGGGATTACAGGCATAAGCCAACGTGCCCGGCCAAAACTCACCCCCTTTTAAAGATGCAGTTCGGTAAGTTTGGCAAAGGTATAAAGTTGTATAACCACCACAATTAAGACAGAATATTTCCATCACCCCAAAAAGTTTTCTCACACCCCTTTGCAGTTAATCCCCTTCCCAGCCCCCAGGCAATCTCTGTTCTGATTTATGCCTGTAGTTTTACTGTTTCCTGCATGACATATAAATGACACAGTACGTAGCCTTTTATAACTAGTTTCTTTCACTTAGCATGATGCTTTTAAAGTTCACCCATTTTGTTGATTCATCAATAGCTTGCTTCTTTTTGTACAGATGTGACACAATTTATTTATCCATTCACCGTTTTCTGGGTTTTTGCTAATATGAATAAAACTTTTGTAAACATTTGTGTACAGGCCTTTGTGTAGAAATAAATTCCATTTCTCTCAGACGAATACCTGGAAGTGCGATCGCCGTTCCATTTTTTAAGGGTGGATGTGTGTTTGACTTTCTTGTAAAGTGTCACATTATTTTAAAAAATGCTTGTACCATTCTGCATTCCTACCAGCCATGTATGGACCGGATGACATTTAATGGGCAACCTCAGATAATGACTGTTGTTCCTTTGACAAATCAATGCCTCATGTGTGCATTCTTCCAGAGCATTCTTCTGTTTATGTTTATGTTTGTATGTATGTATGGTGTATCTATAAATATTGAGACAGGATCTCGCTCTGTTTCCCAGGCTGGAGTGCAGTCTAGAGCATTCTTCTGTTTATGTTTATGTTTGTATGTATGTATGGTGTATCTATAAATATTGAGACAGGATCTCGCTCTGTTTCCCAAGCTGGAGTGCAGTGGCACGATCACAGCTCACTGCAGCTTCAACCTCCCAGGCTCAAGTGATACTCCCACCTCAGCCTCCTGTGTAGCCGGGACCACAGGCATGCACCACCATGCCCAGCTAATTTATTTGTTTATTGTAGAGACAAGGGTCTTGCTATGTTGCTCAGGCTAGTCTTGAACTCTTGGGTTCAAGGGGTCTTCCTGCTTTGGCCTCCCAAGTAGGTAGGACTACAGGTGCATGCCACAATACCCAGATAATTTTTTGTGCTTTTTATTTTCTTAGAGACGGCGTCTTGCTATGTTGCCCAGGCCTCAAGCCATCCTCCCACCTCGGCCTCCCAGAGAGCAAGGATTACAGTTGTAAGCCACCACACCAGGCTACGTTCTTCATTTTATTCAAAAAATATATTATGAACATAGAGTTTTCCTGACTGTTAGTATGTTAATGCTTCAAAGATGAGTGTGTGTGAGTGTGTGTGTGTGTGTGTGTGTGTGTGTGGGTGTCAAAGGGAGAGAGGAGAAAAAAGATGAGGATCCACTGATGGACATCTGAGCTCTGAATAATGCATTGACACGTTTCATTTTAAGCACTGTTTAGGTTCCATTCCGCACCCCCACCCCCTGCAAGCTAATTACCTCACCATTTTGAGCACCCAGCTGTTGCTGTCTGAAACCTGACCTTCACTATGAACACACTCACAGCTGCAGTAATCTGCCTACCTAATAATGCATGGCTCTTATCTGCTTCATACACCCCTTTCTGCAAACCAACTTCATGAGGCAGCCTCCTCTGTTTCTCTGGTTACTTCTCCCCAAACCAGTTATCTCTCTGCAAAAGAAAAGGAGGAGGCAAGTACATCTTGAGAAGGAGAAAGGAGTTTTGGTTGCAGTGCAACCCTAGAGATAGTGCTATTGGAAGCCTGCCTGTCTGTTCATTTTGCCACTCAACGTGTTGTTCATGGCCCAGGAGCAAAGGCATCATCTGCTCGCTAGCATGAAGAATCTCAGCCTGCATTTGGGACCTAATGAATCAGAATCTGTGCTTTAACAGAAGATCCAGTGGATCTGTAGGCATGTTAAAGTTCTACATGTGCTAGAAAGGAACAGAAATCACAGGGAGTTTCCATGTATTCAATTTAAGAACCGACCTATGGGTATGAGATGGTCAAGCTAATAAGGACAAAACTATGTCAAAAAGGCTGTGTGGTCTCAAGGAAACAGCCCACACCCAGTGATCCTCCTGATACCCATACCCTTGCGTAGTCCCCTCAAACACTGAATGAGGGTTGGTCTGTGTGGCAAATCAAATAGGTAAACGTGATAGTATGAGACTTCTGAAGCTAGGTCATAAAGACACTGCAACCTTTTCTTGCCTTGGTTCCTTGGATCACATGCTTGGGTGGAAGCCAGTCACTATGTCGCAGCACTTCAAAGGAACCTTGTGGAGACGCCCACATGGGGATGAGCCGAGGCCTCCCAACTGCAGCACCAACTTCCCAGCCATGTGAGTCCGGTGGAAACTCTAGCCCCAGTCAAATTTTAGATGATTTCAGCCCTGCAACCTCATGAGAGACCACAAACCAGAACTACTCAACTACACCACTCCTAGATGCCTGACTCCAAGAAACTGTGAGATCATAAATGCTTAATGTTGTTTTAAGCCACTAAGTTTTGGAATAATTGTTTACTCAGCAGCAGCAAACTAGTACAAGAACAGAAAGATGGATCTGAGACTGGGTTTTCTCAACTAGTAGCAATTTTCCATAGTCACGTCACCTTCTTAGTATCTCAGATGACTCATCTGTGAAAGGAGCCATGGCAGTTCATCAAATCTTCAACACTTTTGGATATAAGATGCACCGTTGCTTTACAAATCACTAGAATAGTGAAAAATATTCAAATTCAGACAATCGATTCTAAGGTGCCTACTATTATTAGGGATGTACAATTGTGAGAAAGGGGAGCATCTTAAAAAAATCAATGAAATACAATTATTATACTTGTTCTGTCCACTACACAGAGATGGTGTAAGGATCAATGGAATAACAGATGAAAAGACTGGAAGGATGAAGGAACTTGATGGGCAGCATCCTGAAGCACCACAGCTTGAGAAGGGGAAATGACATTACAGTTATCCAAACTAGCTAATTAAACTGGCTCTGCTGGGCTTTGCCAACTCACTTTTAATGCTATTGCCTCAGGCTCCTATCACAATTTATACTCAAAATGACTGCTACAAAGCCCAGCTGAGAGGAAAAAAAACAGTCAAGGAGAACCATCCACAGCAGTGTTCCTTAAACCTGTTTGAGCATAAGAAATCACTTGGTGCCTTTGATAAATACACACCCAGGCCCCTTGCCTAGAGACTCTGATTCAGTAAATCTGCAGCTGGCATTGGAATCTGTATTTTAACAAGGGCCCCAGGCAGTTCTTACGAACACACAAGTTTCAAAACACTGATCTAAACAAGATAATATTGACACACTTACTGATATTTTTTCTTGGATCAAACTGTAATAGAAAATCACAAACCTAGATTGCCTTAGTTACATCTCCTCCCCATATAAAAATGCTTTCAACTAAGTGAAAGATTTTACTGAAGGCCAATGCAAAAAACTTGTCTTACCAAGTAAAGTTTATCATCAGCTGGAAAACTTACTTAAGTGATGGCAAATTACACTATTCAATGTTTATAATATTTAAAAATCTGCATAATAAGGATATGAAAGAGTATGTCTCGCCAGGTGCGGTGGGTCACGCCTGTAATCCCAGCACCTTGAGAGGCTGAGGCGGGCGGATCACGAGGTCAAGAGATTGAGACCAGCCTGGCCAACATGGTGAAACCCCATCGCTACTAAAAATACAAAAATTAGCTGGACGTGGTGGCGTGTGCCTGTAGTCCCAGCTACTCGGGAGGCTGGGGCAGGAGAATCACTTGGACCCGGGAGGCGGAGGTTGCAGTGAGCCGAGAGATCGAGCCACTGCACTCCAGCCTGGGCAACAGAATGAAACTCTGCCTGGAAAAGAAAAAGGGGACCGGGGGGAAGAGTACATCTACTGACAGACCTGTCTCTTTTAAATCAATCAATAAAAGTTGCTAGGCAACCATATTTTCCTTTTTTGCATAGACTGCCAGGAATCTTTTATCTAAAATTTATGCCCTCAAACAATAGCTATCTACCTATGTCAAATAAAACATTTCCTGTGAGATGTTAGCTTTGCCCTGTATTTTAATGGACACATTATAGTAAAATCTTTTTCCTTTAGACCTTTTTTTTTTTGGAAGAAAGCAGAAAACAAATTTTGAAGTCAATAATGTTAGGTCATTTTTGTTGTTGTTTCTAATCACATTCAGACTAAACAACTGTAACACAATTTCTAGCAATTCTTCCTTCAGTTGCTCAGGTTGTCTCCCCTCGTGGCAATCCCTTGGCCTGCTTTTAAAACACAAAACAAATGCTAACCCTATCTTGGCAAGGAAAGTCAATGACTCATTCAAGCCAAAGAGTTAAGAGACTAAACAAAAAATAATTTTAGCGCAGCTCCTCAAAAGGCTCTTCTTTTCTCTCTCAGATGTACAACATAATTTTCTGACAATCTGACGCAACTATGGCAGCACATTCAAGCCATTAAAAATCTTTTTTCTGCAAAAACAAAACAAAAACAAAAAACTTCCACTTCATTTTTAAACATCTCATTTGTGTGCCTTCAGTTTCGCAACAGAAATTCATCCTTGACCTAAACTTCTAAATATTCCACAAACAATAATTAAGTCACTAGGACCCTGCTGTGAAAAGGGCATTTTCTGACAGATGGGCTACGAAGTCAGAGCACAAAAATAGATTCTATGCTTTTCCAGCCTTACAGAGCAAGGAGACGTGGGGCAAGGGTTTCCATAATCAACCTTCAGAACAACCCTAGAACTCTGGGTGCACGTAGTGTCTCAAAAGGACATGACTAAGTTGTCAATACTTTAGAGCGTGGGATAGTGTTACTCGCTGTTGTTGCAATGAAGTTTTTCAATCTCTATGATTCTTCTCCTACCAGCCTGGCTGCCCAGGCTAACTTCACCCTCTTCTCCTTCTAGGGAAAGGTCTTTTCCTCTGTTGAGTCCTGCAGACTTCCCTCTCTTTCCATCAAGGCTAATCCCATCCTCCCCTGTATTCCCATGACACTCACAATATGGCATCACAAATGGTTGTCTCATATGTCTGTCTCTGCTACTGAACCAAGCAGCTTGAGGTCAACGATCTCAGTTCATTCATCTTTGAATTGCAGGACCAATCACACTGCAGGTACATGGTACATGGCAGGTACTCTGCCAATTTGTGTGAATGAATGAATCGAGTTCAGCAACACTGAGGTCCCTCAGATTCTCTGACTCAAATCCAGTTATGAGGCCGGGCATGGTGGCTCACACCTATAGTCCCAGCTACTCAGGAGGCTGATGTAGGAGAATCGCTTGAACCCAGGAAGTGGAAGTTGCAGTGAGCCAAGATCATGCCATTGCACTCCAGCCCAGACGACAAAGCGAGACTGCATCTCAAAAAAAAAAAACCAAACAAAACAAAACAAACAAAAAAACCCAAATCCAGTTATGATGCAAATAAGGACATGAGGACTGAGGAAGTAATTTTCCCCAGTTATATCAAAAAAAAAAAAAAAAAAGAAGAAGAAAGAAAAAAGACAAAAATCCAGATTTTCTCATCCCCATTCCACTGCTTTTCTATCATGCCTCCTCTTTGCACATGCTGTTTCTCCTGTGGGGCCACTCCTTTTTGTGTCTTCTGCCACTACTTTTCCGACCTTCCTGAGGTTTCTTAGCCCCTCCCAAGTCCTTCACATCTCAGCCAAGGAACAAAAACAAGGAAACCAAACACCACAAAGAAGTGCCAGCTGTTCTACCGTGAGAGCAAGACAAACTGGGAACACAAATGCAATGCTGGCAGAATTTCTTTCTGGGATAGACTGAAATGTTCCTTGAATTGCGCAGACAATTACTTTCTACCACAGGTACAGATGTTTGAGAGGATTGTTCTTTTTTTTTTTTTTTTTTTTGAGACAGAGTCTTGCTCTGACGCAGGCTGGAGTGCAGTGGCACGATCTCAGCTCACTGCAACCTCTGCCTCCCTGGTTCAAGCGATTCTCCTGCCTCAGCCTCCCGAGTAGCTGGGACTACAGGCGCATGCCACCATGCCCAGCTAATTTTTGTATTTTTAGTAGAGACAGGGTTTCACCATGTTGGCCAGGATGGTCTCAATCTCTTGACCTCGTGATCAGCTCACATCAGCCTCCCAAAGTGCTGGGATGACAGGCGTGAGCCACCACGCCTGGCCGATTGTTCACATTTTATTTGGCCAGGGATCTTTAGAAAGTGTCTTTAAAAAAAAAAAAAAAAAAAAGCTGGGTGCGGTGGCTTAAGCCTGTAATCCCAGCACTTTGGGAGGCTGAGGCGGGCAGCTCACGAGGTCAGGAGATCAAGACCATCCTGGCTAGCACGGTGAAACACCGTCTCTACAAAAAAATACAAAAAAATTAGCTGGGTGTGGTGGCGGGCACCTGTAGTCCCAGCTACTCGGGAGGTTGAGGCAAGAGAATGGCGTGAACCTGGGAGGTGGAGCTTGCAGTGAGCTGAAATCGCACCACTGCACTCCAGCCTGGGCGACACAGCGAGACTCTGTCTCAAAAAAAAAAAAAAAAAAAAAGTCTTAAAAACATACAAGCACATTTGCAAATTTTATTCCACTTAATCCAGAAAAATGCTAGGCCCTGATTCCCAAATCACTTATAGATTCCAGAAAAAAATGATGACAATTTGATCTAATTTCTTAAAACATTTTAACCGTCTGTTGGTCTAAAACTATTTATTAAGACATCAAGAATCATTTTCAGTCTTAACTCTGGAATTAAACTAAAAAATTTAGATGAATCACTTCTACTATTGTCTCTGTTCTACCTTTGCTTAAATATAACAAAACTCTGCCAACTTACAGATTTACTAGCCTTGATCCTAGAATTCATGGTGAAAAACCTGACCTCCTTTGGAAGATCAAGAAGAAGAAAGATTGGGGGAAAAAAAAAAAAAAGGCCTTCCCTCAGACAAAAAGCTTTTGATTACAGGATGTCACTATTTTCAGAATGTTCTTAGCACATTCCCAGTGAAGCACCATCATATCCTCCCTCTCTGGAGATGAAAAAAAGTCCCACCACTTCTAAGCTGGGTGTCTCTGAGGTGTTGGAGTGAGGCAATAGTGAGGTCAGAGAGTATGGTTATATGCTCTGGTTTGTTTCTGAGTGGATGGAACTGGGTTATAAATCAAGAGATCTAATTATAGACATAGCTGTATCCCTCCCTGGACCTCAGCTTCCTTTAATATTAAATAGAGGGCATTCCTTGAAGGTAGCATTCTGTGACTCCCTAACAGAGATAATCTCAGAGCATGTTTCTGAAAAAGCAGAAAATGGACCAAATGTCTTTAGGGAGTTCACTCTATTTTACTTTTGCTACGGAAACCCAAGGGTGTCTGGCACCCACCCCAAGCCATTGCGTCACCCAGACCTCTAACACACAAAAGCAGCCTGGGTGCTTGTTATGGGCTAAGTTGTGGACTCACAAATTCTTATGTTGAAGCCCTAACTCCCAGTAACCTCAGAATATTATTGTATTTGGAAATACAGCCTTTAAAGAAGTGATTAAATTAAAATGAGGCTGTTAGAGGGAGTCCTAATTCAATCTGACTGGTAGTCTTATAAGAAGAGATATCTGGATGCACAAGGGTGCACAAACACAGAAGGCGGCCATGTGAGGACACAGCAAGCAGGCGGCCGTCTGCAAGCCACGGAGAGGGGCCTCAGGAGAAACCACACCTACTGACACCTTGAACTTAGACTTCCAGCCTCCAGAACTGTGAGAAAACAAATTTCTGCTGTTTAAGCTACCCTGTCTGTGGTATTTTGCTACGGCAGACTTAGCAAGCTAATACAACACTGAACAGATTTAACTGTTTACATGGATCAATCATCCTGCCTAGGTTTCTCCTTGCTCTAAAGAAAAGACTTTCATCTTAATGCTGGTAGCTAATTTTCCCAAGGTCACACAGTTACTTAGTGTCAGAAGAGGTACTCCAACAGGGCTCATGGGAAGAAACACGTACCTCAGACATCTGTACTTTTTTCTTCTTAAAAAATGCAGATGATACAAAACACCAAAACACTTGGCATAGACATCCAAACGGCATACATCAAAGACCATACCCAGGGTATGGCCATAATGCTTGAAGAACCCATTTTACATCAGGATTATGACATTGAAGAACTAAAAAATACATGTTTAAAATATGCCCTGTTTGAGTCCAGAACTATGTCAGCATCTGTTGACCAGAGTAAGTATTAGCAGTTCTTGTTTCACCCTAGAAAGCCCACACGTTTCCTCCCGAGAGAGCTCTCCATTGCTACTTACTCTTCTCTGAGAGGTTTTCTTTCCCAAAGGGGCCTTCTGAAGTTTGTAAACATGGAGAGACATTCCCACATAAACATGCCTATTGTTAAGAGTAAAAGCACACATCAGTCTCAGCCACAGCACTGGAACATGTCTCCGTCTCGGCTCCTGGTCACACTCAAGGCCTGAACAGGCCATCCTCCACCCCTGTCCCACCTGGGCTTCCCACCAAGCACAAGACGCAGCTCAAGGGGAGAACGAGCTGCGGATCTGCAATAGTTCATCATTCCGAGGCCCCTCGGCACAGAGGCATTAAGATGAGCTCCTGGGAGAGAACCGAATGGAGGAATCCTGTAGCAAACCTTGATTGTCAGACCTGAATCAAGGAAAGGGCTCTCGCTCACTGGTTTCCAAATGACAATCCCTGAATGAGTCTGGGCCGTCTGCATCTGAATCATCTCAAAAGGTTTTGCAAAAAATATAGATTCCAAAACGCCATCCTAGGACATTCCATATCATGAGTCTCCGGCTTTAGATTCTGTATTTTTAAATGATCCCCAGGTGATTGTCTAATTTGAGAAACACACACACATATTATAGTTGAAAGAAAACAACTGAGAAGTAGCCAGTGCCAACAAATCACAGTTCATATCAAGTCAGTATCAGAAACATCAGAAACCTGGAGGTACCGCCCATCTATTTCTACATTAGTTTTCTATTATTACATGACAGAACACCCCCAAACTTAGGGATTTATAAAAATAAACACTTCCTATCTTTTAGTTTCTGTAAGTTGAGAAACGAGGAGCAGCAGAGCTGCATATCTCCTGCACAGGCTCTCTCATGAAGCTGCGGCAACATCACTCGTGGCTGGAGCTGCAGCCATTTGAAGGCTTGATTGGGGCTGAAAATCTGTTTCCAAGTCATTGACCAGAGGCCTCAGTTCTTCACTGACTGCTGGAAGAAGGCCTTGGTTCTTTAACACATGGGCATCTATATAAGACATCTTAAGTGTGCTCATGATAGCAGCTAATTTCCCCTACAGGAAGTGATCCAAGAGAGAGCAAGGAGGAAACCACAGTGCCTTTAATGACTAGTCTATAAAGTTGCACACTATCACTTCCACTTTTGTCCATGCATTAGAAGCAAGTCACTAGGCCCAACCCACCTTCAAGAGAAAAATGGGCTCTTTGAAGTGAGTATTAAATAATCTGTGGACTTTTTTTTTTTTTTTTTTGAGATGGAGTCTCGCTCTGTCACCCAGGCTGGAGTGCAGTGGCGCGATCTCGGCTCACTGCAAACTCCGCCTCCCGGGTTCACACCATTCTCCTGCCTCGGCCTCCCGAGTGGCTGGGACTACAGGCGCCCACCGCCACACCCAGCTACTTTTTTGTATTTTTAATAGAGATGGGGTTTCACCGTGCCAGCCAGGATGGTCTCAATTTCCTGACCTCGTGATCTGCCCACCTCGGCCTCCCAAAGTGCTGGGATTACAGGTGTGAGCCACCACGCCTGGCCTTGTGGACATATTTTAAACCAGCATACTTTCCAATGTTTCTGTCATGCCAAGAATGAAGTAGAAATTAGAGATACAAAAATACATACATGATTTTGACTCTGCCCTCATGGAATCTTGGAGCAGGGATAGAAGAGAGAACCCAAGTATCCACTGTATTATATGCCTTTTTTGAAGTCAAACTAGTGAATGCCCATTTAGGTTAGGAGCAGAGGCACATAGTGTACTGAGTTACAAGTCAAAAAAGCCTGGGTTTGAGACCCTACTTTCCCACTTTTAGCTATGTACACCACTTAGCCACTAAGTTACGACCTTTTTCTTTTACAAAATGAAAATTACTTATGACTTCATGATGGTGAGGGGGTGGATTGGGAGGCAAGGATTTTGTGAGGGCTAAAGAAGATAAAGTACATGACTGCTGGAAAAAATAGCTGAGTGCTATAAATATTAACAATTACAATTACTAGCATGCTTATAAGCAAAAATATATACATATCAGAAGGTGAAGAGGTCAATACAAACAGGTCACCTTAATTCCTTTTGCATGTACCCACTCTGGATTTACGTACCTTCCTTCTAGGAGCAAAACAGCCTTCTGTTTCTCTCTGGGGCACTCTTCTTCCTGCTCCAAACTATGTTTTCTTTCTGCTAAACCTGTCCTACCTGTGGTGTTCCTGGCAATTAGAACTGGATGGGCCCTGTAAAATGTACTTAAACAAGTGCCCAAATGTTACTTCATCAAGCAACTCATCTTGAAGACTTAATTGCTCCCTAAATGTTTAAATGTCCATTTACATTGAAGGTGACAGTAAGAAGAAATAGCACATAAATATAGAAGTTTCTGGAAATATTTTGTATTTGCAGGTATGTCTACATATACATATATGTGTCTGTGTGTGTGTATATTATTTACCTAAGTCTAGATCTAGATATATGTAAAAACAAACTAGCAAGACAGAATTCTACTGTCATCAGAATGGGAGCTTTCCCAGAGCTCCAGAGGAAGGAATTTGATTCAGAGTATAGCCGCTAAAGAAAATGTCAATCTATATGTCAATCTATACAGAAAACAACCTTCTAACCACCTAGGAGCATAAAAGTATTTGAGAAAGTTCATTCTCAATTCTTTTTCAAATCCCTTTCTCATCTTTTCCCAGTATGTTCAGACTTTTTAAAGAGATTCAAAAAATTCCGTTTTAGGGAAACTCACTGTGGAGAAGCATGTAACATGAAACCACCCCACAGCCACTGCAGGTAAAAAATAAAAAGCATCCCTATGCAGAGATAAGAAAAGAGATTGGAAAACAATATTTAAAATTCCTCCAACCATTGGTGGGTAGAAGACATACTTCAATAAAAATGTTTCAAAAAGAGATATCTTTAGCCAATAAGCCAAAAATCTAAAGATCATTATAAGTCTAATGTCCCCTGCAGATATAAAAGATGATCATGAGAGGGAACACAAAAATTCGAGGCGTTCAAGTTTCAGAAAGCCACCTGCAGTGTTCCCCTTTCTGCAGAAAAGGGCAAATAACTGAAATTAGAAACATACATATTACACATTTTCAAAGTCAACCAAAAGGACCAGTATTTTGTTCAAAATGAAAAAGAAAATCAAAGCTCCTTTATTGAATTCAACCACCGTAACTTTGTGCTTGGGAGTATGACAAAGACTTTTTTCTCTTTTTTCTTTTTTTTTTTTTTTTTTTTTTTTTGCTTTTCCTAGAACCTCCCTCTGAAGCTAAGTCGTGGTATCCAGAGAGCGTTATTGGGAGAGTTCCCAATTTAGTTTCCAGCGCAATCCCTCTAAGCCTAGAAAACTCAGAGACTGTTCGCAAGAGCATCACTTGTTAGAAACAGATGAGTGAGGCGCTATGGTAGAAAGTTTCTCGTGGTGGGAGGTGACCAGCTGAATCTCCCCAGATGACTTAATGAGAAAAAAACTGCTAAAACATGGTATTCATATGGGCCTCTTAAGCTCCCTTGATCAGTAGAACAGTCAGATAAATCAGAGGCTTTGGATAGGCAACTGCTGAACAGATGAAGACCAGGAAGATGAGGTTTTAGTTGGTTAAGACAACTTCTTGGAAACTTTTCCCGCCTGAAGATTGTTACACACAAATACTTCCCTGCAATCATTGGGAGCTTCCAAGTTGTTCCTTTTAATTAACACCAAAGCTTATAGACAAGAGGCAGGTTGTGGAAAATATTTTATAGAAAGCAAAATCAGCATACCATTTGTATAGTGGACAGAACATGGGTTTTAGATTTAAAGACCTAGGAGTGAATTCACATGTTCTGTCACATAGTAGTTGACTGACTTAGATAACCAATCCTTCCAGGCACCAGTTACCTCTATCTCTTAAAAAAGGAGGAGAGGGCAACACATTATTTTGAAAACAAAATAATTATCTACATGAAAAGCACTTTGGATGAAGTAAGGGAACCACACAGTCAATGAGACCAGCCTGCAAACTTAAACAGTGCCAGGCTAGCTGGCAAAACAGAACACATGCATGCTAAAACAATATAAGGCAGGTGTAGCAGCCAGCCTGCCAGGTGGCCCCTAACAACCCCACCTTCGGGTATTCACACCCTTAAGTAGTCACCTCTCACCTTGTATCAAAGGTAGCAGTCAGTGTAACAAATAAGCGTGATGGTTTTTACATCCAAGATTGGGTTATAAAAGGCATTGCAGCTTCAATCTTAGTCTTTTGTCTGTCTGTCTTTCTCTCATCACTCACTTTAGAAAAGCCATCTGACATGATGTTGAGTAGCGCTATGGGGAGGACAAAGTGAAGAAGAAGTGAGATCTCCTGCCAAGAGCCTCACAGGCGAGCTTGGAAGTGGATACTCCAGCCCAGTCAAGTGTTCCAAAGGCTGCGGCTCTGGCCGATAGCTTGAACACAACCTTATGAGCAACTCTGAGCCAGAGCCACCTGCTAAGCCACTCCCAGATTCCTGACCCTCGGAAACTATGGGAGATAATATGTATTTGTTGTTTTACAGTGTGGAGTAATCTGTTACACAGCAATAGGTAACTAATAATACATTAGGCTTCGCTAGGAGTTGCTAGGGTTTGGAAGAGCAAGAAATCCCTAAAGGTTAGGGGTTCTTTGTCAAAGGAACATGTTTTGAAGGAAGGATGAGTTTGTAAGAAGTGGTAGAGTGTAATATGCTGTAGACATGAGTAGAAGTGAACCAGGCAGAGGGGTGAGAGGGTTTCAGAAAAGCTCCGTGGGCAGTGGGTCAAGAGCCAGGGATGGCAGGCCAGAGTGTCTACGCTTTATACAGGCAATGGAGCACAAGCAGGGTGCTTGAGCAAGGAGATGACTGGGAAGTAGCTAGGAGGGCGCCACTCGGGGGGCATATAAAAGATGAAATAGCTGTTGTAAAACCAGAGGCAGAGAGGTCAACCAGGAGCCTTCTGTAACGACCCTGTGGGGGAAATAAAGAGCTGAACTGGGGCACAGCTGAAGTAGGAATGGATTGAAGAGATGAATGGGAAGTACGGCAGGAACATGGTCTACCACGTTGAACACTGGCCTCCCACGGCTGCCCGTCAGAGCCAGAGGTTTCTAACCACTCACTTGGTCATTGAATATGTGTGCATATTTAGTTCTGTGCCTGAGGACAAAGCTACCACAGGACACATTTTTCAGTCAAAGCACCACCATTCATGCATATAACATGCTGTTCTGGTATACAATGCATTGCACCACAAAATTAATGCCATAAATATTGTAGACGTTATAGACACAAAATTATAGTAACTATGTAAGCTTCGTTTCCTCTTAAATCAACTCGGCCACAAGAACTGACTCCAAATTACACTATCTTTAATAAAATGAAGCCAACTAATAATAATGATAATAAAAGAGAACACATGGAAGTAATACAGAGAAAATTCAAAAAATAATCCTTTATAACACTGACAGGTCTGAGGAGGAAAGGCCTGAAGAACAATATTAGTATTATCAATCTCATCAAGTCATCCTATGTAACAAAAGAAAAATCATCAATGGAGATTCAAGGAACATTCAGATCCAGGGATTTTTTGGTTCTTTGGGAAGTGGACACGGTCCAATTACTCCAAGGTTGTCACATCCACTGTGCATGTTAAGTGCAGTTAGGGCCATTCTTGTGGAAATTATGGCAGGAAAACTGACAAAAGGACCCTAGCCTTTGGCAGACTGTGTCTTTGACTAACAGAAGTCTTAAGAGACTGGAGGTAAAGAAGTTATCATGCCCTTGGGGTGAAAAGAGCACATGTGGCCTTTCCTTCCCAGATACACAAGGTTAGTGCCCAGCTAGCTTAGAATGCATGGGAGGTCTTTTAGCCTACACTCATTTTGTAGTTAGGAAAATTGAGGCTGAGAAAGTTAAAGCTACTAGCTCAGGTCACAGAGCCTGAAGATTACATGAGGGCTAGCATCCAGATTTACTAAGGGAATAACATGATTCAACCCTGGACAGGGAGAGGCTCAATCACCCACATTGGGAGCTTGCTAAAGGATCCTCTGTCACTAAGTTAGTCCTGTCAGTGGAACTACAAAAGACAAGTGCTGAAAGAAAGCTCCTTTCTGTCTTTGACATGTCAGAGTGGAATGCTCATCAGCTTTCTTATGAGGAACAAGTGCTAAGAACCCAGCTTGAGTAAGCTATGCTTCTCTGCTTGCTATGATCAGACAAGGAGACTGTCATCACAGCGTAGAGGCCAGTCCTGCTAACATCATACTGTGCTGGGACCACAGAGATGCTCAGCAAGCGTCCTTTTAGATTAAAAAGCAATAGAGGTAGGGACATTTGCTCATGAAAGTTGGACATGATAAATTCACAGAAATATAAACATATCTCTACTTGGGAAACAGTGACGTCTGTATACAGTATGTACATATAAATAGCAAGACAGCTGGGTCAGGGAAGAGAGAGTCCCTCTCCGCCCTAAAAATTGTAACAGAAAACCTATATTCACTTTCTGGCTTTACCACTTAGCCATGTAACCTGCAGGTTATTTCACTTCCTGGAGGCCTGTTTACCCAAATTATAAAATAGAAATAAATATCCTCTTCTTTGCCAACCTGTCAAAAAGACTGCAAGAGAGAAGTACCTACACAGCCCCCAGCCCAGCCTCATAAGCAGCCATGGCAACCCTCCATGCACGATCAGACAAGGAGCCTCTTGAAACGTATGCTCCGTTTGTATATGAGTCCCACACTACCAGACTTGGGCCAGAGCACCTGTCCTCCCAGCCCCGGAACTCCCACTCCTCCTCTCCTACCATGCTTACTTCATCTGCCGATTATGAAATGTGCTATTTCTGTCCAGGTTTTGATTTCTGCTCAACTTTTTTCTTTCTAGTTCTGCCTCTCTTAGCTAGAAACCTATCCTGATCCACCTGAATCCCCGGGTGCCGCAGCCTCGCCAGCCCACGGGGCATCTAATGCAGCCAGGCACTCTCACTTACGTTGTCCTTCCCTCTGTGATGATGAAGCCTGGACACATAATGTCCCATTAACATTCAAGCTTATTTTTATTTTACTTCCATACTTTTTGGAGGCAAGGAGTGTAGACAGCTTTGGCTGCCCTGAATGTTAGTTGGTGCTCATGTGAATTAAATGTCCCTATCTTCATCACCCTGTCATGAGATGGATGCTCCCACTCATGTGGTTGTTTCAGAGGCAGAAGTATCTCTTCCCAAAACCTCTGCCAATCTCTAGTTGCCTCTCCCCACTGCTGTGCTCTTTAGCTTCCCCTGTCCCTTCCTTTCACCAACTTATAAGTAAATGAGCAGATGCAAAAGCTTAAAACGTAATCCAAAGACCACCCATCCACTTCTGTGTACAAGCACATGTCTCCTGATATCTCTCCCCTCTGGCAGATGGGGCCAGCACAAGCTCTTGAAGGAGATTAGATGGAGCCCTGGGACACCTCTCAAACAGAGCTCCCCAATTCTGATGGGCTGGAGGCTCCAGGGCGAGAGGAAATGCTTCAACACCCTTTCCCATCAACCTGACCCCTTCTTCACATTAACTCTTAGGGCCTGATTCCAGCCTGTTCCTTCACAAGGACACCATTCACATACAACCGTATTTTGCCTGAAAAAGAGAAACCTGAATAAGCCAAGAGCCCCCCTTTGATGTGTAGGAGAAAGTCTGTTTCCAAGCCTCCCATCTCTCGGCCAGGCGGTTGGCAGCCTCTTTCTCTTTTTTCCTCCCAAGGAAGGCCAACATGATTAAAGCTCTGCCCCTTTCGTTCCCACTTGGAACTTTTACAACTGGTGATTAACAGCCACTTAAACAAGAGTGATTCTCTACTCACTATAGATTTGGCTGCTAAGTACATTTGATTCAAAAGTAAAAGAAACATGTATTCATTGTCTCACTTCCTTGGGAAACTCGGAAGTTGCAGACTAAATGATGAAGAAACCTACAGAAAAGTAACAGAAGGATTATAGGGTGACTGGCACATGTTCCTCAAATGACATAAATTACTGAGTAAGGTTTTCTTTCCCTTTATAATTAAGAGCCAGGGTAAAAGTAAACTCCGACCGCTTTCATCAGTTACATGTCACAGGAAGGACAATGTACCATTCCTAAGTCAGGCAACTGCCTTTCGCATCCCCAAAGGTTCTCATTTCACTGTAGAGCCAAGGGTGAGCTTTGTGGTAGAGAACGTTTTGCAGCTATGAATCACAATTCCCATGAAGAAGTGTTTCCTCTCCACTCCCTGACTTGCTGAGCATCCTCATCTATGCTCCTATGCTCCAATTTTAAATTCCCATCACAAGACCGAAGAGTCACAAAGGTGAGCAAATCCTCCAGCTCTGCTCCTTAGCCCATAATTCTCGCCTCAGCTCTGAATGTTCCACACCCTAACGGGTTGATAATCTCTGCCTTCACCACAGTGCTCAGAAGGGCCTTAAGGAAAGGGCAACAGAGACTGAAATGTCAAATATCACTCTGATCTACTTCATTTCCCTCCACCAGAGGCTCAGAAAGAGTGGTACACAGGAGTCCACATTATTTTATGCTCTAAAATAATGCCAGAGGCCAGGGGCCAGTGGCTGGGGGCCAGGCGCGGTGGCTCATGCCTATAGTCCCTGCACTTTGGGAGACTGAGGTAGGGGGATTGCTTGAGGCCAGGAGTTCGAGATCAGCCTGGGCAATACAGTGAGACCCTGTCTCTACAAAAAATAAAAAATAACTTAACTGGGCATTAGTGGCACACACCTGTAGTCCCAGCTGCTTGGGAGGCTGAGGTGGGAGAATCACTTGAGCCCCTGGAGGTTAAGGATGCAGTGAACCATGATCATGCCACTGTACTCCAGCCTGAGACCCTGTCTCAAAACTATATATATGAAATAAAATAAAATAAAATTAATGCCTTTAGCCAAGTCACTGAAACATTCTGATTAAATGTCCAATCTTCTGTCTGGTTTAGACTCTAATCACAGTCATTATCTGATCTTTTAGTTAAATGTTATAAAACTTACATAGTGTATCTTATTAATCCATATAAGCCTTTCTTCCATGCACATCTGAGATACATAAAATAACAGTAATAAAAACAAGAGTAATAACATTAAAAACAGTATTTAGAGAGTGCTTACTATAGGCCAGGCTTGGAGCAGTTCATATATATTATTTCAATGAATCTTCATAACAAAGTTTTGGTATTTTGTTTTATTTTGTTTTTATATATAATTACCTGCTCTACCATTCTTCCTTGCTCCCCTGCCCCAATGCCACAAACCACACCCTTGGCTCAATGTGTTCACATGTACATAAACAAATCCACCCCACAGGGTCACTAACAACACAGTTCCAACTCCTAACCCACTCATAGCATCACCTCTTATGGAACTTGGAGATTTGGGATCTCAGAAAAATCTCTTTCTGAAACATACCAAAAATTCCCTGAACAAGAAATCCATGCTGTTTCATTTAGAATCAGAGAAACAGCCATCATTTGACCAAGCCATATTCCAAACGTGCACTACTGAGAAGCACACTCCCTAGAATAAACAAAGCCAAGGACCACCTTTATCATTCTTGCTCCTCATACCATAAACCTGGAGTCTGTGGTTTTCTTGGGGCTTCTCATTTTCACTTTTCTCTTATACCTGTTTCAAGATGTGAGGTGTAAGCACAAACAATGGCAGCTGCACGCATGGGCACCTTCATCCCTGCAAACATCTTGATTAAATGCCAATTAATTTAAAATCTCCCAAGTGGTCTGATTTGAGGGTTCCCTGGACTCCTTTATCTACAGGCAGCAATTAGAGCCCAGTTGGGGGAAGACTCATCACCATAGGGAAGCAGAGGCTCTGGAATACCTTGGAAAGAGTCATCCCTGAGACTTCATGGTCTCCAGGTCAAGGGAGCTGTAAGGAATCTAAGCCTTCATTAATCCCCCAGACACTCACACGATTATTTGTCAAACAAGATTCAGATGATTGGGTCTCAGAGACCCAACATTACTTTGCTGATTAAATGTTGAAAATGAATTCATAAACATGTAAAGGCATAGTTTCTCCATTTAATTATCTAGAGATTAAGAAACACTAAATCTGTCACACCCAATCATTTGGGACATGCTTGACAAATATCACCTTATTCCCTCCCTAAAAACAACCAGAGACAGTGGAAAGAGAATGGGCTCTTCAGCAGGTTGAAACGGGGTCCTTACTTGAGCTGTGCCACGAACTAGCAGTTAGGGGTCTTGGAAATGGTGTCTCTCAAAAGGCGAATTTTCCTCATTGTAAAATATGATCAACTCACATGAAACATGAGGATTAAATGAGATGGCCGGTGACACACAGTAGATGCTTTAACTTCCTTTGTTCTACAGTCACAACAATGAAACACCCTTCACCATAATGCTCCAAAATCAAAGTTCTTGCAGGACAAACAACAATTCCCAATTCAACACAGCAGCAGATCAGTTGTCCAGACACTACAAACTCAGTAACTCCTCGGCCTACCTGACAACTTACTTTATTAACTGGCTAAAACATCCTAAAACTGTCTGCATAACACTCTTCCCTGGGGAACTAGAGACAAAAATGATTATTTGGACATGATCTGAAAAACAAACAGTTGCATCCATTTTACATGGGGTAAAAATATCCTAGATGAGAAGGACAGGTTAAAAATCAATATAAATATGAAGGACCATCAAAAAAACATTCAAACAGAATTCAATTTGGGCTTAACTTTGATGAACTGTACATGCTCAAAAATAAAATGAAACCAACCAAAATACATTTATGTCTACAGCTGTAACATTAACATTGGTGGCAGCTTGTTTACATTTTCGGCCAAGAAGTGTTCTTCCATCTGGTCACATACCCGGCATTACACACATATTTTAAAGTTATTTAAATATTTCATGTGTGAAAACAGAGAGGTTACTTCATGTAGGCAAATCTGGAAGAAGTCAAGTGCTAAATATGCTGCAAAGATCCTGCTTAACCCACGGAAACTGACATTTTTCTTTCAGCCTGCCAGTTAAATGCCTACTCTGCTTTTTAATTCATTCACCCACTTCTACAAACATTTGCACTGACATTTTGCCAAAAAGCTATCCCACAAATCTCTAATGGGGAGGGAAGAAAGGAGTACAACAAATATAACATAAATTTTAAACTCTGGGGACATCTTCAAAAAACTCTGGCCCAGGTAAGGCTCCAAATCAAGCCAGATAAAATAAAAGACATCAGTACTTTTAAACTGTACTACTATAGATGCATGCCACAAGAAGCCACCCATTCATATGGGAGATAATCTGACTATTGCATGACCCATTTCCTATTCCCAACAAAGATAAATTGGGATTGTATAATAGACCCACTATTTCGCAGACTAACAGTATACTACTGGTCATATTTCTAACGTGAATAAAACCTTGTGAAATGAAGTAAACCAACCCGTCAGAGTTTTATACACCAGCATCCAGAATCTACGTGTTATACACATGTATCTCTACTTTTCAAAGTATATACACAAGGTAGGCAAATGATTAAGTACTAATTTCTAAATCTTCCTAGAACAAATAAGACCCCAGACCTGGTCATGTACAGCCAGCAGCAGAAAAACCCATCCAGCAAAACCAGGCATGGCTAAGCTTCCACTATGGAAAGTGCTCGCTTCCCCTTGGGGTTCTGATGGACCGAAGAGAAGAAAAGAAAACAAATGAATTCAGAGGGCCCCTGGGAACTTGACAGCGTAACCCTGGAATTCCCCAAGTTCTGGACCCACCACAGGAACTTTTTATTTCTTGGGCTCATCTGTCTATTCTAATTGTGCTTAACATATCACAGATTCAGTTTTGTTATGAGATTCTCAATGGGGCAGCCCCCTGCTCAGTCCTGAAATGGCTGGCATTCCACTATGAGGACAAACCACGATCCTCTGGCCACTGGAGTGACAAGCTGGCTTCCCACCACTCCGTGCTCCCATGCTCACACTTGCCTCCCAGCCTGTTACTCGAACCTTCCGAATTCTGTACTGTGAGACTCTTCCTCCAAAGCTCTCATGGCTAATTCGTTAACCATCTTCAAGTGCAAGTTTTTCACGTCTCTTTTTTTGGGGGGGGGGCGGGGGGTGGGGGTGGAGTCTCGCTCTGTTGCCCAGGCTGGCGTGCAGTGGCGCGATCTCGGCTCACTGCAACCTCCGCCTCCCGGGTTCAAGCGATTCTCCTGCCTCAGCTTCCTGAGTAGCTGGGATTACAGGCATGTGCCACCACGCCCAGCTAATTTTTGTATTTTTAGTAGAGACAGGGTTTCACCATGTTGGTCAGGCTGGTCTTGAACTCCTGACTTCGTGATCTACCTGCCTCGGCCTCCCAGAGTGCTGGAATTACTGGCGTGAGACACCACACTCGGCTGTCACCGTCTTACTTTATTTAATATTTCAACCACTTTATATCCCTTTTTACTTTGCTCTACTTCAACCTTTTTTCATGACACTTATTCTATTAAATAAAAAAAACTATATTTATTTATGTCTATTGCTTATTATTCTGTTTGCCCTGGCAGAATAGTATAAAGACAGCAAAAGTCCTTTTCTATATTATATATTGCTCACTCATATGTCCCAAGGACCTAGAACAACTCCTGGCACAGAAGAGCCTCATAAATGTTTGCTGAGTGAATAAACTGTCAGAGACAGAAACATGTCATATAAAAATTTTCTTTTTTTTTTTTTTTCGAGACAGTCTCACTCTGTCACCCAGGCCGGAGTGCAGTGGTGCGATCTTGGCTCACGGCAACCTTTGCCTGCTGGATTCAAGCAATTCTCCTGCCTCAGCTTCCTGAGTAGCTGGGACTACTGGCGCGTGCCACCACACCAGGCTAATTTTTTGCATTTTCAGTAGAGAGGGGGTTTCACCATGTTGGCCAGGCTGGTCTTGAACTCCTGACCTTATGATCCACCCGCCTCGGCCTCCCAAAGTGCCAGGATTACAGGCATGAGCCACCGCGCCCGGCCCATAGAACAATTTTCTGGGGTTCCACTAAGAAAAGACTAAGCTGGGACTTCTGATCTCCCAGGAGACAGACTCTACACTGAAGGAAAGAACCTGGGTGATAGCTCCTAGTAGAATCTAGACAGCAAGCTCCAGCAGAGTAACAGAGATGTGGACAGACTGTATACCTCTCAAGGCAGGCCACTGCACGGTCTCTGCAACTTGAGGTTCGAGGCTCTCAACTCTAGTACCCACCCACCATATCTCTCCTTCATTCCGTCATTCATCGCATGTGTGGTGAGCCGGGCAGCATGGTTAGACTTGCTTGTACTTCTCCACATTCCACAGAAAAGAGGTGCCTGCTATCAAGTCCCTGCCTGCACAGGCCAGGCCCCACCCAGATACACATACACGTCTGAAAACCTTTGGCCTCAGGCTCAGCCCTGCACGCTGCCGAATCAGCCCTGAGCAAACCTGTCAGTGGACTGGGAGCCCCGTCCCGTCTCCCTGCGGCCTAGATCCCCTGTGATGCCTCAAATCCACTGCGCACCATAATCCGAAGGGCAGTACAAATGACAAAGTACAGCACACTGTAACAGACACCCACGCCACAGGCCACCCCCAACTCTGAGCTACTGAACTCCACAGTCATTTAAGACCTTTGTAACTTCCTCCCACGTTTACACTCATTTTTAAATATGTCTTCTATCCTGTGACTCACAGTGTGTGGCGGGAAGAGTAAGGTTAAGAGCACAGACTCTGCAGTTAAACCAAGCTTGCTCTGCTACTTATTGTTAGCTGTGTTACCTATCTATGCCTTCTTCTTTACTGGCAATATGGCAATAGTAATTGCACCTATGAAGTAATTATGAAGACGAATGAATTTAAAAGGTAAAGCTCATGGAACAATGAACATAGAACACACTCAAGATATGGCTCCTATAAACAAAATGAGGTATAGCCACACCATAGAATAGAATTAAGCTATAAAAAGAAATGAAGTATTGTTACACGGATAACCTTAAAAACATTATGCTAAGTCAAAAAAGCCAGACACAAAAGGCCACCTATTATGCAATTCCATTTATATGAAATGTCCAGAATAGGCAAATCCATAGATTCAGAAAGGAGATTTGTGTCTGCCAAGGGCTGTTGGGGAGTGGGGAGTAGAAGGTGACTGCTAATGAGTATGGGGTTTCTTCTGGGGGCAATAAAAATATTCCAAAATTAGAGAGTGATCAATGTGAATTTTGTACATATAGTAAAACCACTAAATTGTACACTTTTTTTTTGTCTGTTTTTTTTTTTTTTTTTTTTGGAGATGGAGTCTCACTCTGTTGCCCAGGCTGGAGTGCAGTGCCACGATCTTGGCTCACTGAAACCTCCGTCTCCCGGATTCAAGCGATTCTCCTGCCTCAGCCTCCAGAGTAGATGGGATTAAGGGCATGCACCGCCATATCCCGCTAATTTTTGTATTTTTTTTTTAGTAAAGACAGGGTTTTGCCATGTTTGCCAGGCTGGTCTTGAACTCCTGACCTCAAGTGATCCCCCTGACTCGGCCTCCCAAAGTGCTGGGATCACAGGCGTAAGCCAGCATGCCTGGCCGATTTTTAAAAGGTTATTATTATTTATCTTCCTCTTCTTTGAGCTACTCCAAGACAGTGCCCAAGTCTTACTGCTGTATCCTCTAAAGTATCCAACACAAAGCAAGACATGCTGTCAAATAAACTAAGTAACCATGACAAATGTGGAGCCAAAATTTTCTAGGAAACATCAACAAAGACTAGAACAACTGGGCAGCTTCGAGGAATGATTGGCAAACTTGGGCAAAGTTTTATCCCCCAGGCATCTGGAGTCGTGCCAGTGTACACTGACTCACTGTGGCTGAGGGTCAAGGGCAGGTTCTGCCAACAGGGGAAATGATCAGAAAGCAGAACTGAGACAGACCAGTTCAGGGAGAGAAAATATGGGGCGAGATGCCTCCTTCATCCTTTCACCAGGATTCACACTCAGAGACACCACTCAGCATGCACAGCACCCATTTCCAAAATGCAGACCTATTTGTATGGTCACTCTTCAATCGATGTAATTGCTACAAAAGCTAATAAACTGGAAAGACAGGTTGTGAGGCGAAAGAAAGCCATAGGAAGCAAATAGCCCTTATTTCAAAGCAGCAGGTTTTTGTTTGCTTTGTTTTTTGCTTGAACTGACAGTCAGTAAAGTATTCTTAAATATATTCTAGCACTCAGCTGAACCACCTTGCAACCTGCTTCATATACAGGTTCTAGAGGTCATTTTGTAGCAGGACATTTTAAACGGGGGAAAAACAGAAGGAGAAATAAGCAATTGCCTCAAACAAGGAAAACAGTCTCTTTACTTCATAGTGAAAAGAAAAAACAGACTAAGTTTCTTGCATCCTTTTGAATCCAAAAGCAATAAATACAGGAAATGTTAAATAATGAGAGCAAAATAAAAACCAATGTCCATTTGTTAGTATGGCTAACATAATTGAGAGGTGGATGACTGCCAGAAGCAGGTGAAGGTCAGTTGACTGGCAAATCCTCCAATTTTGCCCTAGAACTTTCAGAATGAGCTCCCCACCACTGACCCCCACTTCCAGTCACTTTAACCAAGATGCCCATCATCCTCTGTCTGTAGCATTCTCACTGCATTTCCAAATTACTCCAGGTTTTCCTGTTCCTACTTTTATGACCATCTGAAATCCAGATTCTTAAAAGTGCTTTTTAAAATATCCCATCATCTTTCATTTCTGTTAGCTACTTTTCTTTCTCCTTATCACTGCCCTAAATCCAGTTTTCAGTTATCTCTCTCTGTCTCTCTCTCTCTCTCTCTCTCTCTCTGAGACCATTTTCATTGCTTTTTACCTGGTTTATATTCAGTATATTGACTTTCTGATCCATCTTCCATATAGTCCCAGCATTATAAATGGACAAATGAATGAATGAGGCCTAGACTCCTTAACCTGGTCTTTGAGACCAACCACACCCACCAACCACATCACCCCTCGAAGGTCTTCTCCCACTTCTGGACACTCACTCCACATCTCCACACCAACCAACCGCCATTCCATCCCGTGTTGACCCTGTCAGAATTTAACACTCCTTTCTTTAGGAGGCACTTCCGTGACAAATGGTTTTTCACACTAAGGTAGCATTTAATAGAAGGTAACTTTTATCACTGGACACCTATGCAGTTTCAGCTCACCACAGATTTAACCATGTCTTATCTATAATGCCTTACTGTGCCCCTAAGTACCTAAGTAACAAAATAGGGGTTGCAACAGCAGCAGTGGTGTTCCCACCTGAGTGTCACTCAATGCATGCACGCTGAATATGCAAATGAATCAATGACCCAAACAGAAAAATAGCTGAAAATATTTATTTTGCACTACGCTAAATGTTCCACATACATTTCTGGTGTTTTTGGTGTTTTGTTTTTTTTTTTATTCTCAAAAGACTTACAAGTACAGGCGCACCTTGTTTGATGGTGCATTGCTTTACTGTGCTTCTCAGATAGTTGTGTTTTTTACAAATTGAAGGTCTGTGGCAATCCTGCATCGAGCAAGTGAGCACCACTTTTCCAACTGCAGGGTTCACATGCGTCTCTGTGTCACATTATGGTAATTCTCTTAATCTTTCAAACGTTTTCATTGTTATTATATGTTATGGTGATCTGTGATCTTTGATGTTACTATTGTAATTGTCTTGGGGCACCATGAATCACACTCATAGTGTGTTCTGACTGCTCCACAACCAGCTGTTACCCCAGCTCTCTCCCTCCCCATGGGCTTCCCTATTCCTTGGGACATAACAACTTTGAAGTTAGGCCAGTGCATAATCCTACAGTGGCCTCTAAGTGTTCAAGTGAATGGAAGAGACACATGTCCTTCACCCTAAGTCGAAAGACAGAAATGGTTAAGCTTAGTGAGGAGAGCATGTCAAAAGCTGAGATGGGCTGAAAGGCAGGCCCCTTGTGCCTAACAGTTCGCCTAGCTGTGGATGCAAAGGAAAAGTTCTTGAAGGAAATTAAAAGTGCTACCCCAGTGAACACATGAATGATAGGAAAGTTAAACAGCATTGTTGTTAATATGGGGAAAGATTTGGTGGTCTAGATAGAATACCAAAAGCCAATGTCCAATCCAGAGCATGGCCCTAACTCTCTTCAATTCTCTGAGAGCTGAGAGAGGTGATGAAGCTGCAGAAGAAAAGTTTGAAGCTAGCAGAAACTGGCTCATGAGATTTAAGGAAATAAGTCATCTCTATAACATAGAAGTGCAAAGTGAAGTCACCAGTGCTGCCGTGGAAGCTGCAGCAAGTTATCCAGAGGCTCCAGCTAAAATAACCGATGAAGGTAGCTACAGTAAACAGCGTTTCAATGGAGATGAAACAGTCTTGCATTCAGAGAAGATGTCAATGCAACTTCCATAGTTTGAGAGAAATTAATGCCTGGCTTCAAAACTTTAAAGGGCAGGCTGACTCTCTTGTTAGAAGCTAATGCAGCTGGTGACTTTAAATGGAAGCCAATGTCCATCTACCATTCCGAAAATCCTAAGGTCTTTAAGAATTACACTAAATCTACTCTGCCTGTGCTCTATAAATGGAATAGCAAAGGCTAGATAACAACACATCTGTTTACAGCGTGGTGAATTACTGAATATTTTAAGCCCACAGTTGAGACCCACTGCTCAGAAAAAAAGATTCTTTTCAAAATATTTCTGCTCACTGACAATGCACTTGGTCACTCAAGCACTCTGATGGAGATGTACAATAAAACTAATGTTGTTTTCAGTCTGCTGATACAATATCTATTCTGCAACTCATGTACCAATGAGTAATTGTGAAGTAAAATTGAAGGCTCAGATGATTATCAGCATTTTTTAGCAATAATTCTTTTTTTTTCCAAGATGGAGTCTTGCTCTGTTGCCCAGAGCTGGAGTGCAATGGTGCAGTCTTGACTCACTGCAAGCTCTGTCTCCCAGGTTCAAGCAATTCTCCTGCCTCAGCCTCCCGAGCAGCTGGGATTACAGGCACCTACCACCGCGCCTGGCTAATTTTTGTATTTTTAGTAGAGACGGGGTTTCACCACGTTGGCAAGGCTGGTCTCTAACTCCTGGCCTCGTGATCTGCCTGCCTCGGGCTCCCAAAGTGCTGTGATTACAGGTGTGAGCCACTGTGCCCAGCCAATAAGGTATTTTTAAATTAAGATATGTATATTTTTAGACAAAATGTTATTGTACACTTAATACAGTATAGGGTAATGGGAAACAAAAAATTTGTGCGATTCACTTTATTGCAATATTCACTTTCTAGTGGTGGTGTAGAACTGAACCCACAATATCTTTGAGGTATACCTCTATGCAGTATCATCTCCATTTTACAAATAAGGAAACTGAAGTTCCAGTTTCTAAAACACAGAGTCAAAACACAGAAGTGCCAGGATTCAGTACTAGGTCTGTATACTCTAGAACCCATTCTCTTGATGACTAACCTCCTCTCCACTTTCTCTCTCCTCCTTTTCTACCTCCTCCATTTACAGGATAGAAAATGAAGCTTCAAAGAAGTTATAAAGCAAGACAGTCTGGGCATGGTGGCTCATGCCTGTAATCCCAGCACTTTGGGAGGCCAAGGCAGGAGGATCACCTGAGGTCAGGAGTTCAAGACCAGCCTGGCCAACATGGCGAAAGCCCATCTCTATTAAAAATATAAAAATTAGCCGAGAGGTAATTCCAGCTATTCGGGGGCTGAGGCAGGAGAATCACTTGAACCTATGAGGCAAAGGTTGCAGTGAGCCGAGATCGTACCACTGCACTCCAGCCTAGGTAACGAAGCAAGATTCTGTCTCAAAAAGTAAATAAAAACTTAATAAGAAAATAATAATAATAAAGCAAGACAAAGGCAGAATCAGAGACCTACATGTTGTCATGTTTCCAATGTTCAGAATAAAATCACTCAGGAGGAGACTCTGATTGCATTCAGAGGGGACACTCTGGTCTTATTAGAGGTCTGGTTTGAGGCAGTAACTTACAGTCGCTTGCACACAGACTCTAACACTAAACCTGGAGACTCCACACTTAGGTTTAAAATCCAGCTGCAATTCTTTTAACTTTGCAACCTTGAGCAGATCACTTCACTACTCTAAATCTCAGTTTTCCCATGAGTTAAATGAGAATCACAATGCCTATCCTACCTGATTGCTATAAGGAGAAATAAGGAAACGGGAAATTAGGCAATAAGCACCAGGAAGAAAAGACCCAGTTAATCTTTCTCATGGCTCTACCTCAGCACCTGGCATTGCCCTTGCGTGTTTTCTGAAATCTGAATCACAGGGTTTTGTTTTTGTTTTTTGTTTTTTTTCTCTTAAGACAGTCTTGCTCTGTCACCCAGGCTGGAGTGCAGTGGTGCAATCTCAGCTCACTGCAACCTCTGCCTCCCAGGCTCAAGCGATCCCCCTACCTCAGCCTCCGAAGTAGCTGGACTACAGGTGCACTCCACCAAGCCCAGCTAATTTTTTTATTTTTTGTAGAGGTGGGGTTTCACCATGTTGCCAAGGCTGTTCTTGAACTTGTAGACTCAAGCAATCTGCACATTTGGGCCTCCGAAAGTGTTGGGATTACAGGTGTGAGCCACTGTGCCTGGCCAAATCACAGCATTTTTGGTTTTTCTCTTATCTACTAATTATCTTCTGTCTGTTTGAGATCTAAGCATAGTAACTGATTTAAAAAGAAAAATAATAACAATGATGAGGACATTATTATCACCCTAAAACATAAGCAAAGGAAAAAATGATCACATACTACAGCCAGCAAACAAGAAAAAAGTACTTGCACTTCATTACAGCTGCTATGACTGCATGCTTTTCACAATAAAAGAGACTTAAAGGTAGAAAAAAGAAAGGCAAGCAGAAATATGAATAAATAGATTAAGAAACCCAGCTGATATTCTAACTGCCTAATCAAAAACAACAGGCCCTGCAAAATAATTGAAAGATCTGCTCAGAGAGAAGCAATTGAAGGCTCAAATTGAACAGTCTCGGCAATTTGTGGGAGAAGAGATATTCTGAAATGGCATAATGTAAGAACAAAGAACAAAGCATTTTTATCTGGCTCCCAAACAATTAAATGAACCTGCCAATTCCATGTGGAAGATGGGCTTTAAAGAACTGCAGTCGTGTCAAGGGAACATTCAAAGTCAGCCAGAATTCATTAGATGCCAGAGGAGAAACAGCTACAGATTTCTAAACAGGCATCTCCAACCCAGGCCAGAAGGAGCCGAGCACAGCCTAGAGCTGCTGGAGACTCAAAGAGAAACCATTCTTCTATCCCTTTCAGCGTGCGCATCTTGCCGAACTTCTGGACCCAGTTCCTGCCATAAGCGTGACTACTCCACGTGTACATAATCCCTGTGGAATTACAAAAATTAGGCTAAAGAGAAAAAAAAAAACCTGGTTGTGGGTTAGGAAGGCATATGATCAATCCTGACTCTGCCTTCCATGCAGATAGGGAAGAAGACTCCTCCTTCTGAGACCATCTCATCTGTGACATGGGACAAAGGTGGAAACATGCTGCACGAGGAATTCAGTTCATAAGTCAATGGATCTGGCAAAATCACATATGATAAAAGCGGCCTTAGGTCGGGCGCAGTGGCTCACACCTGTAATCCCAGCACTTTGAGAGGCTGAGGAGGGTGAATCACCTGAGGTTGGGAGTTCGAGACCAGCCTGGCCAACATGGAGAAACCCTATCTCTACTAAAATTACAAAAATTAGCCGGGCATGGTGGTGCATGCCTGTAATCCCAGCTACCGGGGAGGCTGAGGCAGGAAAATCGCTTGAACCCAGGAGATGGAGGTTGCGGTGAGCCAAGATCACACCACTGCACTCCAGCCTGGGCAACAAGAGCAAAACTCTGTCTCAAAAAACAAAACAAAACAAACAAACAAAAAAGTGGCCTTGGAAACCTGTAAATTCACTGAAAAGTTAAGGCCAACATGTTTTAATGCATATATCATAAGAGACACATGGGACCTGAGGCCAAAAAAGAGAAAAGAGAGAACAGACTTATGTCTCCCACCAGCTATCTCCTGCCCCTCAGGACACTGTCTCATGGATGGGGCTCCCAACCCCATGTCACCAGCACCATTTCCACTGTTCTCATTCTCTCAATTTTTTCCAAGTCACACTCCTGGAATTTAAAGGACATAAAATATAACATCATATTATAATTCATATCTGAATCCTAAAGATGTCTGAAGACCAATACATCAAAACAAATGTGAACGGACCATGCAAACGACAAAGTATTTTACAAATAATGTTATTCCTTTGACAAGTTGTGAACTTCTGCAGATCAGGATTCACATTTCCCCCTCAGCATTTCTAGTATTTAATACTGAATGCTTATCATACTTTCTAGGAACTCAATTAAAAAATGGACAGATAGACAGATGGAGCTATGAATCAACCAGCCCTGAATGTGCAGTCTATTGCAGGTTATAAAGGACACAAGGTATGTCCCCAGGCCTGTCAGTTAACTGCTCACAATCTACTTGGAGAGGATATCCTCCCAGGAAGAAGACAGTGTCAAAGACAATATACTTCTATTTACAGGTATACAGGTATTGCAATATAGGCTCTATTTACAGCGTACAAACCATCAGCATAAACCATGAAACAATCTGTGAGCTGGAACCATCCACAAAGGATTCCTGCACACGGTGAGAATTTTATCATACAAAATGGAAAAACCTTGGCTCCAGGAAAGCTCTTAGGAATCAGTTAGTCAACTTCCTGATTTTAAGGTTGAGAAAACTAAGCCTTTGGAAGGGGTTCATGTGTGCTGGGCTCACAGAGCAACTTCCACAGCAAAGCCATGCTGGCCGGCTCCAACAGCGTCACACAAAGCCCACGGACCCAGAGGGATCCTGATCCATCCCTGAGCAGTACTGCACAACACAGAGCAAATCGTGTTTCACCTCAATGAGAAGAGCAGCAAAACAAGCCTGATAAAAATATTCACTCCAAAATAATGTATTAAGTACCATGAGGAAAAATGCTAGACGGCACTAGAAGAGAGTACACACACAGATACATGCATACTCTCTCATCTTCCACTGTCTCTCAATCTCTCCCTCCTGTCAAACCACCCCCACCCCCGACATGGTTGCTGCCCAAAATAGATCTCAGACAGTGCCAGATGAGGAGCGGGGGAAGAAGACAGCACTTTTGCTGTCAGATCCTAACTCAGATTTCACCTTTCCAGTAAGACCTCCCTCTTGGAACATCCTATTTAAAGTTATAACCCCATCCCTGCCCTACCATCTAACATCCTACATGCACACTTTTTCTCTCTCCCCTGAGTAAACTAAGGGCTCTGAGCAATGATCTGTGTGTTTTCTTCAGCACTTTATCCACAGTACCAAGCCCAGAGCCTCAGACATATTAGGTACTCAATAAAATGTCTTTTGAAAAGAATGAATAAACAAATGAATAAAAGCAGAAATCAGAGGAGGCTTTGTGAAGAAGACACCATTTGAAATCACCTTTAAATGGACGGTGTTCAGAAAAAGTAGACATTGACAAGAACTGAGACCACAGTTAAACATCCCATGTGGAGGAAACAATATGGAAAAGTATTTAGACTTTTCGAGCCTGACCAACATGGAGAAAGTGTGGGGGAAGTGTGGGGCTGGAATAGCACCAACGACAGGTTCCTCTGTCTGAAATGTAAGATGCATAAATGAAACTAAAGCAGAAAGGATGCAGAATGAAGCCCAAAATGTGGAAAGTGTATAAACAAGGGTGGAGGGCCACCACTCACTCTCAGGAGACCACCCTGGTGTCCCCAAAATTACAGGCCTTGTTAGAAAGCAATTCACCTGGGGTGGTGTAAAGGATGATTCCTGAAAGCCAATGAATGTAGGACAGGCCTCCAAACTGTGCCCCACATGGCCGAGTAGTTTTCTGAGCCAAAAGCCTACCTCCCTCTTCACTCTTGGCTACGTGCTGACCGACCCAGAAAAGCCAACCAGGGTCTCCCCAGCACAGCAGAGCAGTGATTTTCTACATCCAGTTCAGATTCATGCCACAAACTGCTAGGCAGAAACTGACCCTGATGTAGAAGGCTGTTTTTAAAATGTGGGCATTATTTTATTTTGTTTATTTCTTTATCTATTTATTTATTTATCTATTAATTTTAATGTTGCAAAGACTGATCTGGGAAACAAGTATATTTCAAAAGGAGAAATGTCATTAGCATGCATAAAAAATAAAGGCAGTAGAATATTGATAGTGGCAATTTAAGAAAGCTGGCACAATGCACTTCTCCAATCCACAGAAATTGAGAGAAAATATAGTCCACATTGCAAATTAAATGGAGATAGTGTGGCTTCAGGATGCAAGCAGTTGCTGAATATGCAGAGACAGTCTGCACATGGTGCCAGCCCGCCCTGGGAGCCAGCTCTGCCAGCAGAAGTGGAAGACTTTATCAAGTCTTGAGAAAACGCAAGGACTGGGGCAACTTCCCCTCCTTATGTCCCTGTCTCAGAGGGCAACAATGTCTCCCAGCTAATCCAGACACATCTGAAATAAATCCATAGACACCACAGAGGAACCCAATCAGTATTTTAGTGAGAAAGGTTTTAAATACCAATTCTGTGTATTTACCTTCCTTTATTCCATAAACAAAAGCAGAATGAGAAAATAAATAACATAAGCTGATGATTTCTGAAGTGCTAGAGTAGTTTAAAAGAAAGAGCATTAAACTAGAAACGAAAAGGCTGAACACCATTCCTGGTTTAGGTGGACACACAAGTGGCCTCAGGCAAATCACTGGACTTCTTCGGGCCTTAGCTTACCTTGCTGACTGCATCTTGGCTAAAACTAAATGGGAATTATTCTAACAACCCTTCAAGTTGATGCTATTATTAACCCAATTTTACAAAGTACTTTCTCCAAAGTCACAAACAAGAAGTGGAGCCAGGTATGCAGATCTGACCTCTGGGCTCGGTTCTCAATCCTTCGAGTTACCATCTCCAAGTCCCCTGTGGTTCTGGTTGTGACCATCTCTGCATTCATTCAAATAGGAAGGGGCTGGGACTGCCAGCATCTGCGGGCATCTAATTAGTACCCAAGTGTCACAGGAGACCCTGCTAAATGGTATGAGAGAGCTGCATCCTCCTCAGTTGCCTAGAGTAACAGTACAAAATCCTAAAGCCTTTTCCATAGCTATCCCCAAATTACGTCTGGGTCCTGTTCTGATAAGGTGTTTGGGAATAAAGCAGCAGCACAGTGACCTTTAACATAGACCCATTTCGGGCCAGGTGCGGTGGCTCACGCCTGTAATCCCAGCACTTTGGGAGGCCAAGGCGGGTGAATCACCTGAGGTCGGGAGTTCGAGACCAGCCTGACCAACATGGAGAAACCCTGTCTCTACTAAATACGAAATTAGCCGGGCGTGGTGGCGCATGCCTGTAATCCCAGCTACTCGGGAGGCTAAGGCAGGAGAATCACTTGAACCCGGGAGGTGGAGGTTTGCGGTGAGCCAAGATCACGCCATTGCACTCCAGCCTGGGCAACAAGAGCAAAACTCCATCCCAAAAAACAACAAAAAAACAAAAACATAGACCCATTTCTATCATGAACCATGTCTCTACTCTCCCCCCACCAAAATCCATTATCATGCAAGGTGCAATGACAACATTACAATAAAAGTGTTTCAACAAACTGGGGCAACAGGCCAGGTACAGCAGAGTAAAATACAACCACACAAGAGCCAAGCCTTGGTCTTGTGGCCAAAATGCTCAACAGTACAATGCTCAAGGAACACAGTTTAGCAACATTACATGAAACCAACAGTAAATTCAAATGTTTCAAGAGTGTGCTTTGGCGGCCAAGATTGTGTGACTGAAGCTGCATGAACAGAAGCAGACTCCCTGGAAGGAAATGTATCTGCTTTCATCTGTGCTGCTCTTACCACACCTGTTTCAACCAACACCCTGAAAGTTCTGCCAACGTGGAGGAAGTGAGGTAAGGAAACTATAGACTGGATGATGATTTGAAGGAACTGGGAACATTCAGAAAGGAGGCCAGGAGCACCATCTTAAAACCTTAAAGCTCCCTCTCTCCTCTGAAACATAAGTAGGATTGTATTCCATGTTCATTCGAATTGTAGAATAATAGAGACAGCAGGGAGATAAATTTGGGTTCAATAATAATAATTCTCAGAAAGCTGCTGCCCAAATATACAAATTTGCCTCTAGAAGAAGTAACTTCCTCAGGGTGCTGAAACAGAGGCTGGGCGACCATTTAGAGGAGAGACAGGAGTCAAGATTCCATGATAAGAACAATGTACAGTTGTCAGTTGAATTGTGTCCTGCAAAACAGGTATGTTCAGGTCCTACTCCTCCTGCTCCTTTAACTGTGAGTAACAGAGTCTTTGTAGGGTGCTCACACTGAATTAAGGTGGGCCCTGAATCCAATGACTCATACACTTAAGAGAAAAGGGAAAGTCGGACGCGGACATACACAGATGGGAGATGGCTGCTGCGGTCCATTTGGGCTGCTATAACAAAATATCTTAAACTGGTAATTTATAAACAATGTAAATGTATTGTTCATAGTTCTTGAGGCTGGGAAGTCCAAAGTCAAGGCACTGGCAGATTCCGTGCCTGGGGGAGGCTTGCGCTCTGCCTCAAAAAATGGTGCCCTGTTGCTGCACACTCCCATGGCAGAAAGGAGAAGTGGCTCCTTGAGGCCTCTTTTGTAAGGGCACTAATCCCACTGACAAGGGCAGAGACCTCATGACCTAATCACCTGCTGAAGGTTCCATCTCTTAATACTACAGCACTGGGGATTAGGTTTCAATGTATGAATTTTGAGGGGACACAAACATTCCAAACCATAGCAATCATTATAGAGGCAGAAACTGAAGTGTTGCAGCTACAAGATAAGGAACACCAAGGGTTGCCAAGCAGCCACCAGAGGCTAGGAAGAGGCAAGGAAAAATTCTCCCCTAAAGCCTTCAGAGGGAGCACTGGCCTGCCAGGTCCTTGAGTTCAGACTTCCAGACTCCAGAACTGTGAGGGAACACATCTGTTTTGGGCCACCCAATTTGTGGTGATTTGTTACAGCAGCCCTAGGAAACTAACGCATACACAAACACCCAACTCGGTGACATTCTGTCTATATCTACGGGACTAACGGTTGTTTTCCAAGTGGGAATTGTGATGGGGCACTAACATTAATTCTTGAATCAAAAGGAACGTTAGCACATGGTGTAAGTTTAGTTTTTTTTCTTTTTAACTCATTCATACACTTATTAAATATTTACTGAGTACTTAATATGTGACAAAACTTCTGCAGTGCCCTATGAAGACAAGGACGAAGAAGACATGATTCCTGTCCTCAAAGAGCTCACTGTCTACTACAGTCTGTTTGTGTCCCCCCAAAATTCACATTGAAATCCTAATCCCCAAGGTGATGATTATTGGGAGATGGAGCCTCCAGGAAGAGGCCAGGTCGTAAGAGCAGAGCCCTCATGAATGGGATTTCTGCACTTGAGACTTCAGAGCTCCCTTTCTCCTTCCATCAGGTGAGGACACAGTGAAACAACAGCTGTCTGTGAACCAGGAAAGGGAGCTTCGCCAGACACCAAACCTGCCAGAGCCTTGATCTTAACCTTTCCAGAAGCCAGAACTGTGAGAAATTAATTTCTGTGGTTTATAACCCACCCAGTCTATGATATTTTGTTACAGCAACCTGAATGGACTAAGACACTCCCCACCAAGAAAATGTAAAAACATAATGTGACAGATGTCTTTACATCAGTAGTGGATGCTGTGACAGAGGCATTTACAAACACAGAGGTATGAAAAAGTGAAGAATAATCCTCTGTGGCAGTGGGTATCAGGGAAAGCTTTCTGTAAAGTTTACATTTGTGCTAGATCTTTAAAAAGTAGGTGTGCTCCAGGTGAGCAAGGTAGGGAAGTACTTTCTAGGCATGTCAAAAGGCCTTGGCCTAACTCTTCCAGATACAGATAAATGTGGGGAATAAGGAGGGAAGGACAAGAAATAAACCTCAAGAGCTGTGCTGAAGTACCCCAGTTTGTGTGTGAACTGGTCCAGGAAACCCCGCAGGTGCTCAGACAGTCCTCTTTTTAATGTTATCATCATTACTGTTATTGCAGAAATGGGGTCTTGCTGTGCTGTCCAGGCTGCTCTTGAGCTCCTGGCCTCATGCAATCCTTCTCCCTTGCCCTCCTAAAGAACTGGAATTACAAGTGTGAACCACCGTGCTTTTTGTTGTTGTTGTTTTTTGACAGAGTTTTGCTCTTGTCATCCTGGCTGAAGTGCAATGGCACAATCTTGGCTCACTGCAACCTCGGCCTCCTGGGTTCAAGCGATTCTCCTGCCTTGGCCTCCCAAGTAGCTGGGATTACAGACACCCGCCACCACGCCTGGTTAATTTTTGTACTTTTAGTAGAGATGGTGTTTCGCCATGTTGGCCAGGCTGGTCTCGGACTCCTAAGCTCAGGTGATCTGCCCGCCTCAGCCTCCCAAAGTGCTGGGGTTACAGGTGTGAGCCACCATGCCTGATCCCAACTCCAATTTTTAAGAGTCATATTCAGTGACTGCCCTCTCACCCAGAGCACTGTTATTTCTACTATTTCATTTTTAGAGTGACTCCAGTTCCACATTCCTCCTCCTACACTGCTTATATACCCACCTTGCAGTTTCAATGGGAATATTAAAATACTCACAGATGAAAAACCAGACAGAAGACATCTCAGATGGTTTTCCCTCACCCCCAACAGATTTTTAATTCATTCATTTCTCCTCAATCTGGCCTACAGAGAAGGGAGAGGCTGAAATGAAAGTAACAGCTGCTTCTCAACGGTGGAGGAGCATGAGGATGTCAGTGTGTCGCGCTTGACAGCTGTGAACAATCTTAGAACATAATTATGTAACCTCCTGCATGTGGAGCTTTCCACCCTTCCAGAACACTCTCATGTGTCCCTGAGCTTTATTCTTACAGCAACCCAGGGAGCTGATCAGCATGAATGAGGCTGGAAGGAGGCTCAGAGGTAGGTGAACTGCAAGGTAGAAGATGACCCAAGATTAGCCCTCAGTCTCCTGCTCCCAGGATGCTGTCACCTTTCATAGTTTTGCTTGATTTTCATAGGAAGCATGTAGAAGGGCTTGTGGGATTGTATATTGGAGAAATGGTTCAGCAGGAGTATGTAGAAATTCAAAGTACATGCATTAACATTCCACTGGAAGGGCAAGAAGAGCAAGTACTGATTTGCTTCATCTTACAAGTAAGAGACATTTCAGAAACATGATCAAATTAACCACACCTCTGCATTCTGAATTTGGGAGTCCTAAGAAAAGAGTTAAGGATAAAGTGAGAATTGAAGCTGTAAGATGCCTGTGGCTGTGATGAAGCTTAGAGAAGCAGATTTGGTCTACCAGGCCCCCTCCCAATCTTCCCCAACCCCCACCCCATCCTCACCATTCTTCTGTGTTCAACATATGATTGTCTTTATCAGCCACCTTTAAGAAGTTGCTGATCCCTGCCTGTAATCTCAGCACTTTGGGAGGTGAAGGCAGGAGGATTGCTGGAGCCCAGGAGTTTGAGAACAGCCTAGGCAACATAGTAAGACTCTGTCTCTACAAAAAATAAAAAATTAGCTGGGTGTGGTGGCTTATGCCTGTAGTACCAGCCACTCTGGAAGCTGAGGCGGGAGGATTGCTGGGGCCGGGGAGGTTGTTGAGGCTGCAGTGAGCCATGATTGTACCACTGTACTCTGGCCTGGGCAGCAGAGGAAGATCCTGTCTAAAAAAATAAATAAATAAAAAAAAAAGAAGTTTCTGATTCCAAGGGTAATGATGAAATGAACTCATCAGAAACTGAGACTAGAGCCACTGACCCTTGTGTACCAACAGATTTTTCTTCTTAAATATCATTATTTCAAGCTAATTGTTCATCTCTAAGGCTCAGAATTTCCCCAAAATGCTCAGGTTAGGAAAACAACAGCAAACTTTAAATATATACTAAAATTACAATGTACAAGTGTAAGCAGGAATCACATTCTTCCTGAAAGAACTAAAAACATCACTGGCAAAGTCTCTTTAATTTGCTGGGATTAAAAAAACAAAAGAACATCAATTAGATTGCGTCTTCTGGTTAGATCTCTCTTTCTCTGAGAGGGGAACTGACGCAAGGAAATCAAAGAATGTTACATTTAATTAATTTATTCACCTTGACCTACTCCCAGCCCAATATGTATGCTGTTGAGATTTCTTTTTACCTGATTTAGAATGTTAAAGATAGAATGCATCTCAGCATGCATACGTGCACGTGTATGTAGACATGCACGTACACATCCACATTTAATTCTGAATTAATTTATTCTTTCTCAGGTCCCTTAGGTCATAAATGAATTCTAAATTAACATAACTGTCTGGCTTATCCATGAAGACTGCCTGTTCTTGAGGCATGATACATGAAATGTAAGAATATTAAAAAAATAAAAATTGTCCTCACACCAGGTAAAAGATAACTTAGGAGAGAAGAAAGTTCCCATCTTTAGAAGAGGAGACTTAATTGGATTTCTGACCAATTGCTGAAATACCCTCCATTACCATGTGCTCTGACCATCTCTCCCCTCCCGCTTCACACACCTAGAAACTGACATCAAGTCCTACATGAGGAAAAGAATGTAAATTTTCCTTCCTCCCAGAAGGGAGAAGGAATGGGGAAAGCTGTTTTCCCTCCCTCTCAGCTTTCTCCCTTGTGCGCCTGCATGCACACCAGATGGTGTGAAGCCGCAGGTTGGAGGGAGACAATAAACCCAGAAACTATTGCAATATTAGGTTATAAAATGACTGACTTTCCAACAGGCATGCATCAGTGGCTCACTGATGAATGGGAGGAGTATTGGGTAGAGGGAGGAAAAGGCTGCTCAAATAAGGAGCTGTAATCTTCAGCCCCTTGTACCCCGACCTCCACACACCTCCCAGGAAGCAAAAATGCAACAAGCAAAGATGCCCTCTACAACACAATCAAAACAGGCTCTCTCTCTCTCTGGCTGAGAAAGGGTCCCAGCAGAGTCATGGAGCCTGAGGCTGATACAAAGCAGCTCCCTCAAAACTGACAAGCACCATTCTGTCAGTATCTTATTTGCAAAGAAAAAACAATATACCCTGGCTGTCACCCCACTATGTACCTCCATGGCTCAGTGACACAGAGCAAAAGGAGAAGGTAGCAGAAAGTGGTGAGTACAGGTACTCTGGCTGGTTAGGGTACAGGTTTCTGTCCTGGTTGCTGTTTTTTATTTCTAAAGAGAGGGCTCAGAGAAATTGGACTAACTGCTGCTCCTCTCAGGCCTCAAGTTTTTCATCTGAGAAAAGGTTATGTGACTAGATGGTCACGGCAGGTGAAAGATGGCTGCATGCATATTCTTTGACACTCTCCCATCAAGAGGCTGGGGCTAGGTCCTGTGCCCTTGAATCTAAGAGGGCTCTGTGACTGCTTGACAGAGTAAGAGGGAAGTGATGGTTTGCTAGTTTTCAGCGTCAGGCCTTAAGAAACTGGCAGCTTCCACTTCATATCTCTTGGAATGTTCTCTCTGGGAGCCCGGATCTTCCGCATAAGGAAGCTAACTTAGACTAAGGCTGTCATGCTATGAGAAAGGCCAAGCTAATCACACAAAAAGGCTGGGGATGGGGGAGGAAGGAAGATTGGAATGAGGGAAGGGGAAAAATGCTTGGTCAGTGAGGTCCAGAAATCATACAGCAATTGTAGGCCATCCGCTTTGTACCCTGTCTGAATTTCTGACTCAAAGAATCACCAGATATAATAAGGTATTATTTTAAGCCACTAAGTTTGGGGGTAGTTTTATGCAGCAATCAGTAACGGATACAGGGATCTATAAATGCCCTTTTAGCCCTAACAACTCTGATTCTGTGATCTTCATGTGTGCCAGTGGTCCTCCAGCTCTTAGCCCATCCTCACTATGGCAGTCATATCCAAAAGATAGAAGGGCTAGGTGCATGCTTATATTGGACTCTCATTGTCTGACTCTACAGAATCCATCTTCCCAGTGAACTTGAAACACAAGAAGCAAGTGGAGCAGAGGGGAGAGAATCTCTTTGAAAACGCAGTGGGAGACAGAGCCAAGTAACGGAAAGAAACAAGGACTAGTGACATCATTTGACTCCTTTGATCAAGTCACCTCTAACCATGAACTTTTCACTGACAGTTAATAAATTAATATTTTGCTTAAGCAAGTTTGTATTAAGTTTTTTTTTTTAATTTTGCTGCTGCTGACACCCCTGCTACTTAATGGAAAGAGGATTTTCACTTGCCCTTGATTTTTTCCGTTCCTAAATAATCAGTCATCAGTGGCAAAATAAGGAATCATCTTAAAGGGGGAAAAGACATATAGGCAAATTTTTCAATATACCGAGGCTCCATTTTGTGGTCCATAAAATGAAAAGGTTGGTCTGTGCTATGCCCAAGGAAGGATGGTCTCTAATATCCCTAGGATTCTGTAAGTGCAACTCTTTCATACAATTCACTGCCACATATAATCATGAAAAGTAAGATAACCCAACAGACTGACATTAATGGCTAGCTAAGCAAACTATCATACAAAGCACAGTGGGAAATGACGTAGCCAATGAAATGCTAAGTTTGGGGACTATGCTACTAACCGGAACTATGTCCATGAAATAATACATTAAGTAATTAGGTAGGCCACAGACTAGTTGTTAAAAGAAATATACAGCATTTAGTAATGAAATAAGAGGAAGAGGGTGGATCACTTGAGGTCAGGAGTTCGAGACCAGCCTGGCCAACATGGTAAAACCCCATCTTTACTAAAAATACAAAAATTAGCTGGGCATGGTGGTGTGCCCCTGTAATCCCACTTACTCAGGAGGCTGAGTCAGAAGAATTGCTTGAGCCCGGGAGGCAGAGACTGCAGTGAGCCAAGATGGAGCCACTGCACTCCAGCCTCGGCGACAGAGTGAGACTCCATGTCAAAAAAAAAGAAAGGAAGGAAGGAAGGAAGGAGGGGAGGAGGGGAGGAGGGAAGGAGGGAAGGAGGGAAAAAGGGAAGGAGGGAAGGGAGGAAGGGAGGAAGGGAGGAAAGGAAGAAGGGAAGGAGAAGTGGAATAATGTGATAGGCTTGAGTAGTGGAGGAGACTGACACAGTGAATAAAACAATCCAAAACCTGAAAGCTGGCTCCAGCCGAGGCCTGATGATGTAACCATCCTGTCCCCAAATCACTGGAACAAACTCCAAGCACAACTATCCAGAGTCATGTAATATGTGTCTGACTCAACCCAGGCTCTAGTCACAGTTGGGTTTCCTGGCTTTCCCAAAGGAAAGTAAAAGCTTCCAATTACCCAGATTCTTACTGGCCTCTTGGTTCTGAAAACCCCCCTTTCTCCTCCCCATAAAAAGCCACTTGACCTCACCTTGCACTTGGGGCCATGGCCAGTTCTGCAGGAAGGAAGCATATCTGCCATCAATGAGCCTATTCCAGCCTGCACAGGACACAGCAACAAGCCTGCCACTGACATTATCAATAATGAAAAACATCACTGCTCCTTGAGCAGCCATCAGCAGTCTATAACCTGCTGAGCTGAGCTAGGAAAGGTACTCAAACAGCAGGAAATAAGGGAGCTTCAGCCTTTAAATTATATTACAGCCATGCAGAGCAATTCCAAGAAAAAAAATAAACTGCATATCAATAGTACTTGGATGGATGATGCTTAAGTGTGGAGCAAGATCCTGAGACTTATCAGAAAGCCTAGCTGAATGAATAAGGCTAATAATTATCATCATGAAATAAATTACACAACCAAATACGGATGCTCTTGGCCCACGACTGCTTAGACACACAATAACCTCAAAAGCACACAATCAGGACTGCCCCTCTGTCTTTCCTAATCCACAGGGAGGACTTCTGTAACACGAATCCCTAACACGGGTCAGGAAACCTAGTCAGGATTCCTGACTGTGTCTCTCTAGCAAATGGCATCCTCTGACCCTCAGCTTCTCATCTGTAAAAGGATTAAATAAGCCAGAAACATTTAAAGCCCAAGACTAGTGAGCACGACGAGTGAGCACATTGGATCTGATGGGCATTTCTGTCATGCTTACCCTTGTTCTTAGAAATGCAAAGGCTGGCCGGGCACACTGGCTCATGTCTGTAATCCCAGCACTTTGGGAGGCCGAGGTGGGTGGATCGCTTGAGGTCAGGAGTTTGAGACCAGCCTGGAAACATGGTGAAACCCCACCTTTACTAAAACTACAAAAATTAGCCAGGCATGGTGGCGCACGCCTGTAATCTCAGCTGGACATGGTGGTGCAAGCCTGTAATCCCAGGCTGAGGCAGGAGAATCACTGGAACCTGGGAGGTGGAGGCTGTAGTGAGCTGAGATTGCACCACTGCACTCCAGCCTGGGCGACTCCGTTGAAAAAAAAAAAAAAAAAAAAGGAAGGAGAGAAGAAGGAAGGAAGGAAGGAAGATTGCAAAGGCTAACAAGTTCGAGGAGTTTAAAAAAAAAATGCAAAACCGATGTAGAAACAGGGAGATAGTTTCTCATCATATCTCTTAAGGCCAAAATATATTATGACCCAACTGGGAATGGTTTCCTGTGGCTATTTTAATTCTATACCTCTCTCCTTCCAACCAATGTGAGGACAGTTGGTTATTACCACCCTCAGAGCAAATGTTGGATGCAACTTCTCAACCACACATTGTTGTTGTCATCACAAATGTTATCTGAATTGTAACATGGGGATAAGGACGTCTGCTCTGCCAAGTTCAGAGGTTATTAAAAGGCCATCAATGGGGATCATGAACATGAAAGTTTCCACCTGTGAAGCTTCAACTCACACGGAACATGGGCATATTCACGAAGGCACGGACTGAGTCCATCTATTCTCATAGAATCCACTTTCCACCCACCCCGCCCTTGTTGACAATCACCTGGCATGATGAAAAGTTACACATACTTGCAAACTGAGTGCACCCAGGCTTACTAGAAAAGGAAGGATACTACCTTATGAAAAATGACGGTTATTTAGGGGTTGATGGACCTACTAAATATAGATTACTTATGCCAAAAATGTGGCCCTTGTATATACTTCAATTTTTCAGCAAATCTCTCTTGAGCATTTACTGTTTACCCGACACTGAGAGGGATACAGGGATACAGTAGAACACAGAATAACACAGAGTCTGTCCTCATGGAGATTATGTTCTATAAAGAAGAGCTGATATTGTATAACAACGAATAGACATTAGAGGTGCAGGTATGGGAATAAAACAAAAACCTAGCCTCGTTTGCAGAGTCAGGGAAGAAGGTCAAAGAATAAGGAAGGCAAAGCATGTTCCAAGGTCTGAAGCCAAGAGTGGTCAGGATAAAGGGCCTCAAAAAAACTCAGAGCCAAGAGAATGAAGAGGGTGGAGGCCAAAGATGGGCTGTGGAGGTGGGGAGAAGCCAAACGGCCCTTAAAACAGGTTAACAGGGATGCTTTTTAACTATAGAGGGAAGTGACATGATGGGGATGACAGAGGGGAGTGACATGATGGGGACAACACTGTTTGCAGCAAGGGGGGTGAGGGGAAATTACTTGGACTCTCCCGGGTGGTTCAAAAGGCCCTGCAGTAACTAGAAATGCCCTTGGGTACTGGATAGAGACATCACGTGGTGCTGAAACAGAAAAACCACCGGTGCAGTAGATGGAGGTAGAGCTGAACTAATCTTATGACATATCCTAAACATTTCACTCATTTTCTTTTATATAATCACAATCCAAGTTTGTCTCTCATAAAACTGAGGTGTGGAAATAATCCTTACCTAGCTTTCTGGCTGTTTGGATTTGGATAAAGAAAAGTTTACTCGTTTATTACTCAAAACCCCACCTGTTTCTAAAAAGGATTTGAGGTCGTTTACAATAAAAAAGGTAAACAGAGACCAACCAAATGTATCACAAGGTAAGGGAGCTCACTGTTTGCCTTCTGCACTAGCTCCCTAGGGTCTAAGGATCAAAAGTTGCAAAGCTGGCCGGGCGCGGGGGCTCACAACTGTAATCCCAGCACTTTGGGAGGCCGAGGCGGGCAGATCACGAGGTCAGGAGATCGAGACCATCATGGCGAACACGGTGAAAACCCGTCTCTACTAAAAATACAAAAAATTAGCCGCACGTGGTGGCGAGCGCCTGTAGTCCCAGCTACTCGGGAGGCTGAGGCAGGAGAGTGGCGTGAACCCGGGAGGCGGAGCTTGCAGTGAGCCGAGATCGCGCCACTGCACTCCAGCCTGGGCCACAGAGCGAGACTCCGTCTCAAAAAAAAAAAAAAAAGTTGCAAAGCTCTGACTTTATGGCTAAATATTTCAATACAGAGAAAAGAATCATGGATGACGGTAATGTTCCCTACGGGGATGGCTAAAATTATGAAACAGAATCAGGTTCTAGGTTTTCTCTGGGCTCATCTTTGGACAAGCCCCTCTCCCAGTCAGGACAGCAAAACATAACAAAACAATAGAAAATTAATAACTCAAAAGCAGTGAGGTCCCCACCCTATGTCTTTAAAAACAGGGGCCCCAGACAAGGTTTCATTCACACACACATTAGGGGTGCCATTAGATCTTGACCTCTGTTCCCTTAGGAAGCTCAGCATAAGTGATTCATTAGCTCCCCAGTAGCTTAACCCAACAGATCCCAAATTTAGTGATACTCAGCAAAACACTAAACATAAAATTCACAAGTTTAGAAGACACCCCCCCCCACCAAGCAAGCAACTCAAAATGCTGTGTCCCCTGCCTATACACCCTTGTCCTCTACACCAATGGGCGTGGAGTCTGCTCATGTGCTGCCCTCCCCACTGTCTCCAAAATGAATCCATTACCTACCCCTGGCTCTATCTGCCTCCCTCCAATTTGACAAGGGCTACAATAGAATGGTTGCTGTATGCACAATTACTATTAGTATGATTACATTAGAGTTAAGTGACGGTTAACAATACCCAAGTGTGTCACTTCCTATATTCCAAGGAGCATTTCTAGAATGACAGTACTCGACTGTGGTCCCCTGGAAACTTCCCAGCTTCATCATAGCACACAAAGAGAGTGAAATTGTAATTTATAATATTTATGATACTAGGGTAAAGGGGATGAGGCTTCTCAGGACCGCAAGTAACCAGTTGCAGGAGGTCTCCACACCCATTCCACCTCTCTACCTACATCCCATCCCTACGCCAAACTGAAAAGCTCTGCCTAAGGAACAAGTGAGTTCACCGCAACCTTCCCTTCATCCCACTCCTACCATTCAGCCCATTTCACCACTGGAGAAACCAAGCAGCCTCTGTTGGGCCCCTCTCTTGTTATCCCTCCTCTACCACTCTTTGACCGCTGTCCTCGTCTGGGAGCTGCACTCCCTGGAAACAGGAGACTCTCTTAGTGCATTTCTTTTTTTGTTTTTGTTTTTGTTTTGAGTCAGAATCTCGCTCTGTCAACAGGCTGGAGTACAGTGGGGAAGTCTCAGCTCACTGTAACCTCTGCCTCTCGGGTTCAAGCAATTCTCCTGCCTCAGCCTCCTGAGTAGCTGGGACTATAGGCGCACACCACCACGCCTGGTAATTGTTGTAGTTTTAGTAGAGACAGGGTTTCACCATTCACCAGGCGAGTCTCGAACTCCTGACCTCAGGTGATCTGCCCGCCTTGGCCGACCAAAGTGCTGGGCCTTAGTGCATTTATTCTCTTCACTTTGGCATTGAGCACAGTGTTTTCCTAGCACACTGAAAGTACTTTTAAAAATGTCTGTTGATTCCCAATGGAAATGAGTGGTAGTGTCTACTCAAAGACCAAAGACGGGTACAAGAGGAAGTGAATGGGAAAGGCATAAAGAAGCATCCAGGGGGTCTAGCAATTTCTCTCCATAGACCTGGGTAGCAGTAGTTACACCAGTTTATACTGTGTAAAAACTTACTGGGCTGTACATAAAAATTTTGCCATTTACCATGCAAAAGTTGTACCTCAGTAAAAAAGAAGAAAAAGCATTTGTTGAATGAATGGCTGAACAAATGAATAAATGAGTCAGAACCATAGCTAGAATCAAGGTCCATTCTCCAAAGCTCTATCACTAACAATGACTAGGATACATTACAAAACCTAAGCTGATACACTAATGAAACCTCACACTGTCTTATGTTTAAAAACAAATGCATCCACAAACATCAAAATTTACCTAAACGATGTCACTAATTCCCAGTTTCCCAATTCCAGCCCTATCCCCACCACTTACTTTATTATCCTGTATGTATAGTTGCTTATCCAGTGCTTCCTGTCAAAACGCCCTTAAAAATAACTTTATATGGACTGTCTGTGCTGGATATCCTGTGTGCCCCTTCATATTCGCTTCCTCCCAGCTCCTTGCCCTGGAAAGCTGACCTCTATGGACTGCATGGAGACTCTATTGCTTGCTGGTTTCTAGTAGCGTCCAGCCAGTGGGGAGCACAGCAGAAAAACAGAGAAAGATTTGAGGAAGACAGGAACATAAGCTTGGAGCATTTATTCTCCTAACTCCTCTGCAAGGTCAGTTGGGATGGCTGCTTTCCTCAACCAGTCTCTCAAAGCATCCGTTCTACCAAATGATCCTCAGGGTTTCAGAAATCTCCCCCTCCCCTGGCTGTTAGGTCTAGGGGTGCTTTACAGTCACTGCACTGAAGACGCACCATCTAGGTGGTTTCCTTTCACCCTAACTACACCTTTGTAAACTGTCCCTATTAAAAAAAAAACAAAAAACTCTTCTATTTATCCTAATTTGGGTGTGCCACCTATCTTCTACTGAGACCCCGACTGATACAGTGTTTAACAAACGGAAAGCAGTTATGTTACATCCACAACATGGAAAGACCATGCTACACCATGTTTGCTGCCTCCATTACCATTTTTATTAGACATCATTTATTACTTATGTAATGTGTTGTGCATGCAGCCATTCCCCTACTCTCCAAATGTCAGCTTCCTGAGGACTGACACTGCTGTAAACCCTAACATCCTTCAGATTACCTGGCATCTAGAAGATACTCTGCTGTTTGCTGCACGAATGGATGAATGGATGAATAAACGGCATGGTAAAATATATGGTGAAAGAAAACAGAAAAGAGAATGTAAACCAGGATTGCCACATGGATGCGTAGAGAAAAGGATGAAAAGAACATAAAGCTTGAATTTTTCTTGTTGTTGTTGTTGTTTTAGAAAGACTGTAGGTGGATTTTTTAATTTTAATTTTTCATTAAATTCGCTATGTTTATACAGCAATAATAATTTAAAAAGAAAATATTTTGTGTCCCTGAAATCTGGAATGAAATGGAAATGTAGCAAATATGCATTTATATATTTAATGGATGTACAAATGGAGTACTAAATTTTTTTAGAGACAATAACATGATTAAATATTAACACTTTCCCTCTGTACATAGCTATTAAAGAGTAATTAAGACTTTCCACAGTGTTAAGCAACCATTTGCCTAACAAAGTTGCCATAATCATGTTAAGACAGGGCAGGTGGAATCAAATGAGATTTATGGCCCCACATTTTTATTATCAGCAGTTCTTCCCAAGCAAGGGACGACATGGCTACATACACTCATTTCTACATGTTTTTTTAGAGGTTACTAAACCAACAATAGAAGTGGAAGTACTCCTAGACAGATGCTGAAGACGTAGGTACTTGTCCCAGATTAACCAGGATGTACCTATGTGCCCCTAAGCCAGTTACTCCACCTCTCTAGAGTCCTTTCCTCATGTGTAAATTAAAGGTCCCTTGCCAAACCACAAATCCCCACAGTTCTGACACTTTTATGCTCACTACCTCTAGTGTTAAGACATCCAATGGCAATGGTAGAAAGTCAGTAAAATTCCTCGGATGCTCCCCCAGGCACTGCCAACTCAGCAGCCCCAGTGCCAAAACTCTATCTCATCCTGAAACTTGCTTCCTTTGGCTCTCTGTAGTCCTTTTCTGAGAATGACTCCACCACCCGTTCTTGCACCCAAGACAGAAACATGGCTGTCATCTTGAATTTATTTCTGCCTTTGTCCTTACAACCCACATCAAAACAACTCTGCTCACTTTGCCTTCTAATTATCTCTAGAATCTGTCTAGTTTTCTCCATAATTGCTGCTCTTACTCCAGTTCAGGCTTCCTGGATTACTGCAACAATCCTTTCTCCTGGACTATTGCAACACTTTCCTAACTGGTCTTCTTTGTTAGTCCATTCCACCGCTTCTCAACCTTGTAGCCACAGTGGTTGGTCTTCCAAAAGGGCATTTCACTTCCCCACTTAAAACGCTGCAATAGATGTTGCCCTTAGGATAGCGCCCTACATCCTGAGGCTGATGCTTTATGATCTAGCCCCTGTTCCCTCTCAATTCTTGCCACTTCCCTAGTTATACTAAGCTTCCTGTGGCTCCCCCAGGAGCCATGTTTTCCCTGGGTTCATGGCCTTTGAACATAATATGTTCTCTGGCTACAGTGCTCTTTCTTTCCCACTCCTTCCTCCCTTTTGGTCTGGCTACCTCCTACTACTGGTCCTTCGGGCTCCAGCTTTCTCTAAAAACTCCTCAGGGCTCCAAAGTAGGTTGGATGCTCTTCCTATGTGCTCCTGTGGCACCCGCTATTTAATACCCAGAATTCTAATAGTCCGCTGGTTGAGTGAAATGATGAGCCACCCTCTGCCCTCGAGTTTATTTCCAGATTCTAGAACAGCGCCTGAGTCCACAGTGAGTAATTAATACAGGCTTATGGGTGGAATGTATGAAAGAGAAGGAGAGAAACAGGAAGAAAGGAACGGAAGAAAAACAATGGATTTCTAAGCAATCCCAAGACCCCGTACTACAACAGGATTTGTGTTAGCCAGGGCCTGAAGGATTCCACAGAAACCTTGGCTGAACACATACTTTCTTAGTTTATGTAACTTAAAAGATAGAAGAAATTCCTGGAGATTACCATCTCCTATGTTGTATTTAAACTGTATTACCCTCTCAAATCATTCAAGATGATTCTGAGCTCATTAAAACAAACCAAAAACAAAAAAGTTCACATCTAGGTCATAATTTGAGGAAAATATGAAGTTGAACTTCCAAATAATAAAATCTGACAATCATTTTGAGTGTTCAGAACCATTTCAAACTAGTTACCCTTCACCACACAGGTCATGCGTATCCTTTAACAATATCTGAATTTTTGTTCATGCCAGTCCTCTACCCTGAGCTCTGCCCATCGCGTATATCAACTCATCCACAATGGCCTCCTTGGCCACCAGTGTCAGTGACTCTACAGTCATCTCACTGTCCTCCCACAAGACCTCATCTAGAGGTTTTCCCATGGTGTACTGTATAATCATAATTATATATTTGACATATATACTGTACAACATGTATCTGTAGTTACTCAGCTCAAGGAATCTAGCTCAAACTCCTATCCAACGTGTCTTTATGAATAAGTAATAGCTTAGTGACACCAAATTACTCAGATTGGGGCTGAGGATCTAGCAAACTCACATGCAAGTACTGCAGACTGATATATGTGCTCTGCGCATCTCTGTCTCCAGAAGTTGCCACGTCTAAATTCTGATGGGCATTTCTGTTGTCAGAACTTGAAAGGGCCAAAGATACAAGTAGTTAAAGATTTGGGGTTCCCAAATAAATCATTACCCTCCTTTCACATGAACCTGTTATTGAAAAAGAAAAAAAAAAAAGAAAAAGAAACACTGAGAGGCAGCAACGGTGGGAGAAGCCATATACTAGGCAGGAACGGCCCGTACGAAACATCTTCAAACAATTCCTCCTCTTTTTTTTTTTTTTTTTTTTGGTTTTTTTTGTTTTTGAGACGGAGTCTCGCTCTGTCGCCCAGGCTGGAGTGCAGTGGCGCAATCTCGGCTCACTGCAAGCTCCGCCTCGCGGGTTCACGCCCTCCTCTTATCCTCACCTCAACACCCAAAAAAAAGGAGAGAGCGACAAAATGACTTCAAAAGGCTTGACTCCATGGTGTATTATCTACTTATGAGTTCTCTTCCCCCAGGCAAATTCAGTGGCAGGACTAAGTCATTTAAAAAGTGGACACAGATGAACGCCTTTATAGACCTCTCTCCCCTTAGAGAGAAAATTGGAGAAGAAATAAAAAGCTTAGCAATTTCTATGGTATTAGGTTTTTGCCTATTACTTTCAATAGAATAAAGACTTATTCAGCAGCATCTTCTGGTCTAGTTTGCCCTTTCATGAAAAATTAACTTTTTTATAGCCCTAAAAAACATCCATTAAGCAAGTGAGGACTTTGAATGTGTCAGCATTTCTATAAGCTAAGTCTTGCGGACCTGACTGTGAAGATCACAATTCTACTTTTCGGTCCTCGGCAACATGCTAGCCATGGGATGGGTGTTTTGTGCTGAAGAGCAGGCTGCAGTGGCTCATGGCTATAATCCCAGCACTTTGGGAGGCCAAGGCGAGCGGATCGCTTGAGGTCAGGATTTCGAGATCAGCCTGGCCAACGTCGTGAAACCTGGTGTCTACTAAAAATACAAAAATTAGCTGGACGTGGTGGTGCATGCCTGTAATCCCAGCTACTGGGGAGGCTGAGGCAGGAGAATTGCTTGAACCCGGGATGTGGGGTTTGCAGTGAGTCAAGACTGTGCCACTGCACTCCAGCCTGGGCTATGGAGGGACACTCTGTCTCTCAAAAAAAGAAGAAGAAGAAAAAAGAATCACCATGCCAGCATAATTCTAAAGGAGCCCCCACCCTCCTCAAAAAGAAAAAGACAGCAAGAGGTGCTCAAGAAGCAGTGGTCAAACTTCTGCAGGCCTTCCCTATCTCCCTAAAATTCACACTGATTCTAAAATCCACACATCAGGGGCTGGCTAAGGCTCAAGGTTAAAAGCTCCAAATAAAACTGAGCTTTGTGGGCTAGAAGGAAAGCTCAAAAATCTCTTTCTCTGCCTCCAGCGGTACTTTATAATAAAGAGAAGAGATTCCGAGGGACCAGACAGCACCTGTGGCTCTCTTTCCACTGATGTCACCAGCACCAGAGCTGGGCAGCACACACAGCCTTGAAGTGAAGAGTGAAGGTCTCCAAGGGGACTCTGAGAGACAGAGAGGCAGGGTCCACCAATACTCCCCAGCATTAACCACGGGCACAAAGCATTTGAGCAAATGCGGTGACTAAAACAAACGCCCGCTGGGCCTCAAGGCCTGAACTGCGTCCTTCATACTCCCATCTCCACATTCCTTTCTAGGTGATTAGTGAGATTACGATTTCCCCTGGAAATTAAAAAGTGATTGGAGAGGCTGTACACAGAGGGCTTCACAGAAGACACCATTAAGTGGCAGGTTGGAAGCAGGGAGGGGCAGAGAAGGGGGTATCCGTTGGAGGCCAAAGAAGAAAAATCTCTCTTAATCAACTTTTAGGCAGAAGCTTTCAACTGTTCTAGAGAAATTTCTCCCAAAGCAGATAAATCTTTCATTGATTAATGTCATAAACAATTAAAATGGATTTTTATTGCAGAGAATACCCATAGCGAGAAAATCTTTTAAGCTTTCCCTTAAAACCACAAAGCAGTCAGCTTCAGCACCTTGCCCAAGGCCAAATTCCTCAAATGCCAAACCTCTGACAAGGAGTAGACAAGGAGAGGATGAGCTCACTCTGAGAAGAGGAATGGACTGGCAGATCCTCAGCTCCCCAGGATTCTACCAGCTCCCAGGACTACTCCAGCAAGAGAAATGGCAGGATTTCTTGCCTCACCAGTGGCTACTAAACCACTTCAGAAACAAACAATAAGGACGGGCGCAGTGGCTCACGTCTGTAATCCCAGCACTTTGGGAGACCGATGCAGGCAGATCACAAGATCAGGAGTTTGAGACCACCCTGACCAACATAGTGAAACCCTGTCTCTACTAAAAATACAAAAAAAAATTAGCCAGGCGTGGTGGTGGGCACCTGTAATCCCAGCTACTCCGGAGGCTGAGGCAGGAGAATCGCTTGAACCCAGGAGACGGAGGTTGCAGTGAGCCGAGATTGCACCACCGCACTCCAGCCTGGGTGACAGTGTGAGAATCCATCTCAGAAAAAAATAAAATAAAATAAAATCCACTGTTTCAGGTTGGATTCTTCAGAAGCAGATGCTGAGACAAAGTCTGGGGTTCAAGATATTTATTAGAAGAACTATCCTTTTAAAGGAAGGAGGAGGAAGCAGGATGAGGCAGAGAAAGCAACCCACCAAAGCCTCAACGGGGTGTCTGGCGTCCAGTGAGCCTTCATACTCCAACCTTGCCTGTCACCAGATGTCTCCAGATGTGAGTCCCCCAGGAAAAGCACGGCCTAGGGCGAGCAGCTGTCGGAGGGGACGGACTCTCAAGGAGCTGACAGCTAGCAAGAGGCTGTCTGCAGAGTGCACCACCTGTAACTGTCAGCAAGCCCTCCCCCAGAGGGAGCCAGGGTGGCACATCTCTGCAGTTAGCACATCCACCTGTTCCAAAGACATAACCTGTCTTTAGATTTACAGTGAAGTTTAAGAAGATTAAAAGTTTAAGTTATGTTACTGGGAATTTACTAATATGAATAAAATATAAACCAATAGGAAATATTTTCATTAGTGCTTAAGATGACAATCATTTTTCAGATTATAGAAAAATCAATTGCAAGAAAATTTTGCTCTTCCCACTTACTGAAAATTATAAAGAATGTACACACAAACATATATATTTATATACACATCTATATATAAATACATATAGATGTATGTATTTATATAGAAGATGATCTGGATGTTCCAAAAATTGTTCACAGTAATTATCTCTAGGTGCTATGATTTCAGAAAGATTTTGCTTTCATCTTAATATCCTTCAGTATTAATTGCATTTTTTGGTAGCAAGTTATCTTTGTAAACAGAAACAAAGATATAAACTTAAAACAAAAGCATCCTTTATCCCCTCTGGAGGACTTCTATATCCCACCCATGAATCCAGCTGAGAACCACCATTATGGAGGAAGGACCCCAAAACTAGACAAAAGTCTTGGACCCAACAGTGAATCACCAGGAGGACATAGGCTAATGACTGACTGGTTGCTCTGTAGCTCTGTTTCTGGGGCAGGGGAAACTAGAAGATCTCTGTGGCTCCTTCCAGCTCGATGTTTTATGGTTCTAAAACAAATGTCAGCCACCTTCCCTCCCCATTATTTTTGGTAATGAGAAGCTAAATTTAACTGACACACACACAAAATACCCTAAACGTATAGCTTTGCTGTAAGAAAACTGTACTGACCGCTACGAAGTTTGAGCTGTCTACCAGTTACCACAACCCTTCTGGGGAAAGAGCACCCTCGCTGGCAGGTGTTTGTCTCAGAAGCTGCAGAAGCTTATGTCACAAACTGGCCAAACCAAGAGAAATAAGCTATTCGGTACCTGTGGAGGCCAAGAAAGGAAGGCTTCTGGAGAAACCTGGCGGCACTGGCCAAAGAGGGCCCATCAGGTCAGATGGCTAACACAAAATTCCTGTGAAATTGTATCACTAGGGAGCTATAAATGCCACATGAGCAAAACGAAGCGGCATCAATGTTTATCTGTTCTTGTCCCCAAAAGTATTGAACTCTGGTTGTCATTCTCTGTGATATTTGCATTTTATCCCAGTCTTATAAACATTGGGATCCAAAGGAACTGTGAACCAAAAAGGATGATTCCTCTTGCTTATCCCACAAAAGAACATTTCCTAAAGGGAACTCTTGCCTGGCTACTTCCTTTATAGGACGGAATAGCCTCTGAACTCCTTGAGGGCAAGGGTCGTCTGTCTCATTCAGTTATGTATGTCTAATGCCTAACCTAAGACTTGGCACAAAACTGACATTTAGTAATTTTTTTTTTTAGACGGAGTTTCACTCTTGATGCCCAGGCTAGAGTGCAATGGCACAATCTTGGCTCACTGCAACCTCCACCTCCTGGGTTCAAGCGATTCTCCTGCTAATTTTGTATTTTTCGTAGAGATGGGGTTTCTCCATGTTGGTTAGGCTGGTCTCGAACTCCCGACCTCAGGTGATCTGCCTGACTTGGCCTCCCAAAGTGCTGGGATTACAGGCATGAGCCACTGCGCCCCGCACATTATTAAACAAAATGGCCAAATGAATGAACGTATATGCTCCTTTGCTAAAGGCAGTGACACTAAGGATAAGACAAAACACTATGCAACACTTGGAAATAAGGCAAAAGGAAGGCAGCATGTCCTTTCAATGCCATACTGGTGTACTGTCTCATAGGTGCACCCAAGGGTCATCTGATTCTCTAGGAGATGATGTACCTGTGTTTCACTGACTGTTTACCATTGGTTATGGTTCAGACTTTATGAAGTTACATGTTAACTGAGATTTTTATCCATTTTAGATGTATATAATTTCTCTGCCTGGTAGAACTAAGATCCCCAGATGTGATTGGTTTACTGCCCTACAGGACATCAACCAGTTTCCTTTTTTTTTCTTTGAGACGGAGTTTCACTTTTGTCACCCAGGATGGAGTGCAATGGCACGATCTTGGCTCACTGCAACCTTCACCTCCTAGGTTCAAGTGACTCTCCTGCCTCAGCCTCCCGAGTAGCTGGGACTACAGGTGCCCACCACCACACCCAGCTAATTTGCATTTTTAGTAGAGATGGGGCTTTGCCATGTTGGCCAGGCTGGTCTCGAACTCCTGACCTCAGGTAATCCACCCACCTCAGCCTCCCAAAGTGCTGGGATTACAGGCATGAGCCACCACGCCCGGCTAATTTTTGTATTTTTAGTAGAGATGGGGTTTCACCATGTAGGCCAGGCTGGTCTCAAACTCCTGATCTCAGGTAATCCACCCGTCTCGGCCTCCCAAAGTGCTGGGACGACAGGTGTAAGCCACCGTGCCCAGCCTGACCAGTTTCATATCTAACCTAGCAATCTTGTGCCGGTATTCTTCAGGGCCTATTAACTACACAGCTCCTCAAATGCTCTTTGAACCACTTTAGCTTCCTACTGGTTCCCTCATTAACGAGTTAAATACATCTTTGCCATGTACTCATTTTATATTTGTATGAGTCATGTTTAAAACTTTTTAAAAATTATCTATTGACAAGAAAAACATAAGAAAAGAAGATCTAGTTTGTAGCATAGCATGAGAGTAAAACATATACATAAACATTTATATTTTAGGTTAAAAATGGTAGTGTGGAAGACAGCTATTGACAGTGGCTGAAGCGTAGGGAATTTTAAACATGGCTTTTAGCTTAGTTTATAACTAGGTTTTCTGTTTATTGCCAGGAATATAAATCCTTGACAATTATCTGAAAGAATGGGGAAAAGGAAACGATCCATTAGAAGGTATCTGGAAACATGATCCAGTAGTTGTAGTTGTATCTCTGTGACAACAGAGTTCGGTGGGATCAGTAGACCAAAAGATCAGCATTCCAGTCCCAGGAATGCCTCTGTAATACTAGGAGAGTCACCTCCCTCTGAAAGCTAGTTTCTAGCTCCAAAGATACATAACTATTAAATAGTTCCCTGATCTGAGGCTTAAATCACCTTCATTCTGGCTTCCTTGATTCCCCTTTAGAGACATCTCACTGCCAGAAACAGGGGAGTCTTTTAGTCAATTTAAAATAAAAAAATAAGTTCTATTAATAGTGGTGTTGCTGCCTGAAGGCAACCATCAAATCTAGATCAAATCTCACAACCCTCTCAAGCTTGATCTGTTTCTATGGTTGACTCTCAGCATCTGAGGCTCCTTGTCACAGCAAAGTAGGTGAACATGAGTCAAAACCAGTTAGATTCACACACATGAAAAGCCATGTCCGAAGCCCTTGGCATGGGCGTATATCAGATGGGACATTCCCCTACCTTTCAAAGTTAGGGTCCAGTGTTGACGTGGTGATGTAAAACTGCATTTTCCTGCATTTCCTTCATTACTATTGTTTACATTCTAAACCTATCATTCCTTAACTTCTCCACCATTCAAACATTGTAAATCATTCTTTAATTCTGCACTAATCCTCTCTCCCTTTTAACTATATGGCAACTGAAATTGAAGTGAACTTCAATAGTGTTGGAGACTCAGGTAGGTGGAGGTGCATGTCTTTTTTGTTGTTGTTGTTGAGACGGAGTCTTGCTCTGTCACCCAGGCTGGAGTGCAGTGGCGCGATCTAGGCTCACTGCAAGCTCCGCCTCCCGGGTTCACTCCATTCTCCTGCCTCAGCCTCCCGAGTAGCTGGGACTACAGGCGCCCGCCACCACGCCCGGCTAATTTTTTGTATTTTTTAGTAGAGACGGGGTTTCACCGTGTTAGCCAGGATGGTCTTGATCTCCTGACCTCGTGATCTGCCCGCCTTGGCCTCCCAAAGTGCTGGCATTACAGGCGTGAGCCATCGCACCCGGCCAGAGGTGCATGTCTTGTTCCATCCTGATCAAAGTCAAACAGAAAATCTGAGGCTGAATGGAGCCTCTTTTTCTCTATTCACATGCACACATGTGTACAACTGTCCCCTTTCCACGCCTGCCTTCCTCATGACACCCACCACAGCACCCTACACATAAGAGGAGCCCAATAAATATCTGAATACGTGGACAAATCCATGAATCACTCAGGAAAGGACAGAGTGTCATTCCTATTCTACAGAGGTAAAATCTGATACAAAAAGATTTAGTGTCATGCAAGAGCCAGGAAGCAATTCTTCTGCTACATCTGGCACAATTCAGACCCTTAAAAGATAATTATATATGTTTCTGGAAGATTAGAGATATTTGAGAATTGAGGTAAGAGCAATAAATATGACTAAGAGGACAAAAATTGGTTCTGTGAGGGAAATGAAATCATAATAGCAAGGGTTAGACTAAAGACAGACTTCAAGCTATCTTCAGATACCGGATGTGACTACATTGTAAGCCCAATTTAATTACTAACAATAAAACATCCACAACTAAGAGATCTTGATATAGACAACCTGCATAAATTGCACATTATTTAAACTCTTGGCAAGATAAATTCTATCATTTCTGTCAACGTGGCTTAATTAACAATATTTCTGCTCTCCACTCCCACGACATGCTCTTTGATTTAAAATCCCAAATCTTCTCCATTGCCAGAAAGTACATCTACAGTGATGGGTTTCAGTCCTCTACTCATGAATAAATATCAAATTTGTGACCTTTATCACACCCTCTAGGCAAGGATTATTATAATGAGAACTGATCAGTTGCCTCCACATGCACAGCAGGAAAACTCCGAAGTGGGGAGTTTTCCTACAGCCTACGGGAAAAGGTAATTAAACACACAACAGTCCTCTAAGAAGCTCCAAGAAGCTCCTTCTCAATCATCTTTAAAACCACCATTCGTCTCAGATGGCTCTGAAGTAGTGCTGCCTAGAGAGGGACAGGCACAAATGACAGGGCAATGTGCAGGCTCTCTGAGTAGAAGATACTTTCAGGGCCACAAGGCCACAGCAAGCTGGGACTCTGCCACCTCAAATCTTCCTTGGAAGCAGGAGAACTATAAATTCCAATAAAAACAAAAATGACCATGGCCCACCATTATTAACTCTTTGGAACTTCACCTGAGTCTAAAGTGATGAACAGAAAGCGTATTCAAATTTTGGACAATCCCACACACATCACAAATGGCTCTTTTTAATTATTTTCCTTACGTCTTTAAACCCCACTAGTTCAATTATTTTTATAATTTTTTTTTCTTTGGAGATGAAGTCTCACTCTGTCGCCCAGGCTGCAGTACAGTGGCGCGATCTCGGCTGACTGCAACCTCCGCCTCCCGGGTTCAAGCAATTCTCTGCCTCAGCCTCCCAAGTAGCTGGGATTACAGGCGCCCACCTCCATGCCCGGCTAATTTTTGTATTTTTAGTAGAGACAGGGTTTCACCATCTCGGTCAGGCTGGTCTTGAACTCCTGACCTCGTGATCCACTCGCCTTGGCCTCCCAAAGTGCTGGGATTACAGGCGTGAGTCACCGCACCTGGTCTATTTTTATAATTTTTGACAAAGTCTCCATTGTTTTGTGATGAGATGGGAGTATAAATAAAAATCATACTTGCTAACATTCTTGAGTACTTGAGTTTACAAAATATTTTCACGTACGTTGACTAGTTTTCTTAAGGTATTTCCCTTGTAGTATTTCCAAACACACAACAGAATTAATACCACGAGTACTCATTTATCCATCAGCCACCTTTAGCAAATCTTGACACTTTGCTACATTTCCTTCGGGCTTTTGAATAATAATTTAAAAAAGAAAGCTACAGATACAGTTATTCCATTCCACTCTGCTGTCATTTAGAGAGATGACTACTATCCTGAAATACGAGTGTGTCACTCTAAAGCACATTTCATACTTCTACCATATGTGTGATTCATAAGCAATTTATACTATTGTTTAACATTCAATAAATGGTGTCATGTACTAGTCATTCTACAACTTGCTTTTCTAACCCTTACGTTTTTGAATTTTACCTTTGCTGGAAATATAACTCTAGTTCATTAATTCCAATTTAATTCAATTTTCACAGTACCTTTTTACCTAAAATAACGAAAGAGTAAATATCTTGCCTGATTCTAAGAAGCAATGACTAATTCAGATTCCATTCTCATCCATAAGTCCATGTTCTTCTACTGTAAAACTCTGTTTTCTGAAATTAGAAGACTGGAAATTACAAAGTCTTCATTTAAAATCCTGTCAAGCTGTAAGTTAAGGAAAGGAAAAAAAAAAAATCCCCACTTTCGCCACTGTCCCTAGATTCTTCACTATACAAACAGGGCTACCAATTCATTTCGAGAAGACGCTGAACCAAATTCTTCGGTTTCTTTGTCCACTCTGGGAAATGTGAACACTAACCAGACATTTGACGATATCAATGAACTTTACTTTTTAAGAGACAAAGTCTCGTTCTGTTTCCCAGGGTGAAGTGCAGTGATGTCATCGTAGCTCACTGCAGCCTCAAACTGCTGGATTCAAGCAACCCTCTTACCTCAGCCTCCAGGACTGCAGGAACACGCCACCACACCCAACTATTGTTAACTTTTCTTGAAGAGTGAAAATGGTATGTTCAAAAGGAAAAAAGACGTTGCTTAATATTTATACAGTTTCAGTTTTACAAGATGAAAAGAGTTCTTGAAATTGATTGCACAAAAATGTGAACGTACTTAACACTACTAAACTGTACACTTAGAAACTGTGAAGATCGTAATTTTATGCTATGTGTATTTTACCACAATATTCAAAAAAAGGAAAAAGATATATTTAGGGATAAATTATACGTCTAGGTTTGATCTAAAATAATCCACGGTGGGGTAGAGGTTACAGAAAAAACAAAGGTATATGGGGGTTCATTATACCAGTCTCTATTTTTATATGTTTGAAGTTCCAAAATAAAGTTTTAAATAATGGCTTAGCCCAACAAAAAATATTTTTTCCCTTTACTAACAGGTTGCTTTGCTCTTACGTAAAAATAAAAAGCATCCTATTTTTTGAACGCTAGCAGCCCTAAGATCTGCTTTACCTTTTGCAGTTCTAGAAGGGACACTGCTTCTCAAACTTGAATGTGCATCTGAGTCACCCTGGGACCTTGTGGAGATGCAGTTTCTCTTCAGTAAGGCTTGGGTGGGGCCTGAAATGCTGCACTTCAAACAAGCTCCCAGGTGCTGGTGCTGGTTCACGGGTCCCATACTGAGGAACAAGGCAACAGGGGACGCGTAGGCTGCAAGCATTTGCAAGGGGAGAATCTAGCAAGGCTTTATTTAAATTGCATATCTGGGGACTAGAAGGGCACCAACACTGCTCCTCCGTTCTGGGAAAAAGTCTCCCGGCTCCTTTGCACCCCAGCACCAGGCATCACTATCCACTTAGTGAGAACCTCTAAAATGGAGAGCATCATACAAAAACCTCCTAGCAATCAGCTTTATTCCAGCCTTACACTTAAATCTGAACTCCTTAAATAGCCATGAAAATCTAATGCCCTGAAAGATTCTCCTCCTCAATCTATTAAGTAATGACTAAGCCAAAGAAACACATCCAGAAGCCAAAGTGCAGAGGCCCAGGCAAGAGCTGGGAATCATTAACAAACTATAAGAAGGTTAAACGCAGTATATCTTGGAAGCTCTAGTAAATTCCATTAAAGAAATAACATTCATTAAAGCACGCGCGCTCCTAAGCAACCATCAACATCTCTGAAGAATCAAAAGAAGAATTTCTACCCATAGAAAATCTTATCCACAAAATACAGTTATTTCCTCTAATGTTTTATGGTTGTCAGGTTGACTTAACCAAAGTCTTCCGTCCTCAGAGAAATGCTCTATTATCTGGTAGACTATGAATGCCTACAGGACAGGGATTATCACTGACAATTCTTAAGCTCTTACCATATGATCATACAGCTCCCATTTATTGTGCTTTCGAGGTGAGCACGAAGCAGTTTATATGACTTATTTCACCTAAAACATTCTGTCACTAAGGTATTTTATTTATTGAGTCTTTACTCACTAAATCCCTCCCCTCTTTGCAAGTATTTTTCCTAAAATGTTAATTCTTAGCTTCTTTCAGCAGAATGATGTAAAGGAGAAGGTGCTACCCTCTTTGACCTGTGAACTCCAGACCAAGCTATCTAGAGTCCAGCTCTGTCACCCAGGCTGGAGTGCAGTGGTGCGATCTGGACTCTGGTAGAGTCTAAGGGACTCTATCATCTCTACCAGCTCAAATCATGCCCCTTATGGTTCACATATGCATGACAGGGAGCCAGCCACTGGGAGGAGCATGGAAAGAACCCACCCAAGTCCCTGCCTTCAGCAAGCACGCAATCCAGTGGAAATGTCACCAGGCAGAAGAATTAAAATCTATTTATGATGTATTCAACAAACAGATACACACACAAATATACAGTTAGTTCAGGCAGGCAGAGAAACCCTTCTGACAAAAGGGTTAAGGAGTTCTCTATTAAGATGGTTTCTCTATTAAGATGGTTTTGGGGCTGGACCTTCAAAGAGTACTTATAACACATAAAAAAGGGAAAAAATGAACTAAGACACTGAAGCATGTGAGAACAGACTGGTGAGTAGCTTGGAATGGCTGGAATGCACAGACCCAGAGAGCAGGAGCTCTTGGCAGAAAAGAATTCAATGGGCTGCTTATTACAGGAAGTTGATTTGCTCTGAAGCTCTAACTTTGCAATTAATACTTAATTTTTACTTGATAGTGTTATTCTTTTTAAAAAGTCTTATTGTACCTAGCTCCAGCAGCATTTCCCTGAGGCTGCAGCCTCTAGGGAAATTACAAGACACTTGCCCAGGCCAGGTCCTACCTACCTCTGCTGGCCCTAGAGTTTATCACAGGAAGATTTTTTTTGTTTTTAAATGTGTAAATACAGTTTCCAGAGGCTTGTTCCAGGGTGACTCTCAAGCCCAAGCCAAAATACCTAACAAACAAGAAAAATCCATGTATGCAGAGTATAAAGATGTGAAAAGTGTTTTGTGAACTATTTCTAAAGCGTGCAACATAACAAGAAAACATTATAACTCTTATCACTGCTGGGACTGAACTCAGTCCAATGACCTCCAACAGAAAAGAATTAAGGTCCTGAACACCCACATCCAGAGTCAACACTTCGTTTAACAAAATAAAATAATAAAAGTGTTGCTTAGTCAGTTAGGAAAAAAAAAATCCAACGGTAGACACCAGAAATGACTTCACTGTGAAGGACAGATTTCCAGAAATAACACATGTCTAATGCCATTTCTGAAACTACAGCTAGGCAGAAAAAACAATTCTTTTTACCTTTATTTATTCCCAGAATAACAGAAACAAGAACCAAGAGCAACCTTTTCTTGACATCCTTCTGGTGTTTCTGGAAAAATATCTCCTTGCAATAAATAGTGGAGCATGTCCCTGCTTCCCTCACAGAACAGGTATGTAGGTCCATTTTTAGTATATAAAACTAGCTAATGGTAATATGCAAACAGAAATTCTCATCATTGTGTAGATGATCTATTTGCACTGATCACAGATGCCAGGAGAAATTCCCAACATAAATAAAAAGACTAAGAAGGTTTTTTTCCTGGTATTTTCAAGGCAATATACTTAGGGAAATCATAATTTGAGCATATCTTGGAAACTCAAGACACCAAATAAACAAAGAGCTTGTACTTGTCCTTTAAAGAAAGCCTGGGTTTTAGAATGGGGCAGGCTTAGCTTGTAAGGTCTGATGGGGCATCAGGACAAAAGCGAAACCTGAACTTCCCACATGATAATTTTCTAGGTATAGAAAAAGTCTGATGCAATCTGTTCTGTAAGCAATGATTACAGAAAAAAAAAAAAAAATCCTACCTATAAAGTTCACAGTTGGCATACCCTGCCATTCCCGACTGTGCAGGTACAAACTCATCAATTTTGAAAGCCATGAAGCCAAGTGATTGTGCTATCTGGTTAAAAACCTTTGAAACAAACAAATTTCGGCAAAAATGATACATGCTCTGAGGATATGGCATTACGTCATAACGATCCTCCTCACATCCTCCATGGCAGGCGGTTATTGATATAAGATGTACGTGCTTCTCAGGAGTCCCTAAATACTAGGTCCACGCAGAGACATGGGGAGAGGAAGAAAGAATGGTGATTTTAAATATTACTCATAAAAACTCAGTTTATCCTGCGTGGGGGAAGAAATGATAGCAACATCTCCTACCCCAGTCTAGAGTTGTATTTTTAGAGGTCATGTTCACTATTTCTTAGCGGCTTATCTCAAAGAAAAGGAATACCACGCAGGGGGAGACTTATTTAAACTACAAAACACACATCATCTTCTGACTTGTACAAAGTTCTTATAGAAGTTTTCTGGTCACATTAATTGGGTGAGTCATTTTATCTCAAACAGGTAGGTGTATTATGCAATTTTTCATGAGAAAACATAAATACAGATTTACATATGGTCACCTGAATTTTTAGACATTGCCATCTAATTCAACCATGCATTTGTAATACATTGAAGGCCGAAACAGGACAAGGCTGCAAGCCAAATTCAGACTGCAGGCAGCCGATTCATAACATCTGGATTAGAATAATTAATGTAATAGAACAAGAGCAGGAAAATAATTAATAAATAGAACAAAATAATTAATGTAACAGAACAAGAGCAGGAAAAGCTGGTATCATAAGAGGCACTGGAAATTTGCTGTTTCCAAGCTGGTAAAAGAAAGGCAAAAGAAAGGTATTTGCAAATCCATTGCAAGAGAAGAGAGATGGTAGGAGTCCTCCCTCTGCATAACATTTTCAAGGGCTTCCCTTGCAGGCTTAGTGTGATACCAAATGAGGTTCTAGATGACACTGTTTAACATGATGCCTGGCACCTAGCAAACAGCCAATACATGTTAATGCTTTTATTACTGTTATTAAGATAGCAAAACTTAAATGGGTCTTCCACACCAGCTACATGACCTCTGGTAAACTACTTAACATTTCTAGCTCAGTTTTCTCATCTGTAAAATGTGTCGGCACAGACCAAGCTTCAATAAATGTCAGCTGTTATTACTGGTATAGAGGTGATGGGAAGCCCTTCCCAAAAATGTGATCCATGAGAAAAGAAAAACTCTAAAAGCTGTGAACAAAAGGCAAAGTTTTAACAAATTACATTCCGATGGTTGATTCGACTTTAGGCCTATTATTTAACCCACCTGCACTTTTACTGCTTGGTTTGTAGAATGGAGAAAAACAAACTCATTTACTTCATAGGGTAAAATCATCTTGTACATTCTCTTGTGTCAAACAATGATTACAATTATTAGCCCAGATATTAAATATTAACACTTCTATTCCATGACACACACCCATGACGACCACTCACAAATTCATGTGGCACTGGCAGCTCCTTTGGCCCACACTTCAGGAATCGTGCTACATAACAACCCCCACTGCCCGTGAGGCAGGGTCCATCTTCAGCTCCCAACGTGCTTTCACACCCAGCAGGCTCACTGGTCCCCACATCCAGTGACTGGGAGTTCAGATAATTTTGTCCCCATTTTACAGATGAGGATTTAGACACTGGGTCTTTGAATTAATAACCCAAAGCTCACCCTAGGTTATGACCTTGCCTGCCTCTAGTAGCAAATACATGCTACAGAGAAAGGCTCAGAAAAAGTCTTAATTTAGGAGTTTGCTAAACTTCAGTCATTGCTTTTTTTATTTTTATTTGGGATAGAGTTTCGCTGTTGATGCCTAGGCTGGCATGATCTCAGCTCACTGCAACCTCTGCCTCCCAGGTTCAAGAGATTCTCCTGCCTCAGCCTCCTGAGTAGCTGGGATTACAGGCACCTGCCACCACACCTGGCTACTTTTTGTATTTTTTTAGTAGAGACGGGGTTTCACCATGTTGGCCAGGCCGGTCTCGAACTCCTGACCTCAGGTGATCTGCCTGCCTCGGCCTCCCAAAGTGCTGGGATTACAGACGTGAGCCACCGCGCCCGGCCATAGTCATTGCTTATTAATACAGCTGGTACGAGCAGACCCAGGCTAATATTATAGCAACTGAAAAGCAGAACGTAGCTCTATAATTACCCTAATGTTTCTAACAGAATTACACAAAGGGCATAGAATTATGTACAAAAGGGGGAAAATTGTATTAGACACCTCTGAACCTTTGAAATTGTATTACTTAGAACCTTGGCAAATGAGCAGTAAGTATTTAAAGAAGATTAAGATGAATTTTCCTTTTGGTGTCCTACTTAATTTGCACGACAATATTTGGCTTCCACAGTCAATGTAAACTGCTCAGGGCCGCCTTGGTGCCTTCCAAGACGCAGTTACATTCAGCCCAGCCAGCTGCCCAGAGCTTTTGCACCACCAAAAGCAGCAGGGGCCAAGTTACCAACCTCCCAACGCAGGTCAAAGCACCCCTGGAGTTTAATGAGTCACTCTTCTGAGAGCCACAGCCAGCGATGTGGGTTTCCCCATGTGTCAAGTGACATGACGTCTTTACTTCTTCGAATGAGAACCGAAACTGCGTTCCAAACATTTCCTTGAAATATAAATCACTGCCCTCAAACCGACCACCACTGCAAATCTCTACATCTAACCCATCATTTCAAAAGTATAGCTACCTAACACAGGTTTTGATATCAGTAAGAGGCAACTCTACTTACGGAGTCCTAAAATCACAGACCAGGAAGGGAAGCCTAATTTCCTCAATTTATAGTTGGGGAAAGTGAGGGCCAGAAAGAGGAGGTGATTAGCTGAAGATGACACAGTAAGTGACAGAAGAAGGCTGCCAACACCCCTTGACTGTATGGGAAAACATCGCATTTCCTCAAACATCTGGGAAACATCCTTAACAATTCTCAGCACTTAGCACTTAGCCTCAGGTGGGCTTCACTGCCCATTTCTCAGGGTCCAGTCCAGGCATTCCCCCGTGTCCAAGCACTTTTCTCCCTTTCGAAACCAGTGCATGATTCCCGTCCCCCACATCTTTAAAGAGCCACCTCTGGCTGGGGGGTGGCTCATGTCTGTAATCTCAGCACTTTGGGAGGCCCACGGTGGGAGGATCGCTTGAGGCCAGGAGTTTGAAAACAGTCTGGGCAACATAGAGAGACCCTATCTCTACTACATATTTAAAAATTAGCTGGGTATAGTGGTCTGTGCCTATAGTCCCAGCTACTGTGGAGGCTGAGGCAAAAGGATTGTTTGAGCCCAGGAGTTAGAGGCTGCCTGAGCTATGATTGTGCCACTGCACTCCAGCCTAGGGAACAGAGACAGACTCTGTCTCTAAAAAAGAAATAATTTAAAGAGCCACTCTTGTTTTCCCATTCTGTTCCCTGTTCAAGCTCTTCTCTCCCCAGCAAATTTTTGTTGTTTTTGTTTTGTGTTGTTTTGTTTTTGAGACAGAGTCTCGCTCTGTCACCCAGGCTGTAGTGCAGTGGCGCAATCTGGACTCAAAACGACCTCTGCCTCCTAGATACAAGCGATTCTCCTGCCTCAGCCTCAGGAGTAGCTGGGATTATAGGCGCCCACCACCATGCCTGGCTGATTTTTTTGTATTTTTAATAGAGACGAGGCTTCACCATGTTGGACAGGCTGGTTTCAAACTCCTAACCTCAAGTGATCCACTCGCCTCGGCCTCCCAAAGTGGTAGGAGTATGAGCCACCCCACCTGGCCTCCAATGGATTTTTGAGTAGAACGTGGTTTCCGCAGCTTTTTGCCCAATCCTGTACCTGGCTTCCCTTGAAGATAAGCACAGGGACTATTTTCACCTGAGAGGTCTTCACCTCTCATTTTAATAGGGAGGCAACAGGTAACTGGAGAAACAAACCTGAGAACATGTAAAAGCTGCCAGTCTTACAAACATTTTGCCCATGTCCATAACACAGTGTCATTTTTTTTTCTGAGAAAGCGATTGGAGTTTCCACTTTATTGCTCAAACTAGAGATGAATCTCCGTCCCTCCACCTTCCACCATTCTTTAAGAATCCTTTTGCTGCTTCCCACCCCATTCTTCCATCTCTCACCTGAGTAGCAGGTGCATGCATTCTAACTAGGGTGTGCCAATTTCACCAGGCAGCTCTCCCTCAAGGGAAACCTCCCTTTAGGCTTTTTCTCACCTCATCACAACACAAAAAGATAAGACTGATAAGAAAGACAAACATTGATAAAGAAATCTCCTCTTTGTCTGACATCTCAGAGCACATTCCCGAGCTCGTCTCATCTAAGAGGGTTCTTTGGGCATCAAACTCATCACCAACTCTTTTTTCACTAACCCTCTCCACATAACCAGCCAGTCCTACACAGAAGCACGAATCCGGTGGCCTGGGTTGGGGGGGAGGGGGCCAAGGGGGCCTGCTAGGGAATCACTCCATGGCTCCCGCTTCTCAAGGGGCCTGAAGGAACAGGAGTGTTTTCTTAATACCATTCCTTCTGGTCCAGTGCTCACCTCCTTCATTTCACCAGCAGGTGCCCAACCCATGTCACCACCTTCACCCTCAAGAAGATTGGTGGAATCTTAAATCTCACATGCAGACTTTCAAGAGGGAGTTCCATACTCCCACACCCAGACATAGTCCCCCATCATCTCCAAATCAGGTCTCTCTCAATTATATCTCTTCTGTTCTAAGTAAAAATTACTAATATAAGCATCCGTTTGAAACCTCAGCTTTATTTCAATCTGTTTCAATCACTTTAATCCAGCCAGGCAAGAGGTCCTCAATCAATGAAGCCAACGACTCACTGCAGAGAGGCAAAGACTCTCTTCTGCTTCTGAAGGCCCACTTGGGCTTGGTTTACAGAGTGGCTGGAATAAGCACACTGTTTGGCCAATTATATACCTTTTAAAACATCCAGAAAACTATTAAAGAAAAAGAAAATTTCATTCAGTTTCCTGGAAAATCTAGCTTTTGTTTATTTATAAGACATTTAGAAAATCACTAGAAACTTCATTCTACCTACTCAAGTTGTTGGGTTTTTGGGGTTTTTTTTTGTTTGTTTTTTTGAGACCAGCTCTCACTGTGTTGTCCCGGCTGGAGTGCAGTGGCACGATCCTGGCTCATTGCAACCTCTGCCTCCCAGCCTCAAGCAATCCTCCCACCTCAGCCTCTCAAGTAGCTGGGACTACAGATGTGTGCCACCATGCCTGGCCTAAGAAACTGTTGAGTCAAATTCTTTGCACAAAGAATCACACTAGACCTTTATTCAGACAACTTTATGCTACTTCTCTTTTTACAGGCAACATACTAATTCTACTTAAGGAGACGGAAAAAAAGGATTTTCCACAAAAACGTGGAAGAGAAGAGCAGTTTTATGTACTCCGCTGCTCGTTTAACATACAACACATGCATTAAGTTAATCCTTACAACAACCCTATGAAGTTGGCATTCATCCTCTACAAAACCTTTTTAAAAAAACATGGCTATAAAATTAAAAGATGAAACATTCTTTTATCCCTGTTACAATGACAAGGAAACTAACGTTCAGAAAGGATAGTTTGCCCAAGGTCACACAAGCTGTCCCACACAAGCTGTCCCACACAAGCTGTAACAGGTAGGTCTGCCTGACTCCAAAGTCCACGTTCTTTCTTCCCACTACACCACACAACCCAGCGTCCTTCGCCTTTTTTTGTTTCAGAGATGAGGTCTTTCTATGTTGTCCCCTGTTGTGCAGTCATAGTACACTGCAACTTCGACCTCTGGGCCACAAGTGATCCACCCACCTCAGCCTCAAAGAAGCTGGAACAACAGGTGCATGCCACCACACCCAACTTTCCTTCATATTTACTTCTTCTGTGGCACTGATGCCTACCCTCCCTTCCAGATCCACAAGGACAAAAGCACTGGTATTGTTCATCTCAGACAATGAAAACTTAACACAGAACCACAAATTTTGCCTACAAAGACATTGCCACTGGAAACTAAGTCTTCCCCTACTGGCCCAGTATCTTGTTAGCAGTTCATGGATATTAGCAACACCAAAATAATTACCATCATTGGCTAGTTACTGAGTATCTCAACAGGCAATAATCCAGCTAGAACTCTGATATTCAGAGAAAAAAGTTCCAGCGTTGGTGTGTCTTGGGTGTCACTGCAGGAGCTTGCTTATGGCTGTGGGACCCCCTAGGAGGAGCAAAGAGCATGGGATGAAAGGAGCAGAGCTGCCTCCAGACACAACCTGCGGAAGAAACGGCAGGCGAGAAAGTGAGGGAAAACCTATGGTTCCCTTCTCAGATTTCTAAAATGAACCATCAAGGTGAAACAAGACATAAATTCCTCTATGGAAGGAGGAGAAGAGAGACAAGGAAAGAGAAAACGGGGAAATTAATAGCAAACAAGTTCTGCAACTTGTAGCAAACAATTTTCCCTCGGTAGATCAAACAACCTCGTGGGATCCATGAGGTATTTATTAGAATGTGGTAACAGGTGACAAAGGTTGCATAGCTTGTTCAAAGTCGTCAAACTAGTCAGAGAGGCTAGTTTGATGCAACAAACTATGCAACAAACAGAACGGTTGCATAGCTTGTTCAAGGTCATCAAACCAATGAGCAACAGTGGAAGACAAAGACCCAGGTTTCCTGACTCCTGACCCCAGGGCTCCTGCTCACAAGCCTCTGTGGAGACTGACAGGAGGCCCCACTAACCAAGGGTTAGGTCATTAGGTTTTGAGTTCCCATTTTACCAGTAACTTGCCATAAGATAGAGATTAGTGAGGACTGTGACAAACTGAAGAAAATGTGGCACATCTAGAGGAGGCAGCTGCTATTCAGTCCGGGTGATTATGGCCATATAGGAAATCACGTCTAGTTCTTCTCATTTTTCAAGAAAATCTCCCAGCTTTTAAATATTTGCTCCAAAATTTTAAAAACAGCATGTTGGTCAGATCAAACACATATGGGGGAGGGGTGGAATGAGCCCACAGGCAACCAGTTCCAAATCTGACGTATGTAAAATAAAAAACCAAAGGCCGGGCATGGTGGCTCACACCTGTAAACCCAGCACTTTGAGAGGCCAAGGCAGGAGGATCACTTGAGCCCAGGAGTTCAAGACCAGCCTGGCTAACATGGTGAAACTCCATCTCTACTAAAAATACAAAAATTAGCTGAGAGGGCATGTAGTCCCAGCTACTGGGGAGGTGGAGGTGGGAGAAGCACTTGAGCCCAGGAGCTGTGATCATGCACTCCAGCCTGGGTGACAGAGCAAGACCCTGTCTCAATAAAAAAAAAAATTTTAAAAATAAAGGACCAATACTAATAGCTGGTTCCTGACTGAGAGACCACATGGGCATGGAGGTATTGGTGCTATAGTATTATCTCTCATGCAAATATACTACTACTTTTTAAGTATATGTAGATGCTATTAAGATAAAATTTAAAGTAATTTGCATAATTAAATTCACAGTAGCATTTTATAACTATTTATTTTTCAAAAAAAAAAACTGACAGCAAAAATACAACCAAAAACACATGAATCTCACGTATTTTTTTTTTTTTTGGAGATGGGATCTCACTATATTGCCCAGGCTGGTCTTAAACTCCTAAACTTAAGCATCCTCCTGCCTCAACCTCCCAAGCAGCTGGGACTACAGGTGTGCATCACTATCTCATACTTTTCTTAATTGAGAAAAAAGAAATTCTCATATTTAGAAAAGGTTGGGAATAACTGGACTAGACAATTTCAAAAGATGTCAGTCTTATAATTTCATGATTATATGCTACAAAGAGGTGGGAGACTAGGAAGGAAAGATAAGTTCCCAAAACACATCAAGGTATATACTTAAAGCTCAGAACACACACAGCCATCTTAGTGCCTCATCATGAATGGTGAACCACCCAATTGCCCAAGTTCAAGAACGAAGGTAAAATAGCCAACGATACCAGCAATATTTGTTGATCTGCTTTTCAGGCAATTAAAAAAAAGACAGAAACAGATACACAAAAGGCCATCATTGAGTTTCTATGGCAGTGTAAAATACCAGACATTAAGCACAAACAATTGCAAATTCATAACCGACTGGTGCAACTAAGAAACCTGTGACGCTAGAAGGCCAGGGAAAAATTTGACCTGTTCTAGGCTGGCCCAAAAGGCCTCCCCAAGAAGTGGAGATTTGACAGAGCTGAGATCTCACGGATCAGTAAGAGTTAAGTGGGATGAGAGAGATGGGGCTTTCCATCAAAGGCCTCTGTGGGCAGGAGGATGTGCTATTTTCAAAGAACTGAAAGGCCAACGTGGTTGAAATGAGAGTAAGAGCTTCTGAGAGTTCAGTGTGTGGATGAAGAGGCAACAGGAAAAAGAGCACTGAGGCCCTCTAAACATGTTCAGAATGTTTGTGTCTTTACCTTAACATATAATGCAAGGCCAGTACCTCACATGGTGCCTATCTCATAGCAGGCATACAAGAAATACATGGTAAAACGGAAGTGGTTATAGGAGAGGAAGCTAGAGATGTGGGCTGGAGCTGGGTTTCCAAGAACCTTGTAGAACAGGCTAAGGAGTTTGAACAGCCAGGCGCGGTGGCTCATGCCTATAATCCCAGCACTTTGGGAAGCTGAGGTGGGCGGATCACTTGAGGTCAGGAGTTCGAGACCAGCCTGACTAACATGGTGAAACCCCGTCTCTACTAAAAATACAATAATTAGCCAGGCATGGTGGCGGACGCCTGTAATCCCAGCTACTTGGGAGGCTGAGGCAGGAGAATCACTTGAACCCAGGAAGTGGAGGTTGCAGGGAACCGAGATCACGCCACTGCACTCCAGCCTGGGTGACAGAGCAAGACTCTCAAAAATAAATAAATAAATAAAAGAGAATGGGATGCCCATAATGGGTTCAGGCGTACTTAAAGGATGACTCAGCATGGAGAAGGGCTTGAAAGGATGCAAGACTGGAAGCAAAATCCCAGTGAGATTATTACAACAATCCATGAGACAGATGGTAGTGGCCTGGCCTATGGTGACGGAATGGAGAGAAGAAAACATAGTCCAAAAAAGGTAGCAGAATTGACAGGCCTCATTTCCTCTTCAGCTCTGGGGTAGGGAGAAGCCCAGGATGGCTGCCAAGTTAGTGTCTTGGGCACCTCGTGTGTGGTAGTGTGGCTGACTGAGAAGAAGCAGGTTTGGGGCACAGATAAATTCACTTTAAACACTGACCTTATGTCACCTTTGAGTCATCCAAGTAGAATTGTCAAAGAGGCAGTCAAGAGGTCTGAGCTGGAACACAGGCTTGGGAGACAGAGACTGGCACTTTAAGATAGATTACAGAGGCCAGGCACAGTGGCTCACGCCTGTAATCCCAGCACTTTGGGAGGCTGAGGCGGGCGGATCACGAGGTCAGGAGATCGAGACCATCCTGGCTAACACAGTGAAACCCCGTCTCTACTAAAAATACAAAAAATTAGCCAGGCGTCGTGGCGGGCGCCTGTAGTCCCAGCTACTCAGGAGGCTGAAGCAGGAGAATGGTGTGAACCCGGGAGGCGGAGCTTGCAGTGAGCCAAGATCACTGTCACTGCACTCCAGCCTGGGTGACAGAGCAAGACTCTGTCTCAAAAAAAAAAAAAAAAAAAAAAAATCACAGAAAGTGTTGAGGGGAGAAAAGAGAAAAGCAGTCACCAAGGGTTGGACAAATCCATCCTTTACACAGGGATGGAGAAAAAGGAGAAAATCAAAAAGAATACGTTGTCATGAAAGCCAAGGGAGGAAAGCATTTAAAAGGGACAAGAATGGTCAACAGGGTCAAGTTGGAGAAGAATGCCAAGTCACAGCACCATGTTCTGGTTTGGCTGGTTTTTTCGTTTAGGGTATTGATCATAATCTGTAAAGCTTCTTTTTTTTTTCTTTGCCCATCTCCTAAGACTGTATAAGTAACATGAAGATTTGCTCCCTATTGTATTCCTATGGCCCCATAGAAGACTTGTTGCACAGGCCGGGCGCGGTGGCTCACGCCTGTAATCCCAGCACTTTAGGAGGCCGAGGCGAGCAGAGCACGAGGTCAGGAGTTCGAGACAAGCCTGGCCAACATGGTGAAACCCTGTCTCTACTAAAAATACAAAAATTAGCCAGGTATGGCGGCGCCCGCCTGTAGTCCCACCTACTCGGGAGGCTGAGGCAGGAGAATCACTTGAACCCCGGAGGCAGAGGCTATGGTGAGCTGAGATCGCGCCACTGCACTCCAGCCTGGGTGACAGAGCGAGACTCTGTCTCAAAAAAAAAAAAGACTTGTTGCACAAAGGTCTCCAAGGCCTCTGTTGAAGAAACTGATGAAGGATGGATGTATGAATGCTTCAGGAAGGAAACAGTACTGAAAAATAACTACAGATGGAGAAGGCAGAGATAATACCCAGGTGAACGGCCCGAGATGGCAGAGAGGATGGAGCCAGGGTTGGTTGGTCTTGGATGACACAGAGACATTAGGTGGATCATTTCCCATCAATCCTCTTCCCCAAGAAACAGAGATTTTTAAATTGTTTCCTATGAGGTTCTACATTGTCCAGATAGTTCACTATTCCATAGAGAAATGAATGTTTCCATTCCTGTTGAGACTTTATTGCGGCCGGGAGCGGTGGCTCATGCCTTCAATCCCAGCACTTTGGGAGGCCGAGGCGGGCAGATCACGAGGTCAGGAGATCAAGACCATCCTGGCTAACAAGGTGAAACCCCGTCTCTACTAAAAATTCAAAAAAAAAAAAAAAAAAAAAGACTTTATTGCCAGAAAGCCTTGAGTAAGTAGGTTGGGAATGGGGCTTCTCTGAGAATTTCAATTCCATTCCTCTGCATCATGAGCACCAGGATCTCAAGCAGTTATTTCACCCCAACAACAATTGTATCTCATCCAATGAATATGCTTCAATGCTTTAAAACAAGTCAAGGTACAAACATATGCCCTCGGAAAGCAGGAAAGCTGGAAGGGTTATTCATATTAACAAATCATTAGTCACTTTTTAGTCACTATAAGGGTCACTCACAGCACTAAAGAGGCCAATCCCTTAGTTCACATAAAACCCAACTCAATTTATAAATTGTGACCTCAAAGTCAACTTCCTAAAAATACATTTGGCATCTGCCTTTCCCTGAAAAATAGATCTGCTCCCCCATTATCCCCACAATGATAGACTACATTAACTATGTCCTAATTAAATGTTCTAAATCTGAAATTAAACCCATTGGGGGAGTGTGGGGGGAAAGCCTGCATCTTCGTAAGGCTGCCCTAATTTACTTAGTGTCAAGGGCCCAATTGGCCTTTATACCTCTTTAAATCAATCAATTAGCTGGGACGCACCTTCTTACTTTCAAAAGGAGGCTGTAGATAGGATGAGATTTCATCCAGGACTTTTCAATAAACAAAATCACAAGCATCAAAAGAATGTTTGTCCTGGGAGCTGCCAAGGAAGGCCAACTGATAGAGTGAAAAGGGCTCTGGACCAGGAATCAGAACCGTAAATTAGCAACCGGCTTTCAGGAGATCAAAACCATTATCTTTTCCACTCTGCCCACTACCCCCTCACTTCTGTTCTTTTGCTCAGTGTGTGGCACCACCCCACGTTTGTATACCAGCAACCACATAGAGCCCGGCGTAGTCAGTTTTGTGAAGGTGCAAAGAGGGAAGGAGCCAGACTGCCGATGTCTGAATCCAGCCTCTATCACTAGCTTGAGCAAGGTGATTTCCTGGCTTTAGGTTTCTTATCTATAAAGTGCGGACAGGTAACAGTACTCTCCTTACAGGACTGTTGTGAGGATTAAATGGATTAATAATTCTAAGTACTTGGAACATCGCCTAGCCAACAGTGAGGAAGAGTTTCTCAATTTCATCATTCTCATCACTACCATCACTGTTTGACCTTGAGCAAGTCACTGTTCACTAGGGGTTAAGTTTCTCCATCAGTAAAATGATGGGGTGGATGAGCTGATCTCAGAAAGATTCCCACTAGCTTAACTCCTCTCTAATTCTTTGAATCCTATTACAACACCCTAAATCCTCCTAAGCTCTAAGACCAGCCACAGGGAGTGAACGTTATGCTGGTTCTTTCAGATCCTGAGGAGGTGTTTCAGCCCATGCAGCGGCAACTCCTCCCAGCCACAGGCCGGTCCTATAGTCCAGAGTCCAGCCCGCCAGCCTTGATTACAGATATTAGTTGTTCAGAGATCAAAATATTCATCATGCTATTCAAAGCTGTGGAAACAGCACAGGCATAAGAAAAGGTCACACTTTTTAGAGGAAAGAAACCAGAGAGAAAGAGATGAAGAACAAATCAAAAGACCAAAGCAAACACGACAGACCAAAAATACACCTTGCCTATGAGGCTATTTATTTAGCATCCTTCCTCTAATAGCAATTAAGAGAACTTCAAACTACAAGGTGGCTTTGTAACAGGGGAAATTTTCCCTACCTTGAAGCACAGCCCTCTTGGAGTGACTTCCCCTGTCTTCAAAGTCAGCAGAATCCTCCCTGGAGCACAAATGCTATGAAGCCAACTGTCTCAGGTACAAGTATCTTTCTTAAAGCATTAATTACCCAACATTTACATAACCTCCATTCCGCCCAAAAGTAAAGGCAGCATTCAGGATGATCAAGTCCCCTTTTCTTTTTGGCCCTCAGTTTCCATGTCTATAAAACGGAGGAGGGAGGAAGTCAAGCCACCTAATTTTCGAGTTTCCTGGCAGCATTAAAATTATAAGAATCTGTCCATGATTTGTACTTTGCATGGTAAGAGGTTTTATTTTGCTTTTTTAAATGAAGGCTTGAAAAAAGTTCATAGTTATTTGCCAATTTCTGCCTAAAGCTAGACTTCTTGGGTTAAATCCTCACTTTATTAGTAGCTCTGTGACTTTGGGCAAATTACTTAACCTCTCTGTGTTTCAGATTTCTCATCAGTAAAATAAGGATAATAGTACTAATAGAGTTTGGATATTTGCTCTCCCAACAACCGGTATCTCATGTTGAAATGTAATCCCCAGAGTTAGAGGCGGGCCTGGTGGGAGGTGTCTGGATCATGGGGCAGATCCCCCATGAATGGCTTGGGCCATCCCCCTGGTGACAAGCAAGCTCTCACTCTGAGCTGTTGAGAGATCTGGTCATTTAAAAGTATGGGGGCACCTTTTCCCCCACTTTTGCTTGCTCCTGCATTCGCCATGTGAAGTGCCTGCTGCCATTTTACTTCCATCATGACTGGAAACTCTCTGAGGCTTCACCAGAGGCTGAGCAGATGCCAGCACTATGCTTCCTATACCACCTGCAGAACTGTGAGCCAATTAAACCTCGGTTTAAATTACCAGTCTCAGGGATGTCTTTACAGCAATGCAAAAACAGCCTATTACAAGTACCTTCCTCATAGTGTTGGTGTTAGGACTGATTTAGCTAACATACATAAAGTAATTAAAACCACACCTGGAACACGGTTCGCAATATTTTAGTGTGGTTATTATTATTTTCAAACGTTTTCCCATTCAAAGAGAAAATGTATTCAGAAGACAGTATGCAAGGACAAACACACAGCAGGACACCGGGTTCTAGTCACGATTCTGCCCCAAACTAGCTGTATGCTGTGGATGAACTGCCACCCTTCTCTGGGTCTCAGTTTTCAGAGCAGGCTGCAAAAGAACTTTCCTGAAAGTATTCAGATCAGAGGCGATAAGTTGATAGGCAGTGTTCTGTTTGACCTACAGTTTTAAACCCCATGGTGTTTCTTTAAAATTTGATTTATTCTCAATACTTAAAATCTGGAGATTTTTCATAAAAATCCACAACATCTAAAGTTCTATCAGCCCAGACCCTCGGCCCCGGGCCCTTGGCTGCGGTTCTTAAAGTGCGGTCCCTCAACCAGCAGCAGCTGCATCACCTGGAAACTCATCAGAAATGCAAATTCTCAGGCTCCATTCCAGAGTTACAGAGTCAGAAACTGTGGAAGTGGGGCCTGGCCATCTGTGTTTCAACAAGCAGGACACTGATACACACTGAAGTTCCAGAACCACGGCAGTGGAAGAACAACGGGCAGGTGTTGAAGGGCAGTGGCCCCATCAGAAAACAGGGATGAGAGGTGATCTCCATTTACCAATGTACCCTGCCTTCCTGGCATCCCTGACTCATACTGAGGAGTCGGCATTTACTGAGCCACCCACCACACTCATCTTCCTTACCGTCCAGTCCCTGGGAGGCCTTGGGCTCCGCAGCTCTGACCTAGGTGGACCATCTTTCTCACAACGGGGTAATGAGCCCGCAGGCACCATATGCCCGTAGGATTGTGTTGTTCCAAATCAAAACTGTGTGAAAAGCAGGCTGTGCACACCAAGGGCACAGTTGAAAGAACAAACTGTTGAGTTGCCTTTATTAATCACAACACAATCCGCGCAAGCAGCTGCTATGAAGAACAGCTGCAGCTGCTAAAAGGGTGATCTTGAAGCAGCCTAAAACAGTGCTTACAGCTGAATGCCCATCAGGCACAGGCAGACTTACAGTCTGCCTCACTCAGTGCCTTTCTCCAGGCCAGAAATCATCCCCTTTCCATTCCTTGTGACAGGGTGGGATGGGGTAGAAAAGCTGTTGTTTTGTTTTTAAATTATTGCCAGCTTGGGCAACATGGCGAGATCCTGTCTCTGCAAAATATTCAAAAATTAGCCAGGCGTGGCTGGGCATGGTGGCTCACGCCTGTAATCCCAGCAATTTAGGAGGCCGAGGTGGGCGGATCACGAGGTCAGGAGTTCGAGACCAGCCTGACCAACATGGTGAAACCCCATCTATACTAAAAATACAATAATTAGCCAGGGGTGGTGTCAGGCGCCTGTAATCACAGCTACTCGGGAGGCTGAGGCAGGAGAATCGCTTGAACCCGGGAGGCAGAGGTTCAAGTGAGCCGAGATCAAGACATTGCACTCCAGCCTGAGTGACAGAGCACGCCCTGTCTCAAAAAAAAAAAAAAAAAAAGAAAAAGAAAAGAAAAGAAAAGAAAAATTAGCCAGGCATGGAGGTGTGTGTGCCTGTAGTGCCCACTACTCAGGAGTCTGAGGTGGGAAAATTGCTTCAGCCCGGGAGGTTGAGGCTGCAGTGAGCCGAGATCGCACCACTGCACCCCAGCCTGGGTGACAGAGCACGCCCTGTCTCAAAAAGAAGAAAAAGAAAAGGAAAGGAAAAGAAAAGTATTGTAATATGAAGAATGAGGTGAGTTTCAAAGGATTTGAGTTTGATCCCACCTCAACCATTTAGTGACCTTGAATGAGTTACTTAACTTCTCTTGATTATGGTTTCTTCCTGTGTTAAAACAGATACAATAATAATACTTACTTCCTAGGGTTGCTGAGGAATAAATCAAATCAGATTATACATATGAAAGCATTTTGTAAATTGTGGAGGACTAGATAAAAATAGAGGCTTATCAGCATCATCCCATGAAAGCTGCAGTTTGAACCATAAATCATAAAATGTAGAAGTCACTGTTTCTGGCCTAGGACTATCAGGGGTAAAATCTGAGAATCACATGGCGACAGAGGGCCTTTTGAGGACTTGTAATCCAACTCTTCTACATTCCTCCTACTCCACCCCCGCCATCCCTGCATGCTATTAACAGGAGTCTAGCAAAAGTGTGGTCCCACCTGGAAAACCTTTACCCACAAAAAGCAGCTCACTAAATGCCAAGGCAGGCAGCCCCACCCCATCATAAGCCTTATCTGAACATAGACCATACCTCCTTATGGAGACCAAATTAAACTTGCTAAAATTTCAGCCACCTTGAAAGCTCCTTTCAAGTTTACCCCTCACCTCAGGGCCTTTACACCTGCTGTCTGTCTACCTGGAATACACTTCCACCCAGTCTTCAGATGGCTGCTGCTGCTGCTGCTTCCATTTCAAACGTCTCTGCTTCAGAGAAGGCTTCTCAATCATTCTTCACTCTATCCTACCCAGCTGCCCACCATCATCATATTCTTTGCTTCTTGTTCTTTTAGAGCACACACCCCTGTTTACTTGCATGCTTAATTTTGTTAAATCCTCCAGAGAACAGAAGATCTATGGAGGTAGTGGTCTTGGTTCTTATTCACTACTCTGTGCACTTACATAGTAATTGCACCAGTAATTACACTAGCACATGGCAGGCATGCCAACATATGTTGAATGAAGTTATGAATGAATGAATGCTTAACACCATTCTACACACACTGTAGATATTCAAATACTAGTTGGAAGAGACGAAAGCCTAAACAAGACTTATACCAACTCCCACTACTGACTTAACTCACAAGTCTTCTTGCGTTAAGGAAAAAATATAAAATATAAACAAATTGAACAGTTCCCCATGTCAGCTTTATTCATAGCAGCACTATCCCTAGTTATCTCTTTATCTTCTGTAGAGTGAATTCATGAAAAGGCACTTAAGTGGATGAAAAACAGATAGCTGTTTCCTGGAAACAGGGCCTCACAGAAGGGCATAATTATGAACAGTTCTTAAAAGAGATCACTCAGCTGGCAAGTACTTACCCAGGTCTATTGTAAACACTGTCACAAGCCCTAAGGATGAGTTGGGCAAGGCCTAAAAATCAGACCTAGGGAATGAATGTCTATAGGGCTTGTATTTACTCATTCCACTCTCAGTCAGATTCACCCCCTATATACCCTTGGCTCAGGTGAAGAGCAGAGAAGTCCAAAGGGGAATGAAACCTCGCATCCCTCCCTTGTCTGCGACTATAGAATCAACCCCCTCAACCCAAGAAAGATGGCTAAGAGTAGAAAAGTCTACAAGCTCTTTGCAGGTGATATACTGACTGCGGCAGAAGACACCCAATAGCTGGGTGGAGTCTTGATCTCCAACCGATTCTGTGACCTACGAATCAGTCACATCACCTCCCAGAGTCTCAGTACTCCCATCTAGAAATGGGGATTAATACTTCCTATACAACCTTTCTCAAAGGCCTGACCTAAGGATAATACCATACCAAATGTGAATATTTATTGTCATCTATAAAGCATTGTGCAAAGATAAATTAGTATTGATCGCAAATAACAGTAGTTTCTAATAATAAAGAATTCCTACGACTTGCGTTCCAGATTAACCATCCAAGTGGAGGCACTTGGAGGATGACTGATAAGCACACTAAACGCCATAATGAGAAAGATAACGTGTGCCCACTGTGCATTCTGAAAAGCCCTGAGTATGGGCATGCCAGAGGTCCGGAAGTACCCTCACATGCCTGTGAAGAAACACCGGGGTCCACAAGGAAGGGAACATCCCTATGAGTCATGAGTTGCAGTTTGCTGTTCCCAGTCAACAAGCTACAGCAATCACTATGGACATTTCTTATATTGCCCTAGGATAGGTCTTAAGGAATGTAGAAAAACTTGCCCTACATCCCTCTGCCACATAAGGAGATAAGATCAAAATTTTCTGGACTCCAGAAAATGATAAAGTATAACTCAATGGATTTTTAAAAATCATAAAGAGACAAGGTTAGAAAGTGCTAATTTCTCAGAGACTGCAATAAAAAGCTTCACTGGGAAGAGCTCTTTTAAAGAGTGACTCAAGTCACATCACACTTAGTGAGCACCTACTATGTGCATGACCCCCTGGGTGCTGCAAAGATAAATAAGCCAGGTATTCTTTAAAGCATGGGAAAGAACAGGCTAAGGGCCACAAAAGGGACCAGGTATTAGGAGGAAACACAGGAAAGGTAAATTTTCTTCTTTTTTTTTTTTTTTTTGAGACAGAGTCTCCCTCTGTCGCCCAGGCTGGAGTACAGTGACGCGATCTAGGCTCACTGCAAGCTCCGCCTCCTGGGTTCACGCCATTCTCCTGCCTCAGCCTCCCAAGTAGCTGAGACTACAGCAGCTGGGATGACAGACGCCCACCACCACGCCCAGCTAATGTTTCGTATTTTTTTTTTAGTAGAGACGAGGTTTCACCGTGTTGGCCAGGATGGTCTCGATCTCCTGACCTCGTGATCCGCCCTCCTCGGCCTCCCAAAGTGCTGGGATTACAGGCATGAGCCACCACGCCGGGCCAAATTTTCTTCTTCTCAAAGACATATAGGAAGGCTTCATGAGTCAAGTGGCATTTGAGCTGGGAGAAAAAAATAAAGCGGACATAAGGTGTCAGAAGGTCATCTGTAGAACCTGGGACATTTAATTGTTTCTGTGACATGGATCCTCTCGACAGACTGTAGAAGCCTATAGATCCCTGCAGAGAATAGCATATTTAAGTGAATATGATAACATCACACAGGATTTCCAAGAAAATCAGTATTAAAATACAAAATGCGGCCGGGCACGGTGGCTCACGCCTGTAATCCCAGCACTTTGGGAGGCCAAGGCAGGCAGATCACGAGGTCGGGAGATCGAGACCATCCTGGCCAACACAGTGAAACCCAGTCTCTACTAAAAATACAAAAAAATTAGCCAAGCATGGTGGCGGGCGCCTGTAGTCCCAGCTACTCGGGAGGCTGAGGCAGGAGAATGGTGTGAACCCGGGAGGCGGAGCTTGCAGTGAGCCGAGATCGCACCACTGCACTCCAGCCTGGGTGACAGAGCGAGACTCTGTCTCAAAAAAAAAAAATAAAAAATAAAAAAATAATAATAAATGCCTTTTTAAAGTAAATTTGTGATAGAGTACCCTATGTGATTATTAGTGCCTTAAATAATAAAATCTAGCAGCAAGTCTAATATCCACCATAATTTCAAAGCAGCAGTAAACATTTTTTGAGATATCTGCAACAACTGTAATGTGAAATAAAAATGCCTGGGATTTCTATTGGCAACAAAAACATACGAACCACTAATAACACTATGGTTTCCCATCTATATTTATAATGAAAGAAAATGCTATATTTAAGTTAGAGGTTAATACAAATAAAGATGTCCTTTTTTCCCCACTCAAGTTCACAGGTTCCATGCTGTTTCCATGGACCCAGGTTAGGGAACTCTGATGAAGAGCCTCGGCCAGACACGGTGGCTCACGCCTGTAATCCCAGCACTTTGGAAGGCCGAGGTGGGTGCATCACTCGAGGTCAGGAGTTCAAGACCAGCCTGGCCAACATGGCGAAACCCCATCTCTACTAAAAATACAAAAAATTAGCTAGGCATGGTGGCACGCACCTGTAATCCCAGCTACTCCAGAGGCTGAGGCAGGAGAATCACTGGAACCCGGGAAGCGGAGGTTGCAGTGAGCCAAGATTGAGATCGGCCACTGCTCTCCAGCCTGAGTGACAGAGCAAGACTCTGTCTCAAAAAAAAAAAAAAAAAAAAAAAAAAAGAAAGAGAGAGAGAGAGAGAAAAGAGCCTAAGAGCCTAAGCAAAGAAAGAAAGTGAGAAATTGGGGTGTATGTTACATGACAATGTAGAACATGCAGAGACAGGAGGCGGCATGGAAAGGTAGGTAAAATCCTCAGAAGATGGCAAATAAGGTAGGTAAAATCCTCGGAGGTCACCAATGTGAGAATTCATTACTCCCAATTATTAAATAATAGAATAGAGGTGGGGCGTGGTAGCTCATGCCTGTAATCCCAACACTTTGGGAGGCCAAGGTGGGAGAATCACTTGAGCCCAAGAGTTCAAGACCAGCCTGGGCAACAAGACCACCATCTCTACAAAAAAAAAAAAAAAAAAAAAATTTAAAAATTAACTAGGCATGGCTGTGCTCTCCTGTGGTCCCAGGTACTTGGGATGCTGAGGTAGGAGGATCGCTTGAGCCCAAGAGGTCAAGGCTACAGTGAGCCGTGATGGCATCATTGCACTCCAGCCTGGGCAACAGAGTGAGACCTGTCATTCATACATATATACATAAATAACAGAATGTGCTCTAAGTTCTAGAAATGCATCTTCTTTGGAATAAAAAGAGATGAATGAAAGAAGCTAGGAAAACATCATTCTACAAGTTTCAACTTATAGCTCCTCTTTAAAATGTAGAGGACAGCATATTGATAAATTTACTCCTAATAAAAGAGCATGGATCCCATACCATCCCTGTTATGTAAATGTACACATATGTCTGGGTATAAGCATATGTATAACACAGATGTTTAGAAGAAATGTGCATCAAAATATTAATGGTGATTCAAGTTTAGGAGTGATTTTACTTTTTCCTTTGCATTTTCTATCATTGGAAAACGGGCAGAATTAGGCCCAACATAGGTTAGGAGACTTAGGGTAAAACACATACCACATAGTACAAAACAGAGCTGGTACAAGAACTCAGAAATTCCCTTTTCTCTTACTATATAAAAACTTTCAGATTCAGAATTGAATGCACCTGAACACATGAAGTACATATAATGATTAAGCCCAACTTATATATTTAGAAACTGAGGCTTAAAGTCTGAGTGACTTGCCCAACGTCACACAGCAAATGTTAATAACTGGAGATTCAGAGGTAAAATCTGGGTCTCTTGGTCCTGAGTGCAGAATATTGTCCTTGTTAAAAGCCAGGGTTTTGTATTCATCCTGACCCAGGTTAAGTCCCACCTATGCCACTCACTTGCTGGTAAACTTGGATGAATTCCTATATTTTTCTAATTCTAGGGTTCACCACAGTTTTTTTTTTTTAACCTCAAAGTGTAATGGTGATGATTAAATGATACAGTAAAGTCCTATTAAAACCTGTGACATAGTAAACACCCTTGTCTCACTCACTATGCCTTTTTGTCTCTGTCCCAGGTGGAAGAACTCCACTATTACTTTCCAGGAGCAGACAGACATTATCTGCTCATTAGGCTCAGCAGCTTGGTTCTAGTCTCAAAAGTCAACTGGGATCATGCTCACTGTGCCTAGAACAGAGAATGCAGAACATCAAGCCTAACACAGGACAGGATGTTGACATGCTGAGCAGCTTGTTGGGGGATCTCTAGGGAATTCGGATTCAATAGGTCTGAATGGGACCAGAGATTTTGAATTGTTAGAATCTAATATTTCTGTGAATTAAAAAGGGGCTCAGCCTAACTGTGAGCAATGTATTATCCAATGAGTGGCATGACAAGGAATGACAGGAAGACCCAGGACTGTCGACAGTTCTAGGCCTCTTCTCTCAAGGACGAAGGGCAGCCACTGCCCAGAACCATGGAGGGGGAATTGAAACCAATCCAAACTAGCACAAAAATGAATGTTTGGAGAGATCCCCTGCCCTGGATACATAATGTTCTCAGAGATAGAACAAACTTCCGAGATGATCCTGTGCACTCTACAGATGCAGCACATAGTGAATACAACTCTCGGGAACTTTCCAAGCACATGGAGGCCCATAAAACACCAACGCACCATAAATTTCCATGGTAAATCCTGCTGGGGGAATTCATTAACAGAAAAGTAGCAATCAAACACTGGAAAGGTAGGGCTTCAAAATTACCCACTCTGGAGATGTAGAAAGTGCCTAAAAATATGGTAGGTCCAGGAGCACCACACCAAGCATTTACATCTTTGAAATGGCCACATGGCACTTATTGGCCTGAAAGGAGAAACAGCCAGCAAAATATCCTGCTAGAGTTGGTGGGCAAAGGAAACAGGGGAGGGGTCCCTGAAGGCCCTTATGAATTTCTCAAAGTTTTTGTTCACCATTTTATCTTCAGAACCCTGCACGCTGATTGGCAAACACTATTACATTCATTAAGTATTTGTCAAATGCGTGAAAAAAACAGAGGGAGAGAAAGAGGGACAGAGACAGGAAGACAAAAAGAAATTATCTCAGGCGGGGCATGGTGGCTTACGCCTGTAATCCCAGCACTTTGGGAGGCCGAGGTGGGTGGATCACCTGAGGTCAGGAGTTCTAGACCAGCCTTGGCCAACAACATGGTGAAACCCCATCTCTACTAAAAATACAAAAATTGGCCAGGTGTGGTAGCGGGCGCCTGTAATCCCAGCTACTCGGGAGGCTGAGGCAGGAGAATCACTTGAACCCAGGAGGCAGAGGTTGCAGTGAGCCAAGATCATGCCACTGCACTCCAGCCTGGGCAACAAGGGCAAAACTGTATCTCAAAAAAAAAAGAAAAAAGAAAAAAAGAAATTATCTTTGCTCCTACAGACTAGGCAGGCTACTGAGTATAGTATGTCTCACCCAAAAGTGATGGAAACTGATTGCTACTACAGTAAAAGGAACATGAGCTTCTGAGTCAGGAATAACTGGATTCAGTCTCCAACTCTGAATGATCTTGGCCTAAGTTCTTGACTTCTTTCTTTGAGCCTCACCATTTCATCTTTAAAAAGGGTAACAACACCTATTTCACTTCCAAAATAGGCATGATACTTATGCTTACAAAGTTGTGGAAAAAAGATTACATGAGCTAATGGACTTAGGCAAAGTAGCTAGCACAATGGTCAGCACATGGTATGAGCCAAAATCCTCCTGGGCTACCCTAATTGTACTGCATAGTTCTTTCAGATGTCAAGCTGCAGAAATAATTCCAATTTAAGTTCACTGGATCTTCTAAGAAAGTATATTTTTATCCCAGCACTCTGGGAGGTCAAAGCAGGAGGATTGCTTGAACTCAGGGGTGTGAGACCAGCCTGGGCAACATGGCGAAACCCTGTCTCTACCAAAAATACAAAAAACTAGCCAGGCGTGGTGTTACACGCCTGCACTCCTAGCTACTTGGGAGGCTGGGGTGGGAGGATCACTTGGAGCCCAGGAAGTAGAGGTTGCAGTGAGCTGAGACTGTACCACTGCACTCTAGCCTAGGTGACAGAGCGAGACCCTGTCTCAAATAAATAAATAAACAAACATTTATTTAAATAATAAACTCACGTATATATTCTTTTTTAGTTAGCAAAGTAATTTCACATTCTGACATAACAGTTCTGAAAAACAATGCTTACTGTTATCCATGTTTAATAAATGAAAAAACTGGCCAGGCATGGTGGCTCATGCCTGTAATACCAGCACTTTGGGAGGCCAAGCCAGAAGGATCACTTGAGGCCAGGATTTTGAGACCAGCCTGGGCAACATAGTGAGACTCCATCTACACAAAAATTTTAAAAAATAAAAAATTAGCTGGGCACGGTGGTACACATCTCTAGTCCTAGCCACTAGGGAGGCTGAGACAGGAAGATAGCTTACGCCTAGGACTTTGAGGCTGCGGTGAGCCATGATCATACTATTGCACTCCAGGCTGGGCAACGGAGCAAGATCCTGTCTCAAAAAAAGAGAGAGAAAATACTAAGACCACAAAGCCAACAAGAGGCAGACTGGGAATGAAACTATAGATTTTAACATTTTATTATAATTACTATGATTTTCTCAATCAAAAATTCAAATAGGAGATCTTATTATAGAATACTTGAACTCAGACTGTTCCAGAAATCTACTTATATTACGCTAAAACTTATAGCTAAAATCGAAACAAAATCCTGAAAGAAGTGATTTTTTAAAACAAAGCCTTTCCTCTGGATTTTATGCATCTATTCTTAATAGTCTCAAGTAGGAGAAGAGGAACATGTTTTAGAGTAAGGCTGACCTGAGTTTCAGTAGCATCTCTACCATCTATTAGCTTTGTGACCCTGGATATCCACTTTCTTCACCCCACTAAATTTCAATATCTTCATCTATGTAATGGGAAAGCAATACCTCCTCAAAAGTCTATGTGAAGTTCCTGGCCCTGAGAAGATGATTAGTAAATGATTAACTACCGTAAAAATCATGCCATGGTACCGACCACTTGGTCTGTAGGTTAGGTGACGGCTTGTTTCTTTCCTGCCTTCTCCAGCATCTGCATACCCCCTTTTCTGCATCTGTTCAATGGGGACACAAACCAGTCTCTATCGAACCTCACCAGGGAATGAAGATAACAAAAGAGCTGGCAGAGACATTATGCTAATACCAAATATTATTAAAACATTAATGAACTCTGGCAATTTCCCTGAATTTTGATAAATGGTGTTTATTATGCACTGCCAGCCTTTCGCACAGTCTGGGCTCTCAAATATTAACTAGATAATAACACCAATCATTCTCCTAAAAGACCAAGGTACAGAGGAATAAGAAGTGAATCTAGACAATTGCAGCTAACACCTGCCTCCAAAAAAAAATCAGAATCTCTGTACAAACAGAGAGCATCAGGACAGACCCCAGAGACCACAGTGACCACCAGCAAGCTCAGATCAACCCCACAGCCTGTGCAGAACCCTACTTTGATAAGACAGTGGAGTGTCTTGGTGTTGACAGGTCATTGATTATGACAGCTGTCTACCACCTCCTTGCTCTTCAGTGTAAAATTCCTCCAAACTAGACAAAATGAAAAGGATCTGTGAAGCTGGAGGGGCTTCAGACTTGGCTAACAATCTTACACAAAAAGAGAGTAACATGCCTCACCCCTGCCAACTGCCTGAAACATGAGGCAGTATTTTTCTCAGCTCCACTAAAGAGGCTTGCACCCAATTCGTGGTTGGCCACTTCATTCTGTGTGAGGGGATAATATCTGTAAGCTGCTAACAATCCCCAGGTGCAGCTCAGATACAGAACAAAGCCAAGAGGACTGGCCACCCTCCACCCCCCCGCCCTGAAATGAGGGCCTGGTACCACCCAAGTAACACCTTAACAAGCTAGGGGTCATTAAGAGACTTCATTTGCATAGTCATCAAAGAACCAAAGCTATGGCAAGTGAAACAAAGTGTATAAAAAAAATGATTTTGTTCTTTAAGCCAAGCCAAAATCTGCTTTAGAAAAAGTAAATCCACATAGGAACCCTTGCTGTCGCCAAACCTCCACTTGTGTAGAGCAGCCAGCATCTCATTAAAGGAAAGCAAGGAACTCGCAAATGAATGCAGCACCACACACAGGCAAGCAAGCTCATTTCGCCATCTGCCTTCTAGTGTCCAGAGGGGCAAAAGGCTTAAATGACACTCTCTTGAATCTTCTCTCCTGCAGGTGGAAATGCTAAATTCCCAGGGGGCAAGAAAGACTGCTTGCAAGGTCAACTGGGTAAAAAGGAATAGAAGCAAATCTAGTTTACCTGTCAACACAATGCCACCCATGGCATTAAACACATGCAAAAATTAAGCACCCTAGAATAATTTACTTTTTTATATTTGGATAAAAGCTTTGCTGATTCAGTGTATCAGCTTTGGAGTTAAGCACAGAAGTTCCTCATGAGCCAGGCACTTAAATTTACCCTCCCTACATTATCCCATTTCCTGACCCATGACTACCCTAACTGGTGGTGACCCAGTACCTTCTTCTAGTAAATGACCTACGCAAGTGACATCAGAACTGATCTGGGGGCTGTATTAACACAATGGCAGACTTCCATTATTTATGCCACAGAGAAAGGCTATGATTAACTAAACAACTTAAGTAACTGCGCTCAGCCTTCTGTGTGTGGCCCCACCTTCCTGACAATCACTGTGTTGGCTTTTGGCTTTGTAAGCATTTTAGGCTTCCCTGTGGAAGCTCACTCCTACCAGGTTTTATATATATATATATATATATATTTAATTCATCTATTCATCTACATAGTTGAACGGCTGAATCTCTCAATAGTTTTTCAACCTCATACGCAACGTAAGACACACTTGAAGAGTGCGGCGCAAAAGGTAAAAACCAGCCTAGAGTTTTAACATGTTTCATCTAACTTCCCAACGCGTGAACAACTACCAGCGGACACAGACACGTTCAGTCTGTATTACCCCGTCCTTGGGCAGTGAGGAAGAAGAAAACCTAGAAGGAAGAAGGTATCCCAGGATAGAAGCAGCAACAGCCGGCTGAAACCCAATTAGATTGCAGGAGAAAGAGAAAAGCCCTGTCTTAGTCTGTGGCCAAAAGACCTTTCCCAATCAAATTTTTCAACACCTGGAAAATTGGCTTATCTATTTGTAGAGAGCACCCAGAGACGAGCGTTAGAGCAGCGCTACCCTGGAGTACCAGTTCTTCGGAATGTTGACCGCCGGCCACGCACCGCTTGACAGCCACGGATCCGCTGGCGGAGCCGCAAGTTACAACCCAGGCGCCTGGCAAACTCACACTACACCTCAGTAGCAATAATCCCAACGGCAGGACACCTGGGGAGGGTGGGCTCGGTCTCCCGGGCCTGGCTCAATTATGTTCCTTTACACAGCATTCAATCATGTTTCAGGAGCCGTAGGTGAGGGGCTGGAGGTGGGAGTGGGGGACACATTTTCTAGCCCCCGACGTCTCCGCGGTTGGAAACTCTGGGCACCTCTTTCGGCCAGCGCTAAGACAATACACAAAGAGCAGGGAACCGGCGCTCCTCTGCGGCCAGAGCTCCGCGCCTAGTCACGGAAGAGCTGGGAATTAAGAATTCCGAGCTCAGCGAGAGCCCTGAAGAAGCACCGGAAATGCTTCCGATCGCTTCATAAGAGAAGTCAATTTGCAAATCAAAGTTGCAGGAACTCCGGACGCCTAGACTACTTCAGCGGGTTACTCGGGAACACCCAACAAGTTTGGCCACCGGGGGCTCGGCATGACAGCGCCGCGCCGCGAGACGACAGAAGCAACTTGTCGCTCGGGCGCCAAGCCAGAGCCCTGAGCCGTCTCCGCTCCCAAGCTCGGGAGAGCACCCAAGAGCCGGCGTCGGGAAAGCGGAGGTCCCTGCCTCCGGCAGCCAAATCCCTCAACTGAAGGCACCTCAGGGGCTCACCTGGACTGCACTCGCTTCCAGGGGCTTCCCCCAACAGTGCAACGCTTCACCGCGAACGCCTCACCTGCCTGCCAGCCCCAGGTGGCGGAGAAATTAACAAAAGAGCAAGCGAACAGGGGGAAAGGGAGACCCGGCGTAAAGTATAGTAAGGAGGGGAGGGCAGGCAGCTCGGCTTTCGGCGGAGAAAGAAGAGAGAGGCGGAACAGAGATGGCTTATACCCAAGGCACCGGCTCGGGAAGGCAACCCAGAAGGGAAGAGGTCGAGAAGCGGCAATGGGTTTTCTACTCCGCTTCCCATCACACACACACACGCACACACACCTCCCCCTTTTTCCTCCTTACCCAGCATGGAAAAGATGAAATCCTTGGCTGTGTGAATCTCCAGCGCTCTCTGGTCGTCGTATTCCCGCTGGTCGTGCTTCGTAAATTCTTGGATGAGTTTGTTCAATTCCTCCACCCGAGCTCCCGACCTGAAATCCAGCTCCGGGAACGCAGGCTTGTTGTTACAGCCCAGGGAGGCTGCCTTGTTGGCGGTGGGAGCCGCCATCTTCATGCAAAACGCGCCGAGTAGCAGCTCCGCGGCAGCGCGGCACCCACCCCCGCCCCCCACCCCGCCCCCCTGGGCCTCCTCCCCTCGCAGGCTCCCAGGCTTTGGCCCCGGCTCGTGGGCGGGTTGGCGGGCGGGCGTCTGGGCGGGCAGTCCCCCGCTCCGTGCGCTCTGGGCGTGCGAGCTTCGGGAGGAGCTGGACTGCAGCGAGGGTGCGTGTGTGGCCCCGACACCCTTTTCTCCGGCCCCACGCCCGCCCCGATGCTGCGCGTCCCTGCCCTGCCCTGGCCCTCTCTGGCAGCGGCAACGGCGGTCGTAGAGCCAACTGGAGCCTCCCCCGGGCGAGGAAAGTGAAGTGGAAACAATGTGAAATTCACCAGCTCTGAAATCAACAAGCTGCCGGCTCCGGTGTTACGGAGCCAGCACCAGCGTCTCCATTTAAAGGGACAGCGCACCCAGTGGAAAGGAAAATAAATAAATGACAGAGGTCTGCACGCATATACCACTTGCCAATCCGTACTTGGGAAGACGCGCGAGGTGTGGATGCATTCTTTCTCCACCTCCACGGCCGTCCCCCCATCCCCTTTCTGGGCAGGGTTTGCCAAGCGCATTCAAGGAGAAGAAAGTCTTCCTCCGTTTGATTTTAAGGGCGGTGTCCTGGGGGAGGACATCTCTGTGCGCGTTTACCTCTCTATCCCAAGAACTCCAATACCTTTAAATAGTAAAGGAAACTGCCTTAAGGAATATGAAACCTGTCTTCTACCCTTTTCCTCTTGGATTGCCAAGATGATAGGATTGAGCGTATAAAAAAAGAGGGTCCACATCTAACCCAGTATTGGCACTCCCACTAACCCCTAGATATCCCTACCTTTGCCCAAGGTAATTAATGACCTGAATAACAGCTTATTTATCTTAACATATAATGAGTTAATGAGATTCAACCTACTCTAATATAAAGATAGGGAAACTGAAGTGTGGGTGTGGGAGAGGGGAAACAATGTATTGCCCCAGGTTCCAAGAAATGTTGGATGACAAGATGAAAATTTTCTCATTCAACAGATAAAATTTGAGTACGCACCATTTGCCAGATGGAGTGACAGAATGTGACAGTGATAACCAAAAGACATGGCTCCTACCATGGAGTTAGGCTTACATGACAAGGCAGGTTCAATCTAAGTCATAGTCCTTTAGGCAGAATAGAGTCTCAGAGGTGGTTTTAGTGTTTATGGGGTGTATCATTCAAACACTTAGGAGGCCCATTGGCTGTGAGAAACATAGGTTATCTTCCTCCCTAATTCTCCAAAATCTCTCTTCTCTATCCCACAGTCCCTGATTTAGATCAGGTCTGTTTCACTTTCTTACCCGAGTTCTCATGGCCAAGAATACAAATTGTTTTGTTAGACATGGAAGGAAGTACGGACTCTTCCATGCCTTCCCCTATAAAATGGGAATAATAATTCCTGTCTCACAGGTTGTTTTAAGGATTACGTGAGATAAAACAGGTCAAGCACTTAGTTCAAGGACTGACATAATAAGTACTTAGCTATTATCAGCTTCTACTATTATTGTTATTAATTCTTTCACTGTTCCTCAATCTAGTAACAACTTGTTGCCAGAGTGATCTTTAGAAAACACAGACCTGACCACTGACCTCCCCCTGGAATTCCTCTCTTCTTTACTCCGTTTACACCAAAACCAATCCGCGTCTGCCTTTTTCTTACAGCTTTCCGGAGACCCTCCCCTCAAGCTGGTGGCAACTTTTCCTTCCTCAGAACCTACTCTCAGAAGCTTTCATATGATGCTAATGAATTTTGACCTTGCTTCATCATTGCTTTTTGTTTTGGGTTGTGTGTGTGTGTGTTTGTTTGTTTCTGAAACAGGGTCTTCCTCTGTAGCCCAGGCCAGAGTGCAGTGGCACAATCGTGGCTCACAGCAACCTCAACCTCCTGGGATTAAACAGTCCTTGCATCTAGATCTCTCAAAGGGATTACAGGCGTGAGCCACCACACCTGACCACTTCATCATTGTTAATGCAAGTTTTAGACTAAAAGATTCTTGGGGATGAGGGCTACATCTTATTCATCTTTGTATTTCCTGCAGCATATGGTCCTACCGAAGGGTCCTCTATGTTTATTGAATCAAGTAATGAGTGAAGAATTGTGGCATAACCAGTTAATTTCTCTTACTTTTCGTTTCCTTCTCTTTGAAACACACTTCCTCACCCACTCAGTATGAAAGAGAGAGGATCCATGCCTAGATAAATGCTGGTGGACTGATGAGGAAGTGACTTAAAAACTCTGGTTTTTAGGCAGGGCGTGGTGGTTCACGCCTCTAATCCCAGTACTTTGGAGGCCGAGGCGGGCAGATTGCCTGAGCTCAGGAGTTCGAGACCAGCCTGGGTAACACGATGAAATCCCATCTCTACTAAACATACAAAAAATTAGCCAGTTGTGGCGGCGTGCACCTGTAGTCCCAGCTACTTGGGAGGCTGAGGCAGGAGAATTGCTTGAACCCAGGAGGCGGAAGTTGCAGTGAGCCGAGATCGCGCCACTGTACTCCACCCTGGGTGACAGAGTGAGACTCCATCTCCAAACAAACAAACAAACAAACAAACAAAGCAAGCTCTGGCTTTCGCAGCTCTGCTATGCTGCCCTGACTTCTCATCCTGAGAGGATATTAACATTACCTGGGCAGTACTAGAAGCCACATAAGTGTTTGGAACTCCAGCACAAAGTGATCCACTCCCATCTGTCAGTGCTTCACTAGTGATCAATGGCAGGCACCTGTGCGACAGCTGGCTGAGGCAGTCATTCCATAGAGCAGAATGGTTCTAGTTACCTCCAAACCATGTACAGTTAAGAAATACTTCAGACAACAAAATCGAAACACTTTTTATTTGTTAATTTCCAAACATATGAATGAGGCATCACTAATCTTCCCTTAATTTTACCTTTTCTTATGATATTTATATCCATAAAGAAACAACAGGTTGTTAGCAGAAAGTATTCCTGTTGTGCCGTAGTGCTGGACCCTGGGGGTTTGAATGAGTGAGTGGTCTCTCTGATGTTCCTCATTGTCTGTTCTCCTTCCCGTCAGCCAGATCAGATTTCTATGAATCATGGACCCTCAGTGAGCCCGCATATCCAGATAATGTAATTGGATGGTAAACTAACACCTTCCTAGGCTCTAATAGAACGCTGATAAGATTGTGTCAATATCCCTTGTTGAATTAGAAGAATAGAGAAAAACGATCAAAAACCATAATTTCCTGAATTGATCTATTGGGAGACTTTTTAACCTCTGAGCTTCTCAAGGGCAAGTACTGTGTTTCTTCACCTGTGTAAACACTGCATTTAATTTAGTTCTTGACCCATCTTATGACCTTAGTTTATATGTTCAAATGAATATATAAAAGAATGAATGAAGCCGGGCACGATGACTCACACCTGTAATCCCAGCACTTTAGGAGGCCAAGGCGGGCAGATCACAAGGTCAGGAGTTCAAGACCAGCCTGGCCAACATAGTGAAACCCCATCTCTACTAAAAATTCAAAAATTAGCTAGGCATGGTGGCATGCACCTGTAGTCCCAGCTAGTTGAGAGGCTGAGGCAGGAGAATCGCTTGAACCCGGGAGGTGGAAGTTATGGTGAGCCGAGGTTGCACCACTGCACTCCAGCCTGGGCAACAGAGGGAGACTCCTTCTCAGAAAAAATAATAATAAAAAAGAATGAACTAATACCATCCCTCAAAGTCCAAGAAGTCAGAATTTAGGTGATTTTTGCTACAATTTAAATATCTCAATGTAAGCTATCTATGGTTTCCCAGTATTTAGTTAAGTGTTGTTATAAATGTAAGTATTTCTGCATGCATTTAATTAAATGCCCCAATTTTTATGCCTTTTTCTCCCTGTGTATGTTATATGACCTAAGAGAAGGAAGAGAGATAGAGAGGAAGGTGGAGAGAGAGAGAAAATCATTATTAGAAGATGTTAAAGAGTGTCTGAGGCTTGAATAAAAATGCATATCTCTAGAATTTTGACAGATGGACAAAGGTCAGTGGAGTCTACCATCTAAACAAGCACTAAGGTAGGCTTTTCCTTTGCTGGCTCTTGCAGCATCAAACAGAACAGAGTAACAGCCTGCATTTCCAAACTGCTGTCACACTTAGAGGTAGAACTTGCCCTTCTACTCCCAACTCCCAAATTTTATTAGCATGTGAAAGAAGTCTTCATCTTGCTTCTCTGGAGCTGTTTGTTGTTAAATACAGCTCTGAAGTTCTGTGGCAAACTCTCAGCCATGAATAACTGGGCTGTGCAGAGCCTGCATTAAAAATAGCAAGCTCCACATCCACATGATGGATTAACAAAATATAATTTTAAACAAAGATTCTCTGGTCTGAGGGAGATTTAAATAGCAGCCTAGGCTACAAGATCTGGCCTTCTTGGGCAGCTGGATTTTCAATAAAAGTCTAACAAATGGAAGTGGCCTGGGTTTTTTATGATTTGAAATGCAGGCAGGAAAAAGAGAGGCAAACATCACAGACGTGTGGAATGTTGACAGTAGAAGGAACTTAGATGATAAATTCCATCTACCCCCCTTATTTACCAGATGGGAGAATGAGGGCACAGAAAGAGAAGGGAAACTTGACTAGATAGTAGAGACAATTCTGTTTCTATTTTTCATACTAACTTTAAATTTACTAAATATTTGTTATTGTGTTTCCAGACTGCCAGAAGGAACATGAAAAATGCCACGAAATTTGATCAAAATTATAATTTAAAAAATAAAAATAAAAACAGGAGAGTGGCCCTTGGGCAAAATGCACTCATTTCACTTGAAGTTAAATCTCAGTAAACCAGAAACTGCTGACATTTGGAATTACTTGGCTACTGATTTTTCCTGGCAATAGGTAGACAATCAAGACTACAGCTAAATCTCTTTGGTAGTCATAAACAGAGGTGCGCACGTCCCTGCTTGGGGCAAATCGGGCACTGTTACTTCTAATGAGATTAGGCCGTTTAATTTTTTTTTTTTTTTTTTTTTTTGAGACGGAGTTTCGCTTTGTTGCCCAGGCTGGAGTGCAGTGACACCATCTCAGCTCACTGCCACCTCCACCTTCTGGGTCCTGATTCAAGCAATTCTCCTCCCTCAGCCTCTGGAGTAGCTGGGATTACAGGCACACACCACCACACCCGGCTAATTTTGGTATTTTTAGTAGAGACAGGGAATCACCATGTTGGCCAGACTGGCCTTGAACTCCTGACCTCATGATCTGCCCACCTCAGCCTCCCAAAGTGCTGGGATTACAGACGTGAGCCACCGCGCCCGGCCTTAGGCCATTGAAATATTAGCGAGGTCCCCAGAACAATATAAATAACCCTCTCTATTCAGACTATTCAGTCCTAATAAAGTGAGGCCCATGTGAAGCCCACCTGCTCTGATGTGTTCACATGGTTCAGAGGGCCTAGTCCCAGCTTCTCCCTCAACCCTGTATCCTCATAACCTTGAGGGCGTGAGTGATCTAGCTATGGAGAAAAGTGCAGCAATGTAAATCTCTCCACTCAGTCTCTCATTTTATTCTCTGCTCTCTCTCTCTCCCCCAACCCTGTACTCTAATGACCTTGAGGGCGTGAATGATCTAGCTATGGAGAAAAGTGCAGCAATATCAATCTCTTCATCCAGTCTCTTGTTTTATTCTCTACTCCTGCTATACTCAGGGAAGCAAAATCTGTGCGTGTGAAAAGAAGGAAATGAACTCTAGGGATGGAAATAACAATATCTGATAGCAATTATTAACAATTCCTCCTGATAATAGAGCACTTTACAGTTCAACAAAGCGCTCATCACAAAATTCATTTATCGGTTCCTCACAGCCTCTTACTGAAGCAGGTTAGTGAGGACTATTATTATTTTTTGCATTTTGGAAATAAGAAACTAAAGCTCAGAGAGATAGTGAAGTTTGTGGCTAATTGTCATCCTTCAGCTCTCTATTTAGATGTCATTTCCTTGCAAAGAGCTTTTTCTGGATCTCCTCCACCCCCACACACCCAGGTCTAGGTCAGGTAAATTCCTTTGTAGACTCTCCTTCCCTCTGGACTTACGTCACTGTTCGTTCTCACACTTCCTTGTATCTGCCTGATAACTTTCCTGTTTCCCTCACAAAAATGTATGCAACACTGTCTGTCTTGATCACAGATGTATCACCAGTACCTCTTACTGGATGTGTAGAACATAGTAGATATTCAATAAATGTTTGATTAAAAAGTAAATGCAGGCTCAGACCCCAAATTTGAGTCTTTTGATTTACAATCCAAGTTCTTTCCATGAAACCTCACTGAATCTGTTGTTAGCACCCATTGAGTATACAGAAAAACACCAATAATCTCTCACATTTTAGAGAATGGGTACGCTTTATCAGCATTTCACATACACAATCTGATTCCAAATTTTGATTCAAGTTACCTTACTGTAAACAAAGCCTTTTGTTCCTCTTCTCTCTACCTTAAAATCTAAGCTCAGGCCCTTTGCTCAATAAAGTTTACGACAAAATAACTTTAAAAATTAAGTTCATATTTTCAATTCTTCTCACTTTTGGGAAAACCCATTTGACTTAAACTCTACACATCAGGTAAGAAAGGGCATAGTAATAATTGCAGGTAATTTAAAATAACTCGAAAAATCCTCTTCGCATATTACGACTGCCTTAACCCCATCAGCTGTTCTGGTGAAACGGTGGGGCCCTCATAACCAATCAATCCGTTGATACTGTTACATTTTGTTCTGGCCCTTGAACTTGCCAAAAGGCCCTGTTCTGGGTTCTCCACACCAATCCGTATCCTACTTTACATATACTCTGGGTACTGGATCGAGTGCCAAGGATAGACCATAATCCTTTGTCATGGGAAAAGTGGAGCTGTTTGGCTTGCTTTGCTGTGGTCAATTAGTTAATTAAATATAAATTAATTTAGTTTTTTTTTCTCCTATGTGGCTTCAGAGGGTGGAACCAGGAGGGATTGATGGCAGCTACAGACATAAAACTTTGACTGAGGATGTGGAAGCATTTTCTCACAATGAGAGCCACTGTGCACTGAATAGGCTGCTTTATGAATTAGTAAACTCCCCATCACAGAAGGTGTTCAGGGCTGTGTTATCCACCCATCAGGGTTATGCTAGGTTCCTAAGTTAGTAAAGAGCTGAGACTATGGCCTCTGAAATGTCTTTCAACTCTGAGAAGCTCTGACTCTATGATCCATTTTCAGTTAACAGGAAAACTGAAAACTAGCTTCCTACAAGGAGTCACTCCATGACAGAGCTATGTTCTGCACTAAACACAAGGTGTTTGAGATCTATTTTCATGTAAGGCCCAACGAAGATCAAGGATTATGTCTTTTATTTTTCTAGGCTTAAAAATACATATTTCCTTGTTTCTGGCTTTTGTTTTCTTTTTCTTTCTTTCTTTCTTTTTTTTTTTTTTTTGAGACGGAGTCTCCCTCTGTTGCCCAGGCTGGAGGGCAGTGGCGCGATCTCGGCTCACTGCAACCTCCGCTCCTGGGTTTAGGCCATTCTCCTGCCTCAGCCTCCCAAGTAGCTGGGATTAGAGGCGCCCGCCACCACGTCCGGCTAATTTTTTGTATTTTCAGTAGAGACGGGGTTTCACCATGTTAGCCAGGATGGTCTCGATCTCCTGACCTTGTGATTCAGCCTCCCAAAGTGCTGGGATTACAGGCGTGAGGCAGGGTGCCCAGCCGTTTCTGGCTTTCTTACTGTCCGATTCTAGCAGGTTATTTCATTCCACCCGATACAAAGAAGTTCTGTGGTACAGAAACATGCCACAGACATCATATACATACCGTGCAACCCAAATTTATATTTGGAGAAGTTCTCAGTAAAAAGAAAGGGTCTTCCTTTAACATATTAATTTACATGCTCATTGTTTAATGATAGAAGCCAGTTCTCTGAGCACGTCTATACCATTGGCAAAGGAATTGTTATAATGCCTGTTTTGTTTTCTAGATCTTGTCCAAAAAAAAAAAAAAAAAAAAAAAAAAAAGCCGGGCACTATGGCTCATGCCTGCAATCCCAGCATTTTGGGAAGCTGCGGCGGGCGGATCACAAAGTCAAGAGATCGAGACCATCCTGGCTAACATGGTGAAACCCTGTCTCTACTAAAAATACAAAAACTAGCCGGGTGTGGTGGCGGGCGCCTGTAGTCCCAGCTACTCAGGAGGCTGAGGCAGGAGAATGGTGTGAACCTGGGAGGCAGAGGTTGCAGTGAGCTGAGATCGCACCACTGCACTCCAGCCTGGGGACAGAGGGAGATTCCTTCACAGAAAAACAAAAACAAAAACAAAAACAAAACCTCTCTAAACCCTACACTGTAAGAAGTTTATTGAAAAACTTGGCTTTCTTTTTTGTTTTCACCTCCAACCATACTCAGTACAGCACAAGAATAGCAGGAGTTGTTTCCCCTGATCTGAGACCTGGTGTGTTGAGTTGTGGTCCAAAGCTAATTTTAAATTCCAAATGTATAACCTGGAGAGAGACAGAGAGAAAGAGAGAGAGAGAGGATATGAAGAAAATTGTGATGTTCCTTCAGCCCTGACAATATTATCACACACACAGCCATAAATATACTTTCTGGACCATGACTTCTAATTCTGCTTACTCTGTTAGTACTTTCTAAGCAGCAGAAAAAAATACCCTCACACCCTTTACATTCTCTAATGTTTCTTTATAGTCTAATAGAAAAAAATAAGAGAAAAAAAAGGAAGAAAGATAGACTAAAAGAAAACATAGCTCCCTTATTCTATCTAATTTGTGATTATTCTTGTCTATTTAAACTATCTTGGGGATATGAGTACATGCATTTTATTGAGATTTGCCTTAATTTTTTTTTTTTTTTTGAGACAATCTCACTCTGTCACCCAGGCCAGAGTGCAGTGCTGTGAACTCTGTTCACTGCAACCTCTGCCTCCCAGGTTCAAGCAATTCTTGTGCCTCAGCCTCCCGAGTAGCTGGGACTACAGGCACATACCACCATGCTCAGCTAATTTTTGTATTTTTAGTAGAGACGGGGTTTCACCATGTTGGCCAGGTTGGTCTCGAACTCCTGACCTCAAGTGATCCATCTGCCTTGGCCTCCCAAAGTGCTGGAATTACAGGCGTGAGGCACCGCGCCCAGCCTGCCTTAAATTTTTTAAAGGGGGATAGATAGGAATATATCGGATATACATTGTAAATAAATAAATTCAGACAAAAGCTGAAAGTCAGGAGATTTCTGTTCTGGTTCAGCTTTGGCCATTAGTTTCATGATCAGAGAAAAATCCTCTCCTTTTCTCCGAATCTCCTCTTCCTCTTGTGTAAATGAATAAATAAGGTGTCATCCAGGCGTGACATTCTGAGGCTACAGCTCTAACATGAGAAGACAAATAAAGCAGTGCTCCCTACAAATTCTTAACACAATGTGTTTGTTTATTTTCCCCCAGTCTATCCTTGCACAGCTTGACATTCCATAGTTGAATGTTCTAATTTTTTTCTAAGGATCTTTACTCTAAAAGAATTAGCCTAAAATCAAAAGAGAAGAGAATCTATAAGTGCATTAAGACCCCCTCCTTGACACATCTTGGCTAATGGCCTCTTATTCTCTGTTGGTGGGGGATGAAGCAAAGCCTGCTGATGAAATTCACTCAGCAGCTTGGCCCTAGGGTATGGCTACATGGTCTCTGGGTTCTTAGGGTCCAGCCAGGGCCCAGCAGGTTTGTCAGACTCCAGAAATCCCTCTCCTCACAGGGTAAGCAGAAACAAAAGGCACCCGAAGAAAGTACCCCAGGAAGTATTTACAAGAGGCTGCAAAACAGTTATAAAATGATTTTCTGGCCCTAAAGTTAGAAGCCAAGGATGATGTTCTGAAGCCCAGGTGTGAGATGAACATAGGTATAGAACTTTATAACCAGACTTATAAAGCAGTTGACACAAGAAACTGTGGTTTTGGCAAAAAAGCATTAAGGAGTCTGTATTTCTTCACAACCAAGATATGGAAGAAATCTGCTCCTAGGAATCTGGGCTGCAGTTTTCTTTATGTATTTTGGAGAAAAGCAACTTTATAAATTTCAGATAATAATTAGTGATAGTAATAAAAAGACATAACAATCTTTAGGCAATAAATAACATTCAAGTATGTCTGATGACAAAATTATATGCAAAATTAAGGATATAGCCATGCATAAAAATCACAGATCTTAAAGAAGAGTGGAAAGGAGTTTCCAATTCTATCATAACATCAAAATCTTAATAATACAGTTGAACAAGATAAGGTGAAGAGAACAGAAGTGACTTGCTTATGGGAACACACAGAATGGCAGGACTGGAATTTTTTTTCCACATGTCAGCACAAAAGCCAAAGAATGTGAGGGCCTGTGCATCAATTGCCAATAAATGGCTGCATGTTGCAGTCCATAGCTATATGTTTGCAGTCCATAGCTATATACTACAAAACTATAAATAGCCAAATTTAGCAAAAACCTAGTAAATAGTCTAGTAAATTTTCATAACCTAGTTAATATGGCATTTTTCATAAAGTTGTCTTTTTATGTCTTCATTCACTGAAAACATATTTATTGAATCTCTTTTATGTGTCGGGCATTGTTCTTGACAGTGAGGATATGGCGGTGAACAAAGCAAACATTTTCATCCTACTGGAGCCCGAAAGATTTATTTTTTAAACTAATTTATGCAGTTGTGAGGACTGACGAGTTCAAAATCTGTAGGGCAGGCAAGTCTGAAAACTATAGGGCAGGTTTGCAGGAGTTGATGTTGCAGAATTTCTTCTACAAACTTCAGTTTTTGTTTTTAAGGAATTTCAACTGATTGGATAAGTCTCATCCACAATATCTAGGGTAATCTCCTTTACTTAAAGTCAACTGGTTGTAGATATTAACAACGTCTATAAAATACATTCACAGGAACACCTAGATAAGTGTTTGATTAAATGACTGTGTACTAGAGCCTAGCCAAGCTGACACATAAAACTAACTGGCACGCCATCTACCTGATAAATATTTACTAAGTGCTTATCACATGCCAAGTTCTGAGATAAATCACACGCAATCCCTGCCCTCTAAAGGAAGGGCATAAGTCATTTAATTAAAGACATTAAAAATGTTATTCGACAAATCTATAAGAGATAGAGAACAAGAGCTATCTTTGCAGGTTTGGAAGAAGGAATAGTACTTCCACGTAAAGAAGGCGGAAAAGCTGAAAACACAAAAGACAATTGACCTTGTCCTTGGAGAACAGGTAAAATAAGAACAAGACAGGACCGTGGCATTCCTAGTGAGAGAAATGGCATAAGAAAAAGTGTGGAGTCAGGAAAATGTGTGATGTTTATAGAAACATTGAGTGGTTCAGTTTGGCTGGAAATATAGAGCATTCATCAAAACCTCTTTTATTTAGCCAGTGATTACTCCATGCTTGTTCAAGTACTCATTCCAAAGCTGTTAGCACATTTGCAGATGAAACAGAGAGATCGAGAGATTCCTCCAAAATCACACAGAAAACCTCCAGGGCATGACACATACAAGTCAATCCCATTTTCTTTTGGAAGCTAGATGCTGCTGACTCTTCAAAACAAGTTTTGCCATCCTTGAGAAATAAGAATGCTTTTATCTCTGTTTTTCAGTTTAACTGTCTTTGAAAAAGCCACTATTTCTTCAATAAATGGAAGAAATGTATTAGGCCCTAATTTTTAATGAACATACATGTAGGTATCAATGCACCAAATAATATGTTCAGGGATTTATATATCACACAATTCAAACCTTACTGCTTTTACCACTCGGTCAAAGGTATTTCTTGATTTTTGTTGTTATTGTTTGTTTTTTTTTGGGGTGGGGGGGCACAATACTTAAATTGCTGTGGTCAGAGGTGCACAGAGAAAATATTTATAGGAGTCAGAAGGTTCTCAGGAAAGTAAAATTAATCTATGACTCTTATTATTTCAGTTTTGTGCCTTATGAATTCCTTTTATTCTAATTCCTCTCAGGCATCTTCTTTCCATGCCCCAAGCCCCTCCCACATTTCAAAGAATTGTTGTTGGGTTAGCACATTACTGTTAAGAAAACACGATGTGTGCCGTACTTATTCCACCACCAGCCTCTCCCATCCCTGCGTTAAACTCAGTCATCCTTTTGCCTACATAGGAATTCATGTTTTCTACTGATGAGCTAACTAGCCATGGGTTTGTTCTGAAGATTAATGGTTTTATGGCATTCAAAAGAATGTGACTGGTTTTGAGGCTAATGTAACATTTTTTAAAAATAAGATAATTATAGGAATTATAGGATTCTAGACACTTTCTGGACCAGTCTTCATTCGGCTTCATGCCGCTGTGAATGGAGCAGAAGCAAGTTGTACCCTTTCTTCCCCTCTCCCCCTCCTAATTTCTGCTTTATAAGAGGGAAGCTGAGGAACTGCACCAGGAAGTGACATAATCAAGTGCCTGGTTTCATATCCCCATAAAGTGCATTACTTTAATTAAATCTACCGAAGAGGCTAGTAAAAGAGAGACTGGGGAGAAACGAGGTTATTGATCAGAGGTGTTAAATAAATGGACATCATCGAGAAATGGATGTTAACAAATGTGTGGAACGCTCAAGGGGGGTCAGAGTTCAACTTCCTCTGTGAACAGCTGAACATTTGTCTTGTGGTGACATTGTTCTATTATTTTCCAAAGATGGAAAATGTCTAGAGGCTTAGAAACATAACATTACCTTACATTTACATAATGCATTAGATTTAATGTATATGATCTCATTTTAATGTTCATCCCCACAATAATCCTGTGGGACAGGCAAACCACAGATTCACAGACTGTTGAATCACATTCTTGAGGGCAGAGGTTACCCTCTACAACACATCAATAACACCTGGGTAGGAGGAGTGTGTCAAGGAGGATGTCTTTGTGTGCCTCAGAAGGGCAGGTGTGGAGAGATAGATAAGGAGCATGGATAAATGTAATCATGCAAACTAGCTAATGGCCTTCATTAAGAAAAACTTCCCCTCCCAGGGTAGGCGTCAATCTGTTATAACAAGATTTAGTGTATCATGTTTCACTCCAGTCTGAGGACAAGGTCACCTCCCTTTGGATAGAGATCAGAGTCTCCCCCTAAAAAAGTAGCATCCGGCCGGGCACAGTGGCTCATGCCTCTAATCTCAGCACTTTGGGAGGCCGGGGAGGGCAGATCACCTGAGGTCAGGAGTTCCAGACCAGCCTGGCCAACATGATGAAACCCCATCTCTACTAAAAATACAAAAAATTAGCCGGGCGCGGTGGCGGGCGCCTGTAGTCCCAGCTACTCGGGAGGCTGAGGCAGGAGAATGGCGTGAACCCGGGAAGCAGAGCTTGCAGTGAGCCGAGATTGCGCCACTGCAGTCCGCAGTCCGGCCTGGGCGACAGAGCGAGACTCCGTCTCAAAAAAAAAAAAAAAAAAATACAAAAAATTAGCCGGGCATGGTGGTGGGCACCTGTAGTCCCAGCTACTCAGGAGGCTGAGGCAGAAGAATGGCGTGAATCCAGGAGGCGGAACTTGCAGTGAGTGGAGATAATGCCAACTGCACTCCAGCCTGGGCAACAGAGCAAGACTTGGTCTCAAAAAAAAAAAAAAAAATGCTGTAAAGATGGCTTGGCGTGGTGGTCTGGCCTGTAATCCAAGCACTTTGGGAGGCTGAGGCAGGCAAATCACTTGAGGCCAGGAGTTTGAGACCAGCCTGGCCAACATGGTGAAACCCTGTGTCTACTAAAAATATAAATATTAGCCAGGCGAAGTGGTGGGAGCCTGTAACCCCAATTACTCAGGAGGCTGAGGCAGTAGAATCACTTGAACCTGGGAGGTGGGGGTTGCAGTGAGCCAAGATCATGCCAATGCACTCCAGCCTGGGCGACAGAACGAAACTCTGTCAAAAAAAAAAAAAATGCTGTAAAGGTATGAGGAATTGTTACATCTCAATTTTATGTCTTCCTAATATTGGTGAGGCCTGGAGGTGGAGGAAAAAGGCCCAAGGGAAGGGGGAAATCATTTATTCTTTCAACAAATGCCATACACCATAGTGTGCCGGGAATAAGGAAGAACAGATATTCGACTTCTGGGTAGCTGATCTGTGAAGCACTTGGTTTCTTTTTCACATCTCGAAGAGATTACCACTTTGGTCAATTATTGAAAAACCCTCTCTGAATTGGTACCTGAGCTATAACTGTGTTGAAAGTGAAATAAAGGAAAAGGTGACCTTCATGCTGGCCTCCAAGAAGGCTTTGGTCAGCTCAGCACCTTTTGCAAAAAAGCTGTAAATTTACTCCCCAAATTGTCTACTTAGATAGTTTTTCTCTCTCAGGAAAAAGAAAAAGTAGCCTGTTCAAAATTAAAGTCTACTTCTCAAAGAAATATCACAGTGGGAATGTAATTCAACAAGTATTTCCAGAGTGTTTTACGGTTTCTATACCATGCTAAGATTGAACTGCTACAAGGGGTAGAGAAGTGGATGGTAGCTGAACACCATTACAATTAACAATAAATTAAAAATAATTTATTCTGTGTGTATATATATATTATATATATGTGTGTGTATATATGTATATATATGTGTGTGTGTGTATATATATATATATATATATATATATATATATACCTTTTTTTTGTTTGTTTGGATACAGGGATACAGGATCTAGCTATATTGCACAGGCTGGTCTCCAACTCCTGGGCTCAAGCAGTCCTCCCACCTCAGCCTCCTGTCCTGATTGGCTAGGGCTATAGGCACATGGTTTGAAAGACGTAGTCCCTACCCTCAAAGCAGTAATAATTTCCATGGGAACTGTCCTAACATATGTGGAATTTTATAAGTTGAAACAGGTTAAGACATAAATGAACTAAAACCAGATGTCAATGTAAGAAATAAGTGTTTGCACATTCTAAGGTTTATGTTCTTGGATTAAGAAAAGTGAACCCTTATTGTGGAAGGCTCTGAAAGTGAAGCAAAGGAGCTTTAATTTGGCTGTGTAGGCAATTAATAAGCTAATTAAAGGTTTTATTTATTATTTATTTATTTAATCTTAAGAAACAGTCTCACTCCGTTGCCCAGGCTGGAGTGCAGTGGCACACTCACAGCTCACTGCAGCCTCCACCTCCCTGGGCTCAGGTGATTCTCCTGCCTTAGCCACATGAGTAGCTGGGACTATTGGCGCACACCACGATGCCTGGCCTTTTTTTTTTTTTTTGAGACAGAGTCTCACTTTATTGCCCAGGCTGGAGCGCAATGCCATGATCTTGGCTCACTGCAACCTCCACCTCAGTGTCCTAGGTTCAAGTGCTTCTCATGCTTCAGCCTCCCTGTAGCTGGGACTACAGGCACAAGTCACTATGCCTGGCCAATTTTTGTATTTTTAGTAGAGACAGGGTTTTACCATCTTGGCCAGAGTGGTCTCGAACTCCCGGCCTCAAGTGATCCACCTGCTGAGGGCTCCCAAAGTCCTGGGATTACGGGCATGAGTCACTGCGCCCAGCCCACTTTTTTATTTTTTGTAGAGATGGGGTTTTGCCATGTTGCTCAAGCTGTTCTTGAACTTTTGGGCACAAGCCATCTGCCGGCCTTGGCCGCCCAACATGCTGGGATTGCAGGTGTGAGCCACCGCAGCCGGCCTCATGAAAGGTTTTAGAGCAGAACAGTAACCATGATGAAAAGATGGAAAATCCAAACCCGGTGTTATAGTTAGGGCCCTTTAATTCAAAGCTTTTATTATCAGAAATAATTCAAATCAAATTTAGCAAAAAAACAAAATGTAAGTGGAGAAACGAACAGACTCATGTAACTAGAAAGCTCCTGTACTGGGCTTCACCCACGACTGTTCAGGCATTCAAATAATGCCCATCAGCTCTCTGGCTCCATTATTAGGCTACCTCCATGCAACAGTAAGACGCCTACAGACAGCTCCATTTACATGGGGTTTAGACGTTATGGGCTCAGAGAAAGAGTCTTTGGAAAAGGCACCATAAGGAGTTCTGATTGGCCCAGCTTAGGTTTCCATCCCTGAAAACCCACTGTGGCCAGTAAGCTGAAGCCATTTGATTGGCCAGGACCAGGTCATATGCAACTGCTGAGGTAATGAGGTGACCCTTGTCAGTCCTTCCTCCACCTTCTTTAACCACGTAAATCAAGATATTTACAGAAGGAGTATGGAGTAGTTTCTCAAAAGAAGAGATACTGGGCCAACAAACACACACACACACACACACACACACACACACATAAGTGCATTACCTAAATTTGACATTAACACATTTACAATCTAGGATAGAAAACCTCCTTTAAAAAAACAGCAGTATATTTCTTTAAAAATTGCATTTATGCACTCATTGTATAGACACGCAATGCTGTGAGTCATGGCTCCTATTTTTGAGTGTCTACCACAGAAGTTTCTCTATTTCTCTACAAGCAAACAGAAAAGGTTCTGAGAAGTTAGTTATAAATCCTTCTCTTCATAACTGAAATGAGAAATTGGGGGGGGGGATGATAAAGTGAGAATGGTTAATGAGTACAAAAATGCATTTAGAAAAAATGAATAAATAAATAAAAAGACCTAGTATTCAGTAGCACAATTGGGTGACTACAGTTAGGACCCTTTAATTTTAAATTAACAATAATTCTGTGTGTGTGCGTGTGTGTGTGTGTGTGTGTGTGTGTGTGTGTGTGTGTGGGTATACACATATATTTGAGCCAGGGTCTAGCTACATTGCCCAGGCTGGTCTCGAACTCCTGGGTTCAAGCAATCCTGCCACCTCAGCCTCCCGACTAACTAGGGGTACAGGCACATGTCACCACTCCTGGCTAATTTTTTTATTTTATGTAGAGACAAAGTATCTCTATGTTGCCCAGGCTGGTTTTGAACCCCTGACCTCAAGCAATTTTCCTGCTTCAGCCTCACAGTAGCTGGGATTATAATGCGCTGTATATTTTAAAATAACTGAAAGAGTGGAATTGGAATGTTTCTAACACAGAGAAATGATAAATGCTTGAGGTGATGGATACCCAGTTACTCTGATTTTACCTGTATCAAAATATCACATGTACCCCATAAATGTATATAGCTATTGTGTACTCCTAATAATTAAAAATAAAGCATTTTCTAAAAAAGAAGGTGTAGCTGATATAGTTTGGATATTTGTCCCTGCCCAAATCTTACGTTGAATTATAATTCCCATTGTTGGAGGTGAGCTCTGGTGAGAGGTGTTTGGGCCATGGGGGTGGATCCCTCGTGGCTTGGTGCTATCCTCACAATAGTGAGAGAGTTCTCGTGAGATCTGGTTGTTGTAAAGTGTAGCACCTCTCCTCCCCTCTCTCTCTTGCTCTTGCTTTGGCCTGTGATGTGCCTGAGGCTTCCTGAGGCCTCATCAGAAGCTGAGCAGATGCCAGGCACCATGCTTCTTATGCAGCCTGCAAAATGATGAGCCAATTAAACCTCTTTCCTTTAGAAATTACCCTGTCTCAGGTATTCCTTTCTAGCAACGCGACGCAGTGGTAGAACAGCTTAACACAGTAGCAGAGATGGATAGCTGACCACCAAAGACTCCTTCGTAGTGTAGGTTGTGGCTAGAAAGTGATGCCCAACTAGGGCATATTTAATGCTCCTGTTCCCCTGCATCTGGGGTGGAAGTCACATGGCTAATTCTTGCCAATGGAAAGAGAGAGGAAATGATGTGAGTCAGTCACTTTGGGTGAAGTAGTGGAGTGGCTGTGTCTTCACCACAGCCCCTCTGTATGTCTTTAAGTGAATAGGGAGGACTCCTTGGATCCTGCAGGAGGGGTGGGCCACAAGATAGAGTTCTTGGTGCTCTGAATAACTACATGAAATATCACCCAAGTATCATCCTAACTGCATTCCCAGATGAGTCAGATGTAAACTTTTCTTGTGTTAAGCCTATGGGAACTAGAGTCTTTTTTTTTTTTTTTTTTTTGAGATGGAGTCTTGCTTTATCGCCCAGGCTGAAGTGCAGTAGTACGATCTCGGCTCACTGCAACCTCCACCTCCCGGGTTCAAGCAATTCTCCCTGCCTCAACCTCCTGAGTAGCTGGGATTACAGCCGCCTACCACTACACTCGGCTAATTTTTGTATTTTTTAGTAGAGACGTGGTTTTCCCATGTTGGCCAGGCTTGTCTTGAACTCCTGATCTCAGGTGGTCTGCCTGCCTTGGCCTCCCAAAGTGCTGGGATTACAGGCGTGAGCCACCATGCCCGGAGAGGAACTAGATTCTTACCTTAGCAAATAGAGAAGGATTTAATCTTAACATCCACACACTCATTTCCGTCACATAGAATTGTTATCAATGACCATCAAAGCTGTAGAACCAAGGATTCACACATCCTTACAGCTATGCCTTTCCTCCAACATCTTTTCCAAAAATAACCAATTTATTTTATATGGTGGAAATTCCACTGAGGCAAGTCACCTCCCTCTTTGATAATTCTCCTAAGTAGTATGGGAACACTTTATTTTTATTTTTTATTTTTCTGGAGACAGTCTGACTCTGTCGCCCAGGCTGGAGTGCTGTGGTGCCATCTCAGCTCACTGCAACCTCCACCCCCTGGGTTCAAGCGATTCTCCTGCCTCAGCTTCCGAGTAGCTGGAATTACAGGCATGCACCACTACGCCTGGCTAATTCTTGTATGTTTAGTAGAGACAGGGTTTCACCATGTTGGCCAGACTGGTCTTGAACTCCTGACCTCAAGTGATCCTCCCACCCTGGCCTCCCAAAGTGCTGGGATTACAGGCGTGAGCCACTGTGCCCAGTCTTGGGGAACACTTTAGTAGTTACTGTACCTGCACTCACTCCCTCTTCACTGAGAGTCTTAAACCACACAAACTATCCATGGCTTATGACAGGTTTCATCAACAAAGCTCCATGCCTTCACTTTTAATTTTTGACCAAACTCATAGCCTTCTCCTGAATGAATATATTGATTCTAATGCTAGAATCACACACTTTAATTGTATTCTGGCTTATCAATCTTTTTTTTTTCTCTTGATGATTATTGCTGATTGCAAAGATGTAGACAGATCCTTGCACCTGCTTCATGAATAGCCCTTTGTCTTCAGAAATTTCCTTGAAGGCTAGTGAATTATGCCACTTTAAAATTTTAAATATGCCCTACCCTGTTTACATAATTATTACAGGCCTCTTCTGATTAGCACTTGCAATACTCTCCTTGCTTTTGCATTTATTGGATATTATGGATTAATCATCGTTGCAAAAGAACCTAAAACCTAGCACGAATAAAGCAAATATCCAGAAGAATATTTAAAAATAATGTTATCCTCACAACCAAAAATAACAGCTGAGGGTCCCTGTTGGTGATGAGCTCAGTTGGTGTATTTTTACATTGTTCTTAGCTTTGTTAACATGTATGAATGCTTTTAAGTTGTAGAACCTTAGAAGGCCAGAGCTAGAAGTTTGTCTCATCCAGTTAATTTTTTTTTTGAGATGGAGTCTCACTCTGTCACGCAGGCTGGAGTGCAGTGGCGCAATCTCGTCTCACTGCAACTTCCGCCTCCCGGATTCAAACAATTCTCCTGCCTCAGCCTCCTGAGTAGCTGGGACTACAGGCGCGTGCCACCATGCCCGGCTGATTTTTTGTATTTTTAGTAGAGACGGGGTTTCACCATGTTAGCCAGGATGGTCTCGATTTCCTGACCTCGTGATCCACCCGCCTCGGCCTCCAGATATCTATAGTTTACACATGAGAGAAATGAGACTGAGAGAAGCACATAACAAGTTCCTGATCACGTGGCTAAAAATTTAATCCAAATGTAAATGAAACAGAATTTAATAATATGTGACAGCTTTTCAGATTACTTTTAGTCTGCCCTGTCAAGTTTCAACAGACATTTTGTTTTCACCAGCTCAGCTTCTCCCCTCAGTCTTCTAAGAAAATACCGTCTTTGCCTTATTCATAGGAAAGAGTGGAGAAATTCACCTGCAGACATATAGGAAATGGTGTAGATTCTTGTACGTTTTTTCAACTCTTAGGGTCTGGGTAATTGGAAAATGAGCAAAGAAGCTGAATAGATCTATACGATCAAGAACTGTGAAAGAGAAAACATAAAGTTTGATGTGGCATGAAAAATTGAAGAACTCTGAAGGAACTGATACTTTTGAGAGAATTAAAAAAGTGAAACCAATCACTCTTCCCCTTGCTCTCAGAATCCAATACGAATCAATTTGAAACATACCCATTTCTGAGTTACAGCCAATTATTCCCAATATCACTGAATATTCCGAGTATCACTGAATAAATTACATTGTGGAAAGTGCTGCTTTTCAAACTTTTGAGACATCCCTAATGTCAATGGAAACATTAGCTCTGGGCACCGGCTGTAGTTACTTTGTAAGATGCTAGAGACTTTCCATCTTTCCATAAAATTTATTTTTGGTAATAATGTCTCTTCTTTATTCTGATTGGTGGTAAAACTCTTAAAATTCGAGCCCTGATACTTGTTCAAGGGATGGAGTAAGAAGTGGAGCTAATATTTAGAAGGGAAAAGACAGTCAGTTAAGTTCTTTGAGATCTAAGTAATGAAGATTCGAAGATTCTAGTGTGTCCAGAATTTATTCCTTCCAGTGGGTTCTTGGTCTCACTGACTTCAAGAATGAAGCCGTGGACCCTCGTGGTGAGTGTTATAGCTCTTAAGGTTGGTGTGTCTGGTGTTTGTTCCTTCAGATGTTCAGATGCGTCCGGAGTTTCTTCCTTTCAGTGGGTTTGTGGCCTTGCTGACTTCAGGAATGAAGCCGCAGACCCTCACGTTGAGTGTTACAGCTCATAAAGGTAGTGCGGACCCAAAGAGTGAGCAGCAGCAAGTTTTATCGTGAAGAGCGAAAGAACAAAGTTAACACAGCATGGAAAGGGACCCAAGTGGGTTGCCGCTGCTGGCTCAGGTGGCCAGCTTTTATTGCCTTATTTGGCCTCGCCCACATCTTGCTGATTAGTCTATTTTACAGAGTGCTGATTAGTCCATTTTAAAGAGTACTGATTGGTGCATTTGCAATCTTTTAGCTAGACACAGAGCGCTGATTGGTGCATTTTTACAGAGTGCTGATTGGTGTGTTTACAATCCTTTAGCTACACACAGAGCGCTTATTGGTGTGTTTTTACAGAGTGTTGGTTGGTGCATTTACAATCCTTTAGCTAGACACAGAGTGCTGAATGGTGCGTTTTTACAGAATGCTGCTTGGTGCATTTACAATCCACTAGCTAGACAGAAAAGTTCTCCAACTCCCCACTCGACCCAGGAAGTCCAGCTGGCTGCACCTCTCGCTAGGTCTGAGAAATGGCCCTGTAATGAGGTTTTAGAAAGATACATATAGGGGAGGGGAGTTCCTGATGAGCCCTATATGACCATGAATACCTGTCCTCGAAACTCTGGGTCAGAAAAGTGAAAGTACATCCATAGGCATGTGGATATTGCCAGCTGTGTGGGTAAAATCCTTTAGATGGAATGAGTTAAACCTAGAATGAGCCCCTTGCAGGTAAGTGTGGCGTGTCCTCCTACAGCACTCTTGACTCTTAAAACCAGTGCCCACCAGTGCCCAGGAGAGAACAGTTTCATGAAAGAAAAGATGACTTGAAACCCAACTGGTAGGAGAAAAATTCTGTCACTGGCTTTCTTTTAAAAATCCAATTTGGGGCCAGGCACGGTGGTCACGCCTGTAATCCCAGCACTTTGGGAGGTTGAGGCGGGTGGATCACGAGATCAGGAGATTGAGAACATCCTGGCTAACACAGTGAAACCCCGTCTCTACTAAAAAATACAAAAAATTAGCTGGGCGTGGTGGCGGGCGCCTGTAGTCCCAGCTACTTGGGAGGCTGAGGCTGGAGAATGGCGTGAACCTGGGAGGCAGAGCTTGCAGTGAGCCGAGATCGTGCTGCTGCACTCCAGCCTGGGCGACAGAGCGAGACTCCATCTCAAAATAATAATAATAATAATAATAATAATAATAATAATAATAATAATATGTAATATAAATAATAATAATAAAAAATCCAATTTAGTTCAGGAAGTGGATTTTTCTATTTCTTAGTCATCTCTCAAAAAAAATTTTTTTAAGCCAAATCTTGGAGAAAAAGGACCACAGACAGGAAAATATTTTATTTATTCCAGACTCATATCAAGCAATATGTGTTCAGGCACTTATTTTAGTTCCAAATGTGTTTCCCTTGATTCTTGGGTAAAATCAGTTACTTCTCCTTCAATCTTGGTCCCTATCAAGACTTTAGAAAGAACTCTCCTTGGATTTCTAAAAGATAATTAACAAACTGGATATCTATACGAAAGTAATTTTGTACTTGCGCAAAAGAGTGCATTCAGCAGATAATTCACTCTTGTGGCTTTTCATTAGCTAACTTTCCCTCGGGGCAATTGAGAGGTTAAGGCCCTACTCATCCACTTTCTCAGCTTCTGTTAGAATTACTGCTCTAATTCACCAAGGGGAGTCAAAGAAACGGCACCTCTCACCAGAACTAACCCTTGTAATTGAGGTAGATTCATTTAGTAAGTGTCTCATATGTTAGTCATTTAAAGGATATTATGTAATCCTCTCAACAACCTTATAAATTAAAGCTAATCTCAAGAAAGAAACTGGTTTTGAGAAGTTCAGTGATTTCTCCCAAATCACACACTTAATAAATGGCAGGGTTGTCACAGTCTTTGTAACTCTGAAGTCCATTACCTTTTTGCTGTGCTTCTTGGCTTTACAGCATCTCTCTCCTTTAATCTCACCCATAGGTTAAAAAATCCCAAGCATCGTCCGGGTGCGGTGGCTCAAGCCTGTAATCCCAGCACTTTGGGAGGCCGAGGCGGGCAGATCACAAGGTCAGGAGATTGAGACCATCTTGGCTAACATGGTGAAACCCTGTCTCTACTAAAAATACAAAAAATTAGCAGAGTGCGCTGGCGGGCGCCTGTAGTCCCAGCTGCTTGGGAGGCTGAGGCAGGAGAATGGCGTGAACCCGGGAGGCGGATCTTGCAGTGAGCCGAGATCGCGCCACCGCACTCCAGCCTGGGCGACAGAGCAAGACTCCATTTCAAAAAAAAAAAAAAAAAAAAAAAAAAAAAAAAAAAATCCCAAGCATCGTATGTCTCCTGGGATTAGGAGAGTCTAAAAGGATATGCAAATACTTCATCTGCCAGGGGCAATATGTGACCTCACTACTTTGGTGGCTTAATACTCTTTAAAATGCAATCAAATCTTACCCAGATTTCTCTAGGTAGAAATCTTACCATAGTAGAAATCTTATCTTTCTTTTCTTCTTCCTTTTTTAAAAATTTATTCATTTATTTTTCTTGAGACAGGGTCTTACTCTGTCACCTAGGCTGGAGTGCAGTGGCACAATCATGGCTCACTACAGCCTCAACCTGCTGGGCTCAGTTAATCCTCCCACCTCAGCCTCCTGAGTAGCTGGGACTACAGTTGTGGGCACCACGCCCAGCTAATTTTTATATTTTTTGTAGAGACAGGGTTTCACCATGTTACCCAGGATGGTCTCGAACTCCTGACCTCAAGTTATCCAGCCGTCTCAGCCTTCCAAAGTCCTAGGGTTACAGGTGTGAGCCACTGTGCCTGGACAAAATCTTATCTTTCTACTTATAAGATAGAAATACACTTTATTAATATACCTTTACTTGGAAAATCTAATTATAATAGATGCTTATTATAAAAAAATGAGCTATTTTTGCAAATATCAAAATTTAAAATTAGGGGTAAAGATAACATTTTAATTTTTTAATCAGCTTGACTATTATTAAAATACAAAATATTTGCACATCCCTTGAAGTACCTTCTGAAAATCTTTACTTTAGAATTATTTCTTTCTCCTTCCCCTCCCTCCCTCTCTTCCCTCTTTTCTCCCTCCCTCAGTCCCTCACTCCCTTTGAAATATGTACCAAACATCTCCTAAGAACCAGAAACTAGGGAGTAAGAAACGGTCCCTGCTCTTAAGAGCTCATGTTCTAATCAAAAGAGACATAGCATGATCACAATTTCCAGAAGAAAAATATCAGGTGAAGCACAAAATATTATGGGAGTTTGGAGTTGGAGGGACTATTCTGGCTGGGTGCGGGGTAGGGATCTTGGTAGACTTTGGAAAGGAGGTGGCTTTTCTAGAGAGTTGGGAATAATACATGCTGTATTAGAAATAATGGCTTTTCAGATGGAGGGAAAAACCATGCTGGAGAGGGAAAAGGACAGGCCACGGAGTTAAGGACAAGGTGGGGTGTGCGTGGAGGGGAGTCTTGAGAGTAAGACTGGAAAGGTGTGTTGGGATCACATGAAAAAGTCTGTGAAGTTCTCTCTGAGGAAGTGTAGCCCTTAGTCCAACAGATAATGGGGACCATCAAAAAGTTTTTCAGTAGAGGAGTAAAGATATCCAAGCTGTCCTTTTTTCATGAGATTAGCCTGACAGCAGTCTCCTGTGAAACATGGATTACAGGAGGGAGAGCCTATTGTCAAGAACAATGAGGATAATAATTTTGACTCCAGTAAAGGGAAGCCATCCAAGGGGAAGGATTATTCACGATGAAGGCAAGAGACAGCTCCAAGGCGATGTGATACGAGGAGTAGGGATATAGAGATATCCTGGTGTACTGGGTTGAATAGTGTCCCCCTAAATTCCTGTCCTCCTGGAACCTGTGAATGTGACCTTTTTTGGAAATAGGGTCTTTGCAAATTTAATTAAAACGAGGTCATACTGGATTAGGTTGGGACCCAATTTAATAATTGGTGCTCTTATAAGGAGAGAGAGGTTTGGAGACACAGAAAGATACATGCACAAAGGGAGGAATTGCCATGTTAGGATAAAGGAAGGGAGTGCAGTGATGCAGTTACAAACCAAGGAACACAAAAGATTGCCAGAAACCCTAAGTAGCTGGAAAGAGGCAAGGAATGATTATTTCCTAGAACTTTCAGAGAGAGCATGGCTTCTTGGAAACCTTGGTTTTGGACTTACACCCTCCAGAACTGTGAGGGAATACATTTCTGTTGTTTTAAGCCACCAACTTCGTAGTGATCTGTTTGAGCAGCTCTGGAAAACTAGTACACCTGAACAACCTTAGAAAGATCAAATGATAGTGGTTACGTTCAGGAACAAGGGGAGATTTATTAAAATTTATTATGATAAAGAGGAAAGAGCATGTTTATATGACAAATTATATGGTGGACCTTTGTGCAGGGCACAGAGATAAGGTATTCCTACTAATTCCAGAACCTTACAGGCTCATTAGTGAAGACTACGAACAATCAGTGGAAGGGGCTGTACTCATGGAAACAGATGAGGAAACAGACTCAACGACGTGAAGTTACTTATGAAAATTTGCGGAGCTACAAAGTGGCAGAACTGGGCTTGCACTTATCTCTCCCGCCTCCTAGTCCAGTTCTGAACACAGATTTTCACAGGAGAGTAAAAATAAAGAGGAACACCGCGGAATAAAGAAAGAGACTTAGAAAAAGGAGGCTGGCGCTCTCCAAGGATTAGTCCCTGCTTTAAAAAAATCTCTGTCCCAGAATGGAAACATGGTAATCTGTTTGCAAATTCCCAGTTTCCCAGCCCCCTAACTCCACCCTAGTGTTTGAGAGCGCTGTCCTATTTCTCTTAAATCTCCAGAGACTGACAATAATGACATCATTGCTTTGGCCATTTTTAATTTTATCTGCTAAAAGATTGAAACTTGGAATAAGTAGGTCACCATAAGTTGGAACAAATGCGTCAAATGTTTCAGAAGCTCCAGCCTTAGAGCAAAACTAGAACTGTTAGTCAACCAAGATAAGCACCACCTTGGGAGAGGCATTTGATAATGTGTTTCTCATCATGTAATAATATTACAAACTGGCAGGATCAGGGGAAAAACATGCAGGTCATTTAAGTTCATCTCTCCGTCTTTTAGGAATGACTAAAATATGAACCATCTAAGAAGGACAAAATCTGGTTGACTAGACCTTTCTTTTTTTAAAATTTTTTTTGAGACAGAGTCTTGCTCTGTTGCCCAGGCTGGAGTACAGTTACACAATCTCGGCTCACTGCAACCTCTGCCTCCCAGGTTCAAGCAATTCTCCTGCCTCACCCTCCCAAGTAGCTGGGACCACAGGCATTCACCACCACATCCAGCTAATTTTTTTGTATTTTTAGTAGAGACGCGGTTTTACCATGTTGACCAGGCTGGTCTTGAACTCCTGACCTCAGGTGATCTACCTGCCTTGGCCTCCCAAAGTGCTGTGATTACAGGTGTGAGCCACCCTGCCTGGCCCAGACATTTCTTGAAAGTTTCTGGTCAGGGGACATGCTGGCTGGTTCTTAAATTCATAGAAATGCTAAAAATGGAACAGCCCTTACTTAACTAGTTACTGAATTGAGGTAGTACTGCTGTTGGGCCTGCTTCTAGGTTGTCTCACTTAACCCTCAAAACAGCTGTAGAGATCTCAGTCTACCTTTTCATTTTAGGGATAACAAAGCTGATACCCTAGAGAGGAGAAGTAACTTGCTAAAAGTAAATTTACACAAGAGGAAATGATATGAAAAACACTTAGAGAGATGTTTGGCTTGCTCAGCTACTAAGGAAATAGAAAAAAAGACCATGCTGAGATGCCTATCAAATCATCAAATATTAATATTTTATATCAAATTTTATTTAATCCCAGTGATGATCAGACTGCAAAGAAAGAGGCACTCACATTTGTGGAAGGTATTGTAAATGCATTAAATTGGTATGATTGTTTTCAAAGGCAATCTGCTCATTTAAACCATGACTTATACAAAGGGTCCTACCCTATGACTGAGTGATCTGGTTTCTGGATTTACATCCTAAAGTTTTATACATTAAGAAAAATTATTTGCTCAGATTTTTAGAACAGCCTTATTCAATATTTGAGAACTCTAAGATGGCGTAGTCTGAACTCTTCCAAAAACAGATAAACAGATTGAGACACATGAAGAAATGATTTTCTAAGAGTCTGAGCCAGGTCAGAATCCCATATTCTTGTCCAGTGATATTTTATTATGCTCTGGAGCATTTTGGTGAAAAATGGAAAACAATTCACATCTCCCCCAATGAAAAGGATAGTTTAACAAAATTGTGAAGAGCCTGGCTTCCTGGACTCAAATTGTGACTCCATCAGTCACTAGCTGAGTGGTTTAAGGGAGGCACTTACTCTGTTTGTGTTTCACCCCCAAACCAGTGCAATATAGAATCTCTTGTATGTCCCAGCCATTGCTGCCACAACCAGGTTTTATGTAGGCTCAGATTGGCTTCGTGAAGTTGTGCAGGCAAACTATAGATACCTAGCTTCCAGCCCTCTTGCCTGCCTTTGTTGCCTAGCCTGAGGCTTCCCTGTTGATAACTGAGGTGTGACATGCACCAGCTCAGAAGTGTGTGTGTGTGTGTGTGTGTGTGTGTGTGTGTGTGCTGTGTGTATGTCTCAGGGTAGTGGTGGGTGGATAAAATATTTCATGGGGCAGATGGGAACAGGTGGACAAACTTCCTCCTCCCTCCCCCTATACGACTGTCTAAAATGCAGCTTATGTAGCCTTTTGGAGAATTGTCTCCTGGGAAGACAGTCTTAGAAGTCTTAGATAGATGGATCTATCTATCACACTTGCTGGTAACTAGATTAATCACATAGCCTCAAACGGATTCTTCCCCATTCCCTGCCTCACATTACTTTTCCTTCACTCTTGTCTCCCTGGAATTGCACCTTAAATAAAGTAGTGTATGGAATCCTTTGCTTCAGGTTTTGCTTTATTTTGAAGCCAGGCTAGAGAGAGGGCTTTAGTGAGAAAACATTTAATAAGTAAAAATTGGTAAAGTGGTTAGAACAGTGCCTGACGCATAGTAATTACTATGTAAGTGTGGGCTATTCTTATTATATTGTATCACTGTGTAGCTCTGTAAAATAGCAAATATTTAGACTGTGCTGCTACGTAGAAAAATATATGTAAAATGTTAAGCAAAAACAGAACTCTAGAAAGCAAGCATCCAGGGATAATATCCCCATAAAAATTATATATACACAGTGAAGATAGAAGAGATGACATAGAGTTGGAAATCACGATTCTGTAATGGGGACGAGGTGCTGTGTTTACGTTTCCACAGAGGTCGTTATTTATCCAAAGTGGAGTTTAAATAAATAGAATAAATACACTCTCTTTTCCCTCTGCTCAGAGATACAGTCCAGTGCTTATAACTCCTCAGAGCTGGAAAGTCTTTCCATGCAAGACTTTTCTTTATACTATAATTTTAATCCAATTTTCCTTTAATTCATTGTTTATGAAGATTGGGAACCGTGGAGCAGCAGCTGTGATGAAACAACTCACTGTCTCTGCAAACAGAGGTCTCTGCTTCTACTTCTCATGGGGTGGTGAGATGATGGGCTCCTCTTTTGGGGGCTGCTTTGTCCCACACTCAGGGCTCAACCTCCTCTGTAGTGGGCCCTCAGCAGCACCTGACACGCAGCAAGAGTCTGAAAGTGACTTTTCTTCCTCTCTCTCCTCTTCCCTTTCCTCTCCTCACGCTCTTGGAGGCCAGAGTAGGAAGAAATGATATGCAAGTTATGAGAGACGGAGTCCTGAACTTGACTTCATTAGAATTTCATGTACATCATTGTGTGTGTGTGTGTGGTGTGTGTGGAGAAAAGCTTAATGTGAGCAGAGAACATTTTTCTATGGGGATGGGGATTGGGAAGACTCGTGATACGCCCTATTCTCATTTGTTTATCTGGGAGCCCAGTTCTGTGTTTGGTCATGTGACTGGTCTTGGTTTAAACTCTCTAACGGCCTCCTCTAGCACTTAGAGTCAAGCCTAACTTCTTGTCCTGGTGGCAGAGCCCTCCTGCAACCTGCCCCTGCTCACCTCTCAGAACTTGCCTCACACCTTTTCCTTGGCTCACCACTTTCTAGCTAACTCAGTCATTTTTGTTTGTTTCTCAAACATGCTAAACTTGTTTTCATCTACAGCTTTTTAGACTAACAGTCTAGAATACTCTTCCTCTCCATGTTCACCCATTTGGTTTCTTCTTGTCTTTCAAACCTCAGTGTAAATGTCACCTCTTCAGAGAAGCATTCTCTGGCCATGCAATCTAAGATACCTGAGTCATTCTTTTACCTTACCCAATTCTGGTTCTCTGAAGAATGGCCATCTGGTTTTGTGTTCTTTGTTTAGATATTATTTGTTTGCTGTTTGACATAATCTTTGAAGAAGGGAGAACCTTGTGTGCCCTGTTCTTCTGTTCTTCCCCAAATTCTGTAATAGTGCCCAATACAGAGACACACTCAATAAGTATGTTGCATAAATATATATGAATGCACAGTGAATGTTAGGTTAACGGGGGCTTCCAGGTGGTTCAGGAAGAGCAAAAGCTGCAAACGACAGCCGGACTTTTCTCTCTTGAGCTGAAAAGTAGGGCAGACCCATTGCTTTTCCACCCCTTTGTACATCAAAAACCATATTATTAACATCCTCCAGGTGGTAAAAGAAAAGAGGACACTAGCTGATCTATCTGTGCCATATAGTTTTTTGGTTCAGAATATTAACTACTTGGAGAATTACACACACACTATCAGATTTAAAGACTTACTATAAAGCTACAGTAATCTCAGGACAGTATTGACCAGTGGAACAGAATCAAGAGCACAGAGACATCTGTAGAAATATGGTCAATTGATTTCTGGCAAGCTTCCAAAGACAATTAATGGAAGAGAGGATTTGTCTATTCAACAAAGGATGATGAAACAATTGGTCATCCATATGCAAAGCCAAGAACTTTGACCAAAACTTCAAACTTTATATAAAAATAATTCAAAATGAATCATAGAGCTAAATGTAAAACATGAAACTATAAAGCCGTTTTTGGTAGTTTTTTTTTTTATTATTATTATTTTATTTTTCTTTTTGTTTTTGAGACAGGGTCGCCCAGGCTGGAGTGCAGTGGCAAGTACACGGCTCACTACAGCCTGGGGCTCCTGGGCTCAAGGGATCCTTCTGCCTCAACCTCCTGAGTAGCTGGGACTACAGGTGGGTTTCATCACGCCCGGCTAATTTTTTATTTTTATGTTTTGTAGAGCCAGGGTTTCACCATGTTGCCCAGGTTGCTCTCAAATTGCTGGGCTCAAGTAATCTGCTGCCTCGGCCTCCCAAGTGTTGGGATTACAGGCATGAGCCACGAGGCTCAGCCCTATAAAACCTTTCAAAGAATTGATAGGACCAAAATGTTTTTGACCTGAAGTTAGGCAGACAGGCTTTTTGTTTTATTTATTTTTTTAAGTGACTTAAAAATATTTACTTATTACAAATTTATTATCTTACACTTCTGAAGGTAAGTCTTAAATGGGTTTCATTAAGCTAAAATCAAGATGTCAGCAGGGCTGCGATCCTTCTGGAAATTCTAGGGGAGAAACTGTTTCTCTGTCTTTTCCAGCTTCTGGGGAGGCCTGCATTCCTTGGCTCGTGGCTCCTTTCTCCATCACCAAAGCCAGTACCGTAGTGTCTTCCCATCACTTTCTCCTTCTCTCTGACCCAGACCCTCCTGTCAGAGAGTTCTCAAACAGGACACCAAGAACATGATCCGTTAAAACGAAAAGTTGATAAACTGGACTTCATAACAATTTAAGAAGTTTGCTTTGTAAAATACATTATTAAGATAATGAAAATACAAGCTATGAACTGGATGATGAAAATAGTTGTGAATCATATTTCTGATGAAGGACTCCGAATATATAAAGAATTCTTAAAACTCAATGGTAAGAAAAACACACTTTTTTAAATGGGCAAATATCTTGAATAGACACTTTGCTAAAGAGGATATAGATGGCAAATAAGCACAGAAAGGGATGTTTAGCATCTCTTTAATGAGCACATGAAGAAGTTCAAATAGAAAAAATGCAAATTAAACCACCATGAGATACTATTAAACACTTTTTAGAAAGGCTGAAATTAGGCCAGGCACGGTGGCTCATGCCTGTAATCCCAGCACTTTAGGAGGCGGAGGTGGGCGGATCACCTGAGGTCAGGAGTTCAAGACCGGCCTGACTAATATGGTGAAGCCCTCTCTCTACTAAAAATACAAAATTAGCCTGGCATGGTGGCACATGCCTGTAATCCCAGCTACTTGAGAGGCTGAGGCAGGATAATCACTTGAACCCGGGAGGTGGAGGTTGCGATGAGCCGAGATCATACCATTGCACTCCAGCTTGGGCAACAAGAGTGAAACTCCATCTCAAAAAAAAAAAAAAAAAAAAAAAAAGGAAGAAAGAAAAAAGGAAAAGAAAGGCTGAAAAGAAAAAAAGAAAACAGTAACTGACAATACCAAGTGCTGATAAGGATGTGGAGGCACTGGAGCTGTAATATTTTGCTGGTGAGAAGTCAAGATACAACCATTCTAGAAAAGGTTGGCAGTTGTAAGGTTAAACAAATGCTTACCATGTGACCCAACAACCTGACTCCTAGGTATTTATCCCCACAAAACAAACACTTACCTTTACACAAAATCTTACATGTAATGCGTATAGCGACTCTATTCATGATCTCCAAAACCTGAGACAGCTCAAATTTCTTTCAACAGATGAATGGATAAATAAATGTGATACATCTGTATTACAGAAAATTACTCAGCAATGTAAAGGAAGAGACTATCGTTCCATGCAGCAGCAAGAATGGAGTTCAAAGACATTATACTGAGTGGAAGAAGTCAGTTCGAAAAGGTTATATACTACAAAATTCCATTTATGTCACATTCTCACAAAGAAAAAGACTATGTGACAGAGACCAGATCACTGAGTTCCAGGGGTTAGCATGGGAGGAAGGTGTGATTACAAATGGGTAAAGCGATGGTACTGATTTGTATACTGATTGTAGTGATGCTTGCATGAATCTACACACGTATTAAAATTCTTAGAACTGTACATCAGGAAAGCCAATTTTATTATATAAAATTTAAAAAAAAATTTAATGAAAGAACTAATAATTATCAAGACCTTGAATCCAGATTCCATTACTTTATAGCTGCGCTATATTGAACCAGGTACTATTTTCCTTAAGCCTCAGTTTTCTCATCACCTAAAATGTGTATAAGAGTATCTACATCGTGGCCGGGCGCAGTGGCTCACGCTTGTAATCCCAGCACTTTGGGAGGCCGAGGAGGGCGGATCATGAGGTCAGGAGATCGAGAACATCCTGGCCAACATGGTGAAACCCTGTCTCTACTAAAATACAAAAAATTAGCAGGGTGTGGTGGCGCGTGCCTGTAGTCCCTGCTACTCAGGAGGCTGAGGCAGGGGAATCACTTCAACCCAGGAGGTGGAGATTGCAGTGAGCCGAGATCGTGCCACTGCACTCCAGCCTGGAGACAGAGCAAGACTCTGTTTCAAATAAATAAATAAATAAATAAATAAATAAATAAATAAATAAATAAGAGTATCCACATCTCATAGGGATGTTTGGTGAATTATAGGAGGCCATGTGTATATAGTTGTATGCACAGTGGCATATTAGTGAATACACAATAAATTTACCTGTTAATATGGGGTCATTATTTTCAGAAGAAAAATCTTTAGAGGAGGCTGAATGTTATGGTGATAAGGAACAAAAGCTTTAATAAACAGTCATACTTAGCTTTGAATTGCTTATCATCTTGGACACGTTAATCACTCTCTCTGAACTTTAGTTTCCTAATCCAAGAACAGTGATAGTAATATTCACTTTATTATATTGTGATGAGCATAACCATTAATATACATATAATGTCTGGTACTCAGTGAGTGTTCAATAAACGATAGCTGTAATTATGATTTCGAGTGGTTCAATAAGTAAAATATGATTTCTTCTGACATTTAAAAATTACATTTACAAATATGTAATTCTAAATGATTAATTATGCAACAAAAGAAAGAGCTGACGTTATGCAAATGTTTTCATTTGTACTGGGCTGGCCATTCACACATATTTTCCTATTCATAGCCAAAATAGTAATTGGTTGAAATGAGCACTGTTGCATTTTAATGAGCCCTTAAAAGGGCAAAAAAATTCTTCTAGTATAATACAGAATGGATTTTCCATGACAGTGTGTATTTTTCTATTTTGTTATTTTAATTTGCAAATGGAGTCCACAGGTGTATAAATGACCTTCCTCATTTCATAATGCTTTCCATCTCTCATCTCAAGGATGTGTTTTAAAGTAAATTAAAGTTAGAGCCAAAGCAGCCCAGGGCCGGCTAGAAAGGCCTGGTGGCCTCTATGGGCTAGATGTGTAGAGACAAGCTGAATTTCTCCTGGGTTTATGTTTTTTTTCAGTTTGCTTATCATCATTGTCATCATCATCATCATCATCATCATCATTATCATCAACCAGGCTCTGATTATCCAAGAAAGGCTTTTTGGTTCTATAGCACCTCCGATCATATTGAACATTATTTAAGCTGTTTTTTGCTGTTTCTTTTCATTCATAGATCCATGAAAAGGGAAACTGTTGCTTTAAGATAATAAAGGATGCACATTTTAACAAAGGATACCACTCTGTCAGCCAGATGTGTAAAAACACACCTTCAGCAAAAGACATTTCTCATAAGTTAGATTATCTTTCACTGTGAATTAAAAATGTTCTGAAATGGCTGATACGGTTTTACTGCTGCTTATGAATGGCATTCTAGAGGTTATTGATGGGAATGGAAGAACAGAATACTTGAAGCACAAAGCTGGAAAGGATCTTAGAAATTTAGCCTAATATTGTTATCATATCAAAGACGAAAATGGAAATCTAGAGAAGAAAGTACCAGGCACGTGTTATCCAACAGGCAAGAGGCAGAGTCAAGATGAAAACCCAGGTCTCCTGCCTGCAGGACAGGTTAATTTTCTCTATATCACATCATCTCTTCAACAACATCTCTCTGTTTTTTCTGTTCTACTTTTTAACCCCACGTTCGCAAAGTTTATTTAATTACTTTGGTTCATAGAATACTATCATCATTAATGCATACTGAGACTCTTTCATGTTTTATTATTGTACATTTTTTCTCCACTCATAATTGTCATTCCCAGCCCTTTCTCCCCCTTAGACACTTATTCTACTGTATTTGCTATGTCCTTAAGTATGAAAATGCTGCTTTATCTATGGATTTTTATTTACTTAAATGTACTGTGCTAGACATTTTCATTCAATACTGTGCTTTTAGGTCTGTCCATGTGACTACATGTTAATTTGCTCTGACCATGGCTTAGAATTCCAGACTATTAACTTATCACATTTTACTCATCTATTCCTCTCTGGTGAATACTAGGTAACTTCTATATTTAATACCACAAACAATGCTGCCACAATTAAGTTCTTTTGTTTAAATATGGAGTCTCCTTATGTGGCCTAGGTTGGACTCAAACTCCTGGGCACAAGTGATCCTCCTTCCTCAGCCTCCTGAGTAGCTGGGACTGCAGGTGTGTGCCACTGTGCCTAGCTTTATCTTGTATTTGTCTCTTAGTGAACTCATGGGAGAAATGTTCTGGGTATATCCATTGTTGGGATTGTTGGGTCATAAGGTACAACCATTCCTTTCTTTTCTTTTCTTTTTTTTTTTTTTTTGAGATAGAGTCTTGCTCTGTCGCCCAGGCTGGAGTGCATTGGTGTGATCTCATCTCACTGCAACCTCTGCGTACCTGGTTCAAGTGATTCTCCTGCCTCAGCCTCCTGAATAGCTGGGATTACAGGCACCTGCCACCACTCCTGGCTAATTTTGTGTGTTTTTAGTAGAGACTGGGTTTCGCTGTATTAGCCAGGATGGTCTTGAACTCCTGACCTCATGATCTGCCTGCCTCAGCCTCCCAAAGTGCTGGGATTACAGGCGTGAGCCACCATGCCTGGCCCAGCCAACTGTTCTTAATGTTGCTAAATATTGCCAGATTTCTTTCTACAAAGGCTGTATGTTTTACACTCAAAACCAGCAGCAGGCCGGGCGCGGTGGCTCACGCCTGTAATCCCAGCACTTTGGGAGGCCGAGGCAGGCGAATCATGAGGTCAGGAGATCGAGACCATCCTGGCTAACAACACGGTGAAACCTTGTCTCTACTAAAAATACAAAAAGTTAGCCGGGCGTGGTGGCAGGCGCCTGTAATCCCAGCTACTCGGAAGGCTGAGGCAGGAGAATGGTGTGAACCCGGGAGGCGGAGCTTGCAGTGAGCCGAGATCGAGCCACTGCACTCCAGCCTGGACGACAGAGCAAGACTCCATCTCAAACAAAACAAAACAAAACAAAACAAAAACCAGCAGCACCCAATTGTTCCCATTTTCTCATACCCTTGTCAATAATCAGTCTTATCTTCCTTTCTTTTCTTCCTCTCTTTCACAAAACTATCCTACATTTTCTTCTGACAACTTTGTAGTTTAAGATTTAGGTCCTTAATCCACCTAAAGTCTATGTTTAGATATGGTACAAGGCAGGACAACACTTTTGCATTTCTTCATGTAATATTAATATTTCAGTTTTCTCAATACTTTCTGAGTAGGCACTTCATTCATGCACCTCTACTCCACTCCAGTTACATTTCTTTATTTTTATTTTATAATTTAAACCTTTATTTTAGATTCAGGGGGTACATGTGCAGGTTTGTTACATGGATATATTGCGTGATGCTGAGGTTTGGGGTATGACTGATCCCATCACCCAGTTAATGAGCATAGTACTCAATAGTTATTCAACCGTTGCTCCCTCCTCTCCCTCCCTTCTATAGTGGTCTCCAGCGTCTATTATTGCCTTCTTTGTGTCCATGAGTATTCAATGTTTAGCTCCCACTTCTAGGTAGGAACACGAGGTATTTGGGTTTTGGTTCCTGCACTAATTCTGTTAGGATATTGGTGGCCAGCTGCATCCACATTGATGCAAAGAACATGATTTCATTCTTTTTTTATGATTGCATAGTATTCCATGGTGTATATGTACCACATTTTATTTATCCAGTCCACTGTTGATTGGCATGTAGGTTGATTCCACATCTTTGCTGTTGTGAAGAGTGCTGTGATGCCCATATGAGTCCATGTGTCTTTTGGGTAGAATGATTTCTGATGGATATATAACCAGTAAAAAGATTGCTGGGTCAAATGGTAGTTCTGCTTTTAAGTTTTTTGAGAATCTCCCATCTGTTTTCCATAGTGGTTGAACTAATTTACATTCCCGCCAACAATGTGTAAGCATTCCCTTTTCCCTGCAGGCTTGCCAGCGTCTGTTGCTTTTTTATTTTTTAGTAATAGCCACTTTGACTGGTGTGAGATGGTATTTCATTGCGGTTTTGATTTGCGTTTTTCTGATGATTAGTGACATTGAACATTTTCCCATATGTTTTGTGGGCCACTTGTATGTCTTCTTTTGATAAGTGTCTTTTCATGTCTTTGCCCATTTTTTAACGGGGTTACTGGTTTTTGCTTGTTGAATTGTTTAATATTCTTATAGATTCTGGACATTAGACCTTTGTCAGATGCATAGTTTGCAAATATTTTCTCCCACTCTGTAAGTTGTCTGTTTACTCCAGTGATAGTTTCTTTTGCTGTGCAGAAGCTCCTTAGTTTCATAAGTTTCCATTTGTCAATTTTTGCTTTTGTTGCCATTGCTTTTGAGGACTTAGTCACAAATTATTTCCCAAGATCAATGTCCAAAATGGTGTTTCCTGGGTTTCCTTCTAGTATCCTTATAGTTTGAGGTCTTACATTTAAGTCTTTAATCCATCTTGAGTTATTTTTCATGTATAGTGAAAGGTAGGGGTCCATTTTCATTTTTCTGCATATGGCTAGCCAGCTATCTCAGTTGCATATATTGAACTGTTTATTTTTGTCATCCAGTCCCATTAAAATGCTTCACGATAGACATTTTCTACTGGGTTCAAGAAGATATCTTGATTCACAGACACATGCTCTAATTTTTGTTTGTTTGTTTTGTTTGTTTTTTTTTTTTTAGGCAGGCTCTCACTCTGTCATCCAGGCTGGAGTGCAGTGGTGCAATCACAGCTCACTGCAACCTCTGCCTCCTGGGCTCAAGTGATCCTCCTGCCTGGGCCTCCCAAGTAGCTGGGACTATAGGCACATGCCACCATGCCCAGCTAATTCTTGTATCTTTTGTAGAGATGGGGTTTCACCATGTTGCCTAGGCTGGTCTCAAACTCTTGAGCTCAAGTGATCTGCTGGCCTTGGCCCCCCAAAGTGTTGGGATTATAGGCATGAGCCACCATGCCCAGACCCACAAACTCTAAATTCTGAGAAGAATAGTGGTTGTCCTAATTAGACATTTTGTTGGCAAATGGGGCCAAGGACAAGGAGTCAGGATTCCAGGGTTTAAAGTCTATAGACTATTCATGGCATTAAAGACAGCCTATTACAATAAGGGAACCTGCAATTCAGCAGGTGAGCACAACTTCTCATGGGTACGGATAAGAGGATTAGACCCGACTGCACTCCATGATGTGGTCTGAAGATGCTGACCGATCTTGACTCCTCTGGCAAGTTCAGCCACCTCAATTAGAATATGACCTTCATTTGATGTAGTGAGCTCCCAATTAAAATTTTATGCGAAGAGTTTTTGAAGCTAAAGAAATTTTTAGAAAACTACTGGTATAGATAATCCCATGAGTTTTTCTAAATTTTCCTGTTAGGGTACAACCTCTCCCTTGAATATTAGTTTTAATTCATTATTAATATGAATTCACTTTTACTTCTATCTCCAAGTTGGCTATTCAGAATAATAGGTAAGAAGTATTACAGTATCTGCGCTCTGCACATTGAGGGTCAATAAATATTTGATGAACAAAAGAAGGTTGATGATACCAGGAGAAAGGAATGGGTCAGGTCGTTTTCATTTTTTTACTGTCAGTAAGCCATAGAGGAGCAGGGCAATTTTTTTAAACAGAGAAGTGAATTGCTATTTTCTTTTTTTCATAAATTAAGTAACACTGACATACTTTCTTAATGTTGCATTAAAACAACTCAACTTTATGAAGGGGTTCTCACTCTAGTGAAGAGTGATGAGCAGATGATAGAAATGGCTTATATAGTGACCCAAAGAATGCACACACTACTAAATTGTGCGATTTCTTTGCTTTATGTTCAAGTGTATGAAAATTACTTGAGTGAGCCCTAAGATCTAGCTGCTTTTGGAACAGATTACAGTCTGTGTGTGTGTGTCTGTGTGTAAGTGTGCATGTCTATGTGTGTGTGCATGTATGTGTATCTGTTTGTGTAAGTGTGTATGTGTATGTTGTTTGGAGGGAATTCTGTGTCACAGTTGTGTGGTCATAGGAATTCGGAAAGAAAGAAAACCTTAACCTGAGCAGGGATGGTTCAGATGATTTCTCAGATGAAGTGACAGAGATTGTTGAGAAAATGTAATTTGAGCCCACAGAAAACCCATTGTAAGCACTCCAATTCCTGGCTACAAACTGCACTTTATTCTTCAGGAAAATATCCTGGACTCAATCTTTAATCCTTTTACAAATTTTTTTTCTTTTTTCTTTTTTTTTTTTTTGAGATAGGGTCTCACTCTGTCACCCAGGCTGGTGTGCAGTGATGCAATCTTGGCTCACTATAACCTCCGCCTCCTGGGCTTAAGTGATTCTCCCATCGCAGCCTCCGGAATAGCTTGGACAACAGGGGTGCACCACCACACCTGGCTAATTTTTTTGTATTTTTTGTAGTTACAGGATTTTGCCATATTTTCCAGGCTGGTCTCAAACTCCTGGGCTCAAGTGATCCACCTGCATCGGCCTCCCAAATTGCTGGGGTTACAGGCATGTGCTGCTGTGCCTGGTCCCTTATTCAATTCTTAATGATATCTTTAGGCAACAGTGTAGCTCAGTAAAGAGTCCAATTCTGCCCTCAGATGTGTGGAGAGAAGCCACCCAAGGCAGGAAAAGCACCTCAATCCCTGGGGTAAATGAAGGCCTGTGTATGGAAAGCTTCTTTTGGTAGACGTTCACAAGCTCAATACTTAGATGTGATATATCTCCATCCGTGGAGGACTGTTTCTTTGGGGAGAGTTCTGCAGATGTATGCAGCCTCAGTTAGCACGGCAGGTAAAGTTTGGGGAAATTAAACCATGCCAGGAGGGAATAAATGGGCGAAGGGGCTGTTTAGAGCCTGAAGTGAACGCCCTTATGGAAGTCTGAAACTAATGTGGGAAAAGGCAAGCTAAATGATTCCTATTTGGTGATTTGTTTGAAATGTTTTGATGAAGGTTATGGAGAGGAAGACTCCAGTTTCATCATCTGAGAGCCATTGGATCTAAAAGAGGTGAGGCATCTTCTACTGGGAGCTCAACCAGTTAGAGGAAACCGATGCAGACGTGATTTCTCTGCTTTCCATCTCTTCACATAAATCCAACAAAATATCTTCTGCCTAGAGCTCTGCTTTCAATGTGTGCAATTATTCATCCATTTCCTCAATGTATATTAACTGTGTGCGAGGCACCAAGACAGGAGCTGGGGAATCAGGGGGGTTATGGGCCATACCATCAAGAGTCCCACAGTTTGGTTGGAGAGGAAGATAAGAAAACCTGCCATGACAGGATTTCCACACAACAGGGAGACAGTGACAGGAAGGTAATCAGGGAGGCAGTCTTGGGTGCTGTCCACAAGCACAGACTCTGGTAACAGCTCTGTTCTTATCCCAGCCCTGCCATTTAGTAGCTGTGTGATCTGGAGCCAGTTACGTCAACTCTCTGTGTTGCAATCTCCTCAATTGTGAAATGAAACTCGTAACACCAACCTCAAGGATTTGTTGTATGAGTTAAATGAGTTAATACATGTGAAGTGTTTAGTAAAGCACCAGCATGTACAATGTGCTCACAGCCCGCAGAGAACTGCAAGGGCAGGGACCCTTTCAGCTGCACCTCAACTGTCACTCCCTGTCTTCAGTTCTCAGCTGAGTCCAGCAGTTCCTGGGCAAGATGAGGAAGAAACAGTTACCGTCATTTCCCCCTCAAACCAAAGGGAAATGAGTGACTCACTCCAGCATCACGGAATGTCTGAAAGGGGATTTCTTTCTTTATCTAAAGGAAATTTTGGCAGGAAAAGTAGACTAAAACTATTCCCCAACGTAGGCAGCTCTTGTAAAATGATTTGTTAACTTAATATTTCTATGAACTTGTATTAAATACTTACCATATGCTAGGAACTGTGGGCTATAGGGTAACAGCCTGCATTTATTGATCCCTCACATGTGCTAAGCACTGTAGAAAGTACCGCATTTATCTAATATTCACAATACATCCTCATGAAGTAGGTTCATTATCATTCAAAGGAAGAAACTGAAACAGAGAGAGGTTAACAAATAACTTGCCAAGGTTCTACAGCAAGATAGGAAATAGTGGAGCAGGGATTTGAACTTGGGAAGAATGAGTGGAGAGTCCAAAGCCTGACCACTATGTTTTCCTGTCTTAAGAAAATATAATCACTTTCTGCAAGGAGTGCTTATTCTAGTGAAGGAGCCAGAAAAGAACAGATAATTAATATACAGTGTAATCTATGCTCTATAAAGGTGTGAACAGAGTTCTGTGGAAGCACAGAGGAGGGAGGAAATTACTTTGGCTGGGAGAACCAGTTTTAGCTGTAATAAGCAAAGTACTCAAGATTACACAAAATTTCCAAAATATGTACAAACCTGGAATGATGAAAATCTGTCACAGAGAAAGAAAAGCTTACATTCAAAGATGACTAAAAACTATAAACCTGTCTAGGTAATCAGCCTCTAAATGATCAAGAGTCAAAGTTACATTTTTGAGTCTATGACATCAGGTGTAATATGCATATTACTGCTTTGGTGTGACTGACCACACTGCACTTTGCTAACTGTCAAAACCATATATTTCAAGTCCCAGCTCAAGTTCTATCTTGGAAGGGAGTGGCCACAACTTATTAGTCTTTATTCTTTTTGGTATCCTCTGTCTCATCTATATTAGGTGCCTATCTCACTGCCTGGCTCAAGGTAGTAGCTCAAATGTGTTCATTCTGCGTCTTTTAGAAGTTGATTAATCTGTTTTTGTTTAGTTCAAGGCCTAATTTTTTCTCTCTCACCTTTCACTATTTTCATTTCACATCTCATTTATATTTCTCACAGATGTTACTAGGAGTCAAACTCTAAAATTCACCCATTTCAACATTTGGGAAAGAATGCATCAAAATGCGATCTCAAGATGGATTCTGGTGGTAACTTTTGGGTTTTCTTTATCAATGTCCCTCTTTGTCACTCATAGGAAAAATTAGCTTAAACTTAGTGGGAAAAAAATTTGGTTCCATATTGCTCAAGATATGTCCTGACTACCTGTTCAGGTCTGATTTTTGAGTAGCGGGTAACAACCAGTACACATCTTTCTCCAGCTCTTGACATCAAAACCGTCTGTTCAGAACGAGAGGGAAGAGAAAGAGAAAGGGGAGAATGAGCGTGGGAAGAAAGATAGAGAAAATGATTCTGTCAGTCTAGGGTCAAAAATAAATGGAGGAGGCAAGAATGTCCTGCAAAATGCTTTGAATAATGTTATAATAAATTACCAACGCTTACGAGGTTAAATGAATTGTGTCCCTGCTGACATTAAGTAAGGATTTGAGGTAGAATATCAATCTTCAGTAAGTGTCATCCTTTTGAGCTCAAATCAGTGGGCATCATTTTGTCTGATCAAGCACCAGTCCAGTTGTAGCTGAGAACTAGCTGGTACCTACAGTAATAGCTGATTTGTCAGTTACCCTGCTCAGGTGCCCAATCATTGCAGAACTGCTCCTGAAAGTACAGTCTTTGACTTTGATATCTTTTAAACACACTTCCAGGACACCTAAAATTCCTCTGTTACATCAAGTCTCTCATTGTGTTTACATAGACTTCTGCTACCCTAACCTGGCCCTACTCCATCTGTATTAGTCTATTCCTATGCTACTAATAAAAACATACCTGAGACTGGGTAATTTATAAAGGAAAGAGATTTAATGGACGCACAGTTCCACATGGCTGGGGAGGCTTCACAGTCGTGATTAGAAGGCAAAGGAGAAGAAAAACATGTCTTACATGGTGGCAGGAAAGAGAGTTTGTGCAGGGGAACTCCCATTTATAAACCATCAGATCTCATGAGACTTACTCACCATCACGAGAACAGTATGGGGGAAACTGCCCCCATGAATCAATTATCTCCACCTGGCCCCACCCTTGACATGTGGGGATTATTACAGTTCAAGGTGAGATTTGAGTGGGGACACAGAGTCTAACCATATAACCATCTGTTGTTACAGATTTTTCTTATTCATAGTTTTCTAGTAATTAATGTCAAAATGATAAGATAGGATCTCAGCATATCTCAGTATCTCATGAGGATGCAAGTTTATTCTTAAATACTTTATATAGAATTTACTAAGATGAAAGGAGATTTTTTTCTTTTATTTATTTATTTATTATTATTATACTTTAAGTTTTAGGGTACATGTGCACAATGTGCAGGTTAGTTACATATGTATACATGCACCATGCTGGTGCACTGCACCCACTAACTCGTCATCTAGCATTAGGTATATCTCCCAGTGCTATCCCTCCCCCCTCCCCTCACCCCACAACAGTCCCCAGAGTGTGATGTTCCCCTTCCTGTGTCCATGTGTTCTCATTGTTCAATTCCCACGTATGAGTGAGAATATGCAGTGTTTGGTTTTTTGTTCTTGGCGATAGTTTACTGAGAATGATGATTTCCAATTTCATCCATGTCCCTACAAAGGACATGAACTCATCATTTTTTATGGCTGCATAGTATTCCATGGTGTATATGTGCCACATTTTCTTAATCCAGTCCATCATTGTTGGACATTTGGGTTGGTTCCAAGTCTTTGCTATTGTGAATAATGCCGCAATAAACATACGTGTGCATGTGTCTTTATAGCAGCATGATTTATAGTCCTTTGGGTATATACCCAGTAATGGGATGGCTGGGTCAAATGGTATTTCTAGTTCTAGATCCCTGAGGAATCGCCACACTGACTTCCACAATGGTTGAACTAGTTTACAGTCCCACCAACAGTGTAAAAGTGTTCCTATTTCTCCACATCCTCTCCAGCACCTGTTGTTTCCTGACATTTTCATGATTGCCATTCTAACTGGTGTGAGATTGTATCTCATTGTGGTTTTGATTTGCATTTCTCTGATGGCCAGTGATGATGAGCATTTTTTTCATGTGTTTTTTGGCTGCATAAATGTCTTCTTTTGAGAAGTGTCTGTTCATGTCCTTCGCCCACTTTTTGATGGGGTTGTTTGTTTTTTTCTTGTAAATTTGTTTGAGTTCATTGTAGATTCTGGATATTAGCCCTTTGTCAGACGAGTAGGTTGCGAAAATTTTCTCCCATTTTGTAGGCTGCCTGTTCACTCTGATGGTAGTTTCTTTTGCTGTGCAGAAGCTCTTTAGTTTAATTAGATCCCATTTTTCAATTTTGTCTTTTGTTGCCATTGCTTTTGGTGTTTTAGACATGAAGTCCTTGCCCATGCCTATGTCCTGAATGGTAATGCCTAGGTTTTCTTCTAGGGTTTTTATGGTTTTAGGTCTAATGTTTAAGTCTTTATTTTTGTACATTGATTTTGTATCCTGAGACTTTGCTGAAGTTGCTTATCAGCTTAAGGAGATTTTGGGCTGAGATGATGGGGTTTTCTAGATATAAAATCATGTCGTCTGCAAACAGGGACAATTTGACTTCCTCTTTTCCTAATTGAATACCCTTTATTTCCTTCTCCTGCCTAATTGCCCTGGCCAGGACTTCCAACACTATGTTGAATAGGAGTGGTGAGAGAGGGCATCCCTGTCTTGTGCCAGTTTTCAAAGGGAATGCTTCCAGTTTTTGCCCATTCAGTATGATATTGGCTGTGGGTTTGTCATAGATAGCTCTTATTATTTTGAAATACGTCCCATCAATACCTAATTTATTGAGAGTTTTTAGCATGAAGGGTTGTTGAATTTTGTCAGAGGCCTTTTCTGCATCTGTTGAGATAATCATGTGGTTTTTGTCTTTGGTTCTGTTTATGTGCTGGATTACATTTATTGATTTGCGTATATTGAACCAGCCTTGCATCCCAGGGATGAAGCCCACTTGATCATGGTGGATAAGCTTTTTGATATGCTGCTGGATTCGGTTTGCCAGTATTTTATTGAGGATTTTTGCATCAATGTTCATCAAGGATATTGGTCTAAAATTCTCTTTTTTGGTTGTGTCTCTGCCCGGCTTTGGTATCAGGATGATGCTGGCCTCATAAAATGAGTTAGGGAGGATTCCCTCTTTTTCTATTGATTGGAATAGTTTCAGAAGGAATGGTACCAGTTCCTCCTTGTACCTCTGGTAGAATTTGGCTGTGAATCCATCTGGTCCTGGACTCTTTTTGGTTGGTAAGCTATTGATTATTGCCACAATTTCAGATCATGTTATTGGTCTATTCAGAGATACAACTTCTTCCTGGTTTAGTCTTGGGAGAGTGTATGTGTCCAGAAATTTATCCATTTCTTCTAGATTTTCTAGTTTATTTGTGTAGAAGTGTTTGTAGTATTCTCTGATGGTAGTTTGTATTTCTGTGGGATTGGTGGTGATATCCCCTTTATCATTTTTTATGGCGTCTATTTGATTCTTCTCTCTTTTTTTCTTTATTAGTCTTGCTAGCGGTCTATCAATTTTGTTGATCCTTTCAAAGAACCAGCTCCTGGATTCATTAATTTTTTGAAGGGTTTTTTGTGTCTCTATTTCCTTCAGTTCTGCTCTGATTTTAGTTATTTCTTGCCTTCTGCTAGCTTTTGAATGTGTTTGCTCTTGCTTTTCTAGTTCCTTTAATTGTGATGTTAGGGTGTCAATTTTGGATCTTTCTTGCTTTCTCTTGTGGGCATTTAGTGCTATAAATTTCCCTCTACACACTGCTTTGAATGCGTCCCAGAGATTCTGGTATGTTGTGTCTTTGTTCTCGTTGGTTTCAAAGAACATCTTTATTTCTGCCTTCATTTCGTTGTGTACCCAGTAGTCATTCAGGAGCAGGTTGTTCAGTTTCCATGTAGTTGAGCGGTTTTGAGTGAGATTCTTAATCCTGAGTTCTAGTTTGATTGCACTGTGGTCTGAGAGATAGTTTGTTATAATTTCTGTTCTTTTACATTTGCTGAGGAGAGCTTTACTTCCAAGTATGTGGTCAATTTTGGAATAGGTGTGGTGTGGTGCTGAAAAAAATGTATATTCTGTTGATTTGGGGTGGAGAGTTCTGTAGATGTCTATTAGGTCCACTTGGTGCAGAGCTGAGTTCAATTCCTGGGTATCCTTGTTGACTTTCTGTCTCGTTGATCTGTCTAATGTTGACAGTGGGGTGTTAAAGTCTCCCATTATTAATGTGTGGGAGTCTAAGTCTCTTTGTAGGTCACTCAGGACTTGCTTTATGAATCTGGGTGCTCCTGTATTGGGTGCATATATATTTAGGATAGTTAGCTCCTCTTGTTGAATTGATCCCTTTACCATTATGTAATGGCCTTCTTTGTCTCTTTTGATCTTTGTTGGTTTAAAGTCTGTTTTATCAGAGACTAGGATTGCAACCCCTGCCTTTTTTTGTTGTCCATTTGCTTGGTAGATCTTCCTCCATCCTTTTATTTTGAGCCTATGTGTGTCTCTGCAGGTGAGATGGGTTTCCTGAATACAGCACACTGATGGGTCTTGACTCTTTATCCAATTTGCCAGTCTGTGTCTTTTAATTGGAGCATTTAGTCCATTTACATTTAAAGTTAATATTGTTATGTGTGAATTTGATCCTGTCATGATGATGTTAGCTGGTTATTTTGCTCGTTAGTTGATGCAGTTTCTTCCTAGTCTCGATGGTCTTTACATTTTGGCATGATTTTGCATCGGCTGGTACCAGTTGTTCCTTTCCATGTTTAGCACTTCCTTCAGGAGCTCTTTTAGGGCAGGCCTGGTGGTGACAAAATCTCTCAGCATTTGCTTGTCTGTAAAGGATTTTATTTCTCCTTCACTTATGAAGCTCAGTTTGGCTGGATATGAAATTCTGGGTTGAAAATTCTTTTCTTTAAGAATGTTGAATATTGGCCCCCACTCTCTTCTGGTTTGTAGAGTTTCTGCCGAGAGATCTGCTGTTAGTCTGATGGGCTTCCCTTTGAGGGTAACCCGACCTTTCTCTCTGGCTGCCCTTAACATTTTTTCCTTCATTTCAACTTTGATGAATCTGACAATTATGTGTCTTGGAGTTGCTCTTCTCGAGGAGTATCTTTGTGGCGTTCTCTGTATTTCCTGAATCTGAATGTTGGCCTGCCTTGCTAGATTGGGGGAGTTCTCCTGGATAATATCCTGCAGAGTGTTTTCCAACTTGGTTCCATTCTCCCCGTCACTTTCAGGTACACCAATCAGACGTAGACTTGGTCTTTTCACATAGTCCCATATTTCTTGGAGGCTTTGCTCATTTCTTTTTATTCTTTTTTCTCTAAACTTCCCTTCTCGCTTCATTTCATTCATTTCATCTTCCATCGCTGATACCCTTTCTTCCAGTTGATCGCATTGGCTCCTGAGGCTTCTGCATTCTTCACGTAGTTCTTGAGCCTTGGTTTTCAGCTCCATCAGCTCCTTTAAGCACTTCTCTGTATTGGTTATTCTAGTTATACATTCTTCTAAATTTTTTCAAAGTTTTCAACTTCTTTGCCTTTAGTTTGAATGTCCTCCCGTAGCTCGGAGTAATTTGATTGTCTGAAGCCTTCTTCTCTCAGTTCGTCAGTCATGCTCCGTCCAGCATTGTTCCGTTGCTGGTGAGGAACTGCGTTCCTTTGGAGGAGGAGAGTCGCTCTGCTTTTTAGAGTTTCCAGTTTTTCTGCTCTGCTTTTTCCCCATCTTTGTGGTTTTATCTACTTTTGGTCTTTGATGATGGTGATGTACAGATGGGTTTTTGGTGTGGATGTCCTTTCTGTTTGTTAGTTTTCCTTCTAACAGACAGGACCCTCAGCTGCAGGTCTGTTGGAGTACCCCGCCCTGTGAGGTGTCAGTCTGCCCCTGCTGGGGGGTGCCTCCCAGTTAGGCTGCTCGGGGGTCAGGGGTCAGGGACCCACTTGAGGACGCAGTCTGCCCATTCTCAGATCTCCAGCTGCGTGCTGGGAGAACCACTGCTCTCTTCAAAGCTGTCAGACAGGGACATTTAAGTCTGCAGAGGTTACTGCTGTCTTTTTGTTTGTCTGTGCCCTGCCCCCAGAGGTGGAGCCTACAGAGGCAGGCAGTCCTCTTTGAGCTGTGGTGGGCTCCACCCAGTTTGAGCTTCCAGGCTGCTTTGTTTACCTAAGCAAGCCTGGGCAATGGCGGGTGCCCCTCCCCCAGCCTCGCTGCCGCCTTGCAGTTTGATCTCAGACTGCTGTGCTAGCAATCAGCGAGACTCCGTGGGCATAGGACCCTCCAAGCCAGGTGCGGGATATAATCTCATGGTGTGCCGTTTTTTAAGCCCGTGGGAAAAGCGCAGTATTCGGGTGGGAGTGACCCAACTTTCCAGGTGCCGTCTGTCACCCCTTTCTTTGACTAGGAAAGGGAACTCCCTGACCCCTTGCGCTTCCTGAGTGAGGCAATGCCTTGCCCTGCTTCAGCTCGCGCACGGTGCATGCACCCACTCACCTGCGCCCACTGTCTGGCACTCCCTAGTGAGATGAACCCAATACCTCAGATGGAAATGCAGAAATCATCCGTCTTCTGCGTCACTCACGCTGGGAGCTGTAGACCAGAGCTGTTCCTATTCAGCCATCATGAAAGGAGATTTTTAACCTGTGATTTAAAATCCAAATTTAGTAATGTAGTTTATTTTGGTTTGAAAATATTTGTTAATATCTCTTTAGTGCCAAAATCTATATTTAGAACACCCAAGATCATAAAACCAGCTAAAATGATGTGGGTTTTCAGTTTTGTCTTGTTGTTTCTTTTAAAAATCAAGATTAATTAGGGACTCTTTTTTATTATTATTATACTTTAAGGTCTAGGGTACATGTGCACAACATGTAGGTTTGTTACATATGTATACATGTGCCGTGTTGGTTTGCTGCACCCATTAACTCATCATTTACATTAGGTATTTCTCCTAACGCTATCCCTCCCCCATCCACCCACCCCACAACAGGCCCTGGTGTGTGATGTTGCCTGCTCTGTGTCCAAGTGTTCTCATTGTTCAGTTCCCACCTATGAGTGAGAACATGCAGTGTTTGGTTTTCTGGCCTTGCAATAGTTTGCTCAGAATGATGGTTTCTAGCTTCATCCATGTTGCTACAAAGGACATGAACTCATTCTTTTTTATGGCTGCATAGTATTCCATGGTGTATATGTGCCACATTTTCTTAATCCAGTCTATCATTGATGGACCTTTGGGTGGGTTCCAAGTCTTTGCTATTGTGAATACTGCCACAATAAACATACGTGTGCATGTGTCTTAATAGTAGCATGATTTATAATCCTTTGGATATATACCCAGTAATGGGATCACTGAGTCAAATGGTATTTCTAGTTCTAGATCCTTGAGGAATTGCCACACTGTCTCCCACAATGGTTGAACTAGTTTACACTCCCACCAACAGTGTAAAAGCGTTCCAATTTCTCCACGTCCTCTCCAGCATCTGTTGTTTCCTGACTTTTTAATGATTGCCATTCTAATTGGTGTGAGATGGTATCTCACTGTGGTTTTCATTTGCATTTCTCTGATGGCCAGTGATGACGAGCATTTTTTCATGTGTTTTTTGGCTGCATAAATGTCTTCTTTTGAGAAGTGTCTGTTTGTATCCTTTGCCCACTTTTTGATGGTGTTGTTTGATTTTTTTCTTGTAAATTTGTTTAAGTTCTTTGTAGATTCTGGATATTAGCCCTTTGTCAGATGGGTAGACTGCAAAAATTTCCTCCTATTCTGTAGGTTGCCTGTTCACTCTGATGGTAGTTTCTTTTGCTGTGCAGAAGCTCTTTAGTTTAATTAGATCCCATTTGTCTATTTTGCCTTTTGCTGCCATTGCTTTTTGTGTTTTAGTGATGAAGTCCTTGCCCATGCCTATGTCCTGAATGGTATTGCCTAGGTTTTCTTCTAGGGTTTTTATGGTTTTAGGTCTAACATTTAAGTCTTTAATCCATCTTGATTTCATTTTTGTATAAGGTGTAAGGAAGGGATCCAGTTTCAGCTTTCTACGTATGGCTAGCCAGTTTTCCCAGCACCATTTATTAAATAGGGAATCCTTTCCCCATTTCTTGTTTTTGTCAGGTTTATCAGAGATTAGATGGCTGTAGATGTGTGGTATTATTTCTGAGGGCTCTGTTCTGTTCCATTGGTCTATATCTCTGTTTTGATACCAGTACCATGCTGTTTTGGTTACTGTAGCCTTGTAGTATAGTTTGAAGTCAGGTAGCGTGATGCCTTCAGCTTTGTTCTTTTTGCTTAGGATTGTCTTGGCAATGTGGGCTCTTTTTTGGTTCCATATGAACTTTAAAGTAGTTTTTTCCAATTCTGTGAAAAAAGTCATTGGTAGCTTGATGGGGATGGCATTGAATCTCTAAATTACCTTGGACAGTATGGCCATTTTCACGATATTCATTCTTCGTATCCATGAGCATGGAACGTTCTTCCATTTGTTTGTGTCCTCTTTTATTTTCTTGAGCAGTGGTTTATAGTTCTCCTTGAAGAGATCCTTCACATCCCTTGTAAGTTTGATTCCTAGGTATTTTATTCTCTTTGTAGCAATTGTGAATGGGAGTTCACTCATGATTTTACTCTCTGTTTTTCTGTTATTGGTGTATAAGAATGCCTGTGACTTTTGCACATTGATTTTGTATCCTGAGACTTAAGACTGTAAGCTGAGGTAGCTTATCAGCTTAAGGAGATTTTGGGCTGAGACGATGGGGTTTTCTAAATATACAATCATGTCATCTGCAAACAGGGACAATTTGAGTTCCTCTTTTCTTAATTGAATGCCCTTTATTTATTTCTCTTGCCTGATTGCCCTGGCCAGAACTTCCAACACTATGTTGAATAGGAGTGGTGAGAGAGGGCATCTCTGTCTTGTGCCAGTTTTCAAAGGGAATGCTTCCAGTTTTTGCCCATTCATTGTGATACTGGCTGTGAGTTTGTCATAAATAGCTCTTATTATTTTGAGATATGTTCCATCAATACCTAGTTTATTGAGAGGTTTTTAGCATGAAGGGCTGTTGAATTTCGCTGAGGCCTTTTCTGCATTTCTGCATCTACTGAGATAATCATATGGTTTTTGTCTTTGGTTCTGTTTATGTGATGGATTACATTTATTGATTTGCCTATGTTGAACCAGACTTGCATTCCAGGGATGAAGCCAACTTGATCTTGGTGGATAAGCTTTCTGATGTGCTGCTGGATTCAGTTTGCTAGTATTTTACTGAGGATTTTTGCATCGATGTTCATCAGGGAGATTGGTCTAAAATTCTCTTTTTCTTTGTTGTGTCTCTGCCAGGCTTTGGTATCAGGATGATGCTGGCCTCATGAAATGACTTAGGGAGGATTCCCTCTTTTTCTATTGATTGGACTAGTTTCAGAAGGAATGGTACCAGCTCCTCTTTGTACCTCTGGCAGAATTGGACTTGGAATCCATCTCGTCCTGGACTTTTTTTGGTTGGTAGGCTATTAATTATTGCCTCAATTTCAGAGCCTGTTATTGGTTTATTTAGCAATTCAACCTCTTCCTGTTTTAGTCTTGGGAGGTTGTATGTGTCCAGGAATCTATCCATTTCTTCCAGATTTTCTAGTTTACTTGTGTAGAGGTGTTTATAGTATTCTCTGACGGTCGTTTGTATTTCTGTGGGATTGGTGTTGATATCCCCTTTATCATTTTTTATTGCATCTATTTGATTCTTCTCTCTTTTTCTTCTTTATTAGTCTTGCTAGTGGTCTATCAATTTTGTCGATCTTTTCAAAAAATCCAGCTCCTGAATTCACTGATTTTTTTGAAGGGTTTTTTGTGTCTCTATCTCCTTCAGTTCTGCTCTGATCTTAGTTATTTCTTGCCTTCTGCTAGCTTTTGAATTTGTTTGCTCTTGCTTTTCTAGTTCTTTTAATTATGATGTTAGGGTGTCGATTTTAGATCTTTCCTGCTTTCTCTTGTGGGCATTTAGTGCTATAAATTTCCCTCTACACACTGCTTAAATATGTCCCAGAGATTCTGGTACATTGTGTCTTTGTTCTCATTGGTTTCAAAGAACATCTTTATTTCTGCCTTCATTTCATTACATACCTATTAGTCATTCAGGAGCACGTTTTTCAGTTTCCATGTAGTTGTGTGGTTTTGAGTGAGTTTCTTAATCCTGAATTCTAATTTGATTGCACTGTGGTCTGAGAGACAGTTTGTTGTGATTTCTGTTCTTTTACATTTGCTGAGGAGTGCTTTACTTCCAACTATGTGGTCAATTTTGGAATAAGTGCGATGTGGTGCTGAGAAGAATGTACATTCTGTTGATTTGGGATGGAAAATTCTGTAGATGTCTATTAGGTCTGCTTGGTGCAGAGCTGAGTTCAAGTCCTTGATATCCTTGTTAATCTTCTCTCTGGCTGATCTGTCTAATGTTGACCGTGGGGAGTTAAAGTCTCCCATTATTATTGGGTGGGAATCTAAGTCTCTTTATAGGTCTCTCAGAACTTGCTTTATGAATCTGGGTGCTCCTATATTGGGTGCATATATATTTAGGATAGTTAGCTCTTCTTGTTGAATTGATCCCTTTACCATTATGTAATGGCCTTCTTTGTCTCTTTGAATCTTTGTTGGTTTAAAGTCTGGTTTATCAGAGACTAGGATTGCAACCCCTGCTTTTTTTTTGCTTTCCATTTGCTTGGTAGATCTTCCTCCATCCCTTTATTTTGAGCCTATGTGTGTCTCTGCATGTGAGATGGGTCTCCTGAATACAGCACATCCACGGGTCTTGACTCTTTATCCAATTTGCCAGTCTGTGTCTTTTAATTGGGGCATTTAGCCCATTTACATTTAAGGTTAATATTGTTATGTGTGAATATGATCCTGTCGTTATGATGTTAGCTGGTTATTTTAGCCATTAGTTGATGCAGTTTCTTCCTAGCATCGATGGTCTTTACAATTTGACATGTTTTTGCAGTGGCTGGTATCAGTTGTTCCTTTCCATGTTTAGTGCTTCCTTCAGGAGCTCTTGTAAGGCAGGCCTGGTGGTGACAAAATCTCTCAGCATTTGCTTGTCTGTAAAGGATTTTATTTCTCCTTCACTTATTAAGTTTATTTTGGCTGGATATGAAATTCTGGATTGAAAATTCTTTTCTTTAAGAATGTTGAATATTGGCCCCCACTCTCTTCTGGCTTGTAAGGTTTCTGCCAAGAGATCTGCTGTTAGTCTGATGGGCTTCCCTTCATGGGTAACCTGACCTTTCTCTCTGGCTGCCCTTAGCATTTTTTCCTACATTTCAACCTTGGTGACTCTGACAATTATGTGTATTGGGGTTGCTCTTCTCGAGGAGTATCTTTGTGGTGTTCTCTGTATTTCCTGAATTTGAATGTTGGCCTGCCTTACTAGGTTGGGGAAGTTATCCTGGATAATATCCTGAAGAGTGTTTTCCAGCTTGGTTCCATTCTCCCTGTCAATTTCAGGTCCACCAATCAAAGATAGATTTGGTCTTTTCACATAGTCCCATATTTCTTGGCGTCTTTGTTCATTTCTTTTTACTCTTTCTTCTCTAAACTTCTCTTCTCACTTCATTTCATTAATTTGATCTTCAGTCACTGGTATCCTTTCTTCCACTTGATCGAATCAGCAACTGAAGCTTGTGCACACGTCACGTAGTTCTCGTGCCATGGTTTTCAGCTCCATCAGTTTCTTTTTTAGATGGAGTTTCACTCTTGTTACCCAGGCTGGAGTGCAGTGGCATGATCTTGGCTCACTGCAACCTCCACCTCCCGGGTTCAAGCAATTCTCCTGCTTCAGCCTCCCAAGTAGCTGGGATTGCAGGTGCCCACCACCATACCTGGCTAATTTTTTGTATTTTTAGTAGAGATTGGTTTTCACTATATTGGCCAGGCTGGTCTTGAACCCCTGACCTCAGGCGATCCACCAACCTCAGTCTCCCAAAGTGCTGGGATTACAGGCCACCATGCCCAGCTTAATTAGGGACTCTTAAAAATGTAGTTGGGATTTTAAAGTGAGGGCTTAAGTTGTTAATTTTCTTTAAAATTTGAGATGGAATTTATATAATGTAAAATTAATCATTTTAAAATGAATAGTTCAATTACGTTTAATACCCTCACATTTTTATGCAACCACCACAAAAACATTTTCATTACCCCCAAAGTAAACCCTGTCCCCATTAAGCAGTTACTCTCCATTCTTTCATCTACCTCTCTGTTGGTAAACACCAATCTACTTTCTGACTGCGTGGATTTACCCACTCTGGATATTTTATATAAACAGATAATAGGATATATAACGTTTTATATCTTGCTTGTTTCACTTAGCTTAATGTTTTTAGGTTCATTCATGTCGTAGAATGTATCAGTGTGCCCCATTCTTTTTTATGCTGAATAATATTCCATTGTATGTATATATTATAATTTGTTTATACATTTATCTGTGGATGAATATTTGGGTCATTTCCACCTTTTGGCTATTGCAAATAATGCTGTTATGAACATGCCTATACACGTATTTGTTTCAACACATGTTTTTAGTTCTTTTGGATATATACCTTCTATGTTTAACATTTTCAGGAAACGCCAAACTGTTTTCCATAGGAACTACACCATTTTACATTCTCACCAGCAGTGTACGAGGGTTCCAGTTTCTTCGCATCCTCACCAATACTCATTATTATTATTATTTTTAATTATAACCATCCTCCTGGGTGTGAAGTGGTATCTCATTGTAGACTTCGATTTGAAATTTCCATGACTAATGATGTCGAATATCTTTTCAAGGACAAGTGGACTATTTGTGCACCTTCTTTTGAGAACTGTCAATTCATGTGTTTTGCCGATTTTTTGTTGGGTTTTTACCTTTTGTTGTTGAATTATGAGTTATTTACATATTCTGGATACTAAACCCTTACAGATATATGATTTGCAAACATTTTCTCCCATTCTGTAACTGTCTGTTCACTTTCTTGATAATGTTCTTTCATGTAAAAAAGTTTTTAATTTCTTTCTTTTGTTGCGAATGCTTTTGGTGTTGTAGCTTCCCAAATTCAAGGTCATGAAGGTTTATCCTATGCTTTCTTCTAAGAATATTATGGTTTTACCTCTTATATTTAGACTGTTGATCCATTTTGAATTAATTTTTGTATATGGTATGAGGTAGGGGTCCAAATTTATTCTTTTGCATGTGGATCTACAGTTGTCCCCGCACAGGGCTTTAGTTGTGTGTACACACATGTGCTATGGGTAACTTTAAATGAGAGATTAAGAAGACTTTCATGGTGAACAAAGAGGAATTAAGGAGTTTTTTTAGGTGAACAAGGACTAAGCAGGCCAGAGCCAAAGTCAAACCCTCACCAAAGATTAACAGGCCTCTGCCTGCATTCCTTGTCCTCTCCCACTAGCTGTTGACAGAACACTAGTTGTTGAGGAACAAGCCTGCCTGGAAAAAAGGGAAGAAAGGTACACTAGTTTGATGTGAGAAAAATGGTTAAAAGTATAAAAGACAGGTCATTGAGATTATCTTTCAACCTACTGCCTAGGGCATGTATGTCAGAACTTAGGTAATTACTAAATGAAACCATAAACAAATAAAAATTCAAGATGATAAACCTAACCACCAAAGACACTTCTGCATGGTGGAGTGTTATCAATAGATGAGGAGGGTGAAGGGGCAGGAGATATGTGTCCTGTTTGCTGCCCCATCCTGACCAACATGGGCCATTTTCTTCCTCCCCAGGGGCAAAGGAACCAGCAGAGTCTTGGAGGGCCCCCCCTGTCAGCCAGGATGATGTTTGTGAGAATGCAATGGCAGAATGGCTGTGACAAACTCAGGTTGCCTGATGGCATGAGGTATGTTAGAAACTGAAGCTGCTGTCAGGACAAAATGTAAACTGGAACAAATTCTACCAAATGGGTAAAGAGTATGACATGGATTCTTTTTTGCCCATGTGAGTCACACCATGGGAACCAGAATGAGAGATGTAGAGCCTGCCTTCCAGAGATTTTTGCTGAGACAGGGAGTTACTGACGTGCCCTTACAAAATTCTAGTTATATAAAAGGTAAGTTTCAAAAGTGGCATTTTCCATGATGTAACTGTGGCAGAGATGGCCAGTTGCGCATCAGAAATTTGTATTCTCCTCCATGGTATACAACTGTTGCTGAGAAGTGGCTGTCCAATGAGGACTACATTTCTCAGCCTTCTTCCATCTAAATGGGGTCATATGGGGGTAGGGCAGGAGGCAGAGGAAGATGGCTGAGTAGGCCACTGCAACAATCATCTTCCTGCAGAAACACCAAAGGTAGAGAGAGACAGAGATTATGGTAGAAAGTTTATTCAAAGGGATAATAACAGAGAACTCTCCAAACCTAGAAAAAGATATCAATATTCAACTACAAGAAGGTTGTAGAACATCAAGCAGATTTAACCCAAATAAGACTATCTCAAGACATTTAACAATCAAACTCCCAGCCAGGCGCAGTGGCTCATGCTTGTAATCTCAGCACTTTGGGAGGGCAAGGTGGGCAGATTGCTTTGCTTGAGCTCAGGAGTTTGAGATCAGCCTAGGCAACATAGTGTAACTCCATCTCTACTAAAAATACAAAAATTAGCTGAGTGTGCTGGCAAATGCCTGTAGTTCCAGCTACTCTGCAGGCGGAGACAGGAGAATTGCTTGAGCCTAGGAGGTAGAGGTTGCAGTGAGCAGTGATCATGCCACTGCATTCCAGCCTGGGTGACAGAGAGAGACTCCATCTCAAAAAAAGTAATAATAATAATCATCAAACTCCCAAAGGTCAAGGACAAAGAAAGAATGCTGAGAGCAGTGAGAGGGAAGAAACAAATGACATGCAAAGGAGCTCTGACATGTCTGGCAGCAGACTTCTCAATGGAAATCTTATAGGCCAGGAGAGAGTGGCATGACATATTTGAAGTGTTGAAGGAAAAAACTTGTATCTTAGACTAGTGTAACAATTGAAAATATCCTTCAAACATGAAGGAGAAATAAAGACTTTCCCAGACAAACAAAAGCTGAGGGATTTCATTAACACCAGACTTGCCCTCCAATAAATGCTAAAGGGAGTTCTTTAATGTGAAAGGAAAGGACATTAATGAGCAATAAGAAATCCTTTGAAGGTACAAAACTCTCTGGCAATAGTAAGTATACAGAAAAACACAGTTACATATTATAATATATAATTGTGTAAGTATGTAAATATGTAAATATGTAAATATTATAACACTGTGATTGTGGTATATAAACTACTCATACCTTGAGTAGAAACACTAAAAGATAAACCTATCAAAAATAATAACTACAACAAGTTTTCAAGACATAGACAGCATAGTAAGATATAAATAGAAAACACAAAAAGTTAAAAAGTAGGAGGATGAAGTTAAAAAGTGTAGAGTTTTTATTAGTTTTCTCTTGGCTTGCTTGTTATTTTTTTTTCAATCAGTGCTAAGTTGCCATCAGTTTACTTATTTTATTTATTTATTTATTTATTTATTTATTTATTTTTTGAGATGGAGTCATGCTCTGTTGCCCAGGCTGGAGTGCAGTGGTGCGATCTCAGCTCACCTCAGCCTTTGCCTCTTGGGTTCAAGCAATTCTCCTTCCTCAGCCTCCCAAGTAGCTGGGATTACAGGTGTGCACCACCACACCCAGCTAATAAGAGGGAAGTTTATAGCAATAAGTACCTACAACAAAAAAGTTTCACCATGTTGGCCAGTCTGGTCTTGACCTCAACTGATTCTCTGACCTCAGCCTCCCAAAGCGCTGGGATTAAAGGCATCAGCCACCACACCTGGCCAAGTTGAAATCAGTTTAAAACCATGAGTTATAAGATGTTATTTGCAAGCCTCATGAGAACCTCAAATAAAAAAACCTACAACAGATACACAAAAAATAAAAGAAATTAAAATGTACTATATTATCAGAAAATATTACCTTCCCAAAAAGGAAGGAAAGAATGAAGGAAGGAAGGCCACAAAACAACAAGAAATCAAATAACAAAATGGCAGGATTAAGTCCTCACTCATAAATAATGACATTGAAAGTAAATAGATTAAACTCTCCAATCAAAACCCAGGAGTGGCTGAATGGATAAAAAACAAAACCCAACAATCTGTTGCCTACAATAAACATATTTCACCTATAAAGACACATGCAGACTCAACATAAAGGGATGGAAAAAGATATTCCCTGCAAATGGAAACCAAAGAAGAGCAGAAGTAGCTATATTTATATCAGACAAAATAGATTTCAAGACAAAAGCTGTAAAAAGAGACAAGGTAATTATATAGTGATAAAGGGGTCAATTCAGTAAGAAGATAAAACAATTATAAATATACATGCACCCAACACTGGAGCACCCAAATATATAAACTAAATATTATCAGACCTAGGGAGAGATTCCAATACAATTCTAGCTGGAGACTTCAACCTCCCACTTTCAGCGTTGGACAGAGCATCCAGACAGAAAATCAACAGAGAAACATGGGACTTAATCTGCACTATAAGACCAAATGAACCTAATAGATATTTATGGAACTTTTTATTCAATGGCTACAGAATACACAAACTTCTCCTCAGTACATGGATCATTCTCAAGGATGGACCATCTGTTAGGCCACAAAACAAGTTGTAAAATATTCAAAAATTTAAATTATATAAAATATCTTCTCTGACCACAATGGAATAAAACTAAAAATCCATACAAAGAGGAATTTTCGAAGCTATACAAACACCTGGAAATTAAACAATATGCTTCTGAATGCCCAGTGGGTCAATGAAGAAATTAAGAAGGAAATTTAAAATTTTCTTGGAATGAAGGAAAATGGACTCAGAACATCCCAAAACCTATGGGGTACTGCAAAAGCAGCAATAAGAGGAAAGTTTATAGCAATAAGTACCTACAACAAGAAAGTACAAAAATTTCAAATAGGGCCAGTTGCAGTGGCTCATGCCTGTAATCCCAGCACTTTGAAAGGCCGAGGTGGGCGGATCATGAGGTCAGGAGATCGAGACCATCCTGGCTAACACGGTGAAAACCTGTCTCTACTAAAAATACAAAAAATTAGTCAGGCGTGGTGGTGGGTGCCTGTAGTCCCACTTACTCAGGAGGCTGAGGCAGGAGTATCACTTGGATCTGGGAGGCAGAAGTTGCAGTGAGCCGAGATTGCACCACTGCACTCCAGCCTGGGAGACAGAGTGAGACTCTGTCTCCAAAAAAAAAAAAAGAAAGAAAGAAAAGAAAAGATAAATTTCAAACAATAACCCCATGATGCATCTTAAGGAAGTAAAAAAGCAAGAGCAAACCCAACCCAAAATTAGCAGAAGAAAAGAAATAATAAAAATCAGCCCAAATATAAATAAAATTGAAATTAAAAAAATACCAAAGATAAACAAAATAAAAAGTCAAGTTTTCAAAAAGATAAAATGGACAAATCCTTAGCCAGACTAACTAAGAAAAAAAAAAAAGAAAGAAAAAACCCAAGTGAATAAAATCAGAGATGAAAAAAGAGACATTACAACTGCTACTACAGAAATCCAAAGGATTATTACAGGATACTATGAGCAACTATATGCCAATAAATTGGAAAACCTAAAAGAAATGGATACATTTCTACACACATACAGTCTACCAAGATTGAACCATGAATAAATCCAAAACCTGAATAGACCAATAAGAAGTCATGAGATTGAAGCCATAATAAAGTCTCCCAGCAAGGAAAAGCCCAGAACCTGATGGCTTCACTGCTGAATTCGCCCAAACATTTACAGAATATCTTACTCAACCTGTGCTGAAAATTGAAGGAGGAGGGAATACTTCCAAAATCATTCAAAAACAACAACAACAACAAAAACAAACAACTAGAGGCCAATAGCCCTAATAAACATTGATGCAAAAATCCTCAACCAAATGCTAGTAAACCAAATTTGACAGCACATTAATAAGATCAGTCATCAAGACCAAGTGGGATTTATCCCAAGAATGCAAGGATGGTACAACATACACAAATCAATCAATGTGATGCATTATATTAACAGAATGAAGGACAAAAACCATGTGATCATTTCAATTGATTGCTGAAAATGTATTTGATAAAATTCAACATCCTTTTATGATAAAAACCCTAAAAAAACTGGGCATAGGAGGAACATACCTCATCACAATAAAAGCCATGGGCAGCACACCCACAGCTAGTATTCTACTGAATGGAGAAAAACTGAAAGTCTTTCATCTAAGGTCTGGAAAAAGACAAGAATACCCACTGTCACCACTGTTATTCAACATAGTACTGAAGTTCTAGCTATGAGCAATCAGACAAGAGAAAGAAATAAAGGGCATCCAAATTGGAAAGGGCAAAGTCAAATTATCTTTGTTTGCAAATAATATGATCTTATATTTGGAAAAACCTAAAAACTCCACCAAAAAACTATTAGAATTGATAAACAAATTCAGTGAAGTTGTAGCATACAAAATCAACATGCAAATATTCGTAGCATTTCTATATGCCAACAGCAAACAATCTGAAAAAAGAAATCAAGAAAATAATCCAATTTACAATAGCTACAAATAAAATAAAATAACTACAAATTAACTTAAACAAAGTAGTGAAAAATCTCTAAAATAAAACTATATATCATTGCTGAAATAAATTAAATAGGACACCAAAAAGAAATGAACAATATTCATGTTCATGGATTGGAAGAATTAATATTGTTAAACTGTCCGTACTACTCAAAGTAATTTATAGATTCAATGCCATCCCTATCAAAACACCTATAATATTCTTCACAGAAATAGAAAAAACAATCCTAAAATTTATATGAAACCACAAAAGGTCTAGAATAGGCAAAGCTATCATGAGCAAAACAAAAATAAATGGAGGAATCATATTATCTGAATTCAAATTATACTACAGAGTTATAATAACCAAACAGCATGGTACTGGCATAAAAACAGACACATAGATCAATGGATCAGAATAGAGAACCCAGAAACATCCATACATCTACAGTAAACTCATTTTTGAGAAAGCTGCCAAGAACATACATTGGGGAAAGAAGAGTTTCTTCAGTAAATTGTGCTGGGAAAACTGGATATCCATATGTAGAAGAATGAAACTAGATCCCTATCTCTTGCCATGCAGAAAAATCAAATCAAAATGGATTAAAGACTTAAATCTAAGATCTCAAACCATTAAACTATTGACAGAAAACATAGGGAAAACCCTCCCGGACTTTGGTCTGGGCAAAAATTTTTTGGGTAGTACCCCACAAGCACCAGCAATCAAAGCAAAAACGGACAAACAGGATCACATCAAGTTAAAAACCTTCTGCACAGCAAAGGAAGCAATCAACAAATGAAAGGGCAAACCCATAGAATGGGAGAGAATATTTGCAAACTATCCACCAGACATGGGATTAATAACCAGAAAATATAAGGAGCTTAGACAACTCCATGAGAAAAAAATCGAATACTCAATTAAAATATGGACCAAAGATATGAATAGATGAATAGATATTTATCAAAAGAAGACATACAAATGGCAAACAGGTATATGAAAAGGTGCTCAACATCATTGACTATCACAGAAATGCAAATCAAAATTGCAATGAGTTATCATGTCTTCCCAGTTAAAATGGCTTTTATCCAAAAGTCAAGCTATTATTAATAACAAATGCTGGCGAGGATGTGGAGAAAAAAGGAACCCTCATACACTGTTGATGGGAATGTAGATTTTGTACAGCCACTATGGAGAATAGTATGAAGGTGCCTCAAAACCTAAAAACAGAAGTACTGTATGATCCAACAATTCCACTACTAGGTATATACCCAAAAGAAAGGAAACCAGTATATCAAAGAGATATTTGCATTCCCATGTTTATTATAGCACTATTGACAATAACCAAGATTTGGAAGCAACCTAAGTGTCCATCAGCAGACAAATGGATAAAGAAAATGTGGTACATATACACAACGGAGTATTAGCTATGAAAAGATGAAATCCTGTCATTTACAACATGGTTGGAACTAGAGAACATTACGTTAAATGAAATAAGCCTGGTGTAGAAAGACAAACTTTGCATGTTCTCACTTATCTGTGGGAGCTCAAAATTAAAACAATTGAACTCATGGAGATAGAGAGTAGAATAATGCTTACCAGACTCTGGGAAGGGTAGGAGGTAGGTAAATGGATATTGTTAAAAGGTAAAAGTATATACTTAGATAGAATCAATAAGATCTAGTATTTGATAGCATAATGGGGTGATTATTCTCAACAATAATTTTTGTATATTTAAAAACATCTCAAGGAGTATGATTGGAATGTTTGTAACACAAATAAATGATAAATGCTTGAGGTGATGGATACACCATTTACTCATATTACTCATCATATGCCTGTATCAAAATATCTCATGTACCCCCTAAATGTATATATCTACTATGTAGCCATTAAAATTAAAAATTAAAAAAAATGGGGTCATATGACTGGTTGTGCCCAGTGGGATGTGAGTGGAGGGGTTACATGTCACTTCTGAATCATGGTGCTTAATAAGCTGGCATACTATCCCCATTCTCTCTACTCTATTCCTCCACTAGATATCAAAGTCCAGGGCAACCTTGGGAGCCACATGTCACAGATGGCATAGCCTCTGTGAGCTGAGGTCCCTGGCTGAGGTCCCGAAATAACCTCGTGGAGCACCCATGTTGGACTGTTACATGAGTGAGAAATAAACTACAGTGATTAAGCCACGTGACATTTGAGTTTGTAGGTTACTAATGCTAGTAATATCCTATAGCAGTGGTTCTCACACTTTGGTGTACATCAAAATCACCTGAGAACTTGTTAAACACAGATTATTGGCCAGGCGTGGTGGCTCACACCTGTAATCCCAACACTTTGGGAGGCTGAGGTGGGTGGATCACGAGGTCAAGAGATCAAGACCATCCTGGCCAACATGGTGAAACCCTGCCTCTACTAAAAATACAAAAATTAGCTGGGTGTGGTGGTGTGCACCTGTCTTCCCAGCTACTCGGGAGGCTGAGGCAGGAGAATCACTTGAACCCTGGAGGGGGAGGTTGCAGTGAGCTGAGATCGTGCCACTGCACTCCAGCCTGGGCGACAGAGCAGGACTCCATCTCAAAAACAAACAAACAAACAACAAAAAAAAAACAGAAACAGATTGTTGGGCCCTATATCCAGAGTTTCTGATTCAGGAGGTTTGGGTTGGAGCTCAGGAATCTGCTTTTCTAACAAGTTACCAGATGATGCTGATGCTGCTGATCCAGGGACTGTACTTTGACACCCAGTGTTAGATAATGCAATAATACTGAAAGAAGTTAAGTGAACAATGCTTACCAGTCTGATCTGAGGAGTAAGAAAATTTAAAACAAGCTTGAATTTAGAAAACACTTCCTTAAATGCCTTTTGTGCCAGGCAATATACTGAGTCCTGGAGATAGAGTGATCTGCTTCTTGGTGAATTTACCATCTAGTGTAGAAGAAATAAATGGATCAACACATGTATGTCTATAATAAACTGTAAAGTATAATGAAGGGAAAAGGTAGGGGAAGATGAGACCAAATAACAGGGAACTTCATTTACTATAGGGTAGGGGGTTGCAATGCTCAAGAAAGACTTCTCCGCGAAAGTGTCATTTGAGGTAAGATTTGAATGTCTGTAAAAGATAAGGGTTTTATTTTTACTTTTTAGGGAGGGGGGTGTGTTTCAAGGGGAGAGAATGCATGAAGAAATCAAGAAATTGGAAGAAGGCCAGTTTATCTGGAATAGGGAAGTGAGGGGAATAACGGCAAGCAATGAAATTAGAGAGGTGGAGGGGAGGCAGATAATGCATAGGATGATAAGCCACGTAAGGATTTGGATTATGATTCCCAGAGCGGTGTGAAATTAGAGTGTAAAGGAGGGAAAACAGAGTTTGTACTTAGAAACACTTTACTTCATTTTCCCCCATTTTAAAATTTAGTCTTTCTTATTAATTTATAAAACCTTTTAAATTAATATAATTTATAATTATAAATTTATAAAAGCTAAATTTGGTGGGCGCGGTGACTCACAGCTGCAATCCCAGCACCTTGGGAGGCTGAAGTGGCGGATCACCTGAGGTTGGGAGTTTGAGACCAGCCTGACCAGCATGGAGAAACCCCGTCTCTACTAAAAGTACAAAATTAGCCGGGCGTGGTGGCGCGTGCCTGTAATCCCAGCTGCTCGGGAGGCTGAGGCAGGAAAATCGCTTGAACCTGGGAGGCAGAGGTTGCGGTGAGCCGAGATTGCGCCATTACACTCCAGCCTGGGCAAAAAGAGCGAGACTCCGTCTCAAAAAAAAAAAAAAAAGCCTAAATTTATTTTAATTTATAAAACCTTTACAATTATAAAATTATAAAACCTTTGTATATTTAAAAACAACTAAAAGAATTTAATTGGAATATTTGTAACATGAAGAAATGATAAAAATGCTTGAGGTGATGAATGCCTTATTTATGCTGATGTGATTATTCCTCATGTTATGCCTGTAACAAAAGATTTCATGTATACCATAACCGGATATACCTACTATGTACCCATAAAAACTAATATTTTAATTAATTTTATTATATACTGATGAAATGTATAATTATAAAGGTTTTATGAATTAATAAAATTAGCCTTTTGTATTTTATATATTTAGCTAATATTTTTTTTCTTGGTCATTTATTTTGAGTTTGTTTGTATTATTTTTTAACACCTGGAAATTTCAATTTTTATATACTTAAATTTCTCACTTTTTTACAATTCTGAGTTTTGTGTCATTCTTAAAAAGGTCTTGCTTATCTCAAAGTTTTCTTTCTTTTATTTTTTTTTTTTCTTGAGACAGAGTCTCACCCTGTTGCCCAGGCTGGACTGCAGTGGCGCGATCTCGGCTCACCTCTGCCTCCCGGGTTCAAGCGATTCTCGTGCCTCAACCTCCCAAGTAGCTGAGACTACAGGTGTCTGCCACCACGCCTGGATAATTTTTGTATTTTTAATAGAGATGGGGTTTCACCTTGTTGTCCAGGCTGTCAAAATTATCTTTTATATGAAGTTCACCTTGGTTTTTCCTAGTACTTTTTACAAAGAACAGGCAATTTGAAAATATAATAAAATACAAATTTTAAGCTGTTAGACAAAGATCAAAAATTTTGAAAATGCCCTGTGTTAGTTGGGGTGGACAGGAGTTTCTGGTAGGTGCATAAATTGAAACATTAGAATTTGGTAAATGGACTGTTGGGGTGAAGGCAGTGCACAAGGCAGCTTTAATGTGCCCTCATCAGCCTCCCGTTGGCCTGCATCTGATCCTCAGCTACACCCATGGATAATTTCTTTTTCAACACATTTATGCAGACACACACAAGAAACCCCATTTATATCCTTCTTTTGTTAATGATTTCAGATGATATTTTAATTTAGTAATGAAGTCATATATTCTATCCATTATTTTGGATACCCAAAGTGCAGTGACAAGGAGTTAAAAGAAGAAAGTTTCTCATTCCTATCTCATTTTTTCCTGATTGAGGAGTAGAGTCCACTCCCCTGAGCCAGGGGCAGCTTCCATCTTGTTGTCTTGCACACCTCAGTTTCAATGGAGTGTTTGAAAAGTATACATTGACTATTTCTGGGATTTTATAAATCAAGAGAACAGAAAATCCAATAAAAATAAAACAGATATCCCCTGATGATAATTGAACCTTGAAGAGAAATAAGATTGAAAAGAAAAAATAAACAGAAAAGATGGGGAAATCCCATTAGGGCATTACATTAGTCCCACTTTCCACCCTGACACAAGGCAGGACAGGCTTTGCAGGACTAGAGACCTCTCCCAGGAGCCAGGCTATCCAGGCTCTGTACTCCCTTTGAAGCAGTTAGCTCTGCTCTGTATTTTCCCTCACACACTGCTGACATGCGCTTTTAAAGACCTCCGTGTATATGGGAGTAAAAGCCTTACAAGCATAGTAAAATATTGATACTGCTTGTGCCCAGTCCCCCGGGTTTTTCTGTTGATCTATCTTGCTTCTTTTAAGAACTGCGAGTTCCTATCCCTGTCCTTTCTCTGTTTTTTTTTTTTTTTTTTTTTTTTTTTTTTTCCTACACCAAATCTGCCTCTGGTTCAGCCCTTGAATATTGGAAGAGGAAATAAGAGAGCGAGTAACTGTCCTAGAGTTGGGTGACAATCATGTTGCACATTACGGACATTCCAACGATACCTTTTTTTTTTTTTTTCCTGAGACGGAGTTTCACTCTTGTTGCCCAGGCTGGAGTGCAGTGGCGCGATCTCGGCTCACTGCAACCTCCGCCTCCAGGGTTCAAGCAATTCTCCTGCCTCAGCCTCCCGAGTAGCTGGGATTACAGGCACCCGCTACAACGCCCAGCTAATTTTTTTTTATTTTTAGTAGAGACGGGATTTCACCATGTTGGCCAGGCTGGCCTTGAACTCCTGACCTCATGATACACCCACCATGGCCTCTCAAGGTGCTGGGATTACAGGCGTGAGCCACCGTGCCCGGCCCCCAGTGATATCTATTTGTATTCCATTCCTCATGGGAATGATATAATAAGGACCTAAGATTCAGACTGTAGCTCTGGAACTTAAAGGTCTCTTCCAGTCCTAAGACTGAATTATTCCAAGCGTTTGAGAAATGTTCTCTTCTAGAACTAAGTATTATATGAGGATTTTAATTAGTGTGAAATGAAAAGAAAATGTGTTTTCTCAATTTCAACTCCAGTAACATTTTTCTGAGGACCCATGGTATGAAAGTGACAATAGGCCGGGTGCGGTGACTCATGCCTGTAATCCCAGCACTTTGGGAGGCTGAGGCAGGCAGATCCCTTGAGTTCGGGAGTTCTAGACCAGCCTGACCAACATGGAGAAACCCCGTCTACTAAAAATACAAAATTAGCCAGGCGTGGTGGCTCATGCCTGTAATCCCAGCTACTCTGGAGGCTGAGGCAGGAGAATCACCTGAACCCAGGAGGCAGAGGTTGTGGTGAGCTGAGATCGCACCATTGTACTCTAGGCTGGGCAACAAGAGTGAAACTCTGTCTCAAAAAAAAAAAAAAAAAAGAAAGAAAGAAAAGAAAAGAAAGAAAGTGACAATAGTGGAACTGAAGAAGATACAGACCTTGGTTAGGAACTCATAGTTCAATGGGAGAGGCAGAAGCACATCTGAACATTTTTTTTTTTAATCTAAAGTAGAAATGTGAGGAATGGGATAGAGTGACCAAAGAAAGAACTCTGGAAATATTAGAGAGAATGTAACCATTCAGTTTTCTTAATTGCTTACATCAGAAACTTTCATCAATAAAATGAATAATTTATTGAGGGAAACCCAACAGTTCTCAGAATTGAAGGAAGGGTTGATAAGAAGATTTTGAAGACAGGTCCAGAAAGGTAACCCTTATGAGCTCCGTGGCCTGAGGTTATGGATCCTGCTACTGAAATCACCCAAGACTCTAGAGCTCACATGAGGATGGCCCTCTGTCTGTGAATCAACTCCATATTCTTCACAGAGAGGCTTTTTGCTTGGTTTACGTCAGATGTCCAATTTTGCACTTGTGTATAGTGGTGAAAGTGAATTTAGGACACATTAGGGGGAAAACTGTGCACGATATTTGATAGTCCCAACAAGACAATTTGAAAAGAGGGTTTGTTGATAACATAATAAGAAAGAAAGGACACTAGCAAGGCAAAAACTATAGATGTCGTCTTCAGACATCTGCCAAAGGGACCTGGGGAGGATTTGGAAGAGAAAAGATAAAGTTAGGCCTTGATCAATGGATAGGACTTTTTAAAAAGTAGATTTAGGGGACTAGGAGAAAGAAGCCATTCCAATCAGAGAGAACAACTTGAGCAGAGACATGGAAAAAGGAACAGTGTGAGTACAACTTAACGATCTGAGAGTTGGGAGAAGTCTAATAGGATTAGAGTGTGAGAACACGAAGTGAGAAAAATGGGAAGAATGACTAAAAAGACATAGAATCAGAGTTCTAACTCACTGTAGAGGGTTACAACATGATTGCATGAAACAGTGAATGTGAAAGTGTTTTGTAAATTATAAAGTGTTTTGAAAACTACCAAATTTTCATATCCATAAATTGTTTTTTTAATAAAAGTGTTTCTTAGTAAATTGAGTTTTTTACATTAGCATTCTCTGTAACCATTCATCATATGCAAAATGAAGAATGTAAGCAGAAAATCTGGCCATAAAATTCTGTAATTTCTACATATATAAGCCTTGATATAATATTTACAATCATGAAGTTATATATATATATATATATAAAATTTTTTTTTTTGAGACGGAGTCTCCCTCTGTTGCCCAGGCTGGAGTGCAGTGGCGTGATCTTGGCTCACTGCAACCTCTGCCTCCTGGGTTCAAGCAATTCTCCTGCCTCAGCCTCCCAAGTAGCTGGGATTATAGGTGCCCGCCACCACTCCAGGCTAATTTTTGTATTTTTGGTAGAGACGGGGTTTAACCATTTTGGCCAGGCTGGTCTCGAACTCCTGACCTCAGGCGATCTGCCTGCCTCGGCCTCCCAAAGTGCTGGGATTACAAGCATGAGCCACCGCGCCTGGCCTTAAAAGACAATTTTTAATAAATCAACCAATTTCCAGGAATAATAGCCGCTTTTATTTATGTTTTTTAAACATCTACTAATGTGGAGGTAATTTGCAAACATATGGCCTCAGTAACATTCACTGACTGTTAAGTAGGAACTATTATCCCCATTTTTGATAGGAGGAAACTAGGGCTTAGGAAACAGAGATCCCTTTTCCAGGTCATATGGCTAGAAAGTGTCAGAGCCAGGATTCATCATGGGATCTACCTGTTTCTAAATCCAGTGCTTCTTTTGTAGAGACCAGATTTTGCTCTGTTGCCCAGGCTGGTCTTGAACTCCTGAGCTAAAGGGATCTGCCCACCTCAGCCTCCCAAAGTACTGTCATTACAAGTGTGAGCCACTGTGCCCGGTCTGAAACCAGTGCTTCTTATTGGGTCCCAAATTACCACTACTTCCTCTACTCAATATGCCGCTAAGTCCCATCTTTACTCTCTGAAGCCACAGGAAGAATGTCAAGGCATTTACAAGGCAGGAACATGTAGCGTCTCTGGTGTGGACTGAATTGGTTAGAAGTGACATGGCTGAGAGATTTTGAACATTTAGAAGAAGAGAGTACGTAGTTATTGAGTGCCAACTTGGGGCCCAGTGCCATGCAAAAAATATTTCTATATTATTATAGAAATTATTCTGCCCATGTTGCAGATAAGAAACCCTAGCTTAAAGTATGTTAATTGTTCACAGTAAGTGACAGATCCAGTTGGTATTCTGTTACTCATTCAAAATATTTACTGAGCACTCTGGGATCTTGGGATATGTATGTGAACCAAGCAGACAAAGATGCTCCATAGAGCTTGCATTACAGTGTGGAGAGTAGGGTCGTATGCAAAAAGCTTAATTAGAAATCACACGGGGCCGGATGTGGTGGCTCACACATGTAATCCCAGCACCGTGGGAGGGCGAGGCAGGATGATTGCTTGAGCTCAGGAGTTTGAGATCAGCCTGGGCACATGGAGAAAATTAGCCGGGCCTGTAGGCATGCACCGTAGTCTCAGCTACTCGGGAGGCTGAGGCATGAGAATTGCTTGAACCTGGGAGGGAGGCGGAGGTTATGGTGAGGCGAGATGGTGCTACTGTACTCCAGCCTGTGCAATGGAGCAAGACTCTGTTTAAAAAAAAAAAAATTACATGGTCAGTTAAAAAGTCATAAGTGTTATGTAGAAAAAGAAATTAGAACAAGATAAAAGGAGGAGAGGGAACGGGAGCAAGAAGGGATAGCTTGAAATTGCATTTTATTTATTTTTAATTTTTAATTTTAATTTAATTTTAATTTTTGGGGATGGAGTTTCACTCTTGTTGCCCAAGCTGGAGTGCAATGGCATGCTCTTAGCTTACTGCAACCTCTGCCTCCCAGGTTTGAGCAATTCTCCTGCATCAGCCTACCAAACAGCTGAGATTACAGGAATGCACCACCATGTGTGGCTAATTTTGTATTTTTAGTAGAGATGGCATTTCACCATGTTGGCCAGGATGGTCACAAACTCCTGACCTCAGGTGATCCACCTGCCTTGGCCTCCCAAAGTGTTAGGATTACAGGTGTGAGCCACCGCGCCCTGACTGAAATTGCATTTAAAATAGGGTGACTTTATCACAATATCCAGAGGGCTAGAAGTCGATTTGTCAAGATATAATCTAGACTTTGCTTATAGGATCGCCAGATTTAAGGTCTTCCTTAGTTTTTAGTTGCATCCAGTAAACTGATGGAATTGGAGAGTCTTTTCTGTAGATGGTACCCTACATGCTTGGGAATTTTAAGGAACTAAAGACCCCACCTCCACCTCACTTTCAGCATTGCTCTCCACCACACTGATCTTGAAGATTTCCTGGAATTCCTCCTTTAATTCAACAAGTAACATTGTGACAGGCCATTTGATGAATTGGAAAAAGCACTCGCCTAGGGGTTCGGAAAACCTGGGGTCTAATGCCAGGTTTGTCGTTAATTAAAATCTGACCTTGAAAATGTCTACTCTGGGCTTATTTCCCCAATTGGCAAAAGGACAATTCCAACTTTAACACCTTGTGGCTATGAAGTCCTGCTGAAAAATTTTTAGTATGCCCCAGTTAAAATCGTTTTGGCAGAGATTGGAGTCCAATGGGAGAAATTTATCTTTTCAGATTTTCTGACAAAATTTCAGCGTCAAACTTCTCTTTCAAAATCACCTAGAAATGTCAGCTGGCCCAGATCACTGCCTTGCCTTCTTTTGGGCGGATGTTAGAAGCAAGTGCTTGGCCACGGACTGAGCAGCTTAACAGGACTTCCTGTTCATTTCCAAGGGTAGCTCAAGGTGTTGGAATGACTCTGCAAAGCCCCATATGGCTTGGGACCCAGTTACCTTAGCAATTGGTTCTCTCCCCATGCAGTGTCAATTAACAGGCAATTAAAACTCTCCACCGCTCCAGCTAATAGTCCCCAGATTGTAGTACCAGGAAATGAGAGGCAGGAGGTTTTCATTGTTTTTTTTCTTCTCCTTTATTTTAAAACTATTTTATTTTTATAAATTATAACATGCCCTTGGATCTGAAACCTGTCATATTTAAGATTCTTCTTTCTCTTAACTTGTTATTTGGTTTGTACATTTATTGTATTATTTATTGGTTCAAAAATCCTTTAGTGCTTCTAATTATTCATGGAAACAAATCTGAAATGTTCTGCTTACCTCTCTCTAAACTTTTGATAATATAGTTCTACTCCTACTATCCAATTATATTTCCCACACATCCTTTCAAACACTCATTATTTGCTTCCTTTCTACGTAAAGGTCTTTTCCTTTGTCCACCATCAAAATTTGCCCATTCTGCAAAGCCTAGCTTAGAGTACATATGATCACACCAGTTCTCTATTTTGAATTTTCTTCTGAGTTTCAGGTGTAACTAGAATTAGAATAATTTTATTTCCTCCTTCTTCATGCTAATTAGCCTTATCAAATTTTCTCATTTTCTCTCCACAAATAGATTAAGACTTAGTGAGGGTGAGAACCATGCTTTATATTTTTCTTTGCATCCTCAAACCTTACCTAGCACAGAGCTACCCATTACTGAAGGCCACCTAATAGTGAGTTTAGAAATTGGTGCAGTTATATGCAATTTGACAAAATTGGACATTTGAACAACTTGGACAGTAAGCTTAGAATCTCGCAATATTAGAAGTTCAAAGCATTAGGGACCTCAGGGATTAATATACTAAATTCTCCCTTTTATAGACAAAAACAGCCAAGAGCTAAATGGAAGCAGTAAATTGGCCAAAGTTAAACTGTAAGTAAATGAAAAGCTTGGATCTAATCTCATGTCTTTTGACTCAAAATCCATGCCCTTTTTCCTTCTCCAGTAGTTTGAAACTTTTCCCTCATTATGACATATTTGATAGATGATGTTCCCTTGAATGAGGCTCTCCCATGGGCGTAGGTGGGGCTTGCCCATTGCTGGAGAGAACAGTGTGGCGTCTTCTCTATATCTCCCACTCAGTACGATGTCATGATGTATGAAAGTCACACTAATGTAAGTATCACCTTGCTTCTTTAATTTTTTAAAAGTTGCAAATGTCAATACCTTAAATATTACTAATATCAATATGATCCAGCAATCCCACTACTCCGTATATGTCCAAAGGAAATGAAATCAGTATGTTGAAGGGATATCTACCCTCCCATGTTCATTGCAGCATTATTCACAATAGCCAAGACATGGAATCAACCTAAATGTCTGTCTGTCAATGGATGGACGGATAAAGAAAATCAAAGTAGGGTACTTTCATTCTTTCCTGCTTTTTTTGTTCAAGCAACATTCTTTTTTTTTTTTCTTTTTGAGAGGGAGTCTTGCTCTAGGCCTCAGGATGGAGTGCAGTGGTGCTATCTCTGCTCACTGCAACCTCTGCCTCCTGGGTTCAAATGATTCTCCTGCCTCAGCCTCTGTCCCTGCCTCAGTCCCTCAGCTGGGACTACAGGCATGCACCATGATGACATAGGGCTAATTGTATTTTTTGTAGAGATGGCGTTTCACCACTTTGCCCAGGCTGGTCTTAAACTCATGGGCTCAAGTGATCCTCCTGCCTCGGCCTCCCAAAGTGCTGGGATTACAGGCATGAGCCACCGTGCCCGGCCCAGGCAACGTTCTTAAGCATTTGCATGTGATAGACACTGGCAGAACAGAAGTGGAGACACAGGGATAAAAGAACACAGCCCTCTCTCTGGAGCTCACAGTCTAGTCTAGCGAGAGAGACAGTCAGATGAGCAGCAGTATGGTGTGAGGGCATATACACACATGGCATATTTTTCAGCCATAAGAAAAGAAGGGAATCCTGTCATTTGCAACAACATGGATGAACCTAAAGAACATTATGTTAAGTGAAATAAGCCAAATACGGAGAGACAAATCTTGCATAATCTCACATGTGGAATCTAAAGAAGTTAAACTCACAGAAGTTGAGAGTAGAATTGTGGTTACCAGGGGTCGGTGGGGGAAGATGGGACATGTCTGGGAAGATGTGGTCAAAGGGTGAAAAATTTCAGTTAGATAGGAGGAATAAATTCAAGAGATCTATTGTACAACATGGTGAATATAGTTAATAACCATGTATGGTGGTCTTGAAAATTGCCAAGAGAGTAGATTATAAGTGTTCTCACCACAAAAAATTGACAAGTATGTGAGATAACGTACATGTTAATTAGCTTGATTTCACCAATTCACAATGTTTACATATTTCAAAACATCGTGCTGTACATGGTAAATACATATAACTTTTTGTCAATTAAAAATAAATTAAAAATTAAAGTTAAAAATATATTATTAGTGCCAAGTGAGTTATAAAAATCCGTTGTTCTGTATATGCTGCTATATCTAAAACTGGCATCCTTTGACCACCATTTGGTAATATAATCAATGAGTACACGTTGTTAAAAGTTCACTTTGTGTTGTCAGATAGGTGGAGTGTCAAGATGGCTAAGGTCAGGCCAAGCCTGGTGCTTTCAGAGAATTTTTAAGGCACAGAGCAACACAGAAAGTTGGAAATGTAGGGACATGTAAGACGTGGCAGCAAAGGGGAGTGCAGGGGATGGGATGACACTGCAGGGCTGTGGGGAGGATCCAGCTGCAGGATGGTCACGGTAACAGTAGACAAATGAACTCTGAAGTAGATGGAAGGGGAAGCCAAAGGCAATTCAGCATCATGTTGCAGAGATACATAGACACTTTTGGGATATAAATTAGTAATCACATTTGGTTAGGAAATGGCTAGAAAGGCAGAAAACAACATCACTATGAAAGTAGTAAGATTGAAAGGCTGAGTGTGAAGGAGGAAGGAAAGATGGCTGGAGGGAAAAAGAGCAAGAGAAGGAGGGAAGGCAATTTTTTTAGAGTGTAAGATGAGCTAGTTGGGGCTGGGTGAGTTGGCTCACGCCTATAATCCCAGCACTTTGGGAAGCTGAGGCAGGAGGATTGCTTGAGCCCAGGAGTTCGAGAACAGTCTGGGCAACATGGCAAGAACCTGTCCCTATAAAAATTTTAAAAATTAGCTGGCCATGGTGGTAGTTCCAGCTCCTCAGGAGACTGAGGTGGGAGGATCACTTGAGCCTGAGAGTTCGAGGCTGCAGTGAGCCTTGATCACACCACTGCACTCCAGACTGGGTGACAGAGTGAGACCCTGTCTCAACCAGCCAACCAATCAATCAACCAATTAATCAATAAGATGATCCAGTTTCTGTATTAGGCATTTTCACATATCTTCTCTCATTAATGAGGGGGAAGGAGACAATATAGGAATAGGGGAACAGAAAAAACAAAAAGGGTTCCCCAAGAATTCCCACTGGTCGCTCAAGGGTGGATGTTGCAGCTGTCGTGTGTAGGTTTGTGACTGTGACACAGACTTCCTGTTGTTTCACCATCTCAGATGGATGACTGCAGCTTTTTCCAAGATTTTTGTTCTACCTACCCTAGTAAAAACCAGATTCTACAGACTAATGACCTAACTCTACATATTATGAAATTTCAAAGGCTGCTTATGTATCACTCAGCAAAGCAAAATAAGTATCTCAAGAGTAAAATATATCTTAAGGGTTTCAAATGATTTTGTGCCTCAGTTTCATCATCTGTAAAGGGAACAATAATAATTTTGATATAAATATATTATTAGGGATAATGATAGTACTTACATAGCAGGATAGTACTACTTACGAGTAGTAAGTAGGTTAATATTTATAAAGTGCCTAGAATAGTGCTTGACACACAGTGCTATATAGATTAAATCAATAAAAATAAAATAGCAGTAGATTCATAGATTGGCAGCCATGGAAGAGAATGTAGGGACCATGATCCAAAGCATTTCTTTTAGGAGATGCAAATGGTTCCAAAGAAGGACAATTATTTACCTGCAGTCTTCACAATTGATTAAGTTGGTGGCAGAGGGAGTAGGAAAACTCCCGATTTCTAATCAAGTGTCGTTTTTAACCAAGAAACACATGACAGGCAGAAACATAATACAGATTTGACAAATCCTGACTTTTTTTTTTTTTTTTTTTTTTTTGAGACGGAGTCTTGCTCTGTCACCCAGGCTGGAGTGCAGTGGCGACAAATCCTGACTTTACTATTTAACTAGATTATCAGCTCATGAAGGGCTGTGTCTTTTCTATCTCTTTATTCACAGTGATCATCTGAATGTCCGTGAGATGAGTTTGGCAGGACTGATTTCAAAAGGTACAGGTCACAGAGACCCAGCTGATAAAATAGGATGTGGTAAAGAAGCAAGGCAAAACCCACCAAACCCCAGACGACAATAAAAGTGACCTCTGATCGTCCTCACCGCTCGTTATATGCTAATTATAATTAATTAGCATGCTAAAAGACACTCCTACAACACCATGACGGGTTACAGATACCATGACAATTGCTAGACGTTACCTTATATAGTCTAAAAAGGGAGGAACTCTTGGTTTTGAGAATTCTCTGCCCTTTTCCTGGAAAATTCATGAATAATCCATCCCTTGTTTAGCATATAATCAAGAAATAACCATAAAAATAACCAACCAGCAGTCCTTGGTGCTGCTCTGCCTGTGAAGTAGCCACCATTTTATTCCTCTACTTTCTTAATACACTTGCTTTCACTTTTCTCTGCTGGCTTGGCGTGCAAAGCCAAAAAGCCAAGAACCCAAGTGGCCTCCTGGGCTGAACCCCAGTTCTGGAATTTGCCCTGCGACACCCATATACGATGGTGTTCTATAAATGTTCACTTAACAAACTCTGGGTAATTTGATAAATTAATTCACATTTAAAGCACTAAAAGCTAATGGAGGCCTAGAATTGATGAAGTAGAAATGTTTGGAGTAAAGGATAAACTTTTTAGGTATAGCGATGTTTTCTAGCTTCTTTTAAAATCTTGTATGTAAAATCCACAGTCCAGTGTCTAATACATAATGACACTCAGTAAATGCTAGCTATTATTTTTAGGGAGTTGCCCCTTAGGCCAATACATGATGGTATATAACTTGGCCACCAGCACAGAGGTACTGCCAGGTCTGATTTCCATTCTTTACAGAGTGTTGGCAGGTAGCAGTTTTGGGAAATGTCTGACGTGGCAGAAAGGGATTGCCAGTAGGCAGTAAGCTGTTGCCCAGATGTTGGTCTCTGTTCTATTTAACAGTAATTGATTATTTTCAATATCCACTAAAAGTCATCAGTCTTGCAGGATTTTCTCAATTCTTATGGTCCTCTCTTCCTTCTTGAAAGTTTTAAGATGTTTGTTTCCTGTCAGTGCTATTTTTATTCAATTAGATCCTGTTGGGGATTTTCCTGTTTATTTTTCTTCCTGTTTCTCAAAATGGGAATTAAAGATGACCAATCATAAGAACTTTGTAATGACCTTTACAACATCGTTATTAAATCTTTAAAAGCTCCCCCTTCACTAATCCCTTATCACATAACATTCAGGAAGCAAATGAGTCAAAACTGAAAACGACTCTGAAGCTTCAGGGCTGCCACGAAAACTCACTCTTTCTTGGTCTGAATCCTTTATCCCTGTTATTTCCTTCACAGGGAGCACTTTTTTCTTGTTTCAGTCATTCAACTGTTTGACATACATCTCATCCTCTCCCCTGGGTAGCAAATGAATCCATTTTCTAGCTGTTTAATTTTAGGCAATTTTTTACCCTCTCTGAGCCTTGGTTGTCTGTTGTGCATGCAGGAAGTGTTCAATGGTGAGGAAATTAGGAGAAAAGGGGAGAATTGAAGGAACAAGGAAGGCCAGAAGGCCGAGAAGTTATCAGCACTGGTGGCTATATTGGAGAATATACAGTAGAATATTGATGATGGCCAAGGCATTGCAACCATGTAGACCTCGACTGGAAACTCGCTCTTCCACTTACCACATCTCAGGCAAACAACTTAACTTATAACTATTCCCAATCATAACTCTTAATTTCAACATCTCATAGGTAATTCCTCCTCCATTCTTGTTATGTTTTTGCTCCCCTCACCCCCATATCTGAATCACTCTTTCATCATATTTTGGTCATTACCAATAACTGCAATCTCTCTGTCTTCTCTATTTCAAGCATTTCACTCTCTAATTCAATTTTACAGATTCACAGGCCACTCCTTTTTTTTTTTTTTTTTTTAATAGACGGAGTCTCACTCTGTTTCCCAGGCTGGAATGCAATGGCACAATCTCAGCTCACTGCAACCTCCACCTCCTCGGTCCAAGCAATTCTCTTCCCTCAGCCTCCTGAGTAGCTGGGATTACAGATGCCCACTACCGTGCCCTGGCTAATTTTTCTATTTTTAGTAGAAACAGGGTTTCGTCTTGATGGCCAGGCTGGTCTCAAACTCCTGACCTGAGGATCCGCCCACCTCAGCCTCCCAAAGTGCTGGGATTACAGGCGTGAGCCGCTGCACCTGGCCCGGCCACTCTTTCTTATACCTCCTCTCTAACAATCTTTCAGCCCCATTAAGATCAACCATCATTGAGCCTCCACTTTTCTGCTCTTTTTGTACCCCCTTATGTTCTCTCCTCCCACCTTATTCAGCTTAGCTTCCAGAGTAGTCCATTATTATAATCATCACCTTGCCAATACCTTCAGTTCTGTTCCCCTCTCTCTTTTGATCAAACTTGCCTGGCAATACCTTAAATCTGGTTAAATCCAATACTCCATGTACTTTGTGACTGCACACATGCAGCTAAATGTAGCTGGAAAATAGCAACTAAGCCTGCTGCCTGGCATCACTGTATTATTTATTTTTAATAATTTCAACTTTCAGATTCAGGGAGTACACATGCAGGTTTGTTACAGGGGTATATTGCATGATGCTGAGCTTTGGGGTACGACTGATCCTGCCACCCAGATACTGAGCATAATATCCGGCAGTTAATTTTTCAATCCTTGCTCCCATCCCTCTGTTCCCCTCTGTTCTAGCAGTCTCCAGTGTCTATTGTTGCCATCTTTATGTCCATAAGTATCCAATGTTTAGCTGCCATTTATAAATGGGGACATGCAGTATTTGGTTTTCTGTTTCTGGGTGAATTTACTTAGGATAATGGCCTCCAGCTGCATCCATGCTGCTGGAAGGGACATGATTTTGTTCTTTTTAAGGCTGCATAGTATTCCATGGTGTATATGTACCACATTTTATTTATTCAATCCACTGTCGACAGGCACCTAAGTTGATGCCATGTCTTTGCTATTGTTAGTAGTACTGCGATGAATATGTGAGTGCGTGTGTCTTTTTGGCAGAATGATTTCTTTTTCTTTTTCCTAGTAATGGGATTGCTAGGTCAAATGGTAGTACTGTTTTCAGTGCTTTGAAAATTTCCAATCTGCTTTCCATAGTGGCTGAACTAATTTACATTCTTACCAACAATGTAGAAGCATTCCCTTTGCTCTGTGGCCTTACCTGACATATGTAGTTTTTTTACTTTTTGATAATAGACATTCTGACTCACGGTGTGAGATGATATTTCACTGTGGTTTTTGTCAGGCTTCTGAGCCCAAGCTAAGCCATCATATCCCCTGTGACCTGCATGTACACATCCAGATGGCCAGTTCCTGCCTTAACTGATGACATTCCACCACAAAAGAAGTGAAAATGGCCTGTTCCTGCCTTAACTGATGACATTGTCTTGTGAAATTCCTTCTCCTGGCTCATCCTGGCTCAAAAGCTCCCCTACTGAGCACCTTGTGACCCCCCCACTCTGCCCGCCAGAGAACAACCCCCCTTTGACTGTAATTTTCCTTTATCTACCCAAATCCTGTAAAAATGGCCCCACTCTTATCTCCCTTCACTGACTCTCTTTTCAGACTCAGCCTGCCTGCACCTGGGTGATTAAAAGGTTTGTTGCTCACACAAAGCCTGTTTGGTGGTCTCTTCACACGGACATGCATGAAATTCGGTGCCGTGACTCGGATCAGGGGACCTGCCTTGGGAGATCAATCCTCTGTCCTCCTGTTCTTTGCTCCGTGAGAAAGATCCACCTACGACCTCAGGTCGTCAGACTGACCAGACCAAGAAACATCTCACCAATTTCAAATCCGGTAAGCAGCCTCTTTTTACTCTGTTCTCCAACCTCCCTCACTATCCCTCAACCTCTTTCTCCTTTCAATCTTGGCGCCACACTTCAATCTCTCCCTTCTCTTAATTTCAATTCCTTTCATTTTCTGGTAGAGACAAAGGAGACACGTTTTATCCGTGGACCCAAAACTCCAGCGCCAGTCATGGACTGGGAAGGCAGCCTTCCTTTGGTGTTTAATCATTGCAGGGACGCCTCTCTGATTATTCACCCACATTTCAGAGGTGTCAGACCATGCAGGGATGCCTGCCTTGGTCCTTCACCCTTAGCGGCAAGTCCTGCTTTTCTGGGGGAGGGGCAAGTACCCCAACCCCTTCTCTCCGTGTCTCTATCCCTTCTCCGCTTTTCTTGGGGAGGGGCAAGAACCCCTCAACCCCTTCTCCTTCACCCTTAGCGGCAAGTCCTGCTTTTCTAGGGGGCAAGAATCCCCAATCCCTTATTTCCGTGCCCTGACCTCTTATCTCTGTGCCCCATCCCTTATTTCCGTGCCCCGACCTCTTATCTCTGCGCTCCGATCCCTTATTTCCGTGCCCTGACCTCTTATCTCTGTGGCTCAACCCCTTATTTCCATGCCCTGACCCCTTTCCTGCTTTTCTGGAGAGTAAGAAGCCCCGAACCCCTTCCCTCTGTGTCTCTACTCTCTCTTTTCTCTGGGCTTGCCTCCTTCACTATAGGCAAACTTCCACCCTCCATTCCTCTGTCTCCCTTAGCCTGTGCTCTCAAGAACTTAAAACCTGTTCAACTCACACCAGACCTAAAACCTAAATGCCTTATTTTCTTCTGCAATGCTGCTTGACCCCAATACAAACTCAACAGTGGTTCCAAATAGCCAGAAAATGGCACTTTGAATCTTTCCATCCTGCAAGATCTAAGTAATTCTTGTTGTAAAATGGGCAAACGGTCTGAGGTGCCTGATGTCCAGGCATTCTTTTACACATCAGTCCCTCCCTAGTCTCTGTGTCCAGTGCAACTTGTCCCAAATCTTCCTTCTTTCCCTCCCACCTGTCCCCTCAGTCCCAACCCCAGGCATTGCTGAGTCTTTCTAATATTCCTTTGCTACAGACCCATCTGACCTCTCCCCTCCTCCCCAGGCTGGTCCTCACCAGGCCGAGCTAGGTCCCAATTCTTCCTCAGCCTCTGCTCCTCCATCCTATAATCTTTTTATCACCTCCCCTCCTCACACCTGGTCCAGTTTACAGTTTCATTCTGTGAGTAGCCCTCCCCCACCTGCCCAGCAATTTCCTCTTAAAAAGGTGGCTGAAGCTAAAGGCATAGTCAAGGTTAATGCTCCTTTTTCTTTATCAGACCTCTCCCAAATCAGTGAGCATTTAGGCTCTTTCATCAAATATGAAAAACCCAGCCCAGTTCATGGCTCGGCAGCAGCCCTGAGATGCTTTACAGCCCTAGATCCTAAAAGGTCAAAAGGCTGTCTTATTCTCAATATACACTTTATTACCCAATCTGCTCCTGACATTAAATAAAACTCCAAAAATTAAATTCCGGCCCTCAAACCCCACAACAGGACTTAATTAACCTCGCCTTCAAGGTGTACAATAATAGAGTAAAGGCAGCCAAGTAGCAATGTATTTATGAATTGCAATTACTTGTCTGCACTGTGAGACAAACCCCAGCCACATCTCCAGCACACAAGAACTCCAAACACCTGAACCACAGCTGCCAGGGGTTCCTTCAGAACCTCCTCCCCCAGGAGCTTGCTACAAGTGCCGGAAATCTGGCCACTGGGCCAAGGAATGCCCACAGCCCAGGATTCCTCCTAAGCCGTATTCCGTCTGTGTGGGACCTCACTGAAAATCAGACTCTTCAACTCACCTGGCAGCCACTCCCAGCTTCCCTGGAACTCTGGCCCAAGGCTCTCTGACTGACTCCTTCTCAGATCTTCTCAGCTTAGCGGCTGAAGACTGACACTGCCTGATTGCCTTGGAAGCCCCCTAGACCATCATGGACACCGAGCTTTGAGTAACTCTCACAGTGGAAAGTAAGTCCATCCCCTTCTTAATCAATACAGAGGCTACCCACCCCACATTACCTTCTTTTCAGAGGCCTGTTTCCCTTGCTTCCATAACTGTTGTGCGTATTGACAGCCAGGCTTCTAAACCTCTTAAAACTCCCCAACTCTGGTGCCAACTTAGACAATACTCTTTTAGGCACTCCTTTTAGTTATCCCCACCTGCCCAGTTCCCTTATTAGGCCGAGACACTTTAACTAAATTATCTGCTTCCCTGACTATTCCTAGGCTACAGCCACACCTCATTGCTGCCTTTTCCCCCAGTTCAAAGCCTCCTTCACATCTTCCCCTTGTATCTCCCCACCTTAACCCACAAGTATAAGATACATCTACTCCCTCCTTAGGGACTGATCATGCACCCCTTACCATCCCATTAAAACCTAATCACTCTTACCCTGATCAATGCCAATATCCCATCCCACAGCATGCTTTGAAAGGATTAAATCCTGTTATCACTCGCCTGTTACAGCATGGCCTTTTAAAGCCTATAAACTCTTCTTACCATTCCCCCATTTTACCTGTCCTAAAACCAGACAAGGCTTACAGGTTAGTTCAGAATCTGCGCCTTATCAACCAAATTGTTTTGCCTAGCCACCCCATAGTGCCAAACCCATATACTCTCCTGTCATCAATACCTTCCTCTACAACCCATTATTCTGTTCTGGATCTCAAACATGCTTTCTTTACTATTCCTTTGCACCGTTCATCCCAGCCTCTCTTTGTTTTCAGTTAGACTGACCCTGACACCCATCAGGCTCAGCAAATCACCTGGGCTGTACTGCCGCAAGGCTTCACAGACAGCCCCCATTACTTCAGTCAAGCCCAAATTTCATCCTCATCTGTTACCTATCTTGGCATAATTCTCATAAAAACACACGTGCTCTCCCTGCTGATCGTGTCCGATTAATCTCCCAAACTTCAATCCCTTACAAAACAACAACTCCTTTCCTTCCTAGGCATGGTTAGTGCGGTCAGAATTCTTACACAAGAGCCAGGACCGCACCCTGTAGCCTTTCTGTCCAAACAACTTGACCTTACTGTTTTAGCCTAGCCATCATGTCTGCGTGCAGCGGCTGCTGCTGCTTTAATACTTTTAGAGGCCCTAAAAATCACAAACTATGCTCAACTCACTCTCTACATTTCTCATAATTTCCAAAATCTATTTTCTTCCTCATACCTGACGCATATACTTTCTGTGCCTCGGCTCCTTCAGCTGTATTCACTCTTTGTTAAGTTGCACAATTACCATTGTTCCTGGCCCAGACTTCAATCCGGCCTCCCACATTATTCCTGATACCACACCTGACCCCCATGACTGTATCTCTCTGATCCACCTGACATTCACCCCATTTCCCCATATTTCCTTCTTTCCTGTTCCTCACCCTGATCACGCTTGATTTATTAATGACAGTTCCACCACGCCTAATAGCAACACACAAGCAAAGGCAGGCTATGCTATAGTACAAGCCACTAGCCCGCCTCTTAGAACCTCTCATTTCCTTTCCATCATGGAAATCTATTCTCAAGGAAATAACTTCTCAGTGTTCCATCTGCTATTCTACTACTCCTCAGGGATTATTCAGGCCCCCTCCCTTCCCTACACATCAAGCTCGAGGATTTGCCTCCACCCAGGACTGGCAAGTTAGCTTTACTCAACATGCCCCGAGTCAGATAACTAAAATACCTCTTAGTCTAGGTAGATACTTTCACTGGATAGGTAGAGGCCTTTCCTACAGGGTCTGAGAAGGCCACTGCAGTCATTTCCTCCCTTCTGTCAGACATAATTCCTCAGTTTAGCCTTCCCACCTCTATACAGTCTGATAACAGACCAGCCTTTATTAGTCAAATCAGCCAAGCAGTTTTTCAGGTTCTTAGTATTTAGTGAAAACTTTATATCCCTTATGATCCCCCATCTTCAAGAAAAGTAGAACGGACTAAAGGTCTTTTAAAAACACACCTCACCAAGCTCAGCCACCAACTTAAAAAGGACTGGACAATACTTTTACCACTTTCCCTTCTCAGAAGTCAGACCTGTCCTCAGAATGCTACAAGGTACAGCCCATTTGAGCTCCTGTATAGACGTTCCTTTTTATTAGGCCCCAGTCTCATTCCAGACACCAGACCAACTTGGACTGTGCCCCAAAAAACTTGTCATCCCTACTGTCTTCTGTCTAGTCATACTCCTATTCACCGTTCTCAACTACTCATACATGCCCTGCTCTTGTTTACACTGCCGGTTTACCCTGTTTTTCCAAGCCATCACAGCTGATATCTCCTGGTGCTATCCCCAAACTGCCACTCTAAACTCTTGAAGTAAATAAATAATCTTTGCTGGCAGGACTACGCTGAATCTCCTTAGGCACTCTCTAATCAGATGTCTTGGGTCCTCCCAATTCTTAGACCTTTTATACCTGTTTTTCTCCTTCTCTTATTCTATTTAGTTTTTCAATTCATACAAAACCGTATCCATGCCATCACCAATAATTCTACATGACAAATGTTTCTTCTAACAACCCCACAATATCACCCCTTACCACAAAATCTTCCTTCAGCTTAATCTCTCCCACTCTAGGCTCCCACGCCGCCCCTAATCCCGCTCGAAGCAGCCCTGAGAAACATCACCCATAATCTCTCCATACTACCCACAAAAATTTTCACCGTCCCAACACTTTACCACTATTTCATTTTATTTTTCTTATTAATATAAGAAGACAGGATTGTCAGGCCTCTGAGCCCAAGCTAAGCCATCATATCCCCTGTGACCTGCACGTACACATCCAGATGGCCAGTTCCTGCCTTAACTGATGACATTCCACCACAAAAGCAGTGAAAATGGCCTGTTCCTGCCTTAACTGATGACATTGTCTTGTGAAATTCCTTCTCCTGGCTCATCCTGGCTCAAAAGCTCCCCTACTGAGCACCTTGTGACCCCCCACTCTGCCTGCCAGAGAACAACCCCCCTTTGACTGTAATTTTCCTTTACCCAAATCCTATAAAAATGGCCCCACCCTTATCTCCCTTCACTGACTCTTTTTGGACTCAGCCCGCCCGCACCCAGATGATTAAAAGCTTTATTGCTCACACAAAGCCTGTTTGATGGTCTCTTCACACGCACGCGCATGAAAGTTTTGATTTGCATTTCTCTGATAATGATGTTGAGCATTTTTTTACACATTTGTTGGCCTCTTACATATCTCCTTTTGATAAATGCCTGTTAATGTCTTTTTCCCATTTTTTAATGGGGTTATTTGCTTTTTTGTTTGTTCAACTGTTTAAATTCCTTATGGATTCTGGATATTAGACCTTTGTCAGATGCATAGTTTGCAAACATTTTCTCCCATTATGTAGGCTGTCTGTTCACTCTTTTGATCATTTCTTTTACTGTGCAGAAGTTTGTTAGTTTCATTAAGTCTCATTTATCCATTTTTGTTTTTATTGCCATTGCTTTTGAGGACTTAGTCACAAATTCTTTCCCAAGGCCGATGTCCAGAATGGTGTTTCCTAGGCTTTCTTCTAGGATTCTTATAGTTTGAGATCTTATATTTAAATTAATCCTTCTTGAGTTAATTTTTGTTTGTGGTGAAAGGTAGGGGTCTATTTTCATTTTTCTGTATATGGGTAGCCAGCTACCACACCACTATTTATTGAACAGGGAATCCTTTCCCCATTGCTTGTTTTTGTCAGGCTTGTTGATGATCAGGTGGTTGTAGGTGTATGCCTTTATTTCTCAGTTCTCTAGTCTGTTGCATTGGTTTATGTGTCTGTATTGGTACCAGTACCATGCTGTTTTGGTTAGTGTAGCCTTATAATATAGTTTGAAGTTGGGTAGTGTGATGCCTCCCACTTTGATCTTTTTGCTTAGGATTGACTTGGCTATTTGGGCTCTTTTTAAGTTCCATATGAATTTTAAGATAGTTTTTTCTAGTTCTGTGAAAAACGATGTTGGTAGCTTAATGAGAATAGCATTGAATCTGTAGATTTCTTTTTAATGGTATTGATTCTTCCTATCCATGAGCATGGAATACTTTTTCTATTTATTTGTGTTATCCATTATTTCTTTCAGCAGTGTTCTATAGTTTCCTTATAGAGATCTTTCATCTCCTTGGTTAGAAGTATTCCTAGGTATTTTATTTTTGTGTTTGTGGCTATTGTAAATAAAATTGTGTCTCTGTGTGTGTGTGTGGCTGTGTGTATGTTTTAAGGTTTCTGGAGTAGCACCAGAATGTTTATTTCTTTTATTTATTTTTTAAAAATTTTTCCATAAGTTATTGGGGTACAGGTGGTATTTGGTTATATGAGTAAGTTCTTTTTTCTTTTTTTTGAGGCAGAGTTTTGCTCTGTTCCCAGGCTGGAGTGCAGTGGCACAGTCTCAGCTCACTGCAACCTCTGCCTCCTGGGTTCAAGCAATTCTCCTGCCCCAGCCTCCCAAGTACCTGGGACTACAGGCATGCACCACCATGCCCAGCTGATTTTTATATTTTTAGTAGAGATGGGGTTTCACCATGTTGGCCAGGATGGTCTCAATCTCTTGACTTCATGATCTGTCCGCCTTGGCCTCCCAAAGTGTTGGGATTACAGGTGTGAGCCACTGCGCCTGGCCATGTGAGTAAGTTCTTTAGTGGTGATTTGTGAAATTTTGGTGCACCCATCACCCAAGCAGTATACACCACACCATATTTGCAGTCTTTTATCCCTTACCCCCATCCTGCTCTTCCCCACAAGTCCCCAAAGTCCAATGTATTATTCTTATGCCTTTGCATCCTCATAGCTTAGCTCCCACATAACAGTGAGAAGATACGATGTTTGGTTTTCCATTCCTGAGTTATTTCACTTAGAAAAATAGTCTCCAGTCTCATCCAGGTCTCTGCAAATGCTGCTAATTCATTCCTTTTTATGGCTGAGTAGTATTTCATCATATAAATATACCATAGTTTCTTTATCCTCTTATTGATTGGTGGGCATTTGGGCTGGTTCCACGATTTTGCAATTGTGAATTGTGCTGCTATAAACATGAGTGTGCAAGTGTCTTTTTCGTATAATGACTTCTTTTCCTCTGGGTAGATACCCAGTAGTGGGATTGCTGGATCAAATGGTAGTTCTACCTTTAGTTCTTTAAGGAATCTCCACACTGTTTTACATAGTGGCGATTTTTTGATAATCATCATTCTTGCAAAAGTAAGTGCTGTCACATTGTGGTTTTAATTTGCATTTCCCTGATCATTAGTGATGTTGAGCATTTTTTCACATGTTTGTTGGCTATTTGTATATCTTCTTTTGAGAATTGTCTATTCATGTCCTTAGCCCACTTTTTTATGGGATTGTTTTTTTCTTACTGATTTGTTTGAGTTTATTTAGATTCTGAATATTAGTCCTTTGTCAGATGTATAGATTGTGAAGATTTTCTCCCACTCTGTAGGTTTTCTGTTTACTCTGCTGACTGTTCCTTTTGCCATGCAAAACTCTTTAGTTTAATTAAGTCCCAACTACTTATCTTTGTTTTTATTGCATTTGCTTTTGGATTCTTGGTCATGAAATCCTTGCCTAAGCCAAAGTCTTGAAACGTTTTTCCAATGTTATCTTCTAGAATTTTTATAGTTTCAGGTGTTAGATTTCAGTCCTTAATCCATCTTGAGTTGATTTTGTATAAGATGAGAGATGAGGATCCAGTTTCATTCTCCTACATGTGACTAGCCAATTTTTCCAGCACCATTTGTTGAAAAGGATGTCCTTTTCCTATTTTATGTTTTGTTTGCTTTGTTGAATATCAGTTGGCTGTTAGTATTTGGGTTTATTTCTGGGTTATCTATTCTGTTTCATTTGTCTATATGCCTATTTTTATACCAGGACCATGCTGTTTTGGTGACTATGGCCTTATAGTATAGTTTGAAATCAGGTAGTGTGATGCCTCCAGATTTGTTCTTTCTGCTTGGTCTTGCTTTGGCTATGTGGGCTCCTTTTTGGTTCCATATGGATTTTAGAATTGTTTTTCTAATTCTGTGAAGAATGATGTTGGTATTTTGATGGGGATTGCATTGAATTTGTAGATGGCTTTTGGCAGTATGGTCATTTTCACAATATTGATTCTACCCATCCATGAGCATGGGATGTGTTTCTATTTGCTTGTGTTGTCTATGATTTCTTTCAGCAGTGCTTTGTAGTTTTCTTTGTAGAGGTCTTTCAACTCCTTGGTTAGCTATATTCCTAAATATTTTTTTTTCCAGCTATTGTAAAAGGGGTTGAGTTCTTGATTTGATTCTCCACTTGGTTGCTCTTGGTTGGTGTATAGAAGAGCTACTGATTTGTGTACATTAATCTTGTATCTGGAAACTTTGCTGAATTCTTTGAGCAGTTCTAGGAACTTTCTGGAGGAGTCTTTAGGGTTTTCAAGGTAAAAGATCATATAATCAGCAAACAGTGACAGTTTGACTTCCTCTTTATCAATTTGGATGCCCTTTATTTCTTTCTCTTGTCTGATTGCTCTGGCTAGGACTTCCAGTACTCTATTGAAGAGGAGTGGTGAGAGTGGGCATCCTTGTCTTGTTCCAGTTCTCAGAGGGAATGCTTTCACCTTTTCCCCATTCAGTATTATGTTGGCTGTGGGTTTGTCATAGATGGCTTTTATTACATTAAGTTATGTCCCTTGTATGCTGATTTTGCTGAGAGTTTTAATCATAAAGGGATGGTGGATTTTGTTAGACACTTTTTCTGCATCTATTGAAATGATCATGTGATTTTTGTTTTTAATTCTGTTTATGTGGTGTATCACATTTATTACCTTGCTTATGTTAAACCATCCCTGCATCCCTAGTATGAAACACACTTGATCATGGGGGATTATCTTTTTGATTTGTTGTTGGGTTTGGTTAGCTAGCATTTTGTTAAAGATTTTAGCATCTATGTTCATCAAGGATATTGGTCTGTACTTTTCTTTTTTGATTATGTCCTTTCCTGGTTTTGGTATCAGGGTGATGCCGGCTTCATAGAATGAATTAGGGAGGGTTCCTTCTTTCTCTATCTTGTGGAATAGTGTCAACAGGATTGGTACCAATTCTTCTTTGAAAGTCTGGTAGAATTCTGCTGTGAATCCACTGGTCCTGGACTTTTTTTGTTGTTGTTGGTAATTTTTAAATTATCATTTCAATCTCACTGCTTGTTATTGGTCTGTTCAGGGTAGCTAATTCTTCCTGATTTAAGCTAGGAGGGTTGTATTTTTCCAAGAATTTATCCATCTCTTCTAGATTTTCTAATTTATGTGCTTAAAGGTGTTCACAGTGGTCTTGAATGATCTTTTGTATTTCTGTGGTGTCAGTTGTAATATCTCCTGTTTTGTTTCTTAATGAGGTTATTTAGATTTTCTCTCTTCTTTTCTTGGTTAATCTTGCTAATGGTCTATCAATTTAATTTATCTTTTCAAAGAACGAGCTTTTGGTTTCATTTATCTTTTGTATTTTTTTTGTTTCAATTTCATTTAGTTCTGCTCTGATCTTGGTTATTTCCTTTCTTCTGCTGCCTTTGAGTTTGGTTTGTTCTTGTTTCTCTAGTTCCTTGAGGTATGACTTTAGAATATTAGTTTGTGCACTTTCAGTCTTTTTGATGTAGTCACTTAGGGCTATGAACTTTCCTCTTAGCACTGCCTCTGCTGTATCCCAGAGGTTTTGATAGGTTGTGTTATTCTGTTGTTCAGTTGGAATAATTTTTTAGTTTCCATCTTGATTTCATTTTTGACCCAATGCCCATTCAGGAGCAGGTTATTTAATTTATATGTATTTGCATGGTTTTGAAGTTTCCTTTTGGAGTTGATTTCCAGTTTTATTCCACTGTGATCTGACAGAGTGCTTAATATAATTTCAATTTTCTTAAGTTTATTGAGGCTTGTTTTCTGGCCTATCGTATGGTCTGTCTTGGAGAAAATTCCATGTGCTGTTGAATAGAATGTGTATTCTGCAATTGTTGGATGAAATGTTTTGTATGTATCTGTTAAGTCCATTTGTTCCAAGGTATAGTTTAAATCCATTGTTTCTTTGTTGACCTTCTGTCTTGATGACTTGCCTGGTGCTGTCAGTAGAGTAATGAAGTTTCCCCACTATTATTGTGTTGCTGTATATCTCATTTCTTAGGTGTATTAGTGATTGTTTTATAAATTTGGGAGCTTCAGTGTTAGTTGCATATATGTTTAGGGTTGTGATATTTTCCTGTTGGACAAGGCCTTTTACCATTATATAATGGCCCTGTTTGTCTCTTTTAACCACTGTTGCTTTAAAGTTTGTTTTGTCTGATATAAGAATAGTTATTCCTGCTTGCTTTTGGTGTCCATTTGCATGAAATGCCTTTTTCCACCCCTTTACTTTAAGTTTATGTGAGCCTTATGTGTTAGATGAGTATCTTGAAAGGAGCAGATAGTTGGTTGGTGAGTTCTTACCAATTCTGCAGTTCTTTAACTTTTAAGTGGAGCATTTAGGCCATTTACATTCAATGTTAGTATTGAGATGTGAGGTACCATTGCATTCATTGTACTATTTGTTGCCAGTGTATTTTTTTTCTTTTTAACTTGTATTTTTGTTTTATAGGTCTTGTGTGATTTATGCTTTAAAGAGGTATGTTTTGATGTGTTTCTAGGATTTGTTTCAAGATTTAGAGCACCTTTTAGCAATTCTTGTAGTTGTGGCTTTGGTAGTGATGAATTCTCTCAGCATTTGTTTGTCTGAAAAAGACTGTATCTTTCCTTCATATATGATGCTTAGTTTCACTGGATACAAAATTCTTGGCTGATAATTGTTTTGTTTGAGGAGGCTGAAGATAGGGCCCCAATCCCTTCTAGCTTGTAGGGTTTCTGCTGAGAAATCTGCTGTTAATCTGATAGGTTTCCCTTTATAGGTTACCTGGTGCTTCTATCTCACAGTTCTTAAGATCCTTTCCTTCATCTTAACTTTGGATAATCTGACGACAATGTGCCTAGGCAATGATCTTTTTGCAATAAATTTCCCAGGTGTTCTTCCTGCTTCTTGTATTTGGATGTCTAGGTCTCTAGCAAGGCCGGGAAAGTTTTCCTTGATTGTTCCCCCAGATATGTTTTCCAAGCTTTTAGAATTATCTTCCTCCTTAGGAATACCAATTATTCTTAGGTTTAGTCATTTAACATAATCCCAGACTTCTTGGATGCTTTGTTCCTATAAGATTTTGTTCTTGATTTGGTTCTCAGCTTGAACGTTATTGGTGTATAGAAATGCTACTGATTCTTGCACATTGATTTTGTATCCTGATACTTTACTGAAATTGTTTATCAGTTCCAGGAGCCTTTTGGCAGAACTTTTAGGGTTTTCTAGGTATAGAATCATATCGTCAGCAAAGAGAGATAATTTTACTTCTTTTCCATGAATTCCCTTTATTTCCTCCTCTTGCCTGATTGCGCTAGCTAGGACTACTTGGTCTCACCTTACATTCATGATTACTAATCTCAACAGGGCCTTTAGTGCTGCCTGGAAATATGATTACATTCCCCATCCTCTATCCAATCTCCCATTTGCTTATGTTTCACACTCCTATCTCCTCAAATTTCAAAGATCTCTTCCTCCATTCTCACTCTCAGTTGATTACTTTACTTTTTACTTCACTTTGATAAGAGAAATAAACTTGGGAAAAGAAAGCACTTCCCTACTTTTCTCCTACTAAGCCTCACACCTATCTGCTTTTGTACTCATGTGCTCTACTTTTCTCCAGTTACAAAGGTTGAATTTTGTCTTTTCTTATCTAAGGCAAATTGTCAGCCTGGTGTCCTACATTCTATCATTTCTCACCTACCCAGGGACATCTCTTTAGTGTTTCTCTCCCCTCCCCCATGCCATCAATTTTTCCCTCTTTACTGGATCATTCACATAGCATACCGAGATGCTTCAACACTCTCATCTTAAAAATGAATAAACATTTCCTAACCTCCACCTACCATCCCATTTCTCTGTTCACTTTTATAGCAAAATTTTCCGAAGAGCTTTCTATACTAGCTGTTTCTGATTTCTCTCCTCACTTTCTCTTTTGTACTCACTGTGCTTGACTTTTGTTCCCACCATCTCACTGAACACAAAACAAAACAAAACAAACCCCAACAACTTTGAAAGATATCAGTGACCTCTATCTTTCCAGTTGCTCAGGTCAAAACTCATCATTGGTTCTCCTCTTTCTCTTGTTTCTCACATCCAGTTGAACTACTCCAGTCAGTTTCACCTTCAAATAAATCCAAAATTTGACCATCTTTTCACTATCACTTTGTTTTAAACCACCATCATCTCTTGGTTAAATGGTCATAATAGTCTCTCAACTGATCTCCCTGCTTGCACCCTTACACACTTGCAGCCTGCTCTTAAGACAATACACAGGTGTGAAATGTTATTTTTCTTAAAATCTTTGAATGGCTTCCTATTTCACTTGGAGTTAAAAAAAAAAAGTCCTTACAGTGGTTTATACAGCCCAAAACCCTATATGACCCGGCTCCTCTCACCTCTCAGACATCATCTTCTGACATTCTTCCTTTCATTCTCTGTTAGGTGCATTTCAACTTCTTTGCTATTTCTTGAACACACAAAGCACTTTCCAGCCTCAGGGTCTTTGCACTTCCTGTTTTTCTACTTGGAATGCTTTTACCTCACAGCCTCATGGCTAATTCCCTCACTTCTTTTAGATTTCAACTAAAACATCCTCTTCTCAATGAGGCTTTCTTTGTCTTCTCTACATAGAGTGGTGCATGTGTGCACATATACCCACTCCCCACCCTCACTCTTAACCTGCTTTATTTTTTTTCCATAGCATTTACCACTATCAGACACAAAACATATTTGCTTATTTATCTTTTTTCTATCTTCTGTGTTTATTGTGTTCACTGCTATATTTCTATTATCTAAAACAGGGCCTAGAATACAGTAGCATTAAATAAGTATTTGATGAATAAATGGGGCTAATGTATTAAATTAATTCATATCTGTGTAATGGAATCGATGTTTCCTCTGAGCATTTCCAAGCTTTTCTTGAACTACCCTCTGCCTCCTGTAGTTACTCTGGGAGGTACTCTGGAAGCAGCCATGCACCGTGTAATTCTGACCCTCTAGCTACAGTTGCTGGACCAGGGATAAAGACTCTGAGACAATTGCTTCTTCCTTGAGATTTTGGTACTGGGACTAAAAGAGCCAAGCCATCTGTTGACACTCTAACACATCTTCCCATAGCTGTTGCAACTGTTCCACAGTTGTCTTCCTTTTAGCCAGGAGGACCAGATGCAGAGGTATCTATCAAAAAGGGAGAATAAAACAATGATCAGAGAAAAGCAGAAATAATAGATGGTGAGAGAAGCTCCACAGTGCTGTAGTCCCCATTACCCATTGTTCCTCAGATGCAAACAGATCCCTGCACCTCCTGCTGCATTAAGGAGAACATCAGTGCACTGTCTGCCATTATAGCAGGTGGTTAATACATACTAATTGAGTCGGAATCTGGAGGGGAGCAGATCTAATGTGTTTAATGCCAAAACCTTCACAAAAAATCAAAACAAGCTAAATTGCAAAAACAAATATGTTTTATGAACATTTGGTGTCTTACTTCATTTGACAAAGAAGGGATTCTGTTCTTTGTCTTAGAAGGCAGCACGAGGTAGTGGGATAACTGGCCCAAAGGCAGGAAACTTAAGTTCCGGTCCAGCCGACAAGCTGGTTATCATCCCTTTTTAAGTTCAATTTCCCATCTGTACAATGAAAGGGCTTGATTAGGTGGACTGCAGTCTATTTTCCACGTCCAGATTTTAGAACCTAGAGTCCTTTATGATATAGGGCAACAAATGAAAGCACGTTCTTTTCCTTCAGATGTTAGTCAGATGTTTAAAACATTTGTCTTTTCTTGTGGCTGTGGCATAACTGAACCCCTTCATCTGTGGAAGAATTTTTCACTACATAAGTTTTAGTGGGAGATAGAACTTGTCTTCACTATAGATGCTGAAAACCTCAAATATTCACTCTCCTCTTTCTCTCGTGCCTGGAACTAGGTTGACAGGATCTAGGCCCATCAGACCCAGCTGCCAAGACTGAATTGGAAGCTTGTGACTCAAAAAGCAGGGGCAGCCAAGAGCCCATTCCAGAGGCAGGTGTTGGCAGCAGCTGCTACAGCACACAGTGCTGCCAGTTGTGATCTCCTGTGTCTGTCAAGGCTGAAGGGGACAGGGTACCAGCATGGCATCCTGTGTTCCTGGAGGGAATGTGGGGTCTTCCAGGCACCAGATTGAGAACATGATGGCTGTGATCCTGGCTGGCCCTAGGCCCCGCTTTCTTTCCTGCCTCTCCAGTCTTCTTGTGATTCTATGAGCTGCCCACAATCCCTTCAGTAAGCTCCCTTTTTTAACTTAAATCTGTTGCAGATTTCCCACATTCCCCTTCTGCAAATAAGCAACTAGATTAAAGGAGGGCAGGAGAGTCCTAAAACCAATTCCTCGCAGAAGTCAACCTGGAGATTAAGCAATGTGGTCAAAGGTTCCCTAACACTGACTGTCACCTTCACAGGAAGAATGTAGGAGTTTCACAGGAATAACAGAACCAGAGAGCTCCTGAGAGATCATTTAATCCATTTCTCATTTTTTTTTCCCAAAGAGGCACATTCAGTTAGAAAGGAGAAATAACATGGAAAGCATCACACAGTCAGGTTCAGAGATGGAGCTAGCATTCATGTCCCCCTGATGCCATTTTCAGTATTTGTCTGTCCAAACTGCTGCTAGTTGGTTTGCACATTTTTTCGTTTACATTTTATTTTTTGGTTTGCATCTGTTTTTTTGTATTTAATGAATCCAGGCTTCTTACTTACCTCTTACCCCAACTTCAATATTCTTATCCCTGTAAGTGGCATTGGCCCAGGTGAGGCATTTCACCTTCAGGTTTTAAGAGAAAGCCAGATTCCTCTGGCAAGAGTCAAAGATTCAAGGAGGGTTAGTAAAGTCCCATATTCACAGCAACACTGAGGATTTTTCCTTCCCCAGGGTTCTGCTAGCTATGTCTCAGTACTATACATATAGTATATTATATATACTACATATACTGTATATTATATATACTACATATACTGTATATATAGTATACTACATATACTGTATATTATATATACTACATATACTGTATATTATATATACTACATATACAGTATATGTAGTATACTGTATATACGACATATACTATATATAGTATACTGTATATACGACATATACTGTATATATAGTATACTGTATATACGACATATACTGTATATATAGTATACTGTATATACGACATATACTGTATATATAGTATACTGTATATACGGCATATACTGTATATATAGTATACTGTATATACGGCATATACTGTATATATAGTATACTGTATATACGGCATATACTGTATATATAGTATACTGTATATACGGCATATACTGTATATATAGTATACTGTATATACGGCATATACTGTATATATACTATATATATATAGTTGTGTGTGTGTGTATATATATATATTTTTTTTCTTTTTTTGAGATGGAGTCTCACTCTGTCACCCAGGCTGGAGTGCAGTGGCACATGATCTCGGCTCACTGCAACCTCTGCCTCCTGGGTTCAAGTGATTCTCCTGCCTCAGCCTCCAGAGTAGCTGGGACTACAGATGCCCATCACCATGCCCAGCTAATTTTTGTATTTTTAGTAGAGATGGGGTTTCGCCATGTTGGCCAGGTTGGTCTCGAACTCCTGACCTTGTGATCCACCTGCCTTGGTCTCCCACAGTGCTGGGATTACAGGCATGAGCCACTGCGCCTGGCCTCAGTATTATAAGTTTTTAGATGGTAGAGATCTGCAAACTGTGGAAAAACACAAAGCTATCAGAAAATGCAAAATCATCAGAATTCTTTAAATATGCCTGAAGTTATGCTTGTTGGCATCTGCCTCAGAAATGCCAACCCTGACTACTCATTGACTCCTGGGAAAGAACATCCTTAACAAAAGACAGCAAGTGAATGATTGCCTGTGAAGCTGAGGGGAGAGACATCAATGTGAGACCTAGGCATATTCAGGCAGGCAAGGTATGGTTCCCTGCAGCTAGTGAGGATCTACCCTTAATCCTGGAGCTCTTTGTGATCCTTCTAGCCCCTTCAAGCTAGAGATGTAGCCATTAACCTTTTAAAAGAACCAGCTTTTGACTTCCTTGAATTTCTTTATTGTGTTTCTGTTTTCTATTCTATTGATTTCTGCTCTAATCTTTGTTTTCTTTATTCTGCTTTCTTTGGGTTTTATTTGCTTTTGTTTTTCTAGTTTCTTAAGATGGAAGCTGATGTCACTGATTTGAGACTCTTCTTTTTTTTCTGTTATTTATGTTCACTGCTATAAATTTTCCTCTTATTATTGCTTTACCTGCATCTCACCCATTTTGATAGTTGAGTTTTCCTTTTCTTAGTTCAAATCATTTTCTAACTTCTAGTACAACTTCTTCTTGACTCATGGGCTGTTTGGAAATGTGTTATTTATTTTCGAATATGTGGAGATTTTCCAGTTTTCTGTTATTAATTTCTAATTTAATTGCTAGGCAGGCAGAAAACACACTTTCTATGACTTGAGTCCTTTAAAATTTATTGACACTTTCTTCATGACCAAGACTATGGTCTGTTTTGGTAAATGTTCCTTTTGTTCTTGAGAAGAATGTGTATTCTGCTGTTTTGGGTGTAGTATCCTAAAAATGTAAATTAAATCTAGGTAGTCAATGTTTTTTTAAAGTCTTCCATATCCTTACTGGTTTTCTGTTTACTTGTTCCAGTAATTATTGAGAGAAGGTTGTTGCAATCTTAATCTGTAAGTGCGGACAAAGGATAAATGCATGAAGTAAATGATACCCCATGTTTCGTGATGTGATTATTATGCATTGCATGCATGTATCAGAACATCTCATGTACCCCATGAATATACACACCTACTATGTACCTACAAAAATAAAAAGTGAAAAATTATGTGAAAAATTATGTGAAAAATTATAAGTGTGGCTTTCTCTCTTTCCTCTTGTGGTTATATCAGGCTTTCATCTCTACTCTTAAGTGCATAAGCATTTAGGATTGTTATCTCTGCTTGATGAATTGGTCCATTTATCACTGTTAAATGATCCTCTTTATCTTTGGTAATATTCTATTCTTTGCTCTAAAATTTTCCTGGACTGCTATTAATCAAGATACTTTAGCTTTTATTTTTTAAATTTAATGTTAGCATAATATATCTTTTTCACACTTTGACTTTTAACCAGTTTATATTTTTGTATTTAAACTGATTTCTTTTAAGCAGCAAATGGTTGAGACTTGCTTTTTAATACAATCCGAACATGTCTGTCTTTTAATTGGAGTATTTAGATTATTTACATTAAATGTGATTATTTGTATGATTGGGTTTAAACATACTATTTTGCTATTTCATTTCTATTTGTCCCCTCTGTCCTTCATTCCATCCCCATTTTTTTCCTGCCTTTTTTGGATCACATGATTTTTTAAAATAATTTATTTTATTATTCTTTTTGTTGGCAAATTAGCTGTTACTCTTTTTTGTTTTATTTTAATGGCTGCTTTAGGGTTGTTGTATTCACCTTAACTTTATTCCAGTTTTTCTTCACATGATATCCTGTGTCACATCAAGTATTTAAACCTTGCAAGAGTATGCCTACATTTCTCCCCTCTTGGCCTTTGCGCTGTTATTGCACATTTGACTTCTACCTATGTTATAAATCCCACAGTACCTTGTTAGTATTTTTGTTTTAAAAAGTCAATTATCTTTACAGAGACTTAAACAATGATAAAAATGTTTTTGTATTTTCTCCTTTTGTTGCCATTTTCCCCATTCAGGACCCTTCCTGCCCACTACCTCCTTCAAAGCAGTCTTAGGAGTACTATTTATTCATTGATTTATTTGCTGTTTTTTGAGACGGAGTCTTGCTCTGTCACCCAGGCTGGAGTGCAGTGGCATGATCTCGGCTCACTGAATCTTCACCTCCGCGGTTCAAGCAATTCTCATGCCTTAGCCTCCAGAGTAGCTGGGATTACAGGGGTGTGCCACCACACCCAGCTGATTTTTTGTATTTTTAGTAGAGATGGGGTTTTACCATGTTGGCCAGGCTGGTCTCGAACTCCTGACCTCAGGTGATCCACCCACCTCAGCCTCCCAAAGTGCTAGGATTACAGGCATGAGCCACCACACCCAGCAGGAGTACAATTGAAAAACAAGGGTTACAAATTTCTCTTCTTGCTGTAGCCAGAGTTGGTTTATCTTGCTTTGCTGTCAGTGAAACCGGGGATCAGCTAGCTATTAAAAGCACGTTGAGGTTTGTTTATTACTCAGTATTGTGGGAGCAATAAAAGGACATCATCCTTCCTGAAAATCACCAAGCTCCTCACAATTTTCTGAACATTTTGCATCTCCTCTATTTGCTGAAATAGATGATGTTTCTAAAATACAATGCACCTGGAATAACTTTCATATATCCTTCAGCATTTGGGTGTTGGAACTTCCAAGAGGAGGCAATGAGACAATTTGGACACTTGTCGCCCCCTCAGTTCTTGGCATTGCCATTATACCCTGGGAGTGCCAAGGTCTTGGCAACTTCCAGACTTAGTTGTTTGAGCTGCAGGTGCTATGTACAGACAGCCCAACAGATGACCATTATGAACTTGGCACCTACAGACCAGCTTTTGGAGAGGAGAGAAGGTGTAGTCATCCCTACTGTCACCATAGGCCTTGATGCAGAATGCAAAGCTGGCACAGAAAGCTGATCTAAGCGGGCCAGGTGCCTGGTAACATCCTTTTCACATTAGCCAGCTGTTTTTTCTTGGCTGGCGTCACCAGGAAAGCTTGTCCTGATCCCATCAGACACATGGTGGTGTGCAGACATGGTGAAGCTCTGGCATAAGTAACTCACCAAGTTGGCAGAGGAACACAGGAATAGGTCAGGGTGCCCTTTGCCACTGCTGCCTGCACAATGAAAGCTGGATGTCTCCCAGAGGGGGCTGCCAGGCTTCTGGTCGACAATTCTAATCCCATAGTTCCCAAAAAAGAGCACATATAACCATATAGACACTAATAAGGAGTATAGTTTAGGCTAGAGCTTAGGAAGAAGCTACACTAAACCCAACTAACATTTACTGATTGGCACAAAGACATTGTGCCAGGGACTAAGTGTAGTTCAAAGAAGTGTGATCCATGTCCTGGTCTTTCATGTATTCAAATCTGGCTGGAAAGATGGGACATAATGGTCAAGAGGTAACTGATAATAATAAAAGGGATGACTTAATGAGGCAACACATGCATTGGCAAATGAGGATGGTAGATGGTGGGTTTTAGAAGGCAGAAATGTGCTGGTTTTTAAAAGGAATCAGACCTCATCGGTTAGTACAGAAATAGTGAACCAATTTGAAGGAGATAATATCATGTACTTAAGACCAGAAACCAAGTGTTTGAGGCAGAGGGAGGCCAAGGAGGAAGCTTAGCCTCCCTCTGCCTCAAACTGAGTCCAATAACTGAGATGTTATTGGACTACTACTGCAGAGATGAAAAACATGGGTTGTGAAGCTCTATAATTTACTGGCTGTTATCATCTTGAGCAAGTTATTTCACTCTCTAAATCTCAGTTTCTTCATCTGCAAAATGGGAAAAATAATATTACTAGGTTCTTTCAAAAAGTTGTTATAAGGATTAAATAAACAAATACATAGTAATTAAGCACAAAACAGTGTCTGACACAGAATAAATATTTGATAAATATTAGCTAATACTGGTGGTTTTATCAGTGGTAGTAAAGTATTGGGACATACCTTAAAATAAAGTATGTGACCTGCAAGATCTTAATAGTATCCTCTTTTCACATGAGGTACCTGAGGCTGAAAGATTATACAACTAGTTAGAGGCAGGGCCTGTGAGCAGACTCAGGTGTTCTGACTTCCCATCTCGTGCTCTTCCCACCACACGCCATCATAGTCTATACTTGATTTTAGTATATGTGCTGCCGAAGCGAGCACATAGCCTATACTTGAAAAGCCAGGAATGGGTAAGTGAGACCAATTAGGGGCAGAATGGGGGCAGATTTGACTTTGTTTTCACCTTAATTTGTTATTATCCTTTTGATGCTGGGTAAACTGTGATCTTTTGTTCAGGGTTCTTTATGCAGTTGCCTGCCAGCTCTGATAACCAGCTGGAAGGCAGCAGCAGAATCTGGTATTTGACAGGGAAACTGCCTAGTGCATCTCACAAGGGCCTGGCAGTCAGCCCGCACGTGGCCTGGGCAGGCGCTCCCTGGCCAGGTTTCAGGTCGGCATAAAGTGATTCATTTTTGTTGTCCATTTGAAGGAAGCAGGAGAATCACAGGGCTTTAATGAGCATATCTAATTGGAGCTTTTTCTCAGGAGAAGAGAATGTGTTCTCTCGATGTCTGTCATATGAAGAGGAAAGACAAGAATCTAATGACCTGAGCACAGCAGGGCTCTATTTGAAACACTGAAGACTTAGCTGTGGGGAAGCTCCAGGATGTCAGGAAGAAACACTTCCAGTAGAGAGGCTGCCCGAGAAAGAGGAACTCTGTATCTACAGGAAACTGGGGAGGGAAGCGTGGTTAGGTATTTTTCACTGGAGTGAGGATGTATTGGCTTGGGTTTGAGGTTTTCCAAATAACCAAAAGCAATGCAAAGTCCTCTTTCTTATTAGTTGTATACTGTAGCTTTCTTAGCTTAGTTCAGTAGGCCTAGATAAAAAGAAACAGTAGATCTAATACAATTCAGATCCACAAATGTGCATTAGGTGTTTATTACACAGAAGGCAAGAAAAATGTTTGAAAATACTGTATAAAGATGAAGTTGACGTGGTCCTTGCCTTCTGGAAACTCCCGATCTACTTGTGGAGATATGTAGTGAAATGTTATACATACCTTTTGGGGCTGCTGCTCTCTTCACAATGATTCCTTTTTCTTTAGGGACAGCCTCTGATGCTCAGATAAGGGAGGTCTCTAGTGGAGCTGTACTATGTGGGTAACCTTCCAACTCTCACTATAGCAAATTGGACACTGGACATTAGCTGAGCTGATCTATTCTCTCTCTCTCGTTTAAAACTAAAAACAAAAGAGACAGAGAGACTGGGTGTCATTGAAAATGGCAGTACAGAGAAGATTCATGAATCCCAAACAGTTCTTTTCTTTAGAAAGTCCTTCACTATTTCACTTCCTTTACCACTAGAAGACATGTTGCAGTCTTTCCCAATAATTGTTCTTTGCATAAATTAGTTTGAGTTGGCTTCCTGTCACCCACATCCAAATAAGCCTGATTCATAGAAATGATATGATTTTAAAAAGTGATCAGTTGAAAATCTGTGGAAATAGCCAGAGAGAGGGAGGTGAAGGCGAAAGAATAGCTGATATCTCTAAATGCCTCTAACAAATATAACGGGAGGCTATACATCTAATTACCCTCACAGAACAGAGCTCAGAATGCCAGAGATGTCACATACTGATGAATCGCTTGGTATTTACTAACAGTGTGGTAGAGCAAAGGGAATTCTAACTTGGGAGTCAGAAGTAATTTTCTCGGGCTAGTTTTTTTGTTGTTGTTGGTTTTTTTTTTTTTTTTTTTTTTTTGAGACAGAGTCTCACTCTGTCACCAGGCTGGAGTGTAGTGACATGATCTCAGCTTACTGCAACCTCTGCCTCCTGGGTTCAAGCGATTCTCCTGCCTCAGCCTCCCAAGTAGCTGACACTACAGGCATGCACCACCATGCCCAGCTAATTTTTTTTTTTGAGACGGAGTCTCGCTCTGTCGCCCAGGCTGCAGTGCAGTGGCGCAATCTCTGCTCACAGCAAGCTCCACCTCCCGGGTTCGCGCCATTCTCCTGCCTCAGCCTCCCGAGTAGCTGGGACTACAGGTGCCCGCCACCATGCCCGGCTAATTTAATTTTTGCATTTTTAATAGAGACGGGGTTTCACCATGTTGGCCAGGATGGTTTCGATCTCTTGACCTCTTGATCTGCCCGCCTCGGCCTCCCAAAGTGCTGGGATTACAGGTATGAGCAATCACGCCCGGACTTCTGGTGCTAGTTCTACTATTAAAAACCTGGGTGACTTTGGACATGTTGTTCCTTCTTACTAGGTCTTAGTTTCAATATATGTAAAATATACAGGATGAACTTAACAATCTTCGAGGCCTCTTCCAAGTCTATGATTATTGGCTGATATAAATAATAGATTGTGATATCCATCTACATAAGCAATAGCAAAAGTAGATCCAATAATTCAAATGATGTAGAAAAGATAAAGGAAGGTATGATGCTTAAAATTGAGTGTCAACTTGATTGAATTGAAGGATGTGAAATACTATTCCTGGATGTGTCTGTGAGGGTGTTGACAAAGGAGATTAACATTTGAGTCAGTGGACTGGGAGAAGCAGACCCACCCTCAATCTGGGTGGGCACCATCTAATCAGCTGGCAGCACGGCTAGCATAAAAGCAGGCAGAGGAACGTGGAAGGGCTAGACTTGCTGAGTCTTCCAGTCTTCATCTTTCTCCCATGCTGGGTCCTTCCTGCCCTCGAACATTGAACTCCAGGTTCTTCAGCTTTTGGACTGGTGGACTTACACCAGTGGTTTGCCAGGGGCTCTCAGGCCTTCGGCCACAGACTGAAGGCTGCACTGTTGGCTTCCCTACATTTGAGGTTTTGGGATTTGGACTGGCTTCCTTGCTCCTTGGCTTGCAGACGGCCTGTTGTGGGACTTCACTTTGTGATTGTGTGAGTCAGTACTTCTTAATAAACTTCCTTTTATATATACGTCTATCCTATTAGTCCTGTCCCTCTAGAGAACCCTGATTAATACAGAAGGGTAAAAATGGATTTATGCAAAGAGGATTTAACAGTCAATATGGCAACAGAGGATTCATTTGCCATAGATATTTTCTAAATAAAGCTTAATGGGAAAATGTGAATGTCTATGAAAACATAGTTTGATGTTACACTTGGTATGTCCTCATTAATGGAAAGTTTAGTTCAGTTCAACTCAATAAATATTTATGTAGCCTACACCAAGTACTGTGTTATGCACAAGAGATTGAGAGATGGACTAAGAAAGAGTTTCTGCCATCAGGCAGAGGTTTTCTATTGCTAACTATTTCAACAAGTTATTTCATCCTTCTCCTTCCAGTGTATGTGCCTGATAATTTTTCAATTGAAGAGAGCATCGCCAGAAATAATTATTGATGATAATATTAATAATAGCTAAATATTTTGAGTGCTTACTGTGAGTCACTGTACTAGGTATGTGACTTGCGTTATCTCATTTAATAGGTAATACATGTAAGGTTGGAGCTATTACTATACATTTTATGAATAAGGAAATTAAGGCCTAAGGAACACTTGGCCCAAAGTTACACTTCACTTTAGGCATGCCTGCCTTCAACATCCATGGTCTTAATATACTATAGGGAATTGTTTCAGTATAATACCTGTATTATAATTAATGTTTATCAAGTACTATGTGTGAGGAGCTGGGCCGAGAGTTTATAAATCAAGGTAACCTAGGTAGGAAGACATTGTGGACTCATAATTCTTTGGGACTTTCTAACCATTGAAGCTGGCCAAAAATGGAAAAGATGGACTGAAGAATCATGAGTTTCTTGCCAGTTACATATGTTGCTCTAAGCTGGATGATACTTAGAGATGTTTTAAGAATATGTGAATCCTTGTACTGGAGAAAGAGAGTTAACACAGGAAACTCCTTAGATCTCTTGCATCCCTGGCTCCTATGAAAATGCTGAAGTTGGTTCTTTAAGATGCGGCCTGGGGGGAAAACAACTCTTAGACCTATCAGAAAACCTGTCAAGGAGCATAGAGTATTACCAGGGTTAGCCACGCAATCATAGGACTTTTATCTTGCACAGACTATAGATCAATAAAATTAATGCAATCAGTTTGAGCCCAGCTTCTCATGGAGAGAAGGGGTGCAATTTCTCATGTGTGGACTGCACAATGCATACGCCTCCTGCAGCTCAAGTCAATGAATGATTTTTGCTACTTTGCAACGCAAACTCCAGTTCTTGTGATATGGCTTTCCTTGAGTGTCAGATAAAACCCAATGCTTTGGTATATTTCCTCAGCCAAGGCAAAAAGCATAGCTTAAACCAGAAACAGTACCTTGGCTACTGAATTTTCACCACTGGATTGGTTGTTCTACCAGGAATAGTAAGTATTGCTCCCACTTAGTTCATTGTCAGCCTCTGGCTTTGTTGCTGTACAGCATGTGAGCATGCAACGAGTTATTTTCTCGTCTTAAAAAACATATGAATAGGACTTCTGAAACTAGCATTTCTTGGATTTTGTAATCTTAAATGGACCCAAGCTTTAAATGCATGAATGAGCACGGGATAATATAGGAACTGTGTGAATGATCAAATGAGATGGAACCAGGGCCCAAAACTTAATATTTAGTATTTCTATTATATAAACTGTCATTTATTCGTAGCATGTCAAAGGGATTACCAGGTCTAACCACCGTATGTATAAATGGGAAAAACTGAGGAACAAGTGGAGAAAGTGACTTACTTTTCCAAGGTCACATGGACATAGCAGCAGAACTGGAACTGGAGTGAGAGACCGTGGAGATCACATTCACCCCAGGGCTCTTGTCTCTACTCTCCTGCTCACTTATCCAGTTCCACTCCACTGTGGTGGGGTCTGAGCTGTGGAGCTGGGCAGTGACATGCTTATAGGAGCACTGATGGGACAGGAAGTGGCAAATGTCTCAGCCCCAGGCTCAGAGCTGGACTAACTGTGTGGCTAATTATGGATGATTTCTCCGGAACTTTTGAGGCTCCATGCTGCTGCTGCTGCTTTTTTTTTCTGAGACGGAGTCTCGCTCTTGTTATCCAGGCTGCAGTGCAGTGACACGATCTCGGCTCACCTCAATCTCCGCCTCCTGGGTTCAAGCGATTCTCCTGCCTCAGCCTCTCAAGTAGCTGGGATTACAGGCACCCGCCACCATGCCCGGCTAATTTTGTATTTTCAGTAGAGACGGGGTTTCTCCATGTTGTGAACATGCTGCTTCTTAAGCCAATCAACGTAGGATAAGGCAGGGCCTGAAGCAATGAACAGCCGGCATGGCAAGAGTTCTTGTTGAAAGGCTTTGGGGACACAGGTGAGGTGTGAGTGAGATCCTCAAGCACAGATTTTCATGACCTTTTCTTCTGAATGTGGAAGAGGTTTGCAGTGTATCTAGTGGAAGAAAGGATAAGGAGAAAGGATGAGACACCAGGCAGAAGGTGAAGAAACTGTTTTCTTAGAGTTCTCTAGGAGACAATAAAGATAAACATATTATTTCTTTGAGGTGATGTGGTGCAGTTTCCTCAGTCTCTGTGAGGATCCGGTGTCCCGAGGCCATCTGCCAGCTTGAGAAAGCAGCTTTGCCTGTGAGAAAGGGATTAGAAGCCTCAGTCAAGGATCAAGGCAGCTAGAATGGCGGAGTCAGGTACCTCAAGGGGCTTTCTGGCAGGAGACTACATTGATAGGAATGTACAGGGTCACCTAAGACAAATATTTGTAGATGGTGACGGGGAGGAGAGGATTTTGTAGGGGGGTGGGTTCCTGCATTATGCTAATAGATTCTGAGAGCCTGAGAAATGTAAGTTATCAAGGTTAAGAAATAATGAAAAACATGAGATAACGCAGGATAAAAGTCACCGTTCCTCCACATGAGATAACGCAGGATAAAAGTCACTGTTCCTCCCTCTTTCTACCTTTCTCAACTTCCCAAGGATGCTCCTTAGGAACTTCTTTTCAAGGCTGCCCTTGATGTCCATTTATTTTTAAATATGTAATTAAATGGCTATGCAGAGGAAAAGTACCTGATATTATTTGCCATCAACTCTAAGCCCTTTGGTTTATGATCTGCTTGCTTTTAAACATTTTAAAATTGCATTTCCTTGCTATCTACAAATTGCATGCCTCTATAATAGATACTGCAAAGCATACAGCCATGAATAAGATAAGGTTCCTGGGCTTCAGGAGCTAACAACACTAGAAATGGGAGAGAAGATGTATTCACAGCTGCCATAGACTGCTGTTGTGGTGAGTAGCTTGAGTGATACGAAAGAAGCACTTTAGGAATTGAGGCAGAAGGAAGCATATCTTGCAGGTGCCAGCAAGGCTGACTTGATGGACAAGCTGACATTTTTCTTAGACTTAAACCCATCCAAGTGGGATAATTTGTTTTCATTGCAATAAAAATATTTAATTATATGAAGTGCACACAAGTGTTTAATAATAGAAATATATTTATTTCTATAATATTTGTTCAAGAAATGCAAAAATAAAATGCTGATTGTCTTCTGACTTGAATAATTCTTGGTAGACTGGTGTCAAGCAGTATGCAACTACAAGGTCCCAAGTCATCAACCCCAAACTCAGTTTGACCAGAGGGCTGTTTCTCTGCCATTCCATGTATAGTTGTTGAGATTGGATGGGGTCCAATGAATAGCACCCTTCTTGTTCACTTGAGTTCTGAACCAAAGGGAAAATAAGGCTTAAGAGTAAGGTAGGTTGGGAGCCAACATATTATTTTTCTTTTTTTTTTTTTTGAGACGGAGTCTCGCTCTGTCGCCCAGGCTGGAGTGCAGTGGCGGGATCTCGGCTCACTGCAAGCTCCGCCTCCCGGGTTCACGCCATTCTCCTGCCTCAGCCTCCCAAGTAGCTGGGACTACAGGCGCCCGCCACTACGCCCGGCTAATTTTTTGTATTTTTAGTAGAGACGGGGTTTCACCATTTTAGCCGGGATGGTCTCGATCTCCTGACCTCGTGATCCGCCCGCCTCGGCCTCCCAAAGTGCTGGGATTACAGGCGTGAGCCACCGCGCCCGGCCCATATTATTTTTCTTACCAATGAAGTTGATGTTGGAAAATGTAGTTTCTATTTATAGGCTGGCAGGCTTACTAATACTGAATCCCAGAAGTAGCAAGACTTAACCACAGCACCCCTGCTCTGTGCCTGCCCTTGTAAGACTCAAGGGATCGAGATGCAGAGCAGGTGCATGCTTCCTGCAGAAAGATCAGAACTCAGAGTGAAAAAGAAAAGATGAAGGGCCAAGAATATGCAGATTCATTTCTTAGTCCCAACCAATCAGACACAGCCCTTCTCCCCATAGGGAGGAGTAAAGAGTGGAGAGGGGACAGGGTTTCTTTGGTCATGAAGACTTCTCATGGAAGGGCAGGGTAGAGAGAGCCTTTCTCTCTCCCAGCTCCCCCACAATAATTGCCCTGAGAAACTAGCTGGAATCAGAGCAGCAGATACAATATTTATCTTATTTTCACTTCAAAGAACCTGTCACACACTAAATGAAAGGCAATGAAAAAAACCTGCAAAACAAAACAAAGATCCCCAAACCAAAGAGACATACTCTTTTGTCCTCTCTTCTACTTCCCGGAGGACACCTCTTCATTTCCATGTTTATTAAATCATGGCCACAGAAAATCCTGACTCAGTTTACCTTTCACTTCATTATACTTTAAGACTGTCATTTAATGAGTGGTGTCATGCAGAGGCATTATCTCTCAGGATGTGATGGTGAGGGACATGGGTCTTTGAAGTCAGCTATTTTTTTAGGACATGTGTCTATCTATCCATTCATCATTTTACCCCACATTGTTAGGTCCTCTTTTTACCTGGGTTGTGAGGTATGTGTGTTCGTGTGTGTGCAGACCTGTGTGAAAGAGAGAACGAGAGAGATCCTAGCTTCCCATCAGTCCTTCCTGTTCTTAGTGAGTTCCTGCTTATTCAAGAACTCTCTGGCCCACTCTAAATTCCCCAGATCCATCCCTTTGTACTCCCACAACTATAGAAAAATATACACGTATTCTTTATATAGAGAATAGCTCCATACATCTTATCCTCAATACCCACATGTTGCAAACAGATATAGATTTAATAAATGAGAATTCACACATGCAGCAAAGGATCCCGGCATGCTGACCTCTCTAGGAGCCAGTATGCTAGCTCATCAGGAAACCTGGGTTCATTCTCAACCAGCCATGCAATTTTGATAAAGTGTCCTTCAACCTCTGTGGCCCTCGCTTCCTTCTTCTGTAATAAGGGAGTAGAATTTCATTTTTTTTGTAGGTTAGTGGGTAGGACTTACTGGTTTAAATATGTAAAACATTACAATTATGCATTTTGTATTTTTCTTGTAAAAATTCAAACAACACTCAAGTAACATGAAGAAAAAAGAAGAGGCCACTTATTTATGCTTACAAATATGTATTCAATGAGTCTCTCTGCCCATCTACTCTCTATCACATTGCTTATTGATTTTCTTCTTAGCTCTTAGAATCCAAAATTGTATCTTGTTTGTTTGTTTGCTCTCCCACTTACAGTTAAGTTCTATCAAGACAGGGATTCTATCTTTTCCTCTGTCCCTCACATATAGTAGATGCTCAACAAATAGATACTGACTGAGTGAAGGATGCAATGGGCATAATACCCATTGCAGGGAAGGCCCAGAGACAGAAGAGCACTGGGTTAGGACCAGGGAGAATCATGGGTAACTGAGTAAGGAGAGCTAGGAAGCAGATGACAGGAGAAAGAGTGAAGTCACTGTCAGGATTCAGAGTTCTACAATGAGTTTATCTTCTGGGTCCTCCAAGCTCTCTAGTTTGGTTCCACATCAAATCATATTATATTGCCACCAGCAAGAAACTCATGCATGAGGGACTGCTCCATACATCCTAGGATTTGAAACTTGGTCTAGGGTTTTATTTTTTGAAAGTAGCTCTTAGCACATCTATTTTATATTTCACTTTCAAGAAGGCTCGACTGCTCTTTAAATTCACAACTTATTTTTCTAGATTTGTTGTGATTTGACTTTATTTGGTCACTTGGAGTTGGAAGAACTTAATAGAGTAGCTTTTCAGAAACCCATTATGGTGCATTATCCACTTTCTGTGAGTTAACCAAAGTACAGATTTCTCTAACAGTTAAAAAAGGAAGGCCATGGTTCTCCAGAACCATTAAGGTATGTGATAATCTCATTAAATTTCTTGGTACAATTAGCTACTTCATTTTCCTTAAGGGATATTCATATTCTCTCCAATTAAGGTATTTTTAGCTTTTCTGAAGTATGTAAATTTCTTTATAAAAGGAAAAAGCTCCATTTATTTTTGTTGCTTGAACAAATTCCATTTATCCCTTCCAATAATTTTAGGTGTATGTTTCTTACTTGGAAATATAAATGGCATTTAAAGGTCAAGGAATGATTTATTTACAGCACTGATACCTCATTGAGAAAGTGCTGAGGCCTCTGAATTCCAGCATCTTGTCTATTGTGAAGAACATCAGTCACTGAGTGGGAAGAGCAGGGAATCTTTAATCAGGCCTGAGTTCAGACTGCAGCCCGAGCCTGGCTGCCTATCCTTGGAGAACCTCCTAATCAACCCACTTCTCACTATGGATTGCAGTTGCAAGAACTGCTGGAACAAACTTATTTTTGCTATTAAAATGGAAATCAACAGAAAAATGTGATTTTTAAAAAATGATAATTTTTCAAGAGCATTTAGCTGCAACAGAAGTACCTAAATTCATTAGATATATTAGTGAGGTTAATACACAAATTCTCACCGTAAAGGACCATCTTACTATTGTTATAGGAACAAATTTTAAGCAAAACATAATTTAACATATCAGTTTGTAATCAATATCTGTAAACATAGAAACTTTCTAATCTCTAAAATCTAAGCTGCATTTTTCGTCCTCATTCCAAAACTTTGTTCTTTGTTGCCAGTATATCACCATTAGACTAAAGAAACTCAAAGTGGTTATAATTGAGATGTTATTTGATTCTTATTTTAGCCTTAAGTTAGCATATTAATAAAACAGCATATGAGTGTCCTGCTGTTTAAATTGTAAGCTAAATTTTCAGAATGGGCTTGTAGCCTAGTAACAACAGAGACTTATTGGAACATCACTAACTTTTCTCCATGACTTAGGCCCTTTATTATTATTTATAAATAAATAATAAATGTATTCTTCAAGCTGTAGTTTTGGAGAAGAGATTAATATTGGAGGAGAAAAAAGAAAAAGCAAGAGAATGGAAGGAAAAGAAAGAAAGGATACAGAGAAGTTCAGAGAAGTAAGGAGAGAATAAAGAAATTTTAAAAAAAGAAAAGAAACACCGAGAAATGTTTTTCCTTTTCTAGGCCCTAAACTGCCTTTTGAGTCATATAGTAATAATAGAATTGCAGGGCCTTTTTTTTGGTAACAATCCATTTCATTTTATTTTATTTTAGGAGGTCTTTTTTAAAGAAAAACTTTATTTTGAAATAATTATAGAAATACACAAAGTTGCAAACATAGTACAGAGAGGTCTAGTGTGTCCTTCCCTCAGTTTTCTCCATTGGTGCCGTCCTATTTAACTAGAACACAATATTGAACCTAGGAAATTGCCATTGGCACAGTGTGAGTGTGTACAGCTGTATGTCCCTTTTCACGTGTAGATTGATATGTCTACTGCAATTAAGATACAGAAGTAATCCATCACTACACTTATCCCTCTCCTTCTACTTCTTCATACTCACAACTCTCCCCTTTTCCTCTTTCTCTCATCCCCCCTGCCCCTTTTATTTTTTTGGGACAGAGTCTCCCTCTGTAGCCCAGGCTGGAGTGCAATGGTGTGATCTCGGCTCACTGCAACCTCTGCCTCCCGGGTTCAAGTGATTCTCCTCCCTCAACCTCCCAAGTAGCTGGGATTACAGGTGCCCACCACCACGTCTACCTAATTTTTTGTATTTTTAGTAGAGACGGGGTTTTGCCATGTTGGCTAGGCTGGTCTTGAACTCCTGATCTCAGGTGATCCTCCCACCTCAGCCTCCCAAAGTGCTGAGATTACAGGTGAGCCACCACACCCAGCCTCTTCCCTCATCCTTAAATCCTAGAAACCTTTGATCTGTTCTATCACTAGAATTCTGTTATTCCAACGATGTTACATAAATGATTTCATACGATATATAGTTTTGAGATTGGCCTTTCCTACTCAGCATGATTTCCTTGAGATTTATCTTTCTTACTGTTTGTGTGTATTGATAGTTTGACCCTTTATGTTGCTAAATAGTATTTCAAGAATTGTGTTTAAATGAGCTGATGATGCTAAAATGCTCTTTATGCAATAAGGTAGTTTAAATAACCCTATTCTAACTCAGAAAATCAGTAATCCTATGTGACATAGTCAATTTGTTTCATAGAGGCCTCCGTGCTTTGCACATGCTAGGTGCTCTCCTACAAGTGCCCATCTCGCAGCAACCCAGTTCACATCTCAGCTTCGCAGAATCCCTCGCTGATCCTTGTAGTTGTCTGGTTCATTCCTCTCTCCCATGCCTTGTCCAAGGAGTTGTTGCAAGCTTGTTCTCCTCTGCGCTCCCACTGCATCTTGCTCTTACCTTTATCAACTGTGTGTCCCCATGTTTGTTCTCTGGTGTTAGACTCAGTGCCTTTCGGGGTAGGGAGCATCTTCTTGCAATCTCTGACAATGGCCTGCTCTCAATAAATGTTGGTTGTATTGACTTTGAGCTTAAGTTAATTAGGCTATGGGTTCTGACTTTGCCGACACATGGAAGTCACCTGGGCAGGCTTAAAAAAATTCGGATGCTGGGTCTCACCTGCAGAGATTTCAACTCGATCAATCTTAGGTGCAGCTAGGACACTGGAATTTTAAAAGCTCTGCAGATGGTTCTAATGTTCAGTCAAGATCTGGAACCACTGCCTTGGTCAATATAAAGAACAAAACCACTGTATTAGATAGGATTTAATCTATATAAGAAACACTGTATTTGGTTGTTCTTTTTTTTTTTTTTTTACTTGCGCACGGTACTTTTTTGTTGTCATTGAAAACAAGCATTTACTTGCATTTTGATGTTTAGATGTCTCCTATTGTTAACAGAAAGGTTTTATGTTTGAATCAGAATACAATCTTGAGAATTTTGCCTGTCACTTTGATTCTATGGAATACATTCTGCAGGCAGGAAATGTGTGTGCTATACCCTCCATAAAATTTAAATCAATTCAAAACCCATTTCTGAGGCTTCTAAAAGTAGTCATTAACCAGTGGTTCTCAACCTTGGCTGCACATTAGAGTCAGCTGGGGAGTTTTAAACATTCCAACGCCCAGGCTGTACCCCACACCAATTAAATGACATTCTCTGGAGATAAGAGCCAGGCACCAGCACTTTGTAAAGCTCCGCAGGTGATGACAATGTATCGCCCAGACTGAAAAACCATTGTCCCGAATGAACACAGTTCCTAGATGAATACATTCCTAATTCATCTTTATAAACATATTCATTAACACTTTTTTGTTTACATAAATTAACTATTATACTAATTGGGTGAAAAATAGAAAGTATCCCTTATTCTAGCCTCATGCTTTAAAAAAAACCTTAGTTGTTATTAATGTATGCATGACATTGTGCTATTAAAATGCTTTCATCTCCACTAGTTCATTTATTTCTTACAAAATAAAACAAAAAAGCAAGATAAAAAGGAGCAATGATTATTAACTTTGTACGTTAATTTTACAGATGAGAAAACCAAACCATAGACAGATAAAGCAATGCAGGGCATAGGATGAGGCATGAAAGCCTCCTAGAGCTTGAAATTCAAGGAGGCACTCACTGTCAGTCTCAGAGTTGTGCAAGTACAGGTTGGCACCTGAGTGGGGGTGCTACCTTAAGTTGTGTGCCTTAGTTAACTCATCTCACTTTAGTCCCAACCCTGAAAGCGGCTTATCCCAAATCATATGGCAGTGGGAGGATAAGTGCTAAGATCAGACTCTGGGGCAAATATGGCTTTCTCTCCCTACCTTGCCTTATAGATTAGGAAATCCACACTTACATTAGAAAATGCAGAATTCCACCTGCTTTAGCTTAGTGCGGAGGCCTGAATAATACCCCCCACCGAGGAAGCCCACATTCGAATCCCCAAACCTGCGAACAGGTTATCTCATATGGCAAAATGGACTTGATGGGCATGATCAAATTAAGGATCATGAAATGGTAGGATTATCCTGAATTATCTGGTGGGACCGGTGTAATCATAAGGGTCTTTATAAGAGTGAGGCAGGAGAGTCAGAGTCGGAGAGGGAGATGTGGAGACAGAAGCCGAGGGGGATGCAATGCTATTCTTGAAAGGAGGTCATCAATCAGGATAAATCAGGCAATGTAGACAACCTTTAGAAGCTGGAAAATGCAACATCCTAAAGCCTTCTGAGGGAACACGGCTCAGCTGATACCTTGACTTTAGTCTATAATACCTGTTTTGGACTCCTGACATTCCTGAACTATGAAATAATATATTTATGTTGTTTTAAGTCAATAAGTTTGGGTAATTTGTTATAGCAGCAATAGAAAACTACATACTTAGTTTAAAGTACTCGCTTAGTCTAATAAAACCATATTCAACTATAGTCACTAATAAGACTCCTGGATGTAAAAAACTAATTTAATGATTGTCATTTGCTACAGAAATACAAGTAGGCACTTAATTTATGTATGACTAACAGGTAAGCTCATAGAAAACACCTGGATCCCTTCTTTACTAAAGGTCTGTATTTACTTTGGCTATGTAATGAGGCTTTGATTTGCTTCTCTCTTCCCAAAATCTGACTAATTGCTGCCCTCCTTAAGAAATTGGAGGAGCCAGTATTGCTCTTCTTGTGTCACGTTCTAAGGTCAAACAGCCTTTGATCATATGTGCTTTCCTGCCAAGCCATACAAATTATAAAAACCACAAAAGTGTCGGTTTGAAGTGAGGGAGACCTGAGTATTTCCTCTTAAAAAGAGAACTTGAGAGGTTGGCCATAAAGTACACCCTGGAATAACTTCCATGCATGTGGAAAAAGGGTAGATTCTAAATTCAGTGTGGCACAATACACCACTCACACGTAGCCAAAATTTTCTTTGATTATTTTCTAGAAAGAGTCCATGTTGAAGACTAATATACCACCTCTCAGTAGGTTTAATACAGTGAGTTTTTCTCCAAAGATGGAAATGATTGCTATTTCTTAGTGGATAGCCAAATAAAGTAGTTGGCTTATGTTTAGGTGCCATGTTTTATATAAAAAATCATCTAAAATACTTAAATCACGTTCAGTGTGGTAAGCTGTGTATACTGTGGGAGACACCTGGGAACTGAGCCAACAGAGGAAATAGATTCTCATCTTCTGCTGGTGTGTACACTCACTGGGAAAAATGGTAGACAGAATCATCAACATTACTTAGGATGTTATTGCTTTTTCTCTTGCTTGCTGTTCTTGTTTGCTGTTCTCTTTCTCTCTGATAAGCACATGCAATCGAATTTGAAAAAAATTAAAAATTAAATGTGAACATAATGCTACTCCTTCAGAAAATTATTTTTTTCCACTCTACCCTTGAAAATCTCATTCACTATATAGCATTAGAGATATTGTTGGTGGCAGTAGAATTCGTAGAGGTGGAAGGCTAGGAAGATGATGAAATAGACTTAGTCTGTGAGCCCCTAAGAGTTGGAACTAGTATTAGTAGGGAATTGGAGACACAGACTCAATATGTATAAGAACTTTCTTACAGTCTAAATCTTTCATAAGTAAAAATATTTTTTTCTGAAGATGATGATATTCCCAATACCCCAGATATTCAAGCAGAGATTAGTCAACCACAATGTAAGGAATTGACTAAAGCATTGAATGAAAGATATGAGGGTCTTTTAGATCCCTTTTAAATGAATATTTTTCATTATGATATTTATACTGTTCCATTTCTCCAGAATATTTGGTTCTCTCTTTTTAAGACTATAAACTGGCCATAAGTAAAAATACATGTTATTATTTTATATCTTATTCCCTAGGTAAGATTATTTGCTCGCCATAGAAATTCCAAAATTAGGCTGGGTGCAGTGGCTCAGGCCTGTAATCCCAGCACGTTGGGAAGCTGAGGTGGGCGGATCACTTGAGGTCAGGAGTTTGAGACCAGCCTGGCCAACATGGGGAAACCCCATCTCTACTAAAAATACAAAAATTAGCTGGGTAGGGCTGAGTGCGGTGGCTCATGCCTATAATGCCAGCACTTTGGGAGGCTGAGGCAGGTGGATCACTTGAGGTCAGGAGTTCGAGACCAGCCTGGCCAACATGGTGCAACCCCATCTCTACTAAAAATACAAAACAATTAGCCAAGAATGGTGGTAGGCACCTGTAATCCCAGCTACTAGGGAGACTGAGGCAGGAGAATTGCTTGGACCCAGGAGGCAGAGGTTGCAGTGAGCCGAGATTGTGCCATTGCACTCCAGCCTGGGCGACAGAGTGAGATTCCATCTCAAAAAAAGAAAAAAATTCCAAAATACTACAGCAAGGTGCTTCTTCTTGTGCAAGATACAATGCCTGTTAAATGACAGTTTTTTTGTAGAATGGAATTTAATAGCAGATATGTTACTGTGGGTACATCCCATGAGGTTGAGTGTGAATTTTAACAGTTTCCTTGTTGTGAGGTCTAAATTCTAATACACAAGAAGGAAAGGAAGTGTGACAGGGAGGTAATCGGGGCTGTCCCTATTTCTTTCCCTTAAAGTAGGTGCCACAGCATTTTCCAGACACTGGGTTTTGTGTTTAAGAGACCGTGAAGGAGAAACCTTCTTCAAAGCCCTTGTGGGGCTGGCTGCAGTCCCCGTCTGTCAGGGTCCTGCCATGTGTAAATCATACACCCAAATACATCCAGATAGAGCCCATCCATCACATGCTGGCTGTGATGTGGGCTGCACTGTCTGTAAATCTGGTGAAAATAATGTATTTGTGCTGTGAGATGACATCCCATAATGAGATTGTGATATTCCATAGCATGTGATTTGCTATTTGTGACAAAGATGAATTTCACAGTGAGCACAGCTTCTGAGAAGCTGCTGGGGCTGGCAGACATGTGTAAGGTAAGGCCCCCTCTCAGGCCATCCTGTCATAACTCTTCTCTCCTGGAAATAATTTCTCAGGACTGCCAAGAATGAGTTGCCAAATAGAATTTTCTCTAAAGGGTAGCTGAGTATTTAGGAAGGGCGAAATCTCTGAAGGGAAAGAAATGTATAGAAGACATTCATCAATATCCCTTGATTGCATTTATTGTTTGTGGTAGCAGAATCCAACAGTCTACAACTGACATTATCTGACAGACTCCTATGCCCTCTGCACATGCAATTGATGCAAAGTAAAAACTGCCTTTATGTTCAAAATAAAATAAATCACCTAAGATGTTCAGATTCTTACTCTCAGAGTCATATATGGAGCCATTTTATACAGTTATCATTTCTAAGGGTCCTAAGTTGTATTAAGTCCTTGCTACATAGAGTGGCGGCTCCACACTAGCAGTATTGTTATCACCTGGGAGCTTATTAGAAATACAGACTCTTGGGGCCCTTGCCAGATCTACTAAATCAGAATCTGTATTTTAACAGAATCACCAGGTGGGTCTCATGCACATATATTTTAGGAGCACTATACTAAATGATGTTTAAGATGTTCTAGTATGCTCATTAGCATGGAAAATAATAATACTACTAATAAAACAGGAGTCATTCCAAATATATATGTGTGTATTTTTTTGCATATTACAAAACATTTTCACAATTATTACCAAATTTGAGCTTTCCTATAACCTTGTAAGGTAGGTAGGTGCCATTATCTTCATTTTACAGTTGAAGTAATTGAAGTTCATGGTGACTAATAGTTTTGCCCAAGATATATGCAGGTGAATAAGGAGTCTAAATTCAAACTCTGATCTTTTCTCCCTAAGTGCATATTTCTTTCTCATTATTGTTAGAGCATGTTCTATGAATTTGTCTGCTTTTGTCTCCAGAAGTAACAAGATTCTATAAAGCCACTCATACACTCTCAAGGTATACCCATCACAAACAAGAATAGGCATCTAAAACGATCAGCTAGACCTGTGGTTATTGTGTGTGGCTGAGTTTGTGCAGGACTTTTCTGATTCCAATGGGATCAGATTTGATCCTCGATCATGTTAGGTCTAGATTCTGAAAAGTCGGGCACCAGCTACTTCACGATATAGCTTGATTTAGGATTGATCACACAGGTCAACTTGGTGATACCCAGACCTAGTCAAACTATGAACTTACAATTCTTTTAGGGACGCTACTGATCCAGAAAAATTTCCGAGGTCAGCCACTGAAACACAGACCAATAGAGCAAACATTCTGTATTATACACCTCCTCTGGCAAGAGAGGTTCAAAAATGCTTTTGATGATGACAGTGGGACCTATTAGTCACTAAGTGTCATGTATAATGTAACCATTGCTCTAGGAGCTTTTATGCTTTGGCCCTGCAGTGCAGAGGGCCTTGTGACAAGTAAAGCCAGAAGTCAAGGATGCTAAGGAGACACAGGCTAAAAGAGTTCTCCAGCCTCCCTTGGAATCTAGTAACGCTGAGAAACCTGAGACTCTTTTTTGTGAGACAGAGTCTTGCTCTGTTGCCCAGGCTGGAGGGAAGTGGCACGATCTTGGTTCACTACACCCCACCACCTCCCGGGTTCAAGTGATTCTCCTGCCTTAGCCTCGAGTAGCTGGGACTACAGGTGTGCACCACTATGCCTGGCTAATTTCTGTATTTTGAGTAGAGATGAGGTTTCACCATGTTGCCCAGGCTGGTCTCGACCTCCCGGGCACAAGTGATCCTCCTGCCTCGGCCTCCCAAAGTGCTGGGATCACAGGCGTGAGCCACCATGCCAGCTAGATACTTGAGACTCTTGAAGAAACTCTTGGGTTTGTAAATACAGGGATAATAGAACTGGGAAAGATGTCTCAGAGCAGGGGTGCAAGGACAGGCTAAGTGTATCAGACATGTCTTTTGTTGCTATAGTGCATAAACAAATTTATAATACAAATATTTTTATAACAGCTTGATATACAATTTTTAGCAAAGTAGTTTTGTGTCAATGTGTACATATTTGAGAGATTTTAAGCAGAGGAATAAACTCACTGAGCCTCTCATTTAATATTTTTAATTAACATCTTTGAAAATTAATCAATTTATTTGTAATAGGCTACACAGGCCCTAAAGAGATTTTTAAATAAAAAGGAGTTGTTGATAACACAGAACTTTTGCCTGAACTGAGGAGTGGATGTCGCAGAATATACAAGAACAGTAATGGCAAAAATAAACTGATGCTAACTCAAAATTTAACCCCTAGTCTTAGGGATCAGTGAATCTCCCATTTAGATTTTGGAAGATTCAGTTCCCATGTGCATAATTCATATAAGGTACTTCCTTAATTGTATACAATCTATATGGTTTTTTCTAAACATAAAGCATTCCCTTGGGGTATTGAAATACTAATTCTTATGCTCTACTGACTCACCATTTCTTTCCTGTAATTCTGAGATGATAAAAATCAAATTCTGACTACATTTCTATCCCTTTCTTTCTTCGTTCTCCAAAAGCCTAATCATGCGAAAACTCACAGGCACAACCTTTCTGGTTTATGGAATCACATTTTGTAATGACGTTATTTATGCCCACGTTCTTGTTAAAACATGAAACACCGTGGCTGACTTCAGTCTCACCTGCAGACACAATGGGACAAAGTCTGTCTTCTCTCCTGGGCATGATTTTCTCTTTAGAAGCTGACTTGCCTTATGAATTTTCATCTATCATTTTCCCCATTTCCTTCTCTTAGGAGAGGAAAAGCACAATCTATGGCAAACCAGAGAGAAAAAGAAAATGCTGTGTGTTAAAAGCTTCTTTATAACGATGTTCCTTGACCAGTCCCCTGTGCGTTAGAGAAATGTCCCTGCTTGATGCGATGTATGTGCTTGTCTAGTGCAGACTTCAAAACATACTTGGTTCCTTACCATTTTATCACATGGCATCTCGGGGAAAGAGTATGGCAAAAACATTATTTAGATAAAAATAATGATGATTTTTATGATAGAAAATGGAAGAATATGGTGTTTTCATGTGGAAAAGAATTATCCAGAATTTCAGAGTAGGTTAGTACAGGTAAGAAGGTCCTATGTGAGCACCCATGCTTCAGGTTTTTCTCTGCTTTTTGGTTTATAGTTAAGACATTCCTATAAATTAGGTTCCAATATTTGCTCCACTTTAGAAATGAGAAAATGGAAGTTCAGAGAGTTTGGGTTACTTGTCCAAAGTCACTCTCCTAGTTAGCTACTAGCAGAGCTGGGATTCAAATCCAGAACGGATGATTTAAACCATTTACACTGCAGCACTACTTACATGAAATGCTATAGTGCTTTGTAAATTATAAAGCACAAGGCAAAGCTGTTGTCTCCTTCAGGTTTATGCTGCCATTTTTTTCCTCCTGGCTTTTCCTTCATTCTGGAATGTATGCCACTGTCTAAACCTGTTGAAAACCTCCTCCTCATCTTGCAAAAGCCTGCTCTACAAAATTCCTCTTCCCCTATTCTTCCCTCATTTTCCTCATTGGTGGTAATACCTCTCAAAAAAGATGCACTAATGTATTGTTGCTAAAAGAAATCTTAAGACTACAAAAAGGCTGAATTCCTCCTTCCTGTGCCCTCTCCCAACCCCTTTCCTTGAAGTAACCACGTTACTTTTTGCTAAGCATTTACTTGAACACATATACATAGAAATACAGTTAACTCTCGAGCAACATGGGTTTGAATTGTTATAGTCCACTTGCACACAGAAGGTTTTCTTTTTGTTCTTTTCTTTTTCTTTTTTTTCGAGACGGAGTCTTGCTCTGTCGCCCAGGCTGGAGTGCAGTGGCGCCATCTCGGCTCACTGCAAGCTCCGCCTCCCGGGTTCACGCCATTCTCCTGCCTCAGCCTCCCCAGTAGCTGGGACTACAGGCGCCCGCCAGCGCACCCGGCTAATTTTTTTTTTGTATTTTTAGTAGATATGGGGTTTCACCTTGTTAGCTAGGATGGTCTCGATCTCCTGACCTTGTGATCCACCCGCCTCGGCCTCCCAAAGTGCCCAAAGTGCTGGGATTACAGGCGTGAGCCACCGCGCCGGGCCAGAAGGTTTTCAATAAACATACAGTACACTTTTTTGGAGACTTTGGACAATTTGAAAAACTCACAGATGAATCTTTTAGCCTAGAAATATTGAAACATTAAGAAAAAGGCATGTCGGGAGTTCGAGACCAGCCTGACCAACATGGAGAAACCCCGTCTCTACTAAAAATACAAAATTAGCCAGGCGTGGTGGCGCACGCCTGTAATCCCAGCTACTCGGGAGGCTGAGGCAGGAGAATCGCTTGAACCCGGAAGGCAGAGGTTGCAGTGAGCCGAGATCGCGCCACTGCACTCCAGCCTGGGCGACAAGAGCGAAACTCCGTCTCGAAATAAATAAATAAATAAATAAATAAATAAATAAATGAAGGTAAGTTATGAATGCATAAAATATATGTAGGTATAAGTCTATTTTATCATGTACTACTATGACATGGGTATAAATCTATTATAAAATGTTAAAATTTGTCAAAACTCACATAAACATTTACTTACCATGCATCGCACCACCCGCAGTCAAGAGAAATGTAAACAAGTAAAGAAGCAGTATTAAATCATAACCGCGTAAAGTTAACTGTAGTACATACTGCACTACTGTAATCATTTTGCAGACCTCTCGTGTTACGGTGTAGTGAGGAGTAGAGCAAATATCCGCTGAAAACACCCAGTGACATGGGTCTGCATGCGAGTGGTTCCTCTCTCCAGCAAATCGCATGTTGCAGTAACAAGTGATCCTTCGGGGTGGTTCTCCTGTATTTCCCGTGTGATATAGTCAACGTTGAATAACACCAAGGGACCCATATGAAGTGCCACTAGTGATGTCAGTAGTGCTTCCAAGGAGCAGAGAAAAGTCAAGACTTTAGAAGAAAAAGTCGAATTGCTTGGTAAGATTGAGGTCTGCGGCTATGGTTGCCCACCATTTCAGACTGATGATTCGGTTTGTAAACAGATATACGTATCTATAATACAGTACCTACTATAAAACTATTTCCCCTTCCTTATAATTTCATTAATAACATTTTCTTTTCTCTAGCTTACTTTATTGTAAGAATGAAGTATATAATTCATATAACATACAAGATATGTGTTAATCAACTGTTTATGTTATCAGTAAGGCTTCCATTAGCCAGTAGACTATTAGTCATTATGTTTATAGGGAGTCAAAAATTATACATGGCTTCTCAGCTGTGCAGGGGACAGCGCCCCTAACTCCTGCATTATTCAAAAATCAACTGTATGTGGTTTTGTTGTTTTTTAGAAAAATGAATAATTTCTTTTTATATTATTCTGTTACATTTTTTCCCCACTTAATAGAACGTCCAGAAAATCTTTGCATCTCAGAATGCCTGAAGCTGCCTTGTTCTTGTTTTTTTTATTTCATTTTTTTATTATACTTTAAGTTCTGGGGTACATGTGCAGAACGTGCAGGTTTGTTACATAGGTATACTCGTGCCATGGAGGTTTGCTGCACCCATCAACCATCATCTACATTAGGTATTTCTCCTAATGCTATCCTTCCCCTAGCCCCCTCACCCCCCAACAGGCCTTGGTGTGTGATGTTCCTCTCCCTGTGTCCATGTGTTCTCATTATTCAACTCCCACTTATGAGTTAGAACATGCGATGTTTGGTTTTCTGTTTTGTGTTAGTTTGCTGAGAATTATGGTTTCCAGCTTCATCCATGTCCCTGCAAAATACATTAATCTATCCTTTTTTATGGCTGCATAGTATTCCATGGTGTATATATGCCACATTTTCTTTATCCAGTATATCATTGATGGGCATTTGAGTTGGTTCCAAGTCTTTGCTATTGAGAACAGTGCCGCAATAAACATACGTGTGCATGTGTCTTTATAGTAGAATGATTTATAATCCTATGGGTATATACCCAGTAATAGGATTGCCTTATTGTTTTAATTGTTCACCTGGCGCTGCTTATTTACACTGAGTCTTCCCTTCCTGAAATACTGCTTGTCTTTCCATTTATTCAGGTCTTTGTTTATGCATTTTCATAAGTAATATAGTTCTTGCATTTCTAGAAATTTTACAGTTTTGGTTGCTGTTGTGATTGTGATTTTTATTTTGTATTTTCTAATTGGCTTTGCTAATGTGTAGGAAAGCTATTGATCTTCAATCTAACTACATTGCTGAACTCCTAATCTTTATACTTAAAAAAATTGATTCTTGTGGATTTTCTAGATAGGTGATCATATTAACTGAAAAAATATCTCAGCTTTTTCGCCATAATAATAGATTTGTTTGTTCCTTTATTTTGTCTTGTTACTGGATAAGATCTCTAGGATGATGTCAAATAAGAGTGGTGATTGTAGAGGGCATCTTTAACTCATTTTGTATCTAACTGGAAATGTTTCTAATGTTATTATGAAATTTACTTTAGGTTCTTGGTACAGGGCCTCTTTCTAGTATGGGAATTTTCTGTTGGCTTTTAATCAATCAGGAATAGCTGTTCAATTTTATCAAAAATTTTTTTTTCTGCACTAATTTTGGTTCCTGTTGAGATTACCTTAGTTTAACTTATTTTTTTTTTGGTTAATGTAGTGAATTACATGAATGAAATTTCTGCTCATGCCATTTTGTACTCCTCTTACTGGCTTACCAGTTTTAATCTTTTAAAATGGTACTTGTTTGCATGCCTGCCACCCTCCTCATCCCCCCAAAAAAAACCCTGAAAGTTCCTTGAAAACCATGTAACTTTCATGTTGTGGATTCTCAATTAATGTTGATTGATACATCTTTATAAAAATTTACATTTATTATGTCAGCTGAGTAATACTGCAGCCATGCAGTTAGATATTATTCTTAAGTTTTAAATATTATAAACTGAAGTTTGGCTTTGAGGACTCAAACCAGGTTAGAGCGAGGGCTAGGTCCAGAGCTAGGTCTCAAATTTAAGTTCTGTTACTTAAGGGCAAATGCTCTTTTTGCTGATTCATGGATAAAAATGTTCTTAGATCTGTGGCATTCATCATCAGAGGCAGTGTTCACATTTTCCACATTTGTTGGAGACCCTGGGCAGCTCCGAAATGGTGTTCTCACTACCTGAATGGTAGTGAATGATGCTTCCTAACTGAAGGGGAAAGGATTGATCTGGTGATCGTTTTCATATTAGGCCCCATTATTGACCAATACTCAACCAGCCCGATTCAAGTGCTGTTATAAATACATACAGCAAAATGAGTTTCATTAAAAGACTCTTGATGCTCCTTACAGGGGCCTGATACTGAATCCCAGGCAATTATCAAAACTTGACTTCTTTTAGAATCACAGAAGGTCAAAGTTGGCAGGGCCCTTAGAGCTAATCCGTGCCACCATCCTTGAGCCCTCCTCACCCCCCACTTTTAATAGATGGGTAAAATGAGATTCAGGGGAAAAAATGACTTTCGCAAGTCATGTTATGCATTACCAAATATCTCAGGAGGTCTAGAACTACCTTATTTTAATATGGTTTAATTATTTGTTTGCTCTCACAGACAAAAGAAAGGGTTAGCTGTGTAATCTTTGCTCCTTACTCTGAGATAGCAGGGCACTTAAGTGGATGTTGGGCAAAAATCAGATCCATTTTAAAACAAATTTGGAAATGAAAATGGTGGCAGTGGTAACTGTCAATTGCATGGGCTTCAGGGGAAGTTTTGTAGACCTAGATACTTTCCCAGCTCCTACCAGGGAGGCGATGATCATAGAGATTGAATCCCAAGTGGAGTCCTGGTCTTTTTCTTAGTGAAACCAGATCTGATATGCTGTTGATTTTGGATTCACAGCCTTTTGTCACCATGTAAATAATAATTCCTTAAATTAAAAAATCTTCTTTTATTGTCCCAACATGTGATAAAACAATAAGTATCAATTGGACTGTACTTCATAGCGGACACGTTTCATCACAGCACCAGCATTATTGTATTATCCTCACTGTCAAGACGGAAAGCAAAACCAAGTCTAGGGAACACTTTGGTTCCCCAAGTAGAGTACTGGAAAGCAATTTTTTTTAAAAGGTGGTTAAAATGACTTGCCACAAGCCTATTTAGTTTCACTAGACACACTGCAAAGATATTTAGTTAGATGTAGTCTCTGTTCTCTGAAACTTTAGTTTTGCAATATATCCAGAAGATTGTCATATTGCCATAAGAAGTAACAGGAAATAATATATTTTAACAAACTCAAACATTATGTTAATAAACATACATATAAATAAATAAGGCTTTTAAAAATGGTGAGGTATAGGGTGTTTTGGGTGTGTGTGTGGTGGAATAGGTTATGAAACATCACAAATTTTGATGTGAAATAATAAGTAGAATATATTCCCTCCAGAAAACCTCACCACCCTCCTCTCACTCTGATCTTTTTTTTTTTTTTTTTGCATTTTCAGGACCCCCAATTCAGTTGATGGTATTGTTGCTTATTCATGTTGATATGTTATTTTGTAACCATTTTCAAGTTGTTTCATACTTGATCTTCCTAACAAGACTTACTGTAAGATCCTGAAAAATATGACCAGATTTGTAATTTTATCCAGAATCTCTGCAGCTAGAAGGTGTTCAGTTAATGCACATGTTTGAATATGGTAATGTGGATTAACATGTGGGAGACACAGAGACAATCCAACAAAAACATTAATCAGATCCAAAATGTACATCTCTGCTTCAAACACCAGACAACAATAAAGGCATTTTAAAAGGCTCCAGCAAATGGGAGGCTCAGAGAAGGGCTTATGCTGCAGTGGTGGGGCAGGAGAGCAAATGATTTTCCCCTAATTGAGCTTCTAAGAAGACTTTGTTCCCTGTAACTTTTCTATATATTCATCTCCCTGTAGTTTAAAACAACATAAGACAAACAAGAATAAGGGTCTTCAACTCATATACCTCCCCATGAGATTTCCTTGGTTGCCTGAAGAAGTCTCCAGAAAATACCTGTTAGAGGTAACACAGGCAGGAAATGCCTAGCAAACAAAATGCTGCCACCTTCTGGTAAAATAGTACAGAATATTTTCTCCCCCTGTCATTTTTACACACACACACACACACACACACACACACGAATTATCCTAGTAACAATAACATTTATATCATGCTTTATAGCTAGCAAACACTTACATGTGCATGATCTCATTTAATGCTCACAAAATCCTTATGAGGTAGCTTTTATTACCCACATTTGACAGAAAAAGCAACTGAGGTTCTCAGAGAGTATGTCACTTCCAGAAGGTCACACAGTGATTGGCAGATGCATACTTAAACCTTAACACAAGTGAACCTGCATTATGCTTTAACACAAATGAAGAGTGAACCATTATTTCATGCATTGACAAATACTAAACACATCGGCCATGCACTCAGCAGCAATGTGTGGAGTCTTTTGTCTGATCACATCATATCACAGCTTTGTATTACAGTATGTGACTAACACATCTTTCTTTCTGGCTCTGCAGAGTGCAACAGTGTCCCTGTGAACTGAATTTTAGGAGATGGGGATAGAGTGGGGATAGAGCAAACCCTTCTCTGTCACCCTTGAACCAGGCAAGATACACATTCTACTCTTTTACCCTTAACATTTTCTCAGTAATCTTAAAATGCAAATTGGTGTCCTTTTAATAATTCAAAATCCATAGTACTGGCTCCCATGCCCAGCTTCATATCCCATGGCATGCCCCATGCACCCTATCTCATGCATGAACCCTGGTCATTCTTTTTCAGATGTTAGGTACTTTTAGCAGCTTTTCCATTTGACTCTGCTTAGCAATATCCTATTCATCCTTCAATACTACCTCCTCTATTAATGCTTCCCTGATCTCTTTAATGCATATTCAGTGCCTTCCCAGCCACCAGTGAGGCTTAGTTCCTTCAGTTTTTATGATAGCTTATTGTTTTCCTTTCTATGAGTCTGTCTCACTAGTGTGTCCACCTAGAAGGTAGAGAACGATCCTCATTAATTTCTATAACCCCCAACAAAACTCTGTATAAGTGTTCAGTAAATATTTGACTGTTATTGAATTGTCATAGAAAAGCCTGTAAGCACCACCTGATTGTAAGAGCTAGGGTAAATTTTACTAAAATGAGGAGCATAAGGGAGCTGTGTGATAGTCATTGCTTATAAAATCAAGGAGAGACTAGCAAAGGTAGGAATCCCACCTCCATTCTCACATTTATTCTTCTCTGTGCAGGACCAATAATTTTTAGAAAGATGTTTCTAAATTTCCTTCCTTCCCCATCCTTAGCTGTGCACCAAATTGTCAAATTCCTGCCAAGAGAAAGCATTCCTGTTAGAGTCCCCTGTTGGATTGACAGTATTTGCAATCAGAATATTGATCTCCAAGAAGGCTTTTCTGGTCCTGTGCCTATACAATATTGGCTGCAGGATAATACTCATGTACATATTCTAGTGGAATTCTAGCTTTGTTATGAGATTTCTCTTCACTTTTTTTTTTTTTAGATGGAGTTTTGCTCTTATTGCCCAGGCTGGAGTGCAATGGCATGGTCTCAGCTCACTGCAACTTCCGCCTCCGGGATTCAAGTGATTCTCCTGCCTCAGCCTCCCAGGTAGCTGGAATTACAGGCTCCCGCCACCATGCCCGGCTAATTTTTGTGTTTTTAGTAGAGACGGGGTTTCACCATGTTGGCCAGACTGGTCTCGAACTCCTGACCTCAGGTGACCCACCCACTTTGGCCTCCCAAAGTGCTGGGATTACAGGCGTGAGGCACCACGCCTGGCCTTCTCTCTCATTTTTATTTTGAAGTAATTTTTAACCCAGAAAAGTTGCAGAAATAGTATGAAGAATTCCCATAATTTATTCCCATTAATTTATACTATGGTCTTTTTGGAGGGCATTTTGCATCTAAAAAATGATTTACCAACATACAAGGATATTAAAAGCATTATTCATGATAGCAAAAATTGGGAATGACCTAAATATTTCAAAAAAGAGGATTAGCTACATAATTATATCAAAATGATGAATTTTCAGTCATTAAAAATAAAATTATTTAAAAATATTTACAGGGAAATGCTCAATATATTATTTTCCTGGTGCTGCCATAACAAAATACCATAGACCTTGTAACATAAACAACAGAAATTGATTTATCACAGTTCTGGAGAACAAAAGTCCAAGATCAGGGTGCCAGCAGGGTTGCTGTCTCCTGAGGCCTCTGTCCTTGGCTTGCAGCTGGCCTCCTTCTTGCTGTGTTTTCACATGGTCCTTTCTCTGTGTTTGTACATTCTTGGTGTCTCTCCCTTTTCTTTTTTCTTTTTTTTTTTAAGATGGAGTCTCACTCTGTCACCCAGGTTGGAGTGCAGTGGCATGATCTCGGCTCACTGCATCCTCTGTCTCCTGGGTTCAAACGATTCTCCTGCCTCAGCCTCCTGAGTAGCTGGGACTACAGGTGCGCACCACCATGCCCAGCTAATTTTTGTATTTTTAGTAGAGACGTGGTTTCACCATGTTGATCAGGCTGGTCTCGAACTCCTGACCTCGTGATCTACACACCTCAGCCTCCTAAAGTGCTGGGATTACAGGCGTGAGCCACTGCGCCCTTTCTCTCCCTTTTCTTATAAGGACACCAGTCATGTTGGAACAGGGCTTCACCCTTACCACCTCATTGAACTGCAATTACCTCTTTAAAGGCCCTTTCTCCAAATGCAGTCATATTAGGAGTGAGGACTTCCGCATAGGAATTTGGAGGAAACACAATTCAGTCTATAACACTCAAGACACTTAAGTGAAAAAATGTATGTCATAAGCCATGTTTATAATGTGACTTTGATTTTTCAAACACATACACATGTATACAGAAGACAAATAGTGTGGAAGTTTACATGTCAAAATTTTAACAGTTGATATTTCTAAATTGTGAGATTATGAGTCACATTAATTTACTTTCTACTGTATTGCATTTTCCAATTTTCCATAATAAACTACCATTACTCCTTTAGTTAGAAAAGAATAGATTATAAGTAGCACAAAATACTTTTTAAAAAGCTTAAAGTTTTTTCAAATATATTAACATATTTGATCTCTGTAACAATGCTATGAGGCAAGAATGGGAACAATGTTTTTGAATTCATACATAACAAAATTGAGGCTCAGAAGAGTTAAGTCATGTGGCCAAGTAGCCTAATAATCAGAATAGGTCTTCTGAGTATTAATCCAATCTCTCCATTATACCACAATTCTTTAAAATACCTTCCTTCAGCCTGGGTGTGGTAGCTCACACCTGTAATCCCAGCACTTTGGGAGGCCAAGGTTGGATAATCACTTGAGTGCAGAAGTTTGAGACCAACCTGGGTAACATGGCAAAACGCTGTCTGTACAAAAAATAAAAAAAATTAGCCAGGCATGGTGGTGTAAACCTGTAGTCCCAGTTACTTAGGAGGCTAAAGTGGGAGGATCACTTGAGCCTGGGTGGTTGAGGCTGCAGTAAGCCATGATCTTACCACTGCACTCCAGCCTGGGCAACAGAGTGAGACCCTGTCTCAAAAATAAATAAAACAATAAATATTAAAATATCTTCCTTTAATAAACAAAGAAAAATCTAACAATGCTCTTTATTCCCAACAATTTATTAATGACACATATGAAAGTAGAAGAAATAATAACAATAACAGCAGTAATATGTTTCATGGAGATCGTTTAAGCTTAGTCTTAAATTGAAATATTTGGGATAAAATATATATAAATATATAGTGACTTGGAGATCATTTAAGCTTAGTCTTAAATTGAAAGATTTGGGATAAAAATATATATAAATATACAGTGACTGGGTATATACCCAAAGGAATGTAGGTCATGCCATCATAAAGACACATGCACATGTATGTTCTTGCAGCACTATTCACTACAGCAAACACATGGAATCAACCTAAATGTCCATGAGTGGTAGACTGGATAAAGAAAATGCAGTACGTATACACCATGGAATACTATGCAGCCATACAACGGAGGCCATTATCCTTAGCAAACTAATGCAGGAACAGAAAATTAAATATTTCACATTCTCACTTATAAGCAGGAGCTAAATGATGAGAACACATGGACACATAGAGAGGAACAGCAGGCACAGGGGCCTACCTGAGGGTGGAGGGTAGGAGGAAGGAGAGGATCAGGAAAAATAACTAATGAGTATTAGGCTTAACACCTGGGTGACAAAATAATCTGTACAACAAATCCCTGTGACATAAGTTTACATAAATAACAAACCTGCACATGTACTCCTGAACTTAAAAGTTAAAAAAAGAAATGTAAGTTTCATACAAAAAAAATGAATAAGTAGCAACCTGGGATGAAAATTGTCACTGAGTTTTTTACTCCACAGCACGTTCTTATTGTTGTCCATCTATGAAGATGAAGCATGGAGACTCCTTTACGAGACTCTACTGGGTATTTCAATAGGTATTCCTACCTGTGAGAATGCATGCATGGACCACTCCTCTAGGCAGAGGCTCCTCATCTGGAGGAGTGAAAGGAGAATTAGGGAGACAAGAAATTATTACAAGAGTTCCAGAGATCTTGAAGTATAAATATTTTTTCATTCCAGGCATGTAAAAAATATGGCCACAGTTATGTATGTGTGTGTTGTGGGATGTGGCATGGTTCTGCATATATGAGGTGTTCTTTTGTTGAAGAAGTTGGGGATTATTGCTATAGATCAATAATATTAAAAATCCCATTTATAATATATTATTTTCCACTCTCCCTTCCTGTAATAAAACCAACCATCCCAACAATCACAATATAAATGGATGTTTTCTGAGACGAATTCAGTTTTCTAGTTGTGAGTGAGTTGAACTCAACCAGCTTCTACCTGCAAGATATGTTGCAACTGCTTTGGACCTCACTCTGGGGAAGCGAAGATGGGGTAGAATAAAGAACTCTCTAGAAAAGTAGCCAGAGAGACTGTTCTTCAAGAAGCAACATCTGTTCAGCACCTATCACAGACCCTGGATTATATGTGGTGAAACTGTTTTTTGCCTGTGGTTTGTGGATGGAGCTTTGGGGCCAGTCATCAATATCTATTTCAGCGGTCAGAGCCTCTTTGCTCTGTGCTAACTAAACTTCATCCAGGTTTTTGTGGTACTCTTGTGATTTGTGAAATGACAGACACCTGGACTAAAAGGAATGACAAAATATATTTCAAGACTTTCAAAAGGGTTCCATAGTTTGATGCCAATTGTCTTGAGGCAAGCGGCTGGGCATTCCCTTCCAAGGAGGATCGTGAACAGCTGTCAGGCCTAATCTGGGTGAGAGATGAAAGGGGTGACCTGCGGGTTAAAGTCTCCACTGCCTGCTGCAAATCCCCCGAGTTATCTAATCTGTCCAGCGGCACAAGCTTTCTGCAAAGAAAGCATTATTTTACAGCTGACTCTTTAACAAAGGGGAAATAACAACTGTTAGAAAATGTAGTAAGTAGTTGTCCTAAGATAATGCTGCTTGAATAAATTCTATAGAGTTTTTTTAATTAAAAAATCTTCAAAAGGACAGATAAATATCAGAAAGCCCACATGGACTGTGTACACGAGGCATTGCATTGCATTATGGAATATTGTCTAGGTTCTTTTTGTGTGGGTGTGTGTGTGACAGAGTCTCACTTTGTTGCCCAGGCTGGAGTGCAGTGGCACAATCTTGGCTCACCGCAACCTCCACCTCCCAGGTTCAAGTGATTCTCCTGCCTCAGCCTCCTGAGTAGTTGGGATTACAGGCGTCCACCACCATGCCCAGCTAATTTTTGTATTTTTAGTAGAGACAGGGTTTCACCATGTTGGCCAGGCTGGTCTCAAACTCTTGACCTCAAGTGATCCACCTGCCTCGGCCTCCCAAAGCGCTGGGATTACAGGCGTGAGCCACTGCACCTGGCTGTCCAGGTTCTTACACACACACACACACACACAGACACACACACACACACAGAGAGAGTGAGAGAGAGAAAGAGAGAGAGAGAGAACACCATCAGCCTAAAGTCCTGTACATGGGCTAATTGCCTCTAACCCAAAGTCTGCTTGGGATGATTGGTGTGATGGTTAATATTGAATGTCAACTTGATTGGACTGAAGGATGCAAAATATTGTTCCTGGGTGTATCTGTGCGGGTGTTGACACATTTGAATCAGTGGACTGGGAGAGGCAGACCCACCCTCAATCTGGGTGGGCACCATCTAATCAGCTGCCAGTGTGGCTAGAATAAAGCAGGCAGAAAATTTGGAAGGACTAGACTTGCTGAGTCTTCCAGCCTTCATCTTTCTCCCATGCTGGATGCTTCCTTCCTTGAACATCAGACTCCAGGTTCTTCAGCTTTTGGACTCTTGGACTTAACACCAGTGATTTTCCAGAGGCTCTCAGGCCTTTGGCCACAGACCGAAGGCTACACTTTTGGCTTCCCTACTTTTGAGGTTTTGGGACTTGGACTGGCTTCCTTGCTCCTCAGCTTGCAGATGGCCTATTGTGGAACTTCACTTTGTGATTGTGTGAGTCAGTACTCCTTAATAAACTCCCCTTTATATATACATTTATCTTATTAATTCTGTCCCTCTGGAGAACCCTGACTAATACAATTGGTGTCTCTGCAATATTTGTGCAAATTTGAGTAAGTCTTTCTCTGGGCTGCAGTATTGTCATTTGTAAAACAAAACAAAACAAATAGCCAGAAAGAAAAGAGAGGATTTGGATTAGATGGCACATCCTTGGCATACCATCATTCTTCATTCTTGCTCCCATAACCATCATAATTAATTGATTATGGCACTTTCCACCAACCTCATGCAGCCTCAGAATTCCCAACAGCAATTGTTCTGAATTAGCATGTGAGAGGAAATACATTTGCTCTGCTTACAATTGAGTGATGCCTGTGGTCCTCTTCATCAGGAGTCTCAGAAGGCTGAGTGGCATAGCTCATGGTGGTACCTCTGGCACAGCACAGTACAACTAGTATCAATAGGATGGAGTGACAACAGCTACAGCAAGATTTTTTGGGAGAAAATATTGAGTTTCAGAGATGACATGTGTTACTCATAAGAAGAGGCATGCACATCAGATCCAGAACATGAGCAGAAAGAGAAAGCTACTACAATGGAGAGAGAATGTTTATCGGTGTACATCCCCAGTGAACTCCCAAAATTCTGGGGAAATGGGAATTTGAAGAGTCTGCAATAGCAGGAAAGGGTAGAGTTGGTGGATTTTTTTTTTTACTTTGTTAGTTTTTTCCTTCCCCCTTTCTAAATCTAGGCTGATACAGTCTGATAAAAAGATTACATTTATATGACTAGTTGTATAATTACTAACATAAGAATCACAGCAAACAAATTTTTTTTAAACAAAATCTTGGTATGTTGCCCACGTTGGAGTGCAGTGAACATTCTCATTTACAGGTGGGATCATAGCCACGAATTTTTGGGTTCAAGTGATTCTCCTGCCTCAGACTCTTGAGTAGTTGGGACTAGTGGCACATACCACCATGCCTGACTTGCAGAATACATTTCTTAAATAGAATTTTAAGATTTGGAGAAGACCCTAGAGATCATCTAGTCTATCAGTTCCCAAATACTTCAACTTGGACCAGATCCATGCTGGCTTCATAAGATAACTCTAGAGCTTGTTAATAATCTGATTCCTGAATGAAGTTCCCAAAGATTCTGCTTCAGTAGGTTTGGCAGGTTTTTGTTTTTTTTTTTTGAGATGGAGTCTCGTTCTATCATCAGGTTGGAGTGCAGTGGCACGATCTCGGCTCACTGCAACCTCTGCCTCCTGGGTTCAAGTGATTATCCCGCCTTAGCCTCCTGAGTAGCTGGAACTACAGCCGTGCACCAGGGCAACTGGTGCACATCCTCAGGGCAACTGTGACCTCACCACTTCTGAAATATTTTCTGTTCTTGCTGTCTACATATTTTTGTATATAGATACACACTTACTTGTTATTTAGCCATTTCCTTTGTGTTTATTTTGTATCCCCAGTTAGGTTGAAACTTCTAATAGGACAGTATCATATCTTAGCCACACCCAGCTAATTTTTGTATTTTTAGTAGAGATGAGATTTCACCATGTTGGCCAGGATGGTCTCAAACTCCTGACCTCGTGATCTGCCTGCCTTGGCCTCCCAAAGTGCTAGGATTACAGGTGTGAGCCACTGCGCCTGGTCTGGCATAGTTTTAACAAGGTCACTAGGTAATGGCAATGACCATCAAGGTTTGAAAATTAATGATCTAGTCATACTTCATCATTTAAAAAATGTATGCTCAGGCAGAATAACACTTCTTCATTTTTAAGATGAGAAAACCAAAGTAAAATTAGAAAAAATGAGTTGCCCAATATCACACAGCAACTCAGGTACAAATTTGGAAATGGAATCTAGGTTGTCTGACTGCCAGTCCCATGCCAAGGGGCAGGCTAATTCTTCTGGGGTTTCTTGAAACAAATGGCCAGTCATGTCAGTGTGCCCAGTATTTTAATAAAGCCAGTAATGCTGATATGGAACAGGCTCCCTTAGAAGGTAGTGAGATGGTCAAGTGTAGGACAAATGCTACCTAGAAGGACACCTGTAGATAAATGCATCAGATGGGTAGGTAGAATTTACCTTCCAGTTTTATATAAAGCTATTCTCTGCCAACTCATTTGTTAGAAGGCTGTGAGGAATTGAGGCCGTTTTTTTAAACACAAAAGCTTAATTTCTAATTATGAAAGGGAAACTGGGACAAGGACAGATGACCTATGGCAGTGATTTGAGCCTCTGGAAAACTGTCGCTCTTTAGTCTAATTCCTCACCACCTCTCACCTCATGGTTACTGCATCAGCTCTCTGACTGGGATCCATCCCACTGACATATCTCCAAAATACATTCCACTCACTGTTGCCAGAAAGATCTTCCAAGTGCACGGATTCCATCACGTTATTCTGCTGCAGAATCTTCAGTGACTCCCAATAGGGCAAAAGTCTAACCATCACATTGGCAGTCAAAACCTTTTTATAATGTCACTCTTATCCTATCTCTGAAAATTTTTCTCCTAGTATGCTGAACATCAACCCTGTTTGAGTCCAAATAGATTTTTACATTGTTTCTACTTTTTTTTTGAGACAGAGTCTCACTCTGTCACTCAGACTGGAGTGCAGTGGCGCAATCTCAGCTCACCGCAACCTCCGTCTCCCAGGTTCAAGTGATTCTCCTGCCTCAGCCTCCCGAGTAGCTGGGATTACAGATACCCACCACCATGCCCAGCTAATTTTTGTATTTTTAGTACAGTTGAGGTTTCACCATATTGGCCAGTCTGGTCTTGAACTCCTGACCATGTGATCTGCCCGCCTCGGCCTCCCAAAGTGCTGGGGTTACAGGCGTGAGCCACTGCGCCCGGCTTGTGTTCACTTTTAATGGCAACATATTTTCAAATTCCTTCGCAAATGCTGTTTACCTTAAAAGGTCCACCTCATATTACTTATTCATTAAGAAATACTTAATGTTCACTAACTACATGCTATGCACTGGAGATTCTTAGGAGAATAGTTCAGATATGATCTGTACCTTACAATCTGGCAGAATAGCATGGCATTAAATAGCTAATTACCGAAGATGTAAGGAGTGTTTCAAAAAGAGAGTAGGTGCCATAGACACATGTAATAGGGAGACATGCCTTATTACATGAGTTTTTCTCCTCAGGGCAACTGTGACCTTACCACTTCCAAAATCTTTTCTGTTCTTGCTGTCTATATATTTTTGTATATAGATACACACTTACTTGTTATTTTGCTGTTTCCTTTGTGTTTATTTTGCATCCCCAGTTAGATCGAAACCTCTTATAGGACAGTATCATATTTTAAACACTTTTTATAGCCCAGTTAATTACTAATGTAGCCTAAACAGGCACAAAAAATGCTTATTAAAGACAGCATTTCATTGTGCATGACAACTTTAAGGTGCTTTTACTTCCGTTGTTTTATTTGATCCTCCTGTTAATCTTATGAATTAGGTATTATGATCCCTGACTTACAGATAAGAAAACTGAAGCTCTGAGAATTTGAGCAACTTGTCTAAGACCAAACAACTGATAATTTATGGAGTCTGAACAAAAACCCAGAGAGTTTCATTCTTATTTAAAACTTTTTCCAGCGTAATGTGAATGAATAACAATCACGTGTAACAAACGGATGAATAAATGAATGACTCTCTTAACATTTCTCACCATTCCTCTTCCTCTTTCCATTTGTTTTTCTGCCTTACTTCTGTGCTCATCCATCTGCTTTATATTCTTTCTTTGTCTCTAACCATGCCTCCAGCTTGTTAGTGACAACTCTTCTCACTTCTGGGCTATGATCAGTTGTTTTGTAAGAGGTTCAGTAGCAAAGACGCAGTTGACCCCATCCAGTTGGCATTCTGTAGGCAGTTGTCTTAAGAAAGGTTTCCCAGAAAAAGACCCTGAAAGGAGGATGTGTGTGTGTGAGTTATTAAGAAAGTGCTTCCAGGAGAATCCAGTAAGGTGGTGAGGGAAACAGGACACGGAACGCAAAGAAGCCCAGAAATTTCTGCCAAAGCCCTAACTTCAGTTTGATTCCGCAGGGTATGCTGGAATGTGAAATACACACCAGCTTATCCCCACTGAGGCAAGGGAGCTGGGCTTTCATACTTCTTCACTAGTCTGTCATTGGCTAAAGACAACCCCAAGAGGATATAAATTCCAGATATTCAGCTTTCTGCACAAACAAAGCTCTTCTGAAGAGAGTCATGGTTGTGAGCCTTTAAAGCCAAAAGCCCATTGGAATTGGAGGAAGAGTATGCTGAAATAGTAAAAAACAAAACAAAACAAAAACAAACAAAAAATCCAAGGGGAATCTGGCCAGAGCACCAACAATATCTGCTAGGTCTAGGAACAATAATATAAGAATTTGTCACATTTTAGAGCATCACAAATGCCTTTAAGGATCTGTTGCATGCATTAGACCCTTACCTCAGAAAGTTGCAAATGTTTCGAGTTGGCCAGTATTCATAGGTCCCCAAACCCATGGGCCCTGTGTTAGCACTATCTGAGAGTCTTCAGTGAAGCTGTTCTACCTTAAAACTACTTCCCAGGCCTCCATTGCTAAGACTCTGCTCTCCAAGGAAATGTCATACGCTGAGCTGCGTAATCTCACATTACTTCATTACTCTAATAGTTACAGAGCAGAAGGAGGAGGCCTTTTCCCAGGCTGCCTGGTTTTAAGTTGCAGTAGTACTGCCATGTGACCTTAGGAAAATCTCAGTCCGATTAGCTAGAATGACATGAGGATAATGAATAATAACCTCCTTTAGCTGAGAAGTGTCCCTTGGGAGAGAAGGCACACAGACTGGAGACCCGGAGAATATAGATTGCTGTTCTCCGTGGAAAGTAGGGTGTAAACTCAGAAAATCAAAACCAAGCCTGTGGGCTTTGCTGGCACATCATACAAGGCAGCTTTTCAGCAGCCACCTCTCCGGCTCACTCATGGACTCCCTGGGCTCCACATCTATTACAATCAAAGACGCAACGTTTTCTTTTTTCCTCATTGTGGAGAGGTCCATTGGGTTTTGTCTTGACAGGTCAGGCACAACATGACAGATGGGGCTGAAGTTACAATCCCCCTCCCTCAGACCATCAGGATTACTCTATTACCCTCCCTCTCAGTCTTGGAGGATGAGGCCATGTTACTAGGCTGCTGCACTGAGGAAATGTTGAGCCTGACCTGATTGGAATCTCAATGGCAATTAAGGAAAGACTATACCTTGTCATCTGTATTTGAATCTCTAGAGTTGTCTCTAATTAATTATTTATTCTTTAATTTATAAGCTTATATTGTTTCCACTATCATAACAAACAATATTTAAAATAAAAAAATCTGGTTATAAAACAGAATGCAGAATATGGTCTCATTTATGGAGAAATATGTATGAGTATGGTTGTATGTGTTTTAAAAGTCTGGAAGTATTCCAGCAGCTTGTTATAAGTGGTTATCCCCTGGGAGTGGGGAAGGAGATGAGATCATATAAAGATTTTTACATTCTCTGCATGGTTTGGATATTTAACAATGAGAAGAAATACCATAATATTTTTCATAGAAAATTATTATTAAATCAGTTTCTCAAAGAAGTATATCTTTATTCTTTTTATTTAAACAACTATTTTCATCATTCCTTGGCCTATTTTAAGTCTTTCCACATATAACCATTATAATAATTATAGAGTATATATAATAATTTTTATTTGACATTTTCACTTAATGCTATTTCATTTACACTTTCCTAAGAACACAGTCTGCATATTTCTATTAATGGATGCTTAATTGTCCATTGATTCAATGTCTATTTTTATGACATAGTTTCCTTTGGAAATTATATGGTAACTTTTTGCCAATAAAATATAAAAAGGGTAGCTAACGGGAGGGAAAGTCTCAAATCTCAAGCAAGGACCCCTGACTTACCATCAGACAAAGAAGGGCTAGGTCATTTGGAAAACTGCCCTTGGCTTGTTTCAAGCACATACTTCCTGGTTTTTGGTAGACATTTACTGGACACCTACCTACCAAGCCAGTGTTATCCTTTGTATTTTATCTATGTTTCCTGAATTGTAGCATTATAAGAATTTCTTGTAGAAATCTGATTGGTGAAGATCATCTGAGTCCCAGCAGTCTACCAGCCAGCCCAAAGAAATAGTCTGAATTTGAAGACAAGCCTGCATCCCGTTTTACCATGTCAACCATGTAAGTCAAAGAGGAAACAAGAGTACAGTTCTCCAAAGTGTGGGGACAAGATGAACATCAAGCATTATCCTCTTGTGGCCATAGAAAGGTTCTTTCCAGGACCAGGCCTTTGGGCTTGTAGAAGAGCTTCCTTCTTCTCTTATCTCTGTAATTCCCACCTTAACCTTCCTCTGCAACCATTGCTCAGGAATATATGACAGCTCTCTCTTCCTTCCCTTGGATGTTTTTCTCCCTTTGGCTCCAAATTTAATCAACATATGAACATACAGCCATAGACTATTGATCCTACAAGCCATTCCCTCCGATTTATAGGAGAGAGGGTCAAAGAGAGAATAATTTGCTCAAAGGCATATAGCATCCACCAGCCCTGTGAATGATGGAGGTTGGGAGAACCTCTTAAAACATGTGGCTGTGTGCGACTATCCATGTTTGCTTGCTAATATGTATCTCCATTTTTACATTTCCATATTAGGCTATCTCTGGCCTCTGTTCGTGAAGATTCTCGGGTATCCTCAGCTGGAAGTTAATGCTCTATCAAACAAAACCCATCTGTGCTTCTTTCATGATACTTACCATTTTTTGTTGTGTTATGAGTGTTCTTGCATTTGTATAATCTTTATGCTTAGATCCCCAGTTCTTTGGGGGAAAGAATTCATGTTCTTACATATACATTTCCTAGAGAGCATAATAAAATAGCTTGTTTAGTTAGTGATGGTTGAAGAAAGTGCATCACTTTTCTTCTTGAAGGGTTCACAATAATTTTTGGTAGAACAGAATGATATAAAGGCTTAGGAAATTGGACTATCATATTACATTAGTTAAGGCTTTGGAGTCTCAAAGACCTCTGCTGAAATGGCAGCTCCACATTTAGTTGCCACAATGCCTCAGGCAAGTTACTGAACTCTATGAGCTTCAATGACCTAATCTGTACACTAGAGGAAGTAATACATATCTCATGGGGTCATAACTGTTTTAAATGAAGCAATATATGTAATTAGCACACTTATTTGCCTAGAACATGCAGTTATTAAATTATACTTATCATTAATTACTGTTAGACACTGGTAGTATTAGTAACACGATTTGCTGGCAAAGATCATTAGGCTCAAATGTTTAAAATGTTGGGAGGAAAAAAGAAAGCAAGTGGCTTCTACTCTAATTTACCTGCCACTGCCTGTCCTGACCAATTCCTCTGATGCCTACCCTAGGCTCAAAATTAACATCTTAATGCTTATCATAGATACTAAAACAATGGTAGGACCAAGAATTAGACTGGCCATTTGGCAGGAAGAACAAATATCTTTCTTATTCTAGTATTTGTTTTACCACCTAAAATGCATGCAGGCTACAAAAATTAGCCGGGCGTGGTGGCGCACGCCTGTAATCCCAGCTACTCACTCGGGAAGCTGAGGCAGGATAATCATTTGAACGCGGGAGGCAGAGGTTGCAGTGAGCCGTGATTGTGCCACTGCACTCCGGCCTGGGCGACAGAGTGAGAATCTGTCTCAAAAACAAAACAAAACAAAAAAAAACATGCATGGAGGCTAGTATATGCTACCATGGACAGAGATGATGACATGGTTTCTCTTGGGTTCATCCAAAATACTTTGAAAACTCTCATAGGAAGTCAGCAATAAAAGACAGAGGAATCTTTTTTTTTCCTTTTCTCTTCTTTTAAGTGTTAGGAGATGGACAGCCTGCTTAATGATAAATGAGTATGCCCCTCCTCACTCTGGTGTGAAAGGCATATATTTAATCCTAAAAATACAGGGAAAATTACCAAAGTGAAAACGTATTCCCTGGAGAAATAGAGATAAGAATGCTGATGCTTACGGAAGTGCTGTTGCTTGTGGATTTGTGAGGCTGATGGAATACTGATGTTTACATTAAGAGCAGCTTGCAATTGTATTGGAAACAAATGCTTACCATTGCATTGCTGAAATGAAGACATATGCAATAAAAATGTTCTGCATAGGAATATACAGATGCATAGCAATTATTATCACTGTGAGACTATAGCTGCATGATTATGGAATTCCACATTTCAATAGAAAATGAGAATAGGAAACATAAACATTGTCATTATTTAAATTGCAATAAGCAATTACATTAGATAATAAAAGATGAGAGCAAAAATATTTCAATTTAGCTAGCATAGATGCTACAAAAATCTTCCATTATATAACAATATTTTCAAAATGATATTGATATTTATATACAAAATTTTAAATAATCTCAATAAATTTTCAAACATGAAGGAAAGGAAAATAGCCAGAAACCCTAGATGCTCAAATCCTGATCTCCTACAAGACCTCTCCCCCATCTTCTCCACCCTCTGTGATGAGATTCCCAGGGATCTGCAGGCAGAAGACAAGGTCACTTGTTTTATTACAAGCAGTGTTTTATTCGAAACCTCAATGTAACCTCTAGTAATTTTGTTTATTCAGACTTGAAAAAGAATGAATCTGTGGCTTTTTTTTTCTTAGCAGCAGCAAGCTTTTTATAGTTGTTAGTGCATACATAGCACTGTATCAACATCTTTTAGATAAGGTAAACATAATGTACAACCTTTAAATGTTAGTAATTATTGTTTTATATAGGTTTAATAGACAATATAGCTTTCTTTCCCCAAAGTATTGATACCTGACTACCAGACTCTATAATGACTATAACTGCCAGCCATGTTTCATATCAACTTGGTTTATTATAATCTTTTACAACATGAAAATAGAAAATCTTAATGTGGACAGGCCTGTTGGCTCACGCCTATAATCCCAGCACTTTGGGAGGCTGAGGTGGGTGGGTCACCTGAGCTCAAGAGTTCAAGACCAGTCTGAGCAATGTGGTGAAACACCATCTATACTAAAAAAAAGAAAAATACAAAAATTATCCAGGCACCATAGTGCACACCTGTAGTCCTAGTCCCTCGGAAGGCTGAGGCACGAGAATCGGTTGAACCTGGGAGGTTGAGGCTAGAGTGAGCCAAGATTGCGCCACCGCATTCCAGCGTGGGCAACGGAGCGACACTGTCTCAAAAGAAAAGAAAATCCTAATATGCAATTATAAGTCATCAGAAATGGGAGAAAGTGTTTGGTGACTTGTCAGATAATTATAGACATTGAGATCAGTGAAGAGCCTGGAAAGATGGAGAGAAATTTCACTGAAGGTTACTTCAACATTCTTTCACATACTAATTGGGATTATCATGTCCAAAGCTGGAAGGCTGGATATTTTAACTTGGGAGAAAGCAGGAAATGGATTAATTATCCACTTTTCAGTTGCTTTAATTCTTAATTTATATTTTGCTGTGACATTTGTATGCATTTTTAAAAGGTGCTTAGTTCAGTATTGATCTTTCTGATGGAAGGAAAAAAATCCTCAGATTCTGAGAAAGATCCAAATTCTTGATGAAAAAGCTGGCTTCACCATAATTCAGTCTTTTAAATATGTTTTGATATATTTTCCTAAACATTAAACATTATATTTTATCTTTAGGATGATAGATTCAAGCTATTCAGATATTGACTATAGTGTTGAGACACCTCATTTGAGTAAGCCCCTTAAAATCGTAGAGATGGTCTTTGCTGACTTTAGCAGTGCCACGAAAAAAAAGGTTCATTTCATCCTGTATTCAACCACTCAATGCAAGCACCTTTCCCCTCAACAGTTAGCCAACTTACATATCGTGACAGTCTTGTACTTGCTGCTTATTTCTTTGAACAGCAGGCTGAAAAGCCATACACTCAGGCTCTACAATTGAATCAGACTCATAGGTTTTACAATTCCTTTCAACACCAAATTAAGATCAGAAGGTATTTTGACGACTTCCAGTTGGTGACCTGTTCTCTGACAATAAACAGTCTGTGGACTGGCATTCAAGAGCAGCCCCCATTATCCTTGTGGTAAAGCCCTTCCTTACTGCACACATAGCTGGTGCACCTTTGGTTCTGACCCCAATGTGCCATTTCCAGTCTACCTCTTGGCTCACAAAAACAAGTGTTATCTAAATGAGAAATGTCTCTCCTGTAGTGTGTTTTTAAGGATAAGCAAAATAAGAAGTCATTGGGCACTTTTTCTTATTCGAAGTACATTTGCCAAAGGCTGATCCACACTCTGCATTAAAAAATGCTTTGATCTCACTCTAAAGGGCAGCATGCCCGTGGGATGCTGATGGCTCAATCACATCCTATGCTATTGGCAGAATGTAACATCGAAAAGGTGCCATTTGATAAGTTTGCCAATAACTCATTCTTCTTTCTCTCCAAATAAAATATTATCAATGACTTTGTTTCTGGTTTTATAGACTTCTTGGAAATAGAGTGACTTGTGCCTATTTTTGCTCTATGTAACGACAATTACTTATTTTGATGCCTGAGTAGTTTAGATGCATGAGTCATATTTTCTCATGTCTTATTTTAATAACAAATTAATCAATTTTCTATTTGAAACATTAATTTTTTTTGCTTATTCCAAAATATTGTGATTGGTTTATCAGGAAGGCCACTGTCCTTTGTTTTAGAATGATGTGACAATCTCATTGCTCCATGCATTATATGACATGACATAGACAACAAAACTGGGGAGCAGATGGATCACTTGTGCAGTAATATCTGATGTTCAAATATTCACTCTTTATTTTCTATGTGTAGTTCCCATTTCCAGATGCTTATGTAAAATCATCACACCTTCTGATTCATTAGAATTGTATTTGTCTTATTATCATTTTTTTTTTCGGAGACCAGGTCTAGCTCTGTTATACAGGCTGGAGTGCAGTGGCATGATCATAGCTTGCTGCAGACTTGAACTCCTGGGCTCAACAGAGCCTCCCACCTCAGCCTGCTGAGTAGCTGGGACTATAGGCATGCGCCACCATGCCTGGCTAATTAAAAACACATAATTTTTTTTTTGTAGAGGCAGGGCAATCCGCTGTATTACTTTTTACATTAACTACTTTAATGCTTTAATGACCCACTTTTGAGCCATTTTCGAAGAATATAATGCAACATGGTAGGAATAATTAAAACTGTTAATTTGATGAAAAAATTAATAACATGCAAATGATGGAGAAATTTGTTTGCTTTTTAAAAAGCAAACTGTTAATTAATATGAACAATCAGGCTGGGCACAGTGGCTCATGCCTGTAATCCCAGAGCTTTGTGAGGCCAAGGCGAGTGGATCACTGGAGGCCAGAAATTTGAGACCAGTCTGGGCAACATATTGAGACTCCTGTCTCTACAAAGAAATTAAAAAATTAGCCGGGTGTGGTGGTGCACACTTGTAGTCCCAGGTACTTGGGAGGCTAAGGTGGGAGGATCCCTTGAGGCCGGAAGGTTGCAGCTGCAGTGAGCTATGATTGTATGCGCTGCACTCTAGTCTGGATGACAGAGCGAGACCCTGTCTTTAAAAAAAAAAAAAAAAAAGAACAACCAATTTAGTCATTACAGTATCTTGTATAAAGTTTATGAATATAATTTGGAGAATATAATTTCATTCTTCAAATTATTTTCCTAAACTTTACATAATAAGGTTTCTGAGAAAAATAACTTCAAATTTATGAAAAGTATATTGCTTCACCTTTCTCTCTGTCTTTAAACTGACAGCTTAAAAGATCTAAGTAAGAGGGGCTGCTGATAATGGCCTGAGGACCATATTTTGTTCTGACTTAAGTTCACTGTGCTTACCATTCCTTCATGGGGAGGAAAGTTAAGTCTGAGAAAAGCAAACCAAAGAAAGGAATTTCTCTCTATGTTCCACAGCAGGGCTTGCCAGAGGTGTACGAAGGGCAGGGCACAGGGAACAGTCAATCTGCCCCTCCCAGGACAGGAGGAGTGTTTGATCACAGATATTGTTTAGAATTATTGGTGCATGCTGATAATAAACAGAATTTTAGTTGTTCTGTTATTGCTTTTAAATTATTTATAGACAATTCACACCTTTATTGTTTATACCTGGGGCAGACCACTCTCACTCCCAGCCCTTAGCAGGCCACATTGGCTGGCCTAATAGGAACACTCCGTGCTAAGAGGGCCTGGGAGAGACTCACATGGGATGAATCCGAGGCCTGTCTTACCTTTGATAGCTTTATAAATGAAGAGAGAGAGGCTACCAAGAGGGAAAATACACACACACACACACACACACACACACACACACACAGAGATAGAGAGAGAGAGAGACAGAGAGAGAGAGGGAGAGAGAGAGAGAGAAAGGCGTTGAGGGAGAAAGAGAAAGATTATTTTGGTTAGCATAGGACCTGATAAATGATCCTGATCTTGACCCCTTCATTTCTGCACCATTTCTACTCTTTTGAGGAGACTGAGGTACAAGTGGGAGTAAGGGGTCCAGGAGAAGGGGAACAGAGAGGACTCTGGAGATTTTCTGAAAGACAGTGGGAAGAAGTCTCTGAGTAGCTTGGGTGTAATATGATTCTCAAAGTGTAGGCATTGGTTCATTTTTCACAGGATTTCCGAGATGAAATGCAAATTTGCTAAAGTTTATGGTGCTGAGAATGTGCTTAGTCAACAGAGTGTATCAAAATCCTGAGCTGAGGTGAAATGGGGAAGTCGGAACGCCAGTGCGGACACCAGGGAGGCTGCTAAGAACATAACCGCTTCTCATCTTGGGTCTCCAGTCACAGATGCGCTGATCTGTCTTACCATATTACCCCTACGCTGAGCATGGCACAGACAACCAGCGGAGCTAGTGGGCTACCTGTAATGCACTAGAAATCCAACTCATGAAATTTCCATTTTTAAAAAGCCTTTTAAATATTCGGCTGTTTTCACATTAGGTTTTCCTAAAGTGACGTACACTTGTACACTCGGGGCATTCGGTTTCACCAGTAAGTAAGTGGAAGCTGAAGTAACCTGAGCTTTTCTTATTTACTTGAGGAAAACTGATGACCTGGGAAATTGCTTGGTGATTAAGGAAAGGGTATTCTCTCTCCTCCACGGAAGTCCTCCAACCCTATGGTGAGCAAACGTTGTTATGAGAGCTTTTGAACAGCAGGTATTAGTCCCCCACCACTATTCTGGTTTTAGTCAAGAAAATTCAACTAACTCATTAAACACTCGCTGAATGGTTATTATGAGCCAGACCCCTAGGTCGGGAGCTAGAGTTATGAAAATGTGTCTCACAGATATACACAGTTAACTATATTAGAAGGCAAACATCAACCAGTGCAATAAAAAAGGCACAAACAAAAGCTTCTAGATTGAGGGTGTGTGTGTGTGTAGGGGGACATGCATCATTTTTGAGCTCAGGTAATTTATTTGATCTCTCTGTCATCACCCTTATAAACATGCAGGCAAACTTAACGACTTTTGTGAGGCTTAAAAGAGATAACATTACAGGTTCTTAACAAAGTACTGTCCCCTCCTCCTCCTATCTCCTCCACTCCCACACTATAGACTTGTAGGCAGGGACTGAATTGTGCATGTCACCATGTCCTGTATGGTATCTATTCTAGTGCTTGACTTTAATTATGCTCAATAAATGTAGACTTGGATGAATAGTTCACTGATTGTGCTTAGGAAAGGGCCAAAAATGACAAATAGGAAAAAGGAGGAGAAAGAAAAAGAAAGAATTGCTCCAAGCACTGTTGATAAAACACAAATAATCAGGTAGGTAGGGCAAATGGAGGCATTTATGCAGATGGAAAAGATGGGTTCAACAAATTATTAATACCGAATGAGTGTAAGTTATCAATATGAGATAATATTATCCACTTTTCCCCTGTCTGTGTTTGGCTAGCTGGTATTACTTAGAGCACACTAATAATGTATAATTAGAAATGATATTTTATAGCAGCACAGCAATTTGAAGCAGACATTCTACCACACTTGTCAGTGATACTCCATACCTCTCTTAATTCCTACCTCCTTCTCTTGAGGTACTGAATGAGGTACTGGTGAGATCTCCTAATGTCACCAGATGATCTAAAAAGAATTGGCAAAAGAATTTGAAAAGGGAAAGCTCCAGCCCAACAGTTATTGTCACTTAAAAAAACTATGATATCAAACAGTAAATCTGTCTGATTTTACCTGTAGAATAAACTCATTATAGAACAACCACTTAATAGACCAAGTATTTCAGTGCATATAGACCTATGCGAGAGGACATTAACTGTCTGTCTTCTTTGCAAATATTATGACCACCATCAAATCCACACCAGCCTGGATTATGTACACCAATCCCTATGAAAAAGAGGTCAAAACCACTCCAAACAGAAAGGCAGGATGTAGTTAATCTCTCTTTCTCTACACTAGTATTGTAACTTTTTTGAGGCCAACCTTTAACTCTCTCAAGTGGCATTTTTAGGAAGCTATATAAGCTGATGAAAAAATTGTCGTACTGGCAAGACTGGTCCTAAAATTTACTTCTTTTTATTGGGCAGCATTCAGCATCCATTTGGTCTACAATTCTGGACGGACTCTCTTAATGCCATCCAGGTCACTGATGAGAATGTTAAAATAACTCTCCAGTCCTCCCCCCCAACACCCCCTTACCCCAGTTCCAACCTTGAGACTGTTCACTTCCACCCACCATCTATTTAGCACCCCTGCTCTTCTCCCTTGAATTATTTATGTATTTGTATCCCTGAGTAGAATGTAAATTATTTGGAGGGCACAGACCATGTTTCATTCACCTTTACATTTCCTAATTGCCCTTTGCACAAAGATTTTGAGATATGATAAGCATTTGCTAAATAAATATTCAGTAAAGTAGGCCAAATTATATTGTCAGTGAACACTGGAGTCTCGATTATACAGAAGAATGTTCATTGCCATTCTAAAATTAATCCTAATTCACGTTGTGTATTATAGTTTGAAAAACATTCAGACCAAAAATTAATATGAGATTATAAACATATTGGATATGTCTATATATATTCCATATTGTTGACTGAGGCTTTTCCTGGTCTAATGCCCATATGTTTGAGTTGACTTTAAAGAAATTCTTAAAGAAAGAATTAGGCATTTGCAATCTGTGCTAACAAGATAACGTTAAACTGCTATAAGCATATTTCATTAGATAGAAGTAAATCCCCAATTAGCTTAAGACTGTAGCAGGTTAAACAAATTATAATATTTATATTGTCAGATAATGCCATACTGAAGAAAAATTATCCGTGTCAGCCAGATAAAAGTACAGCATATATTACTCAACTTCAGGGATTTAAGATATGAGAGCTAAAATATCCCTTAGTATTACACAAATGCAGAAGCCAGGAGTTCAAATACGTACGGAGGTCAGGCCAGAAACCTAAACTCTTACAGTGGGCGGGTAGAATACCATGCAGAGAGGTAGGGCCTATCTCTCTAAAGGGCAATGGTTGTCAGCTCCAGGTTTTGGTTACCACATGGAGATAAACCCTGGATATTGTCACAGAAGAAGAAAAGTTGCAAGTCTAGACACTTGTGAGAAACATCTTGAGTTTTAAATGGCCCCAAATTCAATTTTTGGGATCAAAATCAAGTGTAGGCCAAAGAAAATCCATCTATATGTCAGATTTAGTTCCATAGGTCATCAGTTTCTAGATGAGCCAAACACTATACATGATCTTTAAGGTACCATTTGGCCTCAGATTGTGCTAGTACATATTTAGTTAGCAGTTTAATATAGTTAGCAAGAATTCTTCCACATTTTCTGCCAGATGTTGCTTATTTTACTAAAATTATCAAGTCATATTTAAACAATACATTGCAAACTATTTTTGGGAAAAGAAAGATAACTACAGAGAACAACTGATAGGTGTAACCAGGTAAAAACTTGGCCAAATCTCAAGCAGCTACATGGAATCACTCACAGATTTTTATCTTCACATTTTTTTGTGATTTCTAGGCTAGATTTATGCATTGAGACTGCTAAATGAGATTTTGTGTTTTTTTTGTTTTGTTTTGTTTTGTTTTGAGATGGAGTCCTGCTCTGTCGCCAGGCTGGAGTGCAGTGGCACAATCCCGGCTCACTGCAACCTCTGCCTCCCGGGTTCAAGCGATTCTCCTGCCTCAGCCTCCTGAGTAGCTGGGACTACAGGCGTGCGCCACTACGCCCAGCTAATTTTTGTACTTTTAATAGAGACGGGGTTTCATCATGTTGGACAGGATGGTCTTGATCTCTTGACCTTGTGATCCGCCCGCCTCGGCCTCCCAAAGTGCTGGGATTACAGGCGTGAGCCACCGCGCCCGGCCAAGATTTTGAAAAGAAAAAATAAACTGAAATGGAATCACTTATTTTATTCTGACCTCATGCTTTCTTTGGGTGTTTGAGAGGAATGTCACAACTGTAACTATGCAGCTGCAAATGTCTGGTGGCTTTAACACAAGAATTATTAATTTGTTGGACTTACACATATTCATTTCTCCACACTTTTATTGAGCACACTATATCCAAAAGCGGATGTCAATGAGCAATTAATGTTTCTAAATGCAATTATATTCTAAAACCACACTAACATCTTCACATTTTAATAGCTGTTCATTATTACACAGACACAGACACACACACACACACACAAAGAGTAATAGCAAGTGCTTATGCCGATGTCTTGGAAAATTCATATGCCAGAGTCTAGAAAAGACACTCTGAGGCTAGGTCTAATAGCACAAATTAGTTTAAGTGTTACAAATGATTTGATTAGTTAAGTTAGTTTGAAAAATAGAGAGATGTCAAAAAGCTCTTCAGTCTTCCTTCAGATTATTCAGATCACACTTCCTTGACATCTCTTTCACAAGGCAGCAGCCTCTCCTAGCATGCCTACTCTTTCCATAACTTTCCAGTAAATCCAAGCAATTCGGTAATTAAATAACTTTGTATTCTTTCAGTAAACAGTCTCTGTGTACTTACTAGATGGAAAGCTCTTCACGAGGCAGTTAGAAGAAGGGCTGGATGTGACACTTGTCCTCAAGCAGCTTAGAGAGTGAAAGGAGATTCCTAGAGTCTAGAATAATGTGCAAGGCCCTTAGCAATCACTGTCCTTCTTCATTCAAAAAGCCTACCTTATGCCAAATAGAGCGGAGAAGAAGATGGGCATGTTCTTGCCTTTATAGGACATAAAATGTTAAAATGTCTCATAAAATTAAACAAATAATAAAATATACTCTAATATACATAAAATTCAACAAATAACACAACAGTTTTCAAGTCCATAAAGGGTTACAAAGAAATCTAGAAATTTATAGGAGCTTGTCATCCCTTTAGCCTCTTCTCTTGTCATGACCTTCTTAAATTTTGTATTCCGCCAAAATAGAACCGCCTGTGGATCCCTGTACACAACACATTTCATGCCTTGGTATCTTTCCATATGTCAGTTTCTCTACTTGGAGTCCCCCAGCTTTCTACGATTTGTCTACCTGTCAGCTCTTATTCATCTTTTCAGAGCCATCTGTTTCAGACATCTCTCGTGCAGCACTTCAAAGTCTCTCAGCCTCATTTGTCTCTTATTCCAATTACTGCAGCTACTCTGTGAGGACTTTGACCAGCTTCATGCATGTGCATTTTGACAGTGACTTGCCTCACACCCCCACCCTGTGCCTCTCACTTTCCACATTCAATGCCCACATATGCAAATGCAGAAGTGCCAGCAGTTAATGCTCTGAAGGACAAACTCTGGGCAGTCTTAAGAAAGTTTGTATGGCTCCTCAGAGGATCCTCTAAAGAAAAGAGAAACGAAATAAAAGGAGAAAAGAAAAGTGACAGGAGGAAAGAAGGGAGGGAGGGAGGAAGAAAGAATCAGCAAAGGAAGGAAGGAGGAAGAAAAAGGATGTGGACATAAATAATGAAGTCTGGCTAAGTCATGGTAGATATCATCTGAAAGATACTAACACAGAATGTGTACTGAGAATTTAGAAAAAATATAATAGTGATAATGTGAATCTAGTGTGATAACAGATGTGAGTCAAACATCACAGTAAAATAAGAGTGGTAATTAGTAATTAGTAAGTATTATTGGGCTGAGTGCAGTGGCTCATGCCTGTAACTTTGGGAGGCCAAGGCAGGATTGCTTGAGCCCAAGAGTTTAAGACCAGCCTTGGCAACATAATGAGACCCTGTCTCTCCAAAAAAAAAAAAAAAAAAAAAAATTGGTTGGGCATATTGGCATGTGCCTGTAGTCCCAGCTATTTGGGAGACTGAGGTGGGAGGATTGCTTGAGCCTAGGAGTTCAAAGGCTATAGTAAGCCATGTTCATACCACTGCACTCCAGCCTGGGTGACAGAGCGAGTGAGACCCTGTCTCAAAAAATATATGCAATAAATGTTCATGACTGACTGGAAATTCTAGTTCTAAGAGAAAAACTATCATCCCATGGTGTGAGTACATCTAATGTGGCCAGTGGATCAGAGAAGAGAAAAGGATAAAGAAGCATCAGTTCTTGGGATCTGCACAAAGTGGAGAAATTATTAATTTCACCTCTTTGGAAGCTGTTTCAAAGATGGCACAGTGGCAGAAGGTCTGAGCCAGATATAGGAGCATGGGGATTGGCAGAAGCTACTTAAGTCTTTATCTCAAGTGATATTACAATGCTGTAAAAATGGGGCTAAAACTTCACAATAACCAGCATTTCAATAGGAATTCAAGTAGTTTTACTGCACTGGTAAAAAAAATCTGATTCTGCTTGCGTTTTATCAGGTTTTGATTTTGTATTTATATTAAAAAAAACTACAGTGTTTTAGCTCTGAGCATCTACAGTGAGTGAAGAAGCTCGCTTTTTAAGTGAATTTTTAAAGTGATAAATGTACAACATATGGAGAAGCCTCTGGCAGTGATTCTCAAACATTATTGACATAATAAACACAAAGGAGATATTGAATTGCAAATTTCTGAGCACTGGACTAGCCCTTCTAAATCAGAATTTTGGGGGTATGACCCAGGAATCTGTATTCTTAGTCTGTACCTTATGTTATTTTGATACAATCCTAAATTCTTGGAATTTTGAAAAACACTGGCTTAAATAAGCATGCAAAATTAATGTTAATCAGTCAAAAGTATACGTGTGTGTATTAGTCTGTTAAAGTAAACATGTACAAAGACTAACAGCGGATAACTTTTGCTATTCATCATAATTAGTCAAATAAGTGAAATACTTATAATCTCAAAGAGAGGAAACATCTTTGACTATAGCATTAGCCTCATCAGAGTGTAAATCTGAAAAAATGTCACTCTTAATTTAAAATGAAAATTGATCAGTGTTGCAAAAAAGAATCTAAAACAATAAAAACTCACGAAAGTATCACAAACAAATAAAAAGCATGGAGTTTAAATTTTCACTCTGTAGTGGGCTATTTTAACTATGAAAACTTTTCTGTTGTATTCTTCAGACGTCTGAGGATTCCCCAGTCGGTGAGGTCCCTCTGTACTTTCATACCAAAGTCACTGTCAAGGGTCTCCATGACACCTCTATGCAGGAAGAGCTGAGGTTAACAAGCCTACCCTTGTCAAGAACTTCTGGAACCTCCTTGGGAGTGGTAAGGCGTTGCCATTCCATCCAGGTTGTTGTCTGTCCCTCTAGTCAGTACATGGCTTCTTACTAACCTGAGAACTTTGCTTAAGCTGTTGCTGCTCTCTTAGCACCACTTCAGACAGACCATGAATGGAAACCCTTTTATTAAGAGGTGATTTAGAGGATTTTTGATGATAATTGGAGGGAATTACAATACAGAGAACTTAAACATAGATATGCTGCTGTTAGAAAGAGACCACGGTCCTAAGATCTTCATCATTGATCCCCTAGTAGGCAACTTCTTGTCTAGCTGCCTGTGATCTCACTGTTTCATAGGTCTGCCAAGCTGTTTAATCTCTGGACTGCGGCTGTGATGGGGTTCAGACTGCTTTCCCCAATGGAAGACCCAATAATTATACTCCCTTCTCCAGAACCCTAGCCCCAATTCCTTGAATTCCAGAAATAAAATCGTTTTCCCCCTCCTCCAGCCAAAGCCCCACCTCCTACAGTCATTTTTATTCAGGATTGACTATTTTCCGGGATAATTTTTGTTGGGAATGCCACTTCTCTTGAGAGGCTATTCCAACGTTACAGAGTAATATACTCTTTGCCCCTTCATATCCAAAATATATTGGACCATAAGATATTTTTATAATTATCATCAGTATATATCTCAAATATCTTTATTCAGCATCATTATAATTTTCAGAGTCCAGGTCATTCAATCTTGAATAACACCATCTGGAAGACTTTAGTCCTTCCATCAAGTTGAACAAAATATATTTCTATATCAAAGGCTGTTCTCCAGCATGAGGCTATGACCAGGCCTACGCAACCATCTAATTCTTTCTGAGATCTTATCCTTACCTTCTGAGTGCAACAGTTTAGGTAATAGCATGCATATCTACCAAAATCCAGCAATAACATATAAGCATAAATAATACTAACATAATCTGGAATGACAAACATCTATTAAAAATTAATCCTATTTATATTACTAACCAGAACTTTAATTTCTCAACCCAAAATATCAGTATTTGGGTCATTATACTGTACATAAAAGTCTTCCCCCAAAACGGTAAATAGATACTTGATCTTTCTAGTAGATTCTGCACATATTCCTCCCCCCCAAGTAAGGTAATCATCTCCAGAAAGTTCCAGTTTCCATGCCTTAGAAAGCAGAAGTAGTCTGTATCTTTAAATAACACTTTTTCCAGTTTCTCCCTGTCAAGAGTTAAAAAAAAAAAAGTATGACCTTTTAAACACGAGTTATTTAATTTATTTACTTGGTTAGTTGCTTTGCTTTGATGGTTTGGTTTAGTTTTGGCTTAGGAAGTACATCCTATAAGTGGGATGATTACCCACGCACATTTCTTCTTTAAACGACTGCTGTTCATTCTCCTCTACAGAGTTAATCTTTGTCCTTGTTTCCCAATTGTTAAAATGAGAACAAAATAATACTTGCAGGGAATGGATTAATCTATGTAAACCACTAGCCACATGCTAAGTGGCTTTGCTGTTGCTACTTATCTTCAGTGAGAAATTATCTTAATGCTATGTAGGTGACAGTAATTTGTTGAAGTCTGGTGAGAAACAGCACAATAAACACGTGAAAGTGACATGTAACAGTAATAAGCATCGTGGCCCATTCCTTATAGATTGAATATTTGAATTGGATGTATATGTTCAAACTCTCTGCGAATATACTGAGAGTGATTTGACATCAAATTAATATGCTTATTAATTGGCAAATAAAGACATTATCTTTAAAATTTTGTAAATTTCCATTCTTGATGAAATGAGTAGAAATTTAAATATTATTCCTTTTATCCTTCCATTTTATATCTCTCTTTAAATTCTATTATCTATCTATCTATCATCTATCTTAGCACAGAGCCTTGAATGTTGTAGAAAGAGGAAAGTACTAAGTACTATAAGACTTCTGCTTCCAAGAACTCATAGCTGACTTACTTTCAAATTATTTCTTGTTTTGTAATAGCTGCATAAAGGTGAATGCACCAAAGACATTCTTTGCCATTTTAGTACAAACTTATTTTTGAACCCCTTTTTTAATTTACATGACATTAACCAAAATAGATTCAAAGAGTAAATGTACAGTTTTGGCAAGTAGAATTTTGCTGGTCAAATAGTACCCTAATAAAATTAATTTGCAAACTGGAAGTAAAAGAAGAGTAAATGAGAGAGACATCAATGCTATCTGCATTACAAATTCCTAGAGAACACAAGAGAAGTTCTCCTAATTATATAATCTTATTACTAGTAACAATTTCTGTCTTGTATTTATGTACTCCTTCTCACCTATGCAATTCAGAAAACAGAGTATACTACCACTTTTAGATTAAAAGGAGTAGTTTATATCAGACTAAACTCCTGCTGAAAGTAACTATAAAAGCTGAATAAAACAGACAACACAGATGTTGAAATCACCAGGCAGCAACTAAAGCAGCTATAATGTGAAGGATCGTGACAATCAATAAAAAGGCTTTAGAGAAGTAAGCCCATTGTGGTTTTGATTTGCATTTCTCTGATGGCCAGTGATGACGAGCATTTTTTCATGTGTCTGTTGGCTGCATAAATGTCTTCTTTGGAGAAGTGTCTGTTCATATCCTTCGCCCACTTTTTGATGGGGTTGTTTGTTTTTTTCTTTTACATTTGTTGGAGTTCTTTGTAGATTCTGGATATTAGCCCTTTGTCAGATGAGTAGGTTGCAAAAATTTTCTCCCATTCTGTAGGTTGCCTGTTCACTCTGATGGTAGTTTCTTTTGCTATGCAGAAGCTCTTTAGTTTAATTAGATCCCATTTGTCAATTTTGGCTTTTGTTGCTATTGCTTTTGGTGTTTTAGACATGAAGTCCTTGCCTGTGTCTATGTCCTGTATGGTATTGCCTAGGTTTTCTTCTAGGGTTTTTATGGTTTTAGGTCTAATATTTAAGTCTTTAATCCATCTTGAATTAATTTTTGTATAAGGTGTAAGGAAGGGATCCAGTTTCAGCTTTCTACATATGGCTAGCCAGTTTTCCCAGCACCATTTATTAAATAGGGAATCCTTTCCCCATTTCTTGTTTTGGTCAGGTTTGTCAAAGATCAGATGGTTGTAGATGTGTGGTATTATTTCTGAGGGCTCTGTTCTGTTTCCTTGGTCTATATCTCTGTTTTGGTACCAGTACCATGCTATTTTGGTTACTGTAGCCTTGTAGTATAGTTTGAAGTCAGGTAGCATGATGCCTCCAGCTTTGTTCTTTTGGCTTAGGATTGACTTGGCCATGCGGGCTCTTTTTTGGTTCCATATGAACTTTAAAGTAGTTTTTTCCAATTCTGTGAAGAAAGTCATTGGTAGCTTGATCGGGATGACATTGAATCTATAAATTACCTTGGGCAGTATGGCCATTTTCACGATATTGATTCTTCCTATCCATGAGCATGGAATGTTCTTCCATTTGTTCGTGTCCTCTTTTATTTCATTGAGCAGTGGTTTGTAGTTGTCCTTGAAGGGGTCTTTCACATCCCTTGTAAGTTGGATTCCTAGGTATTTTATTCTCTTTGAAGCAATTGCAAATGGGAGTTCACTCATGATTTTGCTCTCTGTTTGTCTGTTATTTGTGTATAAGAATGCTTGTGATTTTTGCACATTGATTTTGTATTCACAATGAGATACCATCTCACACCAGTTAGAATGGCGATCATTAAAAAGTCAGGAAACAACAAGTGCTGGAGAGGATGTGGAGAAATAGGAACAGTTTTACACTGTTGGTGGGACTGTAAACTAGTTCAACCATTGTGGAAGACAGTGTGGCGATTCCTCAAGGATCTAGAACTAGAAATACCATTTGACCCAGCCATCCCATTACTGGGTATATACCCAAAGGATTATAAATCATGTTGCTATAAAGACACATGCACACGTATGTTTATTGTGGCACTATTCACAATAGCAAAGACTTGGAACCAACCCAAATGTCCATCAATGATAGACTGGATTAAGAAAATGTGGCACATATACACCATGGAATACTATGCAGCCATAAAAAGGATGAGTTCATGTCCTTTGTAGGGACATGGATGAAGCTGGAAACCATCATTCTCATCAAACTATTGCAAGGAGAAAAAACCAAACATCACATGTTCTCACTCATAGGTGGGAATTGAACAATGAGAACACTTGGACACAGGAAGTGGAACATCACACACGGGGCCTGTTGTGGGGTGGGGGGAGGGGGGAGGGATAGCATTAGGAGATATACCTAATGTGAATGACGAGTTAATGGGTGCAGCACACCAACACGGCACATGTATACATATGTAACAAACCTGCACGTTGTGCACATGTACCCTAGAACTTAAAGTATAGTAATACTAAAAAAAAGAGATTCAGAGAGATTAAGTGAATTGCTGCAAGTCACATAGCTAGTGAGTTGGAAAGTTGGCGTTTGCTAACCCTAGATATTAACCTTTTATTCCACTCTGCCCTGTATAATTGGTAAAATATCCCTTAAAACACTGCAAATAGCTCTTAGTCTGCAAAATGTACTAGATACACCCAAATCTACCAGTCCTAAACATTTACTTCCCAAATCTCACAGTTTCTACCTAATTTCTTTTCACTTTGCTCCAGTCTATAAGAGAATAATGAGAATGTCTCCAATCAGCTCCCCTAGGGATTAAATACACAGGAATAGGAAGAAGACATGGCTGTCATCAAATCTCTCCAGATCTCCTCTTTTATCTACTTTAGTCCCATGGCAACTTCTTTCAGGCCCAGGACATGGGAAGCATTTCACAGATGTGTTGCAATAGATGAGCTGTTAGGATCATAAGCATTTGTAATGTGAATGTACCTACCTAAGGTGAATTAGTTATATAGTGTAGGTAACAAGCTTAGTGTGCTCCTGTCCCAGCAGGGGCCCCAAAATATGTGTGTGCATTTGGGTGTGTATGTGTTTTACTTTAATGGATAAATAAATGGACTAAAAAAAAAAGAAGTAAGCCCAACATTTACACATGATTTCCGCGGAAGCATTTGATATTCTTAACTTTCATGTGTATAGGGAAAAAGGCCAAGCACAACGTAGCTACTCAAAGATGAAAATGCTAAGCAGACATTCTGGCAGTCTCACTGGGTTGGGCATGTTATCAACTGAAAGTTTATACCTTCCTCAAATTTATATGTTGAAGCAGCAACCTTCAGTATGATGGTATTTGGAGATTGGGCCTTTGAGAGGTAGTTAGAATGAGATTAGGTGATGAGGTTGAGCCCTCATGATGAGATTAGTAGCCTTATAAGAAAAGAAAGAGAGATCAATCACTGTCTACATGCAAGCACTAAGGAACTACCATTTAAAGACATAGCAAGAAGATGACCATCTCTGTAAGCCAGAAAGAGAGCCCTCACAAGAACCTGATTATGCTGGCACTCTGGTCTCGGATTCCAGGCCCCAGAACATTGATAAAATAAGTGTGGTTGTTTAAGCCATCCAGTGTATAGTATTTTGTTACAGCAGGTTAAGCTGTCTAAGACAGGGAGAGAAAAATAGGAATTAAGAGTCAGCCAGAGAAAAAGCCACTTGGAATATATTCAAGGCTTCTAGTTGGAATGATTGAAGGATTATGTTCTGGACATAAAGGCAAACTGAGAATAGGCAAACTGAGAACAGACAAACTATCAAAAAGCTTGAAAGACAACCTCGAAGCTGTGAAATTCCAATTGGGTCAAAGTGATCTGCTTGTACTGTATCTGCCAGCTAGAAGAAAATTAAGACTTCTCTGAAGGAAGGTGACATTATGCAGAGATTCTGCATTTTCTTCATATATAATATGCAGCATTACCTTAAATAAAAGTAAAAAACAGGCATGCCAAGACAGAAACCATAAAACAAAAAAAACTCAAGAGGGAGGAAACAGCAGATCTGTAGGTTATGCAGGTGTTGGAGTTGAGAGATAAAGACCTTAAAATATTCAGCATTATGTAGAATAAAATAGAAGAAAATATGAATAAGGTAGATAAAGAGATAGATACTTTTTGTTTGAAACAGAAAAAACTGAAGAGGTAATGAATAATGGCAAGAATTTTCCCAAACTGGAGTAAGACATTAATCCAGATTGAAGAAGATTTACAGACTACAAACAAAACTTAAAAATACAAAAATACAAATAAATAATAAAAAATAAAAAATACAAAGAAAAAATCACATAAAACCACACAACTGGGCATATTATATTAAAATTGCTAAAAAACAAATTTCAAAAAAGATTTTAAAATGAGACAGAGAAAAGAGTAATGTCATCTTAAAGAAGGAACAAAAAGATTTACAACAACTTTAAAGTGCCTCATGAAAATAAGTGGAACCTATACTCTATACCCAGCAGAATTTTTTGTCAAAATGAAAGAGAAATAAATATATCGTAAGAGGAAAAAAAGAGAAGAATTTGTCACCAGCAGTATCCACTACAAGAAATAATACAAGAATATAGAAATACAGAAAGGAAAAAAGAATAATAATTAGAAAAAATATACGGGTAAATTTCAGTAAATATTCACTTTACAAAAAACAGTAATTTTGCATGGAATTTAAAAATATATACCTAGAGTTAAAATTCATAAAAAATGTAATACAAAAGGCAAGAGAAGGATGAATGAAGTTATCATGTTCTAGGATTCTAGCAGTACTGGAGAAGTAGTAAAAGGTAATAAACTGTATTAACCTACAATGAGTTAAGGATGTACACAGTGATCTCTAGTGTAACTACTAAAAGGATGAGTAAAATATATAACTAACTATTAATCCATTTTCACACTGTTATAAAGATACTACCTAAAACTGGGTACATTATAAATGAAAGAGATTTAATTGACTTACTGTTCCACATGGCTGGAGAAACCTCAGGAAACTTACAATCATGGTGGAAGGAGAAAGAGAAGTAAGGCATGCTTTACGTGGCAGCAGGAGAGAGAGAGAGTTTGTGCAGGGGCAATTGCCGATTTTAAACCATCAGATCTCATGAGAAATCCCTCACTATCACGAGAACAACATTGGGGAAACTACCTCCATGATCCAATCACCTCCTCAACATGTGGGGATTACAATTCAAGATGAGATTTAGATGGGGACACAGAGCCAAACCATATCACTAACTGCTTATTGGGAGGAAAGTAATAGAATAATAAAATTTTTTTATTAATCAAAAATAAGGCAAGAAAGAAAAAAGGAACATAAATGTGTTAAGTGGAAAAAAAGTAATTGTGTAAATAAATTTAAATATCAATAATTACATTAAATGTAAATAGGCTACTTACTTCTATTAAAAGGCAGCATTGTCAGAGTAGATTGAAAAACCCCAATAGTTATATGCTATTTACAAAATGAACACTTTAAATACAAGGACTTAGTTTCCAAGAAAAGAATGAAAAAAGACATACCACGTACAGACTAACCAAAAAAAGCTGGCATGGCAGTACCATACAAAGTACATTTTTAAAGACAAAAATATTACTAGAGATAATGACCAACATTTCATAAGGCCAATGAGTACATTAATCAATAAGTTACAACAATTTAAATGTTAATGTACCCAATAGTAGAGCTTCAAAATTTATAAGCAAAAATTGATAAGATTAAAATAAAAAGTAGATAAATTTACAGTCAGAAAGATTTAAAACATTTCTCTCTATGTACAAAGTACAAGCAAACAAAAATAAACTCAGTATGAGTATAGATTTTTAATAACCACAAAACTGACCCAATTAACATATTTAGAACACTGCACACAATGACAGAATACTCATTCTTTTCAAGTACACGTCAAACATTTCCCAAAATTTATGTTGTGTCATAAAATAAACTTCAAGAAATTTCAATGATTTATATCACTCAAAATAATTTCTTTGACCATAATTGAATCAAACTACAATTTGATCACAGAAAGGTGATCCCCTGCTTGGAAATTAGATAACGTATTGTTAAGTAATTTGTGGGATAAAGAGGAAATAAGAACTTTTTAGCTGAAAAATAAGAAAGACATGTGATATGTGATACTTATATGATATGACTAAAACAGTCTTGCTAAGAGACATGTATATAGGATTAAATGCATATATTTGAAAGAAAGTCTCAAAATCAACATTCTAAGCTTCTACCTTTTTTTTTTTTTTTTTTTGGAGACACTCTGTTATCTAGCCTGGAGTGCAGTGGTGTGATCATAACTCACTGTAACCTCAGATTCTTGAGCTCAAGACATTCTCCTACCTCAAGTGTCCCAAGTAGCTAGGACTACAGGCATGTGACACCATGCCCAGCTTAAGCTTGTACCTTAAGAGGCTTGGAAACTAAATAAAACAGACAATTTAACCCAAAGAAAGATAAAAGAAGGAAGTATTAAAGATAAGAATAGAAACAGAGTAGAAAACACACATACAATAGAGAAAATAATTTGAGCCAAACTTTTATCCTTTGCAAAGATTAATCATACCATCAAAAATCCATTAATAAAACAAATCAAAACAAACTGAAAAAATGCACAAAATTATCATTAAAAGACATGGCAAGAAGGGCATCATTATAGATGCTACAGAGTTTAAAAGGATAATAAAAAGATATTATGAAAAACTTTATACCAATATATGGTGATATAGATAAAATAAACAAATTCCTTGATAAATACAACTTGCCAAATTAGACCACAAAAAATAATATACCTGAATGCTTCTGTATTTATAAAAGATATGTAATTTATTATTGAAACTCTACCCTCAAAGAAAACACAACAATTAACAATAATAACAACAACAACAACAAAACAAATTCCCAGTCCCAGATAGCTTCATTGGAGAATTTTCCCAAATATTTACAAAAGAAAGAAAACCTATCTCACAAAATGGTCCAAGAATTTAAAAACTGGGGAATTCCTCTCTGTTGTTTATGGGCCAGCACATCCTTGATTTGAAACCTGGCAATAATATTACCAGAAAGGAAAAATACAGACTATAGACAAAGATTCTGAAAAGAAAAATATAGATCATAGATAAAGTATCAAAAGAAATTATTAGCAATGAAATTAAACAGTATATGAAAAGGCATACATCATGATAAAGTAGAATCTATTCTAGGTATCAAGAACAGCATGATATTTTTAAAAAACCATATATTTCACCACATTAATAGAAAAGTACAAAAATTATATAATCTTGAGAGATACAGAAATTATTTGATACAATTTACCATCCATTCATGATAAAAAACTCATAGCAAACTATGAATAGAAGGGAACTTTCTTAATCTGACAAAAAAAATTTATAGGACACCTACAGCAAACATCAGATTTAATATCAAAATATTTAAAACTTTGCCCTTGAGATAAGAAAGAATGTAAGGATGAGGCTATCACCACTTCTATTTAACATTATATCAGAAATCCTACCCAGGGAAAAGTCAATAAAAAAGTAAAAATTTGTACATACCTAAAAACACAAATTCAAAATATTTAAAGGAAAATTTGACACTATGGACAAATACACAATTATAGTTAGTACTTTAAACACATTTTTCAGAGTAACTAATAGAACAAGCAAATAAATACTGAAAGGATAGAAAAGATTTGAACAATACAATAATTTAATTTGACCAAATTGGCATTTGTAGAAACTGAAGAAAATACATTTTTTTCCAGATGCCATGAAATTTTTACCAAAAAGGGAGTGTATGCTGTGCCATAAAGTGAGTCTAAAAAATTTTCAAAGGATTAAAATTGAGTAGAATATATTCTCAGGCAATGGTAGAATTAAACTACAAATCAATAAGAAAATATTTCCCGATTAATTGGAAATTAAGTTATATGCTTTAAAATAAGTTATGCTTTAACATAAAAATCTCGTTACTGATATTAGGAATAAAAATAAGAACATGGCTATAAATCCTAAAGACGTTGAAATGATAGTAAAAACTGCACTCATAATCTGAAGAAAATACACAAAGAAAACTACAGCCTCTGATAAAAAAGTGGTAACAATCCTACGCGACATCTTTCAAAGAAAAGAAAAATAGAGGATGCTTTCAAACTCATTTTGTTGCAATGGTATTAGAAGAATGGAAATCTACAGGCTAATCGCTTTTATGAACTTAGGAACAAATATCCTAAACAAATCATTAGCAAACTGAATAAAATGAATTAAGAAGATAATCATTACCTAGTAGGATTTATTTCAGGAATGAAAGGAATGTTTAACAACAGGAAATCAGTCAATATTATGTTCTACATTAATACACTCACAGAGGAAGATATTAATAGAATGCTTTCAGAAATTGATAACTCTTGCAGAAAAAAACATAGTAGGACTGTAGTAATATAAATAATGCATTTTATTAGCTTGACCTAGCACCTATATAGTATTTAGCATCAAACAATAATGGGTCTAAGTTATTTTCAAGCATACAGAAATAAAACATTCTCTTGAGTCGACATTCTTTAAGAGCACAATGGGAATTCCAATAGATTGCCAAGAGTTGATATCACACAGAACATAGTCAATTATTAAAATCAAGTAAATAAATAAGAAATTAATTAATATTTAAAAACAAATTTAAAAGCAAAGCAACATTTAACAACTTATAAAGAGATAATCATAATATAAAATATAAAATAGTTTTAAACAAAGGAAGTATGTATAAGCACTGTGTGATGCGTTTAAGAAAAATGCTATAAACAAGTAGGATAAAGTTTCAAGTCAAAAAGCTAAAAAATAAAAAAAGCACAAACAGAATGTAAAAAAGGTAAAATCAGAAATTAATGAAATAAAAAATAAAGAAGAAATTATAAAATGTAAAAAGCTGATGATTTTAATAACTAATAAAACAGACATATGTGAAAAAAATTGAGAAAAGGAGAGCAAATGCAAATAAATACTGAAAGGAATATGAGAATAAAAATATTATAAATACAATTTAATTGAGAGTGTATATGAAAGATACCGTGAACAATTTTTGCTAATAAATTAAAAAATTTGGATAAGGTACAAAATATAAAATATATAAATGATAAAATTGACAAAACAGGATTTTTTTTATATTGACAGATCGAAGACTTTAAAAAATTGTATTAATAGTAAAAAAATTTCTCTAGCAGTTTTGTAGGTGAATTCTTTCAAATATAAATGGAAAAGATAATTCCTTTTATATGTAAACTGTTTCAGAAAATAGAAAGAAGAGGTAAGTTACGTAACTCATTTTTTAAGGCTAAAATTATAGTCCAGCATTACTAACAAACATAGATGCACAAATTCTAAATAATATAAGACCAAGTAGAATTCAGCGCAGTACTACATATATAAAAATGTGAACAAATAACATTTATTCTAAAACAATAATTCAGCATTATGAACCTATTAATGTAATTTATCAGATTTACAGGTTTAATAAAGCTATGGGAAAAGGTAGGCAAAAAATTGAATTCAACTTGAAAGTAATATTTAATTTATTTTATATATTAAAAAGATCTGAGGCAATTATGACAAAACCTTACCCCACCTTGGTGTGGGTACGTGTGCTTTTACTGTATTACTCTCTGTAGTTGTCCAATTTTGTAATTTTACAGCCTATTCTCTACTAGATTGCAGCAAGATTTTCTGCATTATCAATAGATAAAGCTATTTCTTATTGAAGAAAGCCTGTAAAAATCAACCTCCTACTCTTTTGACCCATTCAAATACAATGGGGCTTTTGCCTTTGCTTATAAAAAAAAAAAAAAAGCCATTTTATTGCTGTGAACAGGAAAATCAGATCAACCTCAAAGGTCATGAGTGACTTTCTGTGAGGTTTCTTTGTTCTTAGCTCAGTTCAGGGATTTAAAATGACACCTCTTTCCCTGAGAAAGGAGAGCCTGTCTTCCTCTGGGAAAGCACTGCTTTATGTGGTGTGAGGAAATGGCAGATCACAGTACCTCAGTCAGGTTGTGAGGTAAGATGCTGCAGCTTACGATGTGGCAACTTCCTTCTGCCTTCTCTTTTAATATAAGTATTTGATTCCATTCAAGGCCACTGGCCTCATATAAAACCGCCTCTGAGCCAGTGTCAGATATTCATCTCCACATGATCTGCTTTCACCTGACACAACATCTGTCTCTCTCCTTAGAGAGACACAGAGGAAAAGCAACTGTGGAATGTAATCACCGAGGTCTCTAGGCTATTGAACTCCCCACTTGCTGAGATTCAGCTAAAAGCCTGCGTTCCTTTGCTGTGAGAAGGAAGAAGAGTCATTTTTGCACTTAATTGAAACTGTATTCTTAAAATGATTGATCCTCTTATTCATCAACGTCATTGAATTAAACTAAAATGATGATGTTGATGATAGTACTAATTTCAGCAAAAACAAGAAGTATTAGTCTTTTTCATTATCTCCAGTCTTACTAGGATTATTTGTATGATTTAGGTTTCTACTCTTGATTGAAGATGGCCCGAGAGCACTGAATGGGATAAGGCACCTAAAAATTTAGCACAGTGGTTGACGATGATATATGTTACTGTATAGTTTCTACCCCTAACCGCATCAAGAGCTTCTTTTGTTTGTAAGAGTTCACACAAGGTGGGATTAAAAGACAGATCCCAGGATCATTGAGGGATTTTGGAGGAGACAAATAGACTTTGAACTGGCTTCATGATAGTTTCAGAAGAATCTGGGTTATCCTAGGATACATTGCCCCTAGACTCAGGTAAGAGGGAAGCTTCACATGAGTCTTAATATAGGGTTAGGGAAATTTTTCCCTGTGAAGAGCAAGATAGTACATATTTTGGGCTTTGTGGGCCACTTGGGATCTCTGTCACCTATTCTTCATTGTTTTCTGTTTGTTTGTTTTGTTTTGTAGTTTGTTAGTTTATTTTTACAACTCTTTAAAAATGTAAAACCATTCTTGGCCGGGCACGATGGCTCACACCTGTAATCCCAGCACTTTGGGAGGCCAAGGAGGGCGGATCATTTGAGGTCAGGAGTTTGAGAACATCCTGGCCAACAGGGTGAAACCCTGTCTTTACTAAAAATACAAAAATTAGCTGGGCGTGGTGGTGCATGCCTGTAGTCCCAGCTACTCGGGAGGCTGAGGCAGGAGAAACGCTTGAACCCAGGAGACGGAGGTTGCAGTGAGCCGAGATCGTGCCACTGCACTCCAGCTTGGCAACAGAGCGAGACTCCGTCTCAAAACAAAAAACAAAAAACCACTCTTATCTCAAAGGATATATAAAAACAAGTTGTGGGCTAGATTTGGCCTTCAGGCTATGGTTTACCGATCGCTACTGGAAATGAACCCCGTCTGGTTATTTCATGGTTGCACGCCTTCCTGTGGTACCAGGGGTCCTTGCAGCCAAGGGAATGTGCCCTTCTAGTGTTCATAACAAGTTTCTAGGCTTTTCCCTATGTACCAAAGAATATTACGCTTAAATGACACATAGCCCACTTCCAGGGCCTGTACTGGATTCTTCATCAGCTCCTTCCTCAAAAGGCATGACTGGTAGATGATGAAGATAGGATAGGAAGAGATGGGGATGAACTGTGGGGAAGTATCCTGAGGCTAACATTCATGCTACATTGTTCTGGTCTGGAATTCCAAGATTTCTGAGAATTTTAAATTTAAAACTGGCCTTAGGCCAAGTGTAGTGGCTCATGCCTGTAATCCCAGCATTTTGGGAGGGCTAAGTGAAAAGATAGCTTGAGTCCAGGAGTTTGAGACCAGCCTGGGGAACAAAGTGAGACCTCCATCTGTACAAAAAATGCAAAAAATTAGCCAGGCATGATGCCGTGGGCCTGTAGTCCCAGATACTTGGGAGGCTAAGCTGGAGGATCCTTTGAGTCTTGGGAGGTCTGGGCTGCAGTGAGCCATGACTGTGACACAGCATTCCAACCTGAGTGACAGAGCGAGACCCTGTCTCAAAAACAAACAAATAAATGAACAAACACCCTGGCCTTTAATGTTATTTAGGTGCATCTTTCAATGGAATATAGAACTTTATTTTGATTAATAGTTTGTTAGTTTACATTTACAAATTCAAAATATTTAAACACATAGTACACGGGCCTTTATTTGTACTCCTACTCTGAGCTGCACAAATATTGAGAGCAAACCTGTCCCAGGATATCCAGTACTCTTACTTTGAAAAAAACCACCAATTCCCAAGTTACTCTCAGGGTATCCATAATAAGTCTGTTGCAGATGTATATTCCCAACAGTTGTCCTTTGCATAAATTATACCCAATCAGAGAGGCTAGAACTCAGCCAACCTCTATATTCCACACTTTTGTCCCAGAAGTTCCACCTTAATATATGCAGTCTAAGAGTCAGTATTCTCAGATCCCTTTATTCAGTGTCACAAACTCAAATGCCTACACAAAGGAGAGGGAAAGCACCTTCCAAATGGGGCAGCTACCATTCACCTCCAGTGACTACTATCATAAGAATAACACTGGTCAGGAGTTCAACACCAGCCTGGCCAAGACGGTGAAACCCCGTCTCTACTAAAAATACAAAAATTGCTGGGTGTGGTGGCTGGCGCTTGTAATCCCAGCTACTTGGGAGGCTGGGGAAGAGAATTGCTTGAACCCGGGAGACAGAGGTTGCAGTGAGCCGAGATCACACCACTGCACTCTAGCCTGGGCAACAGAGCAAGGCCCCATCTCAGGAAAAAAGAAAAAAGAAGAAGAAGAAGAAGAACACTGACCCAGTGTTACAAAAACTCTGTTTCTTAAAAATCTGGAAATCTGCGTTCATATATCAAATCTTCAAATTTTTAAAAGTTGACACTAATTTACGTTTTTTAAAGTTTATGTTGGTCAAGCATACCTTTTTGTAGGCTGAATTTAGTCTTCGGTACAGTTTGACTTTCACCTTAATGCTTTCTGAGGTATTCTGATGGTTAATTCTATGTGTCAACATGACTATGCCAAAGGGTGTCCAGATGAAACGTTATTTCTCAGTGTGGCTGTGACAGCATTTGTGGATGAGATTAGCATTTGAATCAGTGGACTCATTAAACTAGATTGCTCTTTCCTATTAGATGATGTATGTTGGCATTTAATCTATTGAGGGCTTGAATAGAACAAAAGGTAGAGAAAGGAGTGATACAGTTTGTATGTTGTCCCCTCTAAATCTCATGTTGAATTGTAATCCCCAATGTTGGAGGTGGGGCCTGGTGGGAGGTGATTGGATCATGGGGATAAGTTTCTCGTGAATGACTTAGTACCACCCACTTGGGCTGTCCTCATGGCAGTGAGCAAGTTCTCATGAGATCTGGCTGTGTGGCATCTTCCTCCTCTCTCTCTCTCTCTCTCTCTCTCTCTCTCTCTCTCTCTCTTGCTCCCACTCTCACCATTTGATGTGCCTGCTCCCACTGCACCTTCTGCCATAAGTAAAAGCCCGTTGAGGCCTCCCCAGAAGCTGAGAAGATGCAGGTGCCATGCTTCCTGTACAGCCTGAAAAACCATGAACCAATTAAACCTATTTTCTTTATAAATCATCCAGTCTCAGGTATTTCTTTAAGCAATGTAAAGAATGGCCTAATACAGAAAATTGGTACCAGGAGTGGGATATTGCTATAAAGATACCTGAAAATGTGGAAGTGATTTTGGAACTGGGTAACAGGCAGAGGTTAGAAAAGTTTGGAGGGCCTAAAAGAAGGCAAGAAGATGAGAGAAGGTTTGGAGTTTCTTAGAGACTGGTTAAATAGTTGTGAGCAAAATGCTGATAGTAATATGGACAGTGAAGTTCAGGTTGATGAGATCTCAGATGGAAATTAGGAGCTTACTGGGAACTGGAGCGGAAGTCACCCTTGTTACACCTTAGCAGAGAACTTGGCTTTATTGTGTCCATGCCTAAGGGATCTATGGAAGTATGAACTCAAGAGTGGTGACTTAGGGTATCTGGTGAAAAAAAATTTCTAAGCAGCAGTGCATTTGAGATGTGTTCTGGCTGCTTCTAACAACCTTCATTCAGATGTGGTAGCAAATAAATGACTTAAAGTTGGAAGTTACATTTAAAGAGGAAGCAGAGCATAACAGTTTGGAAAATGTGCAGCCTGGCCATCTGTCAGAGAAAGAAAAAGCACTATCTGGAGAGGAATTCAAGAGGGCTCTGGAGCAACCACTTGATAGAGATATTATCCTGACTAAAAAGGAATCAAGTGCTAATAACCAAGACAATGGGAGAAAAGGCCTCAAAAGGGCATTTCAGAGCTCGGTGAGGCAGGCTCTTCCATCACAGACCTAGAGGCCTAGGGGGAAAGAATGGTTTTGTAGGTCAGGCCCAGGGCCCTGCTGCCCTGTGCATCCTTGGGACATTGCTTTCTGCATCCAGGTTGCTCCAGCTCCAGCTTTAAGTCAAAGGGGCCCAGAGGGCACAAGCTGTAAACCTTGGTGGCTTCTACATGATGTTAAGCCTGTAGGTTCTCAGAATGCAAAAGTGAAGAAGGCTTGGGACCTCTACCTAGATTTCAGAGGATATATGGAAAAGCCTGGAAGTCCAAGCAGAAGACTACTGCAGGGGCAGAGCCCTTACAAGGAATCTCTACTAGGGAAGTGCAGAGGGGAACAAACTTTGGGTTTAGAGGCCTTACACAGAGTCCCCAGGGAACTGCCTAGTGGAGCTGTGGGAAGAGGGCTGCCACCTTCCAGACCCCAGAATGGTCGATTCACCAGGAGCTTGCATCCTGCACCTGGTGTAGACAAAGACTCTATAAAACATTTGAAAAGATATATTCTGAGCCAAATATGAGGGCCATGACTCATGACACAGCCCTGGGAGATCCTGAGAACATGTGTCCAAAGTGGTCAGGCTATAGCTTGATTTTATACATTTTAGGGAGACATAAGACATTGATCACTGCATTTAAGATGTATACTGGTTTGGTCTGGAAAGGGGGGGCAATTTGAAGTGGGGACTTCCAGGTCAAAGATGGATTCAAGAATTTTCTAATTGGCAATTTTTTCAAAGAGTTATTATCTAAAGACCTGAATTCAATAGAAAGAAATGTCTGGGTTAAGATAAGGGATTGTGAAGACCAAGATTTTAATGTGTCTGTGGTGTGTGTGTGTGTGTGTGTGTGTGTATGTGTGTGTATAGAGAGAGAGTGAGAGAAAGATACATATATATATATATGTATTTCTGTTTTTCTGGAAATCTCAGGTGTCCTCAGAGGAGAAGCTTCTCTCCTGTTCTTATTAATCCAGCGTGTAACCTTCTCATGTATACTCTATGAGCTATAGATATAATGGAAAGAACATATAATTATGAGTCGGGAGACTTAGGTTCTAAGTCCTGAATTGTCTTCACTATTCTGCGAGAAGATCTGGAGCAAGTTGCATGTAATAGTCCTTCATTCTCTAAGCTAAAGAGATTGGCTAGGTGATATTTTAGTTCTCATCCAGCTTCTGTATTTTCAATTTTAAAAAGTTTTATAGTCAGACATGTGACTTAAGGAAAATTTAAACATACTAAACTTTGTTTTATAGCATTGTACCACCTTAACAGTTATAATAAACTTATAATCTGTTTATCACACTTTATTTCAGATCCGTATATAGCAACAGAAATTTGTTAAAACTGTGAGTTTTCAAGTCATGGCAATACAGAATTATTAACATCTAGTGTCGATAGGAACTATCACCTTTATATTCCCATTTCACACATGCAGAATATTTTATCTTATTATAAACAACTCCTAATGACCAGAAAGCATTATCATTCCCTCCTTTTGTCCCAGCAGGGAAAATGCACCAAGAATACACAACAGGTAACTTATGGCAACACATTTTACATATTATTTCCTATATTTTGTTCTCAAGAGTAACCTGTGTACAACACCTCCTGGTTTCTCTGCTGTTAGGATACATTGTTAGACTCAAGTAATCCAAGTGTAATGGTGTTGACTATATTTATAGAGATGTGATAATGTGCCTCAGGGATGGTCACAATCTAACAGCAAAGCAGGACACAGAGAAGATGTAAATCCTCAACTGAGTGCCAGACGATGACAGAGAACAGCTTCAGAAATAGATTTGGGTAGACATCCCAGGCAAGTTTCTACCAATTAATTATGAGCAATGCCACCAACCATTCTTTTTTCTAATTTCAAGTAATTTTTTTCCTTTTAAAAACATTATTGAGATATAATTTACATGCCATACAATTCACACATTTTTAGGGGTACACTTCAATGAATTTCAGTATATTTAGAGAGTTTTACAACCATCCTCCAAATCTAATTTTAGAGCATTTCCAACACCCTAAAAAGAAACTTTATACTCACTTAACGTTACTCCCTATTCCCACTCCCAGCCCCAAGCAACCACTAATCTTTCTGTCTTGATTTATGTGCCTTTTCTTGACATTTCATGTAAATATTTATTTCATGAAATAATGTCATATAAGCAATTTTGTTTGCCTTCTTTCACTGAGGGTAATGTTTTTGAGGTTTCTCCATGTCGTAGTGCTTTGTTCCTTTGTATTACTGAATAGTATTCAAGGATATATCACATTTTGTTTGCCTGTTCATGAGTTGTTGCATATTTGGGTTGCTTCCACTCTTTGGCTTTTGAGAATAATGCTGTCATGAGCATGCATGTATGAGTCTATGTATGAGAACAAGTCATTCTTGACTTGATAGTTACAAATTTGAGGTTTGTAGCTAAGTTGGTTTTTTGTTGTTGTTGTCATATAATAAATTTCAGGGAAATAAACAAGTATCCCTATACGTCTCACTCACTTCCATCCTGTTGGCAAGAGTGAAAACAATGGATTTTCAGAAATCAAATAGGCAGATGGGAGTAACCTTGGGGGCAGCCCCAGGAGTTTGCCAGGCATGGGAACATCATTTTTCTTTTTCTTTTTTTATGTTAATTTTTTATTATTATACTTTAAGTTCTAGGGTACATGTGCACAACGTGCAGGTTTGTTACGTATGTATACATGAGCCATGTTGGTGTGCTGCACCCATTAACTTGTCATTTACATTAGATATATCTCCTAATGCTATCCCTCCCCCCTCCCCCACCCCATGACAGGCCCCAGTGTGTGAGGGAACATCATTTTTCAATTGTGTTGTAGAATAAAAAGGTTGAGAGTGGTTCTATTCAGTCACTGATTTGGATGCACTCATTTCTGGAGGATTTGTCTCTGAATGGACAAGAGAATTTTTCAGTGGACCTACAAAGGGAACGCTTTGGTTCTAGGCTGCTTCTTTGTCTCACTCAAAGCTAGGTCTAAGAATGACATTTTCCCTTTATATATGCTCAAGGAAGCTAGCATTCTATTGTCTTCTTTTTACAGATCCTACTAGAGATTCATCTCTCAACTTTCCGCCTTCCCTAATCCAGAGATGACTGTGGAGCAGAACAGTCTCACTAGTTTTTCTCCCTCTGCTCACGACTTAGGGTTTTATTATTAACTTCAATAGGTAAGGAGAATGAAAAACAAACAAAGCAACGTGGGCAGTGGCAACATTACCTCAGGACTGATAGCATCATAATAGTAGTCATTCCCTGAGATACAATAAAATACAAAGAATCGCTTTCCTGTTTCATTCTAAAATATCCCTGTCAGCTTAGGCAGTTTCTCCTTTTTAATGATTTCTGGTCAGTACTCTCATTCTTTCTTTCCTTGGAGTGGAGCTTCCCCTCTCCTCCCAGTGTTCTTTCAGCCCTTTCTTTTTAATAGTCCTTCTCTTTAGCACCCAGGACTGAAAAAGATAGATATAGGGCAGATACATGAATTATCTGAGATTTCTTCCAGTGGATTATGGGGACCCCAGGTGAACCTCAATCTTTTGGCTTTATTGTTCATCCTGATCATTCCTGCCACCTCTCCAGTAAATGCAGAAAAAATCAAATATGGTTAATCACGGACTGTAATCCAAACATCTTTGATCGTCCAATTGTCAGCCTATACTTTGAATACTGCCAGAGGTTACAGTGATTTTTTTTTTGCAATGACTTTTAAAGCATAGACTTCTTCCCTGAAGTCCTTTGTTAAGAATACTTTGGGTGAAAACTGATTACAGCTCTGATAATACTCCATGCCTGGGGCCAGTCATTGCCTGCTGCTTCTTCCCTGTGTTCCACAGTCATTCTAAACACAACACACAAGTCAGAGATTTGCCTTTGCTTTTGAAGGGCAGCATCCTTCAAACTTCCCAGAATTTCAGTGGTCATAATGGTGTCTTTAATAGGGGCAGAGAAACTAGCTAGTTAAGAGTATTGGCCAGGTGCGGTGACTCATGCCTGTAATCCTAGCACTTAGGGAGACCAAGGCGGGCAGATCACAAGGTCAGGAGTTAGAGACCAGCCTGGCCAATATGGTGAAACCCTGTCTCTAATAAAAATACAAAAATTAGCCAGGCATGGTAGTGTGCACCTGTAGTCCCAGCTACTTGGGAGGCTGAGACAGGAGAACAGGTTGAACCCAGGAGGCGGAGATTGCAGAGAGCCGAGATCATGCCACTGCCCTCCAGCCTGGGCAACAGGTGTCTCAAAAAAAAAAAAAAAAGAATATTTGACATGCCGGACTAAATTTCTTTTAAATACAAATCCAAACTGTTGTGAGAGATATTAAAATAATATTACCCTACTATGATACAGTGACATTGGCAGAGAGGTTTTGTGTTCACTCTTCTCTTTTTATTTTTCATTTAATTGGAGTTCTTTTGGTTCTTTCGTCAGTCAGCTCTGTGGTTGAGTGTTGGCTCTACTGAACTGCTGCATAGCCTTTGCAAGATTCTAAGACTAATAAATAGGGTGATCAGCTGTCCTGGTTTGCTCGGGACTGAGGGGTTTCCTAGGACATGAGGCTTTCAATATGAAAGGTCAGAGTCCCAGGCAAATGGACAAGTTGGTTACCCTATTAAAAACATGAAGGATTAAATGATACCTATCTACAGGTTGTGGTGAGGATTCTGAGCCAGTAATAGAAAGCCTAGTAAAAATAAGTTTTAAATTAATGAAAACTGGTTTTATTCAATTTACTTTGATAGTCTTTCTACTTTTTTCTCCACTTGACATCTGCTTCAGTTGGTGAATCAAACCTTCCAGAAGACCAGAATCATATCAGTATGATTTTTTCAATGAAGATTTTTAAAAAAGTTTTTTAATTGTGGTAAAATGTACACAACATAACATTTACAATTTTAACCATTTGAAAATGCACAGTATAGGAGTGTTAAGTACATTCACATTTGCTGTGCAGCCAATCTCTGGAACTCCTTTCATCGTGCAAAGCTGAACCTCTATACCCATTAAACAACAACTTCCCACTCCCCTCACCCCCTACCCCCTAGGAACCACCATTCTACTGTCTGTCTCTATGAATTTCATGTTAGGTACTTCATATAAGTGGAATAATGTAGTATTTGTCTTTTGTGACTGGATTATTTCACTTTTCATGTGCTCAAGTTTCATCCATGTTGTATCATGTGTCAGAATTTTTTCTTTCCTTTTTACAGGCTGAATAATATCCCCCCCCACACACACATGCACACACGTACACACATACACACACACACACACACTGTATTTTATTTATCCATTCATCCACCAATGGACACTTGGGTTATTTCTATCTTTTAGCTATTGTGAATTATACTGCTATGAACACAGGTGTACAAATATCTCTTTGAGATCTTGCCTTTAATTCTTTTGAGTATATACCTAGAAGTGGAATTACTGGATGGATTCATGCTTCCTAACCTTTAATGTACATACAAATAATCTCAAAATCTTGTGGAGACGTAGACTCTTATTTAGTAAGAGTAATAACAGAGATTCTGTATTTATAAACAGCACCCAGGTGATGGCCATGCCACTGTTGGGGAGATTATACTTTGAGATGCAAGGGCATAGAAAAAAGTAAAGTAGCTTGGAAGTGGAGAGACTTGACTTATATACGATTCTGGCTCTGCCAGTGACTGGAGATATAACCATGGGTGTCACCTAAACTCTCTGGGCCTATTACACTATTTTAAAAGTGAAGGGCTTGGACTAGATGACTTATAAGGCCATTTTCTTCTGATATTCCTTGATATTACATCTGCCTAGGATAAGTTTTATTTTATTTTATACACTTGCAATAAAATACACGGAAAATAACTCATGTGCTGTAGAACTGAAAGGATTGCTGTGGGTCTGGAGAACCATGAAAATTAGATCAATAATTATAAATTATCAGACCAATGAGGAAAAAAGAGCAAATAGACTTGCATAGAAAGTGGGGCCTTCTCAACTCTGTCAGTTCATATTTATGAAGGTATTTATCGACTTTACCCTAGGCTACTCTGGCAGCCATTTCTATTTAAGAGAAGAGGATGCAGAACAATTTTATGGTGAACTATAGGGAAAAAACTTTCATCTGAACTTCATTAAAAGGAGAGTGCCTCTAGTTACATGTAGTTTCTGATTCAAGGACAAGCAAGGTGAAGGAAAATGAACTAAAGGCTAGAGCAGTGTTGTACTGGTAAATGCTTTGCAATCAGCTGGGAGCGGGAAACCCTGATTTGTAGTATTCGCCAATGTGTAAATTATCCCACACATCTACTTTTCATTGACCAAAACAACACCAAAGGGTTAACAAAATTTCTGAAATTTTAACAATCAGCTTTCATAAGCTATTATAAGTCAGTTCTAACACACTACTGAAAAGTAAGTTTTCTATAACTGACTTATTGAGATTAGATAAAAAAAAAACTCTTCTAATAATCACATTTTCCCCACTATTGCAGTAGTCCTCAATTCTGGCTGAATATTAAAATAATCAGGGTAATGTTTAAAAAGCAATAATGAGCAGGCTCCATCCCAACTCAACTAAATCAGAAATTTTGGGGGTAGAGGCAAAGGGAATTTTTGATGTTTAGCCAGGCACACAAAACAATGAGAAAATGAGTAACAAAATGTCAGGAGTAAGTCTTTACTTATCAATAATAACCCTGGATGTAAATGGAATAAACACTCATTCTACAAGGCCAGTATTACCCAGAAAAAGGCATATGAATAAAAGAAAAGTACAGGCCAATATCCCTGATGAACATTGATGTAAAAATCCTCCACAAAATACTGGCAAACTGAATTCAACAACACATTTAAAAGACCATTCATCATGACCAAATGGGATTTATCCTAGGGATGCAAGGATTGTGCAACATATGCAAATCAATCAATGTGATACATTATATCAACAGAATGAAGGACAAAAACCATGTGATCATTTCAACTGATGTAGAAAAAGCATTTGATAAAATTTAACATCCCTTTGTGATAAAAACCCTCAAAAGCTGGGTATAGAAGGATACCCAGAAAGGATAGAAAGAATAGAAAGAACATACCTCAACAAAATAATAGCCATATACAACAGACCCATAGCTAGTATTATACTGCATGGGGAAAAACTGAAAGCCTTTCCTCTGAGATCTGAAACATGACAAGGATGCCTGCTTTCATTACTATTATTCAACATAGTACTGGAAGTCCTAGCTGAGAGCAGACAAGAGAAAGAAATAAAGGGCATCCAAATTGGAAAGGAAGGAGTCAAATAACATAGTTGGCAGATGATATGATCTTTTATTTGGAGAAAACTGAAAATTCCACTGAAAAACTATTGGAACAGATCAACAAATCCAGTAAAGTTGCTGGATACAAAATCAGCGTACAAAAAATCAGTAGCATTTCTATATGCCATCAGTGAACAATCTGAAATAGAAATCAAGAACTTAATCTCATTTACAATTGCTACAAACAAAACAAAATAACTAGGAATGAACTTAACCAAAAAAGTGAAAGATCTCTACAATGAAAACTGTAAAACATGGATGCAAGAAATTGAAGAGGACACCAAAAAAAATGGAAAGATACTTTATGTTTATGGATAGGAAGAATCAATATTGTTAAAATGTTTATACTGCTCAAAGCAATCTACAGATTCAATGCAAGCCCAAAGACATTCTTCACAGAAATAGAAGAAAACAATTCTAATATTTAAATAGAACTACAAAATACCCAGAATACCAAAGTTTTCTGAGAAAAGAAAGGAACTGGAGGAATCACATTGGCAGACTTCCAATTATTCTAGAGTTATAGTAAAAAAAACAGCATGGTACTTGCATAATAACAGACACACATACCAATGGAACAGAAGTAAATCCATACGTCTACAGTGAACTCATTTCTAACAAAGATGCCAAGAACATAAGTTAGGGAAAGGATAGTTTCTTCAATAAATGGTGCTGGGAAAACTGGATATCTTACATGCAGAAGAATGAACCTAGACCACATCTCTTGCCATACACAAAAATCAAATCAAAATGGATTAAAGACTTAAGTCTAAGACCTTAATCTATGAAACTTCTAAAACAAAACATTGGGAAACTCTCCAAGACATTGAAGTGGTCAAAGATTTCTTGAGTAGTACCCCACAAGCACAGGCAACCAAAGCAAAAATGAACAAATGGCATCATATCAAGCTAAAAAAGTTCTGCATAGCAAAGGAAGCAATCAACAGAGTGAAGGGAAAACCCACAGAATGAGAGAAAATATTTTCAAACTACCCATCTGACAAGAGATTAATAACAAGAATACATAAGAAGCTCAAGCAACTCTATAGGAAAAAAATCTAATACTCTGATTTAAAAATGGTCAAGAGATCTGAATAGACAATCCTCAAAAGAAGACATACAAATGGCAAGAAGGTGAATGAAAAGGAGCTCAACATCATTGATCATCAGAGAAAAGAAACCCCAAACTTCACTGAGATATCATCCCACCCCAGTTAAAACGGCTTTTATCCCAAAGACAAGCAATAACAAATGCTGACGAGGATGTGGAGGAAAGGGAGCCTTAGTACACCATTGGTGGGAATGTGCAACCCACTATGGAGAACAGTTTGGAGGTTCCTCAAGAAACTAAAAATAGAGCTACCATATGACCCAACAATCCTACTACTAGGTCTATACCCACCCCCTACCCCCCAAAAAAAGAAAGTCAGTATATCGAAGAGATATCTGCACTCTTATGTTTATTGTAGTACTATTCACAATAGCCGAGATTCGGAAGCAATGTGGATGTCCATCAACAGTCGAATGGATAAAGAAAATGTGGTACATATACACAATGGAGTTCTAGTCATCCATAAAAAATAATGAGATCTGGCCAGGCATGGTGGCTTACGCCTGTAATCCCAGCAATTTGGGAGGCTGTGGCAGGCAGATCACTTGACGTCAGGAGTTCGAGACCAGCCTGGCCAACATAGTGAAACCGTGTCTCTACTAAAAATACAAAAATTAGCCAGGCGTAGAGGTGCGAGCCTGTAATCCCAGCTACTTGGGAGGTTGAGGCAGGAGAATCGCTTGAACCTGGGAGGCGGAGGTTGTAGTGAGCTGAGATTGTGCCACTGCACTCCAGCCTGGGCAACACAGCGAGACTCTGTCTCAATAATAATAATAATAAATGAGGTCCTGTCATTTGCAACAACATGGATGAAACTGGAGGTCAGTAAGTTAGTGACATAAGCCAGGCACAAAAAGACAAACTTTGCATGTTCTCACTTATTTGTGAAAGCTAAAATTTAAAACAATTGAACTCATAGAGATAGAGAGTAGAAGAATGAATACCAGAGGCTGAGAAGGGTTGTGGAGTGGAGGAAGTGGGGATGGTTAATGGGTACAAAAATATAGTCATATAGAATAAATAAGATATAGTATTTGATAGTACAACAGGGTGACCACAGTCAACAATTTATTGTACGTTTAAAAATAACTAAAATAGTATAACTGGATTTTTTCTACACAAAGAAAAAATTATTGAGGCAATAAATAGCCCATGTACCCTGATGTAATTATTATTCATTGTATGCCTGTATCAAAATATCTCATGTATCCCATAAACATATACATTTACTATGTACCCACAAAACTTTTAAAAATATTTTAAAATTGTGGTATATTTACACAATGGCATGCTATTCAGCAACAGAAAGGAATAAACTGCTGATACAGCCCACAACACAGGGGAATCTAAGAAACATGTTGCATCAAAGAAGCTCAACACTGAAGAGTATACATTGCATGATTCCAGTGATAAGTTTTGCCAGATATACATCAATTACTACTCCACAGTCAATTATTATGACCAAGGAAATGAACACACACCCGATCCTCTAAGTTTCCTTGTGCCCTTTCCTACTTTCTTCCTCATGCCACTACCTGTCCCACCACTTCTCCTTAGACAATCACTGGTATTTCTGTTATAGACTAGTTTGCATCCTCTAGAGTTTTACATGAATGGAATCATACTCTATGTAATACTTGTTTGACTTCTTTTAATCGTAATTATTATTTAAGATTTATCGATGCTGCACATATTAATACATTTGTTTTGTTTTGTTTTAATTTCTGAGATAAGGTCTTGCTCTGTCACCCAGGCTGGACTGCAGTGGTGAGATCACTGCTCACCGCAGCCTTGACCTCCTGGACTAAAGTCTTGATCTCCTGGACCTCCCACCTCAGCCTCCCAAGTAGCTGGGACCACAGGTGCATGTCACCACGCCCTGCTAATTTTTATTTTTATTTTTTTGTGACAGGGTTTCACCATGCTACTCAGGCTGTTCTCAAACTCCTGAGCTCGAGCGATCTGTCTGTCTTGGCCCCCTGAAGGGATTACAGGTGTGAGCCACCACGCCTGGCCCAATTTGTTTCTTTGTATAACAGAGTAGCATGCTTTTGTATGGATATACCATCACTTATCTATTCACCTGTTTCCTCACACACTTTCACTGTTCAATACTATCAGGTGAAGACTCTCAGGACACTCTCTGAAAACCTCGAGAGTCCTTCTTCCTGTAGCTGTCTCCACTTTAGTACTCTGCTTCGTATACTCCAGCCACATTGGCCTCCCTAGAATCCCAGCCCAGGGAGTTTATGAGGCTCCACCCAGGTTCCCCAACCTGTGTTGCAGCCTGGAATCTGCAGTCTGGGCACAATCACAGGCTTCATTTGATTTGTTTTTCTTTCTCAGAAATCACTGTCCTTGGTTGCCGGATGTCCATTTCCCACTTATTTGAACACCATTGCTCTCTCTCTTGCTCTCTCTCTCTCTCTTGCTCTCTCTCTCTATATATATTTTCATCTGGAGGGAGAAAAACTGGTTCCTGTTATTTCATTTTGGTTGGCAGCAAATGTTCCCTCAGTATGCCTTGGATAAGACTTGGATGTTTTCTAAATTCCCAACTTGATCTCAGTTAAGCAAGAAAATGACAAAGTTTTCATCTTTGGGACTCCTCAATATATGACAGTTTGGTTGAAAATCATGCTGTTATATAAGCCCCCATTCTGCTTTGCATATCTGTGAAGGCATCAATATCTAGAAGCTCTGTAAAGTGACTCCTCATATGATCTTCATAAAAAGGTATGCTTTCTGCTTTTTGTCCAGCCCACCCCACCCCACACAGAGGCATGGTATATTCAAACGACACTGGGACTGAGCATACGGAGTCACAGGTTCTAGTTCCAGTGCTGCCTTTAATATACAGTCTGACCTTGGACAATTTTCTTTGCCTTTCTCAGCCTCAAATTTCCCATTTATAAAATGGTTTGGGGCGAGTAGAGTAATGACGTTTAATTCCCCTTCCAGCACTAAGATCCTTTGTTTCTAATTTGTGTCACGTCTCAGTCATTTCAATGTTGCTTGTGAAAAAGGGGGGCAAAGGGGGGCCCCAGTCATCTCACATCTCTTTCTTGCTGTGAACCAAGGCTGAGACTTTTTGAAGGATACCGAGTGATTCAATCCATCCTTGTTTCCTCTACTCTCTTTTGCTGTCTGCTAAGAATTGTGGTTTATGGTGGCTTTTACCTCCATGGTCCTCCAGGGACAGAAACAGGAGAGGCCGGAATTAGCAGAAAGCATCTCTTTTGCGGCCTGCTTCATTGAGAATGACTGGCTTTCCATTTGTCTTTGTTAGAAAAGCCAATCAGCAGACTTAGGACCCTGGGCTCTTTCACATTCTTTCTTGGCTGATCAGTGATTCATAGAGTCCATTAAAATGCCTGGATGACCAAGAGCTCAATTTTCCCAGATGAAGCCCGCTTGGCAGAAAAGAGGCTATTTCTCCCTTAGCAACCAGTGAAGAGTCAGCAATTTGTGGCATTCTGGAAGTACATCTTGGCACACTGTATTAACCTCTCTGGCACTGCCTGGTGGCCCTGGTCTGGCAGATAGCCAGCCAGCTTTCAGGTGCATGATCACTCAGGCATCGACGAGTGACCAGGGTGATGGTGCAGATTTACTTAGCAGAGGGGGCTTATTACTTCTAGGCTCTCTAGAAGAATATGCAAGAGCTGTTTATTGTGAGACATTTCCCACAGGGTGGAAGTTTAGGTGATTATACGCTTCCCTATTCTAACATGTAGTTAGAAATATAGTGAGGTGATTTGTAAAATATGAAGGTTATCAAGTTTCTAAACAGCGAAACTGAAGGCTATTAAATGGGCTTCATAATGGGTCTATCTCACTATAAACTCAGGGATGTGAATGGGCTTTGTAATTTAAAAGGTTCCCACGTAAATGTTAGTATTATTGTCCACTTTCCTGAGTTTCTGTATTTTCTAGTTTCTGATTCTGCTAAGGAAAAATGTTCTTTTAAATGTGTTTCTCAGTTGCCCACTGCCTGACCCAATTCCATTCTTGGTGTTGATGTTCCCTCTTACGCCTACATTTCCATTCCTGTCAGCTCAGGGATTCTGCTCCAGCCTCTCCTTTCTTCCTTTCTCCTGCCTCCAGGCTGACAGCTCTATTCACCTGTAGAAAGTGGCTTCTGAGAGCTCTCTACTTCTCTGTTGCCCTCAGCTGCTCCTGAGGAGAACATGTGGTTCAGATCTGTCATTGCTGACGTGTTACAGGTCAGTTCTAGCTAAATCCTAACAATGACAACTGCAGCAGCAACCACTGCCTGAGCACCTAGCAGGGACCAGATCAATGTGTTCATTCCCTCCAAACCTCAGAACAACACTGTATAATATAATAATGTATAACAAGGTACACACTTATTATAGACATCGCATAAACCAGGAAACAAAAACTCAGAAGTTATATAACTTCCTTCAAGCAGAGCCAGCATTCCAACCCAAATCCATTTGTCTCCAGAGTTTACTGGATTTTTATAATACAAAATGTTTCTCTTGGAGGTAGGCACTTTGCATTTCACAGGATACTAACCAAATATCCACACTGAGTGAATAAGAGTAGGCTGGAAAGAGGGAAGAAAGAATCATGACCTAGAATTATCTTCACAATGAAGGTAAACCTACTTTCTCAGTACAGATAGGCAGCCCCAAGGAGGATTTTCTTGCGTAGTTAGTAAAGATAGGCTGGGATTTACTTCACTGATTTTCAATGCAGTTCTCACTCATTTAAAGGTAAAATTAATGTTACTAGCTTCTGTAAGGTAGATGCTGTAGTAGACGCTTTCATATACAAGGCCACTTACAATCAAAGTATTACAAAGATACATACAATTAGATTTCAAGATTGGTGGATATGGGACACTCAATATCCTTCAATAAGGAATAATATTTCAATCATCATTTAGCAGAAGGCACAGAAGGATTTGAATTACAAATTTTAAAAATAGAGGGATGTTTTCATAATTAAAATAAAATTCATCAAGTGGCTTCATTTAGACACTTAAAAACTGTGACCTTAGGATGACATGCTATTTTCTATTCAATAATTCAAGTAGACCTTAACCTTCTGTCTAGATTTTGCATATATGAAGTGTCTCAGAAATACACTGTTAATAGCTAGAGCAAGGACAATGATAATGAAATCTACATAACGATATTTTAATGGCACCTTTCACAAAGGCATTTTTGTTTTCTTAGAAGAGTGATTATTCAGACTATTTTGGGATAGGTCAAACTCTCTTGACAACAGGGTTTTCAGAGGTGAGCCCCTCAGTGGGAAAGTTTACTGATAAAACTGTGAGTTTCTGTTTGACATCAATTTGACATGTTGCAACCTTCATTCCTAACTCCACAGGACGAAACTTTCTGGGGGAAGATAAATTGTTTAGTGAATAACGTAAGGATGCTTACTTATTTAAAAGGTGCACAGTATCTGATAACATAAAGTATTTGAGTTTTCTGATCCTCTGATTCAATGGGCATTTTCCAGAAGATTGTCAATAACATTCAAGGAGCACTTTTCTGCTTCTTTCTGCATATATAAAGGTTTTGGATTTTGTTACCTAATGCCCTGCTTCATCCTTGGATATAGAGCACAAATATATTTTTCTTTAATCCTTAACCTACTAGCTTCTTATTTAATGAAGCCCAGTTCCAAACAGATTTTCAGAGGTTTTAAATTCTCCAAATGGGATTTTCGTAAAATTCTAGCCTCTCCAGTAACTCCAGTGTCTTCCTCAAAGCCACTCCACATCATTCTTACAATTATAGTAAAAATATTGTCTTTGCCCTGTAAATTCAGCAGCAAGGCTAAGACTGAAAAGCCACTTGGTTATGATATAAATTCTAGAGCTGCTACCAGTTAAGTCATCTCAGACACATTTATGCTTTTGAAAACTTATTTACATTAATTTACTAACAATATACTCTTCATTTGTCATCAATATGTCTGGAGATGGAAGCAATTACATAGTATCCAAAGAATAAGGTAGAAATTTCAAATCACCATCATGTATACCTTACTCTGGCATTCAAAGCTCTCCACAGCTGACAACAATCTAGCTTTCTGGCAACGTGTCTCACGTTTCCACACACTTCACGCTCCAGTCCTAAAAGATTAACTCCTCATTCCACACTCACAGCCTATGCCTCTGACCCCTTGGCTTTTGCCATTTTTGTTCCTTCCACCTAGAAGATCATTTTGTGTACATCCTCCATTAGTAACTATTGAACTTTTCCTATTTTAAGGCCTAGTTCCAAATCTACCCCAAATAATCACTATTCCTCAACCACAGTCAGCTGAAATTATGTGATTCCTTCCTAGGCTTTCCAAGCTCATTTCTATTCCATGTTTGTAACTTAATAAATTATTTTTTATTGGGACAGAAATTAATATAATTTATTTCAGAGTATTCCTGTCTCTATTACCAGACAGCAAGGTCATTGAGGGCAAATAGACTTCCTTGAGCATCTCTTTATCCCACCCAGGCCCTGATAGAGACCAGCTGAACTGAGCTGAATTGATGATACAACTTATAGTGTAATCAAAGTCCACAAGAAGTATTTGCAGATAATAGCACAGAAGTGTCCTATAAGAGTCCAGAAGGTTACTCTTGGTCTGTTAGATGCTTTTCTTTGTTTAAACCACAACATCTGTAAAGTCAGATTCTTTCATTTGAAAATTTCACAGTAAATATGATAATTAGGTAATCCAAATTGGCCTGTCATCGAAAAGGTCATTTCCGAGAAGAAAATCTTTATTATAATTAGTCTTAATGAAGCTTTATTTCTAAGGTTATTACCTTCTTCTGATTTGCTCTTTCTTTAATCTGGAATATTCTTTAACTGTTAAGAACACTTACAGTGTTAGCCCTACCAGATTTACATGGATGGATACCTTTCATTGGCAACACCATCCCTTAACCCAGCTAGGGCTTAAAGGGATTTTAATTTGTTATCATCTTTCCTCCAGGTAAGGCTGTAGTTTGTGGTAGGTTAAGTAAACTGTCAAAAATGTTTATTTTTCATTTTCCTTTTCACAGTCTTTAAACATATTTAGTCATCACTTCCTGGGATTCTTCCTTAATTCTCTTGGAGCTTTCCTCTAATCAGTGCTTCTCAACTGGGAATAATTTTGCCTGGATTTTATCACTGTCGGGATTCTGCTCCAGCTTCTCCTTTCTTCCTCTTCTCTTCCTTCACTTTGACAATATCATCCACCAACCCACTAGATGGGTGGCTTCTGTGAGCTCTCCACTCTGGGTATTCTCAAGCTATATCTGAAGACAATTTTTATTGTCATAATAAGGGGCTGCTGCTGTTGGCATCTCATGGGTAGAGCCCAGGGAAGGGACGCTGCTAATTTTATCATGCTCCACAACAAAGCATTACTGAGTCTCAAATGTCAATAGTACTACTCTAACTGTAGATGAGATAATGAGAGGAAACATTTAGTCATTCTCTGTACACTTTCTTTATAATGATTTTATGTGACTATTAGTGTCTGTCTCTGTGCATAGTTGCTTCAGCACCCTCTTATAATTCCTACCTAGAAGTTAAGGCTTTGGATCTATTCTTAGTATTTGATTTTTTAAAAAAAATTATTTAACTTTTATTTTCAGTTCAGGGGTACATGTGCAGGTGTGTTATATAGGTAAACTTGTGTTATAGGGATTTGTTGTACAAATTATTTCATCACCCTGATATTAAGCCTAGTACTTGTTAGTTATTCGTCCCGATCTTCTTTGTCTTTTCACCCTCCACCATCTGATGGGCCCTGATGTGTGTTGTTTCCCTCTATGTGTCCATGTGTTCTCATCATTTAGCTCCCACTCATAAGTGAGAACATGTGGTGTTTGGTTTTCTGTTCCTGTGTTAGTTTGCTAAGGATAATAGCCTCCAACTCCATCCATGTTCCTGCAGTGGACAGGACCTCATTGAGAATGAATGCATAGTATTCCATAGTGTATGATATAATTTGGCTGTGTGTCCCCACCAAAATCTCACCTTAAATTGTAATAACACCCATGTGTCAAACGTGGGACCAAGTGGAGGTAATTGAATTAGGGGGTGGATCCCCCTTGCTGTTCTCATAACAATGAGTGAGTTTCATATGATCTAATGGTTTTATAAGCATCTGGCATTTCCCCTGCTTGCACTTCTCCTTCCTGCCACTTTGTGAAGAAGATGCCTTGCTTCCCCTTCTACCATGATGGTAAATTTCCTGAGGCCTATGCTGAACTGTGAGTCAACTATACCTCTTTCCTTTAAAAATTATGCAGTCTTAGGTATGTCTTTATTAGCAGCGTGAGAATGGTGAACTATGAGTCGATTACACCCATGCTGAACTATGAGTCAATTACACCTCTTTCCTTTAAAAATTACGCAGTTTCAGGTATGTCTTTATTAGCAGTGTGAGAGTGGACTAATGCAGTAAATTGGTACCGAGGTGGGGGGAGGTGCTGCTATAAAGATACCTGAAAATGTGGAAGTGACTTTAGAACTAGTTAACAGGTAGAGGTTGGAAGAGTTTGGAGGGCTAGAAGAAGATAGGAAGATATGGGAAAGTTTGGAACTTTCTAGGGATTTATTGAATAGCTTTGACTAAAATGCTGAGAGTGATATGGACAGTGAAGTCCAGGCTGAGGTGGTCTTAGATGGAGATGAGGAACTTACTGGGAATTGGAATAAGGGTGACTCTTGCTATGCTTTAGCAAAGAGACTGATTACATTTTGCCTCTGCCCTAGAGATCTGTGGAACTTTGAACTTGAAAGAGATGATTTAGAGTTCCTGGCCAAAGAAATTTCTAAGCAGCAAAGCATTCAAGAGGTGACTTGGATGTTCTTAAAAGCATTCAGTTTTATGCATCCACAAAGAGATGGTTTGGAATTGGAACTTATGTTTAAAAGGGAAGCAAAGCATAAAAGTTTGGAAAATTTGCAGCCTGGACAATGCAATAGAAAAAGAAAAACCCATTTTCTAAGGAGAAATTCAAGCAGCTCCAGAAACTTGCATAAGTAACGAGGAGCCAAATGTCAATAGCCAAGATAATGGGGAAATGTCTCCAGGGCATGTCAGAGGTCTTCATGGCAGGCCCTCTCATCACAGGCCCAGAGACCTAGGAGGAAAAAATGGTTTTATGGACCAGGCCCAGGGCCTTGCCGCCTTGTGCTGTCTTGGGACTTGGTGCCCTGCATGCTAGCCATGGCTAAAAGGGACCAACATACAGCTCAGGCCATTGCTTCAGAGGATGCAAGCCCTAAGACTTGGTAGCTTACATGTAGTGTTGGGCCTGCAGATGCACAGAAGTCAGGAATTGAGGTTTGGGAACCTCTGTCTAGATTTTAGAGGATGTATGGAAATGCCTGGCTATCCAGGCAGATGTTTGCTGCAGGAGTGGGACCCTCATGGAGATCCTCTGCTAGGACAGTGTGGAGGGGAAGTGTGGGGTTGGAGCCCCCATTCAGAGCACCCACTGGGGCACTGCCTAGTGGAGCTGTGAGAAGAGGGCCACTGTCCTCTAGTCCCCAGAATGGTAGATCCACCAACAGTTTGCATCATGTGCCTGGAAAAGCTCTAGTCACTCAATGCCAGCCCATGAAAGCAGCTGGGAGAGAGGCTGTACCTGCAAAGCCACAGGGGTAGATCTGCCCAAGGCCATGGGAGCCCACTCCTTGCATCACCATGACCTGGATGTGAAACATGGAGTCAAAGGAGATCATTTTTGAACTTTAAGTTTTAATGATTGTCCTATTGGATTTAAAACTTGCATTGGGCCTGTAGCCTCTTTGTTTTGGCCAATTTCTCCCATTTGGAATGGGTGTATTTACCCAATGTCTGCACCCTCATTGTATCTAGGAAGTAACTAACTTGCTTTTGATTTTACAGGTTCATAGGCAGAAGGGACTTGCCTTGTCTCAGATGAGACTTTGGACTTGGACTTTTGGGTTAATTCTGAAATGAGTTAAGTCTTTGGGGGACTGTTGGAAGGGCATGATTGTGTTTTGAAATGTGAGGACATGAGATGTGGGAGGAGACAGGGGTAGAATGATATGGTTTGGCTCTGGGTCCCCACCCAAATCTCACCTTGAAATGTAATAATCCTCACATGTCAAAGGCAGAATGAGGTGGAGGTAACTGAATCATGGAGATGGTTTCCCCCATGCTGTTCTCATGATAATGAGTGAGTCTCATGAGATCTGATGGTATGATAAACATCTGCATTTCTCCTTCTTGCACTTCTCCTTCCTGCCACTTTGTAAAGAAGGTGCCTTGCTTCCCCTTTGCCTTCCACCATGATGGTAAATTTCCTGATGTCTCCTGAGCCATGCTGAACTGTGAGCCAATTAAACCTCTTTGCTTTATAAATTACTCAGTCTCAGGTATGTATTTATAAGTAGCATAGAATGGACTAATACAGTGTATATGTACCACATTTTTTCACCCAGTCTTCCATTGATGGGCAGTTAGGTTGATTCCAAGTTTTTGCTATTGTAAATAGTGCTGCAATGAACATACGTGTGCATGTGTCTTTATAATAGAAAAATTTATTTTCCTCTGGATATGTACCCAGTAATGGGATTGCAGGATGGAACAGTATTTCGGTCTTTAGGTCTCTGAGAGATTGACACACTGCTTTCCACAATGATTGAACTAATTTACAGTCCCATTAACAGTGTATAAGTGTTTCTTTTTTCTCTGCAACCTTGCCAGCATCTGTTATTTTTTGACTTTTTAATACCAGCCATTCTGACTGGTGTGAGATGGTATCTCATTGTGGTTTTGATTTGCATTTCTCTAATGATCAGAGATGAGCTTTTGTCATATGATTGTTGGTGGCACGTATGTCTTCTTTTGAAAAGTATCTATTCATGTTCTTTGCCCACTTGTTAATGCGGTTGTTTTTCTTTTCTCTTTTGTTTAAGTTTTGTTTATTTAAGTTCTTTACGGGTGTTAGATATTAGGCCTTTGTTAGATGCATAGTTTGCAAATATTTTCTCCCATTCTGTAGGTTGTCTGTTTACTCCGATGATAGTTTCTATTGCTGTGCAGAAGCTTTTTAGTTTAATTAGATCCCACTTCTCAATCTTTGCTTTTGTTGCTATTGCTTTTGGCATCTTCATCATGAAATTTTTGCCTGTTCCTACATCCAGAGTGATATTGCCTAGGTTGTCTTCCAAAGTTTTTAAAGTTTTGGGTTTTACATTTAAGTTTTTAATCCATCTTGAGTTTTGTATATGATGTAAGGAAGGGGCCCAGTTTCAATCTTCTGCATATGGCTAGCCAGTTATCCCAGAACCATTTATTGAATAGGGAATAATTTTCCCATTGCTTGTTTTTGTCAGGTTTGTTGAAAGTCAGATAGCTGTAGGTGTGTAGACTTACTTCTTGGTTTTCTCTTCTGTTCCATTGGTCTATGTGTCTGTTTTTGTATTAGTACCACGCTGTTTTGATTACTGTAGCCCTGTAGTATAATTTGAAGTCAAGTACAATGATGCCTTCAGCTTTGTTCTTTTTGCTTAGAATTGCCTTGGCTCTTTGGGCTCTTTTTGGTTCCATACAAATTTTAAAATGGTTGTTTCTAGTCTGCAAAGACTGTCAATGGTAGTTTAATAGGAACAGAACTGAATCTATAAATTGTTTTGGACAGTATGGCCATGTTAACAATATTGATTCTTCTTCCTATCCATGAGCATAGAATGTTTTTCCATTTGTTTGTGTTATCTTTGACTTCTTTAAGCAGTGTTTTGTAGTTCTTTTTGTAAAAATCTTTCACCTCCTCAGTTAACTGTATTTATAGTTTTTTTGTTTGTTTGTTTGTTTTTTGACAATTGTGAATGGGATTGTGTTCCTGATTTGGCTCTCAGCTTAACTGTTGGTAAATAGGAATGTTAGTAATTTTTACACATTGATTGTGTATCCTGAGACTTTGCTGAAGTTGTTTATCAGCTTAAGGAGCTTTTGGGCTGAGACTATAAGGTTTTCTAGATATAGGATTATATCATCTGCAAACAGGGGTAGTTGACTTTCTCTCTTTCTATTTGAATGCCCTTTATTTCATCCTCTTGCTTGATTGCCCTGGCTAGGACTTCCAATACTCTATCGAATAGGAGTAGTGAAAGAGGACATCCTTGTCTTGTGCTGGTTTTCAAGGCGATTGCTTCTAGCTTTTGCCCCTTCATTATATTGTTGGCTGTGGGTTTGTCATAGACAGCTCTTATTATTTTGAGGTATGTTCCTTTGATACCTAGTTTATTGAGAGTTTTTAATATAAAGAGGCATTGAAATTTATCAAAAGTATTTTCTGCATGTATTGATATAATAATGTGGTTTTTGTCTTTAGTTTTGTTTATGTGATGCATCGTACTTATTGATTTACGTATGTTGAACCAAACTTGCATCCCATGAATAAAGACCATGGTGGATTAGCTTTTGATGTAATGCTGGATTTAGTTTGCCAGTATTTGGTTGAGGATGTTTGCATCAATATTCATCAAGGATATTGGCCTGTTTTTGTTGTGTCTCTGCCAGGTTTTATGGTCAGAATGATGCTGCCCTCATAGAATGGGTTAGGGAAGAGTTCTTCCTCCTCAATTTTTTGGAATAGTTCCAGTAGGAATGGTACCAGGTTGTTTTTTGTACATCTGGTAGAGTTCAGCTATAAATCCATTTGGTCCTAGGCTTTTTTTGGTTGGTAGGCTATTTATTACAGATTCCATTTCAGAGCTTATTGTTGGTCTGTTCAGGAATTCAATTTCTTCCTAGTTCAGTCTTGGGAGGGCATATGTGTCTAGGACTTTGCCCACTTCTTCTATATTTTCTAGTTTATGTGCATAGAAGTGTTCATAATAGTCTCTGACAGTTATTTGTAATTTTTTTTGGGTCAGTGGGGTCAGCAAATATTATTTGCCGGTTACTATTGTCATTTCTAATTGTGTTTAGTTGGATCTTCTCTCTTTTCTTCTTTATTAGTCTAATTAGCAGTTTATTTATTTTATTAATTTTTCAAAGGAGCAACTCCTGGATTTGTTGATCTTTTGAATGGTTTCTAGTGTTTCAATCTTTTTCAGTTCACCTCGGATTTTGGTTATTTTTTGTCTTCTGCTAGCTTTGGGGTTGGTTTGCTCTTAGTTCTCTAATTCTTTCAGCTGTGATGTTAGGTTGTTAAATTGAGATCTTTCAAACTTTTAGATGTGAGCATCTAGTACTATAAATTTCTTTCTTAACAGTGCCTTAGCTCTGTCCCAGATATTCTGGTATGTTGTATCTTTGTTCTCATTAGTTTCAAATAACTTCTTGAATTCTGCCTTAATTTCACTATTTACACAAAAGTCATTCAGGATCAGGTTATTTAATTTCCATGTAATTGTATGGTTTTGAACACATTTCTTAGTCTTGATTTCTAATTTGATTTTGCTGTGGTCTGAGAGAGTGGTTGCTATAATTTCAGTTCTTTTGCATTTGCTGAGGAGTGTTTTGTGTCTGATTATGTGGTTGATTTTAGAGTATGTGCCATGTAGTGACGAGAAGAAAGTACATTCTGTTGCTTTTGGGTGGAGAATTCTGTAGATGTCTATTAGGTCCATTTGATCCAGTGCTGAGTTCAGATTCTGAATATCTTTATTTTCTGCCTTGATGATCTAATGCTGTCACTGCTATTATTGTATGAGAGTCTAAGTCTCTTTGAAGGTCTCTAAGGACTTGCTTTATGAATCTGGGTGCTCCTGTGTTGGGTGCATATATGTATTTAGGACAGTTAGGTCTTCTTGTTGAAATGAACCTTTTACCATTATGTAATGTCCTTATTTGTTTTAAAATCTTTGTTGTTTTAAAGTGTGTTCTATCTGAAATTAGGATTGTAACCCCAGCTTTTTTATGTTTTCTATTTGCTTGCTAGATTTTTCTCCATCTCTGTATTGAACCTCTTGGTGTTATTGCATGTGAGATCAGTCTCTTGAAGACAGCATACCAATCAGTCTTCGTTCTTTATCCAGCCTGCCACACTACCTTATAATTGGGGCGTTTAGTCCATTTATACTCATGGTTAGTATTGACATATATGGATTTGATCATGTAATCATGATATTTGCTAGTTATTATGCAGATTTGTTTGTGTGGTTGCTTTATAGTGTCACTGATCTGTGTACTTCAGTGTGTTTTTATAGTGGCTGGTAAGAGTCTTTCCTTTCCATATTTAGTGCTTCCTTCAGGAGCTTTTGTAAGGCAAGTCAGGTGGTAGTGAATTCCTTCAGCATTTCCTTGTCTGAATAGATTCTTATTTTTCCTTCACTTTTGAAGCTTAGTTTGGCCAGATATAAAATCCTGCGTTGGAATTTTTTTCTATAAGAATGTTGAATATTGGTCCCCAATCTCTTCTGGCTTGTAAGGTTTCTGCTGAGAAGTCCACTGTCAGTCTGATGGACTTCCCTTTGTGGGTGATCTAACCTTTCTCACTAGCTGCCTTTAGCATTTCTTCTTTCATTTTGACTTTGGAGAATCTGATGATTATGTGTCTTGGGTATGATCTTCTTGTGAAGTATCTTACTGAGGTTCTCAGCATTTCCTGAATTTGTTCAGGATCTCCATCCTTTGTGGTCATTAAACTTAGGCTTTTGTACTGATAGAGCTAACAGTCTTTCAGAAATCTCTGCCTAGCTTCTCAAGTGCATCTTTGAGAATCAAACATTACTTAGATAAAAAATAACCAACAAATGTTATGATTCAATCATGCTACATGGATATGTCCACTATTAATCAACACGATGGCTTTGCTCATTGTAGTCTTTCAAGAACATAGGTTAATGTGGGCTTCATTTTGTTACATGTTTCCATGGCCTTTGATAGTAGAAAGGGAATATGGCGAATTCTGAGCTGACTTTAAAATTTCAAACTGGAACTTCTGTTTTCCTTTCTCTGGACAAAAGCAAGTCATAAGGTCACACAAAATATCAAGTGGATAGAGAATTACAATTCTAGTATATTCCTGGAAAGTAGAGAGCTGGAAGTTATTGGTGAACAGCACATGGTGAAAACAGAGTAAAATATGCTACAACTGATTTATCCTATTCCCATACATTTAAAAAGAGGTCACTGAGTTTTTTCTTCTTTTTGCTATTCAAACACATTTCAACAAATATCCTTGTATACACGTGACAAAATTTCTCTAAAATACTTATTAGGTGTCAAATTGCCAGATGATAATAAATTCCTAATTGCATAACTAATTAGATGTTGCCAAATTAAAATTGTTTGCTAAAATTGTATTGGTTTATACCCTAACCAGCCATGTTTAGAGTTCCTATTCTTCCATGTTCTCACTAAAATTTTAAGTTATAATGTATATTAACTTTCTAATCAGATAGGTATCTATGCTATCTTATTTTTATTTTTATTTTTCTGATTACTAGTAGGTCAAGCATCTTTTCTTATATATACTTCCCATTCAAATTTTCTCTTTTGTGAATTTTATGTTTTATGCATAATTGCTGTCTAGCTTTATTATATTAAAACAATTTTTTGTGGTGCAGTGTGGGTATTTCTTCAAATCTATCTTCTAGTACACTAATTTATTTCTTAATCTGTGTTTTAAGTATGAAAATTTTAAGTATTCAATTACTTTTTATTATTTTTAGAAGTTTTTTAAAATTTCTAATTTTGGCCAGGCACAGTGGTGGCTCATGCCTATAATCCCAGCACTTTGGGAGGCCGCAGGCAGGTCACAAGGTCAGGAGATTAAGACTATCCTGGCTAACATGGTGAAACGCTGTCTTTACTAAAAATACAAAAAAATTAGCTGGGCGTGGTAGCAGGCACCTGTAATCCCAGCTGCTTGGGAGGCTGAGGCACAAGAATGGTGTGAACCTGGGAGGTGGAGCTTGCAGTGAACCAAGATCACGCCACTGTACTCCAGCCTGGGTGACAGAGAGAGACTGCATCTCAAAATAAATAAATAAATAAATAAATAAAATTTCTAATGTTTTGCAATAGCCTATTATTTTAGTATAACTTATGTTCCTTCATTTAGCTTTTAAATAATTTAAAGCATACATATTCTATAGTCTTCCCCCATTTTTCTATTATATCAAAGTCTTATGTTTGCTAATTCTGTCTTTCATGGTAAACAGTTTTCTCTTGTGTTAAAAAATGTTGCCAGCTCTTCTTCAGTAGAGTGTTTTTGTTGTTGCTGTTGTTTGTTTGTTTAAGTTTGAATTTGTTTCACTAGGTTCTGCAGGGTTTTGTTTGTGTCCTGGTCCAGATTTTATGTTACTCTTTTATTAATAGCTTGGAGATTCACATGCCACACAGTTAGTATAGGTTGAGACTCCATCTAGATACTTAACTAATGAGTTCTGACTACTCATAGGAGATCTTTGTCTCTCACAGCTTCAAACATAGACGAGCTTACTTATTGTTTCCCTGGAATGGTGCATGGAGATTTTTCAGTCCTCATTTCACTGAGAAAGAAGCCACCTACAGTGGTCTCTCAATTGACTTTTAATTCCAGCCCCTATCTTATGCAAGTCATGTTGCTTTCTCTACAATAAGCATTAAAAACCTAGTCCCAACCAATAACAACTTAAATTGAGATTTGACCTGTAGTTACAGCTCACAAGCTTACCTCTGATTATGTTGAACTTCACCTGAGCCTTGTGCTCTGAGAAAATAGCAATGATTAACAAATCCCCATCCTTTTATTTTCTGAGAAATGAGTATCCATGAAGGACATCCCATATTTTCAGCTTTCCCATATTTCAAGATGAGACTCACCTCTACCTTTTCCAATGACTCAGATAAACCCTTCTTCATCTTCCCTCTTGATTCTTATAAGACTTGTGGATGATTCCCTTGTTAACTTGCCTCTTCCTATGTCCCCTTTATTTTCTTCTATATGTCCCTCACTAGTGAATGCTCTCTCAATTGCAATAGCCTGAATAAAACCTTCTCCTTAACTGCCTGGTGAATTTTGTCTGTAATACTTTGGTGCTGTGACTCAGAAGGGATTGAACCTCACCTTCAGATCCCTGTTAATTCCATCCCCATAATTGGGCCCCTCAGTGAGCTTTGTGCACTGTTCCTGACTGGTGATCTGGTAACCAATGGTGTGCGTGATTTCTTGTCCTGTGTTCTGGGTTACTGTCCATTGGTAGCATGATAAAGATTGATTTTGATTATATTTGAGTATGCACTTGATTTCTGGTGCTGCTCCTTCTGATTTGATGGTCTGACCTTTTGGTGATTTCTATAAATGGATTGATGGTTTATAGAGATCTTGTTTTTATTGAGTAAAGGACAACAAAATATTAACAGAAGAGTGTTAATCTCTTTTGTTTGTCTACTTTGAACTCAAATCAATTAAGAATTCATACCCATTTATAAAGAAGAGGTTTTTAATATGAAATGGTGACTTTTTATTGATATATAATCACATATTTTCAAGCTACAAGTGATAATTTAATACATTCATATAATTTGTAAAGATCAAATCAGTGTAACTGGCATATCTTTCACCTCAAATATTTGTCTTTTGTTTGTGTTTAGAAGCATTTTAATTATTCTCTTCTAGCTACTTTGAAATATACAATAGATCATTGTAAACTAGAGTCACCCTACTTATCTATCAAAAACTAGGTCTTAGGCCAGGGATGGTGGCTCACGCCTGTAATCCCAGTAATTTGAGAGACTGAGGTGGGTGGATCACTTGAAGCTAGGAGATTCAGACCAGCCTAGCCAACATGGTGAAACCCCATCTTTACTAAAAATGCGAAAATTAGCTGGGTGTGGTGGCACGTGTCTGTAATCTCAGTTACTTGGGAGGCTGAGGCAGGAGAATCGCTTAAACCCAGTATGTGGAGGTTGATCTCAGTGAGCTGAGATCATGCCACTGCCACTGCACACCAGCCTGGGCAACAGAGCAAAACTCTGTCTCAAAACAAACAGACAAACAAAACAACAACAATAACAACAACAAACAACCAAACAAAAAAACACAAAGAAAAACTAGGTCATAATTCTTTTATTAAACTGTGTATTTACCAACTCATCAATCTCTTTTTCCCTTCCCCTATACCCTTCCCAGCCTTTGGTAAATGCCAGTATACTTTCTATCTTCAGCAGATCCACTTTTTAGCTCCCCCAAATAGGTGAGAACATGTGATACTTAGCTTTGGCTTATTTCACTTAACGTAATAACCTCCATAATGATCTCCATCCATGTTGCTGCAAATGACAGGTTTTCATTCCTTTTTATGGCTGAATAATATTCCATTGTGTGTATATACCACATTTTGTTTATCCATTCATCTGTTAATAGACCCTTTGACTGATTCCATATTTTGACTATTGTGAATAGTGCTGCAATAAACATGGGCGTGCACATATCTCTTTCATATATTGATTTTCTTTCTTTGGATATATAACCAGTAGTGGAATTGCTGGATCATATGATAGTTCTATTCTGAGTTTTTAAGGAAACTCTATACAGTTTTCCATAGGGGCTGTACTAATTTACATTCCCATCAACAGTGTACAAGTGTTCCCCTCTCTCCACATCCTCACCAGCATCCATTATACCTTGTCTTTTTGATAAAAGCCATGAAATGATGAGTTTTATGAATTAGTGTTTTTTCTTGATCCAAGGCTAAAATTTTAGAATTGAAGCTGTATGCACTCTATTTGCGTCTGTCTGCATGTTGATATGACGTGTTCAGAAGTTCCTCTGCCTCTCTCATTGTGTGTGTAATATTTTTCCTTATCTGGATGGCATTAATAAATTAGATTTAGCATCTCTTAAAGGAACTCAGTGCTAATTGGTTTAGAGATTAAGTGCTTATATAAATTGAATACCCCTAAAATTCCCAGATATTAAGGAAATTAAATTTCTAGTAAAATGTGCTACAAAATTTTTTATAGAAACTAACACAAATGTTTTAAGAAGTTCTCATAACTTTCAGAAAGTTTGTCAAATAAACCAGTTTAATATTTTGATTTAATTTTTCAAACATCGTATCTCCTCTGATTTGTGTTAAATATAGTATACACATAGACTTTATTCTACTTCTTATGCTTTTCTTAAAAGTACACATGTTTACTGGTCAAATAAGCTAGCATCACTTCTACTTAATGTATAAATTATGCAAAATGTAAACTAGTGTTTATCAAATTGAATCATTATTCTGACAAACTTTATTTCAAGAGTAATTAGGTTTTATAGTATATACCTTGAAGATAATTTCCAAGCTCTTTAGGTAATTTAAAATCTTGGACTGAAACTAAATTGAGCTAATTAATGGATATTCATTAGATACGTAGATTATTTCTGAGTAAGACAGAATATGGAAACATTAATTCTTAAATGGAATTTTAAGCTTATACTTTCTGCCTCTTATTTTTATATGGTATAAATAGGCTGTATATATTTTAATCTGTTATTAAAAGTATTTATTTTGCCATTCTGAGAAGTTGTTCTATAAAAGATGTATATGGCTATAGGAAAATAACAGAAAGTTAATGGAAAGATAATTTTGTTGTGGTCAAAGGTAAGGTTCGATGGTTTATTTATAAGATTTTTAAAAAGAGCTTTGATATCAAATATTATATTGATACAATATTAGAATTTGTTTTTCTCTCTTTTTCAGCAAACTTTTCCACTAGCATAGTGTTCTGTTCTTACTAAGAGGTTGTAAAAGATTATTCTTTATCCCTTTTGTAATCTGCCTAGATACCAAAGATTCTGTATCTTGCCAAAATAACCGCTATGGTTTATGTTAAATTTATTATGTCCTTTATTATTTTAAAAAACAAAAAAAATACGTATAAAAAAGTTAAGATTCTTTACAATCATGTTATCTCCTATGTTTACTTTCAAAATCTTTTATTGCCCCTTGGATTAATAGGTCGCTAAGTGTCATTTCTCAGTAACCCATGCTCCTATCTTAATCAAGTTTAAATTTCCTGATAATTTCAATATTTTGCATTTTCAAAATTGAAATCTAACTAATATCTTTTACATCTAAAAGACCAAAATCTTTAAGATTTCCTAGAAGGAACCTGGAAAATCACAAAGGATTTATTCTTCCTAGTTATAAAAGGAGAAGTGCTAGAAATAATTAGGTTTATTTGACATGTAATTATTGATGAGTTGCATGGAGTTTTTAAATCAGGAGAGAGGTTTAGCCCTCTCTGGATTACAGTTGTATGAAAAATGTTATTAATATAAATATTTTAGAAATTCTATGTTGCATGAGACGTTCCTGGAGATTTGTCAATGCCCTCGGTCCATGGTCTGTTTCTCTTCATCAGAATCCTGGTGCTGCTTTCCTTGATGTCAATCTACAACAATACAGTATTATCAGTCATATTCTATTATCAGTCATAATAGTATTATCAGTATATTCAGTTGCTTTTTAAACTGTTAACTGGATTGCAATTTTACTCCTTTAATTTGAATCTAGCCAGGACAGTAGTTTTCAACTGGGAATTCACCAACCTCCCTACAGAATTTTATCAATATGGATGCTTAGGACCTACTCTAGACTTGAAGTTCTTGATATATTCTTGGTATGTTCAAACTATAAGCTTAGTATATCTCAGGATTATTATATGCCTGAAGATATATTACTTTGTGAAAGATTATATTCATTCATTTTTGTGAATTAAATGTAACATCGACTCTTCTTTGAAAATATCGCTAACAATTATGTTTACAGACATTTTGCCTCATCTTTGGGATTGATTTTGTTATCTTCTTTTGTATGAAATGGAAGCAAACAACTTTGTCAGTTACATTATTCTTGTGACGAACATTCACCAGATGTTTCACTTTTGAAAATTATCAATAATAAGTTAACCATAGCCATTTTGTCTGTTGTTAACTGTAAATAGTTTTAATTTTACTCTGTTCCTTTCCTGAAAATACTTGCAATCAGCTACAGGCCAGAATGCTTTGTCTTCAATAAAGAGGGTCTGTCTCAGAGTCTCATGTAAAAGGACTATGTTAGGTATTTTGGGGCTCATCCTTCTTAAGCAACTTTGAGAACACACTGGTAGACTGAGTCATGTTTTTTAGAACTTTACTTGAGAAACAAGTGGGTTCACGAGACTGCCAACCCAAGATGAAGCAGAACAATAATTAAGTTATACATCAATAAAGTAATGAAAATTGATTGTGATTTTTGCTTGGGATAGTGTTCATATTTTAATGTTCTGTTTTCTGGATATAGAAGGAATTCTTCCTTTTCTCATAAACTATAATTCATAAAAATTAAGTAGATTATACTTTTATAAATGGGAGAGAAACATTTCTAAATGTTATCTTTTTCTCTCTGCTTGATCCCTCCAGAATTTCAAAGCTCTTGTTGTTTTTTTTATAGCGATATTATGATTTGCATATGTTCCATAAAGCCAACCTTATTGTTAGCAGATGTAATTGGAGACGTTAGTTTTGTAACCAAAATCTTGCCAGGAATATCGTATTTGAGAATGGTGTTCATTTAATCTGATATAACCAGATACCTTTAAGGAACTAAGGTGAACACTATGGAGTCAATGCTTACAAAGCCCTTGGAAAAATTGGCCTATTACTTGACTCACAGAGTTCCCAGACTTAAATGTGAGTAAGAAAGGTCACTTCCTGGAAGGCCTAGGACTCTTAAAATACTTTGAGGACTTCATGAAGAGAGGAATTTGATATCCTAGGTGAAATCTGATGGTGAGATATTGACTTGACTTTTTAGTATCAAGGGGCTTTTGGTGCTTTTGAAATTCTAATCTGATATTCCTTTATGAAAACTTCCAGCAAAGCAAACTTAAGAAGACCTATGTGGTAAATTACCATTCTTGCTGCCTCTATGTAAGTAATGAAGCCAAATAAAATTAGAGCATTCTTATTTTGTGATCAAGAATAATACTTTTTCTTCACATTATTTTTGAGCAAAAGGGGTGTGACTGTAGAGAGAAATTTCGTATTTCAATGAATAGTTTTTGTCTATAGCATTGTCTATAGCATAATCTTGCAGATGGTTAAATTCTGGCACTATTCATTGTCTTTGAGCTATTTTGCACCTTTTTTGAAATTGTAGTAACTGACAGATAAGTAAACTATCTTGTCATTTTGTTGAAAAAAATGTATCTTCCCTCCCACACTGTGGAGAAACAGCTTTTATCCTACATGAAAATTGGAATGGATCCTATCACCTTGCTGAAATTGCTAATCCTTACCAAATTTTCAATTCTTCCTGTTTCCTTCAATATCTGATATGAATATCTGATTATGTGCCATTCTCCCAACATTTCCAATTTCTCTGTTTTGACTCAGCATCACTGGGGACAGGGACTAAAATCTGGCCGCCCGGATTCCTCCTGAGACTCTAAGTTGCCTTGCATCCAGCCAGCTCTTTTCTCCAGGATCTGAAGAATCCCTGTGAGCTGAAGCCCGAGGACTTGATGCAAACCTCACCACTAAAGCAGACCATGCGTGAGTCACAAGTATCCCTTAACAAGCCACTGTCTTGGCTGTGAAGAAAGTCTGTTGAAATGGTTGGGTCCTGCATACTTCAGGCGCCAAGGACAAACTTTCACTTTGCACTCTGAAGGTTCACTGAAAATCAATTGACATGAGGCAGATTCATAGGAGAGAAGGTATGCAGATTTATTCACGTGCATTGTGCGGAGAACTACAGAGTGATTACCCCAACCCCCAAATGGTGTTCGGAAGCTTATAAACCATCTTGAGGTTACAGAAAGAATGAGGGCTTGGAGCATGGCCAAAAATAGGCTATGGTGGTAAAGCAGGTTATGTGGCAGGACAGGTTATGGGAGGGAGACAAGAAAAGGCCTGGCTAGCAAAGGTCATCTTGTTACATAGACAAAATCTAATAGGTCGTCACCCGCAGAGAGAATAGATGGTAAATGTTTCTTTCAAATCTTTAAAGGTGTCAGACCCTCAGTTAAGCTTTCCCAAATTGGACAAGGGAGGGCCTCAGAGAAAGCCTGGCTGTATCAATGCAGATTCTCTACAGATGCAAATCACCTCCACAAAAGACAGCTTTGCAAGGCTACTCTTGTTTGCAAGCACTCTGAACAGCCATCTCAAAATACATAAAGAAGTATATTTCAGGATGAAATATCTTGGTTTCCTTCAATGCTCTTATAAAAGAGGTAACTAAGACTGTACATAATCACCAAGAGCATGGCCATCCTAGCTTGAGAGCTTCAAGAAACTCAGCGGGTGGTGCTGCAGAACTGAAAGATTTTCTACCATTGACTTCTTGAAATCCATTGGACAGGTTCCTCTCAGGGTTCAACTCCTGGCTCTTTATTTAAGAAAACCTTTTATATTAATATTTCTTCTTTCCATTTGAGGCATGTTTTAAAATACCTTGTGGCCAGGACCCTGAAACAACTGACCTTTGCGACTACCTCTCAACAGCTGTTTCAGCTGATTTGCAGGAACAACACCAATAATCAGAGACTATTTCTTAGACTTTACTTCAGCCAATCAGGTTTATGATTACTTCTGAGTTGTTCAGAAAGGTGGTAGTGACAATACTGAACTCTACTTCAGCCCTGTGCTCCCAGAAAACAACGATAGTTAAAAAATTCCTCACCCCTTGGTCATACAAGAGAAAAAGGCTAACCCTAACCAGCTAACATTGAAAAGCTAGCAGGTGCTGGCATTTTTCAGGAGAAGGCCCACCTCCATCTTTCCCCAATGACTTACATAAGACCAGGCTCCAGCCTTCTTCATGACCACCATAAGACTCAGAGCTATGGTCTGAATATGTCCCCCAGTATTTATGTGTTGAAAACTTCATCTCTAATGCAACAGTGTTGGGAGGTGGGGCTTCATGGGAAGTGTTTAGATAATGAGAGCTCTGTCCTCATGAATAGAATAATGCTGCTATACAAAGGGCATATGGGAGTGGGCTCTCTCTTGCTATCCTGCCATGTGAGGACACATCTTTTGTCCTCTCTTGCTCGTCTGCCTTCCACTATGTGAGGATGCAGTAAGAAGGCCACACCAGTGCCAGTGCCTTGCTTTTGGACTTCCCAGTCTCCAGAACTATGAGAGAATAAATTTCTGTTCTTTTTAAATTACCATTCTCAGGTATTCTGTTACAGCAACACAAAATAAAGTCACTTGGCAATGACTCCTTTGTTTACTGCCTCTATAAATTCCCCAGTTCCCTTCCTTTTCCTTAAGATGTTCCTTATTAGTCAACATTCTCTCTATTGCAATACCTCAATAAAATCTTCTTCTTCATTGTCTGGTGCATTTTGTCTTTGACACCCATCTGATTTTAAGTTTCCTCTTTGTTTCTGAATGCTGAAAAGTGAACTTTCTTTTCTTTCTTTTTTTTCTAATTTGGCTATATATTTTAAACATTTAAATTTATATAACATTTTTATATGCTTTTAGCAGGAGAGAGATCCTCAATAACCTAGTCCTCCTTATTATAGGAAACTGATGCCACCTCTATTCTTTTTCCCACCTTTCGTTGGTGGATATATTTTGTGCTTAGCTCCTTTAGGGCTTTGCCTTTTGATTTACTAAAACCTATCTTTCCCTTTAAAATAAAAAGCTTCAACCTTCAGCTTTTATACATTTTTGCCTCTGAAGTGGGCATCAAGAACCTTTCTTGGAACTCAAAATCTGAGCATCAACTCTCTTTGCGTTTATATTACAATTATACCATTCTTCCCCCCAGCAATGGATGCCTCTGGATGAATAAAGGGAAGGTTTTGGATGAGGAAATGCAAAAGAAAAAGCACTTTGATTTATTTCAAGATGTTTTCTCAATACAGTCTCAATCATTCCCACCTATTATCCAGCAAAATATGCTCCTAGAAGCTGTTGTGCTTGCCTTCCATTTTGTGCATGGAGCCACAGAAAAGAGACTCCTTGTCACACACATTTCATCCATAAGCCGTGACCTCCTTGATTTGACCCTTGCTGCAGGCTGTTTCTCCTAACAGTTGGCTGCCTTTGTTATTTCTATTAAGCTTTTACATTTTCTTAAGTTTGATTCACTCTCTTGCTGCCGTGTTATGATTTTGTCTTCTCCCTGTTATTCATCTTCAGACAATTCTAATAAGACCATTCTTTAACCTGCCCCTAGGACAAAAATACCCAAATGCTCCTACCAAATTTGCCGTGTTAACCAAAAAGTGACTGAGGCAGATGTTTACATTCTTGTGAGGCCCTGATCAGCCTCTGAAAGTGTACATTTTATTTATAAAAAGGTAAAGGAAAAAGTCAAGTATGCATTGTCTCATGCTCAGTAAATCTACATTTTACATAAGGTAAAGAAAACGTGTGAAAAGAGGGAATAGAAGGAAAACTAAGTTTTATATCTGAAGGGTAGGTGAAGGGATGATTTCTGATCTTGTCTTTGTCCTTTGTGAAGATAAGCTGATAATTGACATTGTCAGGGTGAAATTCAACAGAACTCAGATTTAGAGCTAGTTTATAAGGGGGATATGTATCCCGAAACATTTAGAGGCTCACAAGGAATTTCCTTGTGAGCAATTTGTGAAGCATATATCTGGGGTGATATATGGCCTTTGATCATCATGAGAACTTGGCTTATGGATGAGAATATGACACAGGGTTGGGAAATTGCTAATACCTGTTTGAGAACAAAAGGAAACCAATATTGTGTGATTTAGTTCCCAAGCTTAACTTTCTCTTTAGGATGGTAAGTTTGGGGTCCCAAGATTCTATTTGCTTTCTCAGCTTAATAGGCTCTAGACACCTGGACTAAAAACAAGTTTAACAGATCCTTTTCAAGCAGCAGATTTTGATTGGCAGAAAGAAGTGAGACCTAGGGCAATGGAGTATCATCCTAGAGATGGTAATAGTGGACTACTGGCAGGTGGGAGAATGACCCTAGAAAACAAATCCAGGGGTATTAAAAAAAGAAGCTACAATTTTAGCACTGTCACAGGTGTGACTGGCTGGGGCCAGCATTGCAGGTGATAAGGGAATCTACCAAGACAGTTGTAGTTAAAGAAAGGCAGATTTATTAGAGAAAGCACAAAGTTATGTTGCAAGGGCGCAAGGGGAAGCACAGCAGAGAAGTGGCTGTCTGCAAAGAGGCAGGGCCTGGAGGGAACTTTTACAAGGTCATGCTGGAGAGGCTATGTGTGGAAGGAGGTATTTTGGAACAGGATTTTGTGCAGCAGGTTGTTTGTGATTAGCTGTCTCTCCGAACAATTGTTCTCCCCTACTTGAGGCCCCTTCCTTATTGTTGCTTACTTATCTCATCATGACTCCACAGGACCTTTTAAACAAATTTTACTACCCAAGTATTATATGATCACTGGAGAAAAAAATAGAAAAACAAAAAATTATTCTATATAGAAAACCAAAGTTAAGATGAAGATTTTATTTTCATGTACATTATCTTAAATTTTAATTATGCTGGCCGGGTGTGGTAGCTCTTGCCTGTAATCCCAGCACTTTGGGACGCTGAGGCGGGTGGATTGCTTGAGCCCAGGAGTTTGAGACCAACCTTGACAACAACATCATGTCTATACAAAAAATAAAATAAAATAAAATACAGAGATTAACCAGGTCTAGTGGTATGCCCCTGTATTCCCAGCTACTCGGCAGGCTGAGGTGAAAGGGTTGATTGAGCCATGGAGGTCGAGGATGCAGTGAGACATTATCACACCACTGCACTCCACCCTGAGTGGTAGAGCAAGACCCTTTCTCAAAAAGAAATTCTTAAAAAATTACGCTTCCAAGTATATGTGTGCGTACATAATTTATTGAGAGAAACTCATATTGGGCATTTGAGTTTGTTGAGATTCAGAAACCAATACCCCAAAATATGGCATTTTTGACACACTGAACTGAACAAGCCTCAAAGTCTCTCTGACCTCCTGTACCCCCACTGTCTCTCCCATAGGAGCTGAAGTTCCTTTATCTGCCTAAGATTCAGACCCATCAAGGAGAACAATTGTTTTTAGTTCTCCTCCCTCTTATCTAAAAGACCGAGATGTGACCACACCTGAGTAGCCCCTTTTACAAGTATAATGACTTGTCCCCAAGGATCATTTAAATTCCAAAGAGACCTATTTACAACCTAATCCCTGTTCACCATCTATTCATTCTTCCTAATAATTATTTATTGCCCCACAATAGAATTCTTCTCCACCCCCCTCCTATAACCTGTTTTGCCAGGATCCAAGCCCCCATTCTCTCTGTAACTCAGGATGGCTTCTCAAACTCATTGGGAACTTGGATCTTTATTCTGAAGGTTTCCATGTATACATATGAAATAAATGTATATGCCTTTTGTCCTATTAATCTGCCTTTTGTGAGTTGACTTCTCAGTGAACCTTCAGAGGCCCAAGGTGAAAGCTCTCCCTTAGCCCCCATGAGATCTTCCTAACTGTAGCTATTATAAAAAAAACACAGCAATGGTTATCTGTGTTGTCAATTTTTGTCATGTATATTTTGATGCTTTAGTTACATGCTTCAATATTACCTTCCATAAATATAAAGTAATCATTAACTCATTATGTTACAATAGGCAGCTAGTCAGAGCAGGGCAGGAGACCCCTGCTCCCAACAGCCCTTCCCACCCACTACCAGAAATGTCAGGCAACTATCAGGTGATGGTCAGGCAGTTTTACACTGTTTCTCTAAAATAATAATTAATTGGTTGCAGCCAGTGCCAGGGAAAGGCAGTCTCTCAATAGATAGAAATACCTGAAACTAGTGATCAACAGCTTCCAGATAAGATCTCAAGAGTTGGCTGGGTGGGCTCAAGCATGCACATTAAGAGGGAAAATGGCCAAAGACCTTCCTCTGGGAACACTGGACTGATAAGGGAAAAATGCCTCAAGTGAGCATGTGTACAATACCAGTAAACACACTGAGCATGGGGCACCTCCCAAGCACTAGCAGACTACTGCACATGTGGATAGCCCGCCGCAAAGGAAGAATCAGAGGAGAAGAGATGCAAGACCCCGGAAGCATGCCAAGATATAAAACCTCAAGTTGGATCAAACCCCACTAATCTCCCAAGTCACCCATTTGACCCTCTTCCAAGTGTACTTTACTTTCATTCCTGCTCTAAAGCTTTTTAATAAACTTTCACTCCTGCTCTAAAACTTGTCTTGGTCTCTCCTTGTGCCTTAGGCCCCTCAGTTGAATTCTTTCTTCTGCAGAAGCAAGAATTGAGGTTGCTGCAAATCCATGTGCATTTGCCACAGTAACAATTGCTTGTTATTTTTTTTAAAACTACTAGTTTGGAAAACTTGCTATGGGCCAGGCAATGTTTTAAATGCTTTACATGAATTATTTCAGTTAATCTTTCACACTAATTTCATGAGAAGTACTAACATTATCTCTATTTTGCAGATGAGAAAACTGAAACTCTAAAATGTGAAGAAAGTTTTCCAAGGTCATACAACTATAATATTATGTGACAGAACCAAATTGAAACTGTCTTCTAAGTCCAGAGGCTACATTCTTAATCAGTGTATTTTAGCACATGCAAGCATACAAGGGTGCAAGCATGCACAGGGGTTTGCAATCTCACCAGTTCCAGGAATTTTATATATATGTATTAATATATAAAAATGACATTTATCTTTTCTCTTTTAAAAGCTAAATTTTAACTACTTTAACATTGTGACTAAAAGAACACTGATGAATCATTTAACATTTCTCATATATATGTATGTATATATGTCTTATAACAATCACGTAAAGTAAGTAAAAGTCATAATCAGGGCCAGTTTAAGATGTTTAAAATTGCTAAGCTGTCAGAGATTAAGGTTTTCCTGCTTTTGTCCTATCCTTATGTGGCCTTCAGTATGAAAACATTTCTAGATAGTATTGAGACGGGATCATTCCCTTGACCTCGACTCCGGTCGTGAATGGGAACTGGAGTGTTCCTTTCTCTCAGCCCACCACTGGCCACTCCTTGGAAGAGGGAATGTGCGAGGAAGCAAGTGTGGGAACCAGAGAGAATGAGCACTAGAACCAGCACATTGCTCCTCTCTGATGGGACCCGGCTCTGTGCAGCCTCCGCAGCAGCATCCAAGCCCCTGCCCTCTTGACACTCAGGTTCTTGTGTTGCGTCCAGGAAAAATCAGGCCACATAAATGGATTGAAGAGTAGTGTATGTGAAGGATTTCTTTCTTTCTTTTTTTTTTTTGATACAGAGTCTTGCTCTGTTGACCAGGCTGGAGTGCAGTGGTGCAATCTTGGCTCACTGCAACCTCCGCCTCCTGGGTTCAAGTGATTCTCCTGCCTCGGCCTCCTGAGTAGCTGGGATTACAGGCATGTGCCACCATGCCTGGCTAATTTTTGTATTTTTAGTAGAGACGGGGTTTTACCATGTTGGCCAGGCTGGTCTCAAACTCCTGACCTCAAGGGATCCTCTCACCTTGGCCTCCCAGAGTGCTGAGATTACAGGCGTGAACCACCGAACCCAGCCTATGTGGAGGATTTTATTGGGTGGTGGCTCTCAGCAAGACGGGAGTTGGAAAGGGAATGGAACAGGAAGAAATGATCTTTCCCTGAAGCTGTGCTGTCTGAAGTTAGCCCTGTCTATCCACAGTGGACCACTCTCAGCCGCTTTCATCTCCGACACTCAGTAGCCTGTGTCCCTGGCCACTTGTACCAGCCACCTGTGTTGCTCTGCCAGCCAAAGTCTTTTTATGGGCAAAAGATAGGGACATGGCAAACCAAAAAGGCAACATTTGGGCAAAAAATGGGGTCAGCTGTTTTCACTTAGGGCCACAGTTCCAAACTTAAGGGTGGGGTTTAGCCGGGAGCACAGCCATTCTGTATCAGTATGATAGGTATAGAACAGGCTAATAAGTTCTGAAATTTCTCATAATTATTACATTAATGTTTCTCTGTAAAATAGAATATTTAAATTTGTATTTCTTTCTTTGGTGTTTTGGAGGATGGGAAGACATTCTTTCATTACTATTGTCTCAAGTACGTAGGGTACTTGAGTCTGCACATGGGGTAATCCTGCATCAAGAATAATTACTGACAATCAGACACTGGGGTAGATGCAGCCCCTAACCAGGCTTGCTCACGTGGTAAGAGGTGGAGCTGGAATCAGATGGCGCTTCCTCCTTTCCTGCCGAGGGCTACTCAAAATGTGCTTCACCGACCAATGCCAGTCCACAAAGTATTTTTTACTGGTTGTCAATGTGTACAGAAGTACAGAGATCAAGAGTAAGCATTTAGAAACTTTCATAGCAATTTGACATTGTCCTGCCTCTCAAGCATGTGACTAGCGGACTCATGTGGACTCATGTCAGTAAAGAAGATGTAGACCAGTTGTCTGACTCAGGTGTTGGAGAAGTAAGGACCCCTTACTTGCTGACAGGGAGAGGGTTCACAGGCAGATAAATGCCCATCAGCATCAGCTGGCAGGTACCTCCCTCTCACCTCCTCTCTAAATCTGCCTCCCAGAATAAAACCCGCCCAGTTTACAGAATGTGTCAGGTATATTAACGGTGTTGAAGAGGTACTGGACTGGGACTAAGAGGACTGGATCCGAATCTTGGTTTTGCTGCTTGTTAGCCACATGATTTGGGAGCACTTCATAAAGCAAATGCCCACAGCTAATTACTTCTGTCTTCTACCGGAGGGGCAAAATTCATATCAAGAAGAATAAGTTCTATGGAGGTAAACACTCTGAAGATCTCACTAGGTCTTTCTGGTTATAAAAAGATGGAGTGGTCTGTGCCAGTTTAGATGAAGCAGGGTTGCCCCAGAGAGGCCGTCTTAGTCTGTTTGGGCTGCTATAACAAAATACCATAAAATGGGTCACTTATGAACACCAGAAATTTATTTCTCACAGTTCTGGAGTCTGGGAAGTCCAAGATCTATGTGCCAGTAAATTCGGTGTCTGGTAGAGGCCTGTTTCGAGGTTCATAGATGGTGCCTCCTGGCTGTGTCCTCACATGGTGGGAAAGTCTAACTAGCACTCTGGGGTCTCTTTGGTAAGGGCACTAATACTTTGTCCTTATGACATAATCACCTCCCAAATGCCCCTACTTCCTAATAGTATCACCTTGGGTAAGGATTTCAACATATGAATTTTGGGGGCGAACATTCAGGGGACATAAACATTCGGCCTTAGCAGAGGCAAATGCTCTGCAAGATATGAGACAGGAATGCTAGAATTATTTGTTGGTGCTTAGAGAAAGAAACTGGACCCTTGGAAAAAGGTAGAAGGAAATGGTGTACAGCGAAACTTACAAGCTAGGCAGGGCTCATGCTGTAACGCAGCTGGGAGCTGAGGAGGGCAGGCTTGATGATGCTTCAGAAGGCAAGGTCTGGCCAGGGTCAGTGCTGCTCTGCTCCAGCCAGTCATTGCCATGCAGAGGTGGAGATCCAGCCACTGTCAGATCTTCCAATCTTTCAAGAAAAGTCAACATCTGAAAAAAATCTCATTTTAAAAAATGTTCGGAACTAATTAAAATTGTATTTAACTACTCTGCTGGCCAAATGATATATGTCTTTGGACTGTATTTAGTCCATGAACTACCATTTAAGAATATCTTGTCTAGAGAAAAAAAGTATCTGAGTGAAGGAGTCAAAAAATAATTTTAGTGCAGTCAAGCCTTTTCTGAGTTGACTTATTTTGTGTCTGCCATACATATCTTAGGTTACCTCAAATTTTCAGTAAAAATGTGATAGACATAACAGTTTGATTTGTGATAATGTAAGGGAATAGAGGAAAAAGATTTTTGCCTAGATGGGGCAAAGTGGTACAAAAAGAAACAGTAATTGCAAGAGAGAGAGATAGGATTAAGAATGGAGAGTTCAGGAGAAGCAAAAAATCAGAAGAGGTGGAGAGAGACAAAGTCTTCCAGTATCACTAAGAGAAACATAAACCCCTTCCTGCAACAAGAATATGAGTGGGATGTCCTGGGCTTTCAGAATAAATGCAACTGGAGTCAAGCATTTCTAGTTTCATAAAAAAGAAGAGGGTGACACCAGAAAGCTGGAGAGCGTGGAGATATCCAGTGGCAGATACATAATTTATAACAGAAATGAAATGACATAAAATCCCTCAAAGAGATGATTCAAGATTACTCACGTCATACACAAGTAATATTTGCCATGGGAATGTTCTGAGGACATGGAAGACTAGAAACAAAATATACTTCTGGGAGGGCTGGGGCAGTTGGGAGACACTTTGGTGACCCTCATTCCTCCCAAGTCAGCTGCCTTAGTAGACAGAAAGGAGATAAGCAGAAGACCTGCCTTGCTGTAACAGGGAAGACCACTAAGCCACCCTGGGAATGCATGTCCACAAAATCTCAGAGACATTAGGGAAAACCTCTAATGCTCAAGAGAGAGGCGTGAGGAACCCAAGAAGGAGAAATGGAAAGGAGATATGGAACCAGATGAAAACGCAAGATCTCCATGGTTTTGGGGCAAAACATTGTCTTTTTGGTTGACGTATGCATATGGAGTTAACATTTGTATTCATGACATTCTAGAGAAGTGAAGCATACAGTATATGAATATAATGAGAATTTCTTTCTTTGGGCACATTTCAGGTATTCTGCAACACTGGAGGCAGTTTATTCCTCATTTTTTCTCTCTTTCCTTTTGCGAAGCACATGGGGCATAACATCATTAACACTCCCAAAGCCAACAAAGATTTTTCTTTCTCATGCAGCATGCATTGGAGCATCATGCCAGAAAGTATTTTCGTGGCTGGCAACTTCAGAGAAATCAGCATTTCTATTCGCCGTTGGAGGGTCAGGGTTCTAGAAGGATTATGGAAGTGCTATCTTGCTCAGCACCACAGTTATGCAGAGGGTGATAGAGATGATTTCGCTGCTTTTTTCATGACAGTGTCTCGCTGCCAGAGAGGAGACAATTGGCTGGTCATCATAATAATTAGCATGTGTTAAAAATCAGCAGTGTGCTCTGCACCACGTGAGGAAGCTGGAAGAGCGCCCTGCCTGTTCAGTGTCCATCTAACTGAGTGAGACACGGGGAGGAACGAGGGACTGGAATCATAGGAAGCTAGTACTTACTGCTAACATTTATGAGCGCTGCATGAACATACATGAGTTATCTTGTTTTTTTTTTTTCTCCCCAAAGTCTCAATGAAATGAATGATCATTACTATCCTTTTGCAGCTGAGGAAACCAGGCTTACAGAGATCAAGTAAAATGCCCAAGGCCACACAGAAAATTAGTGTCAGAGCTAGGACTTGAACGCAGGTTTGTCTGATTCTAAGTCCAGGTATGTGAGTCCCTGGCAGCACCATGGGGTGACCGCTGACCTGTGTATGGCTTACTAGATTATTGGGTTCAAGTCTCTGTGGTAGTACAGATGTCAAACACACAAAGGCACTCCCTTGAAAGCAAAGGCTTTTAAATGATCGATAAGCCATCAAAAGTGACCTCATAATGCTGGAAGTGGGCCATCACCAAATCACTGTGGGACATTTTCTCATAATGCCTTCCAGAAACACGTAGAATGTTAGAGTTCATGGTCTACACTGCTTGGACACCTAGATTTGGATTTCAGTATGAGAACTGAGGTGATCAGGAGCAAGATACCTTACTCCAACCTTCGGTGCTTCCAGCCCAGCTTACATTGACCACCTACACCCTTGCATCTCTACAGCCCACATACTGAGCTGAACAGAGCACACTAAGGAAAGGAGAGAGGACCTAGAAACATGGGCATTTTTAAATTGGAGATAAAAAAGCAACCTTATTATCTGGTGCAGGTGACCATAGAATTTCCTTTTCAATAGCTCCATTACTAACTGGTCCATTATCTCTTCTGTTTTTTTTTAATTAACTACAATTATTCAATTTTATTTTTACCTAAGTCACTCAAGCACCCAGTTAGAACAAAAACAATGTAATGCTGAGATGTGTTTTTTATAAAAAATAGTTAGCTCCCTACCCTACAGCTCCAACACTCCCAAAAGGAATTGCTTTTACCTTTTCCTTTTGACTTTCTCTTACTGCAAATGAGAGTTTAGTGTTCTTATAAACCCTCTACATCCTGGCACTTCCATCTTCCTAACATAGTTTTATTTTGGGTATGGTTAAAAAAATCATTATGACTATTTCCCATTTGACATTATTGTATTAATTTTTTTCAAGCACCTCACCAGATCTGACACTATACTGAGTGTACCCTCCCACAACACACTCACCTGCTTTTCCCTGGAGACTCCCCTTCCAGAGCTTCCCCCTTCTTGCCGCCGTATGGACTGTTTGCCCTCCAGCCTGCTACACGGCTGATGTCCTGGACATCCCCCTGTTCAGCTCCTGATTTTTAAGTTTGCTTTATCTTCTTTGTCAGCATTCTTCCCTTGTCTGGCCAAAAAACATCCCACAGTCACTGAATGGTGTCCCAGAAAGGAGAGTTCATCGTCTGTCTTTCAGCTTTAACCAAAACACCTCTAGTGACAAGGAACTGACTCACTCTCTGTTATAGTGACATTCTGGCTATTCCACCTAAATGCTAAAATGTTTTTCATTTATTCTTAATACCTAAACATTTTTAATGATCTGTTACCGAGATATTTGTCCCGATGTATCCTCAAATTTTCTAGTCTCTCTTGTCAATTTTCCACATGATTTTCAAATTAAAAGGCTTTAGCTCCTATCCAGCATGCTGTGGCAAGCTCAATATGTTTCTTGGCCAGTGGTGTCCTTGAAGTTCTACACTGTCAGTCTTTGGGATCAGACTCACACCATCTCAGCACCTGATGATGAACTCCAGCCTCTCAGCTGGCTATTCTCTCCCCTCTACTGGGACTAACTAGAGGATAGCAATAACCTTTCTCGTATGGTTTGGTGTATCAATAACCTTCCTATGAATTGGTGGAGTGGGAATTCATCATTCAACGGCATGCCAGTTCAGTAACATTGCAATGTAGAAACTCCCCATCCCCTGAAATTCTTTTGTCCTCTTCTGTTCTAATCTCCTGCGTACCTAAATTTTCCCTATTTTCTCTGAACATATGCCTAAATCATATGTCTACCCTATACCTAAGGCCGTTGTCAAAGCTTCTTTTGTCACCTTGCTACTGAGCCCCAATTCCCATCATGACCCCTCTCATACTTGACAGAGTCCTTGAATGACTCTTTTGCCCTATACTCCTGTTGCATTCGCCTTGTATCCTTGTCCTCTTCCCATAAGCTAAACTCCCCCTAGTCCTTGCATCACACCTCAGAACCAAGGAGGATTCATGGTCCACTTGTCTTTGGACATGATATCTGGCCCATTCTTTGAGATTTTTACTTCTGCTTCTATTTGTTTCAAGCGCCTACCAGTTCTTCTTAACTCTTGGCCTCAGCCAAGGGGTGGAATACTTTAAGCTTTCTCCCCAAACTATGAGCTTAATTCGCTTTTCAGAAACTCCTGAGAAAGAAATCAGAAAGTCCTTCATGTTGTCTTAAAGCATCTCAGGAAAACTTGTTTAGAATATGGGCGAAGTATGTAATAGTTCATATGGGTTGGTTTTTGAAGTACCAGGAAAAGGGCCCTTCCCAAAGAAATGTTATCCACTCAGTATTCACAGTGCCCCAAACTCTAAACAGCCTTTAACCAGATAGTGGTTCTCAACCCTGGCTGAAAATTTGAAGTTCCTGGGGAAGTTTTAAGCAATGTCAATGCGTAGCTTCACACTCTGAGATTCAAATTTAATGAATCATCATGAGACTTGATCATCAGTTTTTTGTTTGTTTGATTTTGTTTTTGAGAGATAGGGTCTCACTCTGTCACACAGGCTAAAGTGCAGTGGTACAATCATGGCTCACTGCAGCCTTGAACTCCCAGGTGCATGACACCATGCCTGGGTGATTGTATTTTTGGTAGAGAAGTGGTCTCACCATGTTGCCCAGGCTGGTCTCAAACTCCTGGGCTCCAGCGATCTGCCTGCCTTGGCCTCCCAAAGTGCTGGGATTACAGGTGTGAGCCACCGTGCCTAGCTCAGATCATCAGTATTTTTAGAAAGATTTCCAGGTGATTCTAATGCACAGTGAAACCTGTGAATCATTGCACTTTAGGATAAGAGTAAAGCTTACTATGTAAATCACTCTGTGGAAACACACTGCCAGTGATGCTGACATTCACATGATTAATGTGTCTTCTGACTGGGGGCAATCAGACAGGTTCAGGGAAACAGAACAGAGAGTATCACCAAGAATGGACTTTGCCAAAGATGAGTCTTAGTCTCTACCTAGAAAATGAACGTATTGTATTCATCACCCTACCTTATATGACCTTGGCCTACTAGCTTGTCATACCTCAGTAATAGGGGCTATGGGAGAAAAGAATGAGTTGGGACAGGGAGAGGGATAAATATAGCCTTAAGGCTGCTACTCCTTAGGGAAGAGGGGATCTGGCCTGGAATTTGAATATAACATCCAGTGTGGCAAACTTGTGTATAATTGGGACTTGTTTTGTTAACCAAAACATCTAACCTGCAGGTGATATGCTGTGCTCATAACGGGGGTTGGGGTGTTTATTTGGGATTCTAGGGAATAGGACATGTTTGAAGCAGGATCCTAGCAGAGTACTTCCCTTGACCTGCCCTGGCCCCTGTGGATGGTGAGGGCTAAGTAGATTTTTAGGGCTTCAGTCAAGTGGGCTGTGGGTCAGGGCCAGTGCTATTCCCAGTGTGTAAGTGGAGTACAAATGGTATGGAACCTCCCCATTGTCATACGGTCTAGGTAAAGGAGGCAGAGGAGGGGAGAGCTATCACTCTGGATACAGGATGATCCGGGGGAAATGAGTGATAAAGCTTGTGATGGCAAGAAAAACCCAGGTAATATTCTTTTTTTTTTATCATGTGAGTGGGAAGATTCATGCTTCTTCCTTTATTTTTTTAAATTTTACTTTAAGTTCTGGGATACATGTGCAGAACGTGCAGGTTTGTTATATAGGTATACACGTGCCATGGTGGTTTCCTGCACCTATCAACCCGTCATCTAGCTATTAAACCCTGCATGCTTTAGGTATTTGTTCTCTCCCTCCACTTGTTCCCCACCCCACTAGAGGCCCCGTTGTATGAAGTTCCCCTCCCTGTGTCCATGTGTTCTCATTGTTCAACTCCCACTTATGAGTGAGAACATGTGGTGTTTGGTTTTCTGTTGCTGTGTTCCTTTGCTGAGAATGATAAGCCCGGATAATATTCTTACAAGCATCCCCTTATTAAATTTTTTATGTATATGGAATGATTATCTTTTTCTGCAGTTTAAAGTCATAGTAGTTCTAGCAGGTAAGTTATTTTTTCTCTATGCCTCAGTTTCCTTAACACAGCATGATGACATTTCCAGATAATTTCTAAGGTTCCCTGAAATATAGCATTCTAAGAGTCTATATATTAGCAAAACATAATTGCACAAGCATGGGAAAGGTTACAGTGATCATCAGTCCTAACTGTTCACAGGTTTCTCCTATTCAGCTATAATTCATTATTCGCCATTTTAGAGCTTCTTGCTAGTCCTCTTAAAAATCACATAATGCAATACAAATACCCATAATATAAATTTTGTTGGAGAAATATCAAGGACTTTGACTTTCTCCTTCAGGAGAGAAAGCTAAGCGACCAAGAGACCAATGAATCATATTTAATTGCAAAAATAAAAAAAAGAGCGAGATGAATTCTAAGTAGCAAAGGTGATCTCGCCCTCTTCTGGACAAAAGCCACAGAGGTGCTGGGAAGCAGGTTAGGCAAGACAAAGAAGGGAAACCAATTTTAGAGGAAAGATTTTCGAAAATGAGGATGTGGGGGTATTAGCTAAAAATAATGGAAGATAATAAGTACAGGCTGTTCCTTAGCACACAGAAATCAGACAATTAAGGGCCATATCTGTATTCTTTCCCTGATGCCTATGAGGGTCATAAAGCTTGAATGGCAGCTAGTAACATTCTTAGGAGGATAGGGTAATGTCCAAAGCAACTTTTTCTTCAACTGTAATACTTTTGTGCAGGTGGACTCAAGTTAAAGGGAACAATGAGAACAAAAGGAGTCATAAGAGGTGGTAAGTCTGAGAGACCACTGGGTTGTGAAAGCTGTAAGGTCTCAGACTGCATGACATTCACATACCCAACACCTCACAAGAACTCAGTCCATAACACAGTAGATGCTCTGAATGAATGAATGAATGAATGAATGAATGATTAATCTCAAGCAATTTGCCTTGAAGAGGTAGACGGAAGGATGGGCTGCAGTGATATTATGGGTGATGAATGAATGAGCTGGATTTCAGGTTATGTGCTGGAAGGACTATTTCTATCTTAGCCACATGCATGGGTTACCACCCATTGATCAGCAGTGTGGAGTGGGAGGCAAAGGTGGAAAGAGAAGTAACGCAAAGCTTGTTGCTTGATGATTGTGATTGTTCTTCATCCCCTAGTCTTGGGCATTCACTGGCTACTTTCCCAAAACAATCTGTCAAACAAATTAGACTCTGGGAGAAATTCAATAATGCTAAATATTCAATGGTAACTCTAATAAAATATTTGTCTTAAATTTAAGCCAAAAGTCCTTCAGAAATTTAGTATCTCCTTCCAGCTGGAGCCAAACAGTCATAAGACTTCCCATAATAAGTGAGCCCTCTGTCTGCCCGAGGAAATTCACCCATTATACGCATGGGATAGTCACGTGATGCTGTACTGTATTCCTCCTTTGTGAGTTTGTTTCCATTTTTTCCTTTCGGATATGAGGAAGTAAGCCTAGTCTAGGATCCTAAAGACTGGAGTCTTGCTGTTTATTAGTTGTGTATCCTTAGGTAAATCTCCAAGTTTTCTAATTTGTTAAACAAACATAACAGATTATTGTGGGAATTAAATTTTCTAAAAACTCTGCAAAGTCATTCCATAAAAATTGGGGTGTAATTCTAACAAATGACCTAAAAGACCCTTCTGTCATAGCCTGTGCTTATCTCTTCAGTCTCCTCTTGTGTTTCTCTCCCTTTGCTCATTCACTTCCTGTTACACAGGCCTTCTTTCTAGTGCTCAAATATCAACCTCTCTCCCACATCGGGACTGAAATGCTTTCCCCCTAACACCCTCTGCTTTCTCTTTCCCATCTTGCTCTCAGCTCATATAACATCTTTTATTCAAAGAAGGTTTTTCTATTCACCCCACCAAATGTTTCACACTGGTACATTTCATTCCTACCACCAACTGGTCATAGACCACCACATTATCCTGTTTTATTTTCTTGGTACTAATTATCACCATTTGAATTTATTCTAATTTGTTTGCTTACTTGTTCTTTAGTTGTCTCCCTCCAACTAATAATATAAACACGAATACAGCAGAGACCTTATACCACTTGTACCTAAAATAATGTCTGGCAGGTACATTGTAGATGGTGAATAAACATTTGAATTAAAGTAGCAAATCCATGAATTAAAATATTTGAATGACAAGAATTTATAAACTGTGAAGTGCTATACACATGTAAGGTGGTATTTACTTCTGTGGAGAGGTTGCTATAAGTGAAACAACAGGGGGAAGAATGCCAGATTTGAATTTTAAATTGGCTATTTTTCGTAGGACAAGTCATTCCTTTGCTTCTATGTACATTGGTTCTCTCACCTGAAAAGTGAGAAAAAATGATATTTATCTCATAGACTATTTTGATACTGAGATTTAATACAGGCAAAATCACTGTGAACGTTAAAAATTGCTCATGTAAGTTTTAGCCATTCTCCTACATATGATCCTAAGCTTTGGAAATGGGGAAATTCTTAATATCTTCTTTATTTCAAAAGAGCAAGAGTTTTGGGTGACATTGGTGCAAAATTGTGAAGGGAGTTTATTGTACCCAAACTTTCCCCCAAATCATTAAACTTCTGTGGTCCATGGCTTCATTTGCATTAGGTACATACATCTGTATGTCCTAATTAGAATCATTGGCAAGAATCTTCAGGAAGGAGTTTAGCCTTTTGCCCTCAAGAAAGAAGTTAATTCTTTCCAAAACAGCCACCTCATTTTTTATGCTGCAGAAGACAGGTAGCAAAGGCATTAATGTTGCTTAAGGATATCAGACTAAGTAGTCGGATTAACATCAATTTACAAATAAAGCAGGATAAGCCATTTTAAATAAGGTGCATTATATTTTATTTAGCAACAACTCTTTGCCTCTTCTATGTGTGTGTGATGACAACCATTCTAATGCTTTCACAAAGAAGCCTGCCTGAAAAGGAAGAAAAAAAGGATGAGTGTGCCCGTACTTGATTTGAGTGTGTGTGCTGTGCTTCTGTGTTGAAATCCAGATGTGCTTCACAGGCTACACAAATCCATTCCAAATGTTCGGCCTCATCCTTTGACTCTAGGGGAAACTTAGTGCTTGATTGACTCACTACCCTCCAGCACAAGACTTAGAAGCAGGAAGTCTGGTTTAGGTAGTGAGTCTGACATTTATGACCCATGTGGGACCTTAGGCTACCATTTTTATTCCCTTAGCTTTAAATCCCTCTGCTGCAAAATGAAGATAAAATTGACATCTGCCCCATGGGTAGGGATGGGAGGAAATAATGTGGGGGAAAACACTTTGTAAAAGGTGAAGTGCCATGTAAATGCCTCACATTCTAAATCTTGCCCTCTTCCGGCTTGAACCTTCTGCCTCAAGGAATTATCATGCTGCTTCCCTAGGCAGATGGGTTTGCTGCACTCAAGGACCTGAGTGCTCCTAGGGAAGGGAAATACATGGCACAGGTGCAGCTTTCCTTATTCCTGAGCCCCACAGTCAGCATTGCTAATTGATCACTACACTTTTTCCTACCAAGTCTGGACCCAATCTCAAAATCCCTCTCATAACATTCCAGGAGCTACCATCAATTGTTGGAGTAGGCATGGGAGGATAAAGCTGATTGGCCATCTCTGTTAAGCCTCTAAGACCTGTGACCAAAGGATCCCACACTCTCTCCTCCATCGTCCAGATTGAGGACACACGGATCGCAGCACAGTGCCTAGAGATGACATCCAGCAGTGGCAGAACCACTTCACAGTCAACACACATGTACACAGAGCAGAGCTAGCTCAAGCATTCATCTGTTAAATCTGAGTTAATTTCATAGTGGAAAAAAAAGCAAATGTTCAGGGAATGTTGGCAACAGTACAATTTATGATGAATCAAATTGCCTGAAGAGATGTGGAAAAGGGTTTTGGAAAGAACAAAGACTCTGGGACTGAGCAGCGAATGTCAAGTTAGCTATGTAACTGTTGGGTGTGTGTACATCATGTAACTGGATCAATCCCTTAATTGCTCTGTTTTTCTATCAAACAGGATAATTAGAAGACATTTTGATTCTCAGTTGAATCAATTCTTACCTTAGGCTTTGAGAATTGTGTCTTACAGGGAACCTCAGATGTTAATACTGAAATATTTTCTTTCTTAGTTCCTGAAGGAAGGGTTTAGTTTCATCTTGTAAGTGTGCCACAGGTCCTGCCTTGGAAATCCAGATATCAGATAGCAGTCTTAAATGAACACAAGTTGACCTTCACATCTCAAACTTCCTCACATGCAAATAGAGGCCCATTTCTTTTATTCAGTCCTGGTGTAAGTTTTCCAGGCATGAGGTGACCCGATGTATTATTTTATCAACAGCAAAGCAATCTCATTTCATGAGAACTGCACCTGCCCATTACTCAACCTGTATGAAGGAAACCGCTCTGCTTTGTGTCATCAGGGATATGACAAAAGGAAGACTTCTGTAAAACATGTTTTCTTAAGAAGAAGAAAATGTATTTTATATGCAGAAATATAACAAAAATCCCACATCTTCACCAGTCTAATTTGGCAAGAGGTAATTTACAATTTTCATGTTAATAATTTCTTTTAAGTTATAAAAGCTTAAAAGCTCATAATAGATAATGTGAAGAAAAAAAGTGGCAAATATTTTAATTTTTCTGACCCTAAAGATTGTTGTTTTTATTTGCTTTAAAGTGTTGGCTTTAGGGCTTAACTGAAGAAATGCATCTTAAGAAAAATGGATCTTTATTTTGGACAAGGGAGATTATAGCTCCTTTTATTACCTGCTGACCTTTTATGAGCTATCTTTTATTTTACTGTTGAGTAGTTAATAATACCCTTGTAGTTTAGAAAGCACTTTTAAAAAATTTTATGTATCTCATTTGATCCTCTCATGATAGTTTTAGCAATATAAACACCAATTTTCAAATGAAATATGGAGATTCCGGTGGTTTAAGGCACTTGACCAAGGCCATAGCTCGAAAGTGAAAAAAAATAGGGCTGAACCTAGGTAAATGAATTTCTAGAATGATGTTCTTTACTGCCACACACTCTATGACTTAAAACAGGGATTATGTTTTCTGTGAAGCCTAAACTAAAACGGAGGATTTTTACCTAATAGAAATGCCTAGGGCCAGGAGAGTGGGCCAAAAGAAAATCAACATGAGAAATCTGAGAACTAAATATCAGAGAAAACAAATCCATAGGAGCCAAGGATGCCAAGCCTGAGGTCGGGTGAAGGTAATATCAAAACAAAAGCAGCTGGGTATAAATAAGAGGACACCCTAAGCAATTGATTTGCATATCGGCTGTTATTTACAGTGTACCTTGGAAACTTAAAGTTTTGTGATGCTTGAGTAAGTGGATTGGTTCAATGGGCCAGAAGCAAAAATGGCAATGTGTAGTCTTTCCATGTGGATAGGGATACAGTGCCTGACTCTGTCCAGGCTGGACTTCTATTGGTTCTCTGGCTTTGCTGTAATAGGATGAATGACATTTGTAAGAAGCTACACAAGTAAAGGGTTGTCACCAGTGAAGAGTGACAGGAATGACACGTTTTAGTTTGTTGTTGCCATTAATGCAGACTGTCATAACACTTAGATTCTACTTGACATAGAAATGGAAACCGGCCATGTGGGACTGGACGTGTTTAAGAATGAAGGGAGCATGTGTATCACTGGTAGACGACAGAGCCAAGTAGTAAAGTGAGTCATTGCCAAAACACAAAACATAAGGCATGACAGATTCCTGCAGCTGACTCATGAGGAGAGCCAGCCAGAGACCTAACCAATAGAAGATGCCGAAGACTAGGGACCAAGAGTGAGTCTGTTGATCATAATAGTGATTGCTGTAATTTAGTGTATTCTTACTATTAATATGTGTTAGGCATGTTTACAGTGACATAAATATTTTTTCATTAATACTCAAATACTATAAACTGGTTATTTTTAAGGACATTTTTATAGGTAAGAAAACTAGTTCAGAGAGATCAATGAGTTATTTGGGTCAGACAGCTAGCAGGAGGCAAGGCAGGAATGAGCAAGGTGCCTGGTTCTGAAGTCTGTGCACTTGGCCAACATGTTAAACTTTCTTCTCATTACACACAGCAGTTAGACAATAAGTTGAGTTGTCAACTCCCTGGGTACCAGTGACTAGTTAGTTTATATGGTCTTATCAGATTTTATTAATTTTAGAGTGGACTGAGCATCATGGGAGTAGGCAGTTCAATGTTTCAAGCACAGCTCTAAGGAGTAAGCTTTCACAGAGATTTACGGAAGCCATTGCCTATATTTTAATATCCTTTATATTCCTTTCCAGTGCATTTTATTCTATCTACCACAATAATCTACATCTCATGACAAGCAGCTGAGGACACAGAAAAGAGAAAGAGCAAGCCTGTAAATGCAACCTTAAGGGATGGCCAGTTTGAAGATTGCTGTCTTTGGGGGGTCTCATTTTGATCTGTGAATCTTCTTGTGGATGTTTGGCATCATATCCGAAAAAAACATAAATGAATCTTCCTGGTTTTTCTACATTGAAGCCAAGAATATATTGCTTCACTTATGTCCATCAAACCCTAGTATTACAAAAAATGCTAAAGCACTTCTAACTATACCCTCTAAATGGAGACTGTAAAATATTCTGAGACAAAGGGAATTTGAACATTGTTAAGAATGCAGAATTTTATGCTGAAGAACAAAAGGAAGGGAAACATAGGCCAACCCGTTCAAAATCCTCCAAGTTCAGTTTCTAATATAGCTCACTCCATTTCTTTTTGAGTAACTCCAACCTTTCCAATGGAAATGTTATTTGTAATTTAAAAGGATTGTTAGAGCTGAGTCAGTGTTTTAGTATTCGTCAGTGTTTTTGGTTTTAAGCAAGAGAAATTGAATCGATCTGATTTCAGCAGAAAAGGAGCTCATTATACATACAGAGAGAGAGAGAATGGAAGGAGGAATTAAGTCTGATGAGGATGCTGCTGCCATGATGGCCACAGATGACACTGAATACCATCTTCACTGTGGTTACTAGATTCTGGATACAGCCCCTAGACACCCTGCCACTGCTGCCAATAAAATAAATTCTCCCTAAGCCCTGCGTTCTTGCATCACTGGCTCCTGATTCAAATTATCATGTGGGTGAACATGATTGGCTAACCTAGATTGTGTGTTCATATTCTAGCTGCAAAGGAGGCTGGGAAATTTATAATATGCCCTTGTTGGCTTATATAGTCAAAGGCTGGCTCTGCTTCCCTTCAAAATTTATGAGGTAGGAATTCCCCCTGATCATAGGGTTAGAGGAGTTAATATGCTGGTTGGCCAAAAATGTAACATTTTTTTCATATTCCACCTCTTGAGTTTTCCTAATAATATATTTTTTTCAAACTCTGTCACAGCCATGTGTTTTAAAGGCCATTACTTTTTTGTTTATTTATTTCAAGTCTTTAAAAAAAGTTTATGAAGTTCAAAATTATTCTTATACCATTCTTAAAAATCTATTCGAAGACTTTTTCTCTGGGCAGCTAGCATACTCCTAAGGCTGGGTACGTTAGGTTTCCAATCCAATAAGCTTTATTTTAGTTTTTGGGCCAAAAGGACTCATTTATACTTAGTTCAATCAGTCAGAAAAATCCATGCTTGCTAAAAAGGAAGGGAAAATCAAGCAAATGCAATTGACAGGACATCAAGATCTAAACAAATATCTACCACATAGATATCCTTTTATTTTGAATTGCAGTTCTCTGGCAACAAATGGTCCAAATATAAACAATTTAGTAGAAATTCTAGAAAGAAATTGCTTAGAATAGCAGGGACTTCATGCTCTTAAACAAGCCCTAAAAGAATCAGAACATGCCCTTCTTTGTTCAATTCCATGAAATCTGTTTAGAATCAAGCTGATGATCAAATCTCTTCAAAAGAGAACCCTGGGCATATCTATAGGTTGACATGGAAAACTCTTTCTCCTATGGAGTTAAAATGAATATATGCATATGTGTATATGTGTGTAAATGTAATTTTTTTTAGCAGAAATATTCATGTTCATTATTTTTAGATGTTGGCCATGCAGTATTTCTCATATATAAGACCAACAGATGGCTGAGTTAGGATCTAGTTGGTGAAATTTATTGGTCAAAATTTACAGTTGCGGTAGTGGATTGAACACACTCATCTATCTCCACTCTCTCCTGAAACCCAATTTAATAAGAAAAGACAGCAAAGAAAAAAAACTTAAAGTTTAAACCTAAACAGACAAATAGAATTGGAAAGAAGGCAACGATAGCTAAATTTGAGGTATCTAGAAAGCACAAGGATGAGTTTCTGACTTAGAAAGGCAGAAAAAGCTGAAACATAAATCAGAATGGATTGAGTAAATGAACAGGAAGCCGGTCTATTCACACTGCAAAACTCTAAGACGTTTCTATTGTGAGAGATGCTAGGAATTTTTGAAGACAGAGGTACAGATTTGGGCTAGAAAAAGATTGGTTGAAAGTCTTCATAAAGGATATTTAGAAACCAACATATACTTACCCTTCCTTGTTAGAATACTGGAGGTTTTCCTTTCAAAGATGACAGAACATACAGGCTCTAGGCTCAGAGACACCAAGTTTAACAAAGGACAAGTGTGAGCAGGGTACCCTTTAAATAAGAGCATGAAGGGTGAATAGGCACAGCGACTGTGAACATCCGTCCTCTTTCTGGATGATGGAGAAGTGGCTTAGATACGTGTGGAACATGGTAATCAGTATATCATAGTCACTGACGCTGGTAATAGTACTAGAGCAGGGTCCCAGTAGACCTACTGGCTCCCAGCTATACTTGCTATTGCTAGACAGTGATGAAATGGGGGGCCTGGGGCTTCTGTTGTGTGTGTCAATATTTTGAAAACTGCAATGGTCATAGCATTGAATACATGGTGAATAGCAACCCTAGTTATACCTCCAGGAAGATAAAATGGAAAATTGTTGTGGGTTAATGGATTGGCCTAATAGAAAAGAACCCAGATCCTGACATTTGAGGTTCCTAACAAAATGGCAAAATTCCTGCCTGATCACATTACAGTGAAGCCTACCAGGCAATAAATATTCTCTTCATGTTCATCACTTCCAATCTGTATTTTTGATGATGATGATGATAATTATTATTATTATATGAATGGCCAAAAATATCTAGGGATTAAAGAAAAGCCTACATTTGTATTTAAATAACCTATAGCAAAAGGGAAATGAGGAAAGAGAAACAGTTTAAAAAATGAAAGGAGACACTTTAAAAGCTGACTTCATATTCTCAGAGATATTTATTCACTCAAAAAAATTTGTGAAACATGGTGACAAATTCTATTCTAGTATTAGAATTATAACATTTAACAAAATAGACAAATATACTTCCTTATGGAGTTTATATAATGTATACTCCACTGTGCTAATTGTATATACTATAGACAACATACTAGAACCATGTTGCATAGCAATAAGAACAATGAAGAAAATACAGGAAAGGAAGGAAATGGAGAGTGATGGGGCAGATGACAGTGGTTACGGAGAGCTATTTTATACAGTGTACTAGGAAAGGCTGGAGTAACCAACATATAAATGATATTTAAAGCTATGGAAGTAAATAAGACTACATAAGAAGAAAATGTGGGTAGAGAAAAGAAGAGATCTGAGGGCCGAGTCTTGAGTACATCAACATTCAGAGAGTGAAAGAAGCAGAGGAGATGGATGAGAGATTGCATCCAGGAAAAAAAAGGAAGTTCTAAAAAAGGAATACAGAGAGTATAAGAAAGAACATTTGTGAATTAAAATTTGATAGCAGAAATAAAAAATTCAAAAGAGAGTTGAGAGACAAAGTTAAGTAAGTCTCTCAGAGAGGAGAACAAAAAGAAATGTAAAATGTGGAGGAAAGATCAGAAATGTAAAATATCACATTAGTGGTTTCATTGTCCAAATGACAGGCGTTTCAGGAAAAACAAACATAAAATGGAGGAGAGGAAATTAAGACAAGATTATGCAATGAATTTCCCAGAAGAAAGAATGCAAGTTTGTGGATTGAAGGGGTCTTCTGAGTTCCCAACACTATATATATACATAGGCATACACACAGACACACACACACAAACACACACACACACACACACACACACACACATATATATATATTTCTCGAGGCTGAGCTAATGAAAAGCTCAGGAATTAGAATGGCATTAAACATTTCAAAAATAAACTGGGATATAAAAGAAAATAGAGCAATGTCCTTTAAATTCTGAGGGAAACTAAATTTTGTATGCAGCTAAACTATCCATCAAGGGTAAGAAGACAAATAAAGATTATACATCTTCAGATATGTAAGACCTCAAAAATATTACCTTCCCCACAATGTTACTGGAATATTTGTTCCAGCAAAATGGGAACATAACTGTGAAAGAGGAAGACACTGGCCTCAGGAAACAAGAAACATACATGGAAGAATCAAAGGCCAATTTCAAAATCATGGTAAAAAGAGATCCCAGAACAACAGATTTGAGCAAGGCTAGAGAGCAACAAGTCAAGATTAGAGAAAAAAGGCAGAGGGCTCCACAGAAATGTATCTAAGAAAGAAAAAAATGTCTAACATAATGCCTGGCTTGCTTGAGCAGATATATACAATTCTGTCAGAATTGGGAAATAAATTTAATTATAGAATAATTAAAAATAAGAAAATAAGAGTAAGAAAAAAAGAAGAAAAATAAAATTATAAAAGAAAGTGTAATCTAGGACAATATATGACTCTACTATGAATATCTACTTAGTCTTAAAAATATCAACATCAATATTGATTGTACTGGACCCAGTTTGCATGACCCAGATTTGCTTGGCCTCACCTGCTCTTCACTGCCCACTCCATGCTTTTGCCCTTGCTCAGTGGAGAATACTAGCCACTAGGTTGTTGCCTCATCTCAGCCCCTCCCGGGGTGGGAGCAGGGCATCTGTGTGTATGCATCACAGCCCCCACAGGAGCCCTTGAACTCCAGGTTTAGGTCCACAGAGTCCCCCTCTCCTGTGACTGGTTGGAGGGCTGGGTCACACAACTTGCAAGTGTGGAGTAGTTAAGATTTTACGGGGCAAACTTTGATGACTTATGGGAAGGAGCTAACAAAGTCTTTACTCTTCTTCCTCTAGAACAGGGCATTTCTGTGGTTAAGCGGTTCCAGTCTCTCATTCTGGAAGCTTCTTATGTGGCCAAGTGTTGGCTAGGTTTCCTGTTAGGCTACAGCTGCTCAGTAATGCATCACCACTTGTATTTGCTTTCTTCTTTTTTCCCATACCTCCTACTCTTGTGTCTTGGAATGCACCCAATCAAGCCTTAGCATGTAAACTTTGTTTAAGCACTGTTTTCTGGGGAACATAGAATAACACATTGACAACCAAAAAGGGCCATGTAACTTTACTGAGAAGCTGAAGAGAGATAGAGAATGAGATTGGGAGAGAGAGAGAGAGACAGAGACAGACAGAGGAGGACATAAAGAATAAAATTCTCATCTTGTAGGAAATCAATACATAATAGTTAAAACAGAAAAATCTAGAAACAACAATATAATTATATATTATAATATGTAACGTGATTCAGAAGAATGGAGATTAGTGCCTAAAGAAATATCTAAATTAAAAAAAAAAAGTTCCTTCCAGAGAGTAAGAATCAGTGTGTGAAGAGGTATTAAAGAAATTTATGGGCCGGGCACGGTGGCTCACGCCTGTAATCCCGGCACTTTGGGAGGCCAAGATGGGCGGATCACGAGGTCAGGAGATCGAGACCATCCTGGCTAACACGGTGACACCCTGTCTCTACTAAAAATGCAAAAAAATTAGCCGGGCGCGGTGGCGGGCGCCTGTAGTCCCAGCTACTCGGGAGGCTGAGGCAGGAGAATGGCGTGAACCCGGGAGGCGGAGCTCGCAGTGAGCCGAGATCCCGCCACTGCACTCCAGCCTGGGCGACAGAGCGAGGCTCCGTCTCAAAAAAAAAAAAAAAAAAAAAAAACCTATGGTTTTCTTTATAAGCCTAGTACTACTATTGACTTTGAAAACTATGAATGTTATGGATAAAGCTGGAGGTCATTTTCCTACATGGAAAATTTCAGAAACAGAAATTAAATACCACATGTTCTCACTTACAAGTGGGAGCTAAACAATGGGTACATATGGAAGAAGGAAATGATAGACACCGGGGACTCCAAAAGTGGGGAAGATGAGGGTTGAAAAAAATACCTACTGGGTACAATGTTCACTATTTGGGTGATGGGTACGTTAGGAACCCAAACCTTGCCGTTACACAATATATCTATGTAATAAAAGTACGTATGTACCCCCTGAATCTAAAAGAAATCCAAACTCTGAATGTTAAAAAAATTAAGCACAAGAATATGTATTCAATATATATTGCAATTGTTCCATCTATTTTGAGTGCAATATAATGTAAACACAGGTCAGGAAAGAGCAGATCTTGAAATTTATATAGAAAAATATACAAAGTTGTACCAATTTTTTTGTTTTTGACAGTCTCGTTCTGTTGCCCAGGCTGGAGTGAAGTGGAGCGATCTTGGCTCACTGCAACCTCCGCCTCCTGGGTTCAGGCGATTCTCCTGCCTCAGCCTTCCAAGTAGCCGGGATTACAGGCACACACCACCACACCTGGCTAATTCTTTGTATGGTTTAATAGAGATGGGGTTTCACCATGTCGGCCCGGCTGGTCTCGAACTCTTGACCTCAGCAAAAATTTTTATAGTTACTAACTCTGAGTTGTGAAATTTCCAGTGCTTTTTTTTTTTAAGGTCTTTGAATATTTTGAACCGTGCTTGGGTTGTATTTATAAATAAGATGAGTAAGAAAGCTATTTTCCAACAAGAAAACGTTGGTCAGATGGATCAGGTATTCATTATAGTTCATAACATGAGAAAAGATATTTATTACATGTTTAAGATTATTTGTGAACTAAAATGTACTCTAAAACAAAAGCGTGATCTATGACATTTACCTAACACAGAACATGCTACCTTGTATTAGTTATTTTTTCAGTTGCATGTGTCTTGTCTCCTCAATGATAATGTAAGTTACCTTGAAGAAAGTGCTTCTCCTAGCTGCCTTTCTATCCTTCACAGTTCCAAGCAATTACAGGTGCACACACACACACAAACACACACACATGCATAAAGAAAATATATAGATAAAGACCATGTTGAAAGTTAGATATAAGCTTGTCAAGTTCACAACCTATAAGTAAAATGATTTTTTTTCTAAGGATGAAAGGAGTAATGGAAAAAGGAAAGGAAGTAATTATAAGTGGTGGTGCATTACTGAGTGGCTGACAAGAAACCTAGCCAACCATTGGGCCACATAGCAGCCTCCAGAGTGGAAGACTGGAACCATTTAACCTCAGAAATCCCCGTTCCAGAGGAGGAAGAGTAAATAATTTTTTAGCTCCTTCCCATGCCCTGTTTTTCATAAGTCATCAAAGTTTGCCCCATAAAGCCTTCAAGCCTAGGATGGTTGATTTTATGTGTCAACTTGACTGGACCATGGAATGCCAGGATATTGAGTCAAACATTACTCTGGGTGTGTATGTGACAGTGTTTCTGGACAAGATTAACATTTGATCAAAGTAGATTACCCTATCTAATGTGAGTGGGCCCCAACCAATCAGTTGAGGGCCTGAATAGAACAAAAAGTCTGACTCTTTGTAAGTAAGAGGGAATTCCTTCTGCCTGATTGCTTGAGCTGGGACCTTGGTCTTTTTCTGCCTTTGGACTTGAACTGAAACATCAGCTCTTCTCGGGTCTTGAACCTAGAGGCTTTCAAAATGGCTGAGAAATCCCAAGCTTGAGAAGCTTATACCATGAGCTCTCTTGGGTCTCCAGCTTGCCAACTGAAAATCTTGGGACTTCTCAGCCTTCATAATCATGTGAGCTAATTCCTTATAATAGATCATTATATCTATCTACCTACCTACCTACCTAACTACTGACTGACCGATCTACCTAGATGGATATAATCTCCTGTTGGTTCTATTTCTCTGGAGAATTCTGATTAATACAATGTCCTTATATTAAGGTGACTCATGGTCATTCAAGCATCTTGGGCTGCAGCCTCTTTGTCATTGTCATCCTAACTATAGATTATTTCAAATATGACAACAAACTCCAACTCCTTATACTTTCAAGGGTAACAGTATAGAAGCAACTCTGTATGCAGAAATGTCTTTGACAAGAAGTTACTCCAACTAGTTCTGTCTAGGGAGCAGTACGAATGCTCTCAGGATGGATGTTACTGGTTTATAGACTCAACACACAGGACATTTATCAAGCACTTGCAATGTGCAAACCATTGTGCTAGGTTTTGTGAAGTCTGCCAAGATGAGTAAGTTCCTGAGTGTCTGTGGACCACCAAGGCTGGAAATATAGCGTATAGTATGGCAAATTATGCTGTACTTATTTTTTCAATATGCCATCTTTATAGTCTCTCTTTCAATGGGTATGATTGAGGCATGACTCATGAATGTCTATCTTCTCCAGAAAGGAAAGCATCTTTTTGTGACAAGATGAAAAACTGAGCATCTGTTTTCAGGTTAAGATTTACATATCATGGTCATGTGATTGCAATGGATTTTTATGAGTTTGAAAATGTTGCCCTAATTTCTTCAACAGGTCTTTCATAGTTATGAGTAATCAAAAAATACATTTCTCTCAACTACAGAATATATGACTCACAAAAAATGAAAACTTCTGTTTTACCGCTTAGTGCCAATCATATGAACTATTGGAAAATTTACAATTCTATGTCCAGCCAATGAAAATCTATCCCAGACATATAGTTAATCGGTTTATTTTTCACTCCATAACATATTCCAGAATCTCTTAGGTTGCTTTTCGTGGTAAGCAATGTGATCATGTGGTGTCTAATGTTAATGTAACCTCATATTTTTCCTAGAAACTAAATATTTGGTTCACATATAGACTAAAATAAATTTGGCTAATTAAAAAAACAACAAGCAAATAAAATGAGAAGCACATATAAAGCAAAATAAAACAAGTGGAATTCTGTTTTGTCTTTTTATTTCATTTCTGGTGATTTTCAATCAGAATTAAAGTATTTTTTTAATCAAAGGGTAAATAACTGGTACAGCCAGAACCCCAACTTCAGGCAGCATCAACAAGCCACTCGAGCCTGGTAACAGAATAAAAGGAAAAAAGTGAGTTAGGTTGGAGAATTTCCATTTCCACAGTGATGTTATTTCTGTATCTGTCTTCCTCTTGCCACCAAATTGTAGACCATTGCCCCTTAAATGTAGACATGACAACAAATATTTGTTTTGTTAATTCTCAGTTTTAATGTATAGTTTATGTAGAGGAAGGCAGTCAACATGAGGCATTCCTGGTAATAGTTATCAAGGCATATTGAAAAATAGCTTTTTATAAAACATTTTTAGCAAATGAAATTAAAAAAAGTATGGGTATAACTTCACAGTGCATGGCTTTCATTGAATCAATCCCATTAGCATTAGTATTTCTGTAAAGTGCACTCCATGCCCAAGGCACCTCAATTTTCAGTGGACTTGAACATGAGCAGCATTTTTTTATACAATTCTGTAATTGTTCTGCATATGTTAAAATTAAGTTAAAACTTTACATATAAATATTTTTACCTATATGATATATATAATTTGTGTGTGTATATATACACACATATATACATTCTTTCTCCCTCTGTGTGTATATATATGATCACCAAAAATGAAATAAAAAAAGAGGGAGAGAGAGAAAGAAAAAGAGAAAGAGAATAAAAACATATCTGATTTCATACAGATTTCTAAGGGCTTAAGATTTCTCTTCATGTCCTTATGGAGGATAAAGTATTAGCAACAGAAATTTAGTACAGATTTCTTTCAATTCTGTTTTTTCACTTTTGAAATAAGCTTTATGCTGGATTATTGTTTATTTCTTTTGAAGCCCTCTACCAATGTCACAAATCTGAAGGAATCTGTTCTCTTTCTCACTGTGCATGTCTAATTATAGGTATTACATATAGTGCAAGTATGCTAGTCTTGCACTCAAAATACTGCGTGACTCGGCTGTGTGCAGTGGCTCATGCTTGTAATCCCAGCACTTTGGGAGGCTGAGACAGGTGGATCCCCTGAGGTCAGGAGTTCAAGACCAGCCATGGCCAACATGGCAAAACCCTTTCTCTACTAAAAATACAGAAATTAGCTGGGCGTGATGGTGTGCACCTGTAGTCCCAGCTACTTGGATGGCTGAAACAGGAGAATCACTTGAACCCGGGAGATGGAAGTTGCAGTGAGCCAAGATCATGCCACTGCACTCCAGCCTGGGTGACACAGTGAGATGCTGTCTAAAAAAAAAAAAAAGAAAAAAGGAAAATACTATGCAATACTGTGTGTCTCCAGAAGAGACCTTTAGCATTTCTATCTCTCCCTTTGCTTATGAACTGGAGATGGTAACTTCTAATTCTCTGGGTTGTTTTGACACTTGATTGAGTCCATGAGAATGCTTTGTATATCTCAAGCAAGTTCTAATCCAGCCAGAGACATTACCATTACTTTTCATGATGGTAAGTGATTTTGATCCATTTGTGACCATTAATAGCATTTTATAGATTAGACATCACCTCAACCAACCTTGAAAACAGCCTCTTGGATACTTGCCTGTCTTTGCAGATCTGGGCAGTAGAGAACATGTAGGCAAGCAGTGAAACAGTCTAATTCATAACCATAAAATTCTAAAACAGAAGAGTCCTAAGAGATTATTGTGTCTTTTTTATTGTGCTAAGTATCTTTGGGTCTACAATAATGGGTAGATGATTTTGAAATTCCTACTTACAAGGCTGATCTGTGACAAATATTAGATGGCAAGTTCCTCTTCATTATAATAGGGCTGCACAATCTTTTAAAAATATAATCATAATTTTTTTTCATTCTCGTAGACAAAACAATATTCTAAGCAAACAGCCCTAAGATTCTTTGGCTTCTACTTCCATACCTCCCCACCCCTTTCCTTTACTCCGAACCAGCCCTCTGTGTAGGAGGAGTTATATGTTTCTTTACCACCAAGAGAATACTGACATTGATTCAAATCATAAGTAGCTAGAAGCTGAATCTCATACAACTCTTCAAGATTATTCCATGATCATGTGTAATTTTTGTGTGAAATGACTCGAGTAAAATTAAATTAGTTTCTAAATAAATAAAAAATAAAGTTTAAACTAAAGTTAGAGTTAGAAAAATATTTTTTTTCACACTATAGCTACAAAATTACACTATGGAAACATTAAATACTACATTATGTCTACCGTGAGAAATAGAAGTGTAGCAGAGATTGCAAACGTGGATTCAAATTATGACTCTACCAATTTCTAGCTATGTGACTGTGGTCTCAGTTTCCTAACCAATAACAGCACTGGTTGCAGTCTAACAGCTTAACAATAACAGTACCCAACTGACAAAGACGCCGTGGGGATTCAGTAGATCAATACCTGTAAAGAACTGAGAACATTACCATAATAAATATTGGCATTTATCATCATCACCATCATCATCATTCTACTCCCTTTTAGAAAGGGAAATCTTAAATGCCCAATATACAAACTAATCATCTTCTTTCTCTACAAATTGAAGGTTGCATTTCAACCAAATAATCTTTTATGTAAGTAAGAAGCAGTTATAGGCACAGTAACACAGCTGGTGATCTCTGTTTCGCTGTGTTCTAGCACACTGAGAAAGCAAAGTAGTGGACCTGGCTCATTAAGCTAGACTATGTTAAAAAAACTCCAAAGCACTACACTGATTTGTCTTCAACTTACAAAAACATTTATTTAAAGGACTCAGACAAAGAATAGGGCTTAACAAGTGAAAACTGGAATAGCAGACAGGCTAATAGGTAAAAGTTGAAGCAGATTCCTTTCCCTGTGTAAAGCCAACATTAGGAATAACAAGGAGAGTAGAAAGTGTTGAAATTAAGTAAGTGGGTGCCAGGGCTCATTCTCAGGGCCCTGAATTTTGGGTCAGTTCATGAGGTGCTGGAAGTTTGGTACTCCATAAAAAGTCCGATAGGTCACTAAATAACTCTCTACTTTCTTGGCCAGGCACGGTGGCTCACGCCTGTAATCCCAGCACTTTGGGAGGCCTTGGTGGGTGGATTACCAGAGGTCAGGAGTTTGACACCAGGCTGGCCAACATGGTGAAACCCCATCTCTACTAAAAAAAAAAATTAGCTGGGCGTGGTGGTGGATGCCTGTAATCCCAGCTACTCAGGAGGCTGAGGCAGGAGAATCTCTTGAAGCCGGGAGGCAGATGTTGCAGTGAGCCAAGATCATGCCACTGTACTCCAGCCTGGGCAACAGAGCGAGAGACTCTATCTTAAAAAAACAAATAAACAAACAAACAATAACTCTCTACTTTCTCTCCAGACCTGGTCACCCTGAGCTATGCCAGAGAAGTGGTCGGCATTGTATTAAATAATAACTCTATCTAGCACTGCAAGATTTTAGTGGCAGAAGTACATGAAATATAGATTTTTGGCTAAATGTTCAAGCAAATATTAAGCCCAATCCAGTGCTAAATAGAACACCATCACTAGGGTGACCAACTCCTTCCTGTTTGCCCAGGACTTTTCTGATTTTAGCAGATAAATTCCATACCTGGGAACCCCCTCAGTCCCAGGCAAATGAAAATAGTTGGTCACTCTAACCATCATAGAATGAATATCTGGATAGAAAAAATCCGAAATATTATAAAAATGTTAGTTGTTAAAATTTTCAGGAGTCAAAATTTGAAAGTTTGACCTAGTAAAGGAACAATAATTTCTCAGTACTATTAGCTGCACATTTATTAATTCAACTGCACACTGGGGATGGGAACAGATATTTACCTTCAACTGAGGTCACTGGAGAAATAAGATCTTTTTGGCTAACACTGCCAATACAGGTAACTGTTCAAGATGGAGCTGCAATCAGGATGTTAAGCTTTCTGTATTTTCTTAGGGTGATAAAACTGAGGTGAAAACTTACTTCCTCTTCAACTCCTGGTCTTGATAATTTAGTCAATGATGATGGTGCAATTTCACTGAGGCAATCCCCAAAACCAAATATTTCTCTCTCTAGTTAACTGTTTGAAAAAATCTAATTTTTATGTATAAAATTAACTGGTTTCACAACATTAATTATTGCAGCGTTTTACTCTGAATTCAACTGACAGAATCTCAAAAACTAATGCATACAAGGAGATTTTAATCCTACCTATATCTAAAATGGTGATCCACATTTGAAAGTGAATATTATGCAATCACAACACATCCAGACGACAACACATCCAGATGACATGATCTGTTTTTATTGCTGATATTGATACATTATTTAGATATGAGAGTAACATGCAATGTTATGATCATTGATCACCCGTGATTTCAGGAATGCCAGGAATGATATTGCACTTAGGCATTTTGCTATTTGAGCTTTCAAAGGCTGAGGCTGCAGCCAAAGCTGAGGAGCAGATATTGGCTAAATTCCAAGATTAAAGTCATATGTTGGTAATTGTCCATTTGGAACCACTGACCATGAGCTGAAGAAGCCTTCTGAAGCCAAATCCCTGTGAACTTCCATAAGCGGTGTCCACTCTTGAATGCTTTTCACACTGCTTCTACCGTTGACTGGCCCACTTGCTCATTCATCATACCTGAGGGCATTCAGTAGGGGATCCCCAAGGACTAGGGTAACTGAGCCAAGAGCTCACTGAGTGCAAATTCAGAAGGCTAAATTGATTATAGGATTACACAAGCATGCACAGAGCAGTGCACATGTAATGTGTGTATGTGTGAAGCATGTGTGATGGAAAATTTTATGTGTCAACTTGACTGGGTTAAGCAATACCCAGATAGCTGGCAAACATTGTTTCTGAGTATATCTATCAGGGTGTTTCTGGAAGAGATTAGGTTATGAATCAGTAGGCTAAGTAAAAAAGACCAGCCTCACCAATACGGGCAGGCAATCCATTAAGGGCCCAGATAGAACAGAACAGCAGAGAAAGGGCAAAATTGCTCTCTTTTTTGGAGCCAGAGTATCCATCTTCTCCTGCCCAGAGCTCCAGGTTCTTGGGCTTTTAGACTCTGAAACTCATACCATCAACACTGCCTCCCCGCAGCCCCAGGCCTCTGGTCTCCAGCTGAACAACACCACAGCAGCTTTCCTGGCTCTTCAGTTTGCTGATGGCATATTATGGGGCTTTTTGGCTTCTAAAATCATGTGGACTAATTCCCACAATAAATACCTTCTTATATATTATATCTGTATATATCCTACTGGTTCTGTTTCTCTGGAGAATGCTACCTAATCCTGAATGTTAGCAGACATTTAAAAATATCAGAGTTCCATAGGTGGGAATTGAAAAATGAGAACACTTGGCCACAAGGTGGGGAACATCACATACTGGGGCCTGTCCTGGGGTTGGGGGAGGGGGGAGGGGGGAGGGATAGCATTAGGAGAAATACCTAATGTAAATGATGAGTTAATGGGTGCAGCAAACCAACACAGCACATGTATACATACATAACAAACCTGCTCGTTGTGCACATGTACCCTAGAACTTAAAGTATAATTTAAAAAATTAAAAAAATGCACCTGGCATATAACAGTGCTTAATAAAAACTTTTAAGTGTATAGCTCAGTAGTACTAAGTACAATTACATTGTTGTACAACCATCACCACTATCCATCTCCAGAACTTTTTCATCTTCACCAAACAAAACTCTCTACCCATTGCACAATATCCCTCCTGGCTGTGGGGAGAGAAGAACAGGGAGATATTGCATAACGGGTACAGATTTCTGTCTCTGAATATGACTACTCTAGGTAGCTCATATAAGTGGAATCATACATTAATTTTTTTTGTGATTGGCATGTCAGCATAATGTCTTCAAGGTTCATCCATGTTGTACCATGTGTTAGAATTTCCTTCCTTAAGTCTGAATAATATTCCATCGTATGCATATACCACATATTTTTTATCCTTTCTTCTATTAATGGACACTTGGGTTGCTTCTGCCTGTTGTCAATTGTGAAGAATGCTGCTATGAACATGGATGTACAAAGAGATGATCAACCCTCGTCTTTATTTCTTTTGGATATATACCCAGAAATGGAACTGCTGAATCATATGGTCTAACTTGCTTTTGATGAAACTTGGAATTGTTCGTTTCACAAGCCTAGTATGTAGAAAGCCAGATATGACTAGTGTGCCCCTGCTTTTCTCTGTCTCTTTTATGGCAGAACCTGCTATTCCCAGGAACAATCCAGGGGCACCCTTGCACCCTCCAACTTCAACTCCTTTTCCCTTTTTCTATGGCTCTTCAGCATTGATTCCATCCACAGGTCCAGGCTTCTTTCAAGAACTAAATGTTAAATGTTTTTGGAATAAATTTTACATCTTAAGTATGGCAAACATCTTCAACAAAGTTGTAGTTTGCTCTTTAAAACTTATGTTGTCTTTTCGTTTCATTGAAAATTAAAATTTACTACAGTTTCATCAAGCTTTTATGATTTTTAAAGCCTTATTTAAAAAAATTCTTAACTATATGAAAATTATTTTTATGAAGTTATCTTTCTCATTTAGGTTTTTATATGGAATTGATTGTGTTCTATACTGATAATTGAGTTTCTTGAGGTTAATTATAGAGTATCTTATCCCTTAGCCACTGATCTTCAATATGCAGACTCTCACAAATCAAATTTTTGAGCATCCTTATTATTTTAGGAGGTCTCTATTCTGTTCCAAGAATCTGTTTTTCTAACTTTGCATTAATATCATGTTTTTTATGTATAAACTTTATAATAAATCTTGATATTGGTTAGGGCACTTTCCTGTACCATGTTCTTCTTTACTATTATATTGGCTATTGTTCATTTGCTATTCTCTGACAAATATATAATTAGACTGTCAAGTTCTATAAAAATTCCTATAAGAACTTTTGTAGAGATTATATTAAAATATAAACCAATTTTGAGATAATTACATCTTTATGATTAGTCTTCTATATCAAGATTATAGTTTGTTTTCTTTAATATATGTCAATAAAATGTTTTAATTTTGGCTAGAAAAGAAAAAACAGAGCTAAAGTTTTAGTCATTTAAGTTTCTGAAAACCTTCCTTAAGTTTTCCTGTAAGACTGGAGCCCCACTTTTACGGTTTGAATGAATGTGTCCCTCCAAAATTCATGTGTTAGAATTTAAACCCTAAGGTATTAAGAGATGGGACCTTAGAAGAGGGAGCACCCTAGTGCCTTTTGCTCTTCCATCCCTTCTGCCATACGAGGACACACAGTATTTGTTCCCTCTGGAGGATGCATCAATAAGGAATCATCTTGGAAGCAGAGAGTCAGAACTTATCAGACACCGAAGCTGCTTATGCCTTGATCTTGGACTTCCCAGCATCTAGAACTGTGAGAAATAAATTTCTATTATTTACAAGTTACCCAGTCTAAGGTATTTTGTTATAGCAGCAGGAACAGACTAAGACACCCACCCTGCCAGGCATGGACTAATTCCCTTCCCTGATTCTGCATGTGAATTAGATAGGAATGATAAACCTAAGGGCCTGTACCTGTGTGTAGGGTCTTTGGGACTATGTTGAACTGGGTGTTGTGTTTAGCTAAATTGGCAAATGTAAATTGCAATCAAGAAAATAATCCAGAACTGTGAGTAACAGCAGCAGAAACAAGTATCAGGATTGAGGCCTGAAGCAAAACCAGGTGCAAGAAATTATTCAAGCTACCAGAAGTCAAGATAATCAGAAGCAGATGAGTCAGTAGAGTGAATGTTGAGTTGAAACAAACAGTTGAAAGGTGCAACAAATTAAAGTTTTCAGGGTTTTTTTTGGTGGTATCTACCCCAAGGCTAAAATTAGGTAATGCATCTGAGTTCTGGACCTTGCTTCTGTATCCTACTTCTGCTGTTGAGGGCAGAGAAATCTTAATACTGTGAATGTAGAGAACTCCAGAATGACAATTGCTCCCTGCTAGACCCCAAAATTTCAACCACTGCCTGACATTACTGTTTCCTTAGTCAAAATGTGAACTGGAATACTCTCCCCAGCTCAATTACAAGAAAGCTGTGTCTGTTTCAGGCTTGGTTGTGGGTGGAAATAATCCTGTCCTAAACATTAGTAACCAGGGACTTGGATCTTCTCTGGCTCAAATTTATATTACCTCTGTATTCTGGACACTTCTGAGCCAAGAAATTAGATAAAAAGGTAGTGTAAGCTTATAATACCCTGTGGTACTTTGCAGAAACAAAGGTAAAATCTCATTCTAAGCCACTCGTGAGTCCTATTACCAACAGGTGATGTATAATGAGATGATGATTTGGGAGATTTCAGGAATTGATAGAATACTTCAGATTAAAAAGAATGACATTTTTCATTATGTTGCTAAACGGTTCACATAAGATTCCCACAATGTTTTTTTCAATATAATCACAACGGAAAAGTCACAACAGACAAATTCACATCCTGTCCAAACAACAATGGTTATATCATCCTTTTTGTTTTTGTTACCCACAAATTAAAACAAACTTTTTGTTCAATTAAATTTATTAAGTAGTTCATTTCAGGTAACAATAATATCTAATAGTTCTGTTCTCTTCTTTATATATACATGGATCAATGTAGATATGCATACAATTTATTGTACTTTGAATTATGTTTCATGCTGAAAACTTTTGTAAAGAGGAAAGGAAGGAATTATGAAGTGAGGGAAATGTCTGAATGGAATTGGTGCTTAATGTGGTTTGGCTCTGTGTCCCCACCCGAATCTCATCTCGAATTGTAATCCCCACGTGTTGAGGGAGGGACTTATAATCTGCACGTGTCAAGGGAGGGAGGTGATTGGATCATGAGGGCAGTTTCCCCCATACTTCTCTCATGATAGTGAGTCTCATGAGATCTGATGGTTTTATAAGTGTCTGGCATTTCTCCTGCTGGCACTCACTCCCTCCTGCCACCTTGTGAAGAAGGTATCTGCTTCCTTTTCACCTTTCACCATGATTGTAAGTTTCCTGAGGCCTCCTAGCCATGCTTCATGCTAAGCCTGCATAACTGGGAGTTAAATAAACCTCTTTCCTTTATAATTACCCAGTTTCTATTCTTTTTTTTCTCTACATTTTGTTTATTGAGACAAACTAATTAAAAGGCACAAACATAGGGCATGTTTACATGGACATTATAACAAACATATACATTAAAAGTGTAGGAATGTGTTGCCTTCCTGCTAAACAGAAAGTTCCTAAGCTTTTATATATACAAAAGTTGTATAATTTAATGTCCTAAAGTACAAAAGATCATTTATAAAATTATTTTACACTAAGTACTATTTATTTTATTTTTTTGCTATGTAGTTCAACCCCCTAGAACTGTTTTGTGTAACGACACACAGATACCTGTCCCTGAGGTAGGAAGTCTGTCTCAGATGCAAGGTATTTTGATGCTTGAACTGACACAGTAGGGTATAAACGGAAATCATCCAGTTTGATAGTCAGTCCTGCAAACATTCTGCAAGATTAACACAACTAATTTCCATTTCTCTTAACTGCAATGATTAAAAAATGAAAAAAACCAAAAACATATTGCAACTTAAAAAAAATCACAGCGTCTTGGTTTTAGTTAACTTTTTTTTTTTTAACACAATGCTTTAAAAACAATGTGTGGCATGATGGTATAAAGAGTATCTGTTTCCCTAGCTTTTGGTTTCTACTTTATGTACAGAGATAAAATACCCTGCTAAGAAATAAAAAGCACATGTCTCAACGTGCACAATCATTGCTGGGTTTCTACAGGGAGTGCAGACAGCTGTCTCCCTGAAAACACCACAAAGCTGATACAAATGTTTTCTCAAAAAAAGAAAAAAAGTGATGTCCATATTTACAAAGTTGAACAAATCTGCGCAATACTTAAGAAACAGAAGGAGAAATTTTAAAAAAGATACACTCTGCATGTTCTGAAGGGGCATATACTACCTAGTTAGTGGTTAGAATAAAAACTATACAATTTAATATAAGACATAAACTCTAGTGAGCAACTAACACATCTGTCTCTGTTGTAACATCAACAGGCTCTGATTGGGAGACAGAGGGGCATATCACATCCCAGTGCCTCCAGAGTCTTCCAATTTAAAGCAATATATTTGAACTGTTCCAAAGTACTCCTTGGCTCCTAAACAGGAGTCCCACTGGCCTCTGTTTGTTAGGAGCCTGCCTGTCCACACACTTGACTTCTCCTCTGTCAGCTGAGGCTTTTCTTAGCAAAACACAATTTGCAGATTTAAAAACAATTTTTTTTTTTTAAAAAGTCAACTACAATGCTATATTCCATTGGGATTAATATGCTGAGCAATATTTACATCTCCAAATATCAGGTCACAATCCCTATTATATGTTGAAGTTAGAATGATAAATTATATGTTTTGCATATCAGAGCTGGTATCACTTTTCCCACAGGGAATGCTGCCTGAAATTAACATATTCCCAAGGGTAAAATGCATATTCTCTGAAATGCATTTTATTATGACAATGCATGTATTTACTCATAAAAACAATAAACACAGACAATTCTACACTAGCTCTCAATCTGTGGATTTAGAATTTCAGGTTAAAATCAGCCATCCACCTTGTATAGGGAGAAGAGTTCTGCTAGTGTTTACAATAAAGTGATTCCTTTGAATTAGAAATAGTAATGCTGTTTTTTTTTTTATTTTGAAGTGGGTTCTACTTATTTATGATTGGTTTTAATTCTGGCATTTCATCTTGCCAACTACTATCCTGTTTAAGCAATGTTGTCAGCTAAAAGGAATTTCTGATTAAACTAAAGTGGTCCAGTGATAAGTTACATACACACCCTACTTTGAATAATCCCAGCCAAATTGGAGAAAAATGCTACCACACTCTTATTAACTAATGTAATAAAATCTCCCAATTTCATGGTTTACTTTTTGCTTTAATCAACTAAAAGTTAAGTTGCTGGTAAATATTTACTTTAACCTATATTTTGATTTTATAATACTGTTTACCAAGGCGGTGATGTAGGCAAAGCTTGGGACAAGGAAGACATGCTCTCTACATGTCTCACTGCTATATTGAGAGGGGCGGCTAATGTCATAGGCATGGGCAGATTCATTGGAGATGTGATGGTGACAGGGTGTGCTATATTCTCTGGGGCAGTGACGGGGTGGGGAGGTTGATCTGGGTAGTGAGTGTTAAAGGAGAGGTCATGGATAGTGGACTGGTTATAGTTACAGGATGCCCTATGTTCATTGGACTGGTTATGTTAACTGCCCTTGAAACATTTACTGAACTTCTCATGCTCATTGCAGCTGCCAGTGTGACTGGGTTTGACATAGCCCCAGACGACACAGAGGATGTTATATTGAATGGCGTAGTGAGAGTCACAGGTGTTGTAGCAGCCGTGGAGGTTTGGCACAGGTTAGCAGCTTCTTTCTTCCTTGCTTTAACAGCTTCTTCCCACAGTCTCAGTGTTGCTACCTGCTTCCCTGGCCAGCTTGTCACATGTTGTTGTTGCTGTTGTTGCTGCTGCTGCTGCTTTTGGTTACTGGTCTCTTCACTCATGCTTGTTTTACTGATGCCTTGTTTACATGTATTGCAGTTGATACTTTGGCTCTGCCCATGAGTCTTTAAGTGGCTGGTGATGTATGCTGCACTCAGGAGCTTCCCACAGATGTTACATGATACCTTGTCTTCGTGGCGCACCATGTGTGTCCGCAGTCTGTCTTTGGCGGCAAAGGCAGCAGTGCACGTTTGGCATTTGAAGGGTCTTTCTGTTGAATGGACATGTTTTACATGACAGCTTAAGGGGTCAGGTCTTGAGAAGCCTTTCCCACAAACACTGCAAGTATAGGGTTTGGTGATTCCTCCTTCATGAGACCTCACACGGTAAGTCATCCGGTCCTTCCTCTTGAAGCGCTGATTACAAATAGGACACTCGAAGGGCTTCTCATCTGAATGGGAGAGCTTGTGCCGACTGAGATGGTACACATCTCGGAAGGCCTTCCCACACATTTCACAAGCCTGGTTCTTCTTGACAGGCTTGCTGGGTTTCTTGACAGATTGAGTCACCGGCAGAGCTGTGGTGCTGGCACTGCTACTGGGGTTGGTGCCCGAGGAAGATGTAGTGACTGTTGACAAGATGCCTGCAATGGTCGAGACCAACGAAGTTCGGCTGCTGTCCCCAGCCATGGTAGAGATAAGGGGAAACACCGTGGTGGGGGTTTTCTTTGGCTGGGACACCACCTTGATCCCTGTGTGGCAGGATTCATGGCGCCTCAGGTGATAGCTGTCCCTGAAAGCTTTACTGCAGTAAGTGCACACAAACGAAGTTTTGGGTTTTTATTTTTTAATCCCAATGGCATCCTTTAATGTTTCTGGTGAACCCTGAGGTTTCTGAGTTATCGGTATTGGAAGCAATGGTTTCTGATCAGGGGGCTCCACGGCAGAGCTCAGGAGGAGCAGCAAGCTGTTCTGTGCTGCCTGCTGTTGGTGATGGGAAGCTACCTGGGCTGCCATTTTACCAATTCAGATGTTTGTGGCAACATAAAGTATTTTTACAGCATTGCTGAAGCTCACTCTCACACAAGGGTCACACCAGGTCCCTGATTCTTGGGTGAAATGCTGTAGAACCACTGCAGGAATCGCTCTCTGAGGATTCCTAGGATCCCCACACTTCTACATGAAGCCTTCCAAGGGGGAACTGGGTTTTCAAAAAATGTTCTCTGGAACAGGAACGAGGTCCAGTTGGCCTCCATGGCTGCGACGGCCGACCCCCCCTCCTCCCCACTCCCCCCGCTCGGGGAGCCTCCTCAGCCAGAGGAGGTGACAACAAAGCAGTGGCGGCGGTGGCTCCCCAACATCCGCAGTTTCTATTCTTTATAGCAGTGTAAGAATGGACTAATACAGTACTGTTAATATTTCCGGATCCTCTCATTTATAAGGCCCTGAATACTCTGCAACTAGGATTTGAAACTACAGTTCTGGGCCCCTTAGAACCTCTCGAGGTAGAGTCTCTACCAGGTATTCTAAATTATCTCATTCATATTTCTTCTTACTTCTTGCCTCAAAGCTGCCTCTTTGCTTAGATTCTTCAAATCAGTTCTTCAGTTGGACTTTTTGTATGAGTTTTCATATTGATTTTAGATACTCTTTTTCAGGTAACTCTGGGATCTATAATTCAGTATCTCCTGCCTCAGCTCAAAACACTAACTTCAAGGTATTTATCAGGAGGACAGTTATAATTAGGAAAATTAAATGACAAATTGAATAAAAGACTGATTACTTTCTTGTTATGTTCTTAAAATTATTTAACACATCTGCAGAGTCACAGTCTTGACTATCATGATCAGTGGCAGCTAAAATGCAAAAATGAACGGACCACTTTACTACTGTAGCTGTAGATGAGCAAAATACATCACCCCATGTAAGAAACAGCACTGAGTTCGACTGTGATTTCCTACTTACTGAAATCCTCCTCAGAAAGGAGAGGGAATGCTACTGATGCTCACCCAAGTGAGAAGAATCTATACCGTGGGGAGGGAAATAGCTGTAGAACACCAGATGTTTGCTAATTATCCTCAAATGAAATTAACTAGACAAAGTTTTAAACAAAGATAATTGGAAAGGGTAAAATAAGCTTATTCTTCCCTTGACTTTACAAGTAGGGGTAATAAATTCATCTAAAGTGCTCATCATTGCCTCTGCATCCAGTCCTACCTCCAGTTCTTAAGCCTCAGACCATATACCTTTCCTCTGCCATGGGAATCATATCCAGTGTCTCTATAGCTGGGTACTGGTCAGCTGAGAAATTCTCCAAGCCTCGCTCTCCTATTTCCCCTTCTTCTCCCCTTATGTATGACTATTCCTCATCTTAGCTCACTCTTCTTGGCCAGCTCAGTTAAAATCAGGTATAAAATGGCTTAGCACTTCCACCTCAAGACTTGACTGATAGTCACATCAGATGATGTCTTCAAAATCTCAGAACTTATTTTAACCTGAAAGCCCCTATAAAAAAGGTTTAGGCAAAAACCCAGTGATTTGACAGAATGCACCTCTACCCTTCCTGAAATAGAAGCTACTTCTGGAAAAGCATAGACCTTCTTTATGGAGGAACAATCAGTAAAAGCAAAGAACCTGGACAAAACTGAAGCTGTAATTCAAAGGAAATGGACCACACGGAAGAATGAGAGTTGGTCTTCACCAAAAACTGTTGGAGTGAAAGAAACAGACATATTAAAAAGTGATTTTATTTATATTATCAAGAAAATTCAAAAGGGAGCTCTAGCTCTAAAGCTAAAACAAATAGCCCTAAAGAGGAGCCCATCTTATATCAGGTAGAATTTTATGGACATATAAAAATGATTTCTAAATTAAAAACTATGACAGCAACAACAATATAAAATGGACACTTCTATCACTTCTCAGCCTTTTGGTTAAGATCAACTGCAAAATGGATACTCTTCAACATTACATTTCTAAAATATTAAAGCAAGTACAAGAATTTTGACCTCAAATATAACTCAGCATGACATAGAATCCAAGGGATATACTCCCTTCATAACTCTGTTGACATTTTCTCAAAAGGTTAATATCCTTGATATATAAAACATTCATGGCAAATAATGTTTTTGAGAAGAACAACAAAACCAAAAATGCATAACCAAAGACCAGCTTGCAGATGCTGTAGCTTCTGAAAGAAGAGGCTGGAATAGGACTTGTGTGCAAGAAATTTATCTGGGGCAGGGAATGAGGGGATGAACCCAGGTAGGCAGATGTGAGGAACTGAGCTGATTGAAATAGAGGAGAAAAAGTCAATACAAAGGTGTGTGACTGAGTTCCCACCAACTGAGGTTCAGTCCTTCTGGGATGTGCTCAAGAGTGCAGGGAATGCTCAGAACTGGCCACCCAAGGATTGTTGGAGAAAAGAATCTGCTCTTTGTCTTCCACACCCCACTGGTTGAAAGTTGTCCAGGGCTACTAACTCTCTAGCACTTCTGAGCTATTTGCAGAGTGAAATCTCACTGACATTCTGCTCCCCTGTGTTGGAGAGAACCTGGAGGCAGGAGCACAGAAGATATCGAGTGCCAAGGGAGTCCTCTGCCTGAGCTGTGGCTGGAACCAAGATGAGGCTGAGAGGTGTCTGGTATAATAAAAGATGAAATTAATGTGAGAAAAATACACCTGAAAAGCACTTACATTTGCTGGTACAAAGGAATGCAAATCACTACAACAATCAATATCTTTTCCTTTGATAAATTTAAAGTGATTTGTAAAATGATAATTCTTAATTTTTTAAAGATGTAGTAAGAGAGGAAGAGTTTTACTGCTAAAATGAATACATTTTATGAACTTCCTTGGACTAAACTAATGTTATAAATTTTTGTGGGCCAAATTGTGTCCCACCCCCCACCAAATTTATATGTTGAAATCCTAACCCCTAGTATGTCGGAATGTGACTATATTTGGAGATAGGCCTTTAAAGAGGTGATTAAGTTAAAATGAAGCCTTAGAGTGGGCCCTAATCCAATCTGAATGGTATCCTTAGAAGGAGAGGAAATTGGACACTCAGAGATATCAGGGAAGCATGCCCACAGAGGAAAGACTGTGTGAACACATAGCAAGAAGGCAGCCATCCTCAGAAGAAACCAAGCCTGCCATCATCTTGATCTTGAACTTGTAGGTTCCAGAATTGCAAGAAAATAAATTTATCTTGTTAAGTCACCCAATCTGTGGTATTCTCTTATGGCAGCCCTAGAGAACTCATACAAGAGTAAGAATCTTAAATATTAATATCTTCATACGCTGTGGCTACCACAGCCAATTCCTCTCAATACCCATTTTCCCATTTTTCCTTACTAATAGAACCTGAGTTTTTTCTTTTTGATTATTATTATTATTGAGAGTACAGCACTGTGCCCAGCACTAGGCTGTAGACCATGATTGGTCTAGGCCAACTCTGAAAATCCTATTCCTGTTTTCTCAGCATCTCTTGCAAGTAGTGTTGACTTTGTGACCCAGTTCTGGGCAGCAAGACTAAGGAGAATGTTCAGTGGGGCTTCTGAGAAACATTTTGCTTTCCTAATAGAAAAAGACAGATGAAGGCATTATGCATGTTCCCCCACCCCTTTTCCTGCTTTATACCTCAGACACCGATATGATGTGCTACCTATCTTTGCACAGCTCCAGCTTTACATTCTATTAGGTAAGACATTTCAATGCATCAGAGGGCCTCTGGTCTAATAGTTTTAACACATGCCCTTGGAATCAGTCTTATTGGACTAGCTTAGGTAACATGCACATAACTGAACCAATCATGAGGACCATAGTTGACTGATCTGAAGAGTGTTCCGACTCCTAGAGTGTAGGGTTGATGCCAGCCTTAGCCAACACTCATGGATGGAAAGTTGGGGAGGGGTTGCCCAAAGGGAAATCAAGGTGTTGATACCAGAATTTGGAGGAACGAATGATGATCAGGCAAAAACCAACTAACACAACTAATTGATGTGCTTTACACCTAACTAAGTTCTCCTTCAGGTCTCAGCTTGCCTATTATTTCCACTATGAACTTTTCCTGGCCAACCTCAATGCTGTCAGTTCTAGACTAGTTGCCCCTATTGTTTTTTTCCTATACCACCTGTACTTTCTTTATCACAGCACTTTTATATTGTGTTAAAATTGTCTGTTTGTTTCTCTTAATTCCTGATTAAACTACAAAGGCTATTAAGGCAGGAATCGTGATTATCTCATTCACCATTGCCTCTCTAGTGTCTACCTGTGCACCTAGTAAATAAACTTGATAAATATATGCTGAGTGAATAAAAATCTACTGCTAAATGGATATTTGGTAGACAAGTGTAATTGAAAATGCTTTCGGGCTGGGCGTGGTGGCTCACGCCTGTAATCCCAGCACTTTGGGAGGCTGAGGCTGGCGGATCACCTGAAGTCAGGAGTTTGAGACTAGTCTAGCCAACATGGTGAAACCCCATCTCTGCTAAAAATAAAAAAAAATTAGCTGGGCGTGGTGGCACATGCCTGTAATCCCAGCTACTTGAGAGGCTGAGGCAGGAGAATTGCTTGAACCAGGGAGGTGGAGGTTGCAGTGAGCTGAGATCACGCCATTGCACTCTAGTCTGAGCGACAGAGTGAGACACTGTCTCAAAAGAAAAAAAAAAGAAAAAAAAAGGAAAATGCTTTAAAGCACATGGACGTGATAGGTACTACAAAAAGAATGGACACATTGGTCTCTTGTTACCACACCCATGCACTTATTCAGTCCCTTGAAGGAGGAAGAGTGGATACATTGGTCAGAATCTAGAACATTCATTGGGGTACATTTACCAACATTCCTTAAAGATGAGCAACTCTGACTATTACAGTCTCTTTGTTTTCCTTTTGCAGATATAGACAGGGTTTTTCTCTTTGACACAGGCCTAACCAGGTTTCTTTCTTCTTTTCCATCCCCCTGAAATATGCAACTGAATGGTAAATTATGTCAGGGCTTGGTTGGCATATATCTCTTACTGAAAATGCACCTTGATCCTAGAATTTAGAGTAAAGATGGAGAACTAGAACCATTCTTTTCTCAACATTAGACCATGTGCTCCATCCTATACAGCTTATAAGAAGACCCTGAATGGGAAGTTACTGAGCTCTTACATATCTATTTAGAAAGCAGCATTTTGTTTCTCATCTTATCTAATTTTCTCTTGGGGAAGCATATAGGTACAGGTGGTTATGACGTAAGATCAGGTTGTTTCTTCATTCAAGACTGTAAGAGAATCACAAATACAACGCTAACCTCACAAATGTGACCGTAACCGCTCACTGATTCCTAAGGGGGCACCAGCTCATTCAGCACTTCTCATTTCCTCACACAGCCCCTCAACCAGCAGGAATGAGATTCTTCACTGCACAGAACACTCAAGGCAGGTGTGGTTCTGGCCTGAAAGAGAGATTGTCCAGTTCTTACAAAGTGCTGGTTGGCCTCAGTTTTATGCTGTTAGTGCCAATACAGTGCTTTTCATACAAACTGAGGACTAAACTCTGATTTTTTTTTTTTATCTTGCCCAAATTCCTATCTAAGGGGTCTGGGGAGTCATGCCCTACAAACCAAAAATTCTCATCAGATGTGTTTTATTTAACCCTGTAAATAGTGGCTTACTTTCCAATCTGACTCTGGCATAACAAGGAAGAAAATCAAAATATTTTACCCCAAAACATGTTTCTCTACCATATCTTGAAATGACCCTGCAAAGCCGTCTCTTGTGGGAAAAATCCATATTCTATAGAAAATCCCTTTTCCCCTTGTTTTCCTTCCTTCCTTTCCAGATCCAGGAGATCATCAACTAAGAGACTTTTAGGTCCGATAAAAAACATTTTACAACCCGCTCTCTCTCTCTCTCTCTGAAGTCTGCTACCTGAGAGCTTCCTCTGTACAATAAAACTTGGTCTCCATAATTTTTATCTTAACCTGAACATTTTCTATTCATCCCAGGTCTTCAGATAAACTCAACCAATTGTCAACCAGAAAATGTTTAAATTTACCTACAGGCTGGAAGCCCCTGCTTTGAGTTGTCCTGCCTTTCTGAACCACAGTAACCTATTTCTTACATGTATTTGATTGATGTCTCATGCCTCCCTAAAATATACAAAACCAAGCTGTACCCCGACCACCTTGGGCACATGTTCCCAGGACCTCCTGAGGGCTGTGTCATGGGCCGTGGTCACTCATATTTGGCTCAGAATAAATCTCTAAATATATTTTACAGTTTGACTCTTTTCATCAACAGAACCACCACGGAGAACAATGTGGGAATGATCCAGTCTTACAGAGATGACAGATAGGAGTGAGAGGAGTTTTTGCATTTTTAGTTTTTTGAATGTGTTTTTTGGTACAGCCTTAGTGAAACTTCATTAAGCAATGGCTAGGTACAGATTTGAGAGGCATTAACAATTTTTAGGAGCCTAATAGCTATCTATTAATTAATTTGACAAATATTTACTCTGAAATTCCAGTAACTAGGTCCTTGGTAGACTCTGGGGATGCAAAGATGGGGAAGGCAGGATCTCCTGGAGGAGAAAATATTCAGTTGGAGGAGAAAAGCACTTAAACAAATATTAGGTTGGTGTAAAAGTAATTGTGAGTTTTTTTCATTACTTTTAATAGCAAAAACTGCAATTACTTTTGTACCAACCTAATAATTATGATGCATCATGATGCTGAGGAATGAACTCAAATTGACCTCTGCCAGATCTTCCTTGCCTTGTAAAATCCTGTAAATCTTTTAAAGCCAACTCAAATCCTGCTTTCTCCAAGAATCCTAAGTGCTCAGTTCAGTCAAAACAAATCTCTCTTGCCCTCTAACTTATATATTAACAATATTATGTTTGTGTCTCTTTCCCATTTGATTTTATATTCTTGAAGGACAGAAGCTGTATCTTAGCCATCTGTGTATTCTCCAATTTGGCCAGCACAGTCTTTTTCATGTAGTAAATACTGAATGTTTGTTGAATTGAAATAAACTTTATTACATTAATCAGTTAGTTCTCATGGAGTTTCCAAATACATTGATTCTCTGTTGTGGAAGAGAAAGGACAACAGAAGCAACATATTTCTAATTAATAGTTTCAATTTTGGTGAGAAATTATTTGCCTGGAATCTAAAAAAAAGTACATGAAGTCTTAATTTTAATATCATTATAGTAAGTGTATGTTGTTTCCACTGAAAATAAGAGAAACACAAAGGAAAATAATTCATTCTACCAAAAGGACGCATGCACCCACATGTTCATTGCAGCACAATTCACAATAGCAAACATGTGGAATCAACCCTGTTGTCCATCCACAGTAAACTGCATAAAGAAAACGTGGTACATATATACCATAAAACACTATGCAGCCATAAAAAGGGCAAAATCATGTTCTTTGCAGCTACATAGATGCAGCTGGAGACCAGCATCCTAAGTGAGTTAACACAGAAAAAGAAAATCAAATACCACATGTTGTTACTTATAAGTGGAAGCTAAACATTGAGTACACATGGACATAATGAGAGGAACAATAGACACCGGGACTACTAGAAGGGGGAGGGAGGGAAGGAAAAGGATCAGGGTTGAAAAACTACCCACTGGGTACTATGCTCATTACCTGGGTGATGTGTTCAGTCATACTCCAAACCTCAGCATCATACAATACCTTCGTAACAAACCTGCACATGTACCCTGTGATTCTAAAATAAAAGAGTGCAGTGGCGCGATCTTGGCTCACTGCAACCTCCATCTCCCGGGTTCAAGCGATTCTCCTGCCTCAGCCTCTGGAGTAGCTGGGACTACAGGCACCCGCCACCATGCCCGGCTGATTTTTGTATTTTTAGTAGAGATGGGGTTTCACCATGTTGGCCAGGCTGGTCTCAAACTCCTGACCTCAAGTGATTCCCCTGCCTCGGCCTCCTGAAGTGCTGGGATTACAGGCAGGAGCCACTGCGCCCAGCCCAACATGTAGATTTTTAGACATTATTTGCTGTCACTTGAAACTTAGAAAGATGATGGAATTGCAGACAATTTGAATTCAAGTTACTCTGTAATGCTAATGAACAGAATATATCTACTGATTATTACTGATTGTATTTGGAGAAGTTTAGATGGCGGTTACAGTGTTGGAAAGTAGGAATGTCAGAAATGGGTGTTGAGATCATGTGAAATAAAGTTACTATCAAAGATAGGAATTGAGATCATAGAGAATAAACTCGGAGATATGGGGTAAGCAAGAGCATGCAGAGAGACTTGAATGAGAGGAAGAATTCAGCACCAGATACAATGTAAAACAGGAGGCCATTTCTAGTTCTTGGTGAGAAGAATAGCTGACTGTAGTTACGGCCCTTTAAACTCACTGCTCTGAGCCACAGTTTAAAATGAGGTTTAGCAGGAGAGAGTTCCATGAAGAACCCCAAAAGTTAAAAAAAAGTATAAATTAATAGTTTTTAAAATAAAATGATACAAATGTTTTGGGAAAACTAATGAGGTATAAAATGGATTAGAAGGAAGAGGTCATAGAGACAGGAAATCCAGTTAAGGACAGCTTTATTTGTTCCAGTAAGAGGAGGTGAAGGCAGAGATTAGGATGGAAGACAGAAGGGATAGAAGTAAAGCTGAAGTTGCTCCATCTGCCAAGATGTCAGGTTACCTCTGAAAGCCTTTTCATTTACCAGTGATTCATTCTGTTTTGAGTTTTCTTCGGACTTCATTTTCCATTTGTTATTACTGATTACAATAATAAAGGTCTGATTTAGCACCCTCCCCATATGTTAAGGCCTCGAAGACAAACATAAATGACAAAGATGTGTCTTCTTTGAAAAATTCTTTGTGATTTTAATTTTTCACACACTCATGAAGTATAACTGAAAGAGATGGTGATTAAGATAATTTAGTATTGTTTTTCACCAAGATGCCTTGGATTTCTAGCATACTTTGATGTAGAGTATGCTATTCAGAGTACTAAGGTGTGAAGGATTTCTATGGCACTTTGCAATGGTTTCCACACAATGGCTGAAAATGTTTCTACGTGCCTGAGACAAAGGCTTTTAATCTTTTGCCCAAGGAGCAAGTTTGAGTTTGCCACATAAAATAGCACCCAAGGAACTGGGTCTTGCCTTCTAACGAAAGGGAAGCAATGGAGATGGAAATTTTCTTATAGTATTTTCTAAATGTCACTTTGTAGTATTAGATGGAGTTAACTGGCTAGAAATGTCTGAGCTAAAGTTCACTTAAGGTAATGGTTTTGGGTTACGTTTATCTTAGTCCATTCCTTAGTTTCCAAAAAACAAAAGATATTGAAATGCATGAATAAAAGGAGAATATTCAAGACAATAATAAAAAACAACCAGCTGCATTCCATTTTGGAATTAGGATTTTTTAAAAAGACAAGCTGTTAAAACGCGACTGCTCGTCTACTCCAATATGTTGAGAAACAGGGTCTCTGGTTATTAAAGCCAAAGCTGAAATTATTTTCAAATAATTATTATTCCATCATTTATAGTCCACTGAAAACATGCTTAAAGCGTAACTTGTTCTGGTCGCCAAAGGTGAAATGATAAAAGTCACTAAAACATGAACCTGAGAAGTATCTAAACCCACTTTTGCTTTGCCGTTGATGATTCCTTATCTTGCAACGATAATTTCCACCCAGCAAATATCCTTTGCCTGGGTTCATAGGACATATTTCTGCCATTTTTCTTGCATTGTTAATGAGTCGCCTGAAGCACGCAATCTGTGGTGGGACAGTTTTACTTTAAAAAGGTATAAATAGCCGGGCGCGGTGGCTCACGCCTGCAATTCCAACAGTTTGGGAGGCCAGGTGGGCAGATTACTTGAGGTCAGGAATTCAAGACCAGACTGGCCGATATGGTGAAACCCCGTCCCTACTAAAAATACAAAAAAATTAGCCGAGGGTGGTGGTGCACGCCTGTAGTCCCAGCTACTCAGGAGGCTGAGGCAGGAGAATCTCTTGAGCCTGGGAGGCGGAGCTTGCAGTGAGCCGAGATGGCGCCATTGCCGCACTTCAGCCTGGGCGGCAGAGCAAGACTCCCAGACTCTGTCTAAGAACAACAACAACAACAACAACAAATATATATATATAAATGAGGCGGATTGTAGACTTGGGCGTTTCAAATATCCACAGTCCACTGCTAGTTCATTTTTCTTTCTTCTCCATTCCAAAAGCCAGTAGTTGTTTTCTTCCACGGGAATCTAGGCTTAATTTGGATTAAAATTGTCCTGGAATTTATGGGAACCTGCTTTTCTGAACTCCGGTCTTAAAAATCTTCCAGAATATAACATTTTCACAGATAAGAAGTTTCAGATTCTGTTCCTTTTGGCTTTAATGCAAGGTTTTCTATTTTTTTCCCCCTAAATCTACTATTAATATTTCTCTAAAAATGGCAAGCATTTTAAGAAACTTTCTTATAATTCTCTTGCCCATTCCTCCAATCCCCATATTGAATATTCACATTTTTCCTAAAAAGAACAACTATTTTACTTGATCTTGGTATCCTATTGTACTCTTCATAAACCAAAAAAAAAAAAAAACCCATAAATTTTACATCTTAACTTTCACAGTTACTACAATCTTAAGGACGCAGGTAAACTTTACTCATATAACTCAATGTGATCTCACTTTGCATTGTAGAGCCTGCCAAAAAGTGGGTAGTTTGTTCAGTCCACCCTAGTAATTTTCCAAGTCAGTGTAGGTTAAAATATTGTCAATTCAAGAGTCTACTGTCTTCTCCGTCTTCAGGGAATGGTGTTTGAATCTAGGGGAGATTTATATCTCAAGGATAGGCAGGAAGGGTGAAGGTGAGCCAGTGGTCCCTGACAGCATCTATATAGTGTCTGCTGCTGCGAATAATAATAATAGATACTCCGTCTTCTACCCCTGGGTTATCCATGGTGACGATTCTGGCAAGGAAATAGTGTGATCTCCTTCCTTGTCTCTGTGGCAGGGGTGACACATACAAGGTTTCAGCTCCACATTTTCCAGCTGGTGACTGAAATATTACACTTCTTTCAATGTAAGTTTTCTCACTCCTTTTAAAGAACTTCTTAGCAGGTAGTTGCTCTCACCTGCAGAAAAATTTCACATTCTATTTATGGGGATAAAATTTTGCATCTCTTCCTCACGGCTTGTGGGGTACCAGGAAGATTCAGGAGGGAGATGTCCTCAGGTCTCTCCTATCCATATTCATTACCCTGTCACCTCACTGCTCTCTGCTTGGCCAGGTGGTACAAGGACTATTGCCAGAAAAGAAATTGTTCTCAAAAATCTTCAGCTGGAAGCTGGTTCTAATTCCCTAATTTCAAGAGGGAGTTTGCCCCCTGTTCATCATTTTAAATTCCAATTATTGGAGCACATAATCCACTTCTCAACTCTCTGTTACCAGAGATTTGTTCTTTTTACAAAGAAGGTGGGAAAACGTAAGAAAAAAAAATTGGTTCAGATGGATAGTAACAGTTTTTAAATTCTACACCTCACACCTACATCCTTGCTGTTTACCAAAAACCCTTCCTTCCCAAATTTGGTGTCTTTGTTCATCGGTCTTGGCAACTTTTTTCCCATCCATCACAGGGACCCACATGCTTCAGGGTTCAAATGAGTGGGGTCATGGAGGAGAAGTACATGCTGATTAGTGTAATCAAGATGTATCCTCTGGCCCCAGCTGAGGTTTATGATGGAACCATGTAAGATTATTCATGGAGGTGCTGATGACAACAGAGGAGTACCACAGGATTTAGCGAAATGTCTAAGAAGGAAAATGCTTCTCTAGATGTATAATAAGCTTCAGCTGCACTTCAGTGTGGTGAGAAGAAAATCAGTGTTGTTTTTTGGAGCTAAATTCTGTCCCATACTTGAAAATGTTAACACAGTGGAAACTTTTGATCAAAAAACTAGGACATCATTTTGCATAAAGTGCTAGAGCAGATTCTATAATACCTACAGAATGGCAGAAAGGCTGTTTGCACGAGAGGACACCATAAATCCACTCAGTACTAATAGCATGCAATGAAAACTCTTTTCAGAAGAGAGATTTTGCACACAAAGAGCCCCGAGGGAAGAGATAGCAATGGAAACATCCATCAAGTAAGGAAAGGGTGTTTAGAAAATTGCTCTTCCGACTCCATCTATCATACTATCAGAGACTGCTGTGTTAATCCATTTACCACCACTAAGCATGAGCACAAAGACAAAATGCAGAAGTATTCCTTGGGGAGAGCTTTCAACAAAACTTCTATAGAGGCTAATGTGGACAATGGGGATTTTTCCCATGTCACATCCAAAAAGCACTGAGTGCAACTTACACATCAACATGCAGCTGTGGGTGGTTTTTCAAATATAAGTCATCTCTTAATTCTTTGCTCCAAGGGGCATTGTTTTCTTCCTTCACAGGACAAGTTCTCAGTTGTGAATACATGCTGCAGCTCCTCTCTGCCTCTTCAATGGCAATATAAACTTCATATTATCCTGAGGGTTAAAAACAAAATAAGATCTTACTTCTCTGAATTCATTCTCCATGTATGGTAAAAAGGGCATTAATTAGAAATACTGCAATGATTATATAAAAATATTCATAATTACTTTCTTAGCTTTTACAATTGTCCCCAAAAAGAAAAGCATAGCCAAGTGTTTACCATGCTATTAAATATTATCAATTTCAATATTAATACATTGATAATGAAAATAATTCCATTTGTTTTTACAGTGGTTTTCTGTCTTTATAGTTATTTCACATCTTTTATTGCATTTGACTCACTTATTTGAATATTCTGAAAGTTACATACTTCCCTACTCTATTGACTAATTGTTCTTTCAAATGATTAAATAAATCTTTTTGGGGAAAGACATATGAAATTACAAGATGAAAACAATTCTTAGGGACATTATGCTCTGACCATTTCAATGAAGTCTTAGTCATGTGTGACTGGGAGAGAAAGAAGCAATGCCTTGAAAAATGATAGTGAGTGCAGCAGCTGCTTTGAAGAGCAAACGCCCTAGCCCATGTCACACCATTAAGAAGGATTATTCCCTAAAGAGAATAGTATAGACAAGTCACTTATTTAACTATGAGGTAAATTTCCAGGAAGAAGATTTAGATTTAAATTTCTTCGAGAAATCTACAGACTACTAAAATTCACCCATAACAATGATCCAGACATGCTATGTTAATGTTAGTGTTTTCAACTTTTTGAGTAGAACCTGTTTATAAAATATTACACAGATATGGCTGGATGCGGCGGCTCACGCCTGTAATCCCAGCACTTTGGGAGGCCGAGGCGGGTGGATCATGAGGTCAGGAGACCGAGACCATCCTGGCCAATATGGTGAAAACCCGTCTCTACTAAAAATACAAAATTAGCTGGGCATGGTGGTGCACAGCTGTAGTCCCAGCTACTCGGGAGGCTGAGATAGGAGAATCACCGGAACCTGGGAGGCAGAGGTTGCATTGAGCCGAGATCATGCCACTGCACTCCAGCCTGGGAGACAGAGCGAGACTCCATCTCAAAACAAAACAAAAAATTATACAGATATGATAATACTTGCAGTTTTATTATTTGGTGTCTGGGAGAATTGTAAGGACCACACATTTTTATGAATTTAGCAAAATATACGTTTATAATAATTTATCTTTAAATAATCACACCGTAATTTACATGTGGTAAATTATGTAAAATGTACCTGTGTCTATAGCTATGTTTGGCTAACATATAAATTCTTATTACACCTCAAGGCCTTCAGATGTTTTCAGCTTATCAGCTAAGAATTTCAATCAATTAACATTAAATTTATATCCACAAATTAATTAATTTATTAATTGAACATTTTAAAAAGCATTTCTTTAGGCATTGCATAATACTAGGTGCTGTGAAAGAAAGAAATAAAATCAGACATTCTTTAGAGCAACTGAGAGTCTAATAACATATACATACATATATGTGTATATATATATGTAACTATAATATTAAGTAAAAGTTAATTACAAGACTCATTTCCAGAAAAATGACAGACTAGATACCCTGAACACCTTCCCTCACCTGCCAAATTATAAAAATAAAGTGCACCTAGTTTTTTCTTACAATTCTGTGCTTTTGGAAAATAATATTTAAAAATCTTTCTATGGGAATTCATCTTTAAGTTAAGATTCCCACAGACAAAATTTCAAACTTGCAGTCAAAACCATAAGGCCCTCATTGGAAATAAGGCAAAGCAAAGCCAGCAAGAAATAACAGACAATTAAATCAGATATTACAGATTTCAAATATTAGAATTATTAGACTGAAATAGAATAATATATTTGTTATGCATAATAAAATAAATAGGAAAGGAAAATTTGACTAAGGAATAAGGGACTATAAGATTGGTCAGGCAGATTTAGGAAAAAATCAAATGAACATGTAGGAATACAAAAATTGATATTTAAATTTAACATCTGTGTTATAAATAGGTATAAATTTCTGTGATCTTGGATTAGGTAATGGTTTCTTAAGTAAGACACCTACAGTACAAATAACCAAAGAAAAAATAGAAAAACTAAATGTCATTAAATTTAGAAAGCTTTTGTGCCTCTAACAAATGGTGTTGGGTCAACTGGATAGCCACATGCAAAAGAATGAGCTGGACCCTTACCTCACGCCATATACAAAAACTGATTCAAAATGAATCAGAGACCTAAATGTAAGAGCAGAAAATATGTCTTTGAAGAAAATTTAGGAATAAATCGTATGACTTTGCATCTGACAATGATTTAGCTATGACACTAAAAGCACAAGCACCAACAACAAAATAATATTTAGACTTAATCAAAATTTGAAAATGTATATAAAGAACACTAGACAACCTACATAATGGGAGAAAATATTTGCAAATTATATATATAATATATAATTATATATTTGCAAATTAAATATATAATAAAGATTTAGTATTCAGAATATATAAAGAAATTTTACAACAACAAAAAGACAAAACAATCCAGCTTAAAAATGGGCAAAGCACTTATATAGACATTTCTCCAAAGAAGTTATACAAATAGCCAATAAACACAAAATAAGATGTTCACATTATTAGTCATTAGGAAAATACAAATCAAAACCACAGTAAGATACCACTTTATGACCGGTAGGATGGATACAAATTTTTTTTAAGCAGAAAATAACAAGTGTTGGTAAGGACATGGAGAAATTGGAATCCTCATGCAATGCTGGTAGAAATGTAAAATGGTGCAGCCACCATGGAAAACAATCAGACAGTTCCTCAAAAAGTTAAACATGGAGTTACCATCATTCCCACTCCTAGAAGAGAACTGAAAACATATGTCCACACAAACACTTCACATGAATGTTCATAACAGCATTACTCATAATAGTTAGAAAGTAGAAACAACCCAACTGTCTTTCAACTGATGAATGCATAAATAAAATATGATATTACCTCTATAACAGAATATTATCCAGCAATAAAAAATGAAATGCTGGTACATACTACAGCATGGATAAATCTTGAAGACATTATGCTATGTGAAAGAAGCCAGACACAAAAGGCCTCATATTGTATGATCCCACTTACATGAAATGCCCAGAATAGGCAAATCCATAGAGACAGACCTGGTTAATGATTGCCAGGGTCTGGAGAGAGGGGAAAAGAAAGCCACTGTTAATGGGTATGAGGTTTCTTTTTGGCGTGATAAAAATGCTCTGGAATTAGACATTGACGATTAAGTACAACTTTGTGAATCTACTCAAAACACTGAATTGCACATTTTTTTAAAGGGTAAATTTTATGGTAGGTGAATTCTATTTTGATTTTTTAAAAACTAATGTGTATTATAGCAGACTTTATATAAATGAGGAAAGGATCAATAAACTGGAAGATAGAAAAATTTATTCAACATGCTTCTCAGAGAGAAAAATTAATAAATTGTATATGACAGTGGAAGTAAGTAATGTAAAGGAGAATGAGAAAGCTGACATATACCTAACTGGAGTTACAATAGAAGAGAAAAGGGAAAATAGAAATGAGTCAATATGTAAGGCATTAACACCCCAAAACATTTCAAATGTATTTTCAAAAACTGTTCTCATTTCAGGAAACTGAACAAATTCTGAATATAAGTAAGAAAAAGAGAAATACACTACTAGATACAGCATAGGGGAACACAATTAGAAAAAGAGAGAAGATGGCCAGGTGTGGTGGCTCACGCCTGTAATCTCAGCACTTTGGGAGGCCGAGGCAGGCGGATCACAAGGTCAGGAGTTCGAGACCAGCCTGGCCATTATGGTGAAACCCTGTCCCTGCTAAAAATACAAAAATTAGCTGGGCGTGGTGGTGGGCGCCTATAGTCTCAACTACTTGGGAGGCTGAGGCAGGAGAATTGAACCCGGGAGGCAGGGGTTGCAGTGAGCCAAGATCACGCCACTGCACACCAGCCTGGGCGACAGAGTGAGACTCCATCTCAAAAAAAAAAAAAAAAAGAAAAAAGAAAAGAAAGAAAAGAAAAAGAGAGAAGATAAGTTGACTGTATGAAGAAATAGACAAATATTCTTAAAAAGAAAAAATGTTAAAATGACAGCTGGTTTCCCAGGAAAAAATAAAAATGAAAGCCAGAGAAAAACTGTAATAGTATATTGAAATTATTGAGAGAAAATAACTATCAATCCAGAATTGCACAGTTCGTGAAACATATCTTCTAATAATGAAGGCAAAATAAAATACTTTCGGAAAAAACCTGAAAGAATGTGGCAATAACCAATTCTCACAAAAAAAAAAAAAAACTTCATAAAACATGAAAGGTTTCATGTGCAAGAAGAAATAATGAGCAAAGAAATAGATACATTTATGAGTAAATCTAAACAACATAACAGTAAAAGACAATAATTAGTAATAATGTCTAATTTATGGAGTTATGTAAGATAGAACAAAAATTCTATACAATAGTAGTATATAAGTTGGGAGGAGGCTGATCAGAGTCAGTCATCTGAGGTTCTTGTATTGTTTATGAGAAAAGAAAAGATGATGATTAACTTTAGACTTTGCATACTAGAATTTTTAGAATGAGCATAACAGAATTAAAAATAGAAGATAATAGCGGGTATAAATTCTCACTGCTAGAATAAAAAATGAAATCACGAAAAAAAACCCCACAAACTTCTGTATCAGCTGCTTAACAAAGTGCCCTAAAACTTAGTGTCTTAAAAGAGCAATCATTTATTATTGCTCATCAGCTGGTAGATTAACTAGGCTGTTCCACTAATTTGGGCTAGATTTAGCTGTTCTTGGATAGACTCACTTATGTCATGACTCACGCTTCATCCCTGGGAGCTGGTCAGAGATGGCCTTATCTAGAGCAGCTCATCTCTTTTCCTTGTAGCCTCTCATCCTCCAACAGGCCAGCCTGCTCTTGTTCACATATTAACTGGACAAGTCCCAACAGAATGAATGCCTAAATCAGAGATTAGCAAACTTTCTCTGTAAAGGTCCAGATAGTAAATATTTTAGGCTTTGCAGGCCATACAATTGCAACCACTCAGCTCTGCTGTTTTGGCAAGAAAGCATCCATTGCCAATATGAACATGAATGAACGTGGCTGTGTTACAATTAATCTTTATGTTAAAAGATGGACAGCAGGCCAGATTTGGCCTGTGGGCTTTAGTTTGCTTACTCCTGGCATAGACTTAGGACTGGTATAGCTTCTTTCACCTCTTGATAGAAAGAAATGCAAAGTCTTATTACCAAAGGGATTCCTTTTACAGGGAGAGAAATGATTGCATCTCATTTTGATAATCCACCATAATTTCAATAAATCAAAAAGAAGTCAAGAAAAAGCCCGGGCACAGTGGCTCATGCCTTTAATCCCAGCACTTTGGGAGGCCAAGGTGGGCAGATAACCTGAGGTCAGGAGTTCAAGACCAGTCTGACTAACATGGTGAAACCCCATCTCTACTAAAAATACAAAAATTAGCTGGGCGTGGTGGAGAGTGCCTGTAATCTCAGCTACTTGGGAGGTTGAGGCAGGAGAATCGCTTGAACCTGGGAGGCCGAGGTTGCAGTGATCTGAGATCACACCACTGCGCTCCAGCCTGGGTGACAAGAGAGAGATTCCATCTCAAAAGAAAAAAAAAAAAAAGAAGTCAAGAAAAGAGAGAGAAAGTTCACAGAAAAAGTAAAAATAAGACAATATAAAGCAATATAAGTAAAGTCAAACATATTATTCACAAATTTACAGTAAATGTGAAGGGAATCATCTCTCAATTTAAAGCTGTAAAGCCAAAATTATTGAAACAGCAAAGAGGAATTTTAAAACCCATCAACGCTGTGGGAGATTTTAGCTTATTTCTCTCAGTAATTGATTAAGCAAAATGGCATGATTCAGTGCAGCTGAAGACGTGCATCCTGCATAACCCTGCAATTCTGGTCCTAGATGAACATTCTGAAGTGACTCTTAGGGATGCGCACAAAGACTCATGCACAAGGTGGTTCACAGAAGCATTGTGTATAGAGAAAAAACTGGAAACAACCAAACTGTCAGTCAAAAGGAGAATGAACAAAGAAAATGTGAATGAGGCCAATAGTAGAATTCTACACAATAGAGAAAAGGAATAAACCCCACCTTTATGGATGTATCTCAGGAGCTGAGAGTGCAATGTACAAAGCACATTGCAGAAGAGCACATACAATCTGACTTCACTTACCTACGGTTCAAAACATGCAAAACTAAACACTTTATTTTTAGGAAAAAAATAGATGGTAAGACTATTAAGATGGTGCTTACCTTTGTAGGTCGGGTTGGGAATGGTATGGGAGGGACATAAAGGGGGATTTGAAGATAGCTCTTAAGGAGGGTGTCTATTTTATATTATCTGTTTCCAATATAAACCAAATGGGCTTCTCTGAGTTTCCTTTCCTCTCATCCATCACCTCATTTGCATAATACACGTTCATCTTAGTGCAGGGGAGAGGGAAAGAGGTTATATAGCCTGTTACAAATGAGGCTGAGTTCTCAGATACAAAAATTTCCCTTTTATCTTACAATTGCATTATACTGAAAGTGAAACCTGTATCTCATTCTACTAAAGCAGAAAAACTTTAAATGACATTTTCAAATGTCTAGTATAAATGATATTTATGTTCAGTAGAATATAATTAGATTTTAATTCTCTGTTGATTTTGGTCTTTATGCCTGATTATAACAAATTTGCATTTAGGAAATTTTGTGTCACTTAAAAGATTCTTCAAGCTAAAATCTACAGACCATGTGATTATTTAGTTCACCACGTATATTACAATTTGAGCATCCCTAATCCAAAAATTTGAAATCCAAACACTTCTGGTCTCATGCATTTTGGATAAGGGGTACTCAACTCGTATTGCAAAATGTATTCTGCTGTGGGTGTTTCCCTATCCTGATGCTATTAAACCAGGCAATCCACCTGTGAAGTCCTATAAATTTCTGTGAAGGATCCTATGAATTCTTCAATAAATCAAAACAAGTCTTAAGCATTCTAGCCCTTTTCTTATTGTTTGTCTGGAAACTTCTAATTCAGTGACCTTCAGTTAGTGGGGTGGGAAAAAGAGAGGAAATATTTTCCAGCTTCAACTAAGGCCTCACCTGTAGCTATGACTCCATGGAATATGGTCCTTGTGGTCTTCCTTTGAGAATCAGAGGGGCAGAGAGCTGCAGTGCTTAGAGATGACTGATGTCTCGCTGGGTTGGTGCAGAAGCCTAAGCTTCACTCCTGCCCTTGCTCTGTCTCTAGTCAAAAAAGCACCCACACGGCTTTGGATTTTGTGGCATTGACTGTCATCCTGATTCATGCTTGCCTGTGGGACATGGCAGAGTTGAGTTTCCGTGGCTCAGTGCTCACTGCGCCCTGGCCAGGGTTCTTGCCTGCCCTTGGTGCTTCTTACCGCATTATATTTCAGGCCACCACTCTGCTTGACCTGGATCCACCAGACAGGTGGAGCTACTGTAATCCCTTTCAAGGGAGGTTTACATAGCATTAGAACTAAATCTTCTTTTATTTGTTCATACATATTAAATTACTGCTGGTGGATAGAAATGTTTTCTAAAGAGCAAGACTGCTTGGGTTCAAATCTCAGTTCCATTACTTACTAGTTGTGTGACCTGGGACAAGTTTTCATGTCTCTGTTCCTTCGTTTCTTCCTTACAAAATGGATATAATGAAATTATCCAATTTATGGGTTTGTTTGAGAGGATTAAATTAGTTAAAATATGTGGAACACTTAGGACATGCCTAGAATGTAGTAAACACTCCATCAATGTTAGTAATTCTTTCTACTGTTTGTTACAGAAAGTTCTGAGTGTTAAAGGGTATTTTATGTCTAGAGACAAAGTACAAAATTTGAGAGAGCTTTAACATTAGTACTAGAGTAGCAGTTCTGAGATTTGTAGTCTTAAGATGTTTACACATTTAGAAATTATGGAGGACCCAAAGAACCTTCGTTTTTGTGGATTATTTTCATTTATATTTACCTTATTCAATACTGAGCAATTAAAAATATTTATCAGTTTGTTTAAAAATAACATTAATAACCCTCTGTCTTGTTAATACAAATGATATGTTATGAAAAATGATTCTTCCACAAAATAAAAATAATTTAGTGAGAAGAGTGACATTGCTTTACATTTGTCCACATTTCTTTAATGTCTGGCTTAACTGAAGGCAGCTGGATTTTCATATTTGCTTTGCATTCAATTTGTTGTGATCACTTTGGGAGGTCGAGGCAGGAGGATGGCTTAAGGCCAGGAATTCGAGACCATCCTAGGCAACGTAGGGAGACCCCATCTCTACACACACAAAAAAAATTAGCCAGGCAGGGTGACATGTACCCGTAGTCCCAGCTCCTTGGGCGGCTGAGGCAGGAGGATCACTTGAGCCCAGGAGTTCAAGGCTGCAGTGAGCTGTGATTGTGCCACTGCACTCTAGCCTGGATGACAGAGCAAGACCCTGTCCATCTCAAAAAAATCTGTTGTGATATTATATGTCTTGTAGCCTTTGAAAAACATTGTATACTCATGAAAGAATGTATAGGAAAAGTGAAAATAATGTCTTAGTATTCATATGAAAAGAGTTTTGACCTTATAGACAGCCCTAAAAAGGTCTCAGGGAACTCTGGGGTCCACAGATCACATCTTGAAAGCCGTTGTGCTAGAGCAGGTGAGAGTTGAACACAACAGGTTTAAGACTAGACAGATTGCTTTAATTCCTGACTTCTTCTTCTTCTTTTCAGCCCTGAGACCTCCAGGCTGTTATGTTTGCTGGAACTTCCAACTGATCACTGTACCCCTGCATCTTTGCATGGCAGGTTCCTTCTCATTCTTCAGGCGTTAGCTTAAATACCCCTTTCTGGTAGAGGCCGCCCCTGACTACTCTACTATAAGCAGGCACCCCTTGTTATTTTGTAGCAATAGCCTCTGCTGTCTCCTTTTCAGTACTCATCACAAAATGTAATCACATTTATTTGTTTATTGGCTGCCTATTCCACCAGTAGATAAACTCCCTGAGGTCAGGGCCCTGTCTGTTTTGTTTACCATTGTAATTCCAACACCTACTTTGACCCCTTTCCTTATTCCATAAGTCTTAGTCAATCCATTAGCGAATCCTATTGACTTTATCATCCAACTATATCCAGAATCAGGTCACTTCCCAGCTCTTCCATCCTGCTACCCTGGTCCAAGGCCTGAACCTTCCATAGACCCTATCTATTAAAGGGTTTTCTGAAAGAAAACTCTGCCTTCCATTGCCCGTTAGTTACTATCTACACTCAACAACCAGAATAAGCCTTTCAAGATATAAATGAAAAAATATTCCGTTCCTCTGCTTACAATGTCCAGTGGCTTCTAATCATAGAGCCTTGCATGATTTACTTCCCAATTCCTTCTCTACTTTAGCCATAATGATCACTTTGCTGTTCTTCAGCACATTAAGCATATTCAAGGTCATAGCACTTGCTGTTACCTCTAACTGGAATACTATTGCTAATGACTCAGTTCCTCACTTCACTCAGGCCTCAGTTTAAATGTCATCTTATTGGAAAGTGTTTCCTCGACCAGTATCTATAAAATAGCAGCCTCCACCTGCCAATCTTTTTCTCTGTACATCATAATGCAATTTATTTTCTTTTGAGTGCTTATTAACAACCAATGTGTTCTGTATGTTTTTATTTATACCTTTCTTCTCCCACTGTCATGTAAATTTTCTCACCACAGGGATTTAGTCTTTTCTTTTTATTACCGTATCCTCTATGTCAAGGACTGGACCTGATACACTTAACAGCTGGGTGCTCCATATAAGTTTGCTAAATGAATTTTAAAATGAGCTAATGAATAAATCGCATAGAAATCATGCTTTTAAAAAAGTAATCTATGGGCTTCCATTCCAAGATGGCTGAGTAGGAACAGCTCCGGTCTTCAGCTCCCAGTGTGATCAATGCAGAAGACAGGTGATTTCTGTGGTTACAACTGAGGTATCTGGCTCATCTCATTGTGACTGGTCGGACAGTGAGTGCAGCCCATGGAGGGTGAGCTGAAGCAGAGTGGGGCATTGCCTCACCCGAGAAGTGCAAGGGATCAGGGGATTTCCCTTTCCTAGACAAGGGAAGCCATGACAGACTGTACTGGGAAAAACGGGACACTCCAGCCCAAATACTGTGCTTTTCCCAAGGTCTTAGCAACCAGCAGACAAGGAGATTCTCTCCAGTGCCTGACTCCGCAGGTCCCATGCCCACAGAGCCTTGCTCACTGCTAGTGCAGCAGTCTGAGATTGAACTGTGTGGCAGCAGCCTGGCTGGGGGAGGGGCATCTGCCATTACTGAGGCTTGAATAGGTAAACAAAGCAGCCAGGAAGCTCGAACTGGGTGGAGCCCACTGCAGCTCAGCAAGGCCTACTGCCTCTGTAGACTCCACCTCTGTGGGCAGGGCATAGCTGAACAAAAGGCAGTAGACAACTTCTGCAGACTTAGACATCCCCGTCTGACAGCTCTGAAGAGAGCAGTGGTTCTCCCAGCATGGCGTTTGAGCTCTGAGAACAGACAGACTGCCTCCTCACATGGGCGCTTGACCCCTGTGTAGCCTAACTGGGAGACACCTCCCAGTAGGGGCTGACAGACACCTCATACAGGTGGGTGCTCCTCTGGGACAAAGCTTCCAGAGGAAGGATCAGGCAGCAATATTTACTGCTCTGCAATATTTGCTGTTCTGCAACCTCTGCTGGTGATACCCAGGGAAACACGGTCTGGAGTGGACCTCCAGCAAACTCTAACAGACCTGCAGCTGAGGGCCTTGACTGCTAGAAGGAAAACCAACAAGCAGAAAGGAATAGCATCGACATCAACAAAAAGGACATCTACACCAAAACCCCATCTGTAGGTCTGTAGGTCACCAGCATCAAAGACCAAAGGTAGATAAAACCACAAAGATGGGGAAAAACCAGAGCAGAAAAGCTGAAAATTCTAAAAATCAGAGTGCCTCTTCTCCTCTAAAGGATTGCAGCTCCTTGCCAGCAACGGAACACAGCTGGATGGAGAATGACTTTGACGAGTTGACAGAAGTAGGCTTCAGAAGATCGGTAATAACAAACTTCTCTGAGGTAAAGAAGCACGTTCTAACCCATCACAAGGAAGTTAAAAACCTTGAAAAAAGGTTAGACGAATGGCTAACTAGAATAAACAGTGTAGAGAAGATCTTAAATGACCTGATGGAGCTGAAAACCATGGCACAAGAACGTTGTGACACATGCACAAGCTTCAATAGCCAATTCGATCAAGTGGAAGAAAGGGTATCAGTGATTGAAAATCAAATTAATGGAATAAAGCGAGAGACAAGTTTAGAGAAAAAAGTGTAAAAAGAAATGAACAAAGCCTCCAAGAAATATAGGATGACGTGAAAAGACCAAATCTATGTTTGATTGGTGTAACTGAAAGTGATGGGGAGAATGGAACCAAGTTGGAAAACACTCTTCAGGATATTATCCAGGAGAACTTCCCCAACCTAGCAAGGCAGGCCAACATTCAAATTCAGGAAATACAGAGAATACCACAAAGATATTCCTTGAGAAGAGCAATTCCAAGACACATAATTGTCAGATTCACCAAGGTTGAAATGAAGGAAAAAATGTTAAGGGCAGCTAGAGAGAAAGGTCAGGTTACCCACAAAGGGAAGCCCATCGGACTAACAGCAGATCTCTCAGCAGAAACCTTACAAGCCAGAAGAGAGTGGGGACCAATATTCAACATTCTTAAGGAAAAGAATTTTTAACCCAGAATTTCATACCCAGCCAAACGAAGCTTCATAAGTGAAGGAGAAATAAAATCCTTTACAGACAAGCAAATGCTGAGAGATTTTGTCACCACCAGGCCTGCCTTATAAGAGCTCCTGAAGGAAGCACTAAACATGGAAAGGAACAACCAGTATCAGCCACTGCAAAAACATGCCAAATTGTAAACACCAACGATGCTAGGAAGAAACTGCATCAACTAACGGGCAAGATAGCTAGCTAACATCATAATGAAGGGATCATATTCACACATAACAATATTAACCTTAAATGTAAATGGGCTAAATGCCCCAATTAAAAGACACAGACTGGCAAATTGGATAAAGAGTCAAGACGCATCAGTGTGCTGTATTCAGGAGACCCATCTCACGTGCAGAGACACACATAGGCTCAAAATAAAGGGATGGAGGAAGATCTACCAAGCAAATGGAAAGCAAGAAAAAAAAAGCAGGGGTTGCAATCCTAGTCTCTGATAAAACAGACTTTAAACCAACAAAGATCAAAAGAGACGAAGAAGACCATTACATAATGGTATAGGGATCAAATTCAACAAGAAGAGCTAACTATCCTAAACATATATGCACCCAATACAGGAGCATCCAGATTTATAAAGCAAGTCCTCAGAGACCTACAAAGAGACTTAGACTCCCACACAATAATAATGGGAGACTTTAGCACCCCACTGTCAATATTAGACAGATCAATGAGTCAGAAAGTTAACAAGGATATCCAGGACTTGAACTCAGCTCTGCACCAAGCAGACCTAATAGACATCTACAGAACTCTCCATCCCAAATCAACAGAATGTACATTCTTCTCAGCACAACATCACACTTGTTTTAAAATTGAGCACATAATTGGAAGTAAAGCACTCCTCAGCAAATGTAAAAGAACTGAAACCACAACAAACTGTCTTTCGGACCACAGTGCAATCAAATTAGAATTCAGGATTAAGAAATTCACTCAAAACCACAGAACTACATGGAAACTGAACAACCTGCTCCTGAATGACTACTGGGTAAATAACGAAATGAAGCCAGAAATAAAGATGTTCTTTGAAACCAGTGAGAACAAAGACACAACATACCAGAATCTCTGGGACACATTTAAAGCAGTGTGTAGAGGGAAATTTATAGCACCATAAATGCCCACAAGAGAAAGCAGGAAAGATCTAAAATTGACACCCTAACATCACAATTAAAAGAACTAGATAAGCAAGAGCAAACAAATTCAAAAGCTAGCAGAAGGCAAGAAATAACTAAGATCAGAGCAGAACTCAAGGAGACAGAGACACAAAAAACCCTTCAAAAAATCAATGAATCCAGGAGCTGTTTTTTTTGAAAAGATCAACAAAATTGATAGACCACTAGCAAGACTAAAGAAGAAAAGAGAGAAAAATCAAATAGATGCAATAAAAAATGATAAAGGGGATATCACTACTGATCCCACAGAAATACAAACTACCATCAGAGAATACTATAAACAGGTCCATACAAATAAACTAGAAAATCTGGAAGAAATGGATAAATTCCTGGACACATACACCCTCCCAAGAACAAACCAGGAAGAAGTTGAATCTCTGAATAGACCAATAACAGGCTCTGAAATTGAGGCAATAATTAATAGCCTAACAACCAAAAAAAGTCCAGGACCAGACAGATTCACAGCCGAATCTACCAGAGGTACAAACAGCAGCTGGTACTATTCCTTCTGAAACTATTCCAATCTATAGAAAAAGAGAGAATCCTCCCTAACTCATTTTATGAGGCCAACATCATCCTGATACCAAAGCCTGGCAGAGACACAACAAAAAAAGAGAAGTTTAGACCAATATCCACGGTGAACATCAATGCAAAAATCCTCAATAAAATACTGGCATACCAAATCCAGCAGCACATCAAAAAGCTTATCCACCATGATGAAGTTGGCTTCATCCCTGGGATGCAAGGCTGGTTCAACATACACACATCAATAAACATAATCCATCACATAAACAGAACCAAAGACAAAAACCACATAATTATCTCAATAGATGCAGAAAAGTCCTTCCATGAAATTCAACACCTCTTCATGCTAAAAACTCTCAATAAACTAGGTGTTGATGGAACATATCTCAAAATAATAAGAGCTATTTATGACAAACCCACAGCCAATATCATACTGAATGGGCAAAAACTGGAAGCATTCCCTTTGAAAACTGGCACAAGACAAGGATGCCCTCTCTTATCACTCCTTTTCAACATATTATCGGAACTTCTGGCCAGGGCAATCAGGCAAGAGAAAGAAATAAAGGGTATTCAATTAGGAAAAGAGGAACTCAAATTGTCCGTGTTTGCAGATGAGGTGATTATATTTAGAAAACCCCATTGTCTCAGCCGAAAATCTCCTTAAGCTGATAAGCAACTTCAGCAAAGTCTCAGATACAAAATCAATGTGCAAAAATCACAAGCATTCCTATACACCAATAACAGACAAACAGAGAGCCAAATGATGAGTGAACTCCCATTCACAATTGCTACAAAGAGAATAAAATACCTGGGAATCCAACTTACAAGGGATATGAAGGACGTCCTCAAGGAGAACTACAAGCCACTGCTCAATGAGATAAAAGAGGACACATATAAATGGAAGACCATTTTATGCACATGGATAGGAAAAATCATGAAAATGGCCATACTGTCCAAGGTAATTTATAGATTCAATGCCATCCCCATCAAGCTACCAATGACTTTCTTCACAGAATTGGAAAAAGCTACTTTAAAGTTCATATGGAACCAAAAAAGAGCCCATATAGCCAAGACAATCCTAAGCAAAAAAAAAAAAAAACAAAGCTGGAGGCATCACGCTACCTGACTTCAAACTATACTACAAGGCTACAGTAACCAAAACAGCATGGTACTGGTACCAAAACAGATATATAGACCAATGAAACAGAACAGAGGCCTCAGAAATAACACCACACATCTACAACCATCTAATCTTTGACAAACCTGACAAAAACAAGCAATTGGGAAAGGATTCTCTATTTAATAAATGGTGCTGGGAAAACTGGCTAGCCATATGTAGAAAGCTGAAACTGGATCCTTTCCTTACACCTTATACAAAAATTAATTCAAGATGGATTAAAGACTTAAATGTTAGACCTAAAACCATAAAAACCCTAGAAGAAAACCCAGGAAATACCATTTAGGACATAGGCACGGACAAGTACTTCATGACTAAAACACCAAAAGCAATGGCAACAAAAGCCAAAATAGACAAATGGGATCTAATTAAACTAAAGAGCTTCTGCACAGCAAAAGAAACTACCATCAGAGTGAACAGGCAACCTACAGAATGGGAGAAAATTTTTGCAATCTACCCATCTGACAAAGGGTATCCAGAATCTACAAAGAACTTAAACAGATTTACAAGAAAAAGACAACCCCATCAAAAAGTGAGCAAAGGATATGAACAGACACTTCTCAACAGAAGACATTTATGCAGCCAACAGACATATGAAAAAATGCTCATCATCAGTGGTTATCAGAGAAATGCAAATCAAAACCACAATGAGATACCATCTCACGCTAGTTAGAATGGCGATCATTAAAAAGTCGGGAAACAACAGATGCTGGAGTGGATGCGGAGAAATAGGACCACTTTTAAACTGTTGGTGGGAGTGTAAATCAGTTCAACAATTGTGGAAGACAGTGTGGCGATTCTTCAATGATCTAGAAATAGAAATACCATTTGAGGCCGGGCGCGGTGGCTCACGCCTGTAATCCCAGCATTTTGGGAGTCCGAGGTGGGTGGTTCACGAGGTCAGGAGATTGAGACCATCCTGGCTAACACGGTGAAACCCCACCTCTACTAAAAACACAAAAAATTAGCCGGGCGAGGTGGCAGGTGCCTGTAGTCCCAGCTACTCTGGAGGCTGAGGCAGGGGAATGGCGTGAACCCGGGAGGCAGAGCTTTCAGTGAGCCGAGATTGCGCCACTGCACTCCAGCCTGGGTGACAGAGTGAGACTCTGTCTCAAAAAAAAAAAAAAAAAAAAATACCATTTGACCTAGCAATCCCATTACTGGGTATATACCCAAAGGATTATATATCATGCTACTATAAAGACACATGCACATGTATGTTTGTTTATTGTGGCACTATTCACAATAGCAAAGACTTGGAACCAACCCTAATGTCCGTCAATGATAGACTGGATTAAGAAAATTTGGCACATATACACCATGGCACATATACACACATATACTGTGCAGCCATAAAAAAGGATGAGTTCATGTCCTTTGCAGGGACATGGATGAAGCTGGAAACCATCATTCTCAGCAAACTATCACCAGTGCAGAAAACCAAACACCACATGTTCTCACTCATAGGTGGGAGTTCAACAACAAGAACATTTGGACACGGGGGGGGAACAACACACACCGGGGCCTGTTGTGGGGTGGGGGGCTGGGGAGGGATAGCATTAGGAGAAATACCTAATGTAAATGATGAGTTGATGAGTGTAGCAAACCAACATGGGACATGCATACCGATGCAACAAACCTGCATGTTGTGCACATGTACCCTAGAACTTATTAAAAAAAAAAGTAATCTGTGGTTCTGTGCTTATGTAGATTGGTGTATGAAAAAGGAGGGCTGTGTGTTTTTGTTCAAGTTAGATCCAAACAGGGGAAAGTAGAGGTAAAGAGAGCATGAGTAATAGTAGCAGTCATATTTCAATTGATGGAGGCTAGGATAAGAAAATAATATACTTGCTAGCCTGAAATTATTTCTGACTCTAGTTACATAGGTAGCTTGGATAGTCACTATAATACTATGGATAGCAACTGTCCCTTTTAGAAACAAATCGTATTCTGGTCCTTTTAGTTTTTACCTGTTATAAATGAATTCTTACATATTAAATCCTGCAGCAAAATGTCTTTCTCTCATCAATATATATTCTCCCTTGGCTATATGACTTTCCCACTCCAAACTATGCAAACTGGCTTTGTGAACACACTTTGGCAAGAAAAATCTGATGGTTCCAGTGGAATTATACTGTTTCATTGAGAAGGGATTACTCAAGTTCCCTAGCCAACAGTTCATAGCCTATCAAAATATGTCAAATTCAGGAAAACATTGAACAGATTTGCTTTTATTCCTATGAAAAGAACATTTTTGATCATGAAGAGCCTACTAATCTAGGAAAGAAAGTCATGTCCTAGTTGTGAAATATATTAGCCACAAGACCTTGATTAAATTACATAACATCTCTTAGCTGTAATTTCTACATCCCAAAAATGGAGGGTTGTAAGAGATCACCTCTGAAGCCCCGTCTCCCTCCCTAGCACCTAGAAAACTACCTGTACATAGAGTGTTGTGAATTATGATACATGATGCTGAGAAACTATGATCTTCTTTCTTCTGCATTTCCATAGAATATCAGCTCCTAGCATGTAAGTGGAGCTTAATATCTGTTTATTCAAAAGAAAAATTTTTTTTTCTAATAGGAAAAATATAATATGCAATAAAATGTTATGATAATGTAGTTCAAATTGTGGGTAAAATTTTTTTAAATATATTATTAAAAAAGAATAAATAGCTCTAAGAAAATCAATAACTATGACTTTCCCTTTCCCGACTTTCTTTTGAGAACCCAGGCATATGGTTCTTGGTTCACTTCCTTCATGAAAAGATTTTTTCATGTACAGTGACAGCACAGAGGAGCACCCCAAGAGAGCTCAAATCTGAAGATCTCTGGATGTTTTTCGACACAGAAATCAGTGAAGTGAGGTCTCGGGCCACTCAATGTTTTCAGAGTCAATAATACAAATGTCAAATCAATAAAGAAGCACTCACACCAGCAGTACAAGAAAAAGACAACATTTATGATGTACTATCTTCCTCCAGAAAAGAAAATCCCGTGGCACTGGGACAGACATCTACTCCTCAGCCCAACCAGAAAACTTCAGAGCCCTTCCGGTGTACACAGAGTACACAGAATAGCCTTGAGGGTTCTGACCAGAATCACTCATATACAGCTGCCCTGTGAACATGAAATTTTCTCTATATGTCTTAATTTCTTCGTATAACATATGAAAGATTCATTGACGTCAATCTGTTACACAAAAAAATTTCCCTAATCATGGCCTTCAGACTGGCAAATATAAATCAGGTAGAATCTGTGGCGACCTCAGCACAAAACCATTAATCTTGCTGGAAGAAAGAATTCCCTATGCAAGCTCTGTAGTTGAAGTATGTCACCCTTATGAAAGAAGAGCACTTTTTTTTAATAAACTCCATTTCTCTGCATCCAACTACTGCTTATCATTCAAGGTCTAGCTCTTCAGTCACGCCACCTTTCCCTTCCATGAAGCCTGAGCTAATGTTCCAGCTGAAAGGGAGTTTTCTCCCCTCTTGGAACTGTATCTGTTTCTCTCTTGTGACCTTGATAATTTCTTTCCTCCATTACATGCACCTGGGCCTGTGTTTACATTCTTCCACTAGACTGAGGAGCAGGCACCACTGTGACTATCATTGCCTCCCCGGAGAAGCCTTTTTCCTGCCAAACAAATGTTGGGCAAATCATAAATAGTAAAAATAAAAAGTTTTGGTAGAATAAGTGAATGAGTGAAGCATTAACCTAATATTTCAAAATTAAGCATCACCTTCACATTTGAGTTAACTATTTGATTCAGCTTCAGGAACTAATTTTCACAAAAGCCCTGTGGCTCAGTAGATGGAGTCAGGTATGGAAGTTGGCAGATAATCTTTCTGCTCAATTACTAATGACCCGTGGAGAAAATGCCCTACTTATCGTATTTTTTGTGGAACAGTACAATGGAAAGTGTTCATGAAGGTCTTTGAGTCCATTTCCTGAGACACACAGATGACCAGGCACTTGTGTAGGTTGGCACTGTACATTAAGGGTCAGAGCAGAGCTGGGACCTGCTTCCTGAACATAACCTATGTGATACAAGTCAGAAGAGTGGTACCTTGATTGGGGATTGGCTAGGAAGAGGTGCAAAAAAACCTCTCTTGTATGACAGAAATATTCTCTATCTTGATCCAAATGGTGGCTACTGGAATGTACACGTATGTAAAAATCTACCCAGTTATACATTTAAGATGTGTACATTTTACTAAATGTAACACTATACCTTAGAAAAAACTAAATGCGATATTTTAATGAAACCGCTTTGCACCCTATTCATTATTTAACTTTTTATTTCTTACATCTGTAATTTTTCTGGTTACAAAACATATGTATTTTGTAAAGTACCCCAACATATCAGAAATGTAAAAGCCTAGAAAATGAATATCGTTCAAAACACCATTTCCCAGAGAGAAAACATTGTTAAAAATTTATCATACCCAGGTTGTATTTTTCTACGAAAAAGCGGCCGCTTTGAGGGTGTAGAACTGCTAGTTTTGTCACCTGGCCCATAATCTCCAGGAACACTGTGAATCCTGGGAGAAGCTGTGCCATGCTACTGGCAAGGAGCTGTCCTCTACCCTGGGAGAAGCTGTGCCGTGCTGCTGGCAAGGAGCTGTCCTCTGCTTCTTAAGCCATCAGGTCTCCTTTGGGTCCTGGACAAGTTTTGGTGTTCTTGATTTTTTACATTTTCTCAGACTCCAGAGATTTGGGCTTATTTACCAGTGTACCTTCTCTCTTGTGCCCAATCCTTGAACTCACTTTAGAATAGTATTAAAATTTCACCACTTCTTCCATTGTTGAAGATCCTAAAACAGATTCATGTTACTGCTGTTTCACAGATTTGTTGCTAAGCACTATAGACGGGTGAACAAAACGTGAACACAAGTAACCAACCCAGGGAACCGACAAAGTCTATGAGCTGCGAACACAGGTCTCCTAACACTTCTCCCTGGTAACATAGATTTAGCAAGGTTTTAAATTTCCTTACACTACCATCCGTAATAGCAGAGGATAAGCACTTTGGTTTCCTTTGAAGTCTCATACATTGGATGGGGAGGTAAGGAGGGTAGAAATTAACTTTGTCAGCTCTTCCTCTTCCCTTCTCTTCCCTTCCTGAACAATTCAGTCCTGAAGTCATTAGGTGGAGTTGAGCAAGGTAGATCAGAGCCTGGAGCATCCATTTGCCAGAAAGCTAAGGAAGAGCTTGAAAAATGAAAGGGGCATATCAAAAGGACACAGAGCATCAAAATACATGAGGACAGGAAAGAATTATAACCCAATAAACACAGGAAAATATGAGTCAATTTATAAATAAACTAAAAGTATGGAAAGAGTAGGGTATTTAAATAGTTTCAAAGTACCTCTCCACAAAATACCTGTTAATTAAAAAGGGAAAAAGAGTAACCTTACCATGGATAAGGCAGACTTTAATGGAGCAATCAAAGTGAACATTATCAGTAATGGAACAAGCTGAAAATCATACGCCACCTGATCAGATGCTATGAGAAATACACAGCATCACTTCTGGGATATTCTTGCTAGAGGTAAATAATCTAGATCTCATTGTAAGGGAACATCAGAAAACCTAAACTGAGGGATATTCTACAAAGTAGCCTTTAATCTTCAAAAAAGTCAAGGCCATGAAAATGTTCCAGATAGAAATAAGGAGACATGCATCGTGCAATTCAGAACTGCATCCTTTTGCTATAAAGGATGTTATTGTGACAATTCCTGAAGTTGGAATGGAGTCTGAGGATGAAATGATGGCAATTTATCAGTATTGATTCCCTGATTTTAATATTTGTAGTGTAGTCATAGAGGATAATTTTCTTGTTTTTTTTTTGAAATATGATGCTTTGATTTATTTTGGTCTTAAGATGTATCATTTCAGCAAGTTAGTCACAAATGGTTCTGAGGGAGTGCAGTTTTTTTACTGTATTTGCAGTTCTTCTGTAAGTTTGAGATTATTTAAAGATTTAAAAAATCCTACTCCAATGCAATGATTTAAAGAGTTGCTTCAGATAATGTTCTAGTTTAAGCGAAAATCCTCTGCTTGACCCTCCCTTCTGAAGGAAGAGGCTTATGCAACACCACGATTTTGAGAAAGGCAGGAGAATGATCAGATTTACTTTACTTCCTTGTACCATCTGCTGGTTCTTCTGGTCTCTGAGGAATTGTCTGTTCTCACTGGTTGGGGCTGTGTACTGTCATCTGATCTCTCTCTCTCTTGGGTTGATCACAGCCTGGTGATGCTCCCTGGCTGCCTCCACAGAAATATTCTCAGTAGCATTTTAGACCCTTGAGTCTCTGCCATGTCCTCTGTGTGGCACCCTGACACAAGCAGTTTAGCCCCAGCCTCTACTGTGGGGTTTCCTCTTCCATTGCTATAGGGCTCTGTGGCAAGCCATCTGCATCTCAAGTCAGTGATTTCTGAGACCTCCCACTAGGAGGCAGTATAAGTGTATGTCTATATGAGCCCCTGGCCCCATGAGGCTAAGGGCTTCATTCTTCAGATCAGTTCAAAGTGCTTAGATTTTAGGTAGAAATAAGGTGCTGTATTCTAAATGAGGACTTGGAGATGCTTAGGAAAACTAAATTTCAAGTCCTCTTTCTATCTAATTGTGTTGACAAATTTATTCTGATATGGTTGGTATGGGGAATTCAGTCCAGCAGGAGAATTCTTTTCATAGCATGAAATGGGAATCAAGCTGTGTTTGCTCTGCTCTTGGCTCCACCATAGCTTATCTAAAACACCTCCTTCTCTGCAGCCTGAAGCCCAGAGCTGAGAAGTCAGGACACTGGGCCTTCTCACAGCCCCCAACAACTTCTCTGCCCTGACACCTTTCTTCTACTTCTATTTTCCTGGGCTGGAAAGAACAAACTTTCCTCCAGGTCACATCTTCCTACCTTCCCACTGCTGCCACGAGCCTGAATCCTCATGGTGGGCCAGAGTCTTCATCCATGCAAGAGACACTCCCAGGCTTGGTTATGAAGCCTTGCATCTTGGTATAGAGCTCAACTTCCTGTCCTAAGGCAACAAGTTGCACCTTGATCTAAAATGTTAGTTAACATACCCAAGCTTTGGCTTTCCTATTGGTTAAATGGGAATATTAAAGATAAATATCTAAATTTACAATATATCTTCCTCAATAGTCTCTTATTAAATGGGATAATTAACTAGAATAGACATTCAAATGATACAGCATTTCATCATGTGTCAAATGAAAATAATAACATCTGTCTATATCTATAAGGATACAACAGCACTAAGAGTTTAAAATGAAATTTGAATCTAAAAAAATTATGTAGTTGCTATATAAATGTAACATTATTAAATTTACCAGATTTTTCTATATCATCCTTAGAATCTATGCATAAGAACATTTTGTCTGTTGAGGACAATTAAAAATAGGTCCATATAAGACGCAATTAAAGCTCCTGGGATAAACTCAGTCGCTTAATGAAATCTGCTCTAGAGCACAGAGTGTAAGAGCATTATTCCAACTGACGATTTTAATGCCCAAGTAAATGAAGACAGGATGGCCAATAAAGGTAACTAGCAAAATGTTGAGGTGGTGGTGTATGTTGGGAGGGGAGGAGGCAATGGAAGTAACCCTTACAGAGAATTTTAAAACCAACCAGAAGTTGATCTACTTTTCATTATTACCATGTGCTGGTGATTGTAACCCATGTCAGTGATAAGACACATTACATTCCACTTCCGATGGACTACAGCTCTGCTCTCTCCTTGTCTTCTCACTGTGTTAAGGAACAGAGACAACTTTGTTCCTGCAATGAGAATCCACAGGTTATAGGATATAGCTCTTATTTATACCCCCCAACGCACCATTAAGCAATGCCAATTGACTTTTCTGACCCAAGATCCAAAGGATCTTAGAGGACTTCTGACAGAAGATATTCAGCAAAAGTTGGTGCTCTGTCATGCTGACTTGCAGCATAATAAAAAAAGATAAAATCAAAAGAGGCAAATGTCTCTTAAAAATGTGAAGAACCAGTTTTGACTGAGGATAAAATTATATAAAAGTCCTCTTATGTGGGTGACCATATTTGTCTATGACTTGCTTTTGCTTCATATTTTAGTTTTGAATATTTTCTTTCATTGCGTCTCACTAAGGAAACTATTCTTTTTGACTCCCCACAGTTAAACCAGCCAATGAATCACTTATAACTTGCCATTAACAGCCAAGTTCTAATTGTTATATCTAGATATGATTTCCATGTCTTTTTCAGTCACAGATTATAAGTTTTTTTTAACTGCTCTGAGGTTTCTTTTACATCTCCAGAATCTGTAAAATTTAAGTACAGAATCTAAACCTAAAATTGAACACTTTATTATTGGAAGTAATTAATAACTAGATGTTTTTAAAGTATTAAAAGGAATGACATGTATTTGCAAGCTTACTGAGGTTTTGTTTTTATTTCAGGTACCGTATGTTTTAGTTTGAGAACTTGTTCACTCATTATGTCCATCTTTCCTTTTCAATCTATAAATATGTATAAGAGCTATTTTAAGCACTCACCTGCTAATTCCAGGTCATCTCAGGGTCTGCTCCTATTGACTCATGGCCACCCACCTTTAGTGGCGCTTCATGTCATATGCAAGGAAAAGGGAGAAAAGATGTGAAACTAGAAGGACATATCAGTGGTGGTCAAACAGCAGGCTCGGGAGTTGAAGAGCGTTGGAGGAGGAAGAAGCATAGCTATAAGGTCATATCTTTTGGCTTATTTTCTTAAGATAAATATCCAGTAATTTTAAAATTGCATTGTGGATATTTGAAATGCTCCAACTCTTGAGAGTCTGAATATTTTTCTTCCTGCAAGAAATGTGAATTTTTATTATGGCCGGCAGTAATTTGCTGGCAGATAGGCTGGATCCCTCTGAAGCTTGATTGTAAGCTTTGTTAGGTAGGGTCCAGTGGAGCCCTTAGTCTAAGGCTAGAGTCTTTTGGGGGTCTTGGTAGAAGGTCTACCCGTTCAGCAAGGTCTTCTGAGTCTGGATGGTCCGAGTTTGATGGCTCCCGGCACACTGTGGGACCTTCAGACCTTCTCTTGAGGCTTTCACTTGGTTACATATGTGACAATCCAGAAGCTCTCTTCTGCCAGGTCTCACTGAGTCTCTCCTGTGCATACCTGACATTGTATTTGGCCCAAGACCAGAGGACCTCTATGTAGATTTCCAAGCACCTGCTCTGTGCACTCCTCCTTTCAAAGATCATGCTCCCCAAACCCCAGCTGGCTCAGCACCCCCAGACTCTGACCTCTGTTCCTCTGCTGAAGCTGATCTGCTTGAGCCCCACTTCCCTTCAGCCTACCAAGCAGTGCCCCAGGCTAAAGGCCAATCAACCCAGGCCTCACTTAATGCATTTTTCTTCTTTTAGTAATATGTCTGATGTCCGACATCTAAACACAGCTACTTCATTTATTATGACCATTCTTATATTTTTTTAAGCATGAATCTACACCTGTCAATACCAGAAACCCAAGATTAGTTTTCTTGCTTTTATTCCACTGTTTTCAGTGTATTCATAATTTTAAAGATATTTCATATTGACCTTTTAAAAAGTATTATCATGGCATTGTTTTCAGAAGTGTGTTCTGTTAAAAAGTAAACTGGCTCTGTTATAAAACAAATGCATTTTTCTTGACAGCAGGACACCTCAGTGCCATAAAAAGCTGATATGGGTTGTAAATTTTCAAGGGACTATATTATCTGCATTTTTCAAATTCATTCGACCACAGAATCCATTTTTAATAGATTGTCTTGTGGGAGTAATAGAAAATGTATTACTTTTTTGGGAAATGGTGCTCTGTGGATGCTATTTATTAATTTTATTAAAAATTTATATGCCTAATTAAAAAGCAAACATAGTTACAACCACCTTTTAAATTAATTTTTAGATGGAAAATAAGCTTTGCTTCTTCTTCTTCTCTCTAATACTCCTCCACTCAAAATCATTCCAGGAAGTTCTCGAGACACATATGAAGATTTCTGAGTGTATATACATATGTTCCCAATGGTGAGTTTGCAGTTGAGCCCTGTAAACATTTTGTATATCATGGAATAACAGGAGAGTTTTACAGGGAGAAGTGCACTTTTACACTATGAAAACATGTATTTCATTTTGACATTTTTTCCCCAAAGAAAAAGACATTTTTTAGGTAGGATAAAATAAAGTCAGCGTTTTTCATTCTGTGAAGTTGTCAGCTTCTCATGCTGTTTGTTAAATGAGGTGTCACTGAAGATGTGAGAATGATGAGCTTTTAACAGCAGCAGCAGCGGCTGCAGCAGCTGGATCTCTTCTTTACCATTAATAATTAAATTATTTCAAGTCGTTTTACAGAGCAATCCTCCTCCTCCAGCACACTCACACAAAGCTCTGGGTACAGCTGATTGGGAGGTGTCTCCTCACTGCCATGTCTAGGAATTGCATAGCAACAGCAGAGAGGTAGCAGACATGAGGATGCCTGACTGAGTGACATTCAAAGACCCAGGCACAATGTATTTCTTCAGTTACCTCTGCCAAGCAGCTCCTCTCTCTGGACCTCAATTGCTCTAACAGGAAAATGAATTCTTTAAACTAGATAATTTTAGAGTTTCTTTTTAGCTCTTATATTCCACAAACCTTGTTTAATAACACTACATGGACTAAACAGTGATAAGAATATCATGTCTATAAAACACTGCCTCTCTGGTTGAAAGTAGGAGAGAAGTGTCCTAAAAAACAATGGAAAATACAGCTGTCAAGCAATTTGTAGTTTCATTTTAACTTTACACCTGTAAACAGAAAATATCTTACTCTTCAAGTTTGGCCTTCAAGACTTAAATAATTCCTGTAATCACAATGAATTTGTCATCTGTCAAAACCCCACATTTTAGTTCTTGTCAAGCAACAAAGTTGATGACTTTTCTCCTGAAACTTTATTCTGACTTTGCTTCTTACTGATAGCAGAAGATTACAAGGTGGGAGAGAGATTTTTCCCCAAAGATACAATGGAATTTTGCAGAGAACCAGAACAAAAGGTGTTTAAATCTCTAAATGAAACTAGAAGAAAAAAAATTAAGTCACTCTGATTTCAGTTGCTAACAAAGGCAGAGAAAGAAAAATCCACTTGCTATGTTACTTCTCCATGAGCCAAGCTCAGCACAAAGTGAAAAAGGATTTTCTGATACAGCTTTACATTATCTTTAATTGAATTATTGGTTTAGATTTTAGCAGAAGAGAAGAATAAAACGATCAAAGCCTTTGTTTTCCTGGGAGCCTCAAATGCACCTGTACTATATCCAGCTGTATAAGTGATATGTATGGATACTCATAGGGATGCCTGCGTTCTCCTGCCTGGGGGCCAGGTGAACCTGGAGAATTGTGGGGTGTAGCTCCTGTAGCTGTGCTACCGTAAGCAATCATTCATCTAGAGCTCTGGAGAGTAGCTCCAGAAGGTGGTCCAGACCAAGCTGGGGCTTACAGGTAGAGACACAGCAGAAAGGCCAGGCCTGAGGGGCAACTTGAGACTTAAATGGAAGGTGAGGAATGGATTGGAAAGTGGAACATGAGGTAGTTCAGGGCAAGTGATTCAGAAAAACTCATGAGCAAGATTCAGAGAACTGATGTCCCCCTTTATATATGGGGCTTAGACGGAACCCAACTATCATTTCTTCCAGGCCTTATCCACTTAAGCCTCAGCCTTAGAAGGGGAGGCAGAGATGTGTTTTCCCCTTGTTGGGTGATTGGTTTCAGCTTTCTCATTTTGGAAACTTCAAGAGCACAGTAACTAAGCCCACGGACTTTAGCAAAGACGGCACTTACTAACTATATGATTTGGTGCTGTATTAGTCAGGGTTCCCTAGAGGGATGGAACTAATAGGATAGATGTCTATTAAAGGGGAATTTATTAAGGAGTGCTGACTCACACAATCACAAGGTGAAGTCCCACAATAGGCTGTCTGCAAGCTGAGGAGTAAGGAAGTCAGTCTGAGTCCCAAAACCTCAAAAGTAGGGAAGCTGACACTACAGCCTTCAGCCTGTGGTCTAAGGCCTGAGAGCCCCTGGCACGTCCAAGAATCCGAAATCTGAAGAACTTGGAGTCTGATGTTCAAGGGCAGAAGCATCCCACATGGGAGAAAGGTGAAGACTGGAAGACTCAGCAAGTCTGCTCTTCCTTCTTCTGCCTGCTTTATTCTAGTGGTGCTGGCAGCTGATGAGATGGTGCCCACCCAGATTGAGGGTGGGTCTGCCTCTCCCAGTCCACTGACTCAAATGTTAATCTCTTTTGTCAGCACCCTCACAGACACATCCAGGAACAATATATTGCATCTTTCAATCTAATCCAGTTGACACTGAATATTAACCATTATAGGGGCCAATACTGATTTGGGATAAGTTACTTAATTCCTCTGAATTTCAATTTCTTCCTCTGTAAAATGAGGATAACAAATCTAATAAAAACAATATAGGTGAGAATAATAATCTTAACCTTAGGATGGTGATGAGTAAAGCACTTACTACCTGGCACATCCAAATTAAGTATTAGAACGATTACAGTTACATTCTATTATCCTCTAGTTTGGGCTACTTCCAGTACTAAGATATAAGCTCCATGATAGCATGGATCCTTCGGTTTCACAATTGTATTTCAAACCTAGCAGAGAGCCTGGCACATGGTAGGAACTTTGCAAATATTTGTTGAATGAAGCAATGAATAAACAAATGAAAGAAACTGGCCAGTACTCCTGGATAGCTTGCCAAGATATCTGTGAGGGAGGGTGATGCCACCACCAAAGCACTAGGGCACCCCAAGGTGCAAAGCTCTGACCCTGCCTGGTTTGGCCAGAGATTCTCACACACACCTGAAATGTCCTTTTGTATGGTAAATTATATTTTCTTTTTATTACTGTTTCCAGTACTTTGATCCAAGTCTCTTTTACATGTGTGCAAGAATATAAGATGCATCTCTTTTTAGTATTTTCACATAATTTTTTTTATACTTTAAGTTCTGGGATACATGTGCAGAACATGCACGTTTGTTACATAGGTGTACACGTGCCATGGTGGTTTGCTGCACCCATCAACCCGTCATCTACATTAAGTATTTCTCCTAATGCTATCCCTCCCCTAGGCCCTCACCCCCCAACAGGCCCTGGTGTGTGATGTTACCTTCCCTGTGTCCATGTGTTCTCATTGTTCAACTCCCACTTATGAGTGAGAATATGTGGTGTTTGGTTTTATATTCCTGTGTTAGTTTGCTGAGAATGATGGTTTCCAGCTTCATCCATGTCCCTGCAAAGGACATGAACTCATTCTTTTTTATGGCTGCATAGTATTCCATGGTGTATACGTGCCACATTTTCTTTTTCCAGTCTATCATTGATGGGCATTTGTGTTGGTTCCAAGTCTTTGCTATGGTGAACAGTGCTGCAATAAACATACGTGTGCATGTCTTTATAGTAGCATGATTTATAATCCTTTGGGTATATACCCAGTAATGGGCTTGCTGGGTCAAATGGTATTTCTGGTTCTAGATCCTTGAGGAATTGCCACACTGTCTTCCACAATGGTTGAACTGATTTACACTCCCACCAACAGTGTAAAAGGGTTCCTATTCCTCCACATCCTCTCCAGCATCTGTTGTTTCCTGACTTTTTATTAGAGATAGACATTCTAACTGGCATGAGATGGTATCTCATTGTGGTTTTGATTTACATTTCTCTAATGTCCAGTGATGATGAGCTTTTTTTCGTATGCTTTTTGGCCACATAAATGTCTTCTTTGAGAAGGGTCTGTTCATATCCTTTGCCTACTTTTTGATGGGGTTGTTTTTTTTTCTTGTAAATTTGTTTAAGTTCTTCTTAGATTCTGGATATTAGCCCTTTGTCTGGTGGATAGATTGCAAAAATTTTCTCCCATTCTGTAGGTTGTCTGTTCACTCTGATGACAGTTTCTTTTGCTGTGCAGAAGCTCTTTAGTTTAATTAGATCCCATTTGTCAATTTTGGCTGTTGTTGCCATTGCTTTTGGTGTTTTAGTCATGAAGTCTTTGCCAATGTCTATGTCCTGAATGGTATTGCCTAGGTTTTCTTCTAGGGTTTGTATGGTTTTAGGTCTTATGTTTAAATCTTTAATCCATCTTGAGTTAATTTTTGTATAAGGTGTAAGGAAGGGATCCAGTTTCAGTTTTCTGTATATGGCTAGCCAGTTTTCCCAGCATCATTTATTAAATAGGGAATCCTTTCCCCATTTCTTGTTTTTGTCAGATTTGTCAAAGATCAAATGGTTGTAGATGTGTGGTGTTATTTATGAGGCCTCTCTTCTGTTTCATTGGTCTATATATCTGTTTTGGTACCAGTACCATGCTGTTTTGGTTACTGTAGCCTTGTACTAGAGTTTGAAGTGAGGCAGCGTGATGCCTCCAGCTTCGTTCTTTTGGCTTAGGATTGACTTGGCTATATGGGCTCCTTTTTGGTTCCATATGAAATTTAAAGTAGTTTTTTCTAATTCTGTGAAGAAAGTCAATGGTAGCTTGAAGGGGATAGCATTGAATTTATAAATTACTTTAAGCAGTATGGCCATTTTCATGATATTGATTCTTCCTATCCATGAGCATGGAATGTTTTTCCATTTGTTTGTATCCTCTCTTATTTTCTTTAGCCGTGGTTTATAGTTCTCCTTGAAGAGATCCTTTACATCCCTTGTAAGTTGTATTCCTAGGTATTTTATTATCTTTGTAGCAATTGTGAATGGGAGTTCACTCATGATTTGGCTCTCTGTTTGTCTGTTATTGGTGTATAGGAATGCCTGTGACTTTTGCACATTGATTTTGTATCCTGAGACTTTGCTGAAGTTGCTTATCAGCTTAAGGAGATTTTGGCCTGAGACGATGGGGTTTTCTAAATATACAATCACGTCATCTGCAAACAGGAACAATTTGACTTCCTCCTTCCTATTTGAATACCCTTCATTTCTTTCTCTTGACTGATTGCCCTGGCCAGAACTTCCAATACTATGTTGAATAGGAGTGGTGAGAGAGGGCATCTTTGTCTTGTGTCAGTTTTCAAAGGGTATGCTTCCAGCTTTTGCCCATTCAGTATGATATTGGCTGTGGGTTTGTCATAAATAACTTTTATTATTTTGAGATGCGTTCCACCAATGCCTAGTTTATTGAGGGTTTTTGGCATGAAGCAGTGTTGAATTTTATGGAAGGTCTTTTCTACATCTATTGAGATAATCATGTGGTTTTTATCATTGGTTCTGTTTGTGTGACAGATTACATTTATTGATTTGAGTATGTTGAACCGGCCTTGTATCCCAGGGATGAAGCTGACTTGATCATGGTGGATAAGCTTTTTGATGTGCTGCTGGATTCAGTTTGCCAGTATTTTATTGAGGATTTTCTCATCGATGTTTGTCAGGGATATTGGCCTGGAATTTTCTTTTTTTGTTGTGTCTCTGCCAGGTTTTGGTATCAGAATGATGCTGGTCTCATAAAATGAGTTACGGAAGAGTCCCCCTTTTTCTATTGATTGGAATAGTTCAGAAGGAATGGTACCAGCTCCTCTTTGTATCTCTGGTAAAATTCAGCTGTGAATCTATCTGGTCCTGGGCTTTTTTTGGTTGGAAGGCTATTAATTACTTTCTCAATGTCAGAACTTGTTATTGGTCTATTCAGGGATTTGACTTCTTCCTGTTTTATTCTTGGGAGGGTGGATGTGTCCAGGAATTTATCCATTTCTTCTAGATTTTCTAGTTTATTTGCCTATAGGTGTTTCTAGCATTCTCTGATGGTAGTTTGTATTTCTGCTGGATCAGTGATGATATCCCCTTTATCATTTTTTTATTGTGTCTATTTGATTCTTCTCTCTTTTCTTCTTTATTAGTCTGGGTAGTGGTATATTTTATTAATCTTTTCAAAAAACCACCTCCTGAGTTCTTTGATTTTTTGAAGGTTTTTTCATGTCTCTCTCTCCTTCAGTTCTGCTCTGATCTTAGTTATTTCTTGTGTTCTGCCAGCTTCTGTTTGCCCTTGCTTCTCTAGTTCTTTTTATTGTGATGTTAGGGTGTCGATTTTAGATCTTTCCTGTTTTCTCCTGTGGGCATTTAGTGCTATAAATTTCTTTCTTAACACTGCTTTAGCTGAATCCCAGAGATTCTGGTACATTGTGTCTTTGTTCTCATTGGTTTCAAAGAACTTCTTTATTTCTGCCTTAATTTTGTTATTTACCCTATAGTCATTCAGGAGCAGGTTGTTCAGTTTCCATGTAGTTGTGCCGTTTTGAGTGAGTTTCTTAATCCCGAGTTCTAATTTGATTGCACTGTGGTCTGAGACACTGTTTGTTAGGATTTCCATTGTTTTGCATTTGCTGAGGAGTGTTTTGCTTCCAATTATGTGGTCAATTTTAGAATAAATGTGATGTGGTGCTGAGAAGAATGCGTATTCTGTTGATTTGGGGTGGAGAGTTCTGTAGATGTCTATTAGTTCTGCTTGCTCCAGAGCTGAGTTCATGTCCTGAATATCCTTGTTAATTTTCAGTCTTGTTGATCTGCCTAATATTGAGAGTGGAGTATTAAAGTCCCCCACTATTATTGTGTGAGAGTCTGAGTCTCTTTTTAGGCCTCTAAGAACTTGCTTTATGAATCTGGGTGCTCCTGTATTGGGTGCATATATATTTAGGATAGTTAGCTCTTCTTATTACATTGATTCCTTTACCATTATGTATACCCTTCTTTGTCTTTTTTGATCTTTGTTGGTTTAAAGTCTGTTTTATCAGTGATTAGGGTTGCCACCCCCACTTTTTTTTTGCTTTCCTTTTGCTTGATAAATTTTCCTCCATATCTTTATTTTGAGCCTATATGTGTCTTTGCATGTGAGATGGGTCTCCTGAATACAGCACACCAATGGGTCTTGACTCTATCCAATTTGCCAGTCTGTGTCTTTTAATTGGGGCATTTAGCCCATTTACATTTCAGGTTAATATTGTTATGTGTGAATTTGATCTTGTCATTTTGATTCTAGCTGGCTATTTTGTCTGTTAATTGATGCAGTTTCCTCATGGTGTCAATGGTCTTTACAATTTGGTATGTTGTTGTAGTGGTGGGTACTTCTATTTTCTTTCCATATTTAGTGCTTCCTTCAGGAGCTCTTGTAAGGCATCCCTGGTGGTGACAAAATCTCTCAGCATTTGCTTGTCTGTAAAGGATTTTATTTCTCCTTCACTTATGAAGCTTAGTGTGGCTGGATATGAAATTGTGGGTTGAAAATTGTTTCCTTTCACATAAACATTTTTAAATTCATGGGGCTTGGCTGATACAGTAATAATACCATTTTGTCCTATCTCCCATGTTATTCCCCAAAGACAGCAATTACAGAAGGCATTTCATTTCATCTGCTCTTCTACAGTAGATAGCATATGCACACAGACAATACATTATCCCAACACAAGTTTTCCGTACTGAGTGTAGCCTCACAAAAATCTCATTTAAATGCGTTGCCATGGAATTAGTGACAAATTTTAATATAATGTATCTCTTGTGGGGCTTCATGTCATATGAAAGGAAAAGACAGAAAATATGGGAAACTAGAAGGAGACACATCAGTTGTGATCATACAGCAGGCTCAAGAGTTGAAGCATCTTGGAGGAGGAAGAGACAGAGAGCGTCAGAGAGGAGTCATGGAAATGAAGGAGGTAGAAAGCAAGGCAGTTCGGTACCATCAAGCTGCCACAACATGCAGTTCCTTCTGCTTATTAGGACATATACCCCTTTTAATACAATTTTTCTCTTTTAAAAGTTGCTTTCCACCATTACATTGTAGACTCAATGATGATATGGACTGGTTTTATTTCAAGAGTTTAACAGAGTCTTTGACATATAGTAAATTCTTAAAATTTTTGACTGGACATTTGGATAGGTAGATAGATGGAAGGATGGATGATCAGAATATAAAAGAGACTAGAGAAGAGCAGAGGTTATCAAATAGAAGCTGTCAAGCACCTAATTTCCCCAGCGCTTTCCAGGGCTGATCCAAGCTACAGAGTTTCCTGGGATTCTTGGATGGAAGGAGTTTTACCCCTGGGAAGGAGAAGATGGAAGGAGGCATATCATTCAGTCAGAAGGTGGAGTTCAGTATGATAGAGATGGAAGTGGAAGTGTATCATCAACTGCGAGCCAGAATCAATATTTAAATTTTGGGTTGGAGAGTAGCTTGAAAAAAAAAGTAAAACAGTTAAGGGTACTTACAGATATTACTCACAGGGGACTTAAAACAGAGCATGTATTGCTTACAGGGCACTTGTAAAACAAATAGTGCAGGGTATTTATCAAAAATGGATATTGCTACCTCATCAGATTTGATGTGTCTGTCTCAGGAGGATTTTTAGGAGGACTGGCTCTTTTGTAGAGTCAGGAATGAAGGAGATACTCCCATTTCCAGAACCCTCTTTTAGACTCATCCGAGGGGTGCAGACACTAAATTCCAGAGTATGTGTTCTATCCCATACACTGTCACCACCTAGAACTTGAAAGTCCTGAGACTGAATATAGTTTAAGCAAGAGTTCAGAAGGCCTTTGACAACATGTTCAGGTTACCCATCTTAGGTTCTGGAACCTGGAAGATGTACCGAACAGGGTCTTAGTAGGCCAGATGGAGCAGAGAGTCATAAAAACAGGATGGACAAAATAATAGAGGGTGATTGGAGCTGCAAACTGTAAAACTAGAGTTGACTATGGGTATTAACTTGAAAGACTCACGTCACCATCCTCTGGTTGTAGCAGATGCAGGGCTTTTTACATTTTATCTCCCATCCTAGATTCCCTGCTGACACATTCCCTATTCTTGGGTGCAAGAGAGAGTATGTCTTCCATGTCTTCTTAAATACTCTGACTACTGAGGAGGTGTGGTGTTTGGTGTAAGGAGTTTGGAGGACAAATCGATACTTTTGAAAGACGACAGTCTGTGTAGAGGAGCAAGGTAAGTTACTATAGGCAAAGTTCAGGTCTTGGAAAGCATCTGGGTTGATTGGCTAGTTCTATTATCTGCAATATTCTAGGGATCAGTTGACCATTCCAGGTTGTTGTTGGCCCAGGAGAGGTACATGATAGTCTGGTTGGTATGGATGTGTAAGCCCAAGCTCAGAGAGCATTTTCCAAAACAAGAATTTGGAAACAAGAAACCAAAGTGCATAGTCAGAGATCAGAGAGCTGGGCAGTCTGTGAAAGTAGATCTTTTTGATGAAGACAGTTGCTGTGGGTGATACAGATGAGCAGCAGTGGGATATTGGTACCTAGAAAATATGCCATTTTGGCAAAAGCATTTAACATTATTGGGATGATGTCTTGGGCATCAGGAAGCCAAGCACTTAAAATATATCTTTCTGATAAAATCCCAGGATGTTTGAGATGACAGAAAATGCGGCAGGTCTTTAGGCCTCTCTGAGCCATCTCTAATCCAAGGGTATCCATTCTAAATACTTGGGTATTTTGAAGCATGCCCCCATGAGGTACTGGAAGAACCTAAGATCATGTTTTGGGCTTCTACTAGGCTTGGTGGCCTGACATGTTGGTAGATGTCACAACTAGACCAGTTGCCTTGTGTGGCTGTGAATTTCCACCAGGCATTGTTACGCATATGCATTAGTGATGGCCTGGTTGGGATTGTCTTACTTTCCTAGGATTGGGGTGGGCTAGATGACTACAGAGTTTTCTAGGAAAAGTATTTCTCTAGGTGTGGCAACCTCAGCTCTCTCCCATTTGAGGGCTCTTGTAATGTTTCTCCCTATCAATTTTGCTTGGAGCAAAGATAAGGGAGAATTTAAATCAAAGATCTCAGGCCATCTGGCACAGGGCATTTCCATTGGTTATAGAATCTGGTCTAAAACTACCAGAAACACATGTGCAGTTGAGCAAAGTGGTTTTATTCCTTGTTGAAGTTAGCGAGACTGCCGCCATGGGGAACTGCGCCTCAGTAAGAATATTAGAAACGACTGTAAGTGTTGGTTAGGTGATTTTGGAGAGGGTCCCAGGAAATGTGGGTTTGCTCAGGATTGAGTGCTGTTAAAAAGTGGGAAGAATCTTATAATTGGGCATCTCAATAAATCTTATGTAGAAGGAGGGCAAGACTAAAGCAAGGCTAAAGCTATAATTGGCGGACAAGCAACTGTCACTCATATTAGCCAGGAGAGGGAGGTTTCACATTTTGTAGTTTGCATAAAGACCTTGTCTTTGTCTGTGTTTAGACAAGCATTATGAAGTGATCCTGTTTAGTCTCACTTCGTCAAGGTCACAGAGTGATCTTGTCTGATGCTGGCAGTCCATGAGATAGTTTTTGTCCAATAAGAGAACCCCTGGTGTAGCTGTGAGCACTGGGCCTGCTTTCATAACACTGAGGCTTAGCTGTGTTAGGCCAGTTCCCCTTGTTAGGAGATGCTCTTTTCTCTTTCACCTGTCTTGTCACAGCTACTGTAGGTTGCAAAGGTCCTATTTGAGTCAGGGAGCATAAATGTTTCAAATGAAGAGAATTCAATGAAGGGACTATTTCCAGAGATGTGGGCCAGATTAGGGAAACAATAAAGTGAGGAACCCAGAGACCAGCAACAATGACAAGCCATTACCACTGCCACTGCCACCCCTCCCCAGAGCTGATGGAATAATGGTAGAAATTAACCTTTATTGGAATCAGTGAGAATGGGAACCCTAGTGGAGGGGCTGCCTTCCAGAAACTAGGCTGTTGAAGACATGCAGCAATTGTCAGAAATGCTTTGGTAGAGCAGGAGGGATGTGGAGAGACATATCCATTCCTTCTCTCTTTTGCTAGTGGCTTCCACTGGCTTAACATAAGCAGGAGCCAGGAGCAAGGTAGCTTAGGTTATGCAGTCAGAGCTTCCTGGGGCATTGAACAGGGCAGAGAAGAGCAGAGAATCAATATAGGAGTGGGCATGGAAAATGAGAAATAGCCAGCAGAGCCTTCAGCATGTATCCTGCGTTTTCATTAAGGACTGAAGAGATACAAAAGCTGATGGCCAGATTTGGTAAGGGTCACTTATTTAAGTTCACACACAGCAACCAACATTGTTCTGCCAACTCATTGGTCATTAAAAACATAGGCTTTGGATTTGAAAGGCATGAGAATGAGGTCTGAACAGTAACCCCAAAGAGCTCTAATTAGCTTATTATATTTGAAAGGTTCAGGAGTTGGAGGCTTCAAGATGGCTTTGAGATTGTATAGGGCTGTGTTTAGGCCTCAGAGTTTAATTCTTGGAGGAGGAAAAGCTCACAATGGTTGGTTTTGCTCTCCTAATTGGGGTACCAGACACTACTACTTTGTCAGCCTGAAAATATGAGGCTCAGAGGCAAGAGCTAACACAGAGTAAGTGAGCAAAAGCCATTCAGCCTATGATAAAAATGATAAAGATTTTAAATTCCGGAATTGGAGATGGTTTTCCAGTAACACAATTTCTCCTGTAGGAAAAATACCTGGAGCATCCTATTTAGTGATTTTTTTTTTTTTTTTTTTTTTTTTTGAGACTGAGTCTTGCTCTGTCGCCCAGGCTGGAGTACAATGATACAATCTCGGCTCACTGCAACCTCTGCCTACCAGGTTCAAGCAATTCTCCTGCCTCAGCCTCCCGAGTAACTGGGACTACAGGTGTGTGCCACCATGCCCAGCTAATTTTTTGTATTTTCAGTAGAGATGGGGTTTCACTGTGTTAGCCAGGATGGTCTTGATCTCCTGACCTTGTGATCTGCCCACCTCTGCCTCCCAAAGTGCTGGGATTACAGGCGTGAGCCACCGCGCCTTTCCTATTTAGTGATGTTTTAAGGGTAACCAGGATTTGTTTTGATTACGTATGGTAAGACACACAGACATGGTTGTCATGACGAAAAAATTTGTTATACTCACAGATTCCTAGAAACAGGAGGCATGGCATGCCACGCAGGGGCTCACATGGGGAAGCACTGAGGTTCCTCACATGGGGAAGCACCGAGGTTCGTCAGGAGGCAGACGGAGGGAGGGGAAAACATGGCCTCTGGAGGAGAGGAGCTGTCTTGAGTTATCTGGTACCTGGCTGTGATAATTAATTTTATGTGTCAACCTGGCTGGGCCATGGTGCTCAAATAGTTGGTCAAACATTATTCTGGGTACTTTCATGAAGGTGTTTTTTGCATGAAGTTAACATTTAAATTTGTGGACTTTGCATAAAGTAGATTACTCTCCAAAATGTGGGTGGTCCTCATCCAATCATTTGAAGGTCTTAAGCATAAAGACTGACCTCTCCTGAGCAAGGAGGAATTATGATAGCAGACTACCTTTGGACTTGAACTGCAACTCTTCCCTGGGTCTGCTGCTGATATGGTTTGTCTCTGTGTCCCCACCCAAATCTCATCTCAAATTGTAATCTTCAGATGTCGAGGGAGGGACCTGGTGGGAGGTGATTGTATCATTGGGATGGTTTCCCCCATGTTGTTCTCATGATAGTGAGTGACTTCTTATGAGAGCTGATGGTTTTAAAAGTGTTTGGCAGTTACCTCTTCACTCTTCTCCTCTCTCCTGCCGCCATGTAAGACGTGCCTTGCTTTCCCTTTGCCTTCCGCCATGATTGTAAGTTTCCTCAGGCCTCTCCAGCCATGTGGAGCTGTAAGTCAATTAAACCTCTTTTGTTTATATTTTATAAATTATTGTTTATAAATTACCCATTCTCAGGTGGTATCTTTATAACCGTGTGGAAATGGACTAATATACCTGTCTGCTGGCCTACCCTGCAGATTTTGGATTTATCAAGCCACCGCAATCACATGAACCATTCTGTTTTTAAAAAACTCTCCCTATATAACACAATCCCCAACTTACAATGGTTCCAAGTACAATTTTTCAACTTTACGATGGCACAAAAGTGATAGGCATTTTAGAAACCATACTTAACGTACTCACGCAACCATTCTGTTTTTCACTTTCAGTACAATAGTCAATAAATTATGTGAGATATTCCACACTTTGTGTTAGGTTATTTTGCCCAGTTGTAGGTGAATGTAAGTGTTCTGTTTAAAGTAGGGTAGAGTAAGCTATGATGTTCAGTAGGTTAGGTATATTAAATGAATTTTTGACATGATATTTTCAACTTATGATGTGTTTATTGAGACATAACTCCACAGTAAGTCAAGCAGCATCTGTATTTGTCTATCCTCTTGGTTATGTTTCTGGAGAACTCTGACTAATACACTGGCCCTAGAGTGTTTAGGACAGATGGATAGGGGTGTGCAGTGAGAAAGATCAATACAGGAAGTGGTTGGGTGTGGCTCTGGAATGGTTAGTTTACATTTGGAAAGCGTGCTCCTGGGCAAGTTATTTATTATCTCTAGGAATTGGCTAATCTTGTGAGCTGTAGTCCTTCCAGAGAGAGCAAGACACCAGATGTCATAGCATCAAAACAGAAAATAAGGAGATGTGGTTAATACAAGTTCAAAAGGGGGAAGCTATGGACACTTACAAAATAGATTGGTGCCATTCATATCTTCAAACAGAAATACTTTAGTAGATATGTCTGAGAAGCTTATTTGTGTGCCAAGATAAACAGCGTCCCTGCTCTCAACACATTTACATTAGAATTGAATGAGTGCCTGGAAATAAGCAACTGGCATTTTCAAGTCCAGAAAGCCTACTAAAAGAGTGGCAAAAAATAACGTGTCTGACTGTGTGCTGAGGCCAGTAACTGATGTGGAGAGGGAGGCTTGGCTAGGGGAATATAAATTCCAGGGAATTCAGAGCAGACCTGGTGGGGTCAAGAGTAATATCGAGTTACTCCTTCAGAATCAAGGTCACTCTGACTGAGACTGACTTTTAAATGAGCAAGAAGAATGCAGCACAGAAGATACTATTGCAGAAGAGCTACCAGAAGTGTTGCCAGGTTGTAATTCTAGGAGTGGATCAGTTGGGTTAGAGACTGCACCAGCTATTGGAAAAGTAAACACTTCTGAAAAACACTGCCTTTTAATTAATTTATCTACAGATCCTGTGATCTTGCTCTTATATTGCTTCGTCTAATTTCCTGTGGTAGACATGGCTAGCCATTTACCAAATTAGTTTTTTCAGGCAATTAATTTTCCTGGGCAGAGTTAGATCACATTTTCCAGACTCTTTTGCAGGTTAAGTGTGGCCATAGGACTGAGTGGATGGAATGTGAGCATAGGTGATAGGTATCGTTTCTAAGCTAAGGCTTTTAAAAAAGAGGAAAGCCTCCTCCATGCTTTTATGGTTAACTGGGATGGCAATCCCCAGGATGATCTTGCCAATCATAGGCTGAAGTTGGCAGATGCATTGTCGGCATGAACCCTTGGATAACTGCGTGGAGGAAAGTTGACCTGCAGATCAGGAACACCTATCTTGGACTATTAGGTGAAAACAGACAAACTTCTATTGTTTTAGAGCCATATTCATGTTAGGTCTATTTGTCATCATGACTTTAACTAGCGTAAGTATAAATAAAGATGTTTTTCTCTGCTTATAGAGGGCAAAGAGACCATTTCCCCCTTCTCTCTTAAAATGGTTTCTTGGAGCCATAATAAATCTGAGCTTTTATTCTAACCTTTGTAATAAAGATAAATCTTTTTAGATATTAAGCCTAATCTTTAGGTTCTACAATATAGAGATATTTCTAAGGTCATGAGATAGCTCTTTATGTAAGAGTGTACCCCTGGAATTAGGTCAGAAGCATCTCAGGAGGTGAGCGGAAATTGTCACACACTTTAGCATCTTCGTCTCTTGAGGAAATAAGGGAAGTTTTAATTGCTCTTTCTACTACCTTACTGTAGAAATTTGTGCGAAATTCTGTCCAGACTTTGTAGTCACATTTTTATGACCTCACATGTGTATAAATCCTCTAATGCTTCCCAGTAATAGTGTTCTATTTCTTTCTTCAATATTGGTGTGGAAGAGTCTTTTTGTTGGCATGATTATTTTATGTCCCCCAACAACTGACTAGAAATTGACATCAGAAGTAGGGCTCTACTTTAACAAAAAATGAAAATATGTGGGTTCTGCTTAGTGGTCAAGCATCTGCTGAGGAGTAAACAAATATTCAGAGGCTAGAAAGATGAGAACCCATGGCATAAAGTGGCAAAAAATTTTGGTAATATTGTCACTTTCAGTAACTTGGAACTCAAAACAAGTGCCTTCTAAATCTTTAGTTCTAGGGGAATAGGTAAGAAAAACCCAGTGCATCTGTGTGTGCATTGGGTGTGTTAGTGTATTAGCAAGGTATTGTAAAGAGGAAATAAGTACCTATAAGGATTGGCTGATTTAAAAGCATAAATAAAAGGTGTTAGCAATCTAGAAATTTGGATCTGAAAAGCCAACTGCTTCTGGAATCCAAACAGCAAGACATATAAACACTTTGAACAAGAAAAGGTCTATAAGGACTTACGAAGAAACTCAATACTGTAGCATAGATCAAGTTAAGAATGTTCTCTTCCTGCCCAAGCCTTTTGTTTTAGATATACTTCGGTATGCTCTAAGTTTAGAGAGTTCAGCATGGGGGTAAGGAAGCAAATACAGAGGCCTGAGCACTCTATCTAGAGAATAACTTTGGGTATGGTAATTCGCACATGGAATTGACTGGGAGTAAATAGATCAGAAGCCCATTATATTTTTGAAGGAAATGCATTGCTAAAAGAAACAACAAGCCTGCACTTTAAAAGTCTTGACTGTGAAAACTTTTGAGCCTCCAGCTTCCCAAATGGGAGAGTTAGGGGCCATAGAAAACAATAGCCTAGGGAATTCCTCCCAGAAATTGAGTCCAAGGTTTGTTACAAATTTTCTCCATGATAGAACAAGAGTCCTTTATAAGACCCATCCATCAGTATTCCATCCTTGCATAGACCAGTGAGTCCTGTTTCCCCTACTTTCTTATCCTGAAGGGGAACCTTTCTTTGGATGCTGTGCCTTGGTCCATTCCTGTGTGGTGGGATAGGAGGTAGAGTGGCAGAAATTTGTCTTTTCTGCACTGTCAAACTGCAAGTTGCCATAGCCAGAAGGGATGGAAAGAAATATATATCACCAAGAGATCTTGGTGCTGAATTGCATTCAATTATCCTTTTTCTCTTCTCCAAGAGTGTTCGGCTTTTCAAGACTTTCAGAAATTGATTTTTTTTTTCTTTGAGACAGAGATAGACTTCAAGTTTGGAACAAAAGACTGAGCTATAACTGGGCTACACACATATCACATTAATTTGGCTAAATAAGTACAACATGGGAATGACACCACTAGTAAAGCAGTCTTTTCAAATGACCTTTATGCTTCCATTTTTTATATTTAGGTTTTGACCCCAAGTCCTGACAGTAATGTATTTATTTTATTCACTTTCTGCTTCTATGAAGGAGTCTAGTTTACTGAGTATATGCATAGGTTACTATTATTTATTTTTTACTATAGGGTGTTTGTCGTGAGCTATAAAGCCAAAAAAAGCTACAGTGTCCTTGCAGAAAATGTGTGCTTTGCTTCTTACACTATGGGTGTGGGGTGACCCACAGTTGCACTGGCTTAATCATGCCTGCACCTGGCAATCAATCACTCTTCTGGAAACTGCATCCCATTAGGCATCAGCACAAAAAGCACTCTTGCCAAGTAGAAACAGGGCAGAAAATGCAATTCTGGTCTCTGACAGTGATTGAACATAGACTATGCCAAATCTCTGCCTGATGTCCCTAAATACAAAACATGCAGGGAAAAGCTGATGAATGAGTGGCTCATACTTCCTTCAGATCAAAGCTGCCATGCTCTTTTCATTATACAGTTTATCCATAGCAAGTAGATAGGACACATAGCTAATGCTCTATGTTCCCCAGAAGAGGTATAATGTGATAAGAGAGGTATACTCCAAGGACACAGTTAAATAATAAAGAACTGGGACCTGAATACGCCCATCCATGTACTAGAATTTTCTAAGAGTAGAAACAGCCTGCAAATTTAATGCTCTCCTTCTCCACTTAATCCCTCAACTGCCTACCTCATTGTATCTCCTCCCCAAAAGAGTACACTTCAGCCCTGGTACAGTCTATAGATCCCTCCTGGAATCAAAATCACAGAATGTTGGCATAGGAAAGCCCCATGAGTAATTTTGCTTCATCTTTTTTTTTTAGGACTGGAAAACTAAGCCCAAGAGTGATGAAGCAATTTAAGCCCGAGAGTGATGAAGCAAACAGTCAGTAAGTGGTAGATTCTGGAATGAAACGCTAGGATCCCATCTCCTGGTCTAAAGCTTTCCTTCTATTTACAGAATCATTTTCCATTTACATTCAGATTCCTGAATGTTGGCAGCACTTTGTCAACTGAATCAAGGAGATACTGAACTATAATTCCAAGTTTTAATGGTGCTGAAAGGACACATAAGAGACTACCTCAGTGCTCTGTTTAAAGAGAAATTAATAATGCTTCCTATTTTATGAATTGCATCATTTATACACATAGATCTTCAAACAAAGGTTTGTTGCTTGATAATCTGAAGTGAGAAGTATTGACTTATCAAGAGAAATAATTTATACTAGGGAGAGAAAAGTTAGCAATTGTAGAGCTACATGCAAATAACAAAATAACTATTACCATTGATAATTATTCAATTCATTAGTTAATTTATTCTTCACTCATTTCATATGTTTATATGCAGTGCCTGTGATGCCTGCAAGATATTATGCTAAGGTTCCTGGGAAACACAAAGGTAGGTAAAGGTAGGTAAAGGTGGGTAAGGTTCCTGGGAAACACAAAGGTAGGTAAAGCCACTTCTGCCCTCAACAAGCTAGCTCCTAGTTTTTTAAGAACTAAGTGATGGATATTCAGCAGGGAATTTTGATTCAGTAGGAGGGGACAGCACTCAGTCACTTCTGGAGAAAAGGGTTAGGTGGCACATTTTCCCTCTGTACTCGTTTTGTAAAAACAGCTTTACTGAGGTTTGACTGACACACAATAAACCACATACAATGAAAGAGACAATTTGATAAGTTCTGACATATGTAGACACCCCATGATCACTGTCAAGATGATGAACATACCCATCACCCCACAGAATTGCTAGTACCTTCAGTAATCCCTCCCTCTTGCTCCTCTTGGGCTCCACTGCCCAATCCCTAGGAAAACAGTGACCTGCTTTCTGTCACTATAGATTGGGTTGCATTTTCATTATTTTATATAAATGGAATCATACTATATGTACTATTTTTTTGCTTGGCTTTTTTTCACTCAGCGTCATTATTTTGAGGTCCATATACATTGTTTTGTATCAATAGTTTGTTTATTTTTATTGCAAAGTAATAGTCTGCTAAATATATACCAGAACTTGTTTATCCATTCATCTGTTGTGGGAAATTTGGGGTTATTTCCAGTTTTTGATTATTACAAATAAAGGTATAAATATTCATATATTTATGAAGTCTTTATTTACATGGACATATGGAAATGATACATGCTTTCATTTATCTTGAGTAAATACTAGGGGGTGGAATGGCTGGGTCATATGGCAGCTGTATGATTAGCTTTTTAAGAAACTGACAAACTGTTTCCAGAATGGCTGTACCATTTTTTAATTCTCATCAGCAATGTATGAGAATTCTAGTTGTTCCACACCTTTCCAAAAACTGGTATGGTCAGTCTTTTTGGTCAGTCTTTTTTCACTTCAGTTATTCCAAAAGTTTTCATTCATATGTACACATTTATACCCACTGACAAACAGAGAGGATGGTAGCCACTTTGGAAAAAACCTGAATCTCATCTGCCATTTGCATTTAGACAGATATGCCTGATACTCTGCAGAGAGAGAGACAAAGTGACTCATTGAAAATAATTTATCACAGAGAAAGGAATCTTCACAGGGAGCCATCCTTAGTAACAGAGCCAGAGGAAAATGCAAGTCCTGAGAACCACGTGGTTGAGAAAACAGACTCATCTTGCTCCAGTTTTGTGGATGTAAACAGGGGAGAGAGTTGTTACATCCCAGAAGCCTGAAGTCTTAGCATGTGCAGGCAATCTTGTTGAGGATCTCTTATCTGCCCAAGTATCACACAGTAGGTGTGTTGTCTCTTTTACATAAGAGTGATAGCAGACATCTCTGTGGTTAGGTTGTTCCCATTCTACCGACATTGAATGTAGCCACTTTCCAGCTCCGCCAGGTCCCAGGTGATGGCAGTGCTGCTGGTGTGTCGCAGAGTTCCAACTCTAAGTGACACCACTGAGGAAGTGTTGAGGCTCAGGCTGATTGAGAGGGTGATGTTTAATCAGGACTTCATTATGGAAACATAAAAACAGTTTTGAGGATAATTTAGAAGGAACTGTGATTTTCCTTTGATATTTCTAAAACAATCAGGAAGAGGGTCACAGTCAATGATATTTGGCAGAACAGATGGGACTACATCTATACTCGCTGGAGGTAACATACACTTGTAGCCATGAAGCCAGGTAGCATTTAAAAGGGCTGTAAGAGGTGGATAATGATAGCAGACATTTATTGAAAACTTAATGATATGCCAGGTGGTATTCAGAGTGCTTTAAAGGGAGGAACTCATTTAATCTCATAACCCAGGACATTTTATGTTGGGCTGCAAACCTAACATAAAACTGGCTGCAAAACAAAATAAGCTAAAGTGTACTCATAGAAAATGTGCATTTTTCTTCTTAAACTGTGAGGGTATGGTGACACACAGATGCATTTTCTTTATCATGGCTGTACCTATGACCTACTATCAACATTATTATCTCCATTTTTCAGGTGAGGAAACAGACTCATAAGCTTAAGTGAATTGCCCAAGGTCACATAGCTAAGAAACGGCAAGTCAAGTTTAGAATCAAGGCAGCCTGGCTCCAGAAACCATGTTCTCAATTGCTCTGCAGTTTTGACCTTAGCAAGAAATGCAAAATACTCTAGAATTCAGAGAAATGTCACATTATTTTTCAGTGAGGGAATAGGAAGGGATTCATGCAAGATATAATATTTTAAATGATACCTTGAAAGAATTATGAAAGCAGAGAACTATAGGTTTGGAAAGATCAGGACAGAATGAAGAGCATTCTTTCTGACACATTGACTATACTAATCATTGTGGATACATTTTCATTCCCTGTAAATTGTCCATAATTAGTGGAGGCAAAGGATATCAAATATAACTTGACGGGCTTATTAAAGGATACATATGGTTTATTAACTTTTAAATAACATATTTGAGTGTTATCTCCTGTCTTCTGGCCACCATTTCTTTCAGTATAGCAAGATGGGTGGGGGAAGCATGTGCTAGGAATTAGAAATGGGCTGGTCCAATTCCTAGCTCCACTGCTTTTTGGCTGAGTGATCTTGGGAAACTTGCTGAACCTGTTGTCAGAACTGTGAAGAGTCTCATATATTTCATTCTACTTGCAAGCTAACAAGTTAACTGCCACAGTTTCATGGATATTGGCAGAAGACATGAGACTCTTGAGTCAGAAACAATGGACTTTATTACTCATGGCAACGTCGGTAGCCAAAATATCAGCATTTGTGCCAGTTCCCTGAGCCCCAATTCTTACAGGATGATGCAAACAAGGCAGGAGATATCATCACGTGCAGTGGATTGTGTTATAGGAGAGGACTCCCTGGTCTAGGGAACCCAGATCTTTTGTAATGGACAGTCAGCCTGCCTGAACTTTGCCTTGAAGGAAGACATTATCTTTATTATACTGGACAATAAACAAACCTGCTTTTGCCCTGAAAGAAGACACTATGCTTATTTTCCCAGTCTGTTTGCTATACGTGTATTCTTGAGAAGATAGTCCGGAAAAAGGGTAACCTCTGCTCACAAAACATAGAGAAACCTGAGAGTCCTGTGGAAAATTGTCCCTCAACACCTCTATCTGCAGTTTATTCACCTGTGAAAGAGGAATAATGATAATTATTCACTGGCTTGCTGTGAGAATTTAATGAGATTCTATTTGGAAAGAATTTAGAAGGGCATCTGCCACATTTCAAGCATCCAGTAAATGTTAGTTATTGTCGTTCTTTTTAAAAATTGTGCTAAAATACATATAACATGAAATTTACCATTTTAGCCTTTTTAAATTGTAGAGGTCAGTGGTATTAAATACATTCACATTGTTGTGCGACCATCAGCACCATCCATCTCCAGAAAGTTTTCATCTTCACCAGCTGCAACATTGTACCCATTAAATACCAACTCCCCATTCCTAACTTGCCCTAAAGGGAATCCAAAGGATTCTTTAGTCCAAGAATCTAAAGGCCAACGAAACTGCAGTCTGATGTCCAAGGGCAGGAAGCATCCAGCATGGGAAAAAGATGAAAACCAGAAGACTCAGCAAGCCAGCTTGTTACACCTTCTTCCACCTGCCTTTTCTAGCCACACAGCTGATTGGATGGTGCCCCTAACAACCACCATTCTACTCTCTGTCTTTCTTATGTAAGTGAAATCATACAGTATTTGTCCTTTTGTGACTAGCTTATTTATTTATCTATTTATTTATTTTGAGACAGAGTCTCGCTCTGTTGCCAGGCTAGAGTGCAGTGGCACAATCTCGGCTCACTGCAAACTCCACCTCCCAGGTTCAAGTGATTCTCCTGCCTCAGCTTCTCAAGTAGCTGGGACTACAGACGCTTGCCACCACGTCTGGCTAATTTTTTGTATTTTTAGTAGAGACGGAGTTTCACCATGTTGACCAGGATGGTCTTGATCTCTTGACCTCGTGATCCACCTGCCTCAGCCTCCCAAAGTGCTGGAATTAAGGCGTGAACCACCCCACCCGGCCGTGACTAGCTGATTTTACTTAGCATAATGTCCTCCACATTTATCCATGTTGTGGTTTGAGTCAGTAGTTCTTTAATTTTTAAGGCTGAAAAATAATCCATTGTGTGAGTATGTGTGTGTGTGTAAATATACACACACATATATAAATATATAAAATCCATATTTATATATGCAAATATATAAATGTGCTAGGAATTAGAGCACATTTATGTATCTATATATTTACATAGCATATAGCACAAATATGTATTTATATATTTACATATAAATATGTATTTTATATATTTACATATAAATATGTATTTTATATATTTACATATATAAATATGGATTTTTATATATTTATATGTGTATATATATTTATATATTTAAGAGGTTATTTATTTAGACCTCTATCTCTCACCATACATAAAAGTCAAATCTAAATATGTTAAATACTTAAATGGAAGGCCTGAAGCTATGAAACTACCAGAAGAAAACGTAGGAAAAAGGCTTTGTGAAACTGGACTGGGCAGATTGTTTTTAATAAGACCTCAAAAGCATAAGCAACAAGAGCAAAAATAGACAAATGGGATTGTATCAAACTAAAAAGGCTCTGTGCAGCTAAGGAGACCATCAATATAGTGAAGAGACAACTTACAGAATGGGAGAAAGTATCTGTAAACTTTGCATTTGACAGAAGGTAAATATCCTGCATATTAGGGTTCTCCAGAAGGACAGAACTAATAGGATATATGTACATATGAAAGGATATATGTACATATGTACATATGAAAGGATATATGTACATATGTACATATGAAAGGATATATGTACATATGTACATATGAAAGGATATATGTACATATGTACATATGAAAGGATATATGTACATATGTACATATGAAAGGATATATGTACATATGTACATATGAAAGGATATATGTACATATGTACATATGAAAGGATATATGTACATATGTACATATGAAAGGATATATGTACATATGTACATATGAAAGGATATATGTACATATGTACATATGAAAGGAAGTTTATTAAGGAGAATTGACTTACACAATCACAAGTTGAAGCCCCACAATAGGCTGTCTGCAAGCTGAGGAGCTAGGAAGCCAGTAGTGGCTCAGTCTGAGTCCCCAGCTCTCAAAAGTAGGGAAGCCGACAGACAGTGCAGCCTTCAGTCTGTGGCCAAAGGCTGGAGAGCCCCTGGTGAACCACTGGTGTAAGTCCAAGGGTGCAGGAATCATCCAGCATGGGAAAAAGATGAAAACTGGAAGATTCAGCAAGCCGGCTTATTACACCTTCTTCTACCTGCTTTTTCTAGCCACACAGCTGATTGGCTGGTGCCCACCCACATTGAGGGTGGGCCTCCCTCTAGTAGTCCACTGACTCAAATGCTAATCTCCTCTGGCAACACCTTCATAGACACAATACTTCGTGTACAATTGTTTCACCCAGAAACAATACTTTGCATCCTTCAATCCAATCAAGTTGGCACTTAATATTAACCATCACATACTGAATATATAAGGAAGTCAAACAACTCAATAGCAATAATAATCATCATCATCAGATTAAAAAATGAACAAAAGACCTGAACAAACATTTCTCAGAAGAAGACATACAAATGGCTAACAGATATATGAAAAAATGCTCAGCACCACTAATCATTGGGGAAACGTAAATCAAAACCCCAATGACCTTACCCCAATGATCTTACCCCAGTTAAAATGTCTATTATTTAAAAAAACGAGAATCCAGAGAAAGGGGAACTTTTATACACCGTTGGTGGGAATGTAAATTAGCACAGCTATTATGGAAAACAGTATGGAGGTTCTACAAAAAGTTAACAATAGAACTAATTCATGATCCAGCAGTCCCATTACATTACTTGTTGCATATCCAAAACAAACGAAATCACTATGCTGAAGAGATATCTGCACCCTAATGTTTATTGCAGCATTATTCACAATAGCCAAGATATGAAATCAACCTAAATACACATGTACAGATGAATGGATAAAGAAAATGTGATGTATATACGTACACAATGGAATACTACTCAGCCATAAAACAGAATGAAATCCTGTCACTTAGAGCAACATGGATGAACCTGAAGGATATTACATTAAGTGAAATAAGCCAGGCACAGAAAGACAAACACCACATTATCTCACTCATATATGGAATTTTAAAAAGTTGATCTCATAGAATTAGAGAGCAGAGTATTTATTACCAAAGGCTGGGGAAGGTAAAAAGGAGGAGGGGACTGGAAGAGGTCGGTCAATGGGTGCAAAGTCATAGTTATATTGGAGGAATAAGTTCTGGTGTTCTTGCTGTCACCACAAAGAAAAGAGAAATGTTAAAAGTGATGAATATGGTAACTATCTTGATTTGATCTTTAAACAATATATAAATGTACTGAAACCTCACACTATACTCCATTAATATGCACATTATGTGTCAATTATAAATACAAAATTAATAATAATTATTTGAAAGTTCCATTAACGTTTAAAACAATCTGAAGAGAATGTTCAACATTTCTATTCTCAGTCTTTTAGAGACAAATCCAAATTACAAAACACTGAATTGATTTGTTCGAGAAAAAGCAGCAAATCCACAGCCAAATCATAACAAGAGAATACCTTGATGGTCTATAGTTTAGCACTTAACTATTCAGGTTGAATAAAAGTGCATAACTTCTAGTTCCATATATCAGTAAGAAATCTAAACAATGTATAATCATATCATCTTTATTGCTTCTTAAAATTGAGGTTATAACTAGCAACATTTCTGAAAAATTTCAAAGAAGTAAAAATTACTACTTAAATTTTAGCTACTTCTTTCCTATTACTCTTCAATTATAACTACCACTAATAGTACAATTATTACTCTTTGGAACACTATTGTACTTAGTAACATAGAGCATCTACTGTAACAATGAAACACTGTGTCCACTTTCTTTAAAAAATGTCAATTTACATCTTTTAGAAAATAGAGATATTTATCTTGGCACATAGTTGGTTGACTTTATTCATATGTCTTTTTATCTTACCTTCTCTTTGGAATACTTAGATGAAAAATTTTAATTTTGACTACTGTTCAAAAGCAACCTAAACACAACATATGTCAGCATTTTAATGAGCTTTGCTTTAATGACTAATTCAATGTGAAACTAGTAAAAAATTAATTGCATTATGAGAATAGAAATTAATTATTCAGATGCCTAAGTTAGGAGTACAATAATAGTCAACTACAGCAAAATCCTGCTTAACCAAACTTATCTAATGGGAACTTTCAAACTTTCAACTAAGATTTCATTTTGTTTTGGTGTTTTTTTGTTTTTTGTTTTTTTTTTTTGGAGAATCAGAAGGATGTAGATGGCAAGAGGGCATATTATCAAGTGAGACAGATTAAACTGTATCAACATTTATCTTTTGTCCTGAGAAATTCTAAGCTTTCCTTAACTAGTGGCTTTTAAAAAATCCTTTGTTTTAAGTGGACCATGAGCAAACTCATCTGTGCCATATTCTTAAATAGACACTCCTAACTTACCTGCTGCAAATCTAATAGGAGAAAAACACATTCTTTACTTTTCTCCTCCAAATAGGGAGCTGTAACTCATTGCAGGGCTTAGGATAGACACCTAACAATTATCTGGAAATAAATGAAGAAGAAATCTATTACACTTGACAGCTAAAAAAAAAAGTGAGAACACAATTGAGCTTCTTTGTAAAATTATCAAAACTTTCTGTAGTCGTGGAACCAACCCAAATGCCCGTCAGTGAAGGAGTGGATAAATAAACTGTGGTGTTTTATATATATATGATGGAATACTAGTCAGCCATAAAAAGGAATGAATTAATGGCAAATGCAGAGACCTGGATGAGATTGGAGACTATTATCCTAAATGAAGTGACTCAGGAATGGAAAACCAAACATCACATGTTCTCACCCATAAGTGGGAGCTAAGCTATGAGGATGCAAAGACATAAGAATGACACACTGGACTTTGGGGACACAGGAGGAAAGGGTGGGAAGGGGTGAGGAATAAGACTACAAATAGGGGGCAGTGTATACTGCTCAGGTGATAAGTGCACCAAAATTTCACAAATCACCACTAAAGAACTTACTCATGTAACCAAATACCACTTATTCTCCAATAACCTGTGGAAAACAATGACAGAAAAATCTTTTTGTAGTCAATAACAGATTTTTGTAGTATTCCTCAATCAGGTTACTTAATTATAATTCAACTACTTCTTTAAGGAATTTGCAAAGTTTTCAATTCACACACAAACACATACATAAATAGAAACATAGGCACAAATGCATATGAATATGTACATATATTACACACACTATGGAACAACTACAAGTAAATTCAGGTTAAAATACCAGAAACCAAGCAGAAGAGAGGCATAGATTAGATGTTAAAACCTGGGGTGGTGGTGGAGGTAATGACAACACTGGTCCTGATGATGATGATAGCTGTTATTTATTGGTTGCTTACTATGGCTAGTCACAACACTAGATGCTTGCTGAGTGATTCACTACATTTGAACACTATATTCATTTAGCTCCAAGATTGTTGTATCCAAGTCAAAAGGAGGAAGTGTAATAGTGAAAACTGAATATAGTTTAGGAATTTAACAGAATTGGCATTTGTGGTAGGGAAAAATCTGCTTCAAATGAGCATTTCCTCATGCAAATATTATATTACACATAGATAAGTGATAGTTGGTGATATTATTTGTCAGAAAATATAAAGAGGGACATCTGTCTATATATATTTAGAAAAGAAACATAAAATTATACAAGTAATTTAAAAACTTTTTAATAGCTTTATTGAAATATAATTCAGTCTATAAAATTGTATTTCCAGTGTACATCTCAATGGTTTCTAGGACACATGCAATTATCATAACAGTCAATTTTAGAATATTTTCACCACCTTAAAATGAAATCTCTTACTCTTTGGCTATCACTCCACAACTCTCCCATCTCTTCCACTACCCCAGACCCTAAGCAACCATTAATATACTTCTGTCTCTACAGATTTCTTCATTCTGGACTTATAAATAAATGGAGTCATATAATTAGTGGTCTTTTGTAACTGATTTCTTTTAGTTAGCATAATGTTTTCAAGGTTAATCTACATTATAGCATGTACCAGTACTTCATTTCTTGTTAAGTAATTTTCCTGGTATGGATACCACTTTTGTTGATCCATTTGTTGACTGATGAACATTTGGGTTGTTTCCATCTTTTGGCTGTTATGAAAGATGCTACTATTAACATTTCTGTACAAGTTTTTGTGTGGACATACATTTTCATCTCTCTTGGATGCATACCTAGAAGTGAAATTGTTATGTTATATAGTAACTCAAGGTTTAATTATTTGAGGAACTACTAGATTCTTCCCCACAGTGGCTGTACCATTTTACATTCCCACTATGACTGTATGAAAGTTCTGAGTTTTCCACATCCTCACCAACATTTCTTGTTAGTTTTTATTCTCACCTTCCTAGTGGATGCTGATGACTGATGTCAAGTGCCTTTTCATATGCTTATTTGCCACTTGTATACATCTTTTTTGGAGAAATGCTTATCCAAATCATTTGCCCATTTTAAAATTTGGTTGTCTTTTTATTATAAGAGTTTTTTAGTAGGAGTTCTTTATATATCCTGGATAGAAGTCCCTTATCAGATGTGTGATTTGCAAGTATTTTATCCTATTCTATGGGTTGTCTTTGTCAGGATGAGAAAGTTTCCTTCTATTCCTAGTTTGCTGAGGGTTTCTTATTATTAAAAGGTGTTGGATTTTGTCAAATGCCTTTTTCTTTGCCTATTGAAATGACCATGTGAGTTTTTTTGTTCTATTGATGATTTAGTACATTAATTAAGTTTTTAGTTGTTAAACCAATTTTGAATTCCTGGAATAAATCCCACTTAGTCATAGAGTATAAGTATAATTTGTTTTGTATGTTGCTGGATTTGGTTTGCTAGTATGCCATTGAAGATTTTTGCATCCACATTCATAAGAGACATTGTTGTGCAGTTTTAATTTTCTTGTAATGCCTTTCTCTGGTTTGGGTATCAGAGTAATAGTGGCTTAAAATATTTGGAAAGTGTTCCTTCTCATTCTATTTTTTGGGAGAATTTGTGAAAAATTGATATTAGTTCTTTTTTGAATGTTTGATAGAATTCAGTGGTGAAGCCATCTGGGCCTGGGCTTTTCTCATGGATAGTTTTAAAATTCTTGATCCAATCTCTTTACTTATTATAAGTCTATTCGGAATAACTATTTCACATTGAGTCAGCTTTAGTAGTTTGTGTTTTTCTAGGACTTGGCCCATTTCATTTGTCTAATCTGTTTGTGTACAATTGTTCACAGTATTTATTTATAATCCTTCCTATTTTTATAAGGTCAGTGGTAATGTCCTCTCTTTCATTTCTGATTCTAGTAATCTGAGTCTTTTCTCTTTTTATTTTTTAGTCAAACTAGTAAAAGTTTGTCAATTTTGTAGATCTTTTCTAAGAACCAGCTTTTGGGTTTACTGATTTTATCTATTTTTTTCTATTTCGATGTAATTAATTTCTACTCTAATTATTATTTTCTTCATTCTGCTTGTTTTAGGTTTAGTCTCCTTTTACTTTTTCAGTGTCTTAAGGTGCAAAATTAGGCTATTGATTTATTTCTTTTTTTCTTAATACAGGCTTTTATTGTAATAAATTTCTGTCTAAGCATTGCTTTAGGTGCATCCTATAAGCTTTCTTATGTTATGTCTTCATTTTCATACATCTCAAGGTATCTTCTGTTTCTCTTTAATTTCTTCCTTGTCCTATTGATTATTTAGGAGTGTGTTCAATTTCCACATATTTGTGAGTTTCCCCAAATTTTCCATTATTGACGTCTAATTGTATTTTATTGTGGTAAGAGAACATGCTTTGCATTATTTACATTCTTTCAAATTTACTGAAACTTTGTTTCATGGTTTTACTGTGATTGATCTTTCAGAATGTTCCATGTGCACTTGAGAAAAATGCATATTGTGTTGTTTTGTAAAATATTCTGTAGATGTCTTCTAGGTATAGTTATAGTTTTTTTCTATTTCCTTGTTAACCTTATGTCTACTTTTACCCATTATTGAAAGGGGGGTGTTGATGTCTCCAACTCTTATTGTTGAACTTCCTCCTTTTCCCTTCATTTCTGTCAGGTTTTTTCATGTATTTTTGTGATCTGTTATTAGGTGCATACATATTTATAATTGTTATATTTTAGTTCTGAATTGATCCTTTTATCATTATCAAATGTCCCTCTTTATCTTTAGTAATTTTTGTAATCTAAAATGTATTTGGTCTGACATTAATATAGCCACTCAAGATTTCTTGAGATTGCTGTTTGCATAATATATCTTTTCCCTTTCTTTCACTTTTAATCTTTTTGTGTCTTTGAATCCAAAGTGTGTCTTATGTAGATGACATATAGTCATCTACTAAATATGACTAGTGTACCTTATGTAGATGACATATAGACACACTTATCTACTATATGTGATCTAAATAAGACAGGCTTTGGGTTATGCTTTTTATCTAGTCTGAAAATAACTACCTTTTAATTGGTTATTTATCCATTCACATTTTATTTTTTATATATTTAGATATGTCTGCCATTTTACTTTTTGTTTTCCATGTCTTTTGTCTTTTTTATTACTCTATTCCTCCCTTACTGCTTTCTTTTGCACTGAGTGAATGTTTTCTAATGTAGCATTTTAATTCCATTATTTTTTCCATCATATATTTTGAGGTTGGTTTTTTTTTAAGTGGTTGCTCTAAGGTTTACTACATGAATCTTAACTTATTGGAATTAGCTTCAGATTTATACTAGCTTAATTCTAGTAATGTAAAGAAATGTTACTTCTGTTAGCTCTCTATTCCCTTTTCCTCCTTGTTTGTGGTATTGTCATACATATCTATTAATGTTAAAAACCCGACAATATATTATTATAATTTTAATTTACTGTCTATCATTATTTCCTTAGGCAATATGGTTTTGCTCCCATTCATCTTCTTTGTTCTCTGATTGGCAAATATATTACATGCATTACATTTCTATATGCTTGTTATAGTCTCCACAATACATTAGCTACATATTATTATTATTATTATTATTATTATTATTATTATTATTTTTGAGAGGGAGTCTTGCTCTGTCATCCAGGCTGGAGTGCAGTGGCAAAATCTTGGCTCATTGCTACCTCTGCCTCCCAGGTCCAGGTGACTCTCCTGTCTCAGCCTCCTGAGTACCTGGAAATACAGGCATGTGCCACCACACCTGCTTAATTTTTTCTATTTTAAGTGGAGTCAGGGTTTTACCATATTGGCCAGGATGGTCTTGAACTCCTGACCTCAGGTGATCTGCCCACCTCGGCCTCCCAAAGTGCTAGGATTACAGGTATGAGCCACAGCACCCAGCTGATACATATTATTTTATACAGTTGCTTTTTAAATCTATTAGCAGAAGAAAGAAGAAAAATATGCATTTATAGTTTCTTTATAATTTCTTAATTTCCTTTACAAGTACTTTGTTCTGCCAGATAAAATCTACTGTTGAGCCCATCTAGTTATTTTTATTGCAATTATTGAAGTTTTCAACCTCAGAATTTTCATTTGGTTATTTCTAGTAACTTGTATGTCTTTAGAGGTATTCTCTATTTGATATATTGTCATCATGCCTTCCTTTACTTCTTTAATTATGCTTCCCCTTAGTTCTGTCAATGTATTTGTGATAACTACCTTAAAATCATTTTCTGTTAGTCTGACATTGAAACTGCCTTTGCAAAAATCATAACTGAGAAAATTATGACACTGAACAATATCAGACCTAGCTGACCTCATCTTGCTTCTAACCTCTAAACTGTCCTTGTCCATTCCTGGGCATAGGCCAAACTAACTTTGGAAAGGAATTTAGTGTATAGTTTATATAATAGCTCTTCCCAAAAGGCTAAACTGTTCTAGCAAAACAAATGAAAGGCCACCAGCCACCAAGTCAAGATGAGAGGAGCTGAATTTTAAATATTACCAGCCATAATTCCAGAGGTCATGAGATTTGTAGCTTCCCCAGTTCCTCTTCAAGGTAACATCACTATTGTGAACCTAAGATCGGCCTTTGGAGATGTCTTTTCAGGTTTTTGCATTTCTAACATCCAGATAGCTCCCCCGGACCTGCCAGCCCGTTCTATGGCACCCACCCAGGAACTAACTTAGTAGAAGAGAACAGCTTTGACTCCCTATGAGTTCATCCCTGAGCCAAGCAGTCAGCACTCCTGATTCACTGGCCCCCTACCCACCATATTATCCTTAAAAACTCTGATCCCCGAGTTTTCGGGGAGACTGATTTGAGTAATAATAAAACTCCAGTCTCCTGCACAGCCGGCTCTGAGTGAATTACTCTTTCTCTATTGCAATTCCCCTGTCTTGATAAATCAACTCTGTCTAGGCAGAGGGCAAGGTGAACCCCTTGGGCAGTTACAACATCTGGTCACTCTGAAAGGCAGTTTGTCTTGTCTTCTTTTATTTAGGTGTATCATAGTTTTCTGTTTCTTTTCATGCCTTGTAATTTTTTATTAGAAACTGGACACTTTAGATAATATATTGTAGCAATTCTGGGCACTGCCAGGCCTCTGGGGCTTATAATTATTATTTATTTGTTTATCTGTTGAGTGACTCCCTAGGTTTAGTTAAATCTAGCCTGTCAGCTCTATAGTGTTCAGCCTCTGATATTTGTGCTCAGGGAGATGGAACTTGGTCTATGTTCACAGTCGCCCTCGGGTAACAGTGGCACTTGCAGGACTCCTCTACTCTTTTCCTGACCATATCCAGCTGTTAATCTCTACTGACTTTCTCAGCAGTTACTTGCCCATTGAGAGTTCTATTGTTTTCAACAATGCCCTGAGGATAAATTCTTCTTCAAACCGGTCTAATCAACTTTCAGTTCCCTTGGCAGAACAGTTTCTGAGGTAAAAGTTTGATATTTGTCCTAACCCTAGAAATGTTCCTCCCAGCTGCCCTATTCCCTGGCTCTCTCCTGCAAAGTAGCTGGCTTATAGTCTAGGCTGTATCTCCATTAGACCCATGGATCTCCTCCCAACTTTCTATTACTCCAACCTCTACTATCTGCAGAGTGGCCTTAGGTTTAAACTTCTCCACGTATCATTGCATCTAAAGTCAGTTTGGGGGAAGAGATTAGGCATGATCTGTCATATGGCTGGCTTCTTCTCCCAGGCAAAACCTCTGAGCCAGGGCTCTGGAAATGGAGGTGGAGACAATGGCAAGCTCTTTTCCGAGTGACACTCCACTCTAGAAGCTGACAGCTAAGTGGAAGGGGAAGAGATTCAATACTCTGGGGTCCTTTAGGCTTGTCACTTTTAGTGTGAAACTAGCACCTCACTAGCAGAGAGCTTCTGGGGGCTGCAGTATTTTAAGCATATCACACTCAAGGTAGAGTCTCAGATCCATGAGTGGAAATTGGGTGGAGAAATGGAGCCTCCACACAATCACACCAACTTGGGACTTAAGCTCAGCAATGGGCAGCTGAAGACAGAATGAGAAATTCCTGCTTCTCCCTGGAAGAAGCTCTCCAGCTGGGAGCTAAAAGGAGAGGGGGCTCTGTATTCTTGGTTGCAGAAATCTCCACCCGGCTTAGCTTGGAGGGGAAAGGAAAAAAGGAGTCTTTGTTCAGCTACCACAGACTCTCATCTTTCTTACTAAATGTTCATAGATGTTTCTTCATTTGCTATTTACCCTTCGACCATTTCCAGAGAGGCTTCAAAAGTTTGCTTTGTTTTTTAAAAAATAATTTTTGCAAGTTTTATTGGAAAACAGGTCACTGGAGCTTCTCATCCTACTGTGCCAGAAATCAGTCTCCTCGAAGCACGTGTTAATGGATATACTTCACAGTGTTCTGAAACAAAAGTCGGAGATACCTCAGAAATGGACTTGAGTTTTATAATTTCATAATTTATCCTAGACCCAGGAAAATTCCAGTTTGACTATTGGCCAGCAGTAATCGATTTACATAACTAGGCTCAACGTGGGCAATTTGCATAATTTACAACAATAGAATACAGGTTACTTGTAATCTAAGGAAGGACAAACCTCCTACTGAGACAGTCAAGTAAAAAGGGGTCGCTGAAGAATCTCTGACTGGCATGCACACTGGGAAGATGGAGTGGAGCCTCTGAAAGTTTGTGCTGTTTGCAAGGTCGAGGAGCCTGGCCTCTCCTGTTCCTGCGTGGCAACCTGGGATTCAATCTGTGAGGTGAGAAACCTGCTAGCAGGACTCTATCTCACTTTGCTGATGGTTCCTGCTTCCCTTTTTTTTCCACCCAATAAATGCAGCCCTACTCACCCTACAATGTGTCTACGTGCCTAAATTATCCTGGTTGTGTGACAAGAACCTGGGTTTTTTCTACAACACTACCATGTGAGTACAGAGGATGAAAAGGGCTGTCTTTCTTTCTCTTTGTAGAATACAAATCCAATTAGTTCTTGACTGGTTATTTTAATTTGGTCTAGAAAAAGAAATGAGCCTCCAGATTTTATTTTAATCAATAAATTCAGCCTTTTTCTGACTAAAATTTTTCTTCTCAGTTTTATTAAAAAGTAAGCAAAGTGAACAGGATTAATTTTGCAACTTCCCTGTAGTTGAAATGCTAATCCACAGTGAAATGTCTATGAAACAGAAGCCAAACCAGGTAATCTTCATATCAATTAGGATTAGTTGTAGTTGCATATAAGAGGAAAACCAAAATAGCATTTACTTAAACTCTCAGGATTTATTCTTCTAGCATAAAAGAAGGTAAAGTGGGTAGCAGTGCTGACATGAATGCTCCAAAAAAATAATTAGGAACTCAGGCTTTTTCTGTCTCTCTGCATAAGGTTGCTTCACGGTCCAATACAACTACCAGAGCTCTGCCTCCATGTTTGTATGTCACGTAAAAGAAATGAAGAAGCAGGAGGAAAGCAGGATGTCCCCCTCAGCTGCATCAACTCCCTTTTCTGTAAATACTGATAGAGACAGGAGACAGGGACATATGGGTAGAAGAGGGCAGTTCCCCGGCAAAGGCCCCACCCGCAAGCCTGGATACCTGGAGCCCTAAATAAGAACAGGTATTTCTGTTTTCATGCCCCAAAAGTTGCCTGTTGGCCTGCCACACCCCCTATCCTGCTCCCATATAAACCCCAAACTCCAGAGCAGACCAACAGATCAGCAGACCAGCAGACCAATGATGGCAGAATAATGTGGCAGAGAAAGAGAGAAGAGGAGGAATGTCTGGACACCAAGGGGAGTTCAGCTGGGGGCGGTTGGAGAAGAGTCCAGCTGCTGGGTGTCCTGACTCCAGGGAAAGATCACCTTCCTACTCCATCCCCGCTGCTGGCTCCCCAACCATCTCGCTGAGAGCGACCTCCACCACTCAATAAAACCTTGCACTCATCCTTTGAGCCTGTGTGTGATCCGATTCTTCTGGGACACTGGGCAAGAGCTTAGGACACAGAAGGCTGTCACACTGGCCCTTTGCCCTTACGATAAGGCAGAGAGTCCATTGAGCTGATTAACACTCAAGCCATCTGCAGATGGCAAAGCTGAAAGAGCTTTGTAACACTGGGGTTGCAGCACCCTGCCCTAGACACTACCCCAGGGCCGAGAGCCCAAAGCACTTATCCCGGCCTCTGCACCTGCCCGTCTGCATGCTCCTTCTAGGTGTCTGAGCTGTGGGATGACACAAACAGGTGAGCCACACCCCTGGTGCGTCTTGTGAGAGGAAATCAGGGAACTCTCCCATTTCAATACCACAAGATTATTCTATGGTCATGCTTCCATTTTCATCTTATTGCCTGAAACATAGTCACATAATCACAGATAACATTACAGGAGGTTGGTAAACGTAAGTTTCAGATGTGCACATTGCCAGTTCAAGTAAAAGTGGAGAAAGAAGTAGAGAAAGCCTTTTGCTTGGGCAATTACCCATTATAAAAACAATGTGAGAAATAATCATCCACACCCCTGCTTCCTCCCACCTCAATCTATTGAAGTTGAGTGTACAGAGAAACCATGCAGAGTAAAATGTATACCTGACCTGACACTTTTAACCCAAATACCTCTCTCAACAATCCTAAGAGAAATTTTAGCTGTTAGTGGACCTCACAAAGTCAGGGACCTGACTGGAGAGTTAGGCATCCAGGTTGTGGAGTCAGGCTCTGCACACTTAAGCATTGTGACTTCATTTTTCTCAACTGTAAAATACAGCTATCAAGCGAACCTTCCTCAAAGGATTGGTGTGGGTTAAGAGAATGCAGGACAATTGTTAACGATTGTGCCTAGTATATAGTGACCATTCTGTAGGAGTTAGCTGTTATTATTACTCTCTACAGCAGCTTTCCTTTTAAACACTTTTAAACACTTCAACCAAAATAGACTTATCATTCTATTCTAAGCAGAATAAGACTATATGTCCTTTTGTATGTCTAATAACATAGAGCAACACCATTGCTCTAAGGATATAACCAGGATTTTCCATGCAGGTTAGTGAGTCACCTCTCTGATAGGTGCACAGATATCTGTAGACATGGCTTTTATTTGCCTTGTAGTCAATGCCCAGGTCCCATGTAGCTAAACTGAGTCTGGACATGTGGCCTCACAAATAAATGCTACCAATGGTGACAACTGGTCAATGTGCTTTGAATAGGCACAGTGTAGGAAAGGTTCCAGGTTACTGGTGGTAGAGGTTGGTCTTTCACTTGCATTTTAAAATGTGTCTCAGGCATTGTACTCAACTTGATATTGCTGAATAAATAAGTGTCTGTATTTCAGGCATTGTATTTAATTTGACCTTCCTGAGGAAAACAGACAATGCAGGGTTAAGATATAAACAATACTATATTATAACTCTCTGTCCCTCTGGTGAATTTTCTATTTCGTAAAGTGATTTCAAGTTCTTTATATCCTCTGAATTTCGTAAGAATCCAGTAAGGTCAGCAGAGCAGGAGAAAGGATTGTTTTCCATATTTTGCACATGAGGAAACAGACTCAGTTCCTATAGGAAGTCATATGAATTTCAACCACAGAGCCAAGACTAGAATTCAGGCCTTCTGACTACAAGCTGGTTTCTATTCAGCTCCACCAGAAAGCAAATCAGCAGGGAGGCTGCTGAATAGCTTCTGAGTTATCAGAAAGCTGAATTTGCTAGCAGCTTCTGGAACAGCAGTGACGACAGCAGGTAAGGCAGGGCAGCTGTTTTTATAAGGTTATAATTTTGTGTTAGGAGCTTCCATAGATCGTCCTTCATTTACTCTCAAGGAGTCACTGGGATGTACCTTACTTTCATTTATATCTGAGGTCTTGCAGGGATGCAGTATCAGAGTAGTGAGAACTCCCACTTGTGATTAGCAAAATGACTCCCTGGTGAGAACAATAATATAAAGGGGGATAGAAAATGAAAGAGAGGCGAACTTGTTCATTTTTTCATTCCTCTGTGACTGCATACACCTGCAGTTCTGAGTTAGGTATTATCAACAGAAATGTGAATAATATCCAGGCTTGATACTGAGGAGTTTACAGTCTACTGCAGGAAAGAGAAAAGCATCTACGATAAACATTATCTTAGAAAGTTCTGAAAGAAACACAATGAGAAAAAAGAAGGGGGAAATGCTGCTTCATTTTTGGAGTGGTTTGAACTAGGCCTTGAAATCTAGGAGCATTTACCATTGAAACAGGAGGCGTTAAGGGCATAATGGACATGGAGACAAGATGCCATCTGTCATGCTCAGGGAATTTTAAGTAGTTCAATGTGGCTAGAACATATGGTATAGGGACTGGGGCTGGTTGAGTCAGACAGGGAGGTGGAGACGGGAGATGAAGCCTGCAAGGTATAATGGGTACCTGATATCCACATTAAAACGAAGGGCTGAGAAATTTACACTTCATCTTACAGGTGCTAGAGAAGGGTTTAATCAGAGGAGTGACATGATCAGATCAGTGTTAGAAACTTCTGGTGGTCCGGTGGAGGTTGAAATGGGGTGGGCAGGGAAAGTAACTCAGCAGGAAAATGAACACTTTGCTGGTAGTGGAGATTTTTTCTTTTTCTTTTTTACAGTTCCTTTCCCTTAAACTTGCTTCTCTTCTTTTATGCATTTTTTCAGTAGTTTTCAGGCACTCTGGAGTTATTAGTACTATTTCCAACTAGCCCAGGAGTTACCTCAAATGGCCAACCTGTATATTCATGAGACACCATGTTAATTCCATTAGACGGTCATTAAAAGAGATCTGAAGAGTCCTGAGGCACGCTGCAAAGTCCCTCACGCAAACACGGAGAGGCTGCTGTGCTGCAGCCATGCCATGGAGCCACAGCACGTCCAGGCATGTCTTTGCCTTTAGGTCCATCACAGGCCAGTTTGCCTCAGATAACCTCACTGTGCTTTATATACAAAATTCCAGGCTCTGTCTTCTAAGCTTCCAAGTGTTAGCTGGATTAGACAGATACTGCGAATCAGTAGCTCAAGGATTCTTGACATTTCTTATAGCAATAAGCCACAGGGAATGGCATCACTATTCAAAGTTTAACATTAAGAAGCTGAGCTTGGGGAAGCCCTAGGAAGAGTAAAGATTAGTTATCTGCTTTAAAAAAAAAAAAAGAGGACGGAGGCTGTTCTAGTCAGCTTAGAGGGCACTGGTTCAACTGGCTCTATGGTCCTAATGGAATCAATATTCAGGCAGAGAAAAAAGGTCACTTGGTTTCTCTCTCTTTTTTTTTTTTATAGTCTGAGCAAGAGAATAATGGGAAGGTGTGATCCACTTTATATGAGGCAATGTCTTTTATATCTTTTGAAATAAATATCATGCTACAATTTCTTATTAACAGGTTTGCAATTCTTTTTTACTTAGAAATGAAATATTTGTTCCCCCTATATTCTTAAATCTACTTTGTCAAAGATTTATTTCCACCATATTCTTCCAAGTTTCTTGGAATGATCACATTTCGACTTGGGTAGAAACAATAATAGCTAACACTTACATAGTATTTTCCAGGCATTGTTCTAAGTATTTATTATTTATTAAGTTGTTTAATCCTCACGTTAACCTAAAGAGGTAGGTCTTCATAGGAGGTGATGGGAAAATAGGAGAATAAAGAGGTTAAGTAATCTGCCAGCATCACACTTCTACACATGGCAAGGCTGGAATATAAAACCAGGTAGTCAGTCCTGCTTACCTCTTAGGGAACATCCCAGCCAAGAGTTCATCCATGGCAAGTACAATAATTTTGTTGAGAATCAAATTATCTCAAGGGCAATGTGTTCACTTTTCATGGTCAAGCTCTTCTTCTTTTTTGATAATTTAACAGAAAGAACTGGAAGCCATTTTCTAATGGATTGGAGAACCTGCCAATTCAATACTATGATGCATTACATGTGAACTTGGGGCAACAGGCCTGTGTCCCTATCCCAGATGCTGCATTTGACAAAGGATTTCACAGCCAGTGGTGATTTTAATGAATCCTATCTCACCTGTTTCTCATTCATGCTTTTTTGCAAAATATATCTGAGTGAGTAAGTATTCAAATGTAATTCATTTTAAAATGGCTGCCTCATATGTCATCATGTCATTATAAAATGTGAAAAGCTCTTTTTCACTTTAAATAGTCACAGGAGAAAACAGTAGCATTACAAAATATCTGTGTGATCACACAATGCAGAGCTTACATGACAGTCGGGTAGGGCAAGCATCTATGTCTTAAGGTCCAAGCTTTCACACCCTCTGATTCTAGGACTCTGGGATTCTGAGTCATTATTTTCTTTTGGGCCAGAAAATTGGAATCATGGGACACAAAATATTTGAAATTACAAGGTAAAGAGGGTCTCTTCACTTCCTCTCTCTCTACCCTGGAGTCCTGTACAGGTTGCTTTCTTGCCTAGTGACCCACATATCAGGCCTGAAATACATGCCTTCACTCATGATTGATGTATTAGGCTATGGATAGCTCAGGGAAGACATGAAAAAGGGAGCTTATTTGGACATCTAAATCCTAGTGTCTTTTCTAGACTCCCTTAGAACTTGGAGGACACTGTCGTGGGCCACACCATCAACCTGCCAAAAATCAAGCTTTTGTGAATTATTCAAAAGGAAAAGTAAATTGCTAGGTAACACTCTAAGTGTCTGATTTACAAATGTTACATAAAAACCAAGTCTTGGCACTTTTGCAAAGCATAAATTGGGATATAAAATCAAGTATGACAGTACTCCCTCCGGCCTGCTCTCACTCCCAACCCCACTCCCACCCACACACCTGCACTGGTCTCTCAGCCAACTTTCTCTCAGCTTCTCTCCGTCTGTCCCAATCTGAAGTTGCATAGCTTTGGCCATTTTTCCTCATTTGCCTTCTATCTTATATACCCTTCTATCAACCTTCCCTAATTATAAAATTATATACATAATTTTTCCACATAATTATTTGAAAATGTTTTCCTTTAACAAAATAGTAATTAAATTGGAATGATAAGTCATATAAATGGTTACATATTCAGGATATAAAGGGTGGAAAAAATAGGGGCACTCCACAGTGAAAACACTCAGTTGAGTGCTTTTAAATCTCATGGTTTACCAAATCTCTAATCAGCCATGTGATATGCATAAGGTGTCCTAATTATGGCATTTTATTGGGATGGTGCTGTTATTAATCATACTATTTTATCTTGTCTGTCTCCTTTGCTAAAGTTTAGAAAAATCAAATACTTTCCTAACCTCTCTTGCAAATAAAGGTAGCCCTTGACCCAGGTCTTTAAAGAATAAATTTTTTGTTTTTAATTGACACATACTAATTGTATGTATTTATGAGAGAAAGTGTAATGTATCAATATAGTTATACATTGTGTAATAATCAAATCAGGGAACTTATCATTTCTTTGTGATGAGAACATTCAAAATCCTCTTTTCTAGCCATTTAAAAATATATACATTTTAAAAAATATTTAAAATGTACATTTTAAATATAACTACAATATTGTTAACCATAGTTGCCCTACTGTACAATAGAACAGAAGAGCTTCTTCCTCCTCTCCACCCATATGACCTAGTTCTAATCAAGAAAATGTAAAGGGAAATCTGATAGAAGATTCTCAGGGAGGTATTTGTCTCCCTGTTAAAAGTACTGGAGGAAAAGCCTTTTTTTTCGGTAGGCTCCAGATGTTCCAGTGGATAACCTCAAGGTGCATGGCGCCAGGGAGTGACTGCCCTCAGTGTACCTTCTGGCAGCAGGAGCAGAAGCGAGTTTGTCCACATCCTGCATTCATGATAAACAGTTTGCTGTTTGATCATATAGCCTCCAGTGGAATGCTGAGTTGGTCACCACCCTCAGGCTTTCAGCTCCCAACACCACTGCTTCCTATTTCTGCAGGTGGTTGTATGGTGGAGCTGCAGCAGCCACCCGGAAGCAAGGAGAAGAAGGTCAAGGGACACTGACAGAAGCACTTGATATCCTCCAGGTGTTGAAGTATTCATTCAACAACTAGTTATTGGATGCTTATTACATTCCATGCACTGCACTAGTGCTAGGAATTCAAATGTAAAAACAATGCCCCTGTTTTCAGGGAGCTTACATTTTAATAGGGAGCAAGACAGCCAATAATAAATATATATCAGGTAGAGTTTAGAGCTATTGTTAAAACAATGAAGCAGGGTAAGGGAGCTGAAAAGTGATGGGGTGATATTGTATATAGGTTTATAAAGGAATATCTAACTGATAAAATCACATTTGAGAGACATAAAGAAAATGAGAGAGTAAATCATGCAGATATTGGAGAGGGGAGCAGAATGCTCCAGGAAGAGGATACAGCATATGCAAAGACCCTGAAGGAAGGCACGACTCAGCATATTCAAGAAGTAGCAAGAAGACCAGAGTGGCAAGTACTGAGTGAACAACAGGGAAAATGAAGGGAATGAGATTAGAGTTCACCAAGGTTCAGATCTTCTAGAGGCCTGGAAGCTATAGTAATGATTTTAGATTTTATTTTGAAAGACATACGAAATTATTGGAAGATTTTGAGCAGGGGAGCAACATGCTATACATTTTTTTTTTTTGAGATGGGATTAGGCTCCTGTTGCCCAGGCTGGAGTGGAATGGCACAATCTTGGCTCACTGCAACCTCTGCCTCCCGGGTTCAAGCTATTGTCCTGCCTCAGTCTCCCAAGTAGCCGGGATTACAGACGAGTGCCACCATGCCTGGCTAATTTTTGTATTTAGTAGAGACAGGGTTTCACCATGTTGGTTAGGCTGGTCTCGAACTCCTGACCTCAGGTGATCCATCCACCTTGGCCTTCCAAAGTGCTGGGATTACAGGTGTGAGCCACAGTGCCCAGCCCATGCTATAAAATTTTAACAGAACCTTTCTGGCTGCTGGATATAGAAAATGTTAAATGAGAACAAGGAAGAAAACAGATAAGCTAGAAAAATGTTACTAAAAGAAGAGTTTCTGGACACAAGTGGAAGTGATGGAGGTAGGGAGAAAGGCTGGATTCTAGATATATTTTAAAGGTTAAAGCAACAAGTTTTTCTGAGGGATTTGATGCAAAGTATCAATCCAGCAAGGGCCTATCTTCAGACTTCTTAATATATGAGAAAAATAAACCTCTGTTGTTTAAGCCACTATTATTAATGTGGTCTTCTCTTACTTGCAGCTGAAAGTATTCCTAATACAACTGGAAGCAAACTATTATTTCTTCAATGTGCTCTCTTTTTTTTCCCCCAGTCTTATGAGTTAAAACTAAATCACCAGAGTCTTGGATCATTACAAACTCTTGCACGAGGGTTTATCTACATAATTTACTTAATTATTAAACTCCATTAAAAATACATTAGAATAAACAAATATTGAGGCCCAGAGAGCTCAAAAACAAACAAACAAACAAACAACAACAACAAAACAAGGTTGATTTGCTTACTTGGATTTTGCCGGAGAATTGCATGGGAGAAAAGAAGAGAAACCTGGTCCACAAAAAGAAGATAACTTAAAGCACTTCTTTTAGGTGAAAACAATCAGTGTGAACTAATCTCATTGTTTCTGGTGAAAAGTATGGCAAGTCAGTTGCAAGACTGAGAAACTCTGGCATATACTAAATGATTTTTAAAAAGAGACCCCTTTTGAATGCTCTGGATAATAGCAGTGCTGTCCAGTAGAAATATAATGCTAGCCACATATATATTTTAAAATATTTTAGTAAGCATATTAAAACAATTTTTAAAACAGCTGAAATTAGCATTTACTATTCAAATCAATATATTCAAATATTATTTCACGTGAGCCCCTAAGTGTTCAGTAATCACATGTGGCTAATGGCTCTCCTATTGAACAGTCCATCTTTAGAAGACCAAACACAAAAAAAAACTTTAAAGGAAAACTGTGGGAATAAAACATGAAGTACGTTTAAGAACTCAATAATTTTACCTCTGTTTCAACCCAAACACAGACCATTTCCAAGTTATTAAAGTTTAGAATAAGATTTGAGAAAGAATCCAGGACTTGGCAATGGAAGAGAATGTGGGCATAATAGTACTCATTGAGATTGATGTAAGGATTAAACGAGATGAGATGTATGTTTTAATAAAAGAATGCCATATGAATATGCCTTTATGAAATAGCATTACTTCTTTATTTTATTAGAGTATCAGTCTGTGGTTAAATAAACACTTCAGATATTTGTAGGCGATTCTTTCCCCCAAATATCATCATGCTCTTTGCTTTCACAATCATTATACGTTACGAAACACTGATAAGAAACATATTTAAATACCCAGGAATAATCAGTTTGGAAAAAACTGGGGGCATTCTCTCCTAACATCCAAGAAATATCTTTCTTTGCACACATGGAAAATCTACTAGAGAGTTTTTGACTATGGCTACAAATGTGTGGGAAAGGGAAATGCTGATGACTTTTCAAGGCTTTCCTGACTAAAAAATCTGACACTGTAAAAAAAGGACACTGTATTCTGAAAGGTACAAGTACATATAAATAAATAAACATGTTTTTTTTTTCTCAGTAATATCTGAGACTTCTGAATTCCTCTGTAATTACATTTAGCAGGGGAAAAACAACCTCATCCATGCCTGTGCATAGCAGCTCCCAGCAATCTGTCGGCTTTTCACAGCATAGTAACCCACTGATCGCTGTCTTAGCTCTTCAATAAATACCGCAGGCCGTGTGTGTGTGCTTACAGAACTTCACAGGTTTCCATGGATACATGAATTTTAGTGCTAAAGCACATTTACTATCACTTTTCTTGTCACCAAGAATCCTGTAAACACTTGTGCTTTAAGCTTTTGTGCAGAAATTTAGCATTTCGTAGAGGACAAGTCAGAATTACCTTTTTCCAAATGCATTGTATGATTTTCCTGTAGGGCGAAATCCCCAAAATCATTGATATTTGTGGCCTGTTTTTAGTCATGCACTTTTATTTATTAAACCAATAAAAGATAATAAAGGTTTAACTACATTGTCAGTACCACTTTTAAATGACAGAAATGTATACTATTTAAATGTTACAATTAATAAATGAGATAACTTCCTCTGAATTTAAAATGCAAAGAGAGAAATAGGAAATGCAGAAGTAGGAATATTATGTTGATATTTAGCCACTTCCTAAATATGGTGAAATTTAAGAATAATTTTCAAGTATATTTTTGTGTCATACCCATAGCTTAAATTTAATCTTTCTTTTTTTTTTTTTTTTTTTTTTTTTTGAGACGGAGTCCCGCTGTTTAGCCCAGGCCGGATTGCAGTGGCGCAATCTCGGCTCACTGCAAGCTCCGCCTCCCAGGTTCACGCCATTCTCCTGCCTCAGCCTCCCGAGTAGCTGGGACTACAGGCGCCCGCCACCGCGCCCGGCTAATTTTTTGTATTTTTAGTAGAGACGGGGTTTCACCGTGTTAGCCAAGATGGTCTCGATCTCCTGACCTTGTGATCCGCCCGCCTCGGCCTCCCAAAGTGCTGGGATTACAGGCGTGAGCCACCGCGCCCAGCCAATTTAATCTTTCTTATACATACTAAGCTTTTTGGATATTTAAAAGACCTTTTCACAAATCTGTGAAGATGGCAGGCTATGTTACTATTTTTCCTGTTTCGTATATATATAAGCTGAGGCTCAGAGGTTTAACAAACATGCTTCTTATCATACAGCTAGCAAATGGTAGAACCAGGCTTAGAACCCAAGACTCATGACTCATTGCCTTTCCATTGTCTTTTTTTTTCTGAGAAGAATGCAGGCAACTCTTTATATAGAAGACATAGCTATGTTCTTCCTTCCTTGCCACATGCTGATAGATTCCCATGTCTCTGGTGTAGCCTCCATTACATTATTCTTTTCTTCATTCGTCCCTTGACTGCTCCACAGACTTGACTTAGCCTAATTTACCAAGCTTAGTCATTTCAGATGAATATAATCATCAGGAAGCAGCAGTTGCAGAGACATTACCTAGCTTGGATGTGCAGTACGTGAAAAACCTGTAAGCAAACAGATTTTCAGTTGCAATGATATTGACCAGAAATACACAAAGCAGATTGAATTAGAGGGTTAAGTAATTTGTACAGGAAAAAAATCCAGTCTGAGCAGGCAGGTGGCCTGGACATTCAAGTCAAGAAAAAAGCTTTTACTTTTACAGCATAGATTTTAGGGGCTGAGGTTGGAACTATTGGAATGATTGTCTCAACTCTTACTAGCTCACATAAAACGTAGCCAACCATCTCTGCATTATCTTGGCAAATATTTCAGTTATTTGTGCAGCTCTTTTATTTTTGTGGTTTTGAAAACCTATTAAAAAAAAGGTTTTTCTTTTGCTGTCTGATAAAAGAGGGAGTCTGGGTAGGGGAAGAGCTCTTGCCTAAGAGGCCTGACTTCAGTTCTACCCCAGGAGAACTGGAATACAGAGCTCCACATCTCAGGCCTCACACCAACTGCCAGGACTGAGCAGTCACAAGTTTGCTGAGAGGATCAAATGAGACAACAGAATCAAAGCGCTTTGCTAATTGTAAAATATGCACAAAACATATAGGGTTGTTTGAGGCCTCTGTCTAATATCACACAATGCCAATTGGTTTGAGTTTCCATGTGTTAAAAAGCCAATTGTAATTTTTGTTACCTTATAGGGCTTTTTCTGGAATGTGAACTTTATTCACTCAACAACAAACAGGACTAAGTCATCTCCATTATGCTTTTTTCAATATGTTTCAACTCTTACTATAAAATTAGGCAGCAACAGAGAATGCCAGCCACACAGGGCTTCACTTATAATGGCCAAAATAATAGGAACTGTTTATTTAAGTGTAATTTAACATCTGCTCCAATCATAGCCCCAGATTACAACTCTAGATTAAGACAAACTTTGCCTATTACTGCCCAAGGCTAAGTCCTCATTCTTTCTTAATGGAAATTTTAATTTTCCACTGCTCATCCGTAGAGTACCACCGATTGATCAACTCTCTCTCCAATCCATAGAAATGAAGAGAGAACTCAGGGCTCTCCTGAACTACAACGCTTTCTACATTTCTCCTATAAATTCCACGCAGGCATTGAATTGAATTTGTTCTTAACCAAATGCGTTTTATCTATACCTGGCAGGAATCTAGAAGTGAAATTACAAGATTTATTTCATTTTAATTCTATTATGAAGCATTTAATCACAAATACCCTGAAAATGAAAAGATAATTTATCATTTTACCTTGACTGAGCAACTCTCCTCACTTCACATTCATGAATCCATAACGCAGAGAGGAGACTGGATGATTAAGTGTTTGATTAGAGAAAACAGATTAACCTAGCAAACATAATAAATTTGGCTCATAAGCAGGATGGCTTTATAAATGCTCACAATACCTCTCCTGTATAAAATCATGAACCACTTCCTACAGTGATGACTCCATCGAAATAGTTGAGAAACATAAAGCAAATGCATGTTTATGGCTTTCTCTTTGAGACATTAAAAGGGTATTGAAAGGCATATCTGATTCAGCTTATAACTCTGGATATATATTAAGGAACATGTAAGAAAATATTAATGCATAAAAAAAGCTACAACTTCTCAAGTGTTCTAGTTTCCACTTTGTCAATAATTACGTTTTCAATGTCCTTCTGTGGACTGTTTCCAAAGGTGCCAATCCAGACCCAAAGTTTCAGATCACTCAGATTCACCCTTAACCTTCATAACACAACCCAATAGCTTTACGAAAAAAGTTGCATATTTAGGTAGTTGTTATCCCATTATGACAAAATACATAAAATTAGCGAGATATTTTTTAGCCTTCAAATAAGTGGGAAAAAATCCTTTTAGCTGAGATTCCATTTACATCAGAATAAAAATCTAAGTTATGACTAGGTTGAAGCAACGTCCTGTGCAGCGCTCCATAAAGTTCACTTAGTCTTCAAGGGTTCCTTACTTAGCTAGGTTAGTATTCCTGGCCTCTTTTTTTAGCAGTGAGAAAAAGGATACTCTCCCTGCCCCAGCTTTATTTTTAAACTCACAGCCATATCCTGGAGGTCTCTGCTGGCTATTTGGCGCGTGGGGGCGGAGGGGGGCCGGGGGAGGGGGGCGGGGCGGGGTCTGGAGGTCTGTGCTGGCTATCTGGCGTGTGTGTGTGTGTGTGTGTGTGTGTGTGTGGTTGGAGGTCTCTGCTGGCTATCTGGCGTGTGTGTGTGTGTGGTGTGGTGTGTGTAAGCAGTGAGGTTGTTTTAGGGCCAGTCCTTCCTCCGCCACTTTGCTGACTCAAAGACCCAGAGGCTTTCTTGGGGTGCAGGTACCATGATTCCTTGGGCCCTAAGGGAATTTTTGTTAGGCTAGAAGAGTGGGTGTACTCATGATGGGTGTACCCGAACATTCCTGGGCTCAACAAAACCGATTATCTTTATAACCGCGGCGCCTAGCACAGCGCCTGGTGCCCTAAACGTTGGCTGCGGGAACGTCCGAGACGCGGGTGCGGAGCCGGGGGCGGAATAACTGGTTGCGCGGCGCTTTGACCGTAGGCGCTGGAGCGCGTGCGTTGCGTGCGCGCGCGGAGGCGGCTGCGTCGGGGCGCGAGAAGGTGCAGTTCCCCGGCGGGCGGGCGGGCGGGCGGGCGAAGCTGGGCTCGGGGCCAAGCGAGGTCTAGCCGGAGCGACTGTGCCCCGCCTCCTGGGCGGAGCGGGCGGCTCCCCATGGTCAGAGCCTCGTGCCGGCTCGGCAGCGCCCGGACGCCGAGCCCAGCGCGTCGGCCCCCCGGCGTGCGGGCGTCTCAGAGCCGCGGAGGGGCCGCCGGGACCGTTTCAGCGTGGCGGCGCTGGTGCTGGCGTTGGCCCTGGAGGACGGCCCCGAGTGATGGCTGGCGCCTGCCTCCCGGGTGTCTCCCGGGTACAGATGGAGTCGTCCCGCGGCCGCCGGCGGCAAGGTCGGCAGCTGCGAGGCCAAGAGAGACCCCAGGACACACACAGCTGCCTCCCGGTGCGAGAAGAAGACCCCGGCTTGAGAGTGAGGTGTGCTGGGCGGAGTGGGGGAGGACCTCGAGGCGCCCCGGCAACCAACCGTGTTCTAACCAACTGGCAAGTGGGAAAAGTTGACATGACTAGAGAACAACGGAGCTTATCCACCCTCCTCTTTTTCACAGACTGGGGAACTCAGTCCACAGGGCAAGAGACTTTCTTCCCTAGGTTACACAGCTATTAAGTGGCAGAGCTGGGACTAGAAACCCAACCTGTTTAAGGCTTTTTAAGCCTACTGTCCTCACTGAAGTGAATATGAATAATAATACAAGTAATTATTATCGTATTGGATTTTGGAAAGTTGGATGGTGATATTCCTTTGGCATGCGAGACTATTAATATGACTCGTGCTGGAAAAAGTCACTCATGTTTTCTCTGGGCTTGGATTCCTCATTCCTTCATTCAATGAACATTTGCTCCGCAGTTACTTGTGCGAGGCACTCTCACCGGAGACTGAAGGTATAGAGCAAGCTTGTCCAACCCGTGGCTCACTAACCGCGTGCGGCCCAGGACAGCTTTGAATGCCGCCCAACACAAATTTGTAAATGTTCTTAAAACATTATGAGAGGTTTTTTTTTTGCGCTTTTTTTTTTTTTCTCATCAGCTATCATTAGAGTTAGTGTATTTTATGTGTGGCCCAAGACAGTTCTCCCAGTGTGGCTCAGGGAAGCCAAAAGATCGGACGCATGGTATAGAGAAAAACAAGAAGCATCCCTCCATAGCGTATGCCCCACAAGAGACAATTTCCCAGAGACCAGTAGCTGAGGCAGGTGTAGGAAGTGAATGGGCCATTAGATGGATGCCTGTGGAAGCTAAAGAAGGCGGATCGGAGGAAGACAATCCGACCTGGGGAGTGGAGGAGAGAGGGGGAGAAGGTGGCATCGACTTGGATTTTTTAAGATTGAGTCATTTGGGGCACTTGGAAATGGGCATTCTGGGTAGAAGGTTCAGTATTAACAAAAACAAAACAATACTCTTGAGTGGGAAGAATAATGGATAGTTTGATTTGCCTAGAATGTAGAGATTAATAAGGATGCCAGGATTCTAGGGCGGGGGACCAAGATGGGGAGTCAGTGGTGGGAAGCCCTGGAAGATTCCAAGCAAGGCATGACAGTGCTGTGGCAGCGGATAGTTAATTTGGCCAAGGAGTGGAACCCTCCTTTGTAGCGTGAGAGTGTTGGACCAAGGATCTTTGCAGCACTGAGAGTCTATGAATTAGCCAATCTGGGAATACAGGGCTTCATGGAAACATCACAGTGTAGGAGGATTATGGATGGAAAGTGCAGCTGGAATGGGAAAAGGTCGAAACCTAATTAGAAGCCTTGGGCCAGGGGTAGCCTGTGATCACCTGCGATTGTGTTTCAGACTTCCAGTAACATTCTTGGGAGTAGTTGTTAAAAAAGTGCTCTTCGTGTTTCTGTAACTTGGGTGGCCTCTTAGGCATGAGCAGACGTTCAGCCTGTCCCTATCGGCAGGGAACATTTATTTATTTTGATGCATCCCCAGGGACCAACAGAGAGCTATAAAGACAGCAGCCTGTTTTGCCAGTTGGCCAGTTGAAATGGGAAATTTCTTATACAAAGATTACAGACTTAACCTTCATGCCACTCTTTATTATAAACTGTTCATACAGTTCTTTGCAGATGGACTCAAAATGAAGCATTTTTTTACCTTAAAGATTGTAGTAGAGGATGTTATAAATGTGTCTTTAATTGGTTCTGTGTTTTCTCATACTTATGAAGCACTGCATTACACAATTTGTCTGAATGAAATTGGTAGATGTGGTCCATGTAAAACTTACCCAATCAGACAGGTTACAGATATTTGCCTAAAATCTGAGCCTGGGCACCTTAGAGATATTCTAACCTCACCCGGAAACTCCGCAACTGGAAAGGTGCAGGGATTCTGGAGCGAGGTTCCACTTCACATTATCTTCTGGTTCTGCATATGAATATTTAAAAACTTCCTGTGGTGTTATATGAAATATGTATTTGCATGCTTTTGCAGCTGCTCCATCTAATAGTATTTGAGAAGGGGAAAAAATGAAATGTTGCTTAGTAGAAATTCCTTTGGTTAATGATGTTAATCAATGGTATAAAAAAGGAGCATGAACTCTGGAATAAGAAGGGACACCTGAAATTGAATTCCAGTTGTGTCGCTTACTACCTGTGCGACTTTAGGTCTGGCACTTAACTCATCTGAGTCTCAGTTTCCTCATCTGTAAAATGGTCACCACAATAATCAGCTCGCAGTCTAACAGAACAACCTGTCACCACTAGAATCCCACTTGTTGGCCTTTTATAGCCACACCTACTTCCCTCCCACTGCCTCCTCCACTTCCTTAACTCATAGCAACCACTGTGTGTTCACTATCTTTTTAAATAATTGTATCATTTCAAGAATGTTATAAAAATGGAATGATATAGTGTGTGACCCTTTGGCATTGTGTGTTTTTATTTTTTCCACTAAGTATAATTCTCTAGAGGTACATTCAGGTTGTCGCATATGTCAATAGTTTTTTCCTTTATTCCTAAGTAGTATTCCATGGTAGGCCTGCACACAGTTTTTTATTTTTTAATTTTTTTAACCACCCTTTGAAGGTCATCTTGGTTGTTTCCACTTTTGGGATATGATGAATAAAGCTGCTATAAGCTTTTGTGTGCAGGTTTTTGGGTGGCTATAAATCTTCATTGTCTTTATTCTCAGGGGTAAATGCCTAGAAGTACAGTTGCTGGATTATATAGTAGTTACAAGCTAAACTTTTAAGGAAGTTGCCAGACTGCTTCCAGAGTAGCTACACATTCCCACCAGCAGTGAATGAGTGATCCAGTTAATGACAATGATGACTCTGCATCATTGTCAACATTTGATGTTGTCACTGTTTTTTATTTTAGCTATTCTGTTAGATGTATAATGATATCTCATTTTGTTTTTTTTTTTTAAATTGACAATGATTTATATTTATGGGGTACAACGTGATGTTTTAATCTATCCATACATTATAGAAATAATCAAACTAATGTATTAGTTCATTTTCTGTTATAACAGATTTATAACAGAATGCCAAAAACTAAGTAATTTATAAAGAAAATTAATGTATTTCTTATAGTTATGGAGGCTGAGAAATCCAAGGTCAAGGGACCACTTCTTGTGAGAGCCTTCTTGTTGGTGGAGACTCTGCAGAGTCCCAAGGTGGTACAGAGTATCACATGGTAAGGGGGCTGAGTATGCTACCTTGCTAGCTTAGGTCTCTCTTCCTGTGATAAAGCCACTAGTTCCCTTCCCATGATAATCCTTTAATCCATGAACTCCTTAATCCAGTAATCCATGAATAGATTAATCCATTCATGAGGACAGAGCTCTCCTGATCCAACCACCTCTTCAAGGCCTGCCCCACTTCTCAATACTACCACATTAGACATTCAGTTTCAACATGCATTTTGGAGGAGACAAACATTCAAACCATAGCACATATACATCATCTCACCAATTTATTATTTTTTGTGGTGGTGAGAATGTTAAAAATCTGTTTTAACAGTCTTGAAATATGCAGTACATTATTATGTGTGGTCAACATGCAGTGCAATAAATCACTAAAACCTACTTCTTCAGTCTAACTGAAACTTTTTACCCTTTGATCCACTTCTTCCCTTTCCTCATTTCTCTCTCTTCCCTTTAGCCTCTGGTAATGACCTCTGTACTCTATTTCTATGAGGTCAGCGTTTTTAGATTTCACACGTGAGATCATACTGTATTTCTCTTACGTTTCTGGCTTATTTCACTTAGCACAGTGTTCCTCAGTTCCATCCATGTTGTCACTAATGACGAAATTTCCTTTTTTAAAAGGCTGTATAGTTATTTCAATGTGTATATGTACCACATTTTTATCCGTTTATCCATTAATAGACACTTAGGTTGCTTCTGTATCTTGGCTATTATGAACAATGCTAAAATGAACATGAGGGTGCAGATATCTCTTCAACGTAATGGCTTCAGTTCATTTGGTTATATACCCAGAAGGATGATTTCTGGATCATATGGTAATTCTACTTTTAGTTTTTTAGGAAACTTCCATACTATTTTCCAAAATGGCTAAACCAATTTGCATTCCCACCAACGATATACAAGGGTTTCCTTTTCTCCACATCCTCACCAACACTTCTTATCATTTTTGGTAACAGCCCTTCTAACAAGCATGAGGAGATACCACATTGTGGCTTTAATTTGCATTTCCCTGATGATTAGAGATGTTGAGTATTTTTTCCATCTACCTTTTGGCTATTTGTGTCTCTTCTTTTGTAAAATGTCTGTTTAGATACTTTGCCAAGTTTTTAATTGACTTGTTTTCTTGCTATTGAGTTGTATGGATTCCTTATATATTTTTCATGTTAGCCCCATAGCAAATGTGCAGTTTACAAATGTTTTCTCCCATTTCATGTGCAAGGAGAATCCTAATGTCATCAACAAACAGAAATACACTTCTTCCATTCCTATATGAATGCCTTTTATTTCTTCTTCTTGCCTAATTGCTCTAGCTAGGACTTCCAGACTATGTTGAATAGCTGTGAGAGTGGGAATCACTGTTGTCTTTCTAATCTTACAGGAAAAACTTTCAACTTTTTACCATCGAGCATGATGGTGTCTGTGGGCTTGTCATATATGGCCTTTATTGTGTTAAGGTACATTCTTTCTATGCCTATTTTTTGAGAGTTTTGTAGCGTGAATGGGTGTTGGATTTTGTCAAATGTTTTTTCTGCATCTACTGAGATACTTGTGTGCTTTTTGTCGTTCATTTTGTTAATATGGTATATTTATTTATTAATGTATTTATTTATTTATTTTTGAGACAGAGTCTTACTCTGTCACCCAAGCTGGAGTGCAGTGGTGTGATCTTGACTCACTGCAACCTCCACCCGCATCGAGCTCAAGCTGTCCTCTCACCTCAGCCTCTCAAGTAGTTAGGACCACAGGCACATGCCACCATGTTAGCTTTTGGTATTTTTGTAGAGATGAGGTTTAGCCATGTTTCCTAGGCTGGTCTAGAACTCCTGGGCTCAAGATATCCATCTGCCTCGGCCTCCCAAAGTGCTGGGATTACAAGCATGAGCCACAGTGCCTGGCCCATATTTATTGATTTATATATGTTCACCCATCCTTGCATCCCTGGGATAAGTCCCACTTGATTATGGTGAGTGATCGTTTAAATTTACTGTTGAATGCAGTTTGCTAGTATTTTGTTAAAGATCTTTGCATTTGTGTTCATCAGGGATATTGGCCTGTAGTTTTCTTGGGGTGTTCTTGCCTGGCTTTGGTGTCAGGGTAATACTGGCCTCATAAAATAAGCTCTGAGGTAGTCCCTGTTTTATAATTTTTTGGAAGAGCTTGAGAAGGATTGGTATTTCTTCTTGAGCACTTAATGGGATTCACCTGTGAAGCCATCAGGTCCTGGGCTTTCCTTTGGTGGGAGATTGTTTATTACAATTCAATTTCCTTATTTATTATTGGTCTACTCAGATTTTCTGTTTCTTCCTGATTCAGTCTTGGGTTGCATGTTTCTAGGAATTCATCCATTTCTTCTGTGTTATCCAATTTCTTGGTATTTAGCTGTTCATAGTAGTCTTCTATGATCCTTTGTATTTCTGGGATGTTGAAAGGAGTTAGTTAGCTTGCTTTAGGCAGACAGTAAGTAAAGGATCCCCAGAGAACCTCTGACCCACCCCACAGGTGCTTACACCAGATATTTTGTGCAGATAAGGGAACTTGCACAGGGGGCTTGCCTAAACATGCCCACAGCACACTAAGGGCCCACATGCACACTGGAGGAATATGTGGAGCCACCAGAAATTCACGCCTTATACAGATAGGGAGCTCAGCCTCATCAGGTTATATATAAAGCCCTTGTATTCAGCTCTGAGGGGGCAATGACTAACCTGCTTTCAGGACCCCTCTCTTTGCTGAGAACATTCCTTTTGCTTAATAAATTCTACTCCAGTCACTCTTCAAGTGTCTGCGTGCCTAATTATTCCTGGTCATGAGACAAGAGCCCAGACCTAGCTGAGCTAAGGAGTAAAAAATCCTGCATCAATATCAGTTTCCTCTTTTTTTTGTCTCAAGATATTTTTAAATTTTCCTTTTAATTTTTTATTTGACTCATTGGTTGTTGAAGGGCATGTTATTTAATTTCCACATAGAGTTTTCCAAGATTCCTCCTGTTATTGATTTCTAGGTTTGTGCCATTGTGGTCAGAAGAAATACTTGATAAGATTTCAGTCTTCTTAAATTTGTTGAGATTTGCTTTGTGATATATCATATGATCTACCCTGGAGAATACTCCATGTGCAATTGAGAAAAATGTATATTCAATTGTTGTTGGATGAAGTTTTCTGTAAATATTTGTTAGGTCCATTTGGCTTAAAGTATAGTTCAAGTTCAATATTTCCTTGTTGATTTTTGGTCTAGATCTGTCCAATGTTGAAAGCGGGACATTATTGTATTGCAGTCCATGTCTCTCATCAGATCTATTAATATTTGCTTTATGTATTCGGTGCTTTGATATTGGGTGCATATATAATTGTTATATTTTCTTTATGAATTGACCCCTTCATCATTATATAATAACTTTTCATATCTTTCTGCAGTTTTTCACTTACAGTCTATTTTGTCTGATAGAAGTATAGCTACTCCCACTTTGTGTTGGTTTCCATTTGTGTGGAATATCTTTTTTCATCCCTTCATTATCAGCTTATATGTGTTCTTAAAGGTTAAGAGAGGTGAAGTTAATCTATTGTAGGCAGCATATAGTTGGGTCTTTTTTTTTAATCCATTGAACCATTCAATATGTTTTGACTGGAGAATTTAATACACTTACATTCAAAGTAATTATTGGTAGGTAAGAACTTACTATTGGTGTTTTGTTGTTTTCTGGTTAATTTGTAGATCTTTTGTTTTCTGTTTTCCTCTCTTGCTTGCTTCCTTTGCAATTTAATGATTTTTTGTAGTGGTATGCTTTGAATTCTTTCTTTTTATCTTTTGTGTATCTACTAAGAATTTTTCCTTTGTGGTTACTAGGAGGCTTACATAAAACGTCTTATACTAATGACAAGCTATTTTAAGCTTATAATTACTTCACTTTGATCACTTGTACAAACTCTAAACTTTTACTATCCCCTCCAACAATTTGTTTTTATTGACAATTTTTAAATAGTTTTTGGCATGTCCATTAGCAAAGTATAGTTGCTATATGTGTTTTGAATAGTTTTTCTTCTTTTAACCTTTATATTAGAGATATAATTTATTTTCATACTACAATTACAGTACAAGTGTTCTGTGTTTGACTATATACTTACTTTTACCAGTGAGTTTTTATTTTTATGTATTTCCATGTTGCTACTTAGTGATATTTTCCTTCAATGTGAAGTGCCCATTTTAGTATTTCTTGTAAGGCAGGTCTAGTTGTGATAAATTCCCTCAGCTTTTGTTTATCTGAGAAAGTTTTTTTTAAAGCTCCCCTTCTTCTCTTCCTTTTTGAAGGACAGGATTGCTGAGTGTAGTATTCTTGGTTGGCAGGGTTTTTTTTCTTTTAGCTCTTTGACCATATCTTATTCCCTTCTACCCTGCAGGGTTTCTGTTGAAAGATCTGATGGGGGTCCCCTTTTATGTAACAAGTTGCTTTTCCCTTACAGCTTTCCTATCTTCTCTTTGTCTTTAACTTTCCACAATTTGATTATAATGTATCTTGATTTGGTTTGCCTTGGATTCATCCTGTTAGATGTTTGTCAAGCTTCTGGATTTCTGTTTCCTTCCCTACACTTAGGAAGGTTTTCGCAATTGCAGTAGATTCTTGTTTAATGTTCATAGGTTCTTGGAAACTGCAACTTTAACCAAAATGATTTATAGCGGCTTTTGAATAACATCATTTTACTCAATGTCATTTCATTATGTTGATGAGAAAAAAATTCCTTTCATTATATGTTGTTTTGCTTTAAGTCAGTTTCCAAGGATCTATCAGTGACATTAAATGAGGACTTGCTATATGTCTTTGAATATATTTTCTGTCCCTTTCTCTCTTCCCTTTCTTGTACAACAATAATTCACATATTCTGTTTAATGCTGTCCACTAAGGCTGTTAGGCTGTTTCACTCTTTTTCATTCTTTTTTCTTTAAAAATCCTCAAATTATGATTTACCAATGACCCGTATTCAAGTTTGCTAATTCTTACTTCTGCTTGATTTATTCTACTGTTGAACCTCCTTATTGGTTTTTTCATTTCAGTTATATTATTATTCAGCTTGATGGTTTGTTTGGTACTTTTTAATATTTTCTGTCTCATCGTTGAAGTTCCCAGTTTTTTCATGCATTGCTTTCCCTACCTCAATAAAAATTGTTATGACTGCCCTTTTGAATTCCCTGTCAGATAAATCACATATTTACATTTCATTAGAGTCACTTTCTGGAGATTTAATTTATCTTGTTATTTTATTTGGAACATATTTCTATGTTTCTTCATTTTCCTCCGTTCCCTATGTTGTTTTCTGCACATTAGATAAAAGAACCACCTTTCTCAGTCTTGCTAGACTGGTCTTGTGTAGGAGATGTTCCTTTCCAATCAGCCTCTTCAAAGATTGTTAGAATCCACTAACCTCTTTGTGCTTGTAAAATCTGCTATTTTTTATTCTTATTGTCCCCCACCGCCAACCCAAATTAAAGTTTCAAGTCATTGCCTATGAGAGGTGGGATAGAAGCCAGTCCCTTGAAATGAAGCTGGAGAGACTGAGGTGTTAGTTGTGTGTTCCAGTTTCTTTTTTCTTTGCAGAGAAGCTTTGAGCAGAGTTTAATCTCCCACTCATTCTGCCCTATACCAAGGAGAATGTCTGAGGCGGATGCTTATACTCTTGATAGACTGCTCACATTGGACCTGGAGAGATTGCTGCTGAACATTTTCAAGTTAAAAAGCCACGTTTTTGTTCTTTGTTGTCTACGAGACTCAAAAATGAAGAACTCTGTCAACTCCCAGACTAGGAGCCTGTCTCTTGGGTGAAGGCTATAAAAGAGCACTCCGTGTGTATGGAAACTACTTCTGGAGAAAGTCTGCAGATCTGGATTTCTTGCTGGCACAAGCCAGAGGAAAAGGTGTAGAGGGAGTGACTGCTCTCCTGTCTGAACAAGCAGAAATCTCACACCCTCCTGGCAGGGAGAAACTTCTGGTCTAGAGTTATTACTAAAGCAAGCCATAGGGGAAGGTGCAAGGAGTGCCCACTTTCCCTTTCAGACATGAAGAAGCCCCTGCCCTGCCCTATCCCCCCCACCCCCGCACCTTTTTCCAATTGGAGATTAAAGGAGTTTATTTCCAGGGCAAGTCAAGGGAAAAGGTTTGGGAGTGCCATCCCTCCCATTCTTGTTGGCAGAGGTCTCCCAGTTTCTTTCAACAGAGAGATCTCTGGGCTGGATTGTTGCTGGAGCGAGCAGGGGAAAGAAGTGCAGTGAGTGCCTATCTCCTGTTCAAGCAAGAAGTCTCAGATCTTTTTTGCAGGTGGAGTCTTCTAGTCTGGAGTTATCACAGAAGCAAGCCAGGGAAAAAGATACAGGAATGCCCTTTTTGCTTCTCAGGCATGGAGAGATCCCCCAGCTTCACTCTCATGAGAGATTGCAGAAATTTATCTCAGGAGCAAACCAGGCAAGAAAGCATGTTCTTGCTGGCAGAGGCCTCCAGCCTCTTTTCCTTGAGAAATTGTAGGGCTGGAATTGTCACTAGAACAAACTAAGGAAAGAAGGTGGGAATGTTGTCCTTGTTTAGGCTTGAAGAGGTTTATTCTTTTTTTGCTATATAGGCTCCCAGATACCGGTGTATTACAGACCAGAACCACACTGAACTACTGGAAAAGAACATAGCCAAACCCTTTCCAGGGAGAGATTGGAAGCTGGGCTGATTCTGGGCACTACAGCAGCTGACAGAGCTTGCAAGGTGTGAAACCTCACTTTGTTTTTCGTGCTTGAGGGAAATCCTCCAATGCCTTTTCCATACTATTTTTCAGACACAGTGATTTAAGAGCCAAGCCCTTTTAAAGGGATGGTAAAAGTTGAACATTAGGTGTAAGACAGAAGCCCCTCACTCCTTGGGACCATGCTAGGAGTTGGGTTCCCTTCCTGATTATAAGGCTCTGTGCATAGGGTGGGGTTTGTAAATGAGTGTATCTCCACTTTTTCTACCAATTTTGATGTGGATATTTTCTTCTTTGTCTAGTGTGTAGGAGTCTTTCAGCTGGATTCTGCCTTTCTTTTGGAGATAATTGATCTGTGTGTAGGTGTTTCCTTAGTGTGTTTGTAGGAGAAGGGATAGTTAGGGAGCCTCCTATTACACCATTTTGCTGAGGTCCCCTTATTGTGGTTTTAATTTTGCATTTTCCTAATGACTAATGGCTTCCTTGACATCTATGTATTTTCTTTGGTGAAATTAGTCTGTTTGCATTACTATAAAGGAATATTTGAGACTGCGTAATGTATAAGGAAAAGAGATTTAATTGGCTCACAGCTCCATAGGGCGTACAGGATGCATGGTGCTGGTATCTGCTTCTGGTGAGGGTCTCAGGAAGCTTACAATCATGGTGGAATGCAATGGGGGACCAGGTGTACTCGATGAGAATGGGAACAAGGGGCGGTGGGAGGCACCACACTCTTTTAAACAACCAGATCTCTTGTGAACTCAGTCATCACCAAGGGGTTGGCATTAGCCATTCATGAGGGATCCACTCCCATGATCCACATGCTTCCCACCAGACCCCACCTCCAACACTGGGGATTACATTTCAACATGATATTTGGCAGTGATAAATATCCAAACCATATAACCTACATTCTAATTGTATTGTTTGCTTTTTTATTGTTGAGTTTGAGGAGTCCTTTATATGTTCTAGATACTAGTCCTTTCACAGATATGTGGTTTGCAAATATTTTCGCCCACTCTGTAGTCTGTCTTTTCATCTTAACAGGATCTTTTGTAGTACAAAAGTTTTTAATCTTAAGGACAATCAATTTACCAATTTTTCCTGGTAAGGATCATACTTTTGGTATCAAGTCTGGGAACTCTTTGTCTACCCTAGACCCTAAAAATTTTTCTCCTATGTTTTTCTCTATATTTTATAGTTTTACATATAAGTCTGTTATCCATTTTGAAATAATTTTTGTATGAAGTATGAAATTTAGGTCAAGGTTTGTTTATTTGTTTGTCTATGGATGTCTAATTGTTTCAGCACCAATTGTCAAAAATCTTTTATATAATAGTGTATGACCTTGACCAGTTAAACTACCTGCCTGGTTTTGTTTCCTTTGTCTAAAAATGAGGAGATTGGACTAGGACTAGATGGGTATCATTTAAGCTGCATTCCTGGAAGTTCTGGGGTCCCAGGAAGCCTCAATAGGAGCAGCAATGTGGGTGAGCGGTGAGTAGGGCTCTCATGTTGTCCCTGACTTCATTCAGGGCAGTGCTGCTTTTTAGGTTTTATATTTTTATGGTTCTATTTGATATGTGTTTTGACATGGTACCCACTGCTGCAAACAAGTTTGGAGACCATTAGATTAGATAATATCTGAAGTACCTTTCTGTAGTCCCTTGCTATGATTCTAAGTGTTCAGTATCATAACTCACTTTTTAAGTTGCATATTAGCCTTCAGCTTCCTCTGTTAGTATCTTGAGGGGTTACTCTTATGAAATCTTATTTCTCTTTATAAATATGATAGACTTTATGAAATCAATTAACTTAACAGTTTATGAATCAATTTATATGTCAAATTGAAAATTTGTTAAATATATTAGAATTTTACAGTTGAATCATTTATTTCACAGAATTATCATGCCTGGAAGAGAGCATAAGGAACTAAAATCCTACATAAACCATGTACCAATCTCAATGTCTCTCTTATCATCCACCTGTCTGGCTCTTGCCAATTCACAGGGCATTTGCAACAGTTTTTTTATCAGCTCCCAAAGGGTTACTTGCGACAGCTTTTTACCAGCTCCCTAAGGGTTACTTGCAGCAGCTTTTTGAGATAAACAAAATCAGGCTTATATGCCCATACCTATTTTCAACATGAGGAAACAGACTAAGTTCCAGTGACCTGCCCAAAGTTAGAGAACTAACAAGTATCAAGTAGAAGACTAAGAGAAGAGCTCACATCAGTAACACCTAGTCAAGTTATTTTCCCTTTGTTTTATATATTAGGGTTTCAGTGGGTATTTTCCAAAAGTTGATATTTGCTACTTTAGCTTTTTATCTATAAAGTGGGATGATAACATAACACACTCAAATAGTTGCATGTTTTTTCTTTTTTTCAATTAAATAGGGTAGAGATAGTGCATTTGAAAAAAAATTGCACTAGAAAGTGCTCCCCGTTCAAATGGTGGTTATTATTTTATACTTTGGCTGCATCTCGGAATCATAGCAGGCAGCTTTGTGTGTTTGCTGATTCCTATTCATGGGAAATGTGTTTGTTTATATCACAGTGTATTATCTATTTTTCCTTTTAATACCCATGTGGCCAAATTACGAACTGCCATATTAATAAGATGCAAACATATTTGAGAGGGTGGTTAGACTTAATCGTTTTCATAAAGTTGTTTTAATAGTTGTTTTTCAACAGATGGACAGCTTACATTTGGCCACGTTTCTGTGACAGTGTGATGATTGAACTTTTCAACAGATGGCATACAAACACTTGGGAAAACACCCTTCTAACATTAATTGTTATAAAAAAGACTTTTAGAGTGCCAGAAAAATGATAGTCTGTATTCCCAAGTCCTTAGTCTCTGCTATTATAATTTAGATGATTTGGAAGTTTCTATTTCTGGCATGTGGATTTGTTTCATAAATGAGCATATATATCTGCATTAGAGTGAAATGATGAGGAACACCCTGTTGTCAATTAGAGATTCAACATAGATACAGCATTTAAATCCTCCTTTGTTTGTTGATAGATGTACATAATCTCCTCTTGCTGAGTCATTCTACTTCTATTCCATACATAGAAAATATAACCTTTCATAAGAATCAACTGTCAGATACTTATGTATTCTTTCTAAAAAGTATTGACTTAAAAAAAATTACCAAACTTAGAATTTCAAACATGTTCATCAATGTGATGAACTCACCAGCTTTCCAAGTTGTCCTGCGTCTGCTGTTGACCACCTAGCATGGCTTCTGGAATCGGTAAGTGAGGAATCTGACAATAAATGGGGCAGGAAGGAGAGTCATGAAAATCTGTGATGGCATTTATGATTGTTACAATGACAAAGGGCATTTACTGATATTTAGTGGGTGCAAACCAGAGTACCTATACATGCTACACTACACAGTATAGTTTTAAACAAGAAAGAAATGTTCCATGTCCTACATTAATTTGAACATCTGGCTGGACATCCATCTGAGCCTGGAACCCAACTTTGCTTAAATGAAATGACAGAGTAGGTTTTGTAATATATGGCATTTTTGCAGAGTTTTAGTACTCACAAAATATTAAATGTTAGCATCCACCCCTACCTCTGCTTCTTGATTTTACTATACTGCTGTATAAAAGGTTGAAAGACTTCTGATCTGATTTTATTGCTCCTGAATTCTGACTTTTTCATGCTAAATAAGTGCAAGCATATAAACCCTTTTTTATATCCTTTAGTATAGTCATAGACTGAACATTTACTTAGTAAACAGATATTATATGTTTACTTTCCTATTTCCCCTTTTTATCCTAAATAGACCATTTTTTAATATTTAATCCTTGATATTTTTAAAATCTGTGTAAGTTATATTATCCAGGGATTTCTAGATTTAAAGAGAAAATTACAGAATGCTTGTTATTATAAAGGGGCTCTGAAATTGATCGGGATGAGAAGCATTACTATAGAAAATTAAGTAATACAAGACAAATTATTTCTCTACTTGTCCCCTTGTGCACACATCAGTGTTGGAATCATTCAAAGAAAAGGACAGGGTCGTGATTCTAAGTCTTTAATATAGAATGCAGTCTCAATAAATTCTGTATCATTCTGCTTTTATGGATGTCTTAAACTGATTTTCTTTTGGCAAGTTGTATTAGCTAGCTCTTCTTTGTATTTGTCATTGCAGATGGCGTTTAATGATTGCTTCAGTTTGAACTACCCTGGCAACCCCTGCCCAGGGGACTTGATCGAAGTGTTCCGTCCTGGCTATCAGCACTGGGCCCTGTACTTGGGTGATGGTTACGTTATCAACATAGCACCTGTAGGTGAGGTTTATTTCCAGTGGCTCCTGGGAGCAAAGTTTTAGTGTTCTTGTTACAGGAAGTAATCATGGGTGAAATAATAAACAAAACAAAATCGAAATAAAATATAGAAAGCAGATAAATCCAACTAATCTAGGTTTAGAGAAGGATATTCTAAAACCAAAGCAGCATTGAAGAAATCACAAAGGCCAATTCACATGAAATTTTAAAACCTCTGGATTTAAAAAATCACAATTAAAAAGTAAATAACCAGCTGGGGAAAATATTTGCCACAAACATGGCAAGGTTCAGTGTCTTTATGTTTCACACAAATAGGTTATTTCAATTTATTCAACACCTATTTATAGATCACCTAGTATGTTCTGAATGCTATTCTAAGTGCTGGGGGTATACAGACGTCTCCCTGCATGGTGGAGTTTACATTTTAGTAAGCAGGGACAGACCATGAGCAAGTTACAGAAATGTTAAAATTGTGATAAGTGATACAGAAAAAATAAGAAGGTAGGATGAGAAGTGCTGAGGGCAGAAGGTGGTGGGTGCAGATGCTGTGATTTTAAATGAAGTGGTCAGGAAAATTTCTTAAGAAAGTGACATTTGAGGAAAAATGTAAAAGAGGTAAAGAAACCGGTCAGATGCTCTCTAGAGATATAGTATCCCAGGTCAAGGGGACAGCAGACACTAAAACCTCAACAAACAAATGGATAAAGAATTAGGAACAGTTTGTAAAAGAAGAAAAGCAAAAGCTAATACACCTTTTGAAAAAATTTCAACTTTCTGGCCTAGGAATTGTAAAATAAACCAATAAAATATTTCATACCTATCTCATTAGCAAAGGTTAAGTGATAACGATCAGTGTTGATAAGAATATAGTGAAATGAACATAAAGGTATTGTTGATGGTAATATAAATTGATAAGGGCTAGGACCTTAAAAGGGTTCGTATCCTCTGACCCTGTAATTGTACTTCTAGGAATCTATTCTGGGGAAATATTTAGAGATGTAGACAAGCATTTCTGTGTAAGGATATTCACTTCTGTGTCATTTATAATGGTTAAAGTAGACAATGGCATATTTTCAATAGGGGAATGGTTAAATGAATTAAGATTTAGCCATATGATATTAGTTATCAAATATTCTTTACTGAGAAATCTTCATTGCATCATGGAGGGAAACTGCAGAAAGAGCTGAGGTGGTGCCGGCCTCAGAGATGCCTATATTTAGGGGTTTAACCACTATTTAGACTCTCTGTCACACATCTGCATTTTTTTCTATGTGCTGTCTTCATTTCCCCGGACTATGTCTCTTTAAAAAACTAAACTGATGACCATAAGCAGCTTTAGGTTCTGACTCTTAGGTTCTTTTGATCCAACACGAAAGAGCTAACTGTAACTACCTGTTACAGTTAAAGAATCACGGAGACAGACTCCAATCACTCCAGTGTGAGCCCCATGTTCATCGCTGGACTATCACTGTGCCCAAGAGAATGGAATACTGTGATTGGCTCAGACACAATTGTTTCCAGGAATAAATAGGCAATGGTGGGATTTGGTGCTGGATAGATATAAATAACAGCATCCATAACAGCCATTAAAAGTCTTATATCTGGACATGTTTTATTGCAGGGAAGATGGTCTTAATATGATATTTATTTGAAAAAGATTAACCACATGCTTAGTCATAAAGCAAGTCTCAATAAAGTCAAAAAAACTGAAATCATACCAAGCACACTCTTGAACCACAGTGCAATAAAAACAGAAATGAATACAAAGAAGATTTCTCAAAACTATACAAAAACATGGAAATTAAACAGCTTGGTCCTCAATATCGATGAGTGATGCTTAATATCTAGTGTCAACATGATTGGATTGAAGGATGCAAAGTATTGTTCCTGGGTGTGTCTGTGAGGGTGTTGCCAAAGGAGACTAACATTTGAGTCAGTGGGCTAGGAGAGACAGACCCACCCTCAATCTGGGTGGGCACCATCTAATCAGCTGCCAGTGAGGCTAGGATAAAAGCAGGCAGAGGAACGTGGAAAAATTACACTGGCTAAGTCTTCTGGCCTCCATCTTTCTCCCATGCTGGATGCTTCCTGCCCTTGAACATCCGACTCCAAGTTCTTAAGCTTTTGGATTCTTGGACCTACACCAGTGGTTTGCCAGGGACTCTCAGGCCTTTGGCCACAGACTGAAGGCTTCACTGTCAGCTTACCTACTTTTGAGATTTTGGGACTCGGACTGGCTTCCTTGCTGCTCCACTTGCAGATGGCCTATTGTGGGACTTCACCTTGTGATCGTGTGAGTCAATACTCCTTAATAAACTCCCTTTCATATATACATCTATCCTATTAGTCCTGCCCCTCTAGAGACCCCTGAAGAATACAGGTGGAAAATGAAATGAGGGCAGAAATCAAAAAGTTATTTGAAATTAATGAAAATAGAGACACAACTTACCAAAATCTTTGGGATGCGCCTAAATCAATGTTAAAAGGAAAGTTTATAGCACTAAGCACTGTCATTAAGAAGTTAGAAGGAGCTCAGATTAACAACCTAATATTGCACATAGTGGAACTAGGAAAAAAAGAACAGACCAACCCCAAGCTAGCAGGACAAAATAAATCTAAAATTGGAGAAAAACTGAAAGAAATGGAGATACAAAAATCCATGCAAAATTAACAAAACAAAGAATTTGTTTTTTGAAAGGATAAATGATTGATAGATTGCTATCTAAATTAACAAAGGAAAAAAGATCCAAAGAAGTACAATCGGAAATGACAAAAATGACATTATAACCAGTCCTACAGAAATACAGAAGGTCCCTAGAGACTATTATGAACACTTCTATAATACAATTTAGAAAATTTAGAGGAAATGGACAAATTTTGAAACATACAACCTTTCAACATTGAACCAGGAAAAAAGTGAAAACCTGAGAAGACCAATAACAAGTTCCAAAATTGAATCAGTAACAATAATAATAATAAAAAAACTACCAACCGAAAAAAGCCCTGGAGCAGATGGATTCACAGCCAAATTCCAGGAGGTGTACAAAGAACTGGTACCAATCCTACTGAAACTACTCCAAAAACCCCAGGAGGAGGGGCTCCTTCCTAACTCATTCTATGAAACTAGCATCATCCTGATACCAAAATCGGAGAGACACACAAAAAAAGAAAACTTCAGGCCAGTATTCCTGATGAACATAGATGCAAAAATCCTCAACAAAAGACCAACAAACCAAATTTGGCGCACATCAAAAAGTTAATTCATAATCAAGAAGGCTTTATTCCTGAGGTACAAGATTGGTTCGACATACACAAATCCATAAATATGATTCACCACATAAACCAAGTGAAAACCAAAAACCATATGATCATCTCAATAGATGCATTTGATTAAACACAACATCCCTTCATGTTAAAAACCCTGAAGAGAATAGGCATTGAAGGAACATAACCTCAAAATAATGAATCATTTATGAGACACCCACAGCCAACATCATACTGAATGGGCCATTCCCCTTCAGAACTGAAGCAAGATAAGGGTGTTCACTCACACTATTCCTGTTCAACATAGTACTGGAAGTTCTAGCCAGAGCAGTGAGGCAAGAGAAAGAAATAAAAGGCATCCAAATAGGAAAAGAGTAAGTCAAATTACCTCTTTTTGCTGAATATTTCATTCTGTACCTAGAAAGCCCTACAGACTCCACCAGAAGCCTCCTGGAACTGATAAACAACTTCAGTAAATTTTTAGGATACAAAATCAGTGTACAAAAATCAGTAGCATTTTTATACACCAGTAACATTCTAGCTGAGAGCCATATTAAAAACACAATTCATTTACAATAGCCACAAATAAATAAAATACCTAGGAATACATCCAACCAAGAAGGTGAAAGATCTCTACAAGGAGAACTATAAAACACTGCTAAAAGAAATCAGAGATGAGACAAATAGATGGAAAAACATTCCATGCTCACGGATTGGAAGAAATAATATTAAAATGTTCATATTGCCCAAAGCAATCTACAGATTCAACACTATTTCTATCAAGCTACCAATGCCATTCTTCACAGAATTAGAAAAAATATTCTAAAATTTGTATGGAACCAAAAAAGAGCCCAAGTAGCAAAAACTAAAAAAAAGCTGCAGGCACATTACCCAACTTCAAACTCTACTAGAAGGCTATAGTAACCAAAACATCATAGTACTGGTACAAAAACAGACACACAGACCAAGGGAACAGAATAGAGAACCCAGAAATAAAGCCAAGCACATAAAACCATCTGATCTTCAACAAATTCAACAAAAATAAGCAATGGGGAAAGGTCTTCCTATTCAATAAATGGTGCTGGAATAACTGGCTAGCCATATGCATAAGAAAAAAAACTGGACCTCTGCCTTTCACTATGTACAAAAATTTACTCAAGATGGACTAAAAGTTTAAATGAAGAACTCAAACTATAAAAGTCCCAGAAGAAAACCTAGGAAACACTCTTCTTGACCTCAGCTTTGGCAAATAATTTATGTCTAAGTCTCCAAAATGAATTGCAACAAGAACAAAAATGACGAGTGAGACCTAAGTAAACAAAAGAGCTTCTGCACAGCAAAAGAAATTATCAACAGAGTAAATAGTCTACAGAATGGGAGAAAATATTCATAAACTGTGCATCTGACAAAAGTCTAGTGCCCAGAATTTACAAGGAATTTAAATTAATCAACATGTAAAAAATAATCTAATTAAAAAATGGGCAAAGACAGGAACAGACACTTCTGAAAAGAAGACATTCAGGCAACCAACAAACCTATGAAACAATGCTCATCATCACTAATCATAGAAATGCAAATCAAAACCACAATGAGATACCATCTCACATCAGTCAGAATGGTGATTATTAAAAAGTCAAAAAAAAAAACAGATGCTGGTGATGTTGCAGAGAAAAGGAAATGTTTATACACTGTTGGTGGGAATGTAAATTAGTTCAGCCACTGTGGAAAGCAGATTGGAGATTTATCAAAGAGCTTAAAAGAGAACTACCATTTGATCCAGCAATCCTATTACTGCATATATATCCAAAGGAAAATAAATTATTCTACCAAGAAGACACATGTACTTGAATGTTCATCACAGCATTATTTGCATAGGAAGGACATAGAATCAGTCTTATTCAAAATATTACTAGCAGTTACTTCTGGGTGGTGGGATAATGGGTGATTCCTGTATACATTTAAATGCTTTGTTTTTCTGTATTTTATAAATGTTTAAAAATGAGCACAAATTAATTTATTAACAAAAAGTGTATGCAGACCAGGCGTGCTGGGTCACGCCTGTAATCCAGTACTTTGGTAGGCCAAGGCAGGCAGATCAGTTGAGGTCAGGAGTTCAAGACCAGCCTGGCCAACATGACGAAACCCTGTCTCTACAAAAAATACAAAAATTAGCCAGGTGTGGTGGCAGGCACCTGCAATTCTAGCTACTCAGGAGGCTGAGGCAGGAGAATCACTTGAGCCTAGGAGGTGGAGGTTGCAGTGAGCTGAGATTGGGCCACTACACTCCAGCCTGGGCAACAAAGCAAGACTCCATAAAAAAAAAAAAAGTGTATGCAGATAACAAATAAATAACCTGGAGTATTTTCCTCAGGTTATGTTTAAAGAGAAGTATTTATAGACCTAAGTTTTATTATCTTGGGAACTTCTGAGACTTTTTAATGAAGTGGTTTTTTGCAACATTTTAAAGTATTTGCCTCTTGTTTTAGAATATTATAAGTGAAAATGACAAATAAAATGATATTTATGATTCAGAGCTTCCAGAGTCTAGTGGTTAATACTAAGCAACCCTCTACATCTACATTATCTCTGCAGTTTTCATACCTGGAAAATAATATGAGATTTTCATGCTGTTTTCTTATTATCATGCCTTAAATTCCATATTATTGTGGTTTGAGCGTTCAGGTTTGATCCTGTAGATTGATATTCAATTATGTTGTTAACTACTGTGATACATTTTCCAAGCCAGTTTACCTCTCCAAATTTTAATTTTCTAATTTTTGCATGTGGTTATTAAAAATATGTTTAGTAAGTCTAACTGGGATATATATGCTCTGAGGACTTGTAATGTGTGAGAACTTGCAATGTGTAAGATGTTCACTGGAACATCTCACATTCCGTGAGAAGGAGGACAGACAGAAGGATAGTGGAAAATAAGTTTTGCTTTCAGTCATTACTAAAAGAGAAAGTTTCTAAACACTAGTTATGTGGAGACTCTCTCTCATGATTGACCTGAACATGGCCAAGCACAGCAGTTGTGGGCAGTTTGACAAGGACTGGAGCCTGGCTTTAGACCTGTACCCTGAGGAATCATCTGTCCAACCTCAAGTACTGACATTGTCAGGCCAAAGATATAGTAGTTCCTGGCAGACTAGGCAAATGCTTATGAGCAGAGGCAGCCAAGGTGGAGTGGTAGGGCATGGGGCATTGTCGTAAGTGGGTAGGTCACTGCCTGGGGCCATGTCTGGTAGACAGTGCCTACCAAGTTAGCTTCAGGCTCAGGACTTAGGGGGCTTTTTTTTTTTTTTTTTCTGGCCAAAGGAACTGGCAGGAAAAAAGCAGGGCCCCAGCCTGACTTCAGCCATCCTATCACAGGACTGAGGTACCATGCGGGTTTCGGAATAGGAAATTGGACCCCAAATTGATGCCTAGTTGAAAAACAAGTTTCAGACGCTTAGGGAGCTTAGATACTAGGATGAGCCTACTAATAACAGTGTACCCTACAGTATTAATTTGGAAGGGTTCAGATGCTCAGCAAAAAACTGCCTTATAGAAAAAGTGGACAATAATCTTATCTGTATCTATGTTAGACACACATACCAACATCTCTAATAATATAATACCAATCTACAGAGAATTTATTTTCCAAGGATGAGTAGCGTATTCTCATCCAATTTGTTCTATGGGAACATCAAACATTTTCAAAAAGTTTTTCTTATATTCTCACTCATACAATAGTAAGTGTTACTGCTAAGTTATAGAATAACTGCTTAAGGCTGATGAGATTAAATGACTTTGGTTTGATAATAAGTTAGGAACAGGGCTAGGTTTAGACATGCCAGCATTTCCAAAGTCTTTAGATGGCAGTAGAGTTCATTGGACTGGGTCACTATACCTTACTAACCAGAATTCTACTTTATAGATGGCATTCCTGCGTCCTTTACAAGCGCCAAGTCTGTATTCAGCAGTAAGGCCCTGGTGAAAATGCAGCTCTTGAAGGATGTTGTGGGAAATGACACATACAGAATAAACAATAAATACGATGAAACGTACCCCCCTCTCCCTGTGGAAGAAATCATAAAGCGGTCAGAGTTTGTAATTGGACAGGAGGTGGCCTATAACTTACTTGTCAACAACTGTGAACATTTTGTGACATTGCTTCGCTATGGAGAAGGAGTTTCAGAGCAGGTAAGTTTTCTTTAGGAGATATTCTTACATTGAGAAAAGAATAACTATTGGCTATGATAAGGTTCCCAGGCCTCAAACCAAATGAAAAGAACCAGAAAATACGAGAATACTGAAGGATAGAGAATGGACTTGAGTTGTCCAAGGTCCTGCAACAAGTTAATAACCAAACTGAGACTAAAACATGAATATTATGAATTTTGAGCTATAAGGGACTTGAAGTAGAATCAAGACAATAGCATTCTGTCAATCTTACTGCCTTTTAGTCTTTTTTTCCTGTTACTTCACCATACAGCAGTTTCAAATTGGTGATCTCATATACTGAAAAGAATATGCTAGAAAGGATGTTGAGCTTTTTGAATGGGAGTTTATTTACCAGTATCACAAATGGTTATTCTTAAATTATTTTTCATTGGTGGACAGAGGCTAACTAATGACATATCTTAGTGGGCTTGTGAATGTTTTCTTTTTCCTTGCAATTGCTAATTTCAATGAAATTTTGTGCCTTTAAGTAGATCCTTTGATTCACTGAGCTTTTGGATGACTTTTGATAGATTAATTGACTTTATTTTTAAAGTACTTTACAATTTTTGTCAGTTACTACCATTGTTTTGTAGTATGACAAATTTCTAGCTAACAGCATGTTCGTCTTTTCCCTACCTGTTGTCCTGTTGTCCCACCAGTCCAGTAAACTAAAAATGAATATTAAGGTGATAAAAGAGAATGGATATATAAAACTATTATCAAAAGAAAGTCCTCTTCATCCAAAATACATATAAAAGTGTTCATTTAAAATATTAAAATATGAAAAATAATTTAATAGATTGAACTCCAGGGAGTTGTTACCTATGAAAACTTTTTAAAAGGCAACTAAAAATTTGAAGGATAATACCATAATATTTTAATAATTCACATTTATTGAAGACTTCCAGTATTTTGAAATGGTGGATCAGTTATACATTTCTATCCTAAGTAAGAAATGAGGTTATAATTCTTCTCACAAAAGCTTGGAAAAATGTCATCTATAAGAAGGCTAGCAAAGCCTCGTGTTATTTAAACGCTGCACCTCTTGAGCCTAATTTTTCAAAATCCTACTTATCCTGCCCTATACCCAAGATTCAAATTTATTGTGGTTTTGATTTGCATTTTCCTGATGGCTAATGATGTTGGGCATCAATTTATGTGCTTATTGGCCATTCGTATATCACCTTTGGAGAAATGCCTATTAAGATTATTTGCCCATTTTTTTGTTGTTGTTGTTTGTTTCTTCTTCTTCTTCTTTTTTTTTTTAGATGGAGCCTTGCTCTGTTGTCCAGGCTGGAGTGCAGTGGCACGATCTCAGCTCACTGCAACCTCCGCCTCCTGGGTTCAGGCTATTCTCCTGCTTCAGCCTCCCAAGTAGCTGGGATTACAGGCATCTGCCACTATGCCTAGCTAATTTTTTGTATTTTTAGTAGAGACTATGTTGGCTAGGCTGGTCTCATGTTGGCCAGGCTGGTCTCAAACTCCTGACCTCGTGATCCACCCGCCTTGGCCTCCCACAGCGCTGGGATTACAGGCGTGAGCCACCGTGCCCAGCCTATTTGCCCGTTTTTAAATTGGATTATTTGCCTTTTTATTGTTCAGTAGTAAGTTTTCTTTATGTACTTTGGATACTGGACTCTTTTTAGATACGTATCTAGAATACATATTTTTCATCAGGGAAATGCAAATCAAAGCCACAATGAGATTTCGCTTCACACTCAATACGATTGCTATAATACAAAAGATAGTAAGTGTTGGCAAGGAAGTGAAGAAATTGGAACTCTCTTGCCCTTCTGGTAGGCATGTAAAATGATATAACTGCTTTGGAAACCATTCTGGCAATTCCTCTAAAATTAAATGTAGAATTACTGTATGACTCAGCTATTGTAATCCTAGGTATATATCCAAGATAAATGAAACACATGTCCACGTGGAAACCTGCACATGAATGTTTATAGCAGCATTGTAGAAATAACTCAAATATCCATCTAATGGGCAATGGATAGACAAAATGGGGTATATCCATACAATGTAATATCTTTCAATAATAAAAAGAAATGAAGTACTCATACATGCTACAGTATGGACCTTGAAAACATTATGCCAAGTTGCCTACTTAGCCAATCACAAGAGACTACATATTATATTATTTCATCGATATGAGATGCCTAGAATAGGGAAATCTATAGAGACAAAATAAATTAGTGGTTGCCTGGGGCTGAGGTGGTTGAGGTAAATCAGGGGAGACTGCTAAAGGGTAAGAGGTATCTTTTTGGAATGATGAAGTGTTTCAAAATTGTGATTGTTGCACAAGTCTATGAATATACTAAAAAACATTGAACTACATTATTTCAGTGGGTAAATATATGGTGTGCTAATTAGATCTCAAAATTTTTTTTTAAATAAAAAGGTTTGGGAAAATGGGAGATAGAACATAATGAAAGGATATATTTATTTTCATTAGGAAATAATTGGAAATTCATTCTCATTAGGAAATGTATTAACATAATGAATGTTCTGCTCACATGTAACAATAAATTGCTTTTGAGCTAGAACATAGAGGGTACACACAAATTCCTGCTCACTTTTGCGTTGAAAATTAGTGGTGTAGATAGGAAATAGGTTCCATTCCTCTTCTTCTTTGTTAATGACAAAGTTGTTCACTGCACTAACCAAGCAATTTTTATTTGTTTACTTATTTTATTTTTGGAAATGAGGAGATGTTAGTCAAAGGGTAGAAAATTTCAGTTACGCAAGACAAGTTCTGAAGATGTGCTGTACAACATAGGGCCTATGATTAATGATACTATGTTGCCTACTTTAAAATTTGCTAAGAGGTTAGATCTTATGTTAAGTATTCTTAGCACAAACCAACAAAGGGAGTGGGCGGAAGCTTTTGGAGGTGATGGATAAGTTTATGGCATTGATTGTGATGATGGTTTCATGGTGGAGGTGATGGATAAGTTTATGGCATTGATTGTAATGATGGTTTCATGGGGGTATGCTTATCTCCAAATACATCAAGTTGAACACATTAAATATCTACAGCTTTTTGCATGTCAGTCTTCAGTAAAGTGGTTACAAATAAGCAAATTTTTTAAAATGTTAAATAAAAAGAGATTAGAGCCATCTTCTTATTTGACTATAACTTGCAATCTATCATCATTTCACCTTTCACATCTAGACCCAAGACCCATGAAAAATTAATTTTTCTTCAACAAATAGTAAGAACCTGTCTCTGGCAGGTTCTGATGAAGATGATGCAGTGACAGCCTTAAGAGTCTACCTAAGCTTTCGTGTTCACAGACCTCAGTGAGAATGCCATCATCACCATTATTAGTGGAGTGTCCTTGAACCCACTGTTTATCAGTCTTCTAATCAACACAGATCGTTTGAAAGATTATGGAGATATTTGAGGTCTCTCAGCATACTGTATTATGTATTATCCATCCCAATAAATAGCATGCCCATAGTGGATATTACTTTTCATAACAGTATCCGGGAATTTTATAGATCGTTGTTAGCATAGTCAATAAAATCTTGATCTAGCAGCAACTGGATTATATATTACTATCAATAACTAATAGTATTACTACTAATAATAGCTAATATTAGATTAGTTTTTTGAATCCCTTTAAGCTTAGGGCCCTTGAGCTTAGAAATGTTTTCTTGGGAATGGCTATGTATTTCCCAAGTTTAAAAACTAGTAATGCATAAAAAAGGTGAGAAGGGTAGGATTATGATTTCATCTTTTTTTCTTCTTTGTGCTTTTCTGTATTTGAAAAAAATAATAGATTCAATTTTCTAGAGCAGTTTTTAGCTTCATAGCAAAATTAAGCTGAAAGTATAGAACTCTCTCCTCCTTCCCCACCCAGTATAGCCATCTCCTTCATCAATATGTCACATCATTACCATACCATTGTGAAAATTGATGAACCAACATTAATACATCATTATCAACCAAAGTCCATAGTTTACATTAGGGTTCGCTGGTTATGTTACGAATTCTATGGTTTGGACAAATTTAAAATGACACAATCCATTATTATAGTATTATAAATAATAATTTTCCTGCCCTAAAACTCCTGTGCTCCACCTATTCATCCTTCCTTCCCTGCAAATCCCTGACAACCATTGATTTTTTTTTTTACCATCTCCATAGTTTTCCCATTTGCAGAATATCATGTTGCTGAAATCATGTAGTATGTGGCTTTTTTCAGATTGGCTTCTTTCATGTAATAATATGTATTTAAGGTTTCTTCATGTACTTTTGTGGCTTGATTCCTCATTTCTTTTTAGCACTGAATGATATTCCATTTCCTTGATTTACCACACCTTATTTATCCATTCACCCACTGAAGGACGTCTTGGTTGCTTCGAAGTTTTGGCAATTATGAATAAAGCCTCTATAAACCTCCATGTGCAGGTTTTTATGTGGACATAAGTATTCAGCTCCTTTGGGTAAGTACCAAGGAGCATGATTGCTAGATCATATGGTTAGAATATTCTTAGTTTTGTAAGACACTGCCAAACTATCTTCCTGAATGAATGTATCTTTTCACATTTTGCACTCTCAGCAATGAGAGTTCTTGTTCCACATCCTTGCCAGCATTTGATGTTATCAGTATTTTGAATTTTAACCATTTTAATAGGCATCTTGTTTCAGTTTGCAGTTGCCTAGTTACATGTAATTTTGAGCATCTTTTATATGCTTCTTTGCATATCATCTTTGATGATGTATCTCTTGATGACCTTGCCTACTTTTTAATTCAGCTGTTCATTTTCCTATTGTTGAATTTCAAGAGTTCTTTATATATTTTAGAAAACACTTTTATCAGATTTGTCTTTTACAGTTGTTTTCTCTCAGTTTGTGTCTTATCTTTTATGTATTTTTCAAAATTTCTAAGAACATACTTTACTCTCATAGACCAAATTATGAAAATATCTCTATCTTTGTCAAAGATGGCCCACACTCTTCAGTAGGCCTGGACAAGGCAACACAGGAACACATCCTGATGGTGCTTCGGTGCATATGACTGCAGCCTTACGAGGCCTTAGGAAAGAGCGTTTTGATAAACCTGCCACACGTCTGTGTCCCCGCTATACTGCTGTCTAGACACAGCCACTCCAGGTTCAGCTAATGTTTCATTAGGCCAGGTACAGATCCCCAGAACGAGGCCTTTATTATGGCCCATGGACAGAAAGCCCTCTAAAGGATAAAGAATGCAGAGTTGGATTTGGTGACCTTATAATCCAAAGTAAGCCGTGAAGTAAAAGTTCTTGTTCATGTTGGTTCACCAAGAACATCCTGAGATGTTGTAATCTTGCACATCACATCCCATTACTCCTAACTCCAGTGGGTTGTCCCAATTACATGAGATTCATTATCTAGAATGAGACTTGAAATAAATGAACATTTGGAATTGGGGAAGCTGTCTTAAAGTGGCACTGCTTAAAGTGGCTTTATGATCATGATATCTGGCCTTTGTCATCTCTAGGGATTTTGGTTTGGGATCAGGTTGCCCATCCCCCAACCAGGCCTCTTAAATTTGTCAGCTTTCATTAACATCTTGTGTTTCTAGTGGCTGAAAGATACCTAGTCAGTTAGGTCTGCATCTAGCTGGGGCCACACCATCTATAGGATCCTGCCATTTTCCAAGGGCCGTACCCTGCTACCATTTGACACCTCTGTTTAAAGACACTGATTGCACCTTCATTTTTTTTTTATTGACTACCCCATTTCTCTCTATTAGACCTTCTTGGGATCTCACTATCTGCTGGAATTGTACTAGGGTTGGGCTTGATCCCTGTCTAATTAGTGACTCTTCCTCTTCTTTGGGATTTTATCTTATATCCTGCATCTCCCTGCCTCTTCTCCCCCGCTCCCCCAATATGGCATATGGGTGGCTCTGTGCTACAGTGAATTCTGATTATCTCTTAGGAAATAGTTTAGGTAAGGATTAAAATATAAATAAAATAGATAAGAAATCAAATAAAATCAAAATTATAAAGTAAAACAGGATTTTTCAGGGTTAGTGCCAAGTTGTTTGCCCTTACCATTCTCCCTGGCATCTGGGGGTTGGAGCAGAGACAGTGGGCCACAATTACAGGCCTAGTCTCTGCCCACCACAGGATGGTGTAGTGGAATGAACACATGCTGCAAACACATGGAGCCAAGACTTCTGTTGTGTCCCTCTTTCCTGGCCCTGGCCCTTGTGCCTGTTCCTAACAGGGAAGCTGCAGTTAGGGAGGTAGCATTGTGTTGCAGTAATACGTGGGTGGCAGGTTCCACGGTGGAAGGCTGTGGTTAGACAGAGGGCATGCTCAAATATGACCTGGGTTAGGCTTTCCAGCTCTTAGACTGGTTCCCCAGAGTCATTTGGGAAAAATATTTTGCTTTATTTGAAAGACCTGATTCTTCAATCCCAGAGAGAACAAATATGTTTTCAGAGTACTTGATAATTCTGAAGTGTCCGAATGTGACCTTTGGGTCATCAAATTGCACTCAAACCCATTTGAATGGAAGGCAATATTAGTTGAGTGCCAAGAATACCATGAATATTCATTAGTTCTCTCATCATCATGATGATTAATACCCTTAAAGCTATAAATGTCTGAATTCCTTTATGGACAGTTGATCTTGAGAGTGGTTTGTCTACATGAGAAATTAATTTTTGACATGATAGTTAACATCAGTATTGGCTTTTTTTGAAATTTGTTTATCAGAAAAGAAATTGTGTCTACCAAATAAGAGCTTATGTGTATTTAGCTCAGATGACATCCCTGAATTATTTGCTATTTGACATCCCTGAAACACACACACACACACACACACACACACACACACACTCTTACACGATACTTACTTTGGTGTAGACCCAACCAATCCAAAGTGTTTATTTAAGGGGCAGGAGCTGCATAGGAGAAGAACGTGTGTTTCAGAAGACTCAGCCTATCTTTAAACATCTTCGTGGAATGATCTCAGGCAAACTACTTATGATATCCCAAGTTTTGCAAAACAAGAGTGGTATATTAACCTCTTTCACCAGTGTACTATTATGATGAATGGGAACTGTGTTCATAATTAGTTTATAAACTGTCAGAGTGCTTTAAAAATATGAGGAATATATACCCATGTGTACGTATCTACATCTTTGACATAATTATACAAATTATAAATTTATTTCTTCATCTTTATGCAGAATTTTAATTTTGCATTGTACTTTAGATGTATCCATTGTACATTAAAACAGGTGTTCAGTTTAGGAAACAGGCTAAAGCTTCATTTAGGACACAGATGTCTTTAGAATATGATGTGTTTTTTGTTTACTTCTTGTTTCCTTATAGGCCAACCGAGCGATAAGTACCGTTGAGTTTGTGACAGCTGCTGTTGGTGTCTTCTCATTCCTGGGCTTGTTTCCAAAAGGACAAAGAGCAAAATACTATTAACAATTTACCAAAGAGATATTGATATTGAAGGAATTTGGGAGGAGGAAAAGAAACCTGGGGTGAATACTTATTTTCAGTGCATCATTACTGTTCCAGATTCCTATGATGGATGGCAGACTCTTTAATAAATTGCTTACTGATATTATCTTATCATTGAGCCAATGAAATTTTTTTCCCCTGCTAGCATAGATGTACTGTGGCAGCTTGAACGGAGAAGCAGTAGTCTTTTGAGTGAGCCAGCAGAAGATCTTAACAAAATCTCATCACATTTTATTTCTACTATAAATATTATTTTCCTTTTCCCCAAGGGTGGCCATTTTGCCAGAGGCATGAAAGACTATTTATATATGGTTTTGAAAGAAATTTTAAGAACCCCAGATTGTTAAGAGTTGACATCCAAATTCATGTTTCTTTTCTTGTTGGAAAAGAAACTGGGAAATTTAGCATTTTGGTTAGGCAGTTTGAGGGACTCTAATTTACAAGCCTTTTGGGGAATGCACCCTCATCTTCTTCCTGCCTGTGTAGATGAGGGTGGATGGGAAGAGGAGAGGCTGTTTGCTCCAGGGTTTCAGTTCCGGTGATTTGTGTGGAATCTACTTGCTTGTCAGGAGGACATGACAAGTAAGAGTGGGCTGTTATTTCTACAGTGTTACATATTATTCCCTTTGGATTTTGAAGTGTTTCAGGGATTTGACCTTTTAACCTTGAGAAGCAATCATTAAATGTTTGTTTAAAATGCCATATTTGGAAAACAATATCTCATATTTTTAAGACTTTTTTACAAGCCAAGGAATGTCATAATTTTATTCTCTCATTTTATTATGTGTTGAATTAAAGACACTGCTTTTTATGCTGCTCCAGTGAAATTCTTGGTTGCAGCAGGTGGAGAAAGGGGGAGTGCAGCTCTCTCTAACCTAGGATTACATCAGACATTGTAACATGACCCCATAAACTACACCACCAGCCAATGACATCCGTCTTATGCTATCATCAAAAGCTTGGCATTAAATAAAGGAAATGTTCAAGTTAATATTAGGGGGTTGATACAGTGAGAAAGCTAGGAATACAGTACATAATGTAACTGAACAGAGGACTCGGTGAAAGTCTTGTACCTATTAAACTGATTTAGATTTTACCCCAGGGCCAGAAATACTCAACAAGCTAACTGCAGGGTTAATAATAATGGTAATGGAAGGAGTTGTGTGCTGCAGTCCAGGCCACAGAGACCCTATATCTCGTCCCTTCTTTTTCAATAATTCCCTCCCTTTCTTATGGCATCAACTCTGTCTCCAGTAACCCTCAAAGACTCTCTTCTTCCACTGGTCTTCTGTGGGGGTGTGAGTGTCTCCTACCAGGAACTAATGAGAGAAAATTTCTCTTTCATTTTTACTCTAAATTCAAGTCTCTGTTCCTTTTATGCCTTGTTCCCAAGTAATAGTTAAAAACCACAATAACAGGCCAGGTGCGGTGGCTCACACCTGTAATCCCAGCACTTTGGGAGGCCGAGGCAGGTGGATCATGAGGTCAGGAGATCAAGACCATCCTGGTTAACATGGTGAAACCCCGTCTCTACTAAAAATACAAAAAATTAGCCAGGCGTGGTGGCGGGCGCCTACAGTCCCAGCTACTCAGGAGGCTGAGGCAGGAGAATGGCGTGAACCCAGGAGCGGAGGTTGCAGTGAGCCGAGATCACTCCACTGCACTCCAGCCTGGGCGACGACAGAGCGAGACTCCACCTCAAAAACAAAACAAAACAAAACAAAAAAACCCAGTTTTCTAGTATTGTCAAGTTAAGATGAGCCTGGCAGTAGCATAATGTGTTACCTTTCCCAAGGTACCCTTTTCAGTAAAGGATGCCTACACGGGGCAAATCTTAACCCGAAGCAGGGGAATTACTACACCCACCAGTGGGAGAAGGAGCAAAATTTGAAGTCAAGAACCTCCTAAGAGCCTCAAGTGCAGCCTTTCTGGAGAATTCTGGATGTCTCCACTCCAGAAGACAGTCCTGTCTGTGCTAGATAATGTCATAAATGCACTTTTAAATTAAATTCATGGATTCATGTTCACATTGGTAGTGTTTGAGGGTGTGGTAGTTTTCACCCTTAGAGGTTAGCTCACAAAGCCATCAGTTTCCCATAAAACTGGTTACTCTTGATGATGGCCAGCTTAAGACTGTCCAGCTTGTTTTTCCTATAGGTGATTATTTGATATCATGCTCATTGTGCTTTTATGAAATGATTTTCCCAAGACTATTAAACCTTTCTCTGAGCATATTTTTAACAGTCAGGAATGGAGTTCAACTTTATCACATTCTAAGAATAAAAATTATGAAATAAAGATCGTTATCCACCAGAAACCTTATAGGTTGTAGGAAAACCTGGGGGGAGAAAAAGCCTATAACTTTATTGAATCTATTTTTTAAAAAATCTTTTTATGCTATTGAAATATTATACAGTGTATCAATTGAATCTTTTCATTCTAAAAGTCAAATTACTAAATGCAGATGTCAGCTCAAGGAACCTGAACTACCATTTTTTTAGTTTGATACATAGTTTATAATCATAAACTAAAAATCTCTTCTTTTTAAAACTTTTGTCTTGTTACCAGTAGCTGCTAAATTATACACATTGTAGAAATTATTACTCTCCAGAGAGCTGTGAATACAAGAAAAGGTTAAAAAGCAAACAAAATGTAAACACAGAGGGATTGTTTTTATAGGAATTTGCATTTATGCTGGTGGTTTGTGTAACATTTATAATATGATTTACAGTAGCGAATTTCATGTTGAAACATTTATCATTCCTAAAGATTTCAGAATTGTAAACTCAAGGCTATCATATATTGAATCCGTACATCATGGTATTAGGTACATAATTGGCACTCATGTAATGAAACTGGTTAACTAATTGCCTATGGTCTGTTAAATTAGCAAAATCAGATTTATCGTTATAAGGAAAGACCAGTAGGTAATTTAAAATGTTCACTAGAAATAAATTTTCTCTCAAGTTTATGGTGAGGGTGATATATAAAAGGTAATAGTGTACAGAATATATTTGTAAAGGATGCACCCTTTCATGTGCTATTTAATATGCATCTAGTAAGATGATTTAGATAATTAAAAGATGAAATAGAACTTAAGATTGTTTAGTAGCCTGAGAACTGTCATGCTGCAGTTACAAATATAAGTCCCTTTTCTAGCATTGTTTTTAAGATGAGTAATGTTGAGTTCTGGACGACTTTTAAAGTTAGAGCTTGAGGCTGGGTGCAGTGGCTCACGTGTGTAATCCTAGCACTTTGGGAGGCTGAGGTGGGTGAATCACTTGAGGTCAGGAGTTTGAGACCAGCCTGGACAACATGGTGAAACGCCATCTTTACTAAAAATACAAAAATTATCTGGGCATGGTAGCGGGTGCCTGTATCCCAGCTACTCGAGAGGCTGAGGCAGGGGAATTGCTTGAATCTGGGAGGCGGAGGTTGCAGTGAGCCAAAATTGTGCCACTGCACTCCAGCCTGGGTGACAGAGCGAGACACCATCTCAAAAAAAAGCTTGAGGTTTTCATGTGTCAGTAACAAGCAGTAAATGTTGCTATGCTTCTTTAAGTAAAAGTATCTTTTTACAGTTTATTTCATTACCTTTGTGATCTACTCTAAACTTTCCTGTTCACTGGCCCCTAAACACTATACACTGAGTGATGCCAAACTTTGGTGGAATTTGCTTATATATTAACTGTGCCCATGCCAAGATTATATGGAATTAACAAACATCTCCTTCATTCTACCACTTCCACACAATTCTGGCTTATTATAGTTAGGGTTGAATTTCCGAAAGGGTTGAATTTCTGAAGTAAATGTTGGTCCTTGTTTCTCTATGAAAAGCATACCAGTGAAACAAAAAGAGGAACTGTGACCTTGGGAAAAGATATATATGTAAATGTTCTTCACAAAGATTTAAGTAAACTTGTGACAACTAATAGTAAAACTTTCAAAGACCAAATGTTGCCTCAATTTTTCTTTTTTCCATTGATGTTCATACTACTAATTTGACTACAGTACCATGACAGCTGCTCATTTTAAACAAAATAATGCTATGCAAAATGAATACAGTTTATTGAAAAGGATGATACAGGAAATGCATTTTTTTCTCTCATTGGTAAAGCATACAGTCAGAATAAGCCTATCTAAGGTCCCTTGCTGCAAGGTTTAATTCATTGAAAATATACTTTGAATGCTTGAATGGAGAGAGGAAAGGTAAGGGGAGAGTATCATCACTTCTCCACAATGTGTTAATTTTGGGGAAAAAAGCAATGCTGTTGAGCATGTACGACGACAATTCTGATTACAGCCTGGCCCAGAAATGCTGTTCTGTGGGTTGGCCTCCCAATTTGAGTTTTCTTTTTGGAATCTGTTCATGGCTTTCATAGCCTCCGTTGATGTAGAATCCATTTTTGCCATCACCTGAATAATCTGTCCTGTTTATGGGAGGCCAGGTTGAGTCTTCTGCTAGCTTCTTTTGCCAAGTCCTATATTGACTTTTAGAGTAGAATCCAAATTCTCTTTTGATCAACAGCCAGAGTTCATGATTTTGAAGGATGGAATCCTGAAAAATCAGATGGGAAAACAATCAATTTATTGCGCAGGTCCCCCTGCAGCCAGGCCGCTGGCCACCACAGCCACCTCCTTTCCCCAGGCCTTCCTCTGAGGTGTGCTCATTGCTGTTGCATCTACCTCTCCTTTCCCAAGTTCTGGAATTCTGCCCTTAAGAAGCTAGAGGGTGCTTGTTTTCACGGAAATCTGCCAGAAGCTTCCAGCATTTCCTTTTCACACATTTCCTGGTTAAGTCCTGGCTAGGGATTTTCTTAGAATGATTTTCCCCTCAGACTGAAATGGTAACAGCAATAACGTGCTCAAAATGAAGAAAAGAAAAATCACCATTAGCCTTGCTACCTGCCACCTGCCATGTAAAAGGTGTCTAAGCGTTTGTTGAATAAAGTGTTGAGCTCTAGAAATCAAATGTTTATTGGTTTTCATTTTTTGAGAGTTTTCTTTTGTTCACATGCCCACACAGTTTTTATCCATTTATAGTAATGAAATTGGTCAAATTTTGCATCCCAGTTTTATTTATGCTAAACTTTCTGTGGTAAACAATTTTTATGTAGCTTTAGCCTTTAAAAATTTTTATTTTATTATGGGAAGAACGTAGGTACAATATGATTAATAATGATTTTTAGTGACTAGCATTTCCTCAAATCGCTGTATAGCTATTTAAACAAACAGCATCTCAACAACACTTAAGTTGAATGTAATATTTTGCCACTGTAGATAATATTATGATAAGTGCCTTCATACATGTAGTATTTTTCTCTTCTTTTGGGTTATTAAAACATAGTCTCAAAAATGGAATCCCCTTTAAACATATATAATGAGGTGTATATATATTTTAAAATTTGGTTGATCCCTTTTCCAAAAAGTCTTAAAGCACATGAGTTAAAATAAAACTCTCCTTTTACAAAAAAGAACTCTCCTTTTACAAAGATAATACTTGAGCCTCTTACTAAGTGGGTAAAGTCATTTAGTGACACTGAGTAGAAAAGAAACACCGTAAGAGGAAGACCTTCAAGAAAAGGAATTGACTAGAATAAGCAACGGCTTCTCCTCTTTCTTATGGAAACCCTGCGGAAGGCAGTTCTTCACTCTAAAAAGTCTCTTTGGGTTTTAGGGTTGGAAGGTCACCTGGTCTAGTCTTTACTAGATTGTTGAAAATATTAGAAAAGTGCAATACAGTGCATTCATGGAAGCAAAATTAGAGTTCATACATGTTTTGCTTTCTATGCATAAGATATCAAGAACATTTCTATGCAGACTTCAAATAATTTTAAATCATTCCCCCCAAAATTTTCCTCCAAAAGAATATGTACCATTTTAATAAACCCTTAATAACTGTCATTTTGGGGGATCAAAGTGGTTGCTCTAGAAAATAAGCACCTGCTGAAAATGAGATCCTTAATTTGTTTATCTTCCTAGAAAAAATATAGAGATTACTTTACCTCTACAAAGAAAGCCACACAGAATTGGGTGAGGGCTACCACCAAAATTAAAACCCTCCACGATGTTATGGTTGGGATCAACTGTTGAAAAACAAATACCATTATTATATTTTGCACACTTCACACTTTGAAAAAAGACCATATTAATTATTTAATTTATAGATTTGTAATAACTCTCTGAGCTTAGTGGTGGGCATTACTTTGTCCCTTTACAGATAATACAACTGAAGGACTCAAAGCCTATAAATAAATGGCAGAACCAGAATTCAAAGGAGAATGGACTACCTCTTGGCCTGTGTACCTTTGACAGCCTCATGGTGCCTACTGAGAAATGTGCCCTGAATCACAAATACGAGACAGGACATTTTGGAGGCTATGTGTCTGTCTCCATTTTTATCTTTTCAAACAGAAGGCTAAGATTAAATCATTCATCAAATAATGTTAATATTTCCAATTCTCCCAAAGCAAATTCTACCTGGAATTCATTCTTTAAGGAGGACAGAGAAATGTAAGTATATTTTGATTGAGACTAGATGCAGATTGCTTCTGGCCCTATGTCTGATGGGTTAATGAAAGTTGAATGAACCCTCCAAACCCACCAGTTTTTAAAATTTAAGGGTACACATTAATCATTAAATATGCTTATTTAAAGTGTGAGAGCCATAACTTCCCACGGCTGCATCCATAGCAAAAGGCTAGTTACACAGCCTTTTTTCTGAGACCCCACCCAAGAGTGGAATATTTATGGCTGACTGCGTGTGGGACTGAACTCCCTTGAGAACAAAACTCACTGACCCTCCGTAGTATCTAAATGCTTATCCCTAATTCTCACCCCTATGCTGATACGGGTTATTTCAAAGTAATACTTTGTCATTTTTTTCCCCAGGTGGAGACAGTCTTAATCAAGTTGTGAAATACAGCAAATTGTAAAGGGTTGTTTGGATTAAAGGGTTGTTTGGAAAAGCTGGGTCAGATTCTAGCAGAGAACCTGGCTCTTTTTCTCATGGCTGCCACCACTCCAATCCAGAACTAACTCTTCTCCATCCCTTGACCTGGAAGTCACTTGATTTTGAATTATTTGTTTGTTTGTTTAATTTTGAGATGGAGTCTCGCTCTCTCAGGCTGGAGTGCAGTGGCACAATTTCAGCTCACTGCAACATTCTCCTGCCTCAGCCTCCCAAGTAGCTGGGAATACAGGCACCTGCCACGACACCCAGCTAATTTTTATATTTTTAGTAGAGACGGGGTTTTACCATGTTGGCCAGGCTGGTCTTGAACTCCTGACCTCAAGTGATCCACCCGCCTTGGCCTCCTAGAGTGCAGGGATTACAGGCATGAGCCACCATGCCTGACCCTGGAATTATTTATTTATGCAATGGTCTTCTCCCCTAGCTTCTAAACTACTTGAGAGCAGTGACCACACCTTATTCATCTTTGTAACTCTAGTACCAAACTCACTCTGGAGCTTCGTGTTTGATAAATGAATGACTTGGGTTTTCATTTCCTAATTGCTTGTCTCTCCTCTCACATGTAGTCTTCCTGCCGTCATCTAATTAGTCTGTCTTCAGAGCCCTGCTGAGAAGCCTGCTCAGATAGCTTCATTCACTCCATGTTGCCCTTGGCATAAAGTCTAAACTTCTCTAGCTGCCTCCATCCATCCATGCCTGCCTTTATTATTCATTCTTGTTCATACTCCACAGCACATGGCCTCAGTTTTAGCCAGTCTTCTAGTGCTTGGGTAAGCCTTGCTTTTGATTTCTGTCTCTGCCACCGTACATTCATTTGCATTTCTAAAACAAAACCTCTTTCAGTCCTCTCTGCGTCTTAGGCTGTTCTTATTGGGAATATCCCTACCTCCTACCTGGCAAAATGTGGCCTATTCTTTTGAACCCAGGTCAAGTTGCATCTCATCAATGAAATGCCTCCCATGACAGCCACAGTCCACAGTGGGGCCTCCTTCTTCTATGTTCTTCCCAGTTCTGTCTGTCTTCACACTCTTTTCAAGTATGGATAGCCTCAGGTAGCGTTCAAGTATGTCTCATCTTCACAACAAATCTATGACTCGGAGATCAGGAGCCAACCCTTCTCTTTTATTTCTCTCACAATACGGGGTCCAAGAATTAGTTCAATAGCCTTGATGAATTAGATTTTAACCCAGGGCATCCTGGATCAAATTATATCCACTGATATAAAACTTCATGTAGTCAATATCTGACAAAACATGACTGTCTTATAAGTCTATGTTTTCTTTCCCTTTATAACTACTTTATAAAGGATTTCTATGATATGGTTTATTTTTTTGAAAATTGTACTTGGAAAATTATTGTATTATTGCATTAATTTTATTGTATTGGTATAACATAGCATAATAAAGTATCCAAACAATATTTCAGGTAGGTACAGGATAAATGTACCCAATAATATTAATAATATGAAAACCATTAGAGGCCAGTATAGGTGAAATCCAGATATCTTATTTGCCCTTCTAGTATATAGAAATAGCCTCACAGTATTTGGTGGTCAAAGAGAATACAGTAATAATTGACTTGTGAATTACAATGAATACATGGTCCATGTACATGAGTCATGCCAGATGTGCAAATGAATGCCACTTACCTCCATTCCACGGTATATAACTTGAAAGTCAGAAAACAGAATGAAAATTGTGAGGCCCAAGGCAGCTAGCAGCAGAAATGAAAATATATCTGAGGAAATACCAAACATTATTTTTAGATGTTAAAAGAATGTTTCATATAATTTGGCACACATTGCAGAATCAATTATCTCTGTTGGGCAAATACCAGATATATCTTCAGATGTTTTGATATATCCTCATATGTTTTGAAATATGTTCTAATGCTTATAAGATGAAGGTAATATCTTAGAATCTTTCCTTGAAAGTCTGGATGTAGAGACTGTTAATCAAATGTATTAAAGTAACCTCCATAAAGCAGCTGCCCTGGTGCACTATCACTGCGTGTCCAGTGAGTTGTGCTTGCGTGGGATAAACAGTCAGTGTTCTTGGCACCATCTCATTCTTCCCCGTTGCCTGGAGAATAAAGTTCAGGGATCCTCTATTGACATTCAAGGCCTTCCACAATCTGGTCCCAATCAGCCTTTCTAACCTGGTCTCTGACTGCTCTTCCTTATGGGCAATTGGAAAGGTAAACCATAAAACCTCCAGCTTCCACGGAGGCCCAACACTCTCTAGCTTCTGTGTCTTTGTTAAAAAAAAAAAAAAAAAAAAAAAAAAAGCCCTGTGTACCTGTGTACATAATAATCTTCCTGTCTTGGCATGCTCCAATTTTTCTTTCCTTTTTTTTGAGACAGAGTCCCTGTCACCCAGGCTGGAGTGCAGTGGCACGATCTTGGCTCACTGCAACCTCCGCCTCCCTGGTTCAAGCAATTCTCCTGCTTCAGCCTCCCAAGTAGCTGGGACTACAGGCGCCCACCACCATGCATGGCTAAATTTTTTTTGTATTTTCCATAGAGATGGGGTTTCACCATATTGGCCAGGCTGGGCTCGAACTCCTGACCTGCGATCCACCCGCCTCGGCCTCCCAAAGTGCTATGATTACAGGCATCAGCCACACCCCTGGCCTCCAATTTTTCTTAAACCAGTTAAAATACCACTTCCTCTTCAAAGAGTAATACTCCCTTACAAAAGCTTATTTCATATAGTATGTATCATATTCTGCTTTGCATGATCTTAATTCATGTATCAACTGGACTGTGACCATTTGAAAGTGGCTTTATCTCTGGTTCTCTGGAACTCTGACTTGAAAAAGTAAATGAGAAATTAGCATGTACATCTGTTGCATTTCTTCTTTCCATCCTGCCCAAATTGTTTTAATTTTGGGAGCTAAACTTCCCGGATGCACTGTGACAGCATCTCTGTTCTTATTTCCAACCTCACCCACTCCTCTGTCAGAGCCTTTAGCAGAGCACTTTAGAGACGGTACCTTAGAAATATTATTTTTTAATAGAATTATCACCTTCAGGCCCAAACAACAGCATTTAATCAGCATTGCCATGATACAAATGATTCTGACAATCCTATAAAGTTATAAATAAGTGAACAAACTAGGTTTTCTCTTACACTCTACCTCATTTATTCAGTGTTGATCTACTCCTCCCACCCCCAACTCTCTACAGGCCTATACCAACCAGAAATCTGAGGCAACTGCCCCTTGATAGCAGGCTCTATTTTTGAAGTGAACAGAGTTCTGTTTTCATCCTTGAGCACCTACACACACCCTCAATATTTATTCATGCCTCACTTTATGTATATAAATAAATGCAGCACGTCTCAGAAGTGCTTGGGAAGGGTATGAGGCAGACAGAAGAAAAGTAGGAATTGCATCTCTCAGGATAAAGCAATCTAAATGGCTTGGTGATACGATTTCAGGAAATAGCTGTGTGGATTTTTCATTTACTTCATGGATTTGGAGTCCCAGGAACGCAGAAGCTGGGAAGAAGAGGACGCCTGAAAGGTCTGTTCTGATGAAGTCCTAGACCTCACTAGCAACTGGGGCTGAGTGGGGTGCACATCACTGTCTAATGGTCTAAAAACTAGGTCTCGCCTGTGCACAAGTGAGCAATGTAGAAACAAAATTATAAGGTCATCTTTTAAAATTCAGCTTTGATTGAAAAGATGTAATAAAGATTTGAATGTTGGCTCTTCTTGGTTAGTTGCTGCTGCTGAGGAAACATGAAAGAATAGGGCTCTGTTAATGCAGGTGCTTTAGGAAAGCAAATCCTGTGTAAGCCATTACACTTTATTTTCAGGTAAGGTTAGTAATGTTCACATTTGTTTCCAGAAAAGTTAAGCCTCTACTTTTTCATAAAGTTGAGCTTCTGTCAAAGGCTGTTAAAAAGGGCAAAGAGTTTTCTGTTACATCAAAATAAAGTTGCTTGTATATTTTAATAGTAGTTCTAGAGGCTTTTGACTTATAACCTGAGAGTATATGTTTGTTATCTTATTACATTTGTTAGCATACCTGTATGCTAAAATGTAAAACATTTTACATTTAAAATTATCAGTTATGTCTGGTATAGGGGTTTGAATTTACCCACAAGCTTTAAGTCACTGTGAGGTAACTACCTCTAATTCACTCAATTCATGTAAAAGGACTTTGCAGCTACTATTAAAATTAAAGTACTAGGCCAGGTGCAGTGGTTCACCCCTGTAATCCCAGCACTTTGGGAGGCCGAAGCGGGTGGATCACGAGGTCAGGAGTTCAAGACCAGCCTGGCCAAGATGGTGAAACCCCGCCTCTACTAAAAATACAAAAAAATTAGCCAGGCGTGGTGGCGGGCACCTGTAATCCCAGCTACTTGGGAGGCTGAGGCAGAGAATTGCTTGATCCCGGGAGGTGAAGGTTGCAGTGAGCCAAGATGGTGCCACTGCACTCCAGCCTGGGTGAAAGAGCAAGACTCCATCTCAATAATAATAATAATTAAAGTACTAGGCAACAAATATATTCTGCTTGTAAAATACATTTATAATTTTAAAAATTATTCATGTATAACAACATACATTTCCTGTGTATTAGTAATAATTCGTTAATAAATATAATGGGAAAGTCATTCACAATATAAGCAAAAATATAAAATACAAAGGATTAGTTTCTTTTTTTTTTTGAGACGGAGTCTCGCTCTGTTGCCAAGGCTGGAGTCCAGTGGCATGATCTCAGCTCACTGCAACCTCCGCCTCCTGGGTTCAAGCAATTCTCCCTGCCTCAGCCTCCCAAGTAGCTGAGATTACAGGTGCCCACCACCACCCCCAGCTAATTTTTGTATTATTTAGCAGAGATGGGGTTTCACCATGTTGGCCAGGCTGGTATTGAACTCCTGACCTCAGGTGATCTGCCCGCCTTGGCCTCCCAAAGTGCTGGGATTACAGGCATGAGCCACCGCGTCTGGCCCAATTAGTTTCTTAAATAAATGTGCAGGCAGGATTTGTAATGGAGAAAACAACGAATATTTGCTAAGAGACCTTAACAAAAAGCAAGAATAAATGGGGAGACATGACATGTTCCTAAATGGGAAGATTAAGTTATATACCAATGTAAATTCTTCCCAAAGTATCAAAATCCCAAAGGGAAATTTTAAAAGCCTGGCAATTTATTCTAGAGTTTATCTTAAAGAATGAACAGGAAAGAAATAAATACATTTTTTAAAATGAGGAATAATGAGGATACACTGATCTTGCCACTTATTAAATAAAACTTATTATAAAACTATAAGTTTTAAAGTATAGTGGTAAATCAAGAATAGACTGATATTTAAAAACAAAAAAGATAGTATGGAAACTATATAGACATACACATACAAACAATGCATAATATAAATGATGTACAGACAAACACATATATGAAGATAGGATGAAGGTGGTATATTCAGTGGAAAAATAATTGAATATTAAAAACTCAATAGTCAATAAAAGCTGCTAGAAAAACCGGTTGACTAGTTGGAGCAACTTGTTTTAATCCCTACCTCAAACTATACACCAAAATTAACATTAGATTTTAAAAGCACTTTAAAACTAATTGTGATAATCTATCCTATTTCATAATTAGAAAAAACTTCCTGTGCATAAAGACAATGGAAAAAAGATCACAAAAAATAAACAGCTCATACAAATAAATGAGAAACAGCAATCCAACAGAAAAAAAATAAGTTTAAAAATGTAAACACACAATTCACAGAAGAAGAAATTGCTAATGACATGAAAATACGTTTCTCCTCACTGGTGATCAAAGAAATGCAAACTAAAACCAAATAAGACACTGTTTTCTAAAATCTTATCAGACCAGCACAAATTTTGTTTTTTAACTAGTACTTCCTGTTGGATATAATATTAAGAAGCACACCCTCTCCAAAACAACTGATAGAAGTGAAAATCAGTACAAACTTTCTAGAAAGCAACTTTAAATTGTGTATTCCAGGCTTTGACATTTTCACACTATTTTACCAGTTAACTGAATTTTCTTATCCTAAGGAAATAAGAGGCTAAGTCAAAGTAATTTACACAAGTATACTTTTATAGCATTATTTATCATACTGAAGCCAATTGCTTGATAGGGTGACCATCTTTATCATGCAATATCTGGATAGGTATCATGTATCTAGTTTGCCTTGACATTCTCTATTTAAGCCTGGCATAATTATTAATAGTGTCTCACTTCACTCCTAAAGAGTGTCCCAGTCTGATCAGTAATGATGGGGCATATTCTCTGGCTTCTTTGGCCTGCGGATTATTATTATTATTATTATTATTATTTTTTGAGACAGAGCCTTGCTCTGTTGCCCAGGCTGGAGTGTAGTGGTGTGATCCTGGCTCACTGCAGCCTCGACCTCCCAGGCTCAAGCAATCCTCTCACCTCAGCCTCCCCAAGTAGCTGAGACTATAGGCAAGAGCCACCATGCCCAGCTAATTTGTAAAAGTGTTTTTTTAGAGACAAGGTCTCACTGTGTTGCCCAGGCTAGTCTCAAACTCCTGAACTCAAGTGATCCTTCCACCTCAGCCTCCCAAAGTGCTGGGATTACAGGAGTGAGCCACCACTCCCAGCCTTAGCTGGGAGGACCTTAATTGTAGCTTTGAAGAGTTTTTAAAAAACTCTACTTAAATTAATACACAGGGAAAGTAAGTAAGATTTTTTGAGCCCCTATTATAAGTGCCAGACCCTTTACATAAATTGTGCTAGGCCCATTCCATAAAATGCTTTGTTTAGTCCTTCCCTCAGGACTTAACAAATTAAGGATACTCCCTCCCATTCTACCGATGAGGAAATAAGGTCATAGAATGGTTAAAGTAACTTGCCCAATGTTATAAGGCTAAAGAGGTTAATTTGCATTTGAATTGGTTAGAAAGCCTTTAATAAAATATCTTCACATGCATGTATGTGTTTAAAATGATTCTTGATGACTCACAATAGGACAAGACTCATGTGACAGTTAAATAATGTCTGTGCTTATCTGCAAACAAGCAGATTTTCTGCATGTGGGCTCTACCAACGATGACCACTGCATTCAACAACAATTTTAGAGTCATGCAATTGTTTCTTCCTCAGCCCATCATTTCACCAGTGAGGTACAACTCTAGGGTGAGAAAGGGAATGGGAAAATATTCAGAAAGAAAAATTAAACTTTATATACTTACAGTTTGTATAGATGGGTTTTCGAAATGGCTTTCCCTTAGAAAAGATGAATGCTACTGTGATATAGTTGATGGTGGTGATGGGCCACAGTGTGGTGGTCTCAAAACTTAAAATTGAACCAGGAATCAGAGTTGCATTTCCAGTCCAGTTTCTTTCCAAACTCACATTTGTTGAAAAATTACTTTGGTTGGCCAGAAAACACTCACTACAAAAGAATCACCAGTGTTTATGAAACATTTGATTCCATTTTTGTCCATTAGGTGAAAAAAAAAATAATTTAATCACTACCATGGGATTTTAGCTTTCAAACTATGTCAGCCAGTAACTACCAAGACATACTTTGTTCACCTCTTGCTATGACAAAGCAGAAATAAAAGGAAGTCAAGATTGTTCTTTGTCTGGCACTCCGTTTAGAACAAGTGATCTACCTTGAAAGGGCCTGGATGACAATATTTTATGAATTCCTATCAATTCAAAGAGTAAATAGACCATGTCAATTAAACTGTGTGTGTGTGGTTTTCTCTTTCGTGGACTAAACAAGACTCCTAACTTGAGTTTTGAGTTTGAGTCTGCCACTCCTATTTACTTCCCTCAGATAGCTAAAGGATCTTCCTGAAAATCTGAACATGACAGTCTGCTGCTTATAAGGGGTCTACGGCTCTATTTTGCTGATAAATTAAGCTCAAACTTCTCCAACTGGCCTATGAGATCTTTGCATCCTTGTCTCAATCTACCTTTTCAGTCTTACCTTTTGCCACTCCTCCCATGCTCTATACACTCCAAACATATAGGATTATTCCCTGTTCCCCACGTATCAATTTGCATACCTGTTGGGTTGCATGTGCTATTGCCTTTAACTGCGATATAACATCCGTCCTTCAAACACCTCTGCATCTGAAATGCCTTTACTTTTGCTGGCAAGTGGTACTAGTGCCCACAAAAGTAAAGACATTTAAAAAAATGTTATCTCGGTTAAAGGCAATAACACATAGCAAGCTCATTGTTTTGCAATTCTTTATTTACATAATTTTATTTTACATCTTTGGGATGAGAGTTCCTAGAATATGGGATTTTTTTGTGGTTTTGTTTTTTGGTTTTAGTTAGATTTACAATAAATTTTTGGCACCTAGCAAAGTGAGGTCACATAATATTTACTCAAAAAATCTTTGTCCAAGATATGAGCTTTCCCAGTCCTGATTGATCTATTTCCAATGTTCTTTTTTTTCAATAATTAAACCTACAAATTAGTTTCCACCAGCTTTCTTGTTCAGCTTGAAACTTTTAAACCACTATTACAACTGTTTATAAATAAGATTCATTTTCTAACGTGAACTCAAATGCAAGACTTAATACTTATTATCCTGGGCTCCCTGTAGTCTAGAAATGCTTTTTGCACATACAGGCACACTTTGCTTTATTATGTTTCACTTTATTTTGCTTCCCAGATATTGCATTTTTCTACAAATTGAATGTTTGTGGCAACCTTGCATCTAGCAAGTCTATTGGCACCATTTTTTAATAGTATGTGCTCACTTTGTCTCTGTGTCACATTTTGGTAATTCTTGCAATGTTTTAAACTTTTCGAAATAATTACTACCTCTATTATTGTGATCTGTGATCAGTGATCTTTGGCGTTTCTATCATAATTGTTTTGAGATGCCACGAACTGTGCTTTTATAAGAATGCAAATTTAATCGATAAATATTGTCTGTGTCTGACTGCTTCACTGACTGGCTGTTTCCGCATCTCTCTTCCTCTCCTGGGGCCTCCCTATTCCTTGAGAGACAATAATATCGAAATCTGTTCAATTAATAACCCCACAGTGGCCTCTAAGTGTTCAAGTGAAAGGAAGAGTCACGTGTCTCTCTCTTTAAATAAAAAACTAGAAATGGGTAAGCTTAGTGAGGAAGGCATGTCAAAATCCAAGACAGGCCAAAAGCTAGGCCTCTTGCACCAGTTAGCCAAGCTGTGAATGCAAAGTAGGAGTTCTTGAAGAAAATTAAAAGTGTTATTCCAGTGAACACATGAACAATAAGGAAGTAAAATGGTCTTATTGCTGATATGAAGAAAATTTTAGTGGTCTGGGTAGTGGATCAAACCAGTCACAACATTCCTTTAAGCCAAAGTCTAATCCAGAGCAAGGCCCTAACTCCCTTCAATTCTTTGAAGGCTGAAAGAGGTGAGGAAGCTGCAGAGGAAAAGTTTGAAACTAGCAAGAGGTTGGTTCCTAAGACTGAGAGAAAGAAGGTGTCTCCATATGTAAAAGTACAAGGTAAAACAGCAAGTCTTGATGTAGCAGCTGCAGCAAGTGGTCCAGAAGATTTAACTAAGACAATTAATGAAGGTGTCTACACTAAACAGCTCTCAGTGGAAATGAAACAGCCTCTTCTATTGGAAGAAGATGTCTTCTAGGACTTTAATAACTAGAGATAAGTCAATAACTGGATTCAAGGCTCCAAAGGAGAGGCTGTCTCTCTTATTAGGGGCTAACGCAGCTGGTGACTTTAAGTTGATGCCAATGCTCATTTGCTCTTCTGAAAATCCTAGGGCCTTTAAGGATTATGCTAACTCTACTTTGCCTGTGCTCTAGAAATGGAACAACAAAGCATGGATGACAGCACGTCTGTTTACAGCATGGTTTACTGAATATTTCAAGCCCACTGTTCAGACCTACTGCTCAGAAAAAAAAGATTCCTTTCAAAATATTACTCTTTATTGACAGTGCCCCTGGTCACCCTTCAAGAGCACTGATGGAGATGTATAAGGAAATTAATGTTTTCGTGCCTGCTAATACACATCTATTCTGTAGCCCATGGATCAAAGAGTAATTTCAAATTTCAAGTCTTATTTTTTAAGAAATACACTTTTTAAGACTATAGCTGCCATAGAGAGTGATTCATTTATTGGATCTGGGCAAAGAAAATTGAAAACCTTCTGGAAAGAATTCACCATTCTAGATGTCATTAATAACATTCATGATTCATGGGAGAAGGTAAAAACATCAACATTAATGGAAGTTTGGAAGAAGTTGATTCAACCTTCTTGAATGACTTTTTGGGGTTCAAGACTTAGGTGGAGGATGTAACTGTAGATATGGTGGAAATAGCAAGAGAACTGGAATTAGAAGTGGAGCCTGAAGATGTGACTGAATTGCTGCAATCTCATGATAAAATTTGAATGGATGAAGAGTTGCTTCATATGGATGAGCACAGAAAGTGGTTTCTTGAGATGGAATCTGCTCCTGGTGAAGATGTTGTAAGCATTGTTGAAATGAAAACAAAGTATTTAGAATATTATATAAACTTACTTGACAAAGCATCAGCAGGGTTTGCGAGAATTCACTTCAAATTTGAAAGTACTGAGATGGGATAAAATGCTATTAAACAGCCTCACTTGCTACAGAGAAATATCTCATGAAAGGAAGAGTCAATCAGTGAGGCAAACTTCATCGTTGTTTATTTTAAGAAATTGTCACAGCTATACCCCAACCTTCAACAACCACTACCTTGATCAGTCAGCAGCCGCTCAGCTTGAGGTAAAGGCTCTCTACCAGCAAAAAGATTATGACTTGCTGAAGGCTCAGATGATCATTAGAATTTTTTAGCAATAAATTATTTTGAAATTAAGGCATGTACTTTTTTAGACATAATGCTATTGCACACTTGATAGACTACAGTATAGTGTAAACATAACTTTTATATGGACTGGGAACCCAAAACTTCATGTGACTTGCTTTATTGCAATATTCACTTTATCGTGGTAGACTGGAGCCAAACCCACAATATCTCTGACGTAGGCCTGTAGTAGATGTTCCATAGTCACAAAGCATTTTTACAAAAAGAGGAACAGACAGACTAGATGGCCTGAATTATAGAGTTTACAACCAAAGAGTATCTAGTCCAATATACTTACATTAAGGTAATAAAATTGAGGGCTAGTATGGCACATCTAGTTAGTGATAGAGTCAGGAATTCTTAGAATTCCTGATTTCCTATCCATCCTCTTTTGGCTACAACATATTGTCTTCTAGGTTCAGTCAAAACTTGAGTTCTCTGAGTATATGCACTCCAATTTTGGAAAAAATCTAGTGTTTAAACAGAATGAGATTCTATATTCCTAGTTATACTTAAATTGCCAAATTTTTTATCTAAATGACAATCTGATCATTTGCTAGTTTTCAATCTGTTTTACTGATTTCTGGTGCTCTGTGGAGTGAGGGGCAGTTTGCACATTTGCTATTTCAAAGAGAGCAGCTCTTTTCCTGCCTTTTCTTTTATCGGCAGAAAGACTTTGTCAGCAAAATAAAGCTTGAGCCATCGGCGCTATAGCCTACCACAAAAACATTAAAGCCCAGGGAGGTAAAGAGACTTGTCCTGATTCTAGTCCAATTCAATCAGAACAAGGATACCATCAATTCACATTTTAACTTTAACATTCATTTGGGAAAAAACAAAATAAACAAATCTCTCTCATATGTCTATATCAGTGGCCTGCAAACTACAGCCCACAGGCCAAATCTGATTCATCACCTGATTTTGTAGATAATGTTTTATTAGAATACAGCCACACCCACTTGTTTACCTATTGTCTAAGGCTGCTTTTGTGCTGCAACAGTGGAGTTGACTAGCTGCAACTGAGGCCATGTAGTGCACAAAGCCTATTTACTATCCGGCCCTCTAAGAAATGTTTGCCAACCCCTGGTCTATAAAATAAACAGAATACCAGGGAATATATTCATTCAGCCAACCAGTTGTTAGATCTATACATTAACAACCAGTGTGACAGATCTCTTCCCACCCACTCCACCCCAGTAGTCCATGGATTAACTGTGTTCTGTCCCATCATTTGAGTTTTGCAGCGACACAATTTGATTAATTAAAAGTTTTAGGATATATGTTCAAGCCAAGTTATGCAATGTCATTGGATATTTATTAAATTACCTTTCGAAAGCAGCACTAAGAAAATGAACTTACCTGTATTGGTAGACCTCACAATACCAAGGCTGCTGCTTCACATAGAGAAATGCACTGATCTGCACAATGCAGGAGAAACAGGAATTCAAAAATATTGAAAGCAGTAAAGGGGGAGAAAGGAGCTGTCCTGCTGGTCTATATGGAGCCAGCTTTGGGTAGGCATGAGTTGAACTCACTGAAAGACAAATACATTTTTTTCCTATTACAATCTTATCATTGAGAATAAAAGGTTGAGATTGAGATGCATATTATCTTGAGTCTGGCATTGGGATTCAGACTAAGCAAACACGAACAGAAGATTTACACCTAGGTAAGCACATTGCCTGGTGGCACATCCAGTTCCACCAGCCTTTGTCTCTTCCATGCTCTGTCTTCACCTTCAGAAATAAAAAAGTGGGTTAGGAAGTTTTGTAATTAATATATTTACCATATCGCATGGTGCAACTATTTCCTCCATAACCAGACTGACCAGAAATTGTGTGTAAAAGAGGGAAATGGCCTTGCTCGTGGGATAAGCAACACTAATATTGTGTCTCAGTGATGACAGGAAAGTGGAGAGTTAGAATGAGGAGAATAAGGAGGAATATAGCCAGATTCATCTTCATATGCTGGATAATTTAAAAAAAACACTCACTCTATTATTCATTCAGCCAACTTTCTCTGAGCATGTCAATGAGCCAGGCACTGTGATAGATGCTAGAGATGCATTAAGTATCTCTCTGGATACACAGGTGAATGGGGGACTGCTGATGTATGTTACATTAAGAAAAAGAACTCATGAAAAATATTGCTTCTAGATGAGAGTGTTAAACTATATTGTATTTTTGATTTCAGGGCTTTTTTAAATTTAAAGCGTTTGGAAATGGGCAGAAATTAAAAAGAACAACTATTTTAAAAAGACGACTACATCCTTAGTAGCTACATATATGAACATGCTGATGAAAATGAAATGTATTTGCTTCTCAAGGCAGAGCAGGAAGGAAGCATGAGGAGGACAGGAATTTGAATTTAAAGACTGATATTGTAGTCATGTTTCAGTTCCTGTCTTCATACCTGTCACCTCTTCCCTTCTCACAGCTTATCACTGGTTTGTTTGATGTAAGGGAAGAAGTGGGGTGTGCATATTTAAGTTTGTATTTATGAGTGTACAGGTAGAGTAGTGGTAAATGAGTGTCCAATGTGGGATGATAAAACTCTATAGTATTTCTTTGCTTTGTTCAATATGTGTTCTGGGGTAATCATGTAAACTCCTTGGTCCTTCATTTTCTCACATATAAAATGTGTTGGAATGCCTAAATGGTACCCAAAGGCCCTTTCAACTCTTTTATTCTAAAGCTCTATGACTAAGTCTTTACCTATACCAGATCAATCAATGTTTTCCCGGCAGGGTGCTGGGCTAGAGTCTGTGGGGTATGCAGAGATGAGAAGGACATTCCACCTGCCTTCAAAGAGTTTGAAGTCCATGAAAGACACAGACAGATTGTGTAATAAAGAAGCTGGCTGGCTTTTCCTGGGATGTATCCTCTAAATCTTTGAAATGCCCTCAGTGATAGGAGTATTTTTCTTATGCACGGTGGGCTTTGAGAGTTTATGCTAACAAGATGACTCATGGTGGGAATGAGGAGCGTTTGTGTTAAGATGACTCAGGAAGGGTCCTGCCAACGCCCAAAAGACCATCTGTGATTAGAGGGTTGGAACTTTGATCCACAGGATATCAGCCTGACCTCCAGATAGGGGAGTGGGGTTAGAGACTAAGTTTGACCTCACAGCCAATGATTCAATCAATCATGTCTACATAATGAAACCCTAATAAAAACTCCAGACACCGAAGCTCAGTTGAGCTTCCCTGGTTGGTAGTACTCTGCATATTGTCACCCATCGATGTGCCAAGAGGGTGAGGCATCCTGACTTCACAGGGAAAGGACAATGGAAGTGTCTCTCTTGTTTGAGACCCCTAATAGACCTTACCCTAGGTGTCTCTTCCTTTGGCTGGTTCTGATTTTTGTCTTTTTGCTATAATAAAACTGCAATCATAAGTATAACACTTTCCTGAGTTCTGTAAATTGTAGCAAATTGTTGAACCCAAGGGAGTAATGGGAACTCCTAAGTTTGTAGCCAACTAATCAGAAGTTCAGGTGGTATCGAGAGCCCCACACCTGTGGCTGGTGTCTGAAGTGAGGGCATTCTTGTGGAGGCTTTACCCTTAATCTGTAAAGTTTGGCCTAATTCTGGGTGGTTGGTGTCAGAAGCCATTGCTTGGGTCCACGAAGAAGGGGTACACAGTGTGGACTGTGATCAGGGCTCAGGAGAAGTGCAAGGAAATTGTGCTTTCAGGTCACAGAAGGCAGAGGCTTTAGTGCTTGGAGTTCTCTCTGTATTCCAGTATCCAAAGCAGAATGTAGCTATAAATTCATAAAGAGGCTGCAGGTAGTGGAGAGAGTAAAATTGCTTCTCTGTGCATCTGGCTTCTACCTCTTTGGTCTTCTCTCTCATGCTCATTGTAGTTTCTTGCCTTTCTTTTACACAGTAACTGTGGTAGACTGAATTGCTGGCTTCAGAGTGGTGGGGTGTATTTTGTCATCCCTTAATTTTGGGCTTCCCTGTGTGACTTTCTCTGGCCAAAGAGATGTTAGCATAGACTTCAAGCATGCTTGCACAGCCGGGCTTGCCCTGTGGCTCTGCTTTTTGTGACTCACAATGAGAAAATACCAAATCTGTCCGTTCAACCTGGCCTCAGAATGAAAAATGTGGAGTAGACCTGAATCAAATCCAAAAGCATTAACCAAGATCAACTGATCTACATACTAGAGCGGACTGGCTCAGCTGAGCTGACCTAGATCAGCTAAATGACAATCAACTTACAAACCCATGAATGGGGAGAATAACTGCCTGATGGTATAAATGCTGAGTTTTGGGGGTGGGTTGTTATGCAGCATTATTGAGGCAATACCTAATGCATACAGGGTTCTTATGCAGAATATTCTGACTTTTTCCATGTTAGAGACTCTTACTACTTCTGACAGAGAATCTGTATACCTGATTATAAATAAAATAATTTTATAGCTACCATTGTAGGACATCTGTTAGGTTCCAGAGGCTCTAATAAGTGTTTATAAACATGATTTTTATTTCCTTGAAAGCAAAGTAGGTAAATTTTACAGGTGAAGAAACTGAGGCTCAGAAAAGTAGTTTCCTTTGCTTAAAGACCCACAGTTAGTGAGTGACAGCATGGCACTGGAAACCCCAGTATTTCTGATTGTGAAGCCCTATGTTCTCCACTCTACAGCATATTGCAGTATGATGCATCTCAAAAATTAAAAGAACAAAATGGCAAGCCCTGCAATACAAGCTTGGACAGTAGTACCATTTATGAGGATCCCCCCATAAAACTTTTCTGCATTATCTGGGTTTCCTTAAAATGATGATGATATATGCTATCAGATTGCATTCAGAGGAATACTAACTTCTGAAGTGTTATATGGTATTCAAAATTAATCATTCTCCCTTCTGAGTTCCCACAACACATTACTCACATTGCTGCTATAGTGCAGGGTGTCTTGCATTAAATCTAGTTGTTTACATCTGCACTCAGCAGACTGTGAGCTCCCTGAAGGAAGAAATCCTGTCTCATTCCACATTCTGTTTCTTACTAAACCCAGCACAGGATCTATTGCATGGGAAGACTTCGCAGTTTCAAATTCTATTCTTATAGTTTTTAATTATTTGGCATCATTTGGCTATCTCGTAGTTGTGTTTCTCCTAAGTAGTTGGTTTACTTTTTATTCCAAACACTGAAAATCATATAAGACAAATTTCAGGAGGTTCATGAACCCACCTAAACTACATGCAGAATTTCAAATGGGTATCATGAGATTTCTAAGATGAAATGGTTTGTATTTTCCATCAGATTATTTAAGGGGACCAAGACCCAGAAAAGATTAGGAGTCATTGAAACACAGATGGGGTGTACGAGATGCACTTCTATAATGGGTGAGTCCCTCCTGCACCTCCTTCTCTGGATACTGCCTTCTCCTAGGGGCTGGAATGGCTGGCCTAAATGGATCTGAATTTCACGATCCCACCTTCATTCAGAGAAATGAGGGGCCTAGAGGTGGGCATCTAACCCACGTCAGGTCGATAAATTTTCTCTTCAAAATATTTGCAAATAGGACAATGAAAGGCTGAGCTCATTAGCTATAAGAAAACAAACATAAAGGCTGCAAAGCCCCAGTCCTAGTGTCATTTTATGAGGTCAGCTGTAGGGTGAATAAATGGAAGACAGATGGAAACAGTAAGAATGGAAAGAAGAAGAGACACAAGGTGGCCACCTGGAAATAAAGAAAGTGACCTCCATTTTTATCCTTTAGTGTTCTAGTCATCCTCAGATCCAGGTGCTTCCAAGTTCCTGTTCTTAGATTTTTTTGAGAATTATGTTCTTAAACAAACCCTCCCTCTATTTTCTTGATCTAGTTTGAGGAGTTCTTGTTGAAGAGGACAGAGATGTGGCAAAACAAGCTCCTTAAAAATGCCGCTACACAAAATAGAGTCAAATTGGACTTCCAGACATGCATTGCCTGATCAACATCCCTCCTCACTTCATCTTATTTCTCTTTTAGATTTTCTCTGTAATGTATTATATTTTGTCTCTGTACATTGCCTTAAAACCTTGTGGGAACAAGGCAGGGTGTGTATAGATAAATAAGTAAATAAATCAAATATGTGATGGTATTGTCTCTTCCCAGAACCAAGTCAGAGTTAAGGCCAAAAGCCTTAACCTGGAAACCTGGAAATGTAAGAAGCCGTAATGAGAATACAGATACTCTTTGATTTACAATGGGGTTACATTCTGATAAGCCCATTGTAAATTGAAAACATTTTTCAGTTGAAAATACATTTATGCTGTACACCTAACTTACCGAATACCATAGTTTAGCCTAGCCTAGCTCAAACATGCTCACAACGCTTAAGTAGGCTACAATTGAACAAAATCATCTAGCAACACAGTACAATGTAAAGTGTCTGTTGTTTAACCTCATTATTGCTTGGCTGGCTGAGAGCTGCAGCGTGCTGCCACTGCCCAGCATCCTAAGAGAGTATCATGCCACTTTCTTCTGAATATGCATCACTTTCGCACCATTGTAAAGTCAAAAACCATAAGTCAAACCATCATAAATCGGGGACATCTGTAATTTTACATTGATCATCAATTGTTGATGACTCCTAAGGGCTGCAGATAAATGTCCACAGTTCTCAGACCAGCAGTCAAGATTCTCTGTGATTTGACCCAATTCACTTTTTCAATTTTTCAATAAAAGATTTCACATACGCTGCAGTGTGGTCACATTAAAAGCTCATACCCCATATTTATCAGCTTTCTCTTGCTCATGCTGCTTCCTTCTACTTGAAATGCTCTTCTTTTAGCAAAAGATATTTGAAACTTATCCAACTTTCCTATTTTGATGTGAATGCTACTGCTTTCATGCCTCCATGCCTAGTATCTTTCTCCTTTCTCCACTGCTATCTCCTCCTTAACCCCAGATTATCGGAAGCCATCTCTTCTTCCTCTGGACTCCCAAAGCATCTGCTGTTTTCTGCTACTCACTACTTTCAACTTGCATCTTATTTGTTCATGTATGTGAATCCCCCACTGAACTCTGAACTTGAACAATCAGCCTTCTCATGCCTCAGGAACCTACGTGGCTAATATACAGTGAGAGATGAACACTTGTATAAGGGAATGTTGAATGGTGCTTCTCTTGTCTAGAAAATTGTGCCGAGCCTTATATGTGAGGACAGTGAATTGCAAGTGCCAATTTATTGTGAAGAGAGATTATCGCCATATCTCCATAGTGTCTAGCAAGAGAGATCCATATTGGTTATTTAACTATAAGCATGTCTGTTCCTGCCTCATTCGCTGCATGCTGTCTGTACAAGATAAAACTTATGGAGATTATCAAGCAATTCTTTAAAGGCAATTGTTAGGAGCAATGTAAACTGGTTTTCTTCTCAGCATCACCACAACCCCATGAGGGGAAGTCATAAGAGCCACTGTTAGAGAGACTGGAAGTGGTTTTAAGAGAGGATATTGGCCTTGCTCACTCCCCTTCATGGTAATAGCAGAGGGAAAGGGCAGGCAGCAGCGAGAGCAAGCTATTTACTGTCTGGTAGGTTAAGTAGAAGCCATGGAAATTAGCCAGGCTAGAGCTAGCTATCCTGGAAGGAGTTTATGAATGTGGCAGCCTGCTGGGGGTTGGAGGGCCCAGTAGTAGAAAAGGGCTTCATGGTATGTACCACTAGGAGGCAGCTGCAGAAAGGAATCCTGAGAAGTCAGAGGGAGAGAGCACCACTATGTCAGGGTGTGGTCTAGTCCATACCTATCCACAGGGAAGCTCTGATGAATTCACCAATGAACCCCGTGCCTATTGCCTAAATGTGGGTGTTGCCATGTTTGAGGGCATTTGACAGGATATTTTTGTGTAAGGTGTAAGGAAGGGGTCCAGTTTCAATTTTCTGCATATGGCTAGCCAGTTCTCCCAGCACCACTTATTAAATAGGGAATCCTTTCCCCGTTGCTTGTTTTTGTCAGGTTTGTCAGAGATCAGATGGTTGTACATGTGCGGTCTTATTTCTGAGTTCTCTATTCTGTTCCACTGGTCTCTGTGTCTGTTTTTGTATCAGTACCATGCTGTTTTGGTTACTGTTGCTTTGTAGTATAGTTTGAAGTCAGGTAGCATGATGCCTCCAGCTTTGTTCTTTTTGCTTATGATTGTCTTGGCTATTCGTGCTCTTTTTTTTTGTTTCATATGAATTTTAAAATAGTTTCTTCTAATTCTGTGAAGAATATTAATGGTAGTTTAATGGGAATAGTATTGAATCTGTAAATTACTTTGGGCAGTATGGCCATTTTCATGATATTGATTCTTCCTATCCATGAGCATGGAGTGTTTTTCCATTTGTTCCTCAGCAAACTAATGCAAGAACAGAAAACCAAGCACTGCATATTCTCACTTATAAGTGGAGCTGAACAGTGGGAACACATGGACACATAGTGGGAGACAAAACACGCTGGGGCCTGTTGGGAAGGGCAAGGAGGAAGGAGAGCATCAGGAAGAATAGCTAATGGATGCTGGGCTTAATACCTAGGTGATGGGTTGAACTGTGCAGCAAACCACTATGGCACATGTTTACCTATGTGACAAACCTGCACATCCTGCACATGTACCCTGGAACTTAAAATTTGCAGCAGAAAAAAGAACACAAAAATCATAAAAATAAGTCCTTTCTTCTTGTTGCTCTTCTTCCCCAGAAACAGGGGTGGAGAGTAGGTGACTCAAGGGAAGTGAAGAAGAGACCATGGCCTTCTCGTCTACTGCTTGCCCCAAGCCCATAGTTCAGGCTTAATGTAAGGGAAGAAAAGCTTTGAATCAGATGAAAATGTGAAGTAATAATTATAATACCTGGACTTTTCATGTCTAAGGATAAGATCATCTTAATACCTAGACTTGACCAGGAAATGACTAGCCTGTGGGATGAGTAAGTTTGCAGAGACGGGAAAACAATAGGATGTTTGCAGGTAGAGGGTAAAAAACAAACTAACAAACATAGCTGGTTTCTGCCTCTACTCTCTCCTTCACCAATCTCCCTGAGTTTAGCCCATTTACTAGCTACAGTCTGCTGAGTAATAATTAAAGTGCCGTCACTCTGATAGAATGTTATGCTTCTGGTCTATCGTCACCCTTCTGAGGTTTTTTTTCTCCTAGTGGTAATAACGGTCCCACTGTGAGTCATCCCAGCACTCCCATAGAGCCCATTCTGAGATGCGAGACTGAGTTTCCCAGGGCTACCAACTGGCATGAGGCTCAACAGGCTATTGCTGTGGGAAAGATTTAAGCAGCCCCATTACCACATAACTAATATCATGGAATTAAGTGTGCAAAAGCTCCAAATAACTTGCTCAGTGTCATATAGTAAGTCGGAGGCAAGACTAGAACTAGGAAGATCATCCATGTTTTTGGATTTCTAATGACACTGGTCTATCTGTACACATTCTAAGGCTCTTCAAGTGCTCAGAGAGCTAGTCAGTCTTCTCAAAAGAGGAAAAGGAGGAGATATGATTCATGTTGTAATGAGTGCTCAGTGTGTCCTGTGCTGTGATGCACACTTCACCAGCATCATTGTATCTGATCCTCACAATTCTATGAGGACAGTTAGCCAGAGGTCACGAAAACAGGCCACAATAGCCATGGCCTTCACCTCCATGCTGCTGCCTGAAAGCTTGGTTCTTGAAACCTCTTGGTGTTTTTTTTCTCTTTTTAGTATCATTCACAAATAAATCATGCAAATTGCTTAAAATATCCAGTGCTGTAGAAGCAATTTCATTGATTCAAAATTATTCAGTCATATGAATATTAATAACATGTAGAAAAATATTTTAATGAACTATGAATAGACATTTCAACCCTAAGAATCAAAATTGATGTTTTAGTGCTTATAGCTCTGATACTGATAAATTCAGTCATTGGGTTGATACATAAAACATATCAGTTTTATGTACTAAGGTGCTACATGAAATTCTCAAGGTTATTAATATCCTACATTGCCTGATGTTTTATCTGTTATTTTTCATAACATGCCTATTGTTGAGCAAGGAAAAAGAGATGACAATGCCATTCTTTTTCCTTGCTCTCTGGTGAGGCAGTCACCTTTATCACTTATTAAGAGTCAGCATCAAGTCCTGAGCTCCTTGATAGGAAATACTTTACCAGTGTCATCTCAAAGGAAGGACATGAGCAATAGCTGCTGTTGGAAGCCACACCTTGCTTTTGGAGAATTCTACTAAAATAAAATGTTAGCATTTGTTCTCACACATCAAAGACCTAGAAAAAAATCTGGTTTCACGTCAATGTGAAGCATAGCTGAATAATGGAAAGTGACCTTTGGGTTTTAAAAAATTCCCTTTCTAGGTTTTGTATTCATTTTTCTATGTACAAGACATAAAACTACAAAGAACTTGGACTACGTTGACAGTTTTTTGTGACTAAGACCTATTTGTTGTCAGAATGTTTTAATGCCAAGTCTCAGGATTTCAACTCTCAACTTACTCCCAATATCACTTTTAAAAAATTGTAAATAATGAGGTTTTGGAAATAAGGGTGCCTCTTTCTCAAAAGTTCCTTTTTGTGTGACTGTTTCTAGAATTTCATAGATAAATAAAAACAATATAGTTTTCTTTGCTAAAGAGCTTACTTGTTAAACAGACCATCAAAGTAATGGCTACATCTTGCATGAGATACTGGTAATTTCCAAAGAGTTGTAGTTGCTGAAAAAGAAACAAAAGCAAATATAAATGTGGCATCTGCCATCATAGCCTATTTATTATTCCCTACACTCTTTTTAAGTCGTTAGGAGGCAGCTGTTACTTTTTTTTCCCTCTTCAGGAAGAAAATGACTAACCTAAAATTATTAGCATCTCATTTTGTAGAATGAGGCCAGACGACTATTTTCCCTGCATTTAACCTACTTCATATTAGCGACAAAAGTCAATTATTTGAGAACCACCCTCCTATTGGGTGCATTAATTACCTGACAGCTGTAGTCTCAGCCTAGGCAGTTGAATTCTCAACATAAGATGTTAAAGCCTGAATGTTCCCTTAGAAATGTTATACTTAAAATTTGAAGTGAAGGCGCAATTCATTCAATAGGCATTGCTCTCCATCCTCACCCATGGTATGAGTTTACAACATAGGTCTCTTGGAGTCCATTCACTTTCACAAACTGAACAAAGGCTCCTACCCTAAGTAAGCCCATTGCAGAATTCAGTCGGGTACATCTGCCTTTTTAAGGTTTGTGTAGACAGAACTTCTTTCAAGTTCACATTATAGAGTTGAAGTATTTAGATATGAAAGTCAAATCATTACTCTCCAGGAAGTTGCCTTGCAATATCTCTTGCAGCCAGGTCTGTTTATCTGTTTCATATCTGTCGACTAAGCACTAAACTATAAACTGGTTCTGAGCACATTACAGACCAGATTTATGCACATGGAAAGTATTGCTGGCTTCTCAGAGAGTGAATCCAAGTCCCAGAAGGTACCAGGTTAAGGTTCTTCTGCGACACTCTTATTTAGGTCTAGACCACTAGAATGAATGGCTGCAGAGTGGACTATGGTTTCTACCTCCATCCGTGGAGGCTTTGGAAAATGAATTTCTGCTTTCACATGTTTGAAAGGCTGCCATTGGTTCCTCAGTGTCCCTGTCAACCTCCAATTCTTCCTGTCTTCTTTACTTTTCTTTCTCATATCCTTTCCTCTTCTTTTCACCTGAGAGTGGTAAAATTATATATTCAGAATGAGATGGAGCAGGAAGAAATTTCCAACCGCAGCTTTAGTTTTTCTTCTAGGAGAAGCTTTCATGGAACTATGGAGGGCTCTGAAAAATCAGCTTCCCAGAAGCAGGTTTTGGCCAAAGGCAAGACCTAATTTGTTCTTTTGGATGAAGAACTTGAATCCAGGTTTTCTGACTCCCAGTCCAGTTCTTGTTTCTTCCCACCAGGCTGCCTTTGAGCCCTCTGTGTGTGATTCTTGCAAGCAATAGCCCACTGGATGGTATAATCTTGTGGCCCTCTTATTCACTTCTCAAACCTCCCAGGAAAGCAATAGAATAATCCCTCCTGAAGTGTTCCTTGAGCCTGTTGGATCATTTTACTGTAGTACAAGCTATGGTTGGACTAATGAAGATTATTTTTAGCTTATACATAGTTCTTCTGTACAGCTAATTAATTTTTAAATGGCTATTTTCATCATTTAATTTTGAGTCTTTTTTAGTTTCAAAGAATTTCCGATTCTTTACTAATGATATCCCTGACTGTATAAATTCTAGGTACCTTCAGGAATAAGGGTCCATTGTGAAAGGTCTTTAGCATTCTAGTCCTTCAAAAGCAAATTCAACAGCTTCTCTTCCTTTTTATCTCTTCTTAGTCTTCCGTTGAAAATATTCCACAATTGGAGACTCATCCATTTCCTGCTGAATTATACTTAGGCTGCTTTGAAGCTCTCTTCATATTCCAAAAGAAGAAACAGGGGTTTGGAGAGGTGAAGAGTCTCAGGTTATCAAGAGAAAAACAACACACTAGAAAACTCATCTACATGTACTTATTTCTAGTTCCACATTTCATGCACAGTTACACCAGGTTCCTGAGTTTGCAGACACCTATTTTGAGAAATGTCATTTGTTTATAAAACATTAAATCTTGTATAGGAGCTACACCCTGAATAATAAATTAGGGACATAAATGCAATTAGAACTGAGACAAAATGATTTTGTTTCATACCCAATAGAGCAGTAATGCACTGATAAACTGGATTATGCCGTACATGGTCAAGTATTTAAATACTCCAAAGGATGAAACCAGAGCAGCTCGGCCTTCTCTGTTTAAAAAGAAATAAAAATAAAAATTGGTTATGTATGATAAATGTCTCCCAACTTCTTTTATACTTAAAACGAGTTATATTTTTAGTAGCCTGTTGACATACATTCACTTAATCATGAATTCATCCTCCTATTTATTTAACCACTCATTCATTCATTCTCTCCTTCAATCATTACCTTACTCATCGGTTCATTTACTCACTTTTATTTAGGGCTTATGAAGTACCAGCATTATGCTAAGAGTCATAGAGGATATAAAATGAATCAGGCACACTCCTCATTTTCAACAAGCTTTCAGTGAAGTGAGAAGATTACTATGTGTATTATAAACACAATACAACATTATGATAAGGTGCAAAATGTCAAGCATTGACTCACTTGTGACTCATTACATCTTAACAATACATGCTTCCTGGGAATTGCATTGTGTGTGCTTTAGAGGTCCTTGGAGACATAAAGCTAAAGGATAGGTGCTTTGACATTTTAGGAAGTGTGAATGTGACTCTAATATTTGAGATTAAATGGGTAAGGAAGGCTTTGATATTGCAGGAAGACCCCAGGGTAATAATCTGAGTGGGCCATAAAGATCAAGAGATCAAGACGACAGTAAAAAATGCAGCTTAAAAAGTAGATATTTCTCCTTTAAAAAAATTCGGTCTTAGCTATTAACGCAGTAACAGGTTTTCTGAATGGTGGATTATGACAGGTTAGAAGAAAAAAATGTGAGGTAGCAGCATGTGATGCGAGAGTGGGACCTCAGCAAACCAGCTCTCCTTCAGCCTCCTCTGCTCAGGGCAGAAGCAATCCACATGGGACGTGACCCACATCCACTTCATTTCTACTCCCCAGTAACATGGACACCTGCTCTGCTCAAAGATGTGGTCAACAGAACAGGGACATGAAAAGAAGAACCTAAAAGCCAAACTACTAACCACTTTGTCTCAGGCAAAATGAGAAGGCAAGGGTGGGAGAGAGGCCAGGATATTTTGGGAAGATATTTTCTACCAAGCTGTGAGGTGCTGTCGTTTGTTTTCAACACTGAGGATGGAGCAGAAGACAAGCTGAGAAGGGGCAAGCATGTGAAGTATGGATCGTTTTCCCAAGTCTGATATAAACATTGCGATTTCATTGTTTTTTTCTGCAATCGTGCATAGTTCCAGGAAAATTAAGACACCCAGATTCAAAGGAAAGTACAAGAAACTATTCTAAGTAAAGGATAAATGGGCCTCCAAAATTACTGCTATTCCTAATGATTGTGAATTTTAAGTAGCTCATGCATTTATCTACGCATTCTACAAACGTTCACTGAATGCTCTGATATACCCAGCATAGTGCTAGGCATAATGCTTGATACAAAAATCACTAAGACACAGTCTCTGCCCTAAAGGACTTGAACTATAGCAACAAGTAAATCATGTTTCAAAAGACAAAGATGAAAATCCGTGGATTTGATCCTATGCATCTAAAACTGTATCTCATTGCCTCTCTGGAGTGCTTTCTCAGGAATAAGTATGCATCAAGGATAGAAAAAGTAAAATGAGCCTAACAGAGCTGAACCATATCTAATTTTTATGAGTCTATGAAATATAAAAGCAAGGAGTTTCTACCCTAGCGTCTTACTGAGCCATCTGCCACTGGAGAAATTTTACATCATGACTTGTATTCCGTAACAGTACACTGCACTCATAAATGCACTGGGCCACATGCATGAGGAGGAGCATCTGAAGTTCGAATGCCACTGCATGTTGAATGGATCAAGTAGGCACTTTGCACTGTTATCCAGGAGCTCAAACTCCCTGCAAGGTCTCCACATCTGGTTGTCTAGCTTAACCACCACAATTCTCATCTGAGAAGTCTTCTAGCCCAGTTGCACCAACTGGCCCCTGCATTCTCCAGTTACAACACTGTGTCTAAACATGGCTGCCGCATTTTCCCCACCTGGAATTCCTTCTCACCTCCTTTCTGTTTACATAAGTCTCACCCATTTTTCAAGTTGCAACTCCCCTACTGAAAGCTTCCCTCCTGGCTTGAGTTCTCACACTCAACTGCCAGAACATTTGCTGTCTTGTTTGGACATTAATTTATTTCAAGCAAATTTATTGAGCACGTCCCATGTATCAGACATTGTATATATATAATTTTGTGTGTGTATGTGTGTGTATAAAACATGCCTGATGCATGAGAGACACTCAATAAATAATGTATATATTTGTGTGTATGTGTGTGTATATATGTTAATGTATGTATATATGTATATATGTAAAGGAGATATTTCTCCTTTAAAAAAATTCAGTCTTAGCTGTTAATGCGGTAACAGGTTTTCTGAATGGTGGATTATGACAGGTTAAAAGAAGACGTGAGGTAGCAGCACGTGATGCGAGAGTGGGACCTCAGCAAACCAGCTCTCCTTCAGCCTCCTCTGGTCAGGGCAGAAGCAATCCACATGGGAAGTGACCCACATCCACTTCATTTGTATGTGTGTGTGTATATAAATATATATACACACACACACATATTTATATATACATTCATATATATGTATATATGTATTTATGTAAATATATGTAACATGTTACACATATACATACACATACACACACACACACACACACACATAATTTTTGCTGGAATGTAAATTCTCCGGGGGCAAGACTCTCTCATTCTTTACATTTCCAAGCACACTTGTAAAGAGCTCCATGAGTTGTATTGACAATGGAAAGCATAAAATAAGGCGAGGGTTCTGAGTACTATCATCATGTAGTCACCATGACACAAACCAAGGTTAAGACACTAGAGATAGTAACCAAAGGGCTTAGAGATACTCTGCAAAATAAATCAGTAAAACATAATGCTTGTTTGGTTATGGGTGAAGAAGAGGAAGGAGTTACACGCACTCTAAGGGTCTGAACCTCAATGGCAGACTCCAAGGAGTAGACTGTTCTTAGAAGCAAGGAAAGTGGGAGTTGGGAAGAGGAGCTGCTTTGGAGGCAGGGGAAGTGATCGTGTTTGAGGGTGTGAAAGGACACACGTGCAGACACCCAGTGTTCAGGGTGTTGTGTAAAGCTGTCTTGCTGATATGCAGCCAACCAGGGGTGTGGAATTTTAGACCTGCTACCTTTAGGTCAGTGATTCCTGCCAGTGACCTGTTTATTCTGATGCACCAAAGGACATGCTGGGGAACTTCATGGCTGTCTTTTTTGTATGAATCTCAAAATCTGGTGATGGTTTTCAGATCACTGCCCATGAAAATGCCCAGAAATTATCCATAAGTGCTATAGGAAACAATAGATAAATCAGATTTATGAATAAAACATAAAACTGGGTGTTTTGTTCTTAACTACATTTAAAATATAAGTAGACATGAGATCAGAAATCAGAGTGGAGTGGAGGGGAGGGAAGCATGCTGTGAAAATAAACGTCTGTTAATGGCTTCCTGTATTAGTCCATTTTCACACTGCCATAAAGATTACTACCTGAGACAGGGTAATTTGTAAACAAAAGAGGTTTAATTGACTTACAATTCCACATGGCTGGGGAAGCCTCAGGAAACTTACAAAGATGGCGAAGGTGAAGGAGAAGTGGGCACCTTCTTCACAAGACAAGAGAGAGGAAGCACGCAGGGGAAACTGCCACTTTAAAATTCATCACATCTCATGAGAACTCCCTCACTATCATGAGAACAGCATCGGGGAAACTGCCCCCATGATCCAGTCAACAGGCTGGGAACCACAACTCCAGATGAGATTTGGGTGGGAACACAAAGCCAAACCATATCACTTCCCCTTCCCTGACACTGTCAATCAACTTTTTATGTAAAAGATATTGGATATTTACTAATTTGCATTTTGGAGACATGTAATAGTATTTAGGGAAGCTATCTAATGAAGTATTTCCTTTCTGCTTCCTCATCCATCCAAAATTCCTGAGAGAAATGTTACAGGAAGCATCCAACATACCAAATAGAGGAGAGAAAAAGTAAGAAATACAATTAGTTTTAAAACATCAAGTCAAGCTTTCAACTGTTTACATGATACCCACCTATCCTTTAAGGCTCAGCAAAAGTCACTTTTCTGTGGCTTTTACCAGCACTCTTGAGTAACACTAATGGCCCCCTTCATTGGTTCTCCAATAGCACTTCACCCATTCCTCTGTTGCAGCATTTATCACTTTAGCTTGTAGTTGAATTCTGTCTGCAGAGCCAGACAATGGGCCCATTGATTGTAGGGCTGGAAGAGGAAAAAATGACTTACCTGATGAGATGAGGCACACACTGGATGTTGGTTGTTTTAGAGGTAAAAGGGGATGCCACAGATGCTTCCTGCTCTGATAATGAAATGCCTGCATGAGCCGCTTTCAAAGCCTGGAATGATAAGCCCATGTCTCACCCATGACTTTTCAGGTTAGGCTTTACCTCTTAAAACACCAAGAGGCTGTTCTTCACATCATAAAGGTATAACACTGTACTGTTTCATCTTTGGGTCTCTGTTTAATGCTGTCCCTCCACCTGGAGTGCCCTCTCTCCCCTGATCCACAAAGTCACTAACTAAACAATGACCCAGAGGTAGAAAAGTGGTGTGTGTACATGCATGCGTGTGTGCATGTGGGCATGTGCATACAAGGGCCCTGCCTGTGGGGATTATAGATGTGAAAAGGAGATGGAAGCCCTCATTCAAAAACTCAATTAAAAAGATGACAGAATTTGGATGGACGTTGGTTGGGGACCTTCACCGTTTCAGTTCTTGTACCTGGTGGGAATCTTCATGAACAAAGGTGAAAGAATTCCTAGGCCGATCCTATAAGAATTGTGTGGGCATAAAATGAACTTTTATATATCTGTAGTTCCACAGAACTACAGAGTACCTGGCGCCATGAGTACATACTAGATTCAGGTTTAATAAATAATAGGACATTTTCTTCTTCCTCTTTGATCTCTAGTTCGTATCTCTATTATGTACTTTAGGACCATCTACTTTATGTTAGGGTTAGTTTTATTCATGATTCTTTCTTCATCAGACAATGAACTCTTTAGGAGGCAGAGACTATGTCCCTTTTTGCATTTGATTTTTTTGTTTTATTCTAAACGCCACATAATTAATGTGAGAGGATACGTATTCTAGATTTGAAAGAACAGACTAAAAATTAGCTTTTTCTCATGAAACATAAAGCAAAAAACATCTCTAGCTATAAAAATTTCTAGCTATAAACACAGTTTTCACAGAAATTTGGAAATAATATTTAAGAGAGAAATAAAACAAATACCAAGATCTTAAATCTCTAATAAGCTTTGGAAATACAAAGAAATCTTCCTCACTTCTTGTCCCATAAATCAGCTACTGAAATATTTCCTTAAGTACATAATCTTGAAGGTAGACTATTTGTTTCCTTCATGTCTTTAAAACTCAGAATATAAAACATTCACTGCCCTTCTACTGCATATGAAAAATAATTTGCTGATAATCATTTTATTTAGCTTTTTCTATAGCATAAAATAACTAAATAGTTTGGTCTAGGATTTTACTGAGTGAAAGAGTTCTGGGTGAAGCAAACTTAAAAACTAACCAGAGAATGAAAGTTTGGCAGGAATAAATATAATTTACATATAATTCAAAACTTTAATCATCAGTTTCAAACTTCGTTTCATTGAGTCTTTATCAGTTGTGTGACCTTGGGAGGGGGGAAGAAATCACCTCCTTGAGAAATCATTTCATTACTGATAACAGGAAAGATTTAAAGCAGATAGACTTGTAAAGTTCCATCTTTGGAACCTGAAATATGGGAGTCTAAGTAGCCTTCCTTTGTGTTTATTATTCTAGGAGTTTCCAGAAAGCATCGGAAGTGTCTCATCTCCCTTTACTCCCCTCCGCTTCCAACCCACACTCAGGTAGAGGTGGATATAAACAGCAAAATAATCAAATGGTTGCTGGTGGAAGGATGAAGAGACAAACCCCAGGAGAGCCTGAGGTCCTCCAGAGGGATATTAGTGAGTGGCTTGTCTGAGCAAAAGCCATTTCTACTCACCCCACAGTCGTTAGCTCCATCTCCACACATGCCCACATAATAACTGCGGGAGACAGGAGAAGAAGGATTAATAGGTAAGAAAAATGAACAGCTCACTTGAATATTTTCCATCATAACTAAGTCACATGTGATTTGTGTGTATGTGTGTGTCCCCTGAACACACCTGGAATCAGGCTGAAGAAAAATGGTTTGGAGAGACATATTCCCAGAGGGAAAAGGCAGTTGCGTTATTTAAGTTGTTTCAATCAATCACATTGAAATGGTAGTGATATAACCAAGGACATCGGCAAAACAGTGATTGCACACTTTAAAAGAAGTCCTGCTTGATGATACGCACCAAGGCCAAGCTTAAGAGTATGCAGTCATGAGCAGAGCACTTCCCACACAACCTAATGCAGAGATCATAACCCAATCCAGCTGCATTTTAGTCACTGACTGTTGCTGAGCATTTACAGCTCAAATACCAGGATGAGAAATTTCAAAAACAGTTTAACAGATATAACTAGAGACATATATTCATATTTTTGATGCATGTCAGGGTGAAAATAAGATATGTTTTCCATCTATATCAGTTTGGTGTGCAAGCACAATACAAATAGAAGAGTAAAAATTAATACGGCTGCCAAAGAAAAGGAGTTTCAGATGTAAGACACTGCCTGCCTTCTATTATAAGTTATACATTATAAGTATTGATAAATGACAATATTCTTAAAGACTTAGCTGCATTTTTCTAAAAACAGAGTTATGAAATCAATAAGGAGAAAAAATAAAGTTTTGTTAGCGTTTCGTTATTATTAGTTAATGCATAAGAAACAACCACTTTTATAGGTCAAAAACAGTTAATTAAATGTGGCCAGGCACGGTGGCTCACACCTGTAATCCCAGCATTTTGGGAGGCTGAGGCAGGCGGATCTTGAGGTCAGGAGTTCGAGACCAGCCTAGCCAACACAGTGAAACCCCATCTCTACTAAAGATAGAAAAAATCAGCTGGGCATGGTGGTGTGCTCCTGTAATCTCAGCTACTTGGGAGGCTGAGGCAGGGGGATTGCTTGAACCTTGGAAGCGGAGGCTGCGGTGAGCCGATATTGCACCGCTGCACTCCAGCCTGGGCAACAAAGCGAGACTCTGTCTCAAAAACAAAAAAAAGTCAAATGTAGGCACACCCCTATGGTTCAATCCGATACTGGGCTGTGTAGATGAAAATAATCATGCTATATATGTTCATGTCATGACTACCCACAATTGTTGAAAAATGGCTCCTTCTTTCAGGCTTAAAGCACATATTTAGTCTCTATATCACATCAAGAATCTTATCATCTTCTAGTATTCCCTGAATTCAGAAAGAGAATGCAGACAGCCTTATGCACATTGCCAATGACAAAGGCATGAGGAGGAAGATTGGGATGTTGAGAAGACAGCTCATTCTGAGGCAGTGTGTGTCTTCCTGAATTCATTTTTTAAGGGGAATATGGCTTTTCAAAGTTAGGCATTTTAGTTGGCAAAATTTCTCAGGCATTTGAAAAAGGTAAAATTACTTTCTTCAGCAATATCATGTAATGATCATGTGAATGAAATAGTCATTTAGTCACTGGTTACTTACCCAGCCTCAGGCATTCTGGAAGTTAATAGGCAGTTTGTAAGACTTCCCTATGAATGCTTGGGTAACAAAATCTAACAATAAAAGGGTGTCTCCTGATTTCACCAACAACTCACCAGCCATCATCTAAAGATTCACTACCCTATGTTCCTTTTCACTTCCTAGACTCTGCAGCCCCAAACTGTTACATTCCCAGAAACCAGTAGGTAGATCTGGTCTCAAGAAGTACCATTTCACTATAAGGTAACTTGGTCATCTTTATTTTTGAAGGGGGTAATAAAGGACTTTCTCTTGACTTTCCCTGCTGGGGCCAGATAAAGGCAAAATGCTATTTCACCTCTTGCTAAGAAGACCAGAAATTATTCACATATCTTCTAATGGACCAACCTAAAATAATTCCAGGGTATAACGCACCTACTTCCCCATTTTTCTGATTCTAAGCTATACAACCTGCCCCACTATTTCTGCTACATCCAAGCATGGGAGGGTTCTCTAAGATATATGCCTTATGGCCCACAGAACAAATGCTCTCTGGAATAGGTAACTTCTAAATGGCCCTCAGCGATCCCCAGCTCCTGGCATCCACGCCCTGTGTAATCCACTCCCCTGGACGTGGGCTGGATCTAGTGGCTTACTCCTAAGGAAGGGAATACGGCAAGGGTGATGAGACTGGCATATAAAAAACAGCAACATCCGTCTTGTGTGCTCTGTCTCTGGTTCTTCTTGCTTGCTTGCTCTTTTAGAAGTCAACTGTTGCACTGTGAGCTTCCTTATGCAATGGCCCCTGTCACAAGGAACTGAGGTTGGCTTCTGTCCGCTAGCCAGTGAAAAACTGAGGTTCAGTCCAACCGCTCATGAGGCACTGAGCATTCAACATGTGAATGAGGCTGGTGAGAGATTTTTTTCCCCACTCAAGCCAGTGCTTGAATTTTTTTTTAATCCCCTTTTTTAAACTTTTATTTTAGGTTTGGAGAACATGTGCAGATTTGTTATACGAGGGAACTCATGTCACGGAGGTTTGTTTTACAGATTATTTCATCACCCAGGAATTAAGCCCAGTACCCAGTAGTTATTTTTTCTGCTCCTCTTCCTCCTCCCACCCTCTGCTCTCAAGTAGACCCCAATATCTGTGTTTTTCTTCTTTGTGTCCATGTGTTCTCATCATTTAGCTTCCACTTGTAAGTGAGAACACAGTATTTGATTTTCTGTTCCTGCATTAGTTTGCTAAGGATAATAGCCTCCATTTCCATCTGTGTTCCTGCAGAAGTCATAATCTCATTCTTTTTTATGACTGCACTGTATTCCATGGTGTGTACGTACCACATTTTCTTTGTCCAATCTGTCATTGCTGGGCATTTAGGTTGATTCTATGTCTTTGCTATTGTGAATAGTGCTGCAGTGAACAGTCACATGCATGTGTCTTTATGGTAGAATGATTTATATTCCTCTAGGTATATAGCCAGCATTGGGGTTGCTGGTTCAAATGGTAGTTCTGTTTTAGCTCTTTGAGGAATTGTCATACTGCTTTCTACAATGGCTGAACTAATTTACACTCCCACCAATAGTGTATAAGTGTTCCCTTTTCTCTGCAATCTTGCCAACATTTGTTATTTTTGACTTTTTAATAATAGCCATTCTGACTCACACCTGAATTATTGACCCATAGGTAGCAAGAGTTAATGAGCACACTCTTCTTTCATGCCATGACACCTACTTTAATTTCTGAAATTCTTCAATAAGGCTTGATTTCTGCCCAGGAGACATTCTTGCAAAAACTGTTCCATTCACCAGAATCTAAAAAGAAAAAACAACCATTGCAATATGATTGGGAAGAAGAAAACTTTTAAAAATAAAAGAACAGCCCTGAAAAATCACTCCTGGTTACTAATTTAATACAGCATTGGATGGTATGTCATTAGACCAATACCAGGAAGGGAAATAAGGAGATTTAACACTTTAATATTGAAATTTCACTTAAAGTCCTCCATCACAACTCCATTACTTTTTTCCCAGACTATTTTTCCAAGATGGGGTGACCACTAATCAATAATACTACAGTAACTAAGAAGCAGAAGAGCATATGGAATAAAAATGCTTGAGGAAACACAGTTCTTTCCTGATAGACACCATCTCCATAATCATAGCATAGACAGAGGAAAGGCTGGAAGCTGAGAAACAAGGCTCTGTTCTCAGCTGTGCCAGCTAGCTGTGCACACCTTAGACAAGCAGATTAATATCTCTGAGTCTCAGCTTTCCCTGAACTGAACTAAGAGCTTTCTAGAAGCCTTTGGGGTCTAGATTCTGTGGACTTTGACTGCTAGGGTGACAGAATTTTCATGACACTGCTAACAGATAGTTGCTGCCCTCCCCTTGTGCTCCATTAATCTCCCGCACATTGACAGTGCAACCCTGCACAGCACTATTTTAAAACAGGACACACAGAGGACAAGATAACAAATGACTCTGAAAATAAACCATGGGGCCTTTGTTTCCTCTTGCTGTAATTTAAGAATCCAGGCAAGAAGGGGAATAGAGCTTAGCCTGACATGAGCTGGTTGGTTTCAGAGAGAAGCTGGCCCTCAAAACAAGCACCGTGTTTGGAACTCTGCCGTTCTCCTGGGTGGGGAGGGAAAGAAGGAGGAAGGCTGAACTGGCCACAGGGGTGAGAGAAGGTACCAGAACTCAAACTCTGAACGGGAGGCCGTGGGTCTGCCTGGGACCGAGAAGGCATAAAAAGGGCCAGAAAACTTTTTCAGGAGCAGTACTCCTTTGGGGGTGTTTATTCTCTAACTGTGAGGCAACCTCAGTGATCACTGTTTTCAATACTCTCCTCCTCCTTTCGCCTCGCTGATTTGAGGAGCAAAACAAAACACTTCTTTCTTCAGTACTTACTTTTGGAAGCAAGCTGTTGAAATGCTGAAATATCACTTGGTATGATTTCCCACTCATTGCAAAATGGTAACAGCTTCCTCCTTCCCCACGAGGGGTTGAACTGTTTCCAGTATGCATGTAGATTTCCTAAAATCAAAAGGGCATCATTTCTACATTGACTCCTAAGGAGTGTCTCTGCTTTCCTATGCGTTATTGAAGGAAGAGTTTTCATGTTGCCTAACAGTGTGAAGGTCAGCAACAAAATAATGTGTAATTTGCCTATAGCAGTTCTACCCATAGGAAAAAACACTCAAAACATTCCCCCCAAGATTATGTAAACATATGATACTTGGACAGTATGGTACTCTGGATCCCGTCTTGGGAGATAATATGTATGATGTCAGTCTACTGAAGAAATCCAACCATTCTTAGGTCCCAAATAGTTATTACAAGAATAGGAAAATTCTTCCCTCTTCTTCCTTCTCCTCCTCATGCAACCTTATATTTTCTAAGATCTCTACCATTCACTTATTCCAAAATCACCCTCATTGTCTTCACTGTAAAGCAGGCACTCTTTCTTCAGTGCCTAACTCCTTTTAGGCCCCAGCCTCTGACCTTTGTTATGACCCCACCTCAACAGGTATCTCTTTCTATCATGGTTCCCAGATTCTCTTCCATACTCTACATCCCACTGCAGGAGTAATCCTTTTCCGAAACCCTTTCCCTCCTTCCTTGCACCTGTCAAGGTGTTTCTCTGGCTTGGTTCTAGCCCTCCCTGGTTCCCAGTTAGGGAGAAAGCATCTGATGAATGCCTGTGCATTCATTATATCAATAATTAATCATGGTTTTTCATGCAACATTCCTCAGAGAGACTTCCATTTGTGTTTAGGACTCTAAATTCAAATATTGCAGGAGGTGAGAAAATTTTATTCATCAGATGACTTCATCTCAGGGAAAGCATTGTAGTTGAAAGAAAAAAAAATTGCTGTGCTGAATTGGGAGGCAAGATGACACACCCCTCCCTTTCTATCTCCAATTGCAAAATAACCAACAAAAGACATGTTCTAAAGCATCCCTCCTGAGACAAGGGCAGGAATTCCTTTTGCTTGCACTGGGAATGTGGGGAGAGGAAGTATGGTGGAGGGACCCAGAGAGGAGGAAGGCCTGAAACTGTGATACAGCTTCTCCTGGTGGGGACTAAAATTTCAGCAGAGGCATTAAATTCATGAATGAGTAGTGTGAGTGGACTGTTAGTTAAAATTCACAAAGGACCTGGGTTACAGCATGCAGTGAAATTCAGGCAGCATGCACCGATGGAGAAGCAAGTAGGTTCACAAGGAAATAAGCACCAGAAATCTGCTGAGAGCAGAGGGAGAGCTGTCATCTTTCACAGCCCATGCAATTAGAGGTTGAGGCAAGTTAACCCACCTCTTCCCAGGGTAGGGGCAGGGCCATTCTGTATAGCTGTGCAGTTTGTGTGCTGCAGAAAGACTCCTGACTGCACAAAGGCCCGCTCTATACTTAACAATCTGAAAGGCTGGTCAGCCTGGAGGAAGGCAGCATTTTTGTAATTCATCACCTGTAGGGCCATATCTTTGAATTCACACAAAAGCATGGGTGTTACCTTTAGTGATGGAATGTAAGGCTACAGCCCATTGTCTTATGAAAAAGCTATTCTGTCACAAGAGCATAGGGAGCTTTCTATCTAGAAAAGCCCAGCCTCTGTTAGCTTCATGTCATAGGTATAGTACAATCTAAATGCCCGTGGATCTGTGTGGAATCAAATAGGCCTAAGTCTGCTTTCCTGCTCTGCAACTCACCAGTTTTTGTATTGGGCAATCTTACTGCTCTGAGCCTCAGTTTTCTCATCTGTAAAAATTAATGGTTTGCCCAATTGCATAGGGTTATTTTAATGACCAAGTGGAAAATATGAGTATAAATCAGTAGTTCTCAGCCATGACTGCACACTGGAATTGCTGGGAAAAGCACCTGATGCCAGTTCCTACCCCAGGGGTTCTGATTTAATTGGTGCAGCCTGCACTGGAAGCTTAGAAACTCCCCCAGGTGATTTTCCTAGGCAACCAGAGCTGGCAGAAATGCTTTGCAAACTGTCAAACTCTGGACAGATGTGAGGGATTATTACTGAGATGACTCCTGGAGTTGAGAGAAGGCTGAGCAGTGCCAGGACTGTATTCCATCAGTCTAGGCCCACGGAGGGGCCTTCTAACATTTGCTCACTTTCTTCCCAGGTCCAGTCTCTTGGTTCTCCACCAGCTGCCAGGTCACAGAGGCAGGAACAAATTCTTCTGGTTCATCGGCCTCAACAATGATCACTTGGCTGCCTGGAGGGATCATTTCAGAATTCTTTGCAACAGTAATGGCCGTTTGAAGGTTATCACCTAGAAGACAAAGAAACTTTGCTTGCTGTATGTACAAACCTCCCCTCAGCAACAAGAACTGAGGTCTCCCTTTTCCACTCTGCTTGGTGTTCTTTGAGAGCATTTACCGCTTTCTGCCTTATTTTATCTTCCTCTCTGCTGTAGACTGCCCCTACTGGGCAAACACTATGTTCCCATCTCCCTCTCCATATTCTGCATCATATCCTGGTCCATGTGTATTTCAAAACATGTGTGAATTAATAAAGAAATACTTAAGCATTTATGACCAATCCTCAGAAGACAGACAACTCTTAGTGGAGAATATAGCATGATCTCAGCCTGATAGCTTAAACCATCCACGGGATCTGGAAACTAACTAAGCAAAGAACACACAGGGTCAGGCTGTGCTTGGGTTTGACGATCATACACCATGCCTGGCCCTACTGCCCTAGAGGACCATCAACCAGAGACTCAATCCTCTATGCAGAGGGATCACTGGGTTTCTTGATGAGAACACACCCATTCTTGCTCATTTACTGTGAGCCTTGAGGCACCGCACAGATCCTGGCTGGGAGGGGTAGTCATTAGACAAAGAGGATGAGATACGGTCCCTACCTTCAAAGCTTCTGGTCCTGTCGGGGCAGCTGCACATGTTTTTAGGTAAGGGACTACAGGGTAACAAATTCGACAACAGAACATTTTTCCCTGTCTCTGATACATGAACTCACTCAGCTCACACATCTTGTTCTTATGCCTAGGATACAATCAACTTGCCAGGCCCCTAGAAACAAATACATACCTGTAATCATCACAGTCCTGATACGGGCCTCACTCAGTTCCTTCAAGACCAGTTTGGTTTCTTTTTTCAAGCGATTCTCCATGATGAGAAGTCCCAGAAATGTTAACTCTGACTCCACTTTTTCTCTTTGTATTCAGGAGAAAATCAATATTAAAGTATATCTACGTAGGCTCCATAGTTCAATTTATTTCTTCTTTTAAAAATTTATAAGTTTTATTAATGCAATACAGGCACATTTTAAAAATCAAAATGAACTTAAAAGCTTATAATGAAAACCAGTAGTCTGTCTCCACACCACCTCACCCCTCTCCTTCCTAGAGGCAACCACTTCTAAATCTGTTTTTTCCAGTTTCCAACTTTATTTTTAAAAACAATGTGCTTATCTTCCAACTCTTCTGTTGGTTTTTAAATATGTTAATCAAATATACTTTATTTTTTAATTTCTCAGTGCTTTGTCTTTTTTGAGCTTGCAATCGTTTCAGTTTATTTGGCATTTATTAAGGGCATTCTGCATACATACAAGACACGATAGTAGTAGTTGAATACAGTGTCATTCATCTTAGTTTCCATCTGTCGCCTTGAATAATATTTACTGGCATCAGACAGGGCTCTGAACAGTTTTCGGAATTTGAAAGTGATGGCTTATAGTCCAACTGGGTTGCATTAGTTATGTAGGAACGTTCCTCTGAAATGGAATCACTCTTGGGTGGCTTTTTAAAAAGTAAATTTGGGGGCCAAGAACTCTTTTTTGATCTTTGTTCATTTTGCTGTGCACCGTGGTGTTAAGATTACAGGGAGATAGATCTGAACAATATGCATGCAGCTGTGAAGCCATTACCATAATCCAGGTAATAAACATATCCATCACCTCAAAAAGTTTCCTTCTACCCTGTTTTATGTGTGTGTGTGTGTTAAAATCACTTCTCTAGAATGTATTCATCTTGCATAACTGAAACTTTATATCCATTAACAACAACTTCCTATTTCCCCCTCCCCCTAGCCCTTGGTAATCACAATTCTAGTCTCTACTCTCTACTTCTATGAATATGTCTATTTCAGATGCTTCAGATAAGTAGGATCACACAGTATTAGGCCTTCTGTGACTGGTTTATTTCACTTAGCATGATGTCTTTCAGTTTCATTCATGTTGTCTCATATGGCAAGATTTTCTCCTTTTCTAAGGCTTAATAATATTCCATTATATGTACATATTACATTTTTAAAATCCATTCATCCAATGATGAACATTTAGGTTGTTTCCATATCTTGACTATTATAAATAATGCTGCAATGAACATAAAGGTGAAGATACCTTTTTTTGAGATCCCAATGTCAGTTCTTTTGGATATATACTCAGAAGTGGGATTTTGGACCATTGGATCACCTGGTGATCCAATGTTTTAAAAAATTAAAAACATTCTATTTTTAATTTTTTAAAGAACCTCCACATTGTTTTCCATAGCAGCTGTACCATTTTACAAAGGTTCTAATTTCTCTATATCCTTGTCAACTTGTTCTTTTGTTTTTGTTTCAAATAGCCATCCTTACAGGTATGAGGTGGTATTTCATTGTGGTTTTGATTTGCATTTCCCTAATGACTAGTAAAGTTGAGCACTTTTTCATATATCTGTTGGTCATTTGTACGTCTTTGGAGAAATGTCTATTCAGGGCCTTTGTTCATTTTTAAATTGGATTATTTATTGATTTTTCCTATTGAATTGTGTCCTCTGTACATTTTGGATGTTAATGTCTTATCAGATATATGGTTTGCAGAGATTTTCTGCCATTTTATAGGTTGCTATTTCACTCTGTTATTTCCTTTGCTGTGCAAAACTTTTCAGTTTAATATCCACCAGCAAAAGAATGAAATTGGACCCTTATCTTATACCATACGTAAAAATCAACTCAAAATGGATTAAACACTTAAACATAAGACCTGAAACCGTGAAACTACTAGAGGAAAACATAGGGAGAAATCTTCTTGATATTGGTCTTGGCAATGATTTCATGGCTATGACACATAAAGCACAGGCAACAAAAGCAAAAACAGGCAAATGTTCTTTGTTTCTATTTTATGATGCTTCTTCTCGTTCACTACTTTAGGCACTTGGCTGCTTGTTACCCTACAACACTCCCAGCAGTGCTTGTGTCAAAGCTTTTGTACCCACCATTTCTATTCCCTGCAATGCTCTTCCTCTGGATATCTGCGTGTCTTTCTCTCTTATTTTATTAAATGTCTGTTAAAATGTTGCTCCTCTGAGGACTTTGCTGATTGCCTAGGCAAAATGACATTCTCTGTCTTTTTTAAAAAGTCCTCTTAACTTACTTTATATTTTCCCCCTCAGGTCATTTAAGAACCACTAGTGGGATAATATTTTATGGGTTTATTTTCTAATCTATTTCCCCAACTAGGATATATTCATGAGGACAAGGATTTTATTTTATTCACTTCCAAATAAGTTCTCAATTCCTTGAGCGTCTGACATACAGTTAAGTTCAATACAGATTTGCTAAACTGGTGAAGGGGTGAGCCTTGATGGAGTATTTATCCTGCTGTTTTAGTTTGGGGTGACTTTTTACGTCATCTCAAAAAACTTTTCTACTTCCCCATTATGACTCCAATTTTTAAGAAGTTTTAAATTTTTCTAGTTGGAAAACTTTGCTAAATAGAATTTGATTCTAAGAAAAACCAAAACCCTATCCTTTTACCCTGTTTGAAAATAGTAACTAAATTCTAAGAAGTATAATAAGTTCCTGATATTCCCCAAAAAAACCTGGAATGGTTGGAAATATAGCACATTTTATCTTCATTTTCTTATTTTGTTATATTTATAATGTCTATCCCACTAGTGGCTCTTACATGAGAACAACACAGCTGCGTTTGTATGTGACAGCTGGATGATGGCTACACTCCATCACTAGCTACATAGATCTTTTCTTCACACATGTCCTTAACGTTGATTATTCAAATTTGTGTTTAGAAAATTACAAATCCTATGTGGTCTGGACCTTTATGTTTGCTCAAGAATAGCTAACACCTGGAATGTTAAATCTGAGAATGACATTCATATATTTCAAAATAAGCTTTGTGATCCTGTTTCAAGTATTAAAATGTCATGGCTGAAGGCCTTCTTGGAGATCATCCAATTGCATATTTTATAGATGGTGAAACAAGCACAGAGTAAGGAAGGGACTGTGTTTACTAATTAACTTAGAGTCAATGGACTTAGGTTGCAAATAATAATGTTAAACCAAGGATATCACTATTTTACATGAAGGAGCTAGCTGTATATAAATTAGCATTTATCAGCAACACAAATCCAATGTAAGAAATAAATAGATTTTCTGCTATTCAGTTTTCCACAGTATTTTTTTACTCCTTTGTCATAGATAATTTGAAAATAGCCTTTAAAAACTGAAGAACGTTGAAAGAAATAATAATTTATAAATTATCCTCTAATGAGGACAACTTATCCCTGTAATGTAATTAAGAATACTGAATTTTATTTCTCATAAGTAATTCAATTTGCCCTTGTTACCTTCACAGATACGAAGGAGATGTTGTAGTATTGAGCACTGAAAAAACCACGTCTAAAGTATTCTCAAAATCTTTCAAAGTGCCAACTGTCTCCCTCTCTCAACCTCTCTGTGTATGGGCCACCCAAGTTGATTGGTCACATAATGCTCTGAGGTTGAAGGAGCGTTGGTTGTTTTGATGGGATGAGAGCTGCGACTAAAGTTGACATAACATAGTGCCAAGCAGAGATAACACACTGGTATCTTGGAGTCAGAAGCTCTCAAGTACCATCCTTGTTCTGCCACCAACCAGCATTGTGACTTGAGCAAGTCATCTCCAGTATCACCTACAATTATCCATCTCTGAGTCAGGGGACTGTACAAGATTAATTCTCTGTCTCTGAGAGCCTTCCAGGTGATTAGAACTGTTCATCTGTTCATCTCCAGGACTCGCACTTCATGGGCACAGAGCCTGCTCTAGTGCCAATTTCTGAATTGCTTACCTGGCTAAGTGCTCGACTTCTGAAAGATTCCCCATCTTTAAGGTTTTGTGGGCAAGAGCAATGACACGGAAGCCTTGCACCGTGTAACTCCTCAGTTCCTGTGGGAAATTCTTGGGCACTGCCAGGGTAGAAGAAACAGGTAAGTGTAAGGTCATGTTGAAGGCTGGTCTAAGCAAGACTCCAGGACACAGCCATTGTACCTTGTCTTAACTTTCATTCCATAAAAGCACTTTAATAGAAAACTTAGAGCTTCTCCTAAAGGCCACAAACAACTTCATCAGTGTGTTCTTATTATTTTGATGGAAAAAATGTCAAAGCCGTGCTGGTCATTTACTGCGTTATGGATGGAATGTGTCCCTCCAAAATTCATATGTTGAAGCCTAATCTCTAATGCAATAGTATTTGGAGGTGGGGCCTTCAGGAGGTAATTAGGTTATGAGGGTGGAGCCCTCGTGAATGAGATTGATGCCCTAAGAAAACACATCTCTCTCCACCATGTGAGGATACAGGAAGAAGGCAACCATCTGCAAACCAGAAAGAAAGCCCTCTCCGGGAACCACGTTGGGCAACACCTCTATCCTGGCCTTTCCAGCCCCCAGAACTGTGAGGAATAAATTTCTGTTGTTCAAGCACGCAGTCTATGGTCTTTTGTTATAATAGCACAAGCTGACTCAGACAAACTGGGTGTCAAATGTACCAACTGGGTTCAGTAAGAACAGACCTCAGGACTGGGGTACTTGGATAAAATGAGAGAAACAGCTGATTTTCTAGATCAGGGGTCAAAAAAACAAAACTAGGATGCACAGGCTAAATCTGGTCTATAGCTTGTTTTTATAAATGAAATTTCACTGAAACACAGCCATGCCCATTTGATTGTTCATTGTCTATGGCTGCTTTAAGGCTTCAGTGACAGTGTTGAGGAATTGAAATGGACGCCATGTGATTGGCAAAGCCTAAAGTAAGAACTATCTTGATCTTTACAGAAAAGTTTGCCAAATCCTGCTTTAGGTGAAAGATGACACAATGCCAACATTTGTGTGTTTTAGCATGGCAATCACAACTATGTTTATAAAATCTTTATGATTTATAACGTACCTATAAGGGTATTAGAGGGAACCACAGAACAATGGGAGGTATAGTAGCTTAGGTGGCAAATCAACTAAGTTCTATTCTCCCTTCCACTTCCATGTGGACCTTAGTCATGTTCAGTCTCCCTTCTGCACCTTAGTTTCTCATCCATAAAATGAGAATTCCAGATCTCTCTGTCTCCATTCATTTCAGACTTTCTGTAATTCTAAAATATTCCTGGAGGTGGGAATCTAATTTCAAGAAAGTTCTTAGCTCTCTATTTCTAAAAATGGGGTACGGTGGTGGTGGAAATCACTGAAGATAGTATTAGCGTAAGTCAAAGATTGGAAGTTGGGAAAACAGGAAGAACTGAAAGAGCTGCCAGGAAAACAAGTGCCAAGTGACAGGCCCAAATCCTTACTGAGAGAGCAGGGACAATAGATACCAGTTTAAATGTCAAGAAGATGCTCAGCTGTACCCGTGTAACTGAAACAAAACAAACACAGTATATGTTGTAATCAGTGAAGGACAGAGTTAATGTGACCTATGCTGAAGATCAAAGACAGAAGAAAAGGGGCTAAAAAAAGACTCCCAATAGAGAAGTTAAAGGAATTATTTGCCAAATCTAGAATTCTCTGCACAAGTTGATGGCCATCAGCAATCATAAGGAGAGTCTACATGAAAATCGGAAGACAAAAAGACCAATTTTATCCAAATGAACTCATTTGAATGCAACAACATTCTTATACATCTGGCTGCCGCTTAAAGAGTGCATATGTTTATAAGACTAAAAAGCAATACAAATCAGCTCAAAGTCTGGCCCAGAAAGATGAAATTGCTGTGAAAATTATGAATTATCTTGCTCTAATACCATTGAATTTACTCTGATCACTTTTATTTCTGTTCTATATTCTTCTATATTCTCCTCCCATCGATCTGATTCTCCCTGGAGGTGACAGAGCAGTCATGTCTGCAGAACTTACCTAGCGTCCAGACCTCTCCATTTCCCTCATTCACACCTCCCCTAGTTCTCTGACCCTCAGTAGCTCCCTATTCTGGCTCCTGATGCAAGCTTCACATCTCGTCTCCTTCCCAGATGCCTCACTGTGGTTGTACTTTTCTTACTGCACCCACAGCCAGATATTTAGTCGCTGCCTCCCAGCCTTGAAATTATCACCCCTGCTTCTTAGGATCTACTGGGCCTACTTTGCACCTACCCAGGAAACAAGCAGCTCCACGTTCATTGATTGTGAAGCTTTCTGTGTTTGTTGGCTTTATGTATTTGGTCTCGGCTGGCCGCGGTGGCTCACACCTATAATCCCAGCACTTTTGGAGGCTGAGGCAGGCGGATCACTTGAGGCCAGGAGGTTGAGACCAGCCTGGCCTACATGGTGAAACCCCGTCTCTACTAAAAATACTAAAATTAGCCGGGTGTGGTGGCATGCTCCTGTAATCCCAGCTACTTGGGAGGCTGAGGCAGGAGAATCACTTGAACTTGGGAGGTGGAGGCTACAGTGAGCTGAGATCGTGCCACTGCACTCCAGCCTTGGGGACAGAGCAAGATTCTGTCTCAAAGAAAAAACAAAAGTATTTTACTTCTTGAAAGAGAAAAGTGTTAGTACCTGTTTCAGATCTGCAGAACCTGGCCACCATTTCTGGGGCACCTTTCATGTAGACATGGAAATGATTCTCCCCAGCTAGCTGAGCGATCACGGACATCCTCTGCAGGCTCGAGGAAAATGGAAACTGGCACAAGGTGATGATGGCTTCCACTGGACTCTGCAAGCCCATCAACAACAGGGAGCTTAACAAGCTGCTAAGTGATATTTCCAAATGCATACCAACAAAAGGGCTTTACTGTGCAATGAGCCCAGAGACATCTTGATGTAGTATATTTGTCACAACATTGATTTTGTGTGTGTGTGTGTGGCTGCCTTAAAGTGACTCCCTCAACAAGTTGTCTGGACTGCAAGGACCTTCCCCTGGAGAAATCCTAATCACCTTCCAGGCCAAGCTCACAGGTCATCTCCTCTGCAGTGCTTTTATCTCCCAGAAACAGTATTCATTCCCATGTCAGGACTCTTGAAACTCTTTCTTCAGCCTTGATTATAGCATTTGGCACATTGTGTTGCACTTATCTGCACCTATATTGATTTTTCTATGAGTCTACCTGTTCCTCCAACCCAGAGCCAAGTGTGTCTTGTTTTGAAGCCTCTTTATCTGCTAGCACCTAGCACAATGCCCTAGCGTACACAGGTAGTGTTTGTTGAATAAATTAATAGACAAATTCGGAAATGAAAGAAACAGCAAACCAACCGTGGAAACTGTTATGATAAGGCAAAATAATAGGACTATAAAAATATGTGCAAGTCAGAAATGTTTTACCAGTTTTATGGGGAAAGAGCTATGTGATGTAAAGAAGGAAATCATACCTTACTGGCTTTTGGTCCTGGTTTTATGATGTTTGAAACTGACGTCCCAAATTTGCAGGAGTCTACAATGCAATCTTCCATTTTCTGTTATAAAATGAAAACATTCATAAGATTCTTTGAATAAAAATATTAAGAAAGAAATATCTCTTATTTGCACAATACTTTAATCTTTTCAAAGCCATTTTTACATATTTTCTCTTCCAGGCCAATTATCTTAATACTGTCATTGTCAAATTTCTGTTGTATCGATTTATATTAGGGGCCTTATTGTAGAATGTCAAAAGCCAAAAATATTGTGAATTCATTTTAAGAAGTAATTGATGGAAGAAGTGCTAGCTACAGGTCCATGGATCTTTCTAAATGATTACATCTAGTAATTGGAGGAGGGATTAAGTGGAGATGTAGTCTCCAACATTGCCGAGCACCATAGCTCTCAGATGAGTTAGGACTGGGTCCTGAGATAAACATGGCACTAGTTCTTCATACTATACCTATGCTACTAGCCTAATTGAGTTAACTAGGGAGTTGGTATGTCAGCTGCTAGCAAATTAGAAAGCCTGTTTGAAAATGACGTGTATTCTTTGGATATTACAACAGAAGTTAATACCTCTGAGAAGCCAATATTAACCAATATTAAAATATGGGAAAGACAGTCATATATATAAATAGTAGAGGTCAGAAAACAGGAGATAGTATCTGGTTTCCACTCTGCCACTTACCTGTTTAATCTTGGGGACACCACTTTATTTCTGTAGATCTCAATTTCTTCTGAAAAATATTCTGACATCCCATCAAATGCTAAAATTCTTGACAGTCTAAAAGGACAGTTTCCCTCCTCTGTATGTGGAGTGGAAGGTTCCCAGTTACCAAAAGATACTCAAGACAGCTTCTGACACAGCTCTAAACTCAGTGAAAAATCATGCATTTTTATGCTTTGTTTGGGATGGATACAACTATTCTTAACAGATGGTTCTTACAGAGCTAATACTAAAGATTTATATTCCCAACCAAGTATGTTATTTGTAAAGACAGATCAGCCCTCCTATAATGGAGAGGGGGATGTAGTTAGGGCCAGGACCAAAGCCAGATATAAAATGACCCTGCACAACTCATCACCGTGTTTATCCCAATGATTCTGTTAAGGACACTGCTTATAGTAAATACACCGATTCCTCTCCATTGAGATCCAGAGAATTGGTCACTATGTCAAATGTTTTTCCACAGCAAATGCTCTATTTTAACTTGCTGGTATCAGAAGTTTCCCTTTTTACCAGGTTTCCTCTTTCATTGATTTGCCCTCTAGAAAGCTAAAATTTCCCTATTATATGTCTTTGTATTAGCTTCTTTGTTAGGTGTGCTTTGTTTCCCTGCAATCATTTGTTCCCATTCTTTTGCAGCTATGTTTAACTGCTGTACTGTATTTTATACATCATTGGACACAGCTTTAGGATGTTCTTCGGAGGCAACAGGGTGTAATTAACTAACCAGTTAATTAGTGAACACCCTCTACTTGTTTGGCTCTTCATTGTGCTCAAAGCCCCTTTAGATTCATAGTCTCAGTGGTCATAAGTCCGTGAATGAGGCATTATTACCCCAAACGTACAGATGAGGTCACAGACTCAGTCCTGGCTCTGGCTTTGTGATCACACAGCTGGAGAGTGGTGAAATGCAGAGGGTTTTCCACTATGGCAGCCTTCAGGGTGGGTTTATACCCTTCCGTTTTCATTCACACTCAGCTCAGGAGATTGAACCAGTTGGAATGCAGTCCTCCAGTTTGGTGTCTAGACTTATGCTTTACAATACACAGTCGCCACCAGCCACTTGTAGCTATTTAAATTTAAACTATTTAAAATTAAATCAGATTAAAAATTCAGTTTCTCAGTTGCAGAGCCACATTTCAAGGACTGAGTAGCCACATATGGCTCGTGGCTGCTCTACCAGAGAACACTGCTTTTGACTACTGTTTCTCTGATAGTGTTTTGGAAAACACTGATGTTTTGGAGAACATGCTGGGTTATGGGTGTCAGTAAGGTTTTTGAGGTCAGATAGGTTCGGTAAATGCTGCATGTCATATTCCCTCTTGAATATTCACAAAACACCACAGTATATTAAAGAAATCAGGCAGTCAAGAAATGAGTTTAACTTTGTTTAAACAACAGTTCCCAAGTTTGTTCAATAATGGACGCCTATTTCATGCAGCAACCATTAACAGAATTCTTTGGGGGCACAGGTTGGGAAGTTCTGGTAGTGTTACACGCTTATACATACATTATTATGAACCTTCTCTGTGTTTTAACAAAAATTAGAAAAGCTTCAGCACTCCCAGTAAAGATTTCCTCAGATTCTCATCTTTCCATTAAACTATCACCTTACCCAGGCAGTGCCCTCAAACATTTTGAGGTCCAGAGGGTCTCCCTGGATGGTCCCATTGAGAAGGATCAGAGAGTGGCAGCTGGCCATGGCCGCACACAGTGGGCTCCATGGCACAGCCTGGCCTGAGGCAAAGCTGTGGGCTTCCTGGAAGCTGGTAGAGAAGGTAATGTTAAAGTCTTTGATAAAATCATTTTGCACATTCTGTCCCTTAAATCTTACTAAAGTGGAGCTCCAAACACCTAACGTTCATGCTCAGAACCTTCCCATGGCTCCCTATGCTCCAAATGATAAAGTCCAAACCCCTTAGCCTGGTATTCAAAGTCTTGTCCACTTCGGATCTACCTTACCTTACAGTGTCCACTCCTACTAATGTCCTCTATGCCCTGTACTCTAGATCCACATTAAACTTCTTGCTATTGCTATGCTTGTCCAGAGACTTCTCTGCTCTTAAGCCCCTGCCCACTTGGTTTCTTTATTTTTTAAACAGGGTGTTTTGCCTACAGAGTTATCTTTATATAAACATTTCTTTGAGTTGGATATGAATTTTGTTCTCAACAGAATTTTCCACTGGCCAATCAATAACATAGTTTCAGAGGCTTTGGATAGAATTGCAGGGACTTTTTTCATATTACTTGAAGCCAGCCCACATAATGGCAGCATTGTGGGAAGGCACTGAACAGGCAGCTGGGAGTCATACCTGCAAACTCTGTAGAGCTGTCTGCAGAAAGCCACACAGCCTAGGCAAGAAGTCTCTAGGGCTACTTAGGGAGCAGGAAATTAGGGATAGGAAAGAAGGCTGCATGGATGCAGAAGCATTTTTCACGTCTCAGCCCTTTAGAGTTTGCCCCTACTTCTTGAAGCACCCTGGACATCCCACCTCTAAAGCCTGTTTTTCTCTTTGATAATACAAACTGGTATCTTGTATCTTCCTCTCTTCCCACCTTACAGCTGAATAGTGATTGTGTCTAGTTGTTTCTAGTCTCCGAAAACCTTCAGAGTACCAGAGACAAGGGAGGAAGATGGAGGGGTGGAAACTGTGGACATCTTTTTTCCCTTTCACTGCTCTGGCCAATAGATTCCTTGCCTGTCTGGGCAAAGGGCTGGCCGGGACATCTGAGCACCAGGAGCAGAGACACATCAGTAGGGTTAAAGCTCAGGTGTTCCTTGTCACCCAGTCCAGGGTATCTTCTGCAACATCACACTGCTTGTCTGCTGTTACCTTGTGCCATGCTTTACCTGGCCCCTTCGTCATCTTGGGAGTCCCCTGCAAAGTGTCTTCTGTCACTGACAGCAGCCTCAGCCACTGTTGGCACCAAAATAGGGTACTTAGAGCTTAAGAGCAGAGGCCATCGCCGCTCAAATTGAGAAGGCAAGTCTTAGCCCATAGGGAAGGAGCTAGAAGCCACAGGGAGATACCATGAGGAGATTCACCCTCCAGGGGCCCTCTTTCCCTTCTGTAGCTCTTTCTGGAGTAGACATCTATGTGATTGTCCTCTCCTCTCCCTAGTGCCAGCTTTTAGCCCACAGCTGTAAAAATTCTAGCCGCACGTCCCTCAAAACCTATCTGAAGTGCCATCTCCTTCAGGTGGCTTTCTTTGATTCACTAAATTTCAAAATTAATTTGTCTTTACCCACCATGTAATTATATAAAAGTCAGGACTTTGTGTTATATCAAATAATCTCCATTTCTTCTTCTCCATTCTGACATTTCTGCCTTAATAGTAACAATTTTCATGGCCTGTGTTGTACATCAAAGGTGGGTGTATTTGCACCTTTTTATCCCGCTAGACTGTGAAACACCACCTGCCTGCGCTAGCCACCCAGGAAGTTTTGTAGTTTTTAATTAAGCATGGTCTTCATTTCACTCTTTTTTCTCTGTTTTATTCATTTAGTTCCTTAATTATCCACCTCATCCTACTCCATTTTTCATGGAGATTTTGAAGACCTACTTTTCCTTTCTCATTCTGAAATTAGAATTCATTTAAGCAAGTTAGAATAATTAGGAACTAGTTCCAGCCAACTATTGTATATATTTTATGTGACATTCATCCCTTAACACCCAAAAGATGGATTTGAGTATCATCCAGGTAACTCCACCAAACACACCTTCCATTTTCACATAAGAGGCCTACCAGTTGTCAGCAGTAGGGACAGTCCCCCAGAGGTCCAGCCCATCTTCAGTGAGAGTGCCAGTCTGAGTAAAAATTAAAAGCAATATTAGCATAAGATTTAAAGCTTTTAATTATATAGTAATTTAAACAAAACCCAAGTTTCTAAGATATTATAGTAGATCCAGTAGTCTAAATACCTTGTTTATAAGTACCAAATTTTAAATCAGAGAGGAGTACCCACAAGAAAAATTAAGCAGGTGATACATGATCCCCAAAAGACCATGTCGATAATTAGGTGATTTCAGTTACTAATGATGAGGAAAAAATGAAAGTGTTTTGTTTTGGTTTGGTTTGTGTATTGCTATGACCGTTGCTGTTGTTAACCAGGAGAGGTTCAGTACAAGAATCAGCTCGAGTCTGACTTTTAGTTGTCACCTGCTATCTCGCTGAAGCAGAGCTCATTTTTTTTTGTTCATTTTCGAGACTGTTCAGTTCACAGTTTGCCATCTGGTTCACAGTAATTTTCTAAAAATATGGGTGACACAGTGACTGTCCAGATTGATAATGAAATGTTGATAAAGGGCTTTGAGACTATAGAGAGAAAGTAAATGCTAATAATAAATATTAATTAATGCCCATAAGTGGATTTTATTTTTAGATCAAGGGAAAAATAGTTCAGAGATTTGATTCGCCATACTATGGGAGAGTATTTGTTAGATAATGAAACAGAGAAAGAAAAATGGAGCCGAGTACTATCACAGCACTTTTAATTTCCTCATTGTTTCACAGGTGTTGATGAATTACATACTCTGGTGTCTTGATGCAGTAGGCTAACAGTTTTAGGCCTGCTTAACACCCTGAGTAAGTGAGTTGGCTACAGCTAGCTGCTTCAGCACTGCCAGGGCCCACCAGAGCTTTACCAAGCATGGCAGAATACCCTGTTTCAACACTAAGATCCAAGTCTCTGACACTACTTTTCAAGCCTATCTCTATAGAAGTCACTGAATTTTCTAGTTTTCTATAAAATGGCAACCTCCGTCATTATAGCACATCCATTAGCATAATGCTTTACAGGAAAGTGTTTACAATGCTTTCCATTTCACAACTGAGTTAACAGGGTGGAGGCAGGTTAGAGGTGAAATGAGGAGCCTAATGTCATAGTGGCCTGTAGGTTGGAGAGGCAGAACCAAAATCCAGCCCTTCTGGAGTCTTCCTCCAAACTAGCAAATGTTAAGTGAATCATACGGGGTATGTGGAAAGACAAAGCTCTTTCTGGGTTTCTAGATTAAATAATTAAGAAAACTTTGTTTCATTCATTTATTTGAACTTCACAAAGAAGGTGCTAACACACGAGTGAATTATTTCTTAAACAACAACTTTTTGAAAAAGAGCTATTTGTTTCATTTCTCTCCTGCATTTTATAAAGGACTCCACCATGTTCGGTTTCCAAATCCCCTCAAGTTGTTGCATTTCAAAAAGAGTTTGCAACTTAATTCAAACTGATATGTTTTCCTGATGATGTTTTTAAACATCAATATTTTGAACATGAAAACAGAGATGATACTGCAGCAAAACAGAAATTAGATTATGTTATCTCTCTATGAAAATGACCCCTTAACAATAAAACTAACCATAAATAGAGAAAACTAAATTATAGTTGAGGTTCTAAGGGGAATAAGATAGAAAGAGAAAACCTCTTAGCATAAATTCAAGCCCAGGCTTGGGCTGAATTGAATAAAAAGAAAGAACTTGTCTTACAGAAGTTATAACAAACCAATAGAAAATAGAAATAGATATGAGAACAAATGGACTCAGAAACCCAGTGACAGATATCTCCGAAACTGGAAATAACACTAGATGAAAATTCAATTAATGGCAGAGTGCTTTATTCCAACATGATGGTGATAGAATTTTATAATGTGAAAGCTGGAAAGAAACTCAGAGACGATTGTGGTTGAATCTGCTTTTCTTAAAAAGTCACACAGAGATGGGCCGGGCACGGTGGCTCACGCCTGTAATCCCAGCACTTTGGGAGGCCGAGGAGGGTGGATCACGAGGTCAAGCGATCAAGACCATCCTGGCTAACATGTTGAAACCCCGTCTCTACTAAAAATACAAAAATTAGCTGGGCATGGTGGTGCACGCCTGTAATCCCAGCTACTCGGGAGGCTGAGGAGAATCACTTGAACCCAGGATGCGGAGGCTGTAGTGAGCTGAGATTGCACCACTGCACTCCAGCCTGGTGACAGAGCGAGACTCCATCTCAAAAGAAAAAAAAAAAAAGGTCACACAAAGACTTAGTACCAAATTCTGGGTCAGATTTCTCATTTTGCCAAATTTCAATCAAGAGTTTTTTGCACTGTCACGTGTCATCATGCCCTGCAGAGTTTGACCAAGGACACCTAAAAGCAGCCTCACAGACAGCCTGGCAGGTGAGGACATGAGGATGTGGAGGGAGAGGTTTTATACAGGAAATAAAGTGAACAGCCTCGGGAAAATTAATTTTAGAAACAGTTGAATATGTAATGAACATATTTCATAAGTCTCCCTCTTATATTCCAGACACCAGTGAGGCTCATGAGGAAGTAACAGGAATCCCTGTTAGAGAACTTCCAAGGGGGTGTTATTTGGCCCTGAATCTAAAATGAAGTTAACCTTGTCGGTTCTTGACTGGTGGTGATCGAGAACTTTCTTTGCCAAACAAAATACAAACAGAAAGAGAACTGACATAACCTAAGAGATATACCCCTTTCACCTGGGGACCAAGCCTGGTCGAGTCTACTCATTGGAGTCACTCCCATTTGCCTTCTACTCTCCATCCTTGTCCTTTTTGTCTGGGACAAGCAATGATCTCTTCTGTTGTCCCCAGATGGCCTCTTTCTTCAGTCTTGTCTCCCTTCCATCCCATCTCCCCAGTTGCCCCTGGTGGGATAGAAAACACCTAAAGAAATGTCACCAGTCTTCTTAAAAAGTAAAGGCTCCTATTCTGCTTCAAGACAAGGACCCACTCCTTAGCGTGGCATATGAGGCCCTTAACAATTGCCCTCAACCCAGCTTCATTCTCTACCTACCAGCCCATATTCTAGCCACACCCCATGGTCCTCTGTTCCCCACATGCAGTGGGCCCCTTGTACCCCTGTGCTTGTCAGCTGCTCAGCTCTGAGCCTGGGGCTTATTCTTTCTAACAACCAAGGCTGCACCTCAAAGGTGGCCTCCAACCGTGGCAGGTAACTGTGCCCCGCGCTTTCCTCAGGCCTCTATTAAACACACATCTCACAGCATGATCGCCATCTACACTCCCATTTTCCTGCTTTCTCAGCTAGACTAGAAGCTTCTCAAGGGCTAGGAATGACTCATTATGGGACTCTCTACCAGCATTGTACACAGCAGTGGCTCTCTGCCACAAAATGGCAAAGGCCCTAATAAATTATTCAAATGCACATGAATTGAAGACAAAAGGGACCCAGCCAGGCCCACTGCTTTACAGCAGTTAAACTGGCCTGTCCAAGCTGAGGGCAGGATCCAAATAGCAGGCAGCTAATGCTGAAGTCCTCCAGGTTCCCCATAGGAGACTCACGTCATGGGGGGGTGTCAGGACCTGCTTGGTAAACGCAGTGTTCCCCATGTGGCATATGCTCCTCCTCTGCCACCTTTCCAGGTCCCTAAGCACAGAGACAACCTAGCCTGGAGTCACAAGCCCTGGAGGAGCAAAGGGGCAGGACAGGGTCATTGTTTCCTTCCTTCCTTTCCTTCAAAGAAGCAGAGGAGGAGAGAGGAAACAGATTCACTTATCTTCTGGACAAAACATTTCAGGAAACAGAAATGTTCCTCACATTTTCTGCCAAGTCAGTCAGTCTAAGAAGTTACATAGTAAGAGATGGTTTTAAAAAAACCACAAACCAGGCACACAAATTATTAAGTTTCACAGATAAAAAATTCATGATGTGCTGGCTAAGCTGCTAACCTTAAGAGTCAGCAGAGCAGGCTCCTAGAATGTGATCTTGCACTAGCTCACTCTGTGACCTTCTCTGGCCTCAACGTTCCTATCTGTAAAATGGGAACACTGGACTAGACATTTTCTGAGGTTCTTCCCAGCTCCACCATGCCTTGAAATCATTAACATTAAACCTGAGAAGTCTGGATCATACTTTGTCAAAGCACACGAGGTTTATTTGCCCACACATGTTGATTCTCTGTGGGGAGATACAGAAGATTTTCTTTTTCTTCAGTCTCTTCTGAGCATACACGTTGCCTATGGTCAGGGCAGCTGGCAGCACTGGAGGGACAGTCACGGTGAGGAGGATCAGGGCCATGGTCACAGTATCTTTTGGAGGAACCTGGGAGAGGACAGACATTTTCATACAGGATAGCCCAGCACAGCAGACTGCCACCCTTCCTAGTGCCAAAGGAATGAGCACATTGTCTCCTACTGCAGAGCAAAGGAGACCTTTGATCCCTACTCCCAGTCCACCAACCCCTTTCCTGGTTCTGTTTCCCTCTACTTAGCATTCCCTCTGCCCAAGCTTGACTGTTGGCTTATGAATCTCTCTCCCCCACTAGCCTACAAACTCCTTGGGTGTAGCAGCTATGGCTTATTCATCTTTGAATCTACCTTATTGATCTCTAGATACAGAGCCTAGCATGGGATTTAGCACAGAGGAGGTGCTCAGGACATAGATTGAATGGATGGCAATATAATTAAAAACTAGGACCAACATCCTTCCAAGATCTCAGCATATATTATTAACTACAGAGAAGCCAATATAAAATTAGCTTGCTCTCACTGGATACTAACTCTGGAGCAGGAACTGTATTAGGCTACGTATATTATTTAGTTGCTCTCTATAACAACCTTATGACGTAAATACTATTATTTTCTCCATTTAACAGGTAAGGAAACTGAGGTTTTAACAATTAAATAATTTTCCCAAGGCCACATACTAGGTAAATGACAGAAATCTGAACCCTATTCTGTCTTACTGCAGGGTACAAACCCATGACCAATATGTTTTATTATCAAGTCAATTTTGTGAACTCAGGATCCCTGGCAGGTGATACGGTTTGGCTGTGTCCCGACCCAAATCTCGTCTTGAATTGTAGCTCCCCTAATTCCCACCTGTAGTAAGAGGGACCCAGTGGGAGGTAATCGAATCATGGGGGCAGTTTCCCCCATAATGTTGTCATGATTGTGAATAAGTCTCATGAGATCTGATGGTTTATAAATGGGATTTCCCCTGCACAAACTCTCTTGCCTGCCACCATGTAAGACATGTTTTGCTTCTGCTTTGCCTTCCAACCATGACTGTGAGGCCTCCCCAGCCATGTGGAACTGTGAGTCTCTTAAACCTCTTTCCTTTATAAATTGCCCAGTCTCAGGTATGTCTTTATTAGCAGCATGAGAACAGACTAATACAGCAGGTCTCCAGAGGAGGCTCACACAATTAAGGTCAGGGATGAGGTCAAATCACAGGGTTGACTGATTGATTGTTTTGTTTTCCTCACATGCTCTAGATATTAATGATTCTACCCTCTAGAACCTCACCTATGTTTTTGTTAAATTAACCATCATTTTAGCCATAAATACTTTTTTAAGTATTGGAAACATGGGATTCAAGTTCAGTAGCAATGTCTGCTGGGACATCTTTTGCCCAATATCAATTTATCACAAAATTCATTACTCCCTTCTTTTCCCAACCACAGACACGGAAGAGTTTTGACCCTAAGGACTCAGCCTTGTCTAGCGCTGAACCAGTGCAGATAGAGGCAGCCAACAGAGCCACAGGTTCTGACCCACAAGAAGTTGGGGTCTGGGATTATTAGTCTTGTTGCCTCAGTGTGTATTGGATGTTAAGTTCTTCCCAGGAAACCTCATTCTCAAATACTGCCAGGGCTTCCATGAGCTTTTTTCCTGCTTTTCTGCCCAATGCTCCAGCTCCCCAGATTAAATTGGCATACTCCCTCAAATTCCAGCCCCAGTGACCTTGACATTCTGCCTAGCTCTTCACAGGCCCCATCGTGGGCCTCTCTTGACCCAGAAATGCTCCCTGGGAGCTATTTCAGATTGAAATAACTACTCAGCAGTTAAGTTTTGGCGTGAACATTGCCTTGAAATTCTTGTTACTATGTCTTTTCCCACCAATATTCACTGCCCACCTCTCTCTCTCTCACACACACACACACACAAACACACACACACAAACACACACACACACACACACACGCTCATTGATGCCACCAATTTGGACATTGTAATTAAGCCACTCACAGTTTTTCACCTGTTTGGATGTTTTATTCACAATTTTCTCTTCCTCCCCACCAGCTCACACTGTTATGATCCCAGACTTTCTTATTTTCTGGTTCACAGCAAAATCAGACTCTCAGGACCAGAAAGGACCTCAGAGGTCTTTAGTGACAACCCTTCCCTCCCTAGCCACCAGGCTATGACAAGGAGCATCCAAATGAAACCTGACACCCTGTAGCTTAAAGGGAAGTAGGTATCTCATGCAGTACCAGCTCTGTAAAAGTGGAAATTAACTTCATTTCAGACCCTAACCAGAACACATGGGAAACCCACTGATTGCATAGTGTTTTAGATATTACCTAAACACTGGGGGCAAACTAGGCATGAGAACATTTCCGCTGTCTAAGAAGCTCTTTTGGACAGTAATGATTCACAGAATGATGGGATCAAGATGTAACCTAAACCAATCCTCTGAGTTAGGTCAAGCTCTTTGCAGAATCTATACTATTGAAAAGCCTTACCCCCAGTACTTACTCCATGGTACATATATACCCCTAGGGCATAGAAAAAACCCATGACACCAAGGCAGGCCAGGAACACGATGAACTTGAAGGCATCGCTGTATAGTTTGAAGTTCAGAGGCCGGGGGTACAGGATGGATCTCACTAAGTCCCCTTTGGCTGTATTGTAACCTACATAAAGATAATCATAGATCAAGTAAGGCTGCTTGATGGACACTTGGTCTCCTAAAAATGGCTTTACTGTCTTTGAGGAAAAGAGTAGAGTGTCCTCTAACCTTCTACCTAATCATTTTATAAGTTTTCAGGTGGTTTTCATGATTTTTAACCATGAGCTTCCATGTAGGCCACAGGCTGAGCAATGCTCTAGTGTCTAGTGCCTGCTAACTAGTTTGAACATTTAAAAAAATTAGATATTTTTAATTTTAAAAAATCAGCTAGAACAACTAAATCATAAACCAAACTAAAGCATGCAGGTATCACAGTGTAAAGTGTATTTTGCATCTGTGAATAAGTCGGGTGGCAGAAACAGAGGTCAGAGGTTAGAACAGAGAGCTAGGACCAGGTCATAGGAGGCCTTCATTGTGTCACGTCATGTAAAAGACTGGGACTCAGGAAGTGTTTGCGGAATCATCCAGATTTGGTGCCACATTTGGTATGGGAAACAAGAGGAGTTGGAGATGTTATTAAGAGACCAGCATGATGGTGATGATATTAACAGAGAAAGTCAATACAGGAGGATGAATAGTTTCAGATTCGTTGGCTTTAACTGGTCTATAGGGCACCCAGGTGGAGTTCTTTATTACTGAATTTGACATACAGCCTAGCAAGCAACTCTTTGAAAGGAAAAAATCCTCATAGTCGTGGTGGCTGAAATTGTTTTTTGGTAATCACTCAGAGGAGGTGTCAAGGGAGATAGAAGCAGCGTATGGTCACAAGCAAAAAGAAGAGCATAGTTTTACCTTTGACAAATTTTACTTCACCTACACATACCCTTCATCACATAGAAGGGTTTTACCAATAAACCATTTAATTAAAAATAGTGACACTTTAGAATAATAAGTGTCTGTTTGGAAAAAAGCATGTTGTTACTACCAGAATGTGGCAGACTCCATAATCCTAAACTAAATTTCCCTAATCCAACTCTCCCCATGTTCAAGCATGAATTAAACTTACAAAAGTGGAATCCACTAACCTGTTTGCAAAACGACTGCTCGTACAGGCCCCTGCCCAGAGGGCTTGACCTGGATAACTTCTGTTCCACAGAAAAGGACGTGTTTCCTATAATCCTCCAAACTGTGACATTTCCAAGGCATAGTGTTCTCCATCTGGGGCAATGGTGTCTTTGTAACAGGTATACTTTCTCCTAAAGAGGATTGTATTTTGTTGAATCTATGTAAGCTCAGGTAGTTGGTCAGAACTGGTGCATGCCAGTTTCAAGAAATTATACAAACCACAACTAATCCGGTCTTAATGCCCATCCCATGAGTCAGATGACTGTTCATAGAGATGCTGGTGGTACAAGCAATGGTAGACTTGATTCTATTGCAAATATTTAGATTAGATCTGCCTATCTATCCTATACCTGGCCTGCATGGTTTGTTGTCATAATTTTAAAAGCAGCCTATTATAGATGAGTTATCACTGAATCATTCTCCCAAGCATTCATTAAGCCCAGCACTATTTTAGGCAATGAAGGAGCTTTCCAGCACGTGAATAGTAATTACTATTTGCTTTGCATTCACTCATTTATTCATTTGTTTATTCATTCACCCATTCATTCAGCTATTTTAGGTGCTTATTCTGTTCCAGGAACTGTGCTAGGTGCTAGGAATATGATGAACAAGAGAGACAGAAATCTTGCCCTCATAAGCTCATGGAGCAAGGTGAGAAAATAGTAGTTATTCCACATCATTTTCAGATGGATCCCATCCAAGTCCCATTTTTATCATCTCATTCTTTTGCTCAAAATCGTTAGCCTTTTCCATTGCCACTACTGAATAAAGACCAAACTCTCCTGCTAGATTGTCAAAGCCTACCATGATTCAAACATCATTGCCTGACATTCCCCTACAAAAGCTCCAGCTCAACTAGGCCACTTGCATTTCCTTTTATTGGCCCCCATTCTTTGCAGGTAGCAATTTTTTTCCTTTCCCTGGTGGCTATAAGACAGAATATTTAAGGTACAAAGAAATCAGCTCAGAGTTCAAAAAGGATACATTTCAGAGACAAAATAAAGATGTTAATAATAATTTTTGGCTCCAAGATTTAAAGAGTATTAGAATGAATTTAAAATTCCATCAGTCTTTTACTAAATGTTCAATTAGCAAGATAACTTGTCATATTTCTAATTTGGAAATAGTATTATATCAATCATAGTTATACAAATTTAGGTCTCATCTCTCTTTCTAGGTCATAACTGGGAACAAGAACTTTGACATATATAAATTTGTATACTCTTCATTTTCCTAGTGATATGTAATAGGTTCAAAACACATAGTTTTTTCTTTTTATTTTATTCTACTTTATATTCTAGGGTACATGTGCACAACATGCAGGTTTGTTACATATGTATACATGTGCCATGCTGGTGTGCTGCACCCATTAAATCATAATTTACATTAGGTGTATCTCCTAATGCTATCCCTCCCCACTCCCCCCACCTCACGACAGGCCCCGGTGTGTGATGTTCCCCTTCCTGTGTCCAAGTGTTCTCACTGTTCAATTCCCACCTATGAGTGAGAACATGTGGTGTTTGATTTTTTGTCCTTGAGATAGTTGCTGAGAATGATGGTTTCCAGCTTCATCCATGTCTCTACAAAGGACATGAACTCATCCGTTTTTATGGCTGCATAGTATTCCATGGTGTATATGTGCCACATTTTCTTAATCCATTCTATCATTGATGGGCACTTGGGTTGGTTCCAAGTCTTTGCTATTGTGAATAGTGCCACAATAAACATACGTGTGCATGTGTCTTTATAGCAGCATGATTTATAATCCTTTGGGTATATACCCAGTAATGGGATGGCTGGGTCAAATGGTATTTCTAGTTCTAGATCCTTGAGGAATCGCCACATTGTCTTCCACAATGGTTGAACTAGTTTACAGTCCCACCAACAGTGTAAAAGTGTTCCTATTTCTCCACATCCTCTCCAGCACCTGTTGTTTCCTGACTTTTTAATGATTGCCATTCTAACTGGTGTGAGATGGTGTCTCATTGTGGTTTTGATTTGCATTTCTCTGATGGCCAGTGATGATGAGCATTTTTTCATGTGTCTTTTGGCTGCATAAATGTCTTCTTTTGAGAAGTGTCTGTTCATATCCTTCGCCCACTTTTTGATGGGGTTGTTTGTTTTTTTCTTGTAAATTTGTTGGCGTTCTTTGTAGATTCTGGATATTAGCCCTTTGTCAGATGAGTAGGTTGCAAAAATTTTCTCCCATTCTCTAGGTTGTCTGTTCACTCTGACGGTAGTTTCTTTTGCTGTGCAGAAGCTCTTTAGTTTAATTAGATCTCATTTGTCAATTTTGGCTTTTGTTGCCATTGCTTTTGGTGTTTTAGACATGAAGTCGTTGCCCATGCCTATGTCCTGAATGGTATTGCCTAGGTTTTCTTCTAGGGTTTTTATGGTTTTAGGTCTAACATTTAAGTCTTTAATCCATCTTGAATTAATTTTTGTATAAGGTGTAAGGAAGGGATCCAATTTCAGCTTTCTACATATGGCTAGCCAGTTTTCCCAGCACCATTTATTAAATAGGGAATCTTTTCCCCATTTCTTGTTTTTGTCAGGTTTGTCAGATGGTTGTAGATGTGTGGTATTCTTTCTGAGGGCTCTGTTCTTTTCCATTGGTCTATGTCTCTGTTTTGGTACCAGTACCACACTGTTTTGATTACTGTAGCCTTGTAGTATAGTTTGAAGTCAGGTAGCATGATGCCTCCAGCTTCATTATTTTGGCTTAGGATTGTCTTGGCAATGTGGGCTCTTTTTTTGGTTGCATATGAACTTTAAAGTAGTTTTTTCCAATTCTGTGTAGAAAGTCATTGGTAGCTTGATGGGGATGGCATTGTATCTATAAATTACCTTGGGCAGTATGGCCATTTTCACAATGTGGATTCTTCCTATCCATGAGTGTGGAATGTTCTTCCATTTGTTTGTGTCCTCTTTTATTTCATTGAGCAGTGGTTTGTAGTTCTCCTTGAAGAGGTCCTTCACATCCCTTGTAAGTTGGATTCCTAGGTATTTTATTCTCTTTGAAGCAATTGTGAATGGGAGTTCACTCATAATTTGGCTCTCTGTTTGTCTGTTATGGGTGTAGAAGAATGCTTGTGATTTGTGCACATTGATTTTGTATCCTGAGACTTTGCTGAAGTTGCTTATCAGCTTAAGGAGATTTTGTGCTGAGACGATGGGGTTTTCTAAATATACAATCATGTCATCTGCAAAAAGGGACAATTTTACTTCCTCTTTTTCTAATTGAATACCCTTTATTTCTTTCTCCTGCCTGATTGCCCTGGCCAGAACTTCCAACACTATGTTGAATAGGAGTGGTGAGAGAGGGCATCCCTGTCTTGTGCCAGTTTTCAAAGGAAATGCTTCCAGTTTTTGCCCATTCAGTATGATATTGGCTGTGGGTTTGTCATAGATAGCTCTTATTATTTTGAGGTACGTCCCATCAATACCTAATTTATTGAAAGTTTTTAGCATGAAGGGCTGTTGAATTTTATGGAAGGACTTTTCTGCATCTCTTGAGATAATCATGTGGGTTTTGTCTTTGGTTCTGTTTATATGCTGGATTACATTTATTGATTTTCATATGTTGAACCAGCCTTGCATCCCAGGGATAAAGCCGACTTCATCATGGTGGATAAGCTTTTTGATGTGCTGCTGGATTTGGTTTGCCAGTATTTTATTGAGGATTTTTGCATCGATGTTCATCAGGGATATTGGTCTAAAATTCTCTTTTTTTTGTTGTGTCTCTGCCAGGCTTTGGTATCAGGATGATGCTGGCCTCATAAAATGAGTTAGGGAGGATTCCCTCTTTTTCTAGTGATTGGAATTGTTTCAGAAGGACTGGTACCAGCTTCTCCTTGTACCTCTGGTAGAATTCGGCAGTGAATCTGTCTGGTCCTGGACTTTTTTTGGTTGGTAGGCTATTAATTATTGCCTTAATTTCAGAGCCTGTTATTTGTCTATTCAGGGATTCAACTTCTTCCTGGTTTAGTCTTGGGAGGGTGTATATGTCGAGGAATTTATCAATTTCTTCTAGATTTTCTAGTTTATTTGCATAGAGGTGTTTATAGTATTCTCTGATGGTAGTTTGTATTTCTGTGGGATTGGTGGTGATATCCCCTTTATCATTTTTTATTGCATCTATTTTATTCTTCTCTCTTTTCTTCTTTATTAGTCTTGCTAGCAGTCTATCAATTTTGTTGATCTTTTCAAAAAATCAGCTCCCGGATTCATTGATTTTTTTAAGGGTTTTTTGTGTCTCTATTTCCTTCAGTTCTGCTCTGATCTTAGTTATTTCTTGCCTTCTGCTAGCTTTTGAATGCGTTTGCTCTTGCTTCTGTAGTTCTTTTAATTGTGATGTTAGGGTGTCAACTTTAGATCTTTCCTGCTTTCTTTTGTGGGCATTTAGTGCTATAAATTTCCCTCTACACACTGCTTTAAATGTGTCCCAGAGATTCTGGTATATTGAAAACACATAGTTTTTTCAAATGCGCAGATGAATTAAATAAAAATGCCCAAGTTTCTCTATGATTGGTTTTTCAAAACTCATTTTCTGCTGTGATGTATTTTTACATGCTAAGGTGTAAGAAGCTATAAAATTGTTATTAGCAATCTTGAATATTTTTCAAGAAATTCTTTTAGGCAAGTGTTGTTCCCTATGCCATTTTCTTTAAAACAATTATGATATTCATCCATTGTGTAGATGTATCAATTGCATTCTATGGCTTCGTAGAAGGGTTAGAATGTTTTGACAAATCTCCAAATTATGGTACTACATTGTTTTGAAATCAGCCTTTGTAAGAGGCGAATACTTAGAGATCATTTCCTTTTTTTTTGCTTTTGAATCACAGAATATTAATCCACAATATATACTTAGGCTAACATCAGTAAACTGTTTTCTGCACACAAAACCAATGAAACTGGAGGCAGTCATGTATTGATCAATCAGTAATGGAAGTCATTTGCAGATAATTTGTTCCAGAGATAATAGTCAGATGATTTTACAGAGAGATGGTTTTCAAGTCTCTTTTATGCTATTTGCATATTAATAAGAAGCCTCATGTTTTGGCCTTTCTGGGGAGCCCAAGAAAGGATGATTCATCTACAAAAGATGTGGGGTCCAAGGCAGCTGAAGAGAGTTTTAGAGGAAAGAACCATCATTGCTCATAATCAACTGTACATTTGGCTCCCTGTGCTGTCACGTGGAGGTTCTCTCCCTTGTCCACAAGGATCAAGATGCCTCTTCATGGTGACAGTGTTTGAAATTCCAAGTCCTTTTAATTTATAGTTCTAGAACCATTAGACTGTAAATGTTTTGAGACCAGAGACCATTTCTCTTTTAACTTGGTGACACCAATACGCAACACAGTACCTGGCACATGGTAGGCATTTCTGAGCTTTTATTGAGTAAATGGATGAACAAATAAGTAAAAGGAAAGGGAGAAGGAGGATGATAAAAAGAGAGGACGAAAGGATCAAAGGAAGAGAGAAAAAGATCTGACCTATCAACTGATGATAAGCTCGTCTGACAGGATATCGATGTGAGATCATCACTTAGGAAAATCCCTGCATGTCCAACTCAGGTCACTGCACTCTCGCCCCACACACATCTCAAATACATCAGCAGCTTAATGAAGAGAAGAAGAGGGAAGGGGATTGCGGCAGAGTGCATGCCACCCCTCTTCGCCATAATTATCCCTAAGAGAATGAGGAAACACTGATTACAAGCCTAGGTTCTGGGGACAAAATGCCTGTATTTAAGGCATTAAATTTATTTATTAAGACAATAGAAGTCTTCTGTTTTCTTCATATAACTTATAACTGTTGAAAATTTGTGTCATTTGTATACTTTCATGTTTTCTGTCTCTGTCACTAGAATATCAGCTCCACAAGGGCAGAAATCTTATCTGCCTTTTTCACTGCTATGTCACCTGCAGAGTTCCTGCTCCATAGTAGGGGCTAATAAATATCTGTAGAATGAGTGAATTCACAAACAAATCCAAATCTCAGCTGTGCCACTTCTAAGCTGTGTGACCTTAGGCAAATTAGTTACCCTTTCTGGGCCTCAGATTTGCCCACTCTAATAGAGTTGCAGGTTGAATGAAATAGTATATGTAAAATGTTAGCACAATGCCTAATACATATGAGAACTAAGAAAAAAAGCTATAGTGCCAAGAGATAATTTCTAAATTAACATATTCCCCCCCCCTCCCAAATGATATTCCCTTTTGTCTCCAGACTCCTCCCATTTGAGAGAAGCTAGATCTTGAAGTTGATTATTGTTTCAGGAAAGACAGCAGAAGAGAAGGACGGGGGAGTTGATCACTGGCTTTTGAGTTTTTGAAGTCCTTCATGAGTTTGATCATGGATTGAGAGACTATCTGAGAGTAAGAACAAAGTTTTTCTGCTCACCATGCCTTTCCTCTACTGCATTTCTAGCTAAATCAAAGTCCTCGTACTGGGAGTTGGAAGAGAATCCAACGGGACTTAGATGTGGTGTGTCCCTGAGAGAAGAGGTGTGCACCACAGTAGAACACGGGAACATGCAACAAGGTTGTGGAAACAGCGCGAACAGCACCAGGATCTGCTGCCCTGTCCAGGTAAATAGGCCTCAGACAGCTCAGAGTGGAGTGGGAGCAGCAGGAAGAAGAGCTGCCCTCCATCAGACCCCTCTCCCTGATGTCTTGCACATCTTAGGACAGTCAGACAAGGGTGAGGAAGACCACCTAACTGATGGGGACAACTGTCTGACTCATATTAGATATTCACACTGGACACTTTTAAGGATGGCAAAATTTGGAACCGACATAAAAATTAAGTGTAGTTATAAAATAAAGGTAAACTTCTTGCACAGCTGAATTTATGACAATAGCATAAGGCTAAGGAGAGCAGGAGGAGAAGAGCTTACCAAAAAGTGGATACTATTGATGGGAATACCAAGTAGGGAGAAAAAGGTGATGAGGCAGGAAGATGAAGTCAGCAGCTTTTTCCAGCTTAGAATTATCTTTCTCACGCCTATGGTCCTTTATATTTGGGAGCGAATGCCACCTCCAATTCTGATCCTTTCACTTGCTAGCCGAGCAGCTCTGGTCTTTTTACCTCACTCTCCTCATTTGTAAATCGGTATTCTAACAGCTCCTAGTCTAATTTGTTTTATACCATGATGAAGTGAGATATAAAAGTTATTTATAAAATGTAAGTTGCTATAGAGATGCTAGGAATATTTGATATTTTTATTCTTACATAAATAAAGACTTCTATCTATGCAAAGGACCATTTCGTACATAGGGAAGAAATACCTAAATCATATTTGTGGACAAATTCCCTAGGAATACATTTGCAGTTTCAGGAATCTTACCTTAATCCTCTGTTTAATCAAGATCCTTTCCACAAATATGTACATGAGTGGGAGGATCTATGTAGGCTGTGCAATAAAGTATTTAGACCAGACTGGGATTTAGATCTTTCTGAAGAAGTTAACAAAAAAGAAATAATGTATTTTTACTTCATGTGTCTGTCTCTGAAACTGGCCTCTATCGGTACTTAAGTTACACAGATATTAGTGCTGATGAGTTCGTTTTTCCAAAAAGGAAAACTAGAAGCCACTTGTCATTTAAGGTTATTTGGAGCCATTTTGCACATTTGTTGAAAGGCAGCGTTGTTTGTCATTTCTATTCCTCTGGAACTCTCTGAGTTTTCCTGGGAATCAAGGCAAGTTCTATACACCCGCTACAGTGAAAGGAGAGAGGGCAGCCCAAGGGCAGTGAGACTTTCTGTGTTTCCTCCCCATGTCTGCTCACTGCCACACTCTCTGTTACCAATGAGAGAAGTCATTCTTCACTGTCAGGCTGCTGGGAGGTGTGAGGCAGCTGCTGTGTTTGAATGAGAAGGACAGTTTTCCTTGGGCTTGAGGTTTACAGGTCAGATACTATGGCAACATTCTGGGTAAAAGATATGATCAGTATGCAAATCCTCATCACTATCATTATAGGACACATTTCAACACATTAAAGGAGTATTTTGTAATTATACTGAACATATTTATGTTAACTACATTTTCTTGTCTCAATTTTGAATTAAGCAGACCCATTTTAATGTAAAATCTGCTTGTGTTGAACAATTTAGGGATAGATAATGAACTCTCCCTACATTTAGGTCATGTTAAAACATTTTCCCTGTCTTTATACCATTTGGAAACAGAAAAACTAAACAGTCTGTAAGCATAAAAGACAAAGTTTCTATTTCTGTGTTGCTGTATAGTCTCTTCTCTCATTACAATGTGCTGTGTATTTTAATTTTTTGCCTAAAGAATATTTTATAAGTAGTATCTTACTAATTAAACAAATTCAAGTAGACTTAACAAAGTACAAATGAGAACTAGGACTGCCTGAACTATAACTAGAAGATTAGTTTCTGCTCAGTGAGATCAACAGGAATATAAATCTAAAGAACAGAACTGTGCGATCGTCTTTGCCCGGAGGTTCAACTCAAACTCCTTTCCTGTGAAACCTTGGCCTCAGTAGTTTTCTATCTACAGAGTGCAGGGTTGGATAAAACCTCTATGGCCTTCCAATTGTGGGAGTCATGGTTTTTAAGGTTGCATCTCTTTTGTACATGTGTATAAACCATTCTCATGTTTATGAAGAGATTGTGCTTCAAACTGTGTAGTGCTCTCATCCTCCTCTGAACCCAAAGCACCCTATTCACCCCACTAATTGGTCAATTAATCACATGTCATATTAAACATTTGTTTTCATTTCACATTTATTGTGACTTAATTCTTATATTGTTAAACATTTCCTGTTTGTGTATATTGTGTCTCCATATAAATGCAAAGGCTGGCTGTGTCTCCCTCACCTATCTCTGAATATCTTAGCAAGGGTCTGGTATAAGGTAGGTGAGGATATGTTGATCTGATTAGATGTCAGACAGGGAAGAGGAAGCTCCATGACAACTGCCTACCTGTAAGCATGCCTTCATTCACCACGCAGCTTCCATCAATCAAAACAGCATCACATGGCAATGAAAATTTTCCTGGAAGAATAAGAATGTCTCCGGGAACCAAGAGACGGGATTCCAGCTCCTCCAAACCTACACCAAAGCAAAGTTTCCATGAATAGCTGACCTTTTCCTGTTTTTACTTAAGAATGAAGGCAACTAAGAATCCTTATCAACCTGTTGGCCAAGAGCTACCCTACCTGTTCAACTGTTGAAGCCCCTTTTTAGTCAATTGAAAATTCCGAAAGAATCAGGATTAGGAAATTGGTTCCTGGGACTCAGAAAAGGATTAGCTAAGCAACAGGATCCCATCTTGATCCTAGTACCTGGTGTGCTTTGCCCACAGCAGATACACAAGGGCACTGGGCAAAGCAGAAGTGCAGCTTCCTGCTGTTTGCTCTCGTCCGGGTTTCTGATTCCTGTGGTTGGTACACTTTGTCTTCTTGGATTGAGGCCTTACTTAAATTGCCCAAATAACTTCTGCTGTCCCAGGGTGCAGCTCCTCGCTCCTTGCAAAAAGCCACAGCCACTCCACCTCTGACTAGCTCAGAACAGATGCCAAGTGTCCAGACAGCTATCTAAAAGCCCCATTCAGGCCCAGGTTCCAGATGGCAGTTCAAATTGTGTGATGCAGGGTCTGTTTGGGATAGTTAGACTGGGAAATAAAGGAACCTTAAGAAGGTTTACCCAATGTTATTCGAATGAGTGACATGTGAAGGGGAGAGGGAATTTGAAGGAACCCAGACATTGGGTAAGAATGACGGAATGAGGGCTTGGGTGAGGGTAAGGCAAGCAAGCTGTCCAGTGTACAAAATTCAATGAGGCCCTTGTTCTCAGGGCCCTGCAGCTGTGGGGTCAGCACTGGCATGATCTTGCCTCTTTAAATTTTCTATCTTAGAGGGCTTCTTTGCCTCACCCTCGTCCCAGTTCTGGGTTCAATCTGAAAAGATTATTTCTCCTTGACTAATAATTAAGGACAAATGAGACCAATTCCCCCCTGAAATATTAAGATGCTGAAGATGGCCTAACACATCACTTACCTTTGTCTTTTACAATGATTGTAACCTGGACTTTGTTGTGGTCCTCCACGAGGTTATGCAGCTTAACTGATTGCTACCAAGTAAAAGTTAACATTTAAACATTAGATAGTTCATGTTCTGAAAACCACATGATCTCATTACAGTAAATACCAGGCCAGCTGTCACAGCTAAAGTGACTCTGGGCAAAGGACTCAACTTCTTTTGATGCTTCAGCTTCCTTGCTCCAACCCCTACCTCACCTGACCCCCTATGTGCAGCAGCAAATATGCTTATTAGTTTAATGCTATCTCACTCCCAAGAAAAAATAATGCACAGTCACTGCCTCAAGGACCTAAGCCAAGGAACCTGTTAAAAGAAACTTTAGACAAATTAAATTTAATGGGAGTTTAATTGAGGAAGAGAAAAAAAGTGATTCGCATATCAGGCAGCCACCAGAATCACAGCAGATTCAGAGAGACTCCAGGGATGCCTGATGGTCAGAATAAATTTATGGAACAAAGAAGGGAAATGACTACAGAACTCGGAAGTGAGGTACAGAAACAGCTGGATTGGTTACAGGTTGGTGTTTGCCTTATAGTAACAGTTTGAGCACTCAGCAGTGTATGAGTGGTGGAAGTATGGCTGCTGTATGAGTCGCTGAAGATTGGCCAAGACTCAGGTATTGTAACAGACGCATAAGTTAGGTTTTCAATCTTGTCTATTAAGTTAGGTTAAGGTTGGTCCACAAGGACTCAAATATAGAAGTACAGAGTCCTTCTCAGGCCATATTTAGTTCACTTTAACAAACCAAAGCTACATTTCTTGAAGATGCACAATCAGAATGAGGAAGAATGAGACTGTGAGCAGGTTACTTCCCTCTCTATGCCTCTGTCTCCTTGTCTGTAAAACAACAAAGCTAAATGTTCTCTGTAAGTGGCTTTCTGCTTGTAAGTGTCTGTGAATGTTTGGGTTGTGTTCTGATTGCATGTGGGACAGCCATCCTCTCCTTTATGAACTGTGGATTTTCATATTGGTTAAGTCTGCAGATGGGAGTTATGCTGTTAAGTCGTGAATCTTGTGCTACTGCTTATGAGTTATTTAGCCTGTTTAACTCCTTTTTGCTCATCAGAAAGGGGAGATTATAACAGAATACAATAGGGTTAAGTTTTAAGGTATTTTATTCTTATAGAGCCCTCTGTGTAGTACTCAATACTATGCTAAGAGCTCATGAGTGTTAGTGATTCATAAGAAAGTTGTTGGGAAAACAGTTGTGAGAGCACGTTAACTGGAAAGACTTGCTTGAGATCGTTTATTGAGTTAGGACTCTGTGAAAAGTGGAGAAAATGGAAGGAGCCTGGAGAAGTGGAGAAAGCATCTTATAGGATAACACAGGGGACAGAAAGGCAGAGGTGAGAGATGATTTCATCCATACAGTTCCCCAGACTGACTGTTGGGGCAACATCAGCGAGAGAAAGTTCCATGCTGGGCCAGCCCTGGAAGGTACTGCCTCTTCCTGTTTGGATGTCGGTGACTTGGATGCCTCTAACTGGAAGTGGGTTTGAATACTGTCAGCAATACTTAATTCACCTTAACCTAATTCAAATGTAAAACTTTTTTTCTTTTAGCTGTTAAATTGTTTTGATCTGTTCTGTTGGTGATATTTAATGTTACAAATGTCACCAGGCTAAGACAAGCATTACACATAATTAGGCAACTTTCCCCTTAAGAAAACATAATGAACCCAGCGTTAATATTTATATGGAAAAATTTATGATATACTTCAGTTTTGCATGGAAAGTTAAACTTTGGTAATTTGGATCAATTGAGTGGAAGAAGCGATAGTACTGTTTAGTGCATATTCATTGCTCTAAGGTGACTTCCTGAGGCTTAACTGTTGGGGCATGCATTTTAATGATGCGTAATAGTGGGAAAGTCAGCTGTGTTTCTGTGGGCAAAGAACCCTGGAGTCAGTCAGGATTTCTGAGTCGTAGGTCAGGCATACCCCCTAATCAGTCAGGTAATGTGAGTATGTAAGAAATTGCGCCTTAGAATTTAGTCGTTTTCTCTGTAAACAGACAACATTGAATTGGATCACTTTCAAGTTATACCTTCAAGCTCTAAAATGATATGACATTGATTTATTTTGCATGTCAGAGATGTATTTAAAACCTGCAAGGCATCATAGAAGAAATACACATGGTATATAAAATGGCTCAAATCTTTATTATTTATAAATAGTTTAAAACATGAAGCAGTTATTATGTGCCAGGCATTGTTGTAGGCACTTGAATAACAGTATTTAATTTTTTTAATTCTCAAAATAATTCTATGATGAAAATGTTATCTCCAACATACATGTAAAAACCAAATAAAAGGGGGTTGAAAAATGTTAAAGTAATCTTTTCACCATCATTTACTTACTAGGTAAATCAAACCTAGGTTCATCTGACTCTAAAACCTTTTCTGTTGAGGAATATGTTCTACTAGTGCTTAAAAATAGCATTTTTTTTCTTTAAGAAGATAAAAATCCTTCCTTAGATTTCTTTTTTTTTTGCTTAGAAACTCGTTTAGATAATGCCAAATTCAGCTTAGCATAAGAGGATGATAATCAACACATTTGGAAGTGGTGAAGTATGAGTTAATCATACTTGACTGTAATTCTCAAAACTCATTATGCTGTAGAGCTGGATTGGTTTATTAGACTTAGCATTCTGTGTAACCTGTCATGCTTCCAGGCCTCTGCTCAAGCTAGTCCCTAGGACGTCCACTCCGGTTTTCTACTAGCAAACTCTTTCTAATCCTTCTCATAAAGGCCTACTCAAATGTCACCTCCACTCTGCAAATCCCTACAATTCTCAGGAAGAATTCATTGTTCTGCTCTCTCCACCTGTGTGAGTGTACTGATCACATTCCATTATAGCTATCTGCTGTCTTGTCAGGCCTCCCTCGTGAGTCAGGCAGTAGAGAGAAGAAAGGCACCATGTACATTATGTATCTGTGGATTCCTCTAGAGCCTATCACATAGTAGGCCCTTGTCAAATATGTATTTATTAGAACCAAATTATTCTACTTCTCCCAACAACACTGGAGTGGGATAATGTTAGCCTCCTCTTTGAGTTAATGCGCTCAGAAAATCTGCAAACACGGGTTTCTATGGCAACCAACTAGCTAGGAGAAGGCAAACCCTGCAGTGCTTGCCATGACTGCAAAGCTCGTTGCCTGATTTTCATTAGGCCACCTTTAGTTTCTTCTGTCCCTGTTCAGCAGGACCAGGATCAGTTTCCAAGATGAATTTGCATATCGTTATTATTCAGCATCTGTTGCTACGTGCCCTTGTGTTTGTCGTGGCTGGATTTCCTCTAGAGATGAGTAATGAGGGTATTAACTCAGGTGCCTCTTGAGCTTGGCTCTGTCATGACTGAAGGCAAAGCACTGTGGGCCAGATACTCCCAATGCTATTTCTAGCAGCCACCCGTGGAGCTCAGCAATACAGTATGCACATACAGTTCAATGCAAATACAGTTGAGTACCAAGGTTTGCACTCATGCCTGCACCAAACTTGTTAGAAAGGGACGGAAGCGGGAGGGTTTCTTGGCTTAGGAAAGGTAAGCTTTCTTTGTGTAGCATGATTTGGGGCCCCAGTAGATGCAGAAAAACATCTTATTCTACTCCTGCAAACACTTACTCTCTTACAATTTTCCAAAGCCTGTGTTTGTTTACCTAAGTCTTTAATTCAGTGAAATAATGAACTTCAATGTAGCTCAACAGAATGATTTGGAGATAGCAGTAGATGCTCCTTCTTTCAGTCCTGCCAAAGCCCTTCCCCAAATCTTACTGCTGCAAGGAAATTCATGAGTCACTTTGAGATTGCGCTCAATGGGACAGTGTGTATGTAGTACTTGACTTGGAATCAGAAAACCTGGGGCTAAGGCCACTGTTACTGGGTGAGTGTGAGTAAGTCCCTTCACCTCCTGGATTGCCCCTGTCCCTCCCTCTCAGGTGGTTAGGAGGCTATAAAAATCATGTATGTTTTATTTCATAATTTGCCATGTCCCATACAAACACATACATTGTGAATGTGGGCGCCTATTGTAAACCGTAAAGTCCTAAACAGATGTTGATGAATGAGGACTTGTGATTTAAATTGCAAATACACAGTTTCAGGAAACTGGCTCATTTTGTGGAGTGTTACAAGGTGCTTTACAGGTTGGGTTAGGTACCCTTTTATTAGTAAATACTGGCTGCTAATGAGATTAGTGTTTGTCCTCTAATTCCTTTTCTGTTTTTTAAAGAAATCTTTTGCAATACTGCCACCAAGTCTAAAGTTCCCATATTAGCCACTGTTTTGAACAAAGGAATGTAGGGATTCTGTTAAGATATGGAACCTGAATGTTTAAATTCCAGTAAGGATTTTTAAATAGGCAAATTACAAGTATTAGAAAACAGGTATTACCTAACTTTGGAAGGGGAGTTCTTATAAGCAAAACAATAAACCATAAAGGAAAGCAGAAATATATTTGACTCAATATATAAATGTTCATCCACAGCTAAAGTCAAAGTCTAGAGAAATAGACTAAAAAGTAAAACTTTTTCACATATATGATGAATATAAAGAGGCCCTTAATATAAAATGAAAATGCAAAACACTATTAGACAACAAAAAGTGTCTAGTCTCACCAGCAATCAGGAAAATGTACCTTAAAACATCAATGAGACCCGGTTTTTTTAAAGATGTTAGATTTTAAAAATCGTAAATATCAATATAACTCCAGAAACTGATGAATCCAGGGGAAATAAACACTCTTGTGTGTTTCTGATTTAAAAAAATTCTTTCATTTGTGGAAAATAATATAGCAGCATCTATTAAAATTCAAAACATACATATGCCTTGATGCAGTAACCTGGCTTTTGGTTGCTATGCTAAAAAATGCAAACACTAATATGTAAGAACACGCCCATACTGTAGTAGTAACTTTTAATTCAACATTATTTGTGGTGGCAAAAGATTGAGGGGAAATTACTTTCAACAAGTAACGGAATAGTTGAATAAATTATGATATATCATGGAATATTATAGTATTATTTTAAAAACATGAATTATAATTATTTATTTACTTGGTGAATTGCCATTATATATAAAGTGAAAAATGAAAGTTCCAGATTAATGTGCATAGTAAGATCTTATTTTAATTTTAAAAATTAATAAAGACATAAATCTCCATATAAGCTGGTATATATATATGCACTTAATAGAGTAAAATGAATGAAAAATATGATGGCATTAATAAATAAATACATATATCTGGGACCTTCGTGTTTGAATTTATCCTTCAGTGGGTTCCCTTATAATAATCATTCTTAAGCTTTCAGAATGCATAACAATCATTAGTTATAAAACTTTTAAAAATGAAGATTCTAACCCTGGATATTTTGATTTAATAAGCCAGAAGCTCAAAAATGTCAAGGAATTCTCTTGCTGAAACACTGCCTTATTGAGTATAGAATCAAACCTAATTTTTTCCACAACCCATCCCCTAACTCCCACACAGGAATTTCTGTATTTCTTTGGGATTTCCGTAAAGATATACCCGAATATCAAATGAACACATAGACATTATAAAGGACTTCTAAGAGGGAGACTAAAATTTTTCAAAGACAATTAAATAGGAAACCTATAGAACAAATACAATATTTAAGTCAGGGAAAATAGATGGAAATGTTCTAAGGGGCATAATATCTTGATTAATGCACACAGTTGAGATGCTACCCCTTCATTCTCCTAAAACTATGGCTGGCATCATTAATCCATCACAGCATTCTTTCCCACCATACTCAAATAGAGCCTCAGAGTGCTTCTAAACAAAGCATTCGATGAAGGCTTCAGATGATAATCAGAGTTTGCAAAGACATTTAACTCTCCCTGGTAGTCCAAAGTCCTTCTGTCATCCCATATTTGGTAAGCCCTCACTTTTTGTTTTATGACTTATGGTTGACAAAGCAACTCCTGGCTCTCAGTGGAAATACCATGGGCTTTACTTCTTTAGCTAGAAGCTAAATAGAATCTGGCTGTGATTTCAGGTCTTACCTGTCGCAAATCATACACACTTAAGACAATGGAGATAACAGTCAAAATGATGATGGCCACAGAGTATTCTATGTAACCTTGAGACAGCCACAAAGTTAGGGTGAAGGCTTGGAACACATAGAATGGATTTAAAACCTGCAGGCACAAAAATGGCATTTGGGTCACTTGCATGAACCTTAGTAGCAATCAAGAAGATGTCATTTCATTATCAATTTTTTTCTCATTTTTTTACAACATACACAAACCTCTAATATTTAAGAATTCACTTAGATCTCTATTGATTTGGGTTGAGAAAATGTCAAACACATAGAATGTGATATGGTGGAAGCAAAATTATTTTATGCATTCAGAGCCATGCCCACAAGTTGATCATTCTTATTCATTTTGAATTTCAAAAATATTTTACCAATAACAAAATTTAACAATTCACCTTCTTAAACAGACTGACTCATAATGGGGGAGGTACATGATTCAGTCTCTTTTAAAAACGTACTTCCATTTGGAACAGTTTAATTGCAGTTTTATTTTTCATATAATCACATGCTGCAGATTTAGTCAAGTTGCGCAATGAAAATGAAAGATTCTACTTTTTTATTCAGGTCATTTAAAAATAGCATATCTTTCATGTCACAGGTCCTAGCAAGGTCACATAAGAGTCAGCCAAGTTCTTCTCTTGAACAAGGAGGAAGACTGGAGAGAAATGTCTTCCCCAAGGCTGCAGAGCAAATCATGAGCAGAAAGCAGAAGGTATTACCAACCTGAAAGCTGGTCACTCATACATGTACATTTCTGGTCGCATGAGAATACCTTCAACTTTTTTTGTTCCCTCAATTTTTCCCATTTGGGTCCTGCTAACTCATGCTAATAATGAGAGCAGAGAGGGCAAACCTGAGAAGCCAGAGAAAAGTCATAGGATATACATGCAGAAAGTGAACTAAAGAGCCCATCAGAGCAAAGCAAGGATTATTTTTCTGAGAAAGTGTTCTTTCTAATCATTATGAATTGGATGAAATATTGGTTAAAACCAGTGCTATTCTCTCTTACCTCTGTTTTCTATAATTCCCTTATGTACTAAATACAATTCTAATTTAGTCTTAAAAGTGAACTGACATGTGGTAAATAAGTTAGTACGTTGTATCTTAAGTGTTGGATATATTTTGTCCATTAAAAAAGATTTTGTTCCTTAATGTTTCTTATTATTTCAATCCCAACTGCTTTACTTGCAAATTATAGCTTTTTTGTTTGCTTATTATAAAATGCTCTGATTGTAGATTATGTGCAAATGATAATATGATCTTGAAGTTAAACAAATCCAGTAGAATACTGGTTAAATACTTTTTGCAGAAGAAACAACACTATTCTAATTAATTCAGTTCTCTTATTTAATATTCTTTTGAAACCAAATGTAGAGAAATAGTTGTACTTGGTTTTTTTTTTCTTTCTACTAAAGGGCTAGTAAATAGGTGCCAGAAAATACTAGCACTCCTTTCAAATTAGAACACATTGACCCCTGGAGAATATTTGGCAATTTGAAAACGTACTTGACGTTTAAAAAGCTGCCTACTTTTTGATAGTTAGGGAAGCTATGCATATGTGGAGGCAGGACGTATATGGGAAATCTTTGTATGTTCCACCCAATTTTGCTATGAACCGAAAACTAGTCTAAAAAATAAAGTTAAAAAAAGCAACCTGTTTTCTGCTTCAGACACAGAATAATGGTAAATAATTTTTTAATATTAAAAAGATATGTCCATGTTCCAAAACAAAATGACCATCTTTATGGGTTAGAAATAGACTGGAAACATGCACCATTGAGTGGGGGCTCACATCATCAGATTCATGGGTTCCAGACAAGGACTAGACAGCAAAATCTAGGAGCCCCTTTCTCGGAGGAATAGAGACAGAACGTGTCCCTTAGGTGGCTGAGGATAGAAATGAGGCATATGGTGGAAAACAAGGGTGGCCATGGGCTTCCTGTTCCAGAATAGAGGTTGAGCAAAGTCATAACCAATGAAGGCTTTCCACCCAAGGGTGGAATGGGAGAGGAGTGTCCATGGGACAACTGTGAACTGGGCTAAGCCTCAAGCTGGCTAAGGGCATGCATGTGACAAATCCCTGAAGGACAAGCACCCAAACCTTCAGGGACCACATAGGGGCCAACTGGAGGCAAACAAAGCCATCAAAGAAGCACAGAAAGCACAGAGAGAAAGAGAAAAATTGATGGGGAAAGTGTCCCACTTAAGGTAAGCATTAAAAAAAAAAATCCAAGCACACAAGGAAAATATTTTTAAAAACAAAAACAAAAATAAAACACTAACAAAGGGAGAAGTTACTCTCAAGAAAATGAAAATAATAAAGCCATTTGAAAAAGACCAAAAGAATACATTTCAAATCCTCAATAATTATAGAAATAATAACATTGCCCCATGCTGTGGACTGAACATTTGTGTCCCCTCTAAATTCATAGGTTGAAGCCCTAACCCCCAGTGTGATGGTATTTGGAGATGGGTCCCTTGGGAGGCAATTAGGTTTAGATGAGGTCATGAAGGTAGAGATCCCACGATGGGATTAGTGTCCTTGTAGGAAGAGGAAGAGACCAGACCTCTCTCTCCACCATGTGAAGACATAAAGAACACAGTAGTCTGCACGCCCAGAAATGGGTCCTCACCGGGAACTGAATATGCAAGCACCTTGATCTTGGACTTCCCAGCCTCTAAAACTGTGGGAAAATAAGTGTTTGTTGTTTAAGCCACCCAATGCATGACATTTTGTTATAGCAACCCAGTGGACTAACCACCCCACCACCACCACCACCACCAAAACCACCATCCAAACTAAAGAGAACAAAACAAAACAAACAGGAGATTATGAGGCAGGAATCTGTCTCACACTGGAAAGGAATTTTAAAGTAAACCTGAGTTTAAAATAAGCAGTAACAAAAAGAAGTCGCATGAAACAAGATATCATTCACATCAAAGTATTTATGTGTTCCTTCTAGGAAGTAAGAAGTAAGGGGCAGAAATCTATTTTTTCAAAAAAAAAAGAAAAGAAAACAGTTACCTGTTTAACAAGCAGCTTCCATATGGGTTGGATTTCAACCTCAATGGCGTTGGGCCCACACACTAATCTTCTGCGGGAAATTGATCATCCATTAGTGTCATAGCTACAAGCACATGATAAGTGACTACAGGCCAAACTAAACAGAAGTCATTTTTCTACTCTTTGGAGATTTTGTGACTTTGATTAAAAAATAATGTGCAAGTTCTTTTGAAACGTAATTCTAAACTACTATTTTTGAAATGAAAGTCAGTGTATGATGGACAGAGCTGTAGTCCTCGATACAAATATATCTTAAATGTAGTACAACTCAAAAAAAAAGTTGGAAAGACACTTTCATTTTGAGTTACTTTTAAAATAATTTTATTATATACTAAAAGCAACGAAAAAGACACAGCTATGCAGATGTTCCTAGACTTGTCAGGCATTCTAGATTGCCCTTGATGCTAGAAGTCATATCTATCTTACTTTGGTACCTCCAGCACCTAGGACAGGGCCCTTAGTATACGAACCGAATGAATACATATTAGTATATGAACTGAATGAACGAGCAAATGAACTGGAAGATATGGCCTTCATGGCTAACACTTGGTAAACGTGTATATTATACACAAGGTGTAATACATATGTGCATTACAACAAGAATGCATATTTCTATACTATTTTACCATTAACAAAGTTTTTACAAAGATTCATTTGATCCTCACAATAGTCCAAAGGAAAGGGCTAATACCTCTATTTTGCCAATGGAAGAAATTATTCAGTGCGGCATGTAGCCAAAATTGCACACATCTAGTATGAATCACAACAATGTAACTTTTTTTTTGAGATGGAGTTTCACTCTTGTTGCCCAGGCTGGAATGCAATGGCACGATCTCGGTTCACCGCAACCTCCGCCTCCCAGGTTCAAGCGATTCTCCTGCCTCTGCCTCCCGAGTAGCTGGGATTACAGGCATGCACCATCATGCCAGGCTAATTTTGTATTTTTAGTACAGACGGGGTTTCTCCATCTTGGTCAGGCTCGTCTCGAACCCCTGACCTCAGGTGATCCACCCGCCTCAGCCTCCCAAAGTGCTGAGATTACAAGCGTGAGCCAGCACGCCCGGCCTACAATGTAACTTTTAAACAGAGTTGACAGTGTCAGAAACTGCACTTAGCCTTTTTATATGCATTAACTCCTTCAATCATCACATTATTCCCATGAGATTTCATATTATTAGCACTTATTGTAATAGAAACTCAAGCTCCGATAAACCAAGAAACTTTTCCAGGATCGCAAAGCTAGAAAGAGGCAGGCTTTGTAGCATTGTCTATGACTCCACTTCACAAATCTGCCTCAGAAAGGACCAATGGGGAGAATCTGCATGAGAGATCTTTGGTCTCACTGAGGTATAACAGAGAGCTGAGCCCAAGTTTATCTGACTTCTTAGCCATATTTCTTTCCAAGTATAATTGTAGTTTGCAAAGAACAGAGAGGACTCAAACCGAGGTCTTCTGACTCCATGCCATGAAAACACTGAGGTTCAAGGATGTTGGGAATCAGAGAGGGCAAACAGCCCATCACGCTCTTTGACTTCTTAAGTCCCTAAACCTCCCGCTGGAAAGAGCCCATAACTCAAACCATTTCAGTACTCAGGACTCTTTTACACAATCTGGGGCAATAATCTGTTGTTAAGCAAAGTGTCAGAACTTAGGACCCCAAACTCGGTCCTCCATTCTCTCTCCCTCTCTCCGCTTTGAATGCCCTTCCCACATTCTTCAGTTTGTAAATGCCTACTCAGCCTCGGAGAGCCAGATCCGACAATCAAGCTTAATGGTTGAGAAATGTGGGAGCAGAGAGGCCTGGATTTGAACACAGCTAAGACCTTGTGCTTGCTGTTCCCTCCAACTGGAACTAATTTCCTCCACAACTTCGTATGTCTACCCGCTCAGTCCCTCAATGAAACAAGGGCGTTCCCTTTGTGAATGAATTTCATTCTTTCTCTGTTCAAGTAGCACCTCCTTACTGGGCTTTCCCTAACAATGCTCCTTGAAATAGCTACCCTGACTCTTAATTCAGATTCTCTTCATCTCCTTATCCTGCCATATTTTTCATTATAGTGCATATAATTACCTGAAAGTACACGTTATGTTTCACATTTTAATAAGTTTGCAAAAAAAAAAAAGACTGTATCTTCCACTATAATGTAAGCTTCCAGAGGACATCGATACATTCCGAATGCCTAAAACAGAGCCTATTATATGCTGAATGAACGAATTGATGGCTGAATGAGGGGTCAGCCTCACTCTTCTCATCTGTAAAAGGGGTTTTATAAAACATACCTAATAAAATTGCTATCAAGCTGGGTGTGTGGCACACACCTGTAGTCCCAGCTACTTGGGAGGCTGAGGCAGGAGGACTGCTTGACCTCAGGAGTTTGAGACCAGCCTGGGCAACAAAGGGAGACTCTAATTTAAAAAAAAAATGCTACCAGTAGCATATGAGAAAAATACATAAAGCATTTAGTTCTCAATAAATGGCAGCTATCTTTGAAGTCTTACTCCCTCTGGCACAATTAACTCTATTTTTCTCCCTTCCAACAACCTTTCTTTTCTTAGCAACAGCACTTACATCATTAAAGTATAATGTATACTTAAATGTCTTTTCCCTCTAGTTTCCTAGAGTCCCTTTAAAGGCAGAAACAGATTTTTTTTTCTTTTTCTTTTTTGAGACGGAGTGTCTTGCTCTGTCGCCCAGGCTGGAGTGCATTGGCACAGTCTAGGCTCACTTCAACTTCCGCCTCCCAGTTTCAAGCGATTCTCCTGCCTCAGCCTCCTGAGTAGCTGGGATTACAGGCCCACACTACCACACCTGGCTAATTTTTGTATTTTTAGTAGACACGGGGTTTCACCATGTTGGCCAGGCTGGTCTCAAACCCCTGACCTCGTGATCCACCTGACTCGGCTTCCCAAAATGCTGGGATTACAGGCATGAGCCACCATGCCCAGCCCAGAAACAGAGATTTTTAAATCCTGTCTAAAAATCTAGCACTAGGGGCGCAGTGTCTGACCTAGAGGATATTCCCTAAATAGTAGAATGAATTAATGAGGTTCAAGGCAGTACATGGGGTATGGAAAGCAGTTTAGAAAGCAAGCCTAGAGTCTCATGCTCTTTGGCTCTCCAAGTTTGGCAATATTACCATTAAGAGAGAAGAGATCCCATGAGGACGGGGATCCAGTTGATCAATATTTGCCTGTAGATCATCCTCTTTACGGTTCATCTGAACTGTATTGAAATCACAGCCTGGCATGCCCCTTGCTGCTGTGTCTCTTCTACTGCTTCTTGCCAAAAAATATTGTGTGTTTAGAGATCATGTACCCATCTCAGTTTCAGCACAAGCCAAGCAGAATATTCAGGGGTGTTGACTAATGGCTGAGCAATGGGAAGAAATATAAGATTTGAAGCTGGTTCACATGAGGAAAGGTCTAAGAAACAAGGGAGCTGACATTCTGACCAGCTGGCAGGGAAAACAGGCCCCAGATTGTTCCAGCAGCTTCACAGAACAACGTAGGCTAAATAAAATTAAGCAGACCTGCCTAATAGTTCCAACTATGCATTAGAAGAAGAGTTGCTTTGGAGGTAGATGGTCCCTCTCCAGAAGTTGAACAATTTCTCAGCAGGAAACCTGTGGAGGGGATTTCTGCAGGGACCATGGGCTAAACTTGGGGAATCATTGAGGTTTCCTCCAACCCTGAGATATCAGTAAATCTGTTAGAATTTATTTATTTCTGAGAAAACAAAATGCAGATGACTAGGAGGACTTTCTCTTGGAGGAGGTCCATGTCCCTTTTCATTTGTTATTCATTCATTCATTCATTCAATTAACTTACCAATAATTGTTAATAATGTGTCGTGTGGTAGCCATTTTAGGCTCCAGGTGGTAAAGACTGAAGGAGTCCTCAAGGAGGAAGGAAGGGCATGTTAGAATTATGGTGGAGTTTTTCAAACTACACCTATTTTTTGCTCACTGCTTCCATTCTGATAAGTTTCCAACAGAGTCTCTGGCAGGCAGGGACGTCTATAGTTTTCCATACATACAATGTCAAGCCAGGAGATTCTGGCATAACCCACTTCCAGGAACTTAGGAATTTTTAGGAAGCAGACATGTAGAGGTTGAGAAAGTTCCCATGTGATTCTGTTAGCAAGTTCCTGACTTCCCTAACACTCTTGTTTTATAAAGGGAGGAAGACCTAAGATATTCACAGATGCACAGGACATGGCATCCAACTTCTGGGATTTGGATGTGGTTGTATAGCACAACAAGAGTGCTGGCCTTCGAGCCCTTCCATTAAAAACAATAATAAAAACAAGATTGGTATATTTTGAGAAATTGCTTTATGGAAGGAAAACATCTCTATTTCATTACAGCTTGAACCTGCTTGTGTACTTTAATGAAACACTTACACAGAGAATGTATCTCCATTCTACAAATGACATGAAAGTTATTTTAGTTTTTTACATTTGTCCTCATGTGTGACCTGCCCATTTCTTTCATTGCCTAAATTGCATGTTTTCAGATAGCCTCAGGAAAACTCGAGAAGTTGGGCTCTTAGAGGACTTCAAGCCCTCCATGTGAGCTAAGTGAGGCGCTTCCAGTCAGCTTTTCTGGGGAAAGGCCTTGAGCATTCCCAGGCATAGGGATGCAGAAGGGAATGGACCAGGAGGACATCAGGAATGGAGATGGGGTACAAAGAAACCGAGTGCAGGATCCTGCCAGGGAGATTCTGGACTTAGCTTTCCTGGTCCCTCTGTAGGGCTTTGCTCTAAATAAGGCAGTAGAGTTAAGTGGTTTTATACTTTAAATGGGCCAAGATCCATAGAACCGTGGATCTGATAATTCCACTTTATTAAAAAAGAAAATGATCTCAGTTCATTTAATTTTTATTAAATAGCTTATGCATTAAATTTTAAAGAAAGGATATATATATATATGTTACATTTTTAAGTAACTTGTTAACTTCTAATTGAATTCTAATAGTTGAGACTACGTTATTGGCTTCCAGAAGAATGAGCAAAGCCCCTTTCCTCTCCTCCAACCAGCCCTTCCTTGATCCTTCTGTAAATGCTGATCTGATGGCTGAGTATCTACTACAGGGCTCTTTTCTAGAGGTGGTTTCAAAGGGGATAGAGGTCACGGTATATAAGCATGGTTTCTAAATTTTCCTTTCCCCAAGACTGAGGAGTAAGAGAGTAGGGTCTCACAGCAGCCTCTCTCTGTCCTTCTCTCTCTCTCTCTCACCTTCTTTTTGCTTCTTCTTTCTCTCTTTTCTGATGTTCTGTGTTCTCATGGAACAGTTTCTGTCAGCTTGGAGCTATGCATTAATGGCAAACCTACCTTCTCTTGCTGTCTGTCACTCGGATTCCTTTCCTCTGGTGCTGACAAGCATGCCTTTTCTCTCAATGCTGTGGTAAACATTGAGAATTAAATTTGGCCTTGCAGAATCACTAAATCAACGGGGAGCCTCTCTTCCCAGCTTTGCATTCAGTGATGTCACCTTGGTGGCTTAAGTTGGCCATGGATGGAATATTCCTACCATAGAAACCAGCAAACCCTGTCTATCAAAGCTTTTTTTCTTCCTGAGAGCTAGGTCACCAGCAAGGTGATTGGTCTGGACTTAACCTCAAGTGTGTGTGTGTGCATGTGTGTGTGTGTGTGGTGGTGGTGGTGGTGGTGCAGGGGGGCTGGGAGAGGGTCCTTCCATTTCTGCTGCCAGGAAGTCATTTACTCCTTTTATTTTCTGCAGCCTAAACAAAAGGGACAGAAGCAGGGTGGGTGGGCTGAGTGAAAAATAAGGTGAAGAGATGCTCAACTGATAAATAATCTTAATAGGAAGACTACTTGACTAGTTGAGGAATCAGGTAGGTTTTTTATTTTTATTTTTCCCTTATGGGCTCACTTTTGTGATATAAAAGAATTACCTTGAATGTCTTTTGACCTGCCTAGGACAGGCACTAATATGGAAGTTTGAGTTCAGTTCATGACGGGTGAAGCTAAGGAACATGGAACTCCTGGGACAATTTACTTGCTCTCTTTCTGATCCCTTCTCACAATTTCTCTCCGGGGTAAAGTTATTTCTCCTGATGTTTGGATATGCTTTCGCTACTGAAAAGTGAGAACTATGTAAATCTGCATTTTCTCTCTCTACCCAGCTGCTAGGGAGCCCATAGAAAAAGTTTGCATGTAAACTCTATAGCTTTTCATCATCAGAGATTCTTGTGTATCCCCGTTCATTTCTCATCTTATGCACTTGCTTTTTAATGAAAGCAAGCTCAAATTCACTAGGAAATTGGTAAGATATTACTCAACCATCCATCACACTTAGTTTTTTAAAGGCCTTGGTCTTACCCTAAAAAATGAAATGAAAAAATCTTCCATATTCTACTTATTCTCTTTTCACTCCCCAAATAACATAAATATGACCATGTTTATAAGTAGATTATCTGCTCCATTCTTCATATTTGGAAAATGATACTCTTTGTCTTGCTTATTAGATTGTCAAGTTCTATATTGTGTGGATCAGATTTTTTTTTGTGACGGAGTCTCACTCTGTTGCCCAGGCTAAAGTACAGTGGCATGATCTCAGCTCTCTGCAACCTCCGCCTCCCGGGTCCAAGCAATTCTCCTGCCTCAGCCTCCTGAGTAGCTGGGACTACAGGTACAGGCCACCACGCCTGGCTAACTTTTGTATTTTTAGTAAAGACGGAGTTTCACCATGTTGGCCAGGCTGGTCTTGAACTCTTGACCTCAGGTGAACCACCCGCCTTGGCCTCCCAAAGTGCTGGGATTACAGGTGTGAGCCACTGCGCCCAGTCATGGATCAGATTTAAATTTGATTATGTACAATGTTTACTGAAGTTTGGTGCTTGATAAATAAGAAAAAAACATGAGGTAGCTGCACTGACAGGAAATCTTTCCTGTGGAAGTGGTTACCTAGGCAGAGTGTGTCTACATCTATCAACTAGAATTCTTAAATGTCCTAGATAAATCCTTTACATGCCTTGTATTTAGTGCTATTAAACCAATATATTTTAATAACTCTAAAAACTTTTTTGTGACAATGTTTTGAGCATTACATCTGAAATCTTACATAATAATACCATTTCTAAGGCATTTTGCAATATTGTCCTAGTCCAGATGTCTGGTTCATTTTTCACAGTGTCTGATAGAGGAAAAACTTATAAACAACAGATCAGTAACTCTTAGACTTGGTGTGTGTGAGAATTATGGGGGTTGCTTGCTAAAAATGGGTATCTTCTAAGTACCCCTTGCTCCTACAGAATTATCAGAATTATGAGGGTGGAGCTTAAAACCTATATTTTAAAGTATCTGATTACTTCTTAGCTTGAGAATAGGTGTTTCTGGCCGACTGTAAAGGTTAAGCAGACACTCTCTCTAAAAATGGGTGAGAAATAAAGGTGATTATAAGATTCTGGGGAAGACTTGTAATGATTTCCTTTCAGATTTGCCAGGGTTCATCATTTCAAATAATAGCTGAAGAAAGCAGGGACTCTGTATCTCTGTGAGTTAATAATAGCATAAGCATTTCCTAATTTATGTGCATCTATAGGTACCAATCTCATGATTGTGCCACCATTTATGCCTCTCTTTCTGACTAGTCCGTGTCTCTGGGACAATGACTAAACCTTTGTCTTTAGATCCTTAGTTCCTTGCAAAGTACCTATTTGTTATTTAACAAATCAATGAATATATTAACTTACTCATTTACTCTAGAATTATGTATTGAGCTCCTACCAAAGAATCAGGCACTGTTCTAGGTACTGCAGATATAGTGGTGAATAACACAACTAACCGAGCAAGCAAAATCCTCATCTCCAGGGCTGTTTCTTCAGAATAAAATGCAATCAAAGTATTGTCATTCTGTCTCTCCCAGGATTTGGAAGATTACTAAGCTGACATTTAGGGAATGACTCAAGATTTTTTTAAGAAAGGAAAAATAAAAAAACAACACAAAGATGATTGCTCTACAAGCCTGAGATAAAAGATCAAATTTTATATGATTGCATTGTTCTTTTGGTCTTTGTAAAAATAAGTTTGCCTAAGAAAAGAACAATTTAGGATATCTCCGCTGCCAGTAAATGAACTTGGACTATAACAAGCTGATGAAGCATTATGCCAACAATGCACTGATGATAACTGATTTGATACTTCATTTTCTGCTGGCAGAGTTTACTCTTAAGGCATATAATAAGTCCTACCTGACCTCTTGCTCTTCACTGGTCAGACCCAATCCAAATGTCTGATGGATGTCAGAGCAGGAATTGCTGTCTTCTAGCAACCTAGGATGTATTCAGGATAGGAACCACACTTCAGTTCATAGCACTCAACAAATCAGTGTTTTTCCCCTATATCCTGACCAAGGGGTGACAAAACATTGTACTTACCCAACTTTCTGAAACCGCTTCTCCAGGTCGTTCCAAACATACCTGATTTTCTGCACTTCCATGCACCGCAGCTACGATTGCAAATGTGATAGAGCAGGTGTCATTCACAGCATAAAGCTCACTGGGAGAGGGAGTGGTGTCCAATGCAGGATGCAGATCCCCTTGTGGGTCTCACTTGCTTTCCTTCTTTCTTTCTTTCTTTCTTTCTTTCTTTCTTTCTTTCTTTCTTTCTTTCTTTCTTTCTTTCAGACAGGGTCTCACTCTGTCACCCAGGCTGGAGTGCAGTGGCGTGATGACCACTCACTGTAGCCTTGACCTCCCAGGTTCAATCGATCCTCCTGCCTCAACCTCCTGAGTAGCTGGGACTACAGGCAAGCACCACCACACTCAGCTCATTTTTTGTTTTTATTTTTTTAATAGAGATGAGGTTTTGCCATGTTTCCCAGGCTGGTCTCAAACTCCTGGGCTCAAGGGATCCGCCCACATTGGCCTCCCAAAAGTGCCGGGATTACAGACGTGAACGACCATGCCCAGCCAGTCTCACTTTCTTTGATACATAGCTGTCATTCCCATTCCAAAAGTGTGATATTCGGAACTTTCATTTAATAAACAGTTATTTTATGCTTTCTCTGTAAACATGCATAACACCATACCCTTCAAGTAACTTACTTTTAATTCTGGCTTTATTAAGGCTTGGTTTATGACAGAGTGGCGGTCAGCCACCAGGGATTCTTCCCACTTCTTGCTTACAGGAAACTTCAGTGTGGATAAGTAGAGGCAGAATACCTTCTTCCTCATATATCTTTGAAATTCGTCCTGGAAAAGACAATCCAGTTCATGAAATTCTCAAGTGTTATTCAGTAAGGTGCTCAATCAACCAAATACCTACCAAGTGGTACAAAACTTTGACCCAAACAAGCGCATCAGCTTTATCTCAGAACTTAGTAGAAATGCAAATTCTCAGCCCCACTTCAGACCTACTGAATTAAAAACTCTGGGTGGGGCCAGCATCCTTGTTTCAATGAGCCCTCCAGATGATTCTGATATGCACTGAAATTTGATAACCACTGTGCTAGAAAATAAAAAGAAAGATAATACTTTTCAGGAAAGCTTTCTATCCAGAAAATAGTTTCTAGCTATATTAAAGTGACATCTAGGTGCTTAAAATGTGTAATATCCTCCAAAATACATATTTTTGAAAAACTGAATGACCATTCCCATGTTATGGTCTCTAAACGCTGTAACACTGACAGCCACTGCTCATGTAATGGCTAAGAGCACTCCCTGTTAACCTGATGGGGTCGAAATTTCCCCAAGCTGAAGCAGAAGAAATGCTCTTCCTTCCTGGGTCAAAATGAGAGATAGCAAATGGATTGCAGAGGTAATTTTGCCGTATTTTCTCCTGTTTTGATCTATGGAAACTCTTTAAATAGAGGAAATCTACCTTCTGAAATATAATACCAGCCACAGAGTTATGCCACAGAGGCAATACAGAAGACACGATCATGGCTTTCAAAATAGAAAACAGAAAGGCACGCACTGTTGTCCTCAGCAAAACAGTGTCTGCTTCTTGCAAGGGGCATGGGATGCAGTTGGCCCACACTCTCCACTGGGGTCTCCAGTAGAACACCAGCAGAAGGCCCCCACAGGTCAGCACGGATGCGACAAGGCAGAAGGCTTTCCGTACATTGTGGTCCCGGTAACCAAACACCTCCTGGAGAATAAATTTAAAAGATCGCTCTATTTTTCTTTTCTTCACATAAACATATTATTTTCTTTCAATAAACCAAACTTGAGATGAAAGAATGTTGGCTGGGAGACAAATCTGGTTATAGGTGGTTAAATCAAGTTGACTGCTTGCAGCTGTCCACTGATCAAATCAAAAAAGAAGGACTTATTTTACTACCCTGGTATATGGAACTAAAACATTAAACAGAAAGAGTATGGAAAGGGCAGATTTATTTGCTTCTATATATTCATAAGAGTCACCTCAGATTTTTATAAAATACTTCATGTTTTGAGGCAGATTTATTTTCTTTAGGCATTAGTTATTTTAAACATTGTTATGTTTAAAATACCTAATATTTTAAAATTCCTACAATATGAATTTATTGTAGGAAGATGATAAAATCATGACAGATGTGATCTACACTCATACATCTAGCTTTATCCATTCAGCTTTGTCTTATAATAACATGATTGAGGACGACGGAAAGTATGAATAAATGTACTATTTTCTAAAACAGTATGTTGATGTAAATTAAGGAATTACTCGTGGATATGAAAGACTTTCAAAAAGCAGCTTATATTTATTTACCCTGATAGTAATATGCTAAAATATTTGGACTCTCACTAGTAGGTTAGTCAATATTTGTCATAAACTGAATAAAGATTTGAGATTTGATTCTAGAAGGAAAAATTGCCAAACAATAGATTTGCTTATTGAAGGCCAATTCCTAGTTCCCAACTTGTACAGTGATGTTTCATAGCATTGTTTTTTAAATTTGAAAAGCTAAATTTTCAGTGCATTTTGAAGCCCCTGAGGGATGCTGATTATGAATAATATCTCTACTATACTATTATTTTAGGTTCTGCTATTGTTGTTTTTGTGCTTTTTAAAAATATGACTGAACTCTGAATTTTCAGGTCCAGATCACAGGACTATCATGTTTAGAAACTTAGTTTTTACTAAGTGTCTAGAGCACTTTTGATGCGGGAACATCCTGCATTTTATGCCAGTTTAGATCATGCTATAAAACATCTCTTGGCTTAAGATTTTTTCCATTGACCCTCAACACTATCATCCACCTGAGAAAAAAGTTCATTAAGTTCAATGAGGCAGCCACTCTATTTTGAGATTATTCAAATAAGGTTTAAGTTAGAAATATGCATTCACCCTGCTTTTAAGCATGTTTTCTATTGGTTCTCCTCTTTCTCTTTCTGTTCCCTCTGATTCTATAAACCTGCTTTAGTTTTATTTGTGAATTATAGTTTTATTAGGACCAAGTAAAATGTATATGCCACTTTATATATTATGTCATAAATATACATTCTTTTACCGAGTTATTTACAGAAGCTTACTGCCAAAGTCAAAATGTGTGCAAAAATAGAAGCAGGACAATTTGGAATTTTAGTCTAGCTTGTACATGAAATGAGCTCATTCATAAATAACTTTCTCTTTTTCTGTTTATTTGTATACAGTAATGGCAATGAAAATCATAATTCTGGTACCCCTTCAGTTCTCTTCTATACAATGTTTTTAAATTAAAAAACAAACTCACAATGCTAGTAAGACTGCAATGAAAGCACTACAGCTATATAGTGCTAATAGCCTTGTGAACTGGAATAATTTTTTAGGAAAAGTAAGGTGGCAAATTGTATCAAGAATTGTAAAGATATTTCTACTCTTTGAATCAGTAATTCTTCATTTGAAAATATGCCCTAATGAAATAATATCTAAATGAGAAAGTTTTGCATATACAACGTTCAGTGCAGCATTATCTGTAATAGCAAAAACACTGGAAAAACCAAATGATAGCTAATGGTTCAGTAAGTTGTGAATGGAGCATACTGTGATGTAGAAACCTGGAGCATACTGTGATACAATGTTAAATGGAGAAAAGAACAAAGAACAAGTAGAATAAATGGGAAACAAGAAGCAACATTATGAAATTTAACCCAACTATATTAGTAATTGCATTAAATGCATGTGGCCTTAATGCTATGATTAAAAGCAAAGATTATTAGACTAGATAATAAAAGACCTATCGTATACTATTTACAAGAGACACACTTTAAACATAAAGAAGTGGATAGGTTAAAAAGGAAAAGAAGGGGAAAGTATACTGGGCAAACAGTGGAAGAAAGCTGATATCGCTGTATTACTATCACACAAATTATATTTCTTTAAGGATAGTTAAGGAAAAAATACTATGAGAGCAAAGGAAGGATATTTCATAAGCTAAAAGATCAATTCAACAGGAGGACATAACAATCCCAAATTTTTGCACATCTAAAAAACATAGTTTTAAAAATTATAAAGAAAAATTGATAGAATTTAAATCTACTCTCATCATTGGAGATTTTAGCACATCCCCCCTCTCAATAACCAGCAGAATAAGCAGACAAAACACTCAGTAGGAATGCAGGAAGTCTGAACACCTCCACTAGCTACATTGATCTAATTGACAAATACAGAAAATTACAGCCAACAACTGCAGAATTCAAATAGTTTTCAAGTACACATAGAATACTTACCTAAACTGAGCACATTCTGAGACATAAAGTATGATGACATTACAATTAAACTAGAAATTAAAAACAGAATAACTTAAAAATTCCCAAATATTTGGAAAGTAAACAACATATTTTGAAATAACACAGGTAAGTCAAATAAAAAATTACAATAAATATTAGGAAATCATTCGAACTGAATGAAAATGAAAATTGAGAAATAAACATTCATGGAATGCAATGAAGATAATCCTTACATAGACATTTACAGCTTTAGCTGCAAATCTTAGTAAAGAGAAAAAGTTTTGAAATCAATAAACTAAGCTTCCAATTCAAGAAGTTATAGAAACAAAAGCAAATTAAACCCCAAAAAAGTAAGGAAAAGATTATAAAGATGAGTGCAGAAATAAGACAGAAAGTAGAAATACAACACAATAGAGAGAAACAGCAAAGTCAAATTGGTACCCTGAAAAGATTAATAACATTGATAAACTCATCAATAAATACGAATATTTTGTGTTTATTACAGAAAATTAATATGCAATTTAAAAGCTCCCTGCAAAGAAATCGTCAAGCCCAGAGAACTTGTGATTCCTTTGAAATATTTAAGATAGAAATGATACTATTCTTTTACAAACCTCTTTATAAGTAGAAGAGATGAAAATTCTCCCAATTTGTTTTATGAAGCCAGCATACTCAGACACCAAACTCTGATAAATATGTTGCAAGCAAGGAAAATTGCAGGCTAAGCCCTGTCATGAACATAGATAAAATAATTCTAAAATAGATTATCTAACTAAATCAATGATATATTAAAAGTTTAGTACATCACTACCAAATAATGTTTGTCCTAGAAATGCAAGGATTTAAAAATCAGTCAATGTACTTTGCCATTCCATGCACTTCAATATTCAGAAGGAAACTCAGAAGGCCATCTCAATAGATAGAGAAAAAGACTTATACAATTCTACACCAATACATGATTTAAAAAATTCTCAACAAGTTAAAAATAGATGAGAACATCTTTAAGCAACATCATGTGTAATGATGAAATAGTGAATATTTTCCCACTTAAGTTACAACCAAAATGAGATTGTCAACAATCACTACTAATATTTATCAGTACAGTACTAGAAGTCTTAACCAGTGCAACGCAAGAAATAGAGAAAGAAAGAGGGAAGGGAAGGAAAGGGAAGGGGAGGGGAGGGGAGGGGAAGGGAGGGGAATAACAATTGAAAACAAGAACTAAACTCTATGTGTAGATAATGTGGAAAAATATCCAAAAGAATATACAAAGTATAAGAGTTAATAAGTGAATTTATTCAGATTGCTGGATACCAGGTCAATATAGGAAAACCAATTGTGTTTGTATATATTAGTAACAAACAATTTGAAAATTAATTAAATACCATTTATAATACCTTCAAAGAAAGAAATTGATTACCTTGTAATAATTCTAACAAAGTTGTACAAGACATCTAAACTGAAAAGTACATATCATCGCCAAGAGAAAGTAAAGACCTAAATAAACGAAGAGCTGTATTAAGTTTGGGGATTAGCCATTAGTAATCCAATTTAAAATCTCTTCAGACTTGTGTGTGTGTGTGTGTGTGTGTGTGTGTGGTAATTGACAACTTGGTTCTAAAATTGGAATGGAAATGCAAAGGATGTAGGATAGTCAAGACAATTTTTGAAACGAATAAATGTGGAAGAATTATGCCACCAGAAGTGAAGGCTTACCACAAAGCCACAGTAATTAAGAAAATGAGGTATACACACAAGTATAAACAAACAGAGCAACAAAACAAAGTCCAAAAAGAGACTCAAACATATGATTTCTTCACTTGCAAGAAAGGAGCCACTGCAATCTGTGTGGGAAAGGGTGATTTGCTCAACAAACAGTGCCAGAGCAAAACGAATAGCACTGGAAAATAAATGAGTACAATCCCCCCACCGCCCCACCCCACTGGTTTGTACCATATACAAAAATTCATTTGAGATGGCACAAATATGTAAATGTGACAACTGAAACAATAAATCATCTGAAAGAAACCATAGGATGAATTATTCTATGAACCTCAAGTAGGCAAATGTTTCTTAAACAGAAAATAAAAAGAAAGACAAAACAAATGTACTTGACTTTGTTAAAATTAAAAGCTTCTGGCTGGGCACAGTGTCTCACACCTGTAATCCCAGTGCTTTGGGAAGCTGAGGCTGGAGGATTGCTTGAGGCCAGGAGTTCAAGACCAGCCTGAGCAACATAGAAATACGCTGTCTCTACAATTTTTTTTTTAATTAGCCAGCAATGGTGGTGCACACCTGTTGTCCCAGTTCCTCAGGAGGCAGAGGTGGGAGGATCGCTTGAGCCCAGGAGTTCAGGGCTTTAGTGAGCCATAATTGCACCACTTCCACTCAGGCAACAGTGAGACCCTGTCTCTACTGTCTCTAAGTTTTTTAAAAATATATAGAAATGAATTTTAAAAGTAAAGAAAATTAAAAGTTTCAGTTGATTAAAAGGTCTCTGAAGAGGCCAAGCATGGTGGCTCATGCTGTAATCCCAGCACTTTGGGAGGCCAAGATGGGAGGATCGTTTGAGCCCAGGAGTTCAAGACAATTTGAGATAAGATTTGGGTGGGGACACAGCCAAATTATGTCACACAGTATATGTATTTATTTTGACCAACTAATTGAGAGGAAAATTAGATTGTATAAATGATTATTCTTCTGATGTAGTCAGAGTCACTCAGATTTTTTCTGAATATTTACACGCCCCCAGTAAAATCCACTGAGAAATGCAGGGTAGAGGAGAGAGCCAGGAACATGTTTGTACCATAAAAGGAAAATTAATAGTATCCAGAGGTGGTGTTAATGTAAAGATACTGGAAATGGGATGAAAGTGTCTGAATCTCAAACCCGTTATACATGGTTCCTTGTAGTAAAGTGAGTTTTGCCACCTATTACCTGTGAGCTGAGGATTTAACTTCTCTAATCTCAGTTTCCATCTCTGTACTTAGGGGAATATTAATAGCATACACCTGGAAAAACAATGCGGCTTAAAGAGAGGTGTAAGGTGTTGAGAGAAAAAGCAGCTCAGTCAATGATAACAGGTGATTTTATAGTAGGTTCAGTCACAGGAGGAAAGAGGTGACTATTTCAGCTTTTAGTTGCAATATACTGGATCAAGACCGGTAATAGAAACAGCCTGTGTTCCATGAGGCCAGGAACCCAGATCTGCCACCTGTTAGTTGAGTTGAATAGCACAGAAATTGTGTCCATCTTCACACAGGCTTGATTTGTATTCTGTCTAAGCAGTGGTGTTCCTTTACATTTTTGTTTCCTATAGAATTCTGAAAGAGGTACCACAGCCCTAACAGTCTTTTTCTAGGCCCAGAATACAAAGGAAGCAGTCTGGATTAGGAATAGCAGTGAAATATGCATGCGCTTTTTCACAGAGGTTATTGCCATAAATCGCAACTTAGAGCCAGGCTTCCCTTCCAGGTCTGACACCAGAACCTCTTTTCTTTATACCCCACCCTGTTGCCTTCTAGAAGCTCTCACTTCTGCCCTTTGCTCCACTATTTACCAGCTGTGATTTAAACTTGCTGAACTTCAGATTTTTCGTGTGAAAAATGTGACTGCTTGTAAAATGCATCAGAAGTAGTTTGGTGCAGCAGTTAAAAGCTGAGGATATGGCATGGGAAAACCAAGTTCAAATCATACCTCTACCACGTAACCATATATAAGACTTTGGCAACCCACTTTACTTCTGATGCCTTAATTTCCTCCTCCACAGATGAGAATAATAACAGTCACTATTGTCTAGGGTTATTGTTAGAAACTAATAAGATATGATATCTTGAATCCCTTTTACTTTTATCTATATTTGACAATAAGAACTAATTGAGTGTATTTGATGATAAAATCCTTCTGAGTACTTATTAGGTGTTATTTAATTCTCACCACAACCCTATGAAATAGGCATTATTATTTACTAAAATAAGTATTAACATTTATAAATTATTTGTAGAACAAAAACAGTCTTGGAAATGTATGTTCAAAATAAATACTAAATCATTCAGTCTGGAGTAAGAAAAACTTTTCACTATCTAGCAGTGTGATTCGAAACCCAATACAAAAGAGATGAACATATCCCACTCTTGGCTACAGGTATTCCCATAATTTCAGCTGGCACTACCATAACAAGAGTGCTAACATATAGTCCTCCTGCAAGTGAAAGTGCAACTAAGGACCTTTGTTTGGTGAGGCTAACAGCAGAGAGCTGTAAGTGTGGGTCAAAAGATGATGAGATGCCTGGCCCAAGTAGCAAGAACAATTTCTGAAAACAGAATTTGCCCTAGATCAAGGGCATGGAACAACATGGCAAGTTCGGTTAAAAGTCATTTGTAAAATAAGAGCATTGTTAACCAGGGAGGGAGTCTCAGAGATTATTTGGTTCAAATTTCTCTCTAGGAAAAAACAGCTATACAGTGTTCTTTGCAGATGAGCATCTATCGTCTGCTTAAGAGGGGCTTTTCGTTGCCTTACAGGGCTGCATACTCTCTTGTTGGACAGCTGTGATGGTGTATTAGTTTTCTGTTGCTGCATAGCAAACTCAGTGTCTTAATACAACACAGATTTACTGTCTCAGTTTTTATGGGTTGGGTATTCAGTTAGCTGGGTCCTATGCTGAGCGTCTTACAAGACTAAACTCAAGGCGTCACCTGAGCTGTGCTCCTTCTGGAGCTAAGAGACCTCTTCACACTCATATGGTTGTTGGCAGAATTCGGTTCCTTGCGGCCTTAAGATGGGGGGCCCCCATTCTCTTGCTGGTAGTCAGCTGGAAGCGACTCTCAGTCTTAGCAACCACTCCTTACCACAGGGCATCTTCCATCTTCAAAAATGCAACGTAGAACCTCCCTTGCATCAGACCTCTCTCGTGCTTTAACTATCTCTGACTTCAGGAAAGGCCCAGTCTCTTTTAATGAGTCACCTGATTAGGTCAGGTGTACCCAATCTCCATTTTTATTAACTCCATTGAGTTCATGTGGATTATACCTGTAAAGTCCCTTTTTCCATAGAACATAATATAATAATAGGAGTCCTAGCTTCTCATATTTACAGGTTCTGCCCACACTCAGCTAGAGGGGATTATACAACAGGAACGGTGATCACAGGGGTGTCATGTTAAGTTTCTGCCACCACAGATGATTAGGAAGTTCTGGCAGGTGCGGTGGCTCACACCTGTAATCAGCACTTTGGGAGGCTGAGGCAGGCAGATCACGAGGTCAGGGGATTCAGACCAGCCTGGACAACATGGTGAAACCCTGTCTCTACTAGAAATACAAAAATTAGCTGGGTGTGGTGGTGTGCTCCTGTAGTCCCAACTACTCAGTAGACTGAGGCAGGAAAATCGCTTGAACCTGGGAGGCAGACGTTGCAGTGAGCCGAGATCGTGCCATTTCACTCCAGCCTGGGCAAGACTCCACCTCAAAAAAAAAAAAAAAAAAAAAAAAGGGGGAAGTTCTGCCATAAGGAAAATAAATATGGCTGGAATCTACCAACCCCTACTTTTGTTCTCCACAGCAGCCTCTCAACTCTTGGAAGACAAACATTATGACTGTTCTTTGGGAAACTGTTTCTAATTTCTTTTAAACAGTTCTTACTTACGATATGCAGATATTCCTCCAAATACACTATACTTCTTGAAATTTCTCTCTAAGTATGAGTTTTAGAATTAAATGTAACTTCCTAGATTTTTCCTAAAAAAATACAGATTATGGCAGAACTTTTATTTATTTCTTCTATTCTGAAGAACAGGCTTTTACTAAGGCATTCCAGGGCTAATTTTTTATAGCTACATCACATTGGCAAATAAAATTCAGCACATCAAATAAAGCACTTCAATTACTTTTTCATGTACAACTACCAAACCCAAGTCACTGATACCCTCACCTTGTTTTTTGAAAATAACTTAAAACAAAAACTCAATAATGAGGTCTGTTACATTGCATCTTGCCAATTTCTCACCTACAATCCAGCCTAGACAAATTTTTGAATCTTGATTCTGTCACCTATATTGTTGTTCTTCCCTTATAGCTAGGTGTCAGTTGAAGATTGATAAGCTTACCTTTACCTCATTCAACCTGATAATATACATGTTGACTGAAAACAGGAGAGAGCCAACAGGGCTGACTTTCAGTTTCAATTTTTACTTTTCAGTTTTAATCCTTTGAGTGGTTTTTTTGAGGGGAAGTTCTTTATTGGAGGACAACCTTGTGTATGTAAGATACATTACATTGTATATGTAAAATAATCTACATGTTTAAAATTCCTGATTTTTCTTTTTCTTATTTTTTTGAGATAGAGTCTCACTCCATTGCCCAGGCTGGACTGCAATGGCGTGATCTCGGCTCACTGCAACCTCTGCCTCCCAGGTTCAAGCGATCTCCTGCCTTAGCCTCCCAAGTAGCTGGGATTACAGGCAGCTGCCACCATGCCCAGCTAATTTTTTTTCTTTTATTTTTAGTAGAGATGGGATTTTGTCATGTTGGCCAGCCTGGTCTCAAACTCCTGACCTCAGGTGATCCACCTGCCTCGGCCTCTCAAAGTGCTGGGATTACAGGCGTGAGCCACCGCGCCCAGGCAATTCTTGATTTTTTTTTTAACAACTCATCACATATTACTTGTTTTCTCAATGATAGCCTCAAACAATGATCATTCTTTACATCTTAACCAGAAAAAAGAGAACATATCCTCAACACCAATCTCACTTAACATATGTATTCCTGCATTTTCTAATTATTTTTGCACTTTGTAACTCTTGATCCCTTGTACATAAATGAACCACTTATTTTTCATAGCCCTTTCCATATCTCGCATGTGGCCCTCACAAAACTTGTGAGTCAGGAGAGCTAGTGGTATTGTTCTTAGGTAAAGAGTCAAGGCCAAAGAGGTGTCCACAACCACATGATTAGCAGCTGAGCCTAGACTAAAGCCCAGGTTTGCTCTCTCAGAGTCCAGGGCTCTGCCACTGTTCAGCAGAAGAAAATTACTTCGAAGCAAAATGCACCTTTGTCAGTTCTGTTTTGTCCACACCAAGCAGCCATTTTGCCTTCTGGGGCTGCTGTGATGTGTAATTTTGACATTTTGTTGGTGGGTGTCTGTGCAGAAGGGGAACACAGATGGAATTGCTGGGCTTTGCAACTGATATGAATGAAGCAGCACTTGTGGCTCCAGTGGGGTCAGAATCAAAGTCATCTTCAGAAAGCAAATGCAGCCTGTGGTCACGGGAGCTGCTGAAACAGAGGCTGATATGCACACAGTGTGCCTCCAGACAAACCAGGCTGAGAAGAGCCGTCATGATTATTTTTCCTCCCAGCAGGGTAAAATGATAAAATAATACCTATCGGTCATTGAGAACGTTCCAGCCTTCCTATGGAGGTTCCAGTGGTCAGGAGATAATCTGTGCATGTATTTGCACACACACACACACACACACACACAGAGAGAGAGAGAGGAAAGATTCCATGGGTGCATAAGTGTGGGAAATAAGGTGCATTGTGGCTGGGTGAGGTGGCTCATGCCTATAATCCCAGCATTTTAGGAGTTCGAGGCAGGAACATCACTTGAGCCCAGGAGTTTGAGACCAGCCTGGAAAACGTAGGGAGACCTCGTCTCTACTGAAATTTTTAAAAAATTAACCAGCTGTTGTAGCGCATGCCTTTGGTCCCAGCTATATGGGAGGCTGAGGCAGGAGGATTGCTTGTGCCTGGGAGATTGAGGCTGCAGTGAGCTATGATCACACCACTGCACTCCAGCCTGTGTGGCAGAGTAAGACCATGACACACACACACACACACACACACACACACACACGCATACATAGTGCTATATAGTGCACTGTAATGCCCCCTTAAGAGATCACAAAAAAACATAATATAGATATGGTTTGAATGTGTTCTCCAAGGTTCTTGCGCTGGGAGGTGGGGCGAATAAGAGGTAATTAGATTACAAGTCTCTGCCCTTGTGAATGTTGTTTTCACCCTAGTGGGTTAGTTATTGCAAAGTGGGCTCATTATAAAAGCAAGTTGGGACCCCTCTTACTCTCCTGCTCTCTCGTGCTCTCTTGCCCTTTTACCTTCCACCATGGAATGACACAGCAAGAAGGCCCTCACCAGGTGTGGTCCCTTGACCTTGAACTTCCCAGCCTCCAGAACAATAATAAATAAATTTATTTTCTTTATGAATCACCCAGTCTGTGGTCTTCTGTTACAGCAGCACAAAGCAGACCAAGACAAATATACTCAAGATTTGAGAAGCCCTGCTGTTACCTGTGTACCCGTTTCACCCAGTATTTCTCAAACCTGATAGGGAAGGAGAACAGGGAAACTTCTTATATAATACCTACTGCAGAAGATATGTTTAGAAAAGCTGTATTACCTCATTTAATCCTCACCACAATCCCAAATGGTAGGTATTAGAGAGGTCAAATAACTTGCCTAACAGAACTAGAATTCAACCCAGGTCAGCCTGAAGCCAAATCCCATTCCATTAAGTATGGAGCTATATAACCTGGAGGCTTCAGATTTATTTCGGGTCTTATGTTTTGAAGGCTCCTGTGGGCTCTTAGTGAAGCTATGGGTCCTGAGACCTCTGGAGAAGACAAGAAAAACTGACTGCAAAGGGAGAGGCTGAGGGAAACACCTGGGCAGGGCAGATTTTTAGGAAAAAGGCAGGTGAAGAAAAGGAACCTATTAGAGCTAGATAGTAGTGAGGAGGGTGGGAAGTGGATGGGAGTAGGTTGGAAAAAACAATAAAGACCTGTACAGTGAGAATATTGATTGCAGGGCTGTTGTAAAGTTTTGGGTAAAATGAAAACCTGTGTGTCAAGCACCTAGTACCGCACCATGCCCAGGACAGTAAGCACTACCAGGATGAGAACAGGAGATGGGAATGATAACAGGGTTCAGCTCTAGAGGCCAGTGCAAGGCTTTATCTCCATGCTGAGCTCAGCAGAATCACGCAAGACTGAGCTTGCATAATCTCACAGCATCGCCCCTCCATCCACTTAGGCTCTTCATGGGTGTTTGATTGAAGGAGTTCATTATTTGCCTCGACTGTCTCTAATTTTTACCACAGTGACTCTCACGATCACAACGGATTGTTCACTTGAAATAATGAATGCGAGTAGAAGTTAGACCGGGCCACAGGGAATCTTCGGGGAAGGAAGAGCAAGTGGGGCGAGGCTGTCAACATCAGAGAGCGACAGCCCCCAAGGCTGGGACTAAACCATGCCCAGGTTTACTTTGACCTACTGATTGTTTTCAAAAGATGAATTTGTTTTCAAAATTTATCATCAGGCTACATCACATAAAAAGTCAGATTTCTGGCTTCCCTCGATTTATTTATTTTTTACCTTTTAGATTTAAAAACATCTATTTCTAGAGTCTGGGAAGTCCAAGATCAAGGTGCTGGCAGATCCAGTGTCTGATGAGGACCCTCCTTCTGGTGCATAGACTGCCATCTTTTCTCTGTGCCCTCACATGGTAGAAGGGACAAGGGAGATCTCTAGGTTCTCTTTTCTTTTATTTATAAGAAAAACAGGCTTTTGCTATGTTAACCAGACTGGTCTTGAACTTCTGGCCTCAAGAGATCTTCCCACCTTAGCCTCCCAAAGTGCTGGGATTACAGGCATGAGCCACCATGCCTGGCCAGGGGTCTCTTTTCTTTTTTTAATTTCCAACTTTTATTTTAAGTTCAGGGGTACATGCGCAGGATGTGCAGGTTTGATACTTAGGTAAAAGTGTGCCATAGTGGTTTGCCACACAGATTGACCCATCACCTAGGTGTTAAGCCCAGCATCCATTAGCTATTCTTCCTGATGCTCTCCCTTCTCCCATCTCCCACCTTCTGATAGGCCCCAGTATGTGTTGTTCCCCATCCGGCTTCCTTCTAAAAGGCTAGCAATTGCAAGATCAGTTCAGCAATTGCCTGGAGCTAAGTCACAGCTTCCACAGTTCGGTCACCCCAGCTCCCTCAGGCCTAGCGGAGTCTGTGGATTACCTGATCAACCAGAATAGGATTTGCATCTGTGCTCTACGCCCCAGAATTCTGAAAAAGAAATCTAGAGCCATCTCCCCTTCCCCACAATGAGTTAAGCTTACTTGGATTCCTAATAGACATTTCTGGTGAGTGTCTGTAAAAGGGTTTGATCACCTGCAAAAATGAAGAAAACTGGGGCACCTGGCTCATTATTTAATCCTATGATACCAATGTCCTGTTTGTGAGTGAGAGAATTAAAGTATCAGGCTATAAACTTTACAAATAAAGCAACTAGTTAGAGAAGAATAAAGAGCAATGTAATTTTTCATGCACTCTTATCTACATGTTGAAAACATCAGAGCTAACAGAATTGTTCAGCAGTGAACACAGGTGAATAGATTTTCATTCTTTAAAAGCTTTAATTCTGAAGATTTTAAAGTGCTGTGCTATTGTCAAGCTTAGCGTGCTACAATAATGCAAGCCACAAATATGAGCTGCCTTCTTAATATTAACGTTCCTAGCAGCCACATTAAAGATGTAAAGAGAAGCAGGTGAAATTTTTACCTAAGCTATCTAAAATATTGTCATTTCAATGTGTAAACAATATAAAAATTATTAATAAGATGTTTTACTTTTTTTTACTAAATTCTTCAAAATCTGGTGCGTATTTTACACATAAAGCATATTTTGTGTGGACTAGCTACTTTTCTAGTGCTCAGAAACTACACGTGGCCCATGGCTGCCTTATTGAACAACATAGATGTAGATGAAATCATATGTTTTCCTTAGAGTAGCAAACAGGGATAGGTGGAGGGAGAGCCGGTATGGATTTGCCCCAGATCTCACAGGGAACCAGGATGCCAGCCAGGAAACTGACATCATTCTAATCTACAAACCATGTTCTCCAAGTTCTTTGGGGCCCCCAAATGTGCCCTCACTCTGACCCTTCCCCTGTCTGTCTCTGTCTCCTTTCTTCATTGTCTAGCTGGAGCCACTGTTGTATGGTGAACAGCACAGGATGTGGAGAAGGAGTCGGCTGGATTCCCAGCCTGTCCCTTGCAGGCTAATGACCTTGGGCAAGTTATTTAACCTCCCTGGTCTCAGATTTCTTTTCAATTAAATAGGATTAGTTCTTTCATCACTGAGGTCTGAGGATTATATAAAATCATAAATATAAACACCTCAGCACCAAATAAACACTATAGTTTTCAACTTTTTAATTATTATTTTTAAATGTGTGTGTGTGTGTGTGTGTGTGTTTGATGAAAACAAGAGTGGGGAAAAAATTGGAGACATGAGAAATGTTTAAAATATGTGTTAAAAATCCCAGGCCACATTCTACTCCTTCTTTAGTAATTGATGCTTAAAACTTCTCTCTGCGCTTATAAAAAGCATGACTTCAGCCCAGAGCCCCCTAAGCCTAGGTTATGCATACATACCCAAAGCACGAGAATAAAAAAGAGTTCTTGTTTTCAATAGAGTTTGTTCCATCACATAGCAATCCAGATAATAAGGGGGAGACACCCCACTGAGCACCATGCGGGGCTCTGCAAATACTGTAAATGTGCGAGGAAACATCACAGGTTCATATGAAGATGGCAAGAATTCTATCATCCAGAGGTCACAAGTTTCTCAGCCCCTGCAGGTTTCCCCACAATAAAATGGTGCTTTGCAGCCCTTAAGGAACCTTACCAGACTGAAACCTTTCAAGGTCCTAAAGCCTGAAGCATAAATGCTACACTCTATTTTCTAATTCAGCTGTAGCCCATACTCACCGCCTTGGGCTCTTTGAGAAGACTAATAAAATAAAGGGAAGACTCACCAGTTCATCCTCCTCTCCCTGGTTGAGCAAAGCCCGATGGTCCTTCTTACTGTTCTCTTCCATCTGAACTCAACCGGCGAGGATCTCTTCTGGCTAACTCCTTGGAGAAATGTCAAAATCCCTTGGGCTTCTGTGAACTTGGAATCGTCACAACTTGTGATTGCTCTTCCCAGGCGCTTTTAAAATCTCTTAGTACACACCTTGCCTATTAGACTAACAAAGGAAAGAGAGAAAATCTTCTCAGGAACAGGATTGGTCTGTTAATCTGGTTATTGTGGGTTTTTTTCCTAGTGTTTGTTTATTGAGCTAGATATGAGTGCCTCAAGACCTGAGGAATGACGGGGGAAGAAGTTGGCAAACTAGAAGGAGAAATCATTTTGTATGCGATCCATAAATGTCTCAGCCAAGGAATGAGAATAGTCACTTTGCTAAAAACCTAAGATAAAAGGATTAGCCAGTGAGAGATGTATAAAAACCCTGCAGACTTTGAAAAAGTAATGAACATATTGGGGGTGACAATGAGAATTGAAGGAAGGGAGGTAGGCTCATGATAGAGAATGTAGGAATCATTTTGGAATTAGAAAAATCTGAGTTCTAATCCGTGCTTCACTGAAGACCCTGGACAAATCACTTAAAATCTGGAATTTCAGTTTCTAGTACATAAAATGTCAATAATAACTATACAGTAATATAAAGATTTAAGATGATAGTCATAAAAAGCCAACGATAGCACCCACCACAGTCACTAAGAGAGAAATAATCATCATCATAATCATTACACTAACCAAGAAGAAAGAGGCTTTAAAAAGTAAACTATATTAATAACTTGATTCTTTTCATTTTCTCTTTAGAGTTTACAAAAGTTTTCAAATGAGCAAAGTATGTGGAGGGAAGAGATGCTAGAAAGTCCGAGGATTAAGGATATAGCCCAAATTTCAACACCACTGAATTTGATATTTTGATTAGAAAATAGGTATACTGTGATCCATTCCAGAGTCAGTTAATTTGTTTGTGATGAAAACTTTTGTCATTTTATTGGCTCTTATTGTATCCTTGCACTTTGACTATGGAAGAAAATTTGCTGGGAATGAAAACTATTAGGGATGATACTTGGCTGTTTCTGCTGACTGAAATAGACACTGATTGCCTTGAGCAGGCATAAGTGTCCAACTTGGTGTTCAGGAGAGATCAACGTGCTCTCTGGCCAGGAGAAAGTGGCTGATGAGAATAAACAGGAAGACAACTAGAGCTCTTCATGCCAGAGGCTCCCGAGGTACCCATACTGAAGTATAATGTGCCGGTGTGAATGTTGCCTTGTAAGTAGTACCAATCTAAGGTAAAATGCATATTTGAAGAAAGGAGTTCTGGATTTTAGTAAAACTTCATTAAAGACACGAGTGGTGGCTATCATTCACTTCTTACCCATCCGCTATTTACTTGTATTTCTTGCTGAAAGAACCCCAACTTTGTGCAGCATGACTTCAGCTAAAAGCACCAAGATGAGTCAATGATTTGTCTATGGGTCGGCGTGTGGCCCAGTTCTAAACAATGAAATAGAAGAGAAAGACATGGTCTTGTGGGAAAGGTTATCTTGTTGATGAAACAGAGAGAAGAACATTTTTTTCTGTCTTCCCCTTTCTGCCTTTCTTTGAAAGTGATCCATGAAAATGCAATGCTTGGAGCATGGTAGCCATCTTTAGGTGGTGAGGAGGATGCAAATCACCATGAAAATTACGGTGAGAAAAGGACAAAAGAAGTTATATGCCTATAACACCACTGATTCATGGACCTACCTACCCCTAAACACCACATTAAATACACAATTAAACATTCTCATAAAGCCACTCTTGCTTGGGTTTTCTGTTACATATAGTCCAAAGATATACATAGCACTGGTCTTGACTCCATTCCACTTTTACTCAACAATTATGTACTGGAAAACAGATGTTCCAGACATTGTGCTAGGCCCTCGAATACAATGGTGTAAAGGAAAGAGCCCCTATCCTGAGAGAGTTTATAGTTACTTGGGAATGACAGATAACTAAGCAGCCTCTTAATTGGGAAATATACTAAACTCAGATTTAATGGAATACAAACAGGTTCCCAAAGGAAGTGACATTTATTCTGACATCTCAAAGATAAGCAGAAGTTAACAGATAGAAAGAATGGGGGATAGTGGCATCTGGTGAGCACAGTCTAGGCTGGGAGCAGAAGGTGTGGAAAGGGTCAAGCGAGGTGGGAAAGGAGCACCTATTCGGGGCATTAAGGGGAATAAAAGTAAGACTTGAGACTAGAAAGATGGGAAGTGATGAGTAATAATTATGATGGAGATGCAAACAAAGGTGTGCTCAAGAAGAGCTTGTCAACCATGGCGAGCTGGACTCTTGTCTGTCCACCGGCCAAGACCCAAGGCCTCAGCTCCTTCCCACTGAGGAACCAACACTCTTTGCCCTGTACAAGTACAAAATACCCACTTCAAATTAAAGTCTTTGAATAATCCCAATGCTCATAAATGTCTTGGAGGCACTGAGCTTCCAGGTCCCAGAGATGTGAATGCTGACATTGGGCCCATTTACCATATGATGGATTCATCAGGGCAAAGTTTGTATTAGATAATCTCGAGGGTCTTTAAGTACTGAGCATTGCTTTAGCCACCAGAGGACAAGCTCTGTGAAGAAAGTAATCACATGGCATTAAACCCTGCCTCCTGGAAGGTCTGCAACAGACATTATAGCTTATAGGACCTAATGCCAGACCCCCATAAGCAACGTGAAGATCCAGTCATGCCTCAATGGCTTAGCCAGTCCCTTGTAGGCACATGGGTGGAAGAGTCACCTTTTATGTTTATACACGTGCTGGAGGGTTGAGGGCATCTCTTCTGGGAGAAGCAGCCTCAGGAATGGTGGCAGTGGCCTCTTCCGGATCACACTAGTATTTCTAGCCATAGAGTTCAGGAGGTCATAACTTAAGCTGGAATTCTTTAGATCTTTTCCATCTGAAGAGGTCAGATTCCCTGTTGCCTATGACTAGAAGCAAAACTGCATCCTGATGAACCACAAAGGCAAACTCTGTCCTAATAAGAAGGAAGCTGTCAGCACCATACAGCATAAGAGCAGGGGCCTTCAGAGACAAGAAGGGAGGGAAGAGACCAATGAAAGACTCAGAAAGGAACAAAGAGTAAAATGTCCACTTCACACAGGGGCCTGAAGAACTGATCATCCCTCAAGAAGCAAAGTCATAGACTGCTGAACAGCTTTCCTATCAGAGTGAAGCCAGAGGAAGTAAATGACTGAGAGAGTGTTTCATCTTCTTCCACAATCCCTGACCTGGAACACAATTTCCAGAAAACAAAAAGATGGGCAAATTTTGCTTAAAGAGGCACAGTGAGATAACAGCAGATCCAGGGCTCAAGCCCGGTTCCCTGCCTCACAGTCCAGCGTATTTCCACCAAGAAAGGCTACCTGCTCTGCTGCTGTATTTTCTCTAGAACTCTGCTCTGAATGCTAGAGAGGTGAGGGACATGGGGATGACATGGATTAGGGAGAGAGGGCGTGTCACCACCTCTAGTCCACGAGGCTTATTCGACGAAGACACAATGGACGTGGTGAGGTTGGTTAGAACCATACCTCACCCTCCTATTTGGCAGAGACAAGATTCTCATCCCCTATTTTCCCATGAAGTAAGGGGGAAACTTATCCAGAGTTGGATGTCTTCTCTAGATTTTCAAGCTCTCTTGATATTTTTCTCCACCCATTAAATGGAGTCCTACTGGAACATTCTATCTTGGAGATCCAGGCTCCTTCCATCTGTGGCTCCACGATTTTCAACACGTGGCTTCCAAGGCTGCCTTGATTATATAAAAGGGGGACTTCATGGAGGATAGTAAATAAAAGTTTCCATGGACTCATCCTGGAAGAGTTACTCTGAACTTACGCTAGAAGATTGATTAGAACTCAGTTAGGTGACCACATCTACTTGCAAAGTTGACTAGGAGTGTGGTCCACCAGTGTGGCAGGAAGAATAGAAAGTGGGTTTGGGGTTACCTAGCCACACAGCCCCAATGATCATCTGAGAGACGGGTGAAGATAGATCAGCCTAGATCTCAAGGGACCCTGGTGAGTCTGGTGAGAGAACAAAATCAAGCAGAGGTGACTGCCACACATGGCAGAAGTGATGAAGGCCTGCATGACTGCAGAAATAAAGAGCATCTGTGGAAATCTGAGAGGTTCTACATCTGGTAACAGGGTATGGAGTGGCCTGTGATACCTGACTGAGTGACAATGCCAGAAGCTCTTTGCAAGAACCACAAAGGTTAAGAAAATACTTGAATTTTGATACACGACTTGTCCTCTATCTGAAATATGGAATCACATGCCCTCTCTTGAATTGCACTCAGTCTATTCATAAGCAGAGCCAACCAACCCTTGCTTCTTTCACCCCTAACCACCACTGAATCAAAATAACTCACACATTCTCTACAGATTTGAACAAAATAGAAGGAGCTCCCTTTAGAAACACAAATATGGGCTGTTCAAGGTGAAAGTATGATTGTAACCTTTCCCAATCCCTACCTCAAATTTCTATTTTGGAGATCAGCAAATTGAGAATTTGGTGATATGTAGCAAGCCTTAGATGAGTAGAAAAAAAATTATATCTTGTCTGGGTACACACATACAAAAACCCCAAACTGTAAATGGAGGCTTCCTGTATTATTCCTTAACCTCTACTTGTCCTGTTAATTCATTTAACAAACAGCTTCTAAGCTTATCAGACTAGTGTTAAGACTGAAGCGGGGGTGGGCAGAAATGAATCAGATGACAATCCTGCCGTTAATGAGTTGATAGGCTGGTAAACAAAGAATAAAAGAACACGACTCCACTATAGGAGGAATAATGGAATGGGCCAGAGAGGGTGGCCAGAGAAAAGGCTAGAAGAGAGAGAGAGGCATGGAGTCTAGCTGCTCAAAGGACTAACAAGTGTGTCTAGCCTAGCAGCTTATTTACCTGCTTGGGGTCACAGAGAACTTTGAGAATCTGAGGAAATGTGCAGGTTCCCCCCTCCCCAAGAATAATGCACATATGCACATGTGCAGAACATTTTACTTAGGTCAAATTTGCCTTACGCTTTAGATGGTTCAAAGGTCTCTTCATTTTATGCTTCTTCATTAATTTCCTGAACAAATATGTATTGAGGACTTACTTCCTATTAGACGTTGTTCAAGGTGTTGAGAGGACAGCAGTAATCAAAGCAGATAATGTTGACTTCTCAGGGAGCAGGAACTGACTGACAAAGCAAGTAAATAAGTAAAACCCACAGTTTGACAGATAGTGATATTGCCACGGAGAGAAATCAGGTTAAGAAAGTGAAGAGGCAATGCTGGTGGGGGTCAGAAGTGAGGGGAGTGGGGAGTGGAAGGGCATGTGGAGTTGCATGTTAAGTAAGGTGGTCCGCTTGTTGAAATCAAGGCCCAGCACTGTACTACAGTCCTGTTTTATTACAGATTATTACAGTGAACTGAATGGGTACTGAGGCTTCACCAAAGACATACTTTTTTGGTTTTTGTTTGTTTGTTTGAGACAGAGTCTTGCCCTGTCCCCCAGGCTGGAGTGCAATGGCATAATCTCTGCTCACTGCAACCTCCACTTCCCGGGCTCAAGCGATTCTCCTGCTTTAGCCTCCCAAGTAGCTGAGATTACAGGCACCCACCAGCACGCCCAGCTAATTTTTGTACTTTTAGTAGAGATGGGCTTTCACCATCTTGGCCAGGCTGGTTTCGAACTCCTGACCTCAAATGATCTGCCCACCTCAGCCTCGCAAAGTGCTGAGATTACAGGCGTGAGCCACCACACCCAGCCCGTTGCTGTTTTAGGAATAATTATACCAATTTTAAAAGCATTCCCCCCACCTGTCCCCACAGACCCAAACAAAATGTGGTGGTGTTGTCTTCAAAAAAGAGAATTTTTGTGTCATTAACATGATGGAAGAACTTTTTTAAAAACGTAACTGTCAAGTATTCTATTTGCATTTAGGAGACTGTTCATCTATGCTAGATTGTCATTTTCCCTCCTTCTCCCACAAAAGTTTACTGGGAATCCATGTCGTGGCTCATAGCTATCCCTCTAACCATACCATGGAAACGCAGGCACCCAATGTGAAAAGGAGCATTTGCTGGGCATCCCTGACACCATTCATGTTTTACTCATATTTGAGTAATCAACACATCTAGAATTATCTTGCATTGCCTAAGTCATATGTATATAGTGAATGTTATATAATATACCTGGCAGGTGTGTTTTAATTGAATTGAATAAAGATACAAATACTTTGTAAAAATATTAATAATAACAAGGTGGTCAGGGAAGACACTACAAAGACCGGAGGAGCTAGGGGCACATGGCTACCTGGGCAAAGAGGGTTCTGAGTAAAAGGAATATCAGGTGTCAAAACCCCGAAGCTGGTGGCCAGGAAGGAAGCCAGAGTGCCCAGGGCAGTGTGCACAGCCAACAGAGTCACAGGATCCCAGGAAGCAAAGCGAAGTTGTGGACATATTTGGCACGCAGAGAAGATCGTTCTTTATGTCCCCCTTGTCTAGGTGATAAATTTTTTAAGTGTGAGATAGAATTAATAGCAATGGCCAGAAAATAAACATAGAGAGTAAAATGGTCTTTTATTGAATTTTGTATACGTAATCATGCCAGTAAAAATGATTTTTAAAAATAAAAAATAAAGATTACTGTACATAAAGAAGTAATCAATACTTTTCAACTATACTAAGATATTTTTTACTAAAGGAGAAAAATGTATACATTTTAATTAATAATAACATTATAGCAACTAATAAATGAATTTTAATGTAATGAAAACAGAGGCAAAAGGTAAAATTTGGGCAATTATTAAATCATTTCACTCATGGAACATTTTATTTTCTTGACCCATACTTTTTTCAAAAAGCGAACAAAAATTTGAAAAGCAAAATAAATCTCAGTTTTAAAGATATTATTTTTGAGACGGAGTCTCGCTCTTGTTGCTCAGGCTGGAGTGCAATGGCGCGATCTCAGCTCACCGCAACCTCCGCCTCCCGGGTTCAAGCGATTCTCCTGTCTCAGCCTCCCGAGTAGCTGGGATTAGAGGCATGCACCACCAAGCCCGGCTAATTTTGTATTTTTAGTAGAGACGGGGTTTCTCCATGTTGATCAGGCTGGTCTTGAACTCCCGACCTCAGGTGATCCACCCAGATATTATTCAAATTCAGAAATATATTTCAAGTATGAACTAAAATGTGCACTTACCATAAAAAAATGACAACTTAGAATGTGCACTCTGTCTTCTTCTATTTGTGAAGAAGATCCCCGGAAGAAAAACCTCTAAGACAACTAGACTAAATTGGAGCCAGGGAATGGAAGTCTGAACAGTATGGAGAGGGAATTAGATTTTATATTATCGCCAAAAAGCAACCACTGGAGGTTCAATAGTAGTTCTTCAACTTATTCGGCTCTCCTCAGTTAAATTCTGCCCATAACTGTGGAAAACTGCCATATGCAAAACACTATTCTAGGTCCTAAAATGAGGATCCATAGACGAATAAGGTACAAACCTTGCCCTTGAGCTCAGTCTACAGGAGCCATGCTCTCAAGTCCAAGTCTTACGTATTCTCTACTTTTCCTCCAGCTGCTCTTGTGTCCTATTTTACAAAAGAATCTTTGGCAAGCTCATCTCTCCTTGCCAGGTTCAGGCGTGGCTTGTTACTGATATACATAGGTACCACCCATATAGGTATGACCATTCATTGTTTAGCAGGATCCTTTGAGGTGAATTCCTCTGATAGAAACTGGATGATTCAGAATCTGTTGCCAGAAGTTAGGAAGTTTGAAAGAGATTGATTCTTGGAATATATGCAGCTTCTGTTAGAAAGCAAGGCAGCCCATGGACTTCTGATTACAGCAGGTGAAGCTAAAGAAAAAAATATTCCCTTTTACCCACTCATAGCTGACTCCTCATCAATGAAGAAACAACTCCTCCACCTCTGCTAGTAAGTTTTCTCTGGATCTCTCATCACTACTCTTTTTTTTTTTTTTTTTTTTTTTTTTTTGAGATGGAGTCTTGTTCTGTCATCCAGGCTGGAGTGCAGTGGGGCAATGTCGGCTCACTACAACCTCTGCCTCCTGGGTTCCAGAGATTCTCCGACTTCAGCCTCCTGAGTAGCTGGGATTACAGGCGCCTGCCACCACACCTGGCTAATTTGTGTAGTTTTAGTAGAGACTAAAATGAGTTTCACCATGTTGGCCAGGCTGGTCTCAAATTCCTGACTTCAGGGGATCCACCCATCTCGGCCTCCCAGAGTGCCGGGATTACAGGCATGAGCCACCACACCCAACCTCATTTCTACTCTTATTCTAGGAATGGCTGTAGCTACCCTCCACAGGGGCAGAGACACAAGCTTAGGTAGCTGAGCTAGCTCTTCCATGCCCCTCATGGGAGTCAAGAACCAGAACTTGAACTAAATTCTGTGCTCTGCTTAGTTTTTATTGTAAAATGAGGCTTGATGTGTTGCAAATACTGTTAATATGTTGTGGATTATTGAAGCAATTTTTAAAATTTAATTCCTTGTGTTTTGGATTTTTTAGAAAACTGCCTTTTCAGTCATCGAATAAATATTAATTGATTTACTTTCTCATGGAGTCAATTCTATTTTCCAAATGCTTCATATGTCCCAGGTTGGGTGACCTTCACTGTCCTTGAGTCCAACAACTTTGCTTTGGGGACTATTCCCATAACATTTGATAAGTAAGTAAAGAATAGTTCTTAATACATTCAAGGAAAAGAGCCATTCATCTTCAAATCCAAGCACTTAGCATAGGGAGAGGCATATATAATTAGGTGCTCAAAAAATATTGTGTGATGAATAAATGACTCTTTTCCTACCTAGGGAATATGCTTTTCCTGTGTTACTCAGAGACAGATACCGTCTGCAGTCTGCTCAGATCTTCTTGGATGTCTTTGATGCCTTCACAGGCATTTGTGTGCTTTTCTTCTAATGACCTATTCTTCTGACTCTTTTCAGAGGGTTGCCCTTGAGCCCCTTTGACTGTTCTACCAAAGACCCGAAGTTTGCTCCCCACCCCCACCCTGCCCAGGCAGCCCTGAGCCAGTGACTGACAAGGCAGAAGTCTGAAGCTGTTTCCTTGCCAATAGTTGGGACAGAGTGAAGAAAGGTTTTCATTCCAAAGCTCCCTGGCAGCATCAGATTGAAATAAAGACTCTGCCCAAAATCACATTCTTACTTTTATTGTCTTTCACTCTCTTACCAGCTTCTCCTGGAAACACTTCCTTCATAAAATATTTATATATAAATCCAGGTCTTGCTGTCTGCTTCTGGGGAACTCAACTTAAGAAAAGAACTAAGCGTGTCTAATGTTTGTACTCACTACATCTGTAGGTACCGACAACCCGTTCTTTCTCTGGGGAGGAAAACCACCTGCCTCGTCCCATTCTCTCACCTCTTACTCAATTCTCTCACTTCAAAATCTACAGTGTCTTTTCTCCTTAATTTAAAATTGTCCATGTAACCATGCTGAGTTTGGTCTGACCATTCTTTCTCCTTAAGGTGTTAGAATTGTTCCAGGATAATTCAACAGGTCACCTTCTGTTCCTGGAAATCTGTTCACTATTGTCAAGGATTTTAAGCTTGTCAAAGCATATGCCATGTTGCCCCCGTGCTCTGTGTATTAGCTGCAGGGGAACAGAATGTCTGCTTAATTTAATATTCTGGAAGGCCTTCCACATGACTGGCCACAAGAACAAATCCACACAAACTCCCAGTTGTATGACTTGTCTGATGACAACAGTAAGTGCCAGTGATAATGACTGTCCAGTGTTAACTGTGTTTGTCAGTTAAGTCACCAACCTGCGTCAGACCAGTGGCCAAACACGTGCCCCAGTATAGTCGGGTCAATGCCTTGGTGAAGACTAAACTCCCACCTCTTCTCCCCTCACTGCTGCTAAAAACGCTCACAACCATTGAGACCAGTAAATGGTGCTGGGCAGAGGACAATAGCATTTCCGAAACTATTGTGGCTACTGAAAGAACAGGAGTTCAACTGTATTTGTGGATTCAAAAGAAGGAAGAAAACAGCTGTGATGAGGTGCGGTGGTTACAAAGATGGAGAATGGACAGAGGCCTTCCAGAATGAGTCAGATCACAAGATCTATCTTAAGGAGAATAATCTCTAAACTGATGTTGCAAGGCAAATTGATTTGTTACTACTCAATTGCAGATGATCTAACCTAGTTGGCGAGATGAGGATTTCCTTAAAATATTCAAACCAGAGAATGGTCCAGGATCAGTTATTCTTTTTCTCCCTTATCTGGAGGGTGGATTAGTTTGTGTATCTCAGAAACTGGAGTTTTTGGCTGGGCGCAGTGGCTCAAGCCTGTAATTCTAGCACTTTGGGAGGCTGAAGCAGGTGTATCACGAGGTCAGGAGTCCAAGACCAGCCTGGCCACGATGGTGAAACCCCATCTCTATTAAAAATACAATAATTAGCTGGGCATGGTGACAGGGGCCTGTGATCCTAGCTACTTGGGAGGCTGCAGAGAATTGATTAAACCCGGGAGGCAGAGGTTGCAGTAAGCCAAGATTGCGCCACTGCCCTCTAGCCTGGGTGACAGAGTGAGACTCCGTCTGAAAAAAAAAATATTGTGGAGTTTTTGCATAAATTTTCAACTAATTTGAAGAATACAAGTAACTAAACCCCATTCTGTGTTTTTGTCCATGGATCAAGGCAATGCTTTTCCCCATTGAACTCAGCCACCAGGTGATTGTTTTGTCAATAGTTCAGTACTTAGAGCTCTAACAAAGAGCAGGGATAAATGGGCGCACCTCAAGGGAGAGAAGTCTGTCAGCAGGATTTCCTTTCACCAGGGACTGCTTTTGTAATGTAAGGTAGAGAATGCACAGTGACAAACAGAATTTACAAAGGAAATGTACCACAAAAAGTTCTCTCAATGCAGGGTGAGTGGCAGAAAAAATTGTAGATGAGTCTCCATAGGGACAAGTGCAAGATAGCACATTTGAAAGAAAATAATCTAAGTTGTTCTTTTAGGACTATGGTTTCTAAACCTGATCCATCGTTAGATCACCTGGAGAGCTTGATAAAGATATAGCTCCCCAAGACCCATCCTAGAGATTATGATTCAATATATGTCTCATCAGGCTCAGGAATTTATTTCTAATAAGCTCCTTGAGGATTTTCATGATGGGTCAAGTTGGAGAGTCATGTTCCAAAAAGAAGCCTATGAATTTCTGTGGACTACTCTATGGAGAAAGTAAGCTATCACATGGCGTGACAGCAAAAACAACAACAACAACAAAAAAAAAACAACAAAACTAAACATAACCTACAAATATGTCCAAATCTGGGCTGTCTTGCACAGGTCTTTGCATCTCAAGGGAGATCTCATAGACTTGGAAATTATCCAGAAACTGCCAGTTTAAAAAACCATTCTTCAGGATAGTTAGATGATAGGATAAGAAGAGCTGCAAAAGAAAGCTTACTCATTCAAAGCATAAGTAGTGAAATCTGCAAACGAAGGCTAGAGGTAGGTTGCTCTGTATGTTATTTAAATAAAATAAGAATAAACAGTCTAAGTAAAACATAATTTAAACAAACAGCAAAACATGGATAACTACAATTGCATTAAAATAGAATTAAATGCATTCAATTCCTGGAAGTCAATAGTATGTTCACTAATTTCACTCATTCTTCATTCATGCATTCTTCAATTTGTTCTTTTACTGACTCCCACGACACAATAAATAGCTATATCATGTGTAAAGCCAAGACTTAAGAAGCTTCCTTAAAGTTTGAGAGATGAAGAAAAAGAAATTATGTGCCACATTTAATCTCCTTTGATTTTTGCTATTATCAATGAGATCATAAATAATATTTTCATACCAATAGCCAATTGGAGATATAGGAAAAAACAAATTGTTTTCCCTACTCTCACACACCACTCAACACAACACTTTTGACATCAGATGTAAGCCAAGCAGTTCTCCAGTGGACACCAGCTGGATGTCCTATGATACAATTGAATTCTGACCCTATCTGCCTAGAGATAGTACGAAATCCCACAGATTAAGGACTTAGTCTCAAAAGACTGCCCCAACCTCACACACCCATTGCAAGTTGTAGGTTGTCACCTATGCTTCTGACCAACTGGGTATAAACTGGGAGTCCCATTACCCCCTCCATGGGTTTGATTAATTTGCTAGGATGACTCACAGAACTCAGGAAATGCTTTACTTGTGTTTACCCGTTTATTAAGAAATATAATAAAGGATACAGATGAACCGCCAGATGAAGACATACACAGGCAAGGTCTGGCAAGGTCCCGAGTCCAGGAGCTTCGTCCCTGTGGAGTTGGGGCGCACCACCCTCCCTGCATGTGGATGTGTTTGCCAAGCTGGAAGCTCTCTGAGCCCCATAGTTCAGACATTTGTATGGAGGGTTTATCATGTAAGCATGACAAATTATTAGGTCCACTTCCAGCCCCTCTCCTCTCTGGTGAGTGGACAGTAGGGCTGAAAGCTCCAAGCTTCTAACTATGGCTTGGTCTTTCTGGTGGCCAGTTCCTATCCAGGAGCCCACTAAGAGTTGCCTCTTTAGAACAAAAGATGTTCCTATCACCAGGAAATTTCTAGGAATTTAGGAGCTCTTTATTAGGAATTGAGGTCAAAAGCCAAATACTAGAACAAAGGATTCCCCTGTCACCCATACCTGCACGGGTGTTAGGAGCTCTCTCTCAGAACCTGAACAGAGACTAAACATTAGAACAAAAGGTTCTCCTGGCATGCTTGTTGCTCAGGAAATTACAAGGGTTTTAGGAGCTCTGTGACAGAGACTGGGGTCGGGGATCAATATAGTATTTCTTACTATTTCACAGTGAAGGAAACCAAGACACAGACATAGTGACTAATTTGCTCAAAACGGCAACTCCGAGAAGTCTGGATTAGAACTCAAATCTGTCTGATTCCTAAACTTGTACCTTTAACCTGCCATATGCCACTGCCCCAAAAGGGTCACCTTTGAGATGAACTTTGTTGAAGAACTGTGTGGCCTCTAATGATAAGGTCAGACTTGGGACACTGGTCAAAGTCTGAGGCTTTGGCTAGCATGGCATCCAATGCCCCCAAGGCCAGTTCTGCCCCCACACAGGCCTACGTACAGCTAGACTCCTGCTGCCTTGAGCCACCCACTGTGCCCTGGGCCACCTGTGAAGCTCCCTGACTGCTGCACGAGACTGAGATGTGGGCAGACACAAAGATTTGGATTTTCCCATGTATAACTCTTGGCATCCAGACCACCTGGATTCCAGGAACCATCTAGGGAGTATCCAAGCCTACAAAATTATCCCCAGATCAAGTTACCAATTAGTCATGCATTGTGACTGAATTCCTGAGGCTATTTAAGCCTTTATGAAATTCTCAAGGCTAACCTTGGGCTGGGTCAAGAGAAAACTGGCTCGGCTTTCAGGAAGAGCACTCAGCCAGCTGGGAGTCACTCCATCTTGTATTGTGTTTAGTTCCTGAGCACACCAGGAACACATGGTGGCCCTGAGGCTCTGCGGTGCTTTCTGAGAGGATTCTCCCTGTGACCGTCCTCGTGCGGACTTTCACCAAGTGGGCATTCACCTTGTGGGGAGATGTCTTTCCTATCTTATAACCTGTGTTTCCGTGGCCATGTAAACCCGGGACCATAGTCAAAAATGGGACCCTGGAAACTCCACTGCTCTGGAGTCCCTCCTGAGTCATTGAGAGGTTCACAGGGATCCTCCGCACGTGCTGCACAGTGTGCTGTGCTCCTGTGACACCATGCCCTTCCCTCTCACAGTCTGTGTGGCCACAGGCCACTGCTTCGAGATTGTCACGGCTGCTTCCATGGTCAGGCTTGCTGGGGGCATTGCCTGACCCTGAGGTTGGTGGCAGGGGACCCCAGGCCTCCATGATGTGCACAGATACCCTGTATCATCCTTGGCCCTTCTCTATCTCTCTTAACCACTTTCTTTCTCCTTTAGCCGCTTATAGATATGCGAAGACTCTTTATGTCACCTGTACTTCTGTGTGTGACAGCATCAGCCACTAGAAACACACATCTCTTGGGTGGTGGCTCATGCCTGTAATCCCAGCACTTTGGGAGGCCAAGGTGGGTGGATCACCTGAGGTCAGGAGTTCGAGACCAGCCTGACCAACATGGTGAAACCCCGTCTCTACTAAAAATACAAAATTAGCCAGGCGTGGTGGTGGGTGCCTGTAATCCCAGCTACTCGGGAGGCTGAGGCAGGTGAATTGCTTGAACCCGGCAGAGGTTGCAGTGAGCCAAGATTGCACCATTGCCCTCCAGCCTGGGCAATAAGAGTAAAACTCTGCCTCAAAAAAAAGAAGAAAGAAAAAAAAAGAAACACACATCTTCCACTTGTGTTCCCACAGTCACATCACTGCCAGGTGACGGAGGCCACAGGGGGATTTTCTCCACCTTGCTTTTATTACACTCTGACATGCAGACCACAGATCACAGGGTGGATCTCTCTTGCGCATGCTTCATATATATGTATACACACACACACACACATACACGTATGTGTGTGTGTGTCTGTCTGTCTCTATCTCTACATAACTTTTTTTGTCATAGCTTTCTTTTCCAATGGTCCTTGCAAGAGTCCTAAAGATAGGGTGAAACCAGGCCACAGACGGAAAAATTCATACCCCATTGTCCTCAAACTTTGCGCTTTCCCTTATATCCAATGTTTGGGTTTCAACAAGTTTGTTTGGCTCAACTCTTTATCTTTTATCTTCTTTGGGGTTTAGTATCTTCCTATGTGGGCCCTTGCACTCTCATGCAAATAAGCCTGTGGTGTCTTCTACACATTGAGATAGTCTTTGTAGCACACACCTAACTCTTATAATTCCACACCACACTTCTACATCCTCACTATATAAATAGCCAAACTTATTAAACACAACATTGAAATCACTATACTTTATACTTCTAGTTGTTTTTATTCATAGCCCTATTGTTGAGTTAAGCTTCAGTGTACTGGATGAAAAACAGATGTTCACAGACAAAGGATGAGAAATAAATCAACAAAATATCCCAATGATTACATTTTTTATGTAATCATGTGACAGCTGCTTGCCGAGCCCCTAACCATAGCTCTGTGCTAGGTGAAGGATGGGAAGATGAGACAACTCAGGCCTGGCCCCTAGCCTCACAGAATGTACTCTCTAGTTGAAGTGGGGTTGGGTGGGTGGGAGATATGGTATGTTAAGGCACTACAGGACCATGATGCAAGGCAAAAACAACAACAACAACAACAACAAAACTGCATGCCACACAAAGGATAGATATGTAGAACGTGATGGTTGTGTAGAAAAAGAGAGCTTCTTTCTGGCTTGGCAGGTCAGGTGGTATTCTAATGGGATATTATTACTGAGAAATGAGTGGGATTTGGATGTGTCAAGATGAAAGTAAGAATTACTGATGCCCCAAAAGAGAAAACACGAGCCAAGGTATTACATTAGTCCATTCTCACACTGCTATGAAGAAATACCTGACACTGGGTAATTTATAAACGAAAGAGGTTTAATTGACTCACAGTTCTGCATCGCTAAGGAGGCCTCAGGAAACTTACAATCATGGTGGAAGGTAAAGGAGAAGCAGGCACCTTCTTCACAGGGCAGCAGGATGGAGTGAGTGGCAGCAGGGGAAATGACAGACATGTATAAAATCATCAGATTTTGTGAGACTCACTCACTATCATGAGAACAGCATGGCAGGAACTGCCCCATGATCCAATTACCTCCACCTGGTCCCACTCTTAACACATGGGGATTACGGGGATTACACTTCAAGGTGAGATTTGGGTGGGGACACAGAGCCAAACCACATCATGCTGCCCCTGGGCCCTCCCAAATCTCATGTCTTCACATTTCAAAACACAATCACACCCTTCCAATGGTCCCCCGAAGTCTTAATTCATTCCAGCATTAACCCAAAGTTCAAGTCCAAAGTCTCACCTAAGACAAGGCAAGTCCCTTCCAGGTACGAGCCTGTAAAATCAAAACCAAATTAGCTACTTCCTAGATATAATGTGGGTACAGGCATTGGGTAAATACACCCATTCTGAATGGGAGAAATTGGACCAAGACAAAGGGGCTACAGGCCCCATGCAAGTCCAAAATCCAGTCGGGCAGTCATTAAACCTTAAAATTCCAAAATGATCTCCTTTGGCTCCTGTCTCACATCCAGGTCATGCTGATGCAAAAGGTGAGCTCCCACAGCCTTGGGCAGCTCTGCCCAAGCTCCCTGTGGCTTTGCAGGGTACAGGCCCCCTCCTGACTGCTTTCATAGGCTAGTGTTGAGTGCCTGTGGCTTTTCCAGGCTCACAGTGCAAGTTGTCAGTGGATCTACCCTTCTGGGGTCTGGAGGATGTTGGCCTTCTTCTCGCAGATCCACCAGACAGTGCCCCAGAGGGGACTCTTTGTGAAGCCTCCAACCCCACATTTCCCTTCCACACTGCTGTAGCAGAGGTTCTCCATGGGGGCTCTGCCCCTGCAGCAAACATCTGCCTGGACACCCAGGTGTTTCCATACATCCTCTGAAATGTAGGTGGAGGTTCCCAAACCTTAATTCTTGACTTCTGTGCACCCACAGACCCAATACCATGTGTAAGCCGCAAGGGTTTGGGGCTTGCACCTTCTGAAGCAACAGCCTGAGCTGTACATTGGCCTCTTTTAGCCACAGCTGGGACTGAAGCAGCTGGGAATCAGAGCACCATGTCCGGAGGCTGCACAGAGGAAGGGGGCCCTGAACCCAGACCAGGAAACCATTTTTCCTTCTTAGGCCTCTGGGCCTGTGATGGCAGGGGCTGCCATGAAGGACATTTTCCCCATGGACATGCCATGGAGACATTTTCCCATTGTCTTGGTGATTAACATTCAGCTCCTTGTTACTTATGGCAAATTGCTGTAGTAGGCTTGAATTTCTTCCCAGAAAATTGGTTTTTCTTTTCTATTGCATCATCAGCCTGCAAATTTTCCAAAATTTTACACTCTGCTTTCTCTTGAATGCTTTGCTGCTTAGACAGTTCTTCTGCCAGATATCCTAAATCATTTTTCTCTCAAGTTCAAAGCTCCACAGATCTCTAGGGCAGGGGCAAAATGCCAACCAGTCTCTTTGCTAAAGCATACCAAGAGTCACCTTTGCTCTAGTTCCCAAGAAGTTCCTCATCTCCAGCTAAGACCACCTCAGCCTGGACTTCATTGTCCATATTACTATCATCATTTTGGTGACAACCATTCAACAGGTCTCTAGAAAGTTCCAAACTTTCCCACATCTTGCTGTCTTCTTCTGAGCCCTCCAAACTGTTCCACCCTCTGCCTGTTACTCAGTTCCAAAATTGCTTCCACATTTTCAGGTATCCTTATAGTAGCGCCCTACCATTTCGGTACCAATTTACTGTAGTAGTTTGTTCTCACACTGCTATGAAGAAATACCTGAGACTGGGTAACTTATAAAAGAAAGGGATTTAGCTGACTTACAGTTCCACATTGCTGGGGAGGCCTCAGGAAACTTACAATCATGGCAGAAGGTAAAGGATGCACTTTTTTTTTTTTTTTTGAGACAGAGTCTCACTCTGTTGCCCAGGCTGGAGTGCAGTGGCAGATCTCAGCTCACTGCAACCTCTGCCTCCTGGCTTGAAGCAATTCTCCTGTCCCAGCCTCCTAAGCATCTGGGACTACAGGCGCCTTCATGCCCAGCTAATGTTTGTATTTTTAGTGGAGACGGGGTTTTGCCATATTGGCCAGGCTGGTTTTGAACTCCTGACTTCAGATGATCCACCCGCCTTGGCCTCCTAAAGTGCTGGGATTACAGACATGAGCCACCGCACCCAGCTGCAGGCACCTTCTTCACAGGGCAGCACGATGGAGTGAGTGCCAGCAGGAGAAATGCCAGACACTTATAAAACCATCAGATCTCATGAGACTCACTCACTGTCACAAGAACAGCATGAGGGAAACTGCCCCCATGATCCAATTACCTCTACGTGGTCCCACCCTTGACACATGAGGATTACACTTCAAGGTGAGATTTGGGTGGGGACACAGAGCCAAACCATATCAGCTATTGAGGTGGGAAAGTGAGGACTGAGTGCTGAGAGTAATAGGAAATTCAGTTTGCTGAAGTAGAGAAGGCAATAAGGGAAAAGATCTGAGATGAAACCAGATGTGGCCAGTGGAGAAGGACTTGAAATCCTTAGTAAGCAATGTGTACTTTATCTGGTAGACACTTCAGACCATTAAGGGTTTCTGGCCATGGACATGACATCATCAGAGTTGTGCAATAGAATAGATAGAGACTTCGAGAAGAAAAAATAGAAGAAAGATCTCAGTCAGGGAGACTACTTAAGAGGCTCTTGTAATCAGGCAGGTGGTGACAACCAAGGGCTTAGAGGAGAGGAAGTTCTGCACAAGAGACACTGCCAAGAGAGGGTCTAGGACTTAGGAATTGCTTGTAGCAGGCCCAGGTGGGACTTTTCATTGCATATATGTGTTTGTAATTACAAAGGTAAAAGCCATCATTTACCCACAAAACTTCCTCGATATGATGCAAAACCATCACCCTGGGCTTGCAGCACAATATGAATGGTGCCTCCTAGGACTGTACAGTGTGAAATACGTACAACACATGTGAGACCTCTCTGCAGTGTAACCCCCTTTAACCACAATTTTAAACTCAGCAGAATGTCCACGGTAAGTATGTGTGCAGCCTTTATCACAGGTCAGTGACTTATCAGATTTTTCTTGGCATTGAAACACTTCGAAGTCAAGACAGCAAGGAAAAGAGCTGGGAGAGTCTGGATGACTCTTTGAGTGCTTTTCATCCAACCATGGACAATGCTCTGCAGCATCCTGCATTCTTTTCCCTGACAGATTAGCTAATTTAATTAGCAGAATCTGGCTAGATGTGAAAAATGTAAAGAACCTTGATTTGGAAGTCAGTAGGTCTAGATTATAGACTCAGCTCATTCATTTCCCCATTATGGGTTCTTGAACAAGTAGTACTCGTTCAGCCTTGGTCATCTGAAGGGTGGCACAGGCATTATGCAGAAAACAAACCACGGTAGTAGAGCAAGAGCAACATTAGACAGAGTGGTCAGGGAAGGCTTCTTGGAAGAAGTGACAAGTGAGCTGAAATCTGAAGGAGAAGGAATCAGGAATGGCAACAGGGGGTTGGTGGCGGGCAGCATTCAAGGCAGAGAGGATGGCAAATGCAGTCTTCCTGAGGATAGAGCAAGCTCAGAGTGTTTGACAAAGCCATGTGGCTCACTCCTAAGGCTCTTTCATCAACTCCGGGAGAGTTGTGTTTTGTTGTTAATTTTATCTTTGTTTAATTTTGGAGAAACTCACTTTACTAATAAAGTTTAAAGGCCATTGTTAACAAGTCTAATGGAAACCAAAGGGCAGACAGAATGTTATAGGGCAGCAGTTTTCCAAATGTTTATGCATAGAGAAGTGAGCACAGTTCAAAGCCAAAAGAAAATCTATAGGAACCTGAAAAGCTGTGCCAAGCAAGTCTGAATAAAGATCAAGCAGGGATATAGTTTTCTGTTTCTGGAGACTGAAGTCAGAAACCAGAGCTTTATCCAATCACATGAAATGGGCTCACAGGGCTCTGGTGTTATGATTTTCCTCCCTCAGCTGTGGGAGTTGGCCTTTTCTGTGATTGATGGTCAGGTTCAAGAGAACTTCCATGAAACACCAAAATCTCTTTCTGGAAGAAACTGTGCTCATTATGGCAATTACATTGGACATTTGCCTCGCTGTCGTCTTGTTTTTCAATGCTACGGTTTTTCTCTTCTTTTTTCATTCAGGAAAAACAACATAGGAGAGTGACACAGCAGGGATCTCGCTGATAAAGGACCTGCATCTGAATCCAGCTCCTCCATCCATGGGCCATGTGTCCTGGTTGCTGAGACATCTGGAGAGCCTTGTACCTCATCAAAAGAAGAGAGACAGTAATCCTTGCCTTTCTTTCCTCCTAAGGTTGTTAACGAGGCTTAAATGAGAGAACAAGGATGAAAGTATTTTGTAAACTCTAATGCCCTGTGTATAAAGCAGAGAATAATAGCATCTGTGGTGTTAGAAAATGCCTGGAACTTTGTAAAGATGTTGTTTGATTCAACATTACTGGAGTAAACCACACCATTAGACAGAATGAAAGACTCCACCGCAGAGAGAGAGACTGATTTTTATAACAACTGAATTTATTATAGCATAAACTAAATACAAAGCTCTGAATAAATAATCGTTTTTTTCAGTCATCACATCTGCAGGTGTGTATGTGAACATTTCCATAAGCACATAAGGATACAGATGTCACAGACATATTTAGTGAGGGAAGCCCAGAGTCACGGTTCTCTGTGGGTAAGAGCTAGATGCCTTGAGATGAACATACAGGGCACCGTCTCAAATGATTTGGACTATGTGACTGTGTTCGTTTCTCCTTCAGACTCTGCTCAAGAAAGTGTATTGATAACAGGTTGCTCCGCCCTCAAGTTTAGGGCACTCTCCCACGCTCTTTCATGCAAAGTTTTTTAACACCTCTCTTTAAGAAAATTCACAAATCAGAAGTATTACCCCAGCTTCAATCTGACAATCAGGACCCCTACTCTGCCCCTCTTTCCTAGGATCTTATCTCCATTAGGGGTCCCCTTTCAAGGTACAGGGCAATTGAGTCTATATGTCCACACAATCGGATCTGACAAGGCTGGGAGCCCTCCCTCCAGAGCCCATCCTCCCATGAGTGTCTGTCTGGTATTCTGTGTGGGTAGTAGTAGAAAATAGTTCACATCTGGTGGCTCATGTCTGTAATCCCGGCACTTTGGGAGGCCGAGGCGGGCGGATCACGAGGTCAGGAGATTGAAACCACCCTGGCTAACATGATGAAACCCCATCTCTACTAAAAATACAAAAAATTAGCCGGGCATGGTGGCAGACCTGTAGTCCCAGCTACTTGGGAGGCTGAGGCAGGAGAATGGTGTGAATCCGGGAGGCGGAGCTGGCAGTGAGCCGAGATTGTGCCACTGCACTCTAGCCTGGGCAACAGAGTGAGACTCCATCTCAAAAAAAAAAAAAAAAAAAAAAGGTTCACATCACAGCATAAGACTGAGACACTGGGTGTATCAAGCTTGAAAGAGATCTTGCAGGTAATTGAGTTTCATCTGATACTTGACTTCCTTCTCTACTTGGCCCTTGAATAGCCACTTGTTCCTCCAATGTCCTAGAGTACATTCCACTGCTATCAGTGCTGGCTGTTAGGACAGTGGTTAGGGCAGATGGCCTGAAGCCATCCCCACTGTGATCTTTACCCATTTGTCCTGATTTTGCCTTCTCATGCCACCTGGCACAAGTAGGATCCTTCTTTCTCAGGAAAACCCTTCACAGTCCCCTGACTGTTTTCTTTCCAGGCTGGGCACTCCCTGTTCCTTCAATTACTGCTTCTAAGATGTAGTTAATCCCAGGAATACAGTCTTCAAAATGAGTCTCTTTTCCCAAAGATTTTATGGCTGCTTGACTAGTGGAGGACTAGATTCTTTTCTTCCTGTTCCCTGCCAGCCTTTGCTAGTGATAGAATCACTTAGGATCAAGGCAAGAGCAACTCAAAGTCTCAGAAAGACAGACAATCATTTTTTTGTTTTGTTTTGTTTTGTTTTTAATACACCTCTAGCCCAGGCCTGGCAGGATGCCTGGCATTCATTTGAACAGAGGGCCTGGTATTAGCAAAGGGTTGCCCATTCTTTGCTTGACTGTGAGATCACACTAAGCAACCTGCCCTGCTGGAACTCTGGAATTTGGAAGTATTTGGCAGCAATATAAGGTTTGCTCAGAAGATCTGTATTTGAGGCCTAGATCTGCTCTTGCCATTACTGAATCTCAGCTTTCTCATCTGTATGGTGGAGATGATAAGCCCTTCCTTGTTCAGTCATGGGACAATTGGTACCATTCAGGTGAGTTAGTGGAGGTGAATGCACTTAGCAAAGGGCACATTTAAGTATGAACTGTGCAGGCTGATCTTGCTCATGACTAGGTCACAGACCATCTCTAGCTTGCCCCTGCCTACAACCCTCTACTTTTGGAAAATGAGAAACACTTTTAGAGAAGGACATTCAGAACTGCCATATCATTGCTGAGGCTGGCTTTGCAAAAGGAAACATTTCTTTCTGTACCAAAAAAGACAGTGATTCTGCAGTCTTGAAACACTAAAATATCTTCACGCCCTATTTTAAAACCAGAAGTAACAGGGTACCCTCATGGCTGGGAGACACCATGTTCCTAGAATCAGCTGCAATCATAGAGCCATCAGCCATGCTCAAGAGCTCAGTTAGGGGGAAGGAATGCTTGCAAATGCTATTGATAAGTTCCAAAGCCAGCCTGGGCCAGGACACTTATCCCCTGATCAGAACATTCACCTAGGATTTGATGCTCATAATACAAATTTTGCTTTTGCCTTAAAATATTATATGTAGGTGTGCTCCTAGAGTTCAGTGTTGTCTCCTGAGGTAACAGAAACCTGAGTCTTCCTTGTGCTGAACAAATCAAATATAACCAAATTGTAATAGTGACAAAATAAGGACAATTTTAGTTTTCTGGAAACTCAAGCCACAAACTTTAAAAAAAAAATGTACTAGTTGTGTAAGAACTCCCATCAATAGTGCCATATAATGCTGTAGCATGAGACTAATGTTTCTCAAAAATAATAAAGCAGAGGAGTGAAAATTTCTGGAGTTGGCCATGTGACATGAGAGATTCCTAAAACATAGGATAAGTTACTGGGGTTAGGAAAAGTGGGCTGTAGTGGACAGCACTCGTGCTTTCTGATCTGTTATTTTCCTCTCCTTCCCAGGACTACGTTCCAGACCAACTCTATCATTTGTGGGGCCTGGTACAAAATGAAAATATGGGGACCCCTGTTCAAAAATTAAGAATTTTAAGATGGAAACAGCAGAGTGTTAAAGCCAAGTGTGGGGACCTTCTAAGCATGGGGCCCTGTGTAGTGACAGCTCATAAGCCCATGAAGCATCCCTAAACACAGGAGACTGCACTTTCCAGCTCCCTGGCCAAATCCTTGACTAATGAGATATGAGTAGGGAAAGCAATGTGTGCCACTTTTGGGGTGAGGCAGTGAAGAGCCCACACGTGATCTCCAGTCTATTCCTTCCCCCATCACAGTCAACACACAGTCCTTGCATCGAGCTGATGGAGCCATCAGGTTGAAGCAGTCACTGCTGTAAGAATGGCAGTTCCAGAGTGTCACCTGGATCACGAAAGAAGCACTTGTGTGTTAAGGCACTGATATCTGAGAGTTGTTTTTTATTGCAGCATAGGCTAAGCTTATCCTTAACAATATGTTGGGTAAGGCCAGAAACAGAAGAAAAAGCCTCAAATCTGAAAAGTACTACAGAGAAAAGGAACCCAGACAGTAAAGATTGGTGTAATGTTTCCCACGCATTAGTTTTTCCATCGATGAAGTAAAAATTCAAAAATTACAACTCCGTGAGTATACACAGTACTACTTCCCCTCAACTCATTTTTATAAAAAGGAAAGTATTGTCCTGTCCTAAGAGGAAAGATCACATATTTTTCCCCTTTAGCCTGCTTGTCTCTTGGCCCATAGAAATTCTTGGCCCATTCTTGCCTTCACTGAATGCCTCTAATACCTTCAGAAGCCAAGAGGAAAGCACTCTTCTGGGTCAATGTTCTTCTCTGTAGACAGTATTTTATCAAACAGACTTTAGTTTGTCACCATGATTTGATAGGTAGCCCCAAAACTCCAGCTGATGTTACAAGAGTCTCATTTCTTAAAATCAATGAAACTGGTCCCTTTTGTCATTGTTTCTCTGTAATATCAACTTGGATATCACATGTCCTTCAGAGTTGTTCTTCATTGCTCTCAAATACTGGATTGCTGTAAGACACTCCTCTGCCACACTCCGGCATGTCAGAGTGGGAGGTTTGGTTTAGCGGGGGCCAACTAGGGTCATTTGCCAAGTCCCTCTGCCATATCCGATACTGGCTTTTTGACTGATAGCCGAAACATCTTTTAATCATCATCCACAGGGCTCGATTTTCAATAACAGCCTCCTGCAAAATAAAATAATTACTTTTTACAAGCAAGGGTTGAGTGTTTTGAGGCTACAGCCCTCCACAGGCCATCATAAGTCACTACTGCAATGGTTGCTTAGATCCAGCTTGACAAAGAGCTTGACCACTGGACCAATCTAAGGTGGTTTCATTGGACAGGTATTGGTTTCTCAAACGTTTCTACTTAAGTAACTCCTGTGGGAGAAGTAAGAGGTACAACATTTCAAGACTCTGGGAACATAACTTGAAATGGCTTGCCTCAAAAATGAAGTTTCTTTTGAATCTCACATCTAAATTGAATTTAAAATCATTCAAATTCTATGTTTCACTCTATAGCACATCTATATTTTGTTTAATATAAAATGACATTAAAATTACTACTAAATACTAAACACAATTGACCCTATATAAAGATGTGGCCCATGTATGACATGTTTTTGATATATCCTGACATATCACTGCATATTTAATTTCACACGGGCCAGTCTTGGAGTTGAACAGATCTGGATTTAGGTCCCAGTTCTGACACCTATTATGGGCAAATTAGTTACTCTATCCATGTCTCCGTGATTAGAATAATCCCTTCCTTATGTTTGTTGTAAGGCTTATATAACTCCCTTTACAATGCAGGGCAGGGCAGGGCATAGCTCTCTCCCTTTGCCTACCCTTTGGAACTACTCATTTAACAAATGGCTATGCACTGTGGTCCTGTTCACACATGCCTCTAACCTTCACCTTCACTGAAATACAGTATTAAGATTACAAAAGACATGTCTCTTTGAAAACATTTTGCAATGCCATTTTATTTCATGAGTTAGAGTGAGCCTTGAATAGAGCCCAAGTTATAACTTATAATTCATGAGAGGTTATCATATTAATTTTCCACTTTTATCATGTTTGCTCACAAAGATTGACCATCTTAGAGGTTATTGTGAAAGAAACAAAGAAAAAATATGGGACGTGAAACTGTCCCACAGAATTAGAACTGATTTTCATGTCTATCTTTGCTAATTTGAAAGAGTTAATTCTGTGAGATTCTATAAGGAACTTTGCCAGATATAGTAGTTTTCCTAAAATCTACCCATTTTTGCCATTTAGGTTCCACTGCCCATGAAAGGATAGAGAACAGCCAGTCTGCATTATTCCTGTGATAACTGACCATCTGCTGGCTGCGGGGCTGTTAAAGATCCATATAACCGTCTCAGCCTCTTGGAAACTTAGCCAGATGAGTTATTCTACTTTCCTGCAGCAAGGTTTTTTTGTCCTCCTTAATTGACGTGAAAACAGTAGTTCTTCTTAGAGCTGGGATAAGGCAGGAGCATCGAGTAAAGGTTTTAAAATCTTACTTACTTCAAGGAAACCTTAGCAAACCTTAAAACAAAATAGATGAAACCACACACACACACACACAGAGAGAGAAACTTTGGTGCTCTCCATCTCTACATCTTGCCTTCAGTGTTTTTTAGTTCTGGACTCTGATGACCTGTATCACCTTGCTGCTCTGGAAGAGGAAACTACAGAGAGGTGATCTGTCCTGTTACCGCACATTATAAATACAAGGCAGAACTAGTGACATGATCTGAATTTGTATTTCCATCCAAATCTCGTGCTGAAATATAATCCCCAATGTTGCAGGAAGGGCTGGATGGGAGGTGACTGGGTCGTAGGGATGGATTTCCTTCTTGCTGTTTTCGTGATAGTGAGTGAGTTCTCATGAGATCTGATTGTTTAAAAGTGTGTAGCACCTTCCCCTTCTCTCTCTTCCTCCTGCTCGGGCCATGTAAGACCTGCCTGCTTCCCCTTTGCTTTCCGCCATGATTGAAAGTTTCTTGGGGCCTCTCCAGCCATGCTTCTGGTACAGCCTGCAAAACCATGAGCCAATTAAACCTCTTTCCTTCATAAATTACCCCGTTTCAGGTATTTGTTCACAGCAGTGGGAGAATGGACTAAAATACAACTAGAAAAAAACGAAAGCCTTAGTGAGACATTTCTTTAAAAAAATTTCGCCACATGAGCGCTTCTGACTGGCTACTCAAATAACTCATACATACAAGCATACCTATATAAACACATCAATAATTGTTTTAAAGGTGGGGGCAATTAAAGCTATCCACACTACCTCTCATGCCTCTCAGCTGGAGGTTCGATCATGAGCACTGGCATAGTAAGGATAAGGTCCTGCTCAAACCTGTTTGTTTTCAGGGCTGATCAGAGATTAGATAAGTGGAATAATTTGCCCAAAGTCAGAGAGCAAGAAAGTGGTGGAGCCAGGATTCGAACCCACCCACGTAGATTACCCCGAGCTTGTGCTCTTAACTGCAAATATGCTGAAAAAGGAAGAACTTCCTGCTAGAGGATTAAGGAAGACTTTGATACTTCATTACCATACAGCCCATTCCCTCCCAACTCTTCCCTTCCCACCTAAAAGGGAAAAATAATGATAATAAGTGGTCTAAGCCAAATTGTCTAACTTTTGACATGGATCCACTTTCCCAGAATCTTTTTCTACTCATGATGACCATGAGACACAAGTGTAATCGATAAAGCATAAAAGGAAGTCTGCTGGTGAGCTTCAGGAAAAGTTTGTTTCTCAAGAAAAGGTTCAGACTTGCTGGAAATAGGCTTGCTGTGGCCTCTCCTTCCATTTTCTTCCTGCACTGAAAACAGATGTAAAGTCCGGCTCTGTGGAAGCTATCTGGACACCATAATCACGTGCACAAACATGAAAGACCACATCGAAGGAGAGTAGAAGAGAAAGGTGAAAGAGTGTGGATTCCCAGTGACACTACTGAGTTACTAAGCCAGTCCTGAAGCCACCTACCTTCAGTCTTCTTCTTGAGTCAATAAACATCTTTATTATTTAAGCCACTGTTAGTTAAGTCGTTACTTGCCTACCTGATCCAGAGATCAGGAAAGATACATGAAGAGGATACTACTACAGCTGTGCTGTAGAGGATGGAATAGCACTTTAATATGCGGAAATGGAGGAAACATACACCACACAGAGAGAATCCTGTGATCACGAACAGGGATAAGATGTATACACTAGATCCCCCTCTAAAGGGCAAAGACCATCATTCTGCCACTGGGTCTGAGGACACCCGTGATAATGCTCTTTTATTAATCTGGTTGCTTTAGAGACCATATGGTTTAGCATATTGCTTCTCAAAGTGTGATCCCTGAACTAGTCTCATCAGAATCCCCTGACAACCTGTTAGAAATGCTAACTTTTGCACTTCTTCCAGGCCTACTGAATCAGACACACTGCGGGTAGGGCTGGGCAACGTGTGTTTTAATAAGCCTCCCAGGTGATTCTGATGCCCACTCAAGTTTGAGAAGCTCTTGTTTAGCATATAGAGAGAAGTTCCAGTACTGAAATTCTGTGTCCTGTTCTGCCACCAGCTCCTGTGCAGCCTTCACTCTGCATAGGAGTAAGCAGGGAGAGCTCATTGAGGTCCTGCCTACACAATACTGCAGGGAAGTCAGGCTGTAGGTTCTCACAGCTCACCATGAACACTCCATTTGCAGGAATAATTCTAGTTCTGTATCCCAGAGCAGAAATAGAGACAGATGGAATTCTGCATCTCACCTCTCCTTTGTTCATAAATGCCTTTTCAGGGCACCCCTGCCTACCAACAGGCTTTGAAGAATGGATATTGTGTCTGGTAGTACTGAGCAGGGAGAGCGTGAATCACGTGGAGAAAGAAAGCAGGAGCACAAGCTCATTTCACTGAGGAAATGGAGCACAGGGGAGCTGAAGAATAAAAGCTAGAAAATGGAGCAAATGGAAGCTGGAGAATGAAAGCCGGAAAAGCTCACTATGAATGTTATTTCCCATCCGCAAGGCAAAAATGATATGAGTTAAGTGAAAGAAGCCACACACAAAAGGCCACATATTGTATGGTTTCACTTATATGAAATGTCCAGAAAAGTCAAATCCACACAGTCAGAAAGTAGAATAGTGATTACCAAGGCCCAGGAGAAGGCAGAAGGGGCAATGAAGAGCAACGGCTAGTAGGTACAGGATTTCTTTAGCGATGATGAAAATGTCCTGCAATTAAGTAGCGTTAATGGCTGTACAACTCAGTGAGTGCACTAAACACTACTGAATTGTGGACTTTAAAAGGGTGAATGTTATGGTGCGTGAATCATATCTCAATTTTAAAAAGTAAATTGTGTTGGGTCTTTATTTGGAAATTGTAGAAATGAACAGGACCTTAGAGACCATAATTCCATTCTCCCCCGCCCTACTTGACAGATGAGAAAACTAACGTCCTGCTTGGGACTCATCAGAGGAAGGCACCATTGCTTATACTGTGAAGGAAGGGAGCCCCTGCACTGCTGAGTCCATGTCAGCTAAAGTTGTTGTTTTCAGAGTCCCAAAGAAGTCCCCCTACACACATGCGTGCACACACACAAGATCAGCAGCCCAAGATCAGCACACTTACCTCGGCCACAAGGGACACAATGAAATTCAAGCTGAGCATGATGACAATGGAGGCCCTCCACAGGACGGGAGTGCAGAGCAGCTGGCGGGAGATGATGAAGCACAGTTAGTCTGAAGACACGCAGATGCTGGAAACATGCTCACATGTTCACAGCATATATTTTCCTAGGTTATAAATCTCATATGTAATATATATGTGTGTATATTACATATATCTTATATATATAAAAAATTTCTATGCTTGTATGCACAGAAAAAGTACGGAAAGGTTATACTTATGATCCTAATGATTTGGGGGGGTTATGAGTGTTGCTTTTCTTCTTTTATCTTTTTTTCTTCTTGTGATGTGTGTGTGTTTCTCTATGATTTCTAAATTTCCTAAAATAACTTTGGTCACTTTGCAATTAGAAAAGAAGAGGAAAATCACTCTTTGTTTGCTTGCTTTGTTTTGTTTTCAAAAGGGAGGCAGGAATGTGGCTTTATCCCCAGGAGGCCTGATGGTACCCATGTCAAACCTTCACAACTGGGCAGCATTGCCCTCTTCTCCCTGGTGTCCCGTCTCTCCCCAGCCAAGCCCTGCCTTTAGCACTGGCTCAGGGCTTCACCCTCAGGACTGTGCATCCAGCTGCACAGTGTGCCCTCACAAGGGCCCTTGCCAAAGGAGCAAATGGAGCTGAAATCAAGCTTGTCATGACCTGTCCCTTTGCCCATTTTCTCTGTGTCTTCCCCAACCCCTTCCAGGCACATGCCTGATATATATGTATGGTGAATGAGTGAATCAATGGGTGAATTAATGAATGAAAAAGTGCCAAGGGCATCCCATTGTATCTGGCACTGACTTATGCATTGCCTCATACGTTAGTGGGAGTAAAAACTGAAACAGTTCCATAGAGGACAGTGTTCTCAAAGTTAAAAATTCAAATCCACTTCTAGGAATTTATCTGAGAAATATACTTGTACATGGCTAAAATGATATATGCACAATATTTTTATTGCAGCTTTGTTTGTAATAAAAACTTGGAAACATCTTAAATGTCTATCAATATGGGACTACATATAAAGCATGGTATACATATGACATATACATAATATGCATTTACATAAAATATTATATTAGCATTAAAAAGAATGAGGAAAATGTATGTACTGATATGGAACAATTAATGCTGTTATATGAAAGAAGCAAGGTGCAGGACAATGTATGTGTTGTAGCAGCCATGAAAATTTTCCACTCAGATCTTCTGCTGCTGGGAGGATAAATGGTGGATACCCCAACTGTTATGCTCAGAATCCACCACCACATCCACTGTAAAGCATATCTAAAGTCATAAGCTGCACATAGCCAAGAAATGAGGACACCACGGATTCTCATCAGACTCATTCCTACGAGACGTAGAAACTCCTGATGGGCAACTTTGGCCTGACTTTCTTAGAAGTGTACTGCAGTCTGAGATGCTACACATCTAGCCCTCCTTCTTCCCTCCCTTCGTTTTAGAGGATAAACCCACATCACAGTGTGATGCCTCTCCCCACTTCCTCTGGCTTTCTATTCCCTTACCCCTACCCCGAGAATTTCCTCCAGCAAATCTCTTGCATAACTAAACTCAACTTGTCATCTACATCTCAGAAGACCTGAACAAATATAATAGTTTTCTACTGTTTATGTAAAAATGTGGAAGAAGAATATACAAAATATGTCCCAAAGTATGTAAAATAAACTAGTGTCATTGGTTACCTCCAGGGAGAGGAACTGGTAACGGGGAATCTAAGATGGGATGGGGATTGTCACTATATGGCTTTTTAAACATTTGAATTGTGAACCAAATGAATGTGTTCCCCATTAAAATAATTTATAAATTTTTAAGTAAGCAGTTTCTAGGTTGCAAAACAACATGATTCCATCCTTTTAAAAAAAACTAAAAATTAATCAACACATTTATAGTATATGAATTGTAAAAGAAGGAAGAATATAGTGAATAATGTTATAATTTTCCTTGCCCGCACATTCTACATTTTCTAAAAAGAACACATATTTTTATGTAATAATAAGAAAAATAATTGTTTTAAAAGTGAACAATAATTCTTTGCAGAATCCTTTGCAGTCATGCTGGCAATGACCCTACCCAGGTTCTCTCCAAATTAAATATGTTCCCTATTTTGTTATACCAGAGGACCCAGCCTTTCTGTAAGAATCTTCTTCTATTAAAAAGTGACATTCAACTCACCACATCTCATCCTTAACTTCTGTAGGATTAAGAAGTTTTAACTGACTTAGAAGACCAGTGGGCAAAGCCTACTTATTTCCATGAATACTTAATTTAATTCACGAAGGCACTTAACAACAGTGGTAATTACACTGCTAACCACAGTGATGTAGTTACAAAAATAAGAAGACTCATGCTAAACATATTAGTATGTCAAACTAAAGATATTAGTTAGTATGCCAAATGTCACTGTGGGTTTGTGCAGGTGTTGCTGGTTGGGAATGCACTGTATGCTCTAAGTGCTTGTTTATATTTAGGAGTCTGATACGCAATGATCAGTCAGTCATTCCTTTGTCATTTTTTGACATTCTTTGTGGAAGGCACTGGTAATACAAGAATGAATAAGATACACTGTTGGACCTCATGAGACTCATCTTTGAGATGGAGAGGCAACCAGATATACAAAGCACTCAATTAAAAGAGCTGTTTCTTTAGTCATCTCTTCAATATTGCATTTCTTGATCTAAAGATCATTTAGCCGTGATTAAATTGTAATAAAAGTAGGATAGGTTAAGGGGATCAAAATATGTTTTTCCCTGGCTTGGATATGTAAACTTTTGGTATCTTGTAGGTTTTTACAGCTGTATCAATATTATAAAATATAAGAGAGTTTATGAGGAAAAATATGGCTCTTGGAAAGTGAGTTTTACAGACATTAAGTATGAACACACAGAAAACATTTTTAAAGCCGTAAAAAAATACATAAATATATGATAACCAAAAAAAAAGCTATAGGCAAAACAGTTTTAAACAACTTCAAAAAAAGAAGCAATTAGGAAAAAATTCTCTCATATTTGAAAGAGAAAATATAGAAAAACATTTTCTCATAGGAGATCTTTTAAAATAAAAATATTTGGTTAGATGCAGTGGCTTAAGCCTGTAAGCCTAGCGCGTTGGGAGGCCAAGGCAGGAGGCTAGCTTGAGGCCAGGAGTTTGAGACCAGCCTGGGCAACATAGCAAGCCCTCATCTCTACAAAAATTTTTTTTTAAAAAATTAGCTGGGCATCATGGCACACTTCTGCAGTCCTAGCTACTCGGGAGGCTGAAGTGGGAGAATTGCTTGAGCTCAGAAATTTGAGGCTATAGTGAACTACGATTGCACCATGGCACTCCAGACTGGGCAACAAAGTGAGATCCTGTCTCTTAAATAATAAGAAGAAAACAAAATTAAAGTATTCAATACTTAAAGGCTGTCTTTAATCTCATGAAATCAAAACTGGGTAGAATTTTATTTCTTGACCAGTTTAAATAAAAAATATAGATAAATTTAGCATTTTTTTTAGCTCTGCCATCCCAAAAGAATAATTTGTGTCAAAAATCATGTCAATTGAAATTGTGATCTGCTTTTTAAAGTTAAACTGTTACATAACTGTAAAGCATCATCATATCCCAAAGATTAGACTTACATCCAAACGTCTATATAATTCTGGTATATCAGCAAATAGAATGAATAGACATACACCAAGCTGTATTATCAGCACAAGGACAAATATATCTGAGGAAATAAGAACACAAGGTATTATTTTGAGAAATCAGAGTGAAAAATGTCACATATATTGACGGATGTATTCTAGATTAACACTGATTTAATTTACTTGATTTCTACATCCAAATACTAGATGGAAAGTATTCATTTCTAAGCAATGGGTCTCACCTCTTTAATTTCTATGCATGTCCTTGAAGCAAGTGAAAATTTTCACATGCACATTTTAAGTTTCAATTAATAAAAGTAGTAGATATACATAGGGTAACATTGACAAAATACATGTTCAATAAATGCCTTGAAGACATCCAAGTATCTGAGTCACTTTAATGCAAATTATCTACCTCAAATCATTTTCTGGTAAAAAGGAAGCCTGTCAATAAACCAATTTTTAAATTGTTATCATATAGAGGTCAGTATTTAGCTGCTTCCTCATCCCAGGAAGAAGAAAAGCTAAATAATTTTCTCTGAACAAATAAATTTTTATGAAAATATTCATAAAGGAACTCAATTTGGGCTTTGAATTTTTTCAATAAGAAGAGTAGTGATGATATACAAATAAATGTCTTGAAGATTAAACAGGTCACTCATTTCTCATCCAAACATACCTTCCTACTCCAGAATGTAAGGAAGTAGGAGGGAGGTACTCTGGCCGAGAGCCTCCATAACCCTCTCTAGTCAGGTTCCTCCAGGCTGGACCCACTAGCAGCCTGCCACCACACAATGCCACCCTGACTATTGCCTTCATGGCAAGAGACAGGATCCACTTGAGTTCTGTTACGCTTCTCTCCACTGTTTCCAGGGTGAATTCTGACAAGTACTGACAAGTAGAGAAATAAATTGGTCTTTTCAATTTGGAGTGATCCCAAGAAAGACACCCAGAGGCAAACTTCTGGCGAAGGAAAGGGAGAAAGAAGCCCTAGTATTTAATGTAGCTTTGAAGGAAAGAGCAAAGAACCGTGAAAATGAGGCTGTACGATGTGTTTTGCAGAGTCCTAGAGTGGAAGTCAAGAGATGCTAGATAAGAATCAACTCTAAAGCTGTTCCCTAAGTGACCTGGACATGTCTGTTCCCCTCTCTGATGACTTCTCACCTCTGATGCAGTACAGTTCTACTCACAGTTTGTATAAGTTGGCTGTCTAAATGGTTTTCCTTTAGAGAACACAAGAGCCACAGTGATACAGTTGATTGTTCCCAAGAACCAGACTGTAGTGTTCTCAAAACTTGTGAAGGTGCTATTACTTTCCATTTTTTCTGGAGCAGTTGGAGACATGGTTAACTCTGAGATGCTTTCATTTTGTACTGTGCAGGCACTAAAAGGGAAAACCAAAGAAGCTAATGAAGTAAGATTGCAAGGCTTTATGGAGCATTTGTATCCAGAAGATTCCATACCAAACAGTGTCCAGAGCAGGCACTCAATGCTTCTACAATTGCCTGTGCTTTGGAAAACACACACACACACACACACACACACACACACACACACACACACACACTGAAAAATAGGGGAAAAAATCAACAAGCACAGATAGACCCGTATTTTGGATACATTGAGAGAGAGAGAGAGAGACAGAGAGAGAGATTCAGCCAATTATGTATTCAACAAATTATGCACATTCATTAAGGCTATATGGGAAAGAGATTGGTAAATCATGATTCCTCCCTCAAGTGGCTTAATATCTCTGATAATTTGGCCAAGTGTGGTGGCTTACACCTGTAATCCCTAGGAGGCCGAGGTGGTTCACTTGAGGCCAGAAGTTTGAGACCAGCCTGGCCCACATGGTGAAACACCATCTCTACTAAAAATACAAAAAAATTAGCTGCACATGGCAGCATGTGCCTATAATCTCAGCTACTGGGGAGGCTGAGGCAGGATAATTGCTTGAATCCAAAGGCAGAGGTTGCAGTGAGCCTAGAACACACCACTGCACTCCACCCTGGGCAACAGAGAGAGACTCCATCTCTATAACAGCAACAACGACAACTGTTGCAGGAAGTCAGGGACTTTGAACAGAGGGACTGGCTGGAGCTCTGGCAGAGGAACATAAATTGTGAAGATTTCATTTTAATATGGACATTTATCAGTTCCCAAAATTAATACTTTTATAATTTCCTATGCCTGTCTTTACTGCAATATCTGAACATAAACTGTGAAAATTTCATGGACATTTATCAGTTCCCAAATAATACTCTTATAATTTCTTATGCCTGTCTTACTTTAGTCTCTTAATCCTGTTATCTTCGTAAGCTGAGAATGTACGTCACCTCAGGACCACTATTGTACAAATTGATTGTAAAACATGTGTGTTTGAACAATATGAAATCAGTGCACCTTGAAAAAGAACAGAATAACAGCAATTTTAGGGAACAAGGGAAGACAACCATAAGGGCTGACTGCCTACAGGGTCAGGCAGAATAGAGCCATATTTTTCTTCTTGCAGAGAGCCTATAAATGGACATGCAAGTAGGGAAGAGACCGTTGAATTCTTTTCCTAGCAAGGAATATTAATAGTTAATATCCTGGGGGGAAGGAATGCATTCCTGGAGGGAGGTCAATAAATGGCCGCTCTGGGAGTGTCTGTCTTATGTGGTTGAGATAAGGACTGAAATACACCCTGATCTCCTGCAGTACCCTCAGGCTTATTAGGATGGGGGAAAAAACCCCACCCTGGTGAATTTGAGGTCAGACTGGTTCTCTGCTCTTGAACCCTGTTTTCTGTTGCTTAAGATGTTTATCAAGACAATATATGCACAGCTGAACATAGACCTTTATCAGGAGCTTTTGATTTCACCCTTTGCCTTGTGATCTTTGCTTTGCCCTTTGCCTTGTGATCTTTATTGGCCTCAGAAGCATGTGATCTTTGTGACCTACTCCCTGTTCATACACCCCCTCCCCTTTTGGAGTCCTTAATAAAAACCTGCTGTTTTTGCAGCTCAGATGGGCATCACGGTCCTACCGATATGTGATGTCACCACGGAGGCCCAACTGCAAAATTCCTCTCTTTGTACTCTTTCTCTTTATTTCTCAGCCAGCAGACACTTAGGGAAATTAGAACCTATGTTGAAATATTGGGGGCAGGTTCCCCCGATAAACAACAACAACAAATCTCTGATAATTTGTAAGTGAGTTGAATATATAACTTAACTAACAAAGATAGTTTTGAAGGTGAAAAGGAAAGATGTTAATAATTTCACTGGGACATCACTTAATTTAAAGTGGGCTACTTAAACTGGGGCTGCTCAGGCAAATTATAATCCATGGTCACCCTAGATATCAAAGATGGTCATAGATCATTATCATATAAGACAGACAAAGATAAGTGCTAATGAATGAATGATACATTCATTAGCATTAAATCATGCTACAGAGAAGAAATAATCACTGAAAATTTGCCCAAGGGACTTTAAAAAGCCAAAACCTTTGGCAGAATGAAGACCCATGTGCCTCCCATCATATTGGCCAGAGGATGTTTGATAGAAATTAGAATGTGAGAAGCAGAAGCTGAGACTATACTCATACCTGTGTATCTCCACGGAATACCAAGGCTGCCTCTGAACCAGGATGAAGCCTGCAATATGCATGGCCAGGCTGAGAAGAATGTTGAAAATCACAGAGAGTAGCAGAGGTGGAGAGATCAGCCGTCCTGCAGGTCTGAAAGGCACCAGCTTAGGGTAGGCACCATTCAGATTCACTATAAAATAAATTCGAATTTTATATTTATGAGAGCAGGAAAATGTATTCTTGATCAGAAGAATGGCATAAGTTCATTGGCCCATACATTTGAGGAAATGGACAAACTGGAGTACATCACAAACTGAGGGAATAAAACAATTAATGGACTCAAATTCAAGTCATGTAAAGAATTCTTAAAAGAGCAGACAAAGCCACAAGATGTCACTTTTGGCCTTATAAATAGGGAAAAACTATTAAATTACAGAGAAGGGAGGGATGAAATATACTCTCTCATATATTGCTTGTGGGAAAATAAATTGATGCAAACCTTCTGCAGGGCAATTTGGCAATAAATGTGAAGAGACTGAAAAATGTTCATAACTTTCGACATAGTTATTCTACTTTTGGAAATTTATCCTAAGCTAAAAAAGTTAATCAGAGATGTGAAAAAATATTCATTATGGCATCATTTACAATAAGTTATGGTACATCTATACAATGGAACAACATGTAGTCACTAAACAGCAATGCTTTAAAACACTTAATGACAAATAATAGGTGATATCCAGCAAAATGGTGAAGTAGGCAGCTCCAAGTTCCCACATCTCCACAGAAATATCAAAATACAAGCAGAAACTGTCAGAAATCTGAAAATCTGAAAAACAGAAAAGTATACTGCAACCAAGTGAACACTGAATCAAGAAAAAGACAACTTTAGGATCACAGGAAAGTTTTGTGGCATTTCTACTTGCACTTGATCCACCCCCTACTCAGCTTAGTGACAATCCTGAAGATAGCCTGCATTCCCAGAGGGAGACCCTGGTCCCTGGTTACAAAAGGAGCATAGCAGGCCTTATTTACAAATTGTTACATATGTCTGTCCCAACCTGTCTGGGAACTACCTGAAGGATTGATGCAGGCACTCATCTCTGTTCCACCTAACACAGAACTCACTCTGGGCAGAAAAGCAGTGCACATTGCTTGAAAACATTATTAGGCTAACAAATGCAGTTGCCTAGGGCAAAAAAATTACAGTTGATACATAAAATAACCATCTAAAGCCTGGAAGAAAAGCTAAGGAAATTTCCTTGGAGGAATTAGGGCAGTCTAAAGCATCTGTGTATGCTGGGAAATGTAGAATGCTATGTAAATGCCCAGGGCAAAAGCTATGTGCATCCCAGGGCATAGTACATGCTCAGTAAAGACCAGAGAAAACCCAAAGCCTTCAGCTCTGGATTATCTCCAGACTCAGTGTAAGCCTGGCAAAGTGTTGAATAAGTACTCCAGCACAGAAATAATCTGTAAGGACTGGAGAAGGTTTTGTTTGTTTGTTTGTTTGTTTTTTCACTCCTAGAGGTCAAGCAAATCTCTATCAAAACATTAGCTGAACAAAAGCTGAAGGAACAGGGACATATGCGATCTCACATGAAAACTAGTACAGTCTTTCCAAAAAAAGCTTTGGAAAGTCACTAAACAAATGGACTATTACAGCCTTCAACAAAGAGTGAAACAAAAAATTCAAACCCTAAAATAGGAGAAGAATCTAATTTTCAGAGTTAGAGCATTATAATATTCAACAGAGCAAAATAAATGGACAGAATTTGTCCCTGAGGAAGCACAGATATTAGACTTATTAGGTAAAGACTTTAAAACAACTATCTTAAATATGCTGAAATAACTAAGGGAAACCACGGGCAAAGAACTAAAGGAAATTAGGAAAACAATGTATGATCAAAATGAGAATGTCAGTAAAAAGATAAAAATTATAAAAAGGAGTCAAAAGAAATTCTGAAGCTGAAAAGTACTGTAAGTTAAGTGAAAACAGCAAACTTGCAAACTTCAGCAGACTTGAGCAGGCAGTTTGCTGCTCAACAGCAAACTTGAGCAGGCAGAAGAAAGAATCAGTGAACTTGAAGGTAGGATAGTTGAAAATATCCAACCTGAGGAACAGAAAAAAAAATGATAAACAAAAATGAACAGAGCCTAAAGGGCATGTATAACACAAACAAGCAGACCAACATGTACGTTGTGGGAGTATCGGAAGGAGAGAAGAGAAAGAGACAAAAAGAATAAGAAATAATGGCAGAAAACTTCCCAAATTTGATGAAAGGCATAAATCTGCATATCCAAGAAGTACAAGTAATTACAATAGGTCAAACCCAATGAGATTCACATCAAGACATCATATTTGAGCTATTAAAAAACAAAACAAAACAAAGACAAAGAATCTTGAAAGCAGTGAGGGATAAGTGACACATCACCTATAAGGGATCTTCAGTAAGATTAGCAGCCAATTTCTCATCAGAAACCATGGAAGCCAGAAGTCAAGGGATAACATTTAAGATGCTGAAAGAAAAAGAAAAAAACTATTGACTAAGAATTGTATACCTGGCAAAACTGTCCTTCAAAATCGAGGGAGAAATTAAGACATCCCAGATAAACAGAAGCTGAAAGAGTTTGTTATCAGTAACCCTACCCTAAAAGAAATGCTAAAGGGCTCAGATTGAAATGAAAGAATACAAGATAGCTACTCAAACACTTACGTAGAAATAATGATGTCTAGTAAAGGTAACTATATCAGCTATCAGCAAATATAAATGCTGATATTTGTGTATTTTTGGTTTGCAATTTCACTTTATATATCCATGTTATTTAGTACACAATGGAAAAAGATGTAATTTGTAACATCAACAATATAAAAGGGGAGATAACGCTGCAAAGGAGCAGTTGTTTTCATGCTATTAAAGTGAAGGTGTTAATTCAAACTACACTGTTATAAATTTAGAATGTTTCATGTCATCTCCATAATTACATTTTATGTAATTTAAAAACCCACAGCTAACATCATACTCAAGGGTAAAAGACTGAGAACTTTGTCTTAAGATCAGAACAAGGTAAAAATGCCCTTGTCAGCACTGCTTTCAACAGTGTGCTGGGAGTTCTACCCAGAGACATTAGACAAAAAAGAAATTGGCCAGGCGCGGTGGCTCATGCCTGTAATCCCAGCACTTCGGGAGGCCGAGGCAGGTGGATCACGAGGTCAGGAGATCGAGACCATCCTGGCTAACAGAGTGAAACCCCGTCTCTACTAAAAATACAAAAAATTAGCGGCCGGGCGCGGTGGCTCACGCCTGTAATCCCAGCACTTTGGGAGGCCAAGGCGGGCGGATCACAAGGTCAGGAGATCGAGACCATCCCGGCTAAAACGGTGAAACCCCGTCTCTACTAAAAATACAAAAAATTAGCCGGGCGTAGTGGCGGGCGCCTGTAGTCCCAGCTACTTGGGAGGCTGAGGCAGGAGAATGGCGTGAACCCGGGAGGCAGAGCTTGCAGTGAGCCGAGATCCCGCCACTGCACTCCAGCCTGGGCGACAGAGCGAGACTCCGTCTCAAAAAAAAAAAAAAAAAAAAAAAAAAAAAAAAAAAAAAAAAAAAAATTAGCCAGGCGAGGTGGCGGGCACCTGTAGTCCCAGCTACTCAGGAGGCTGAGGCAGGAGAATGGCGTGAACCCCGAGGGGCCAGAGCCTGCAGTGAGCCGAGATTGCGCCACTGCACTCCAGCCTGGGCAACAGCGAGACTCCATCTCAAAAAAAAAAAAAAGAAATTAAAGTCAACTGGATGTCAGCAAGATGGCCAGCTAAAAGCCCTTAGTACTCATCTCTCCCACAAAGACAACCAAAACAACACTATATTTTGATGAAAATAACTAAACGAGAGTGTCAGAATACATCAAAGGAGTAGCAGAAACCCTGTAGAGCACAGAAAACCAGTATGGCCACATACTGGTTTCTATTATAGTACTCCACATCCCAGGAAATATCTGGCATCCAACACCCCACTCTCTAGCCAGGATCAGCTTAGAACCAAGAGGATGTCTCCTTGTGGGGAAAAGGTAAGCAAGAGGACCCCAGCAGCCCCCATCAACACCCTGGACACCTACAGTCCTCACAGGCACTGAACCAGCTGAGGGAGTTGCCTGAAGTCCACACAGCTGTGCTACCCCAGAGTAGAAGCCAACAGTGTGCCCTTCCCCCTGTGGCCTACAAGGCTACTGCACTATGTCATCTTGGAACATAAACTACTGCTGGAATGTGTCCTGCTCTGAGGGCAAGTGGCATGACCCCCTACCAGCCTTGAGGCTTAACGGCTGCTGGACTACTCCTGCCTGGTGCCCTGCCATCCCTGATCTGCCGCTACATCTTACCTTGAGAGCCAAGTTGCTATGCAGCTATTCCATTTACCCCTCTTATTCCCACTGTACCATGTCCTCTAGGGACTGAACTGAAGCTACACACTACCTCCACAGGAAATGAGTGCCTTGGCAGAGCTGCTCCATTTGCCCTTCCCAGTCAACACTGCACCCTGCCCTGCATGGCCTGAGGGGAAGCTGTACGTTGCATCCCAGAGAAACTGCCTTGATGAAACTGCTCCAACTACTCCTCTTAGTCACTGCTGCACCCTGCCCCTAGGGACCTGAGTTGAACCTGTGCACTGCCTCTGGTAATGCAGTGGAAGAAAAAGAGTACTATGGTAAAGCTGCTCCATATACCCTTCTGAGTCCCTGCTGTGCCCTGCCCCTTGGAGCTTGAGATGACGCTGTGCACTGCCTCCTGAAGAAACAATGCCTTGGCAAAGTGGTCCAACTACCCCTCCCAGTTGCTGCTGCCCCTGCCCCCATGCCTGAGCTGAAGTGTAGTGTCTTGCCTTCTGGGAAAATGGTACTTTGGCTTCCCAGAGTAGTCATGCCTCCCCAGTGCCTGAGTTGAAGTAGTGCCCTGTCTCCCAGGAACTGGTGTGTTGGCCAAGAGCAGTCATACCTCACTTCCCCGACCCCCTATACTTACCCCCAAGCCTGAGCTAAAGCAGTGCACTGCCTCCCAAGGAATCAATGCTTTGGCCGAGCTCGCAGTTGTGCATTCCAGGCCTGAGCTGACATAGTACTCCACATCCCAGGGAAAAGCACTGGCTGAGCAGAGACATCCCTTCCCCCAACAGGAAAAATAGCTCTAGTTCCCTGGTTCCCTAGAGCTTGACTAGCTGGACTAGAGTCTGAACTGCTGAGATACCTCCTTCCCAGGTAAGTGGAGTCATCACTGTGCTGCTCCCTGTCCCCCACCCACTGCCCCTCCAGGGCCCAAGTGATAGCTGTGCCATTTTGGGTTCTTTGCTGTTGCCGTACCCCAGCTTCACAGAGTATGGAATACCACTGTGCCCCATCATCTCAGGGTCCAAGGTCACCACTGGATGGTGCTTCATCTCCCAGGGAACTTCGTTGCCATTATATCCTATTAGCCCTAGTTCCTGAATTGCAGCTGTACCCTGCTCCCTGGTCCCAAACCTCCAGAGCAGTCCTTCTCTCCAAGGAGAAAAATCCTGAACCTAGGAGCCTAGCTTCACAGCCTCTCTAAGGTCTCCCTGCTATAACCCAGCACTACTGCAGCTGCTTATAGGTCATGCCAGACCTGACACCGAGAGGGTCCCTCAGTCAAGTCTCCCCATCATCTGTAAAATGGCCACTGAGGCACTCAGTCATTATTGGCATTGATCTTAGCTGAAAAACTTGTACAAAGTCTATACTACTGCATCTTCTCGGAATCAGAGTTACCACAATCTTCACAATTAGCATACCAAGACTCATCTGCAAGTGAAAGCCACTGTGTAAAGTTTGGAAGAGGTGATTGTTCTGCCAGGTGTAAAGACATTGATGCAGAAACAAAAAGGAAATACGAAAGAGCGAGACAATATGATATCAACAAAGAAACACGATAATTCTCCAGTAACTGACCCCAAAGAAAAGGAAAGTTATGAATTTCCTGAAAAGGAATTTATAATGATCTTAAGGAAACTCAGTGAGATACAAGAGAATACAGATAGACAAATTAGGAAAAGAGTTTCCTAATTCAGCAAATTTAGGAAAATTAGGAAAATTAGGAGAAGAGTTTAAAGAATTTAAATGAGAAACTTAACAAAGAGATAAATATCATTTAAAAAGAACCAAACAGAAACTTTGGAGCTGAAGAATTTAATGAATGAAATGAAAAAAATTAATAGAGAGTTTTAATAGCAGACTAGAGCAAGCAGAAGAAAGAATCTCTGAATTTGGAGCTAGGTCTTTTGAAATTACCCAGTCAGAGGAAGCAAAGAAAAAATGAATATAAAAGAACAAAGACAAGCCATAGGACTTACGAAACACCAGGAAATGATCAAACATTAGCATTATGGGATTGCCAGATGGAGAAGAGACAAAGATAGAAACAAAACATTTTATTTAATATGATAAGTGCTGAAAACCTTCTAAGTCCTACAAGAAATACGAAAATCCAGATATATGAATTTCAGAGTCCCCAAAAGAATTCAACCCAAAGAGATTCTCATCATGGCACATTATAATAAATTGTCAAAATAAAGGACAAAGATAGAATTTTAAAAGCAGCAAGAGAAAAGTGCCAAATCACAAATAAGGAAATCCCCATTAGACTATCAACAGATTTCTCAGCAAAATCCCTGCAGGACGGGAGAGAGTGAGATGATATATTCAAGGTGCTGAAAGAAAATAAAAACTGGCAGCTGAAAATACTATACAAGTAAAGCTGTCCTTCAGAAGTGAAGGAGAAATAAAGTCCTAGACAAGCAGAAGTTGAGAGAATTCATCACCACTAGATTTTCCTTACAAGAAATGCTTGAGAGTTTTTCAAGTAGAAATGGAAGGACACTACAAATATAAAAACATATGAAAGTATAAAATTCACTGATGAAAGTAAATATATGGTGAAATCCAGAATATCCCAATACTGTTATGGTGCTCTATAAAACATATATATCTCTAGTATGAAGTCTAAAAGCCAAAACAGTCAAATATAATAGTAACTACAATACATTGTTAAGAAGTACATAAAATAAAAAGATGTAAATTGCGACACTAAAATATAAATTGGGGGAAGGATGAAAGTCTAGAGATTTGTATGTGACTGAGGTTAGTTGTTTTCAGTGTAAAACAGTCCATTATAATTATAAGATATTTTATGTAGCTTCATGGTAACTACAAAGCAAAAAGCTATAGCAAATACACAAACAATAAAGAGAAAGTAATCAAAACTCAGCACTGGAGAAAACCACCAAATCAAAGAGATAAAAAGAAAAAAAGACAGGAACAAAAGAACTACAAAACAACCATCAAATAACAAAGTGGCAATAGTAAGTCCTTAACTATCAATAATTACTTTGAATGTAAATGGAGTATTAAATTCTCCAATCAAAAGACATAGAGTAGCTGAATAGATTTTAAAAAACAAGACTCATCTACATAATGCCTATAAAAGACTCACTTTATCCTTAGAGACACAAATAAGCTGAAAATAAAGAGATAGAAGAAGATATTCTATGCAAATGGTAATCAAAAGAGAGCAAGATTGGCTATATTTATGTCAGATAAAGCAGACGTCAAGTCAAAAACTGTCACAAGAGACAATGCATCCAACATTGAAGCACGTAAATATATAAAGCAAATGTTAATGAACACAAAAGGAGAAATAGCAAGACAATAATAGTAGGGGACTTCAATAACCCACTTTCAACAAGAGACAGATCAACTAGACATAAAATTGACAAGAAAATATGGGAACTGAACTGTACATTAGACAAAATAGACCTAACAGACATATACAAAACTTTCTATTCAATAACAGAAGAATACACATTATTTTCTAATGCGCATGGAACATTCTCCAGTTTAGATCATATGGTAGTTCACAAAACAAGTACTAAAACATTTTTTAAAAATCAATTATCATATCAAGTATTGTTTCTAACCACAATAATATGAAACTATAAATCAATGACAGGAGGACCTTCAGAAACTATACAAATATATGGTAATTAAACAAGGTGCTACTGAACAACCAATGAGTCAATGAAGAAATTAGAAGAGAAGTTAAAAAATTTTTAGAGAAAAATGAAAATTGAAACAAACACAGCAAAACCTTTGGGATACAGCAAAAGCAGTACTCAAAGGAAAGTTTACAGCAATAAATGCCTACATGAATAAAGAAGAAATAACAAACAACAACCTAATGTTGAACCTCAAGGAAGTAGAAGAACAACAACAAACTAAACCCAATATTAGTAGAAAGAAAGAAATAATAAAGATAAAGCAGAAACAAATGAAATTGACCTAAAAGCAATACAAAAGATAAGCAAAACAGAGTTGGTTTTCTGAGGAGATAAACAAAATCAACAAACCATAGCCAGACTAAGAAAAAAAGAGAGAAGACTAAAATAAATAAAATCAGAGGTAAAGGATACATCACAACTAATAACACAGAAATACAAAGTATCATAAGAGACTATTATGAACAACTGTATGCCAACAAATTAGAAAATCTAGAATAAATGGATAAATTCCTGGACACATACAACCTACCAAGAATGAATCATGAAGAAACAGAAAACATGAACAGACCAATAATTAGTAACAGGATTTAATTAGTAATAAAACTTTTCCAATCAAAAAACGTTCAGTACCTGATGGCTTCTCCACTGAATTCTACCAAACATTTAAAGAAGAACTAATATCGATTCTATTCAAACTATCCCTAAACATTGTAAAGGAGCAAATACTTCCAAACTCATTCTATGAGTCCCCCACTACAAGGACACAATAAAAAAGGGCCAATATTTCTAGTAAATATAGATGTAAAAAAAAATCCTCAGCAAAATACTAGCAAACTGAATTTAACAACACATTAAAAAGGTAATTCACCATGATCAAGTGGGATTCACCCCAAGATGCAAGGATGGTTCAACATATTCAAATCAATAAACATGATACATTACATCAATAGGATGGACAAAAACCATATAATCATTTCAATAGATAAGCATTTAACAATATTCAAAATTCCCTTCTGCTAAAAACTCTGAACAAATTAAGCATAGAAGAAATGCACCTCAATGCAATAAAGGTCATGTATGACAAATCCACAACTCACATCATACTAACGGGGAAAAGTTAAAAGCTTTTCCTTTAAAATCTGGAACAAGAAAAGGATGCCCACTTTTGCCACTTCTATTCAACATAGTACTGGAAGTCCTAGCCAGAGCAACTAGGCAAGAGAAAAAAAAAACAGACATTCAAATTGGGAAGGAGAAAGTCAAATTGTCCCTGTTTGGTGGTGGCATGCTCTTATACATAGATAACCCTAAAGACTCCACCAGAAAACTAACAGAACTAATAAATAAATTCAGTAAATCTTTAGAACCCAAAATCAACATAGAAAAATCAGTAGCTTTTATATAGGCTAATGATGAATTATCTATAAAAGAAATAAAGAAGACAATGCCACTTTCAACAGCTACACCACAAAAAATAAGATGCCTAGAAATAAATTTAACCAAGGAGGTGAAAAATCTCTATACTGGAAACTATAAAACACTGGTGAAAAAAAATGGAAGCTAACACACATACATGAAAAGACATCCCATGTTAATTGATTGGAAGAATTAATATTGTTGAAATATCCCTGCTACCTAAAACAATCTACAGATTCAATCCAATCTCTATCAAAACACCAAAGAAATTTTTCACAGAAATAGAAAAAAAAATCCTAAAATGTATAGGGACCACAAAAGACCTTGAATAACCAAAGCACTCTTCAGCAAAAAGAATAATGCCAGAGGCCCCACATATCCTTGATTTTAAAATATACTACAAAACTACAGTAACTAAAACAGCTTGGTATTGGTATAAAATAGACACATAGACCAATGGGACAGAATAGAGATTCCAGAAATAAAAACATCTACAGTCAATTGATTTTCACAAAGGTGCAAAGAACACACATTAGGGAAAGCACCGTCTCCTCAATGAATGGTGCTGAGAAAATTGGTTATCGATGCAGAAGAATGAACTAGACCCCTATCTCTCACCAAATAAGAAAATTAACTCAAAGTGGATTAAAAACTTAAATGTAAAACTCGAAACTATAAAACTGCTAAACAAAAACATATGAAAAATGTTTCATGGTTTTGATTTGGGCAATAATTTTTTTGCTAAAACCCTAAAAGCATAGGCAACAAAAGCAAAAATAGACAAATGGGGATTACATAAAACTAAAAAGATTTTGCACAACAAAGGAAACAGTTAACAGATTGAAGAGACAACCTACATAATGGGAGAAAATATTTCTAAACTATGCAGTATAATAAAATAGCCCCTGACAAGGGATTAATATCCAGATTATATCAGGAACTCAAAAAAAAACTCAATAGCAAAAATAATAATAAAATAATTCAATTAAAAAATGGAAAAAATACCTGACAAGACATTTCTCCAAAAAAACCATAGAAATAGGTATGCCATATGCCAACAGATATATGAAAAAATGTTCAACATCATTAATATCAGGGAAATGCAAATCAAAACCACCGTGAGATATAATCTCACTCCAGTTAGAACAGCTATTATCAAAAAGACAAAAAATAATAAATATTAGTGAGAATGTAAAGAAAAGAGAACACTTACATACTGTTGGTCGAAATGTAAATTAATACAGCCATTAAAGAAAATAGCATGGAGGTTCCCTTAAAAATTAAAAATGGAACTACCATATGATCTAGCAATCCCACTACTGGGTATGTATCCAAAGAAAATAACATCAGTATGTCAAAGAAATATCTGCACTCCCGTGTTTATTGAAGCCCTATTCATAATAGCCAAAACATGGAATTGCCCTAAGGGTATATCAACAGGTGAATGAATAAAGAACATGTGGTATACACGATGGAATACTATTGAGCCTTAAAAAAACAAGGAAATCTTGTTGATTGCAACAACATAGATGAAGCTTGAGGACACTGTGCTAAGTGGAAGAAGCCAGACACAGAAGGACAAATTCCACATGACCTCACTCATTTGTAGAATCAAAAAAAGTTGATCTCATAGAAGTAGAGAGTAGAATAGTGGTTTCTTAAAGCTGGAAAGAATAGAGATAGAGAGGAGAAGGGGATGGAGAGAAGGTTGTCAGTATGTACAAAGTTATAGTTCAATAGGAGGAATAAGTTCTATTGTTCTATTGCATAGTAGGATGATTATCATTAACAATAGCAGACTTTATATTTCAAAATTGCTAAAAAAGAGAATTCTGAATGTTCTCACTACAAAAAATGATAAATGTGCAAAGTGATAAATATGCTAATTACCATGATTTTACTATTACACAACGTATACATGTATTGAAACATCACATTGTACCTCATAAATATGTACAAATATGTGTTAATTAAAAATAAGTTGTATCTTTTGAAAAGAAAAAGGAAATAAAATCATCCAATTGGAAGAAAGAAGTAAAACCATCTCTATGCACTGATGACAAGAGCCTACATACTGAAAATCTTAAGAAACTCACAAGAAAGCTGATAAAATTAATAATTGAATACAGCAATGTTTCAGGGCATAAGATCAACACAAAAACAATCATCGTGTTTCTGTACACCAGCAGTGAACAATTCAAAGACAAACTTAAAAAAATTCTATTTCCAAAAAATGAAATACCTAGAGATAAACTTAACCAAGAAAGAGAAAGGCTTCCACACTGAAAACTACAAAACTTTGTTGAAAGAAATTAAAGATGACACAAATAAATGGAAAAACCCATTAAAATCTCATATTAATGGATTGGAAGACTCAATATTATTAAGATGTTTGTACTATCCAAAGTGATCTACAGATTTGATGCAATCTCTATCAAAATTTAAATAGCTATTTTTAGAGAAATGGAGTCAGTCCTCAGATTTATATGAAATTATAAGAGTCCCTAAATCGTTTCTAAAAATCTTGAAAAGAAAAATAGCATTGAAGGACTCACACTTCCCAAATCCAAACTCAGTAACCAAACCAGTTCGGTGCTAACATGAGGAAATACATGTAGACCAATGGAATAGAATTGAGGGTCCAGCAATAAGCCCATACATCTATGGCCAACTGATTTCAAAATGCATATTAATACCATTTAATGAAGGAAAGAATAGTCTCTTCAACAAGCTGGGACAACCAGATTTCCACACACAAAGTAAGGAACTTGGACCTCTACTTCATACCACATGTAAAAATTAACACAAAAAATGGATCAATGACCTAAATGTAAGAGTTAACAACATAAAATACTTAGAAGAAACTTAGGGAGAAATATTCATAACCTTGAATTTGGCATTGGATTCTTAGATATAACACCAAATACATGAACAAACAAATACATAAATAAATAAATAGGACTCCATTAAAATAAAAAACTTGGACATTATTTAAAAAGTGAAAAGATAACATATAGGAGAAAATATTTGTGATTTCATGTCTCATAAGAGTTTAATCTCCACAATATATGAAGAACTGCTAGAACTCAATGTGCAAAAATCACAAGCATTCTTATACACCACTAACAGAGAAACAGCCAAATCATGAGTGAACTCCCATTCACAATTGCTTCAAAGAGAATAAAATACCTAGGAATCCAACTTACAAGGGATGTGAAGGATCTCTTCAAGAAGAACTACAAACCACTGCTCAACGAAATAAAAGAGGACACAAACAAATGGAAAACATTCCATCCTCATGGATAGGAAGAATCAATATCATGAAAATGGCCATACTGCCCAAGGTAATTTATAGATTCAATGCCATCCACATCAAGCTACCAATGACTTTCTTCATAGAATTGGAAGAAACTACTTTAAAGTTCATATGTAACCAAAAAAGAGCCCACATTGCCAAGACAATCTTAAGCCAAAAGAACAAAGCTGGAGGCATCACACTATCTGACTTCAAACTGTACTACAAGGCTACAGTCACCAAAAGAGCATGGTACAGAGATATAGACCAATGGAACAGAACAGAACCCTCAGAAAGAATACCACACATCTACAACCATCTGATCTTTGACAAACCTGACAAAAACAAGAAATGGGGAAATGATTCCCTATTTAATAAATGGTGCTGGGAAAACTGGCTAGCCATATGTAGAAAGCTGAAACTGGATCCCTTCCTTACACCTTATACAAAAATTAATTCAAGATGGATTAAAGACTTAAATGTTAGACCTAAAACCATAAAAACCCTAGAAGAAAACCTAGGCAATACCATTCCGGACATAGGCATGGGCAAGGACTTCATGTCTAAAACAACAAAAGCAATGGCAACAAAAGCCAAAATTAACAAATGGGATCTAATTAAACAAAACAGCTTCTACACAGCAAAAGAAACTACCATTAGAGTGAACAGGCAACCTATACAATGGGAGAAAATTTTTGCAATCTACTCATCTGACAAAGGGCTAATATCCAGAATCTACAAAGAACTCAAACAAATTTACAAGAAAAAAACAAACAACCCCATTAAAAAGTGGGCAAAGGATATGAACAGACACTTCTCAAAAGAAGACATTTATGCAGCCAAAAGACACATGAAAAAATGCTCATCATCACTGGCCATCAGAGAAATGCAAATCAAAACCACAGTGAGATACCATCTCACACCAGTTACAATGGTGATAATTAGAAAGTCAGGAAACAACAGGTGTTGGAGAGGATGTGGAGAAACAGGAACACTTTTACACTGTTGGTGGGACTGTAAACTGGTTCAACCATTGTGGAAGACAGTGTGGTGATTCCTCAAGGATCCAGAACTAGAAATACCATTTGACCCAGCCATCCCATTACTGGGTATATACCCAAAGGATTATAAATCATGCTGCTACAAAGACACATGCACATGTATGTTTATTGTGGCACTATTCACAATAGCAAAGACTTGGAACCAACACAAATGTCCAACAATGATAGACTGGATTAAGAAAATGTGGCACATATATACCATGGAATACTATGCAGCCATAAAAAAGGATGAGTTCACGTCCTTTGTAGAGACATGGATGAAGCTGGAAACCATCATTCTCAGCAAACTATTGCAGGGACAAAAAACCAAGCACCGCGTGTTCTCACTTATAGGTGGGAATTGAACAATGAGAACTCTTGGACACAGGAAGGGGAACATCACACACCTAGGCCTGTCGTGGGGTGGGGGGAGGGGGGAGGGATAGCATTAGGAGATATACCTAATGTAAAGGACGAGTTAATGGGGGCAGCTCACCAACATGGCACATGTATACATATGTAACAAACCTTCACGTTGTGCACATGTACCCTAGAACTTAAGGTATAATAATAATAATAATAAAACCCAGAAGACAAAAATTCAATTAGGAAATGGTCAAAGGACCTGAATAAACATTTCTCCAAAGAAGACATGTAAATGGCTGATGAGCACATGACTATATGTTCACTATTATTAGTCATTAGAGAAATGCAAGTCAAAATCATAATAAGATATCACTCCAAACCTATTAGGATGGTTAAAATAATCTTTGTCCATTAAATAACAAGAGCTGATGAGGCTGTGAAGCAATTAGACCCCTTATACATTGCTAGTGAGAATGTAAAATGATGCAGTCATTAGGAAAATAGTTCGGTGGTTCCTTGAAAAGTTAAATATATGATTAACATATGACCCAGATTCCACTTTATACCCAAAAGAGTTGAAAACAGGGACTCAAAAAGATATTTTATGCAAATGTTCATTGCAGCATTATTCACAACAGCCAACAGGTGGGAGCACCCAAGTCCATCAACAAATAAATGGATAGATAAAATGTGGTATATACATATAATGGAATATTATTCAGCTATAAAAACGAATTAAGTTCTGATGCATGTTACAAAATGGATTATACTAAAGAAACCAGATACAATGGTACAAACTGCCTGACTTCATTTATATGAAATATATTGAATAGGGAAATTCATAGAGACAAAAAATAGATTAGAGTTAACCATGGGTTGGAGGGAGAAAGGATGGGGAGTTATTGCTTTAATGGATAGAGTATCTGTTTGAGGTGATGAAAAACTTTTGAAAATATATAGTGGTGATGATTGAAAACATTGTGAATGTAATTCATGTCCCTAAATTATACACAGAAAAAAATAAAAATGACAAATTTTGTTATATAATTTTACCACAAGAAAAAAATTAAAATGAAAATAAGATGCACTATATAGAAGACATAATTCTAATTTCTTAATTTATATAGAAAAAAGACTGGACAGAAATACATCAAAATGCTTTAATTGGTTAGCTCTGGATAGTAAGATAAAAATAGGTTTTTCTCTGTTATATCTTGAAATGTTTTCCATCTTCCACAGTGAATATATGTTAACAACATATACACTTAATATATGTTAAACAGAAAAGAATCAAGTTGTTTAACAAAAAATAGAGAAAATCCTAAAGGCACTTGCTATGGAGAAGAGAACAATCACAGAATAAATAAAAGCTGCTTCCAAATTCTTTCAAATAGAATTTTCTATTCGAAATAAATTTCAAACAGAAGGACTGTTCTGGAGAAAAAATTAAACTCTTCTGTGACACCTCAAATGGCAAAACTGGGATGGATGAAAGTTACACATTTAGAGATAAATTTGGCTTCGTGTGAAGGGGAACTCTGCTGACAAAGTTAACAAAGCCTGTACGAGGTTGTTCTTTCAATAGATTTAACAAATATTTAACAAGCTCCTTTAATATGTCAGAAGTATTGGGATTACAGCATGGATCAATACAGACTAAATGTTGTTCTCATGAAACACACATTCTGGGTGAGGAGAAGCAGGCAAAAAGCTAATGAAAACAAAGATAAATATAGTAACTTCAGATTGTGGAAAGTACTGTGAAAACATAAAGCAGGGTTGTGTGATAGAGAACTGGCTTCTTCACTATTAAAGTGATCTTTCTGAAGAAGTGACATTTGAGCTCAAATATGAATAATGAAAAAAGTCAAAGACATATAAAGATCCAAGGGGAGAGTATTTTAGGCAAAAGGAATAGCCAATGCAAGGGTACTTGAGTTGACCACAGCTTGACAATGTACTAGAGACAGTAAGACCAGTACAGCAGTCACATCAGTGAGTGGCAATGTGGGTAGAGGTGAAGTTGGTGAAGTAGTCAGGAGCCCAATCATATAAGACTTGAATTGAGTCAAAATGGGAAGCATTGGAGCATTTTAAGCAAGAGAATGAATAATAAAATTTATATTTAAAAACAATACTCTTACTATTGTGTAAATGGGAATGAGGAGAGGGCAGCAACAGTGGAAGCAAGATCAGCTATAAAGTTGTTACAGTAATGCACAAGGGAGCTGGCATTGCTTAGTGACTAATGATGGCGGCTACATTGAAAATGGAGGGGGGGAATCACAGTACGTTTTGGAGGCAGTGCTAACAGAAATTTCAAATGTATAGGATGTGATGGGTGAAGAAACAAGAAAAATAAAGGATGACTCTAGTTATTTGACTTGAACAACTAGGTAGATAACAGTGCAATTCCAGTAGAATGTAAGCTCCATAAGGAAAGAAATCTTGTTTTGTTTCACTGATGTATTATTCTAAGTTCCTAGATCAGTAAGTAGCACAAACTAGGGACTCAGTAAGTACATAATGATTATATTGAATATCAGATCTGGGGGAATTAAGAGTTCTGTTTGAGAATGTGAAGTTTAATTCCTATTAAATACCCATGGTTAGATGCAGAGTAGCTACATTTCCAGAGCTTTGGATGGACATCAAGGCTGGAGATATAAATTTGGGATTCATCAGCAGATAGATAATATTAAAGTCATGGGGCTGGTTGAGATTACTTATGGAGATGGTATAGGCTGAAAAGACAGCGGATCCAAGAACAAGACTTGAAATACTCCAAAAGTTAGAGAACAAGTATATTTGCAAATTGCTCACTACACATTTCTTTTCAGTAAAGTTACTTGTTTCTATATATGCATGTGTGTGTGTGTGTGTGTGTGTGTTTACTATATATAAATATGCTTCCAAATATATATGGGTGTGTATGTGTATATGTGGGTATATATACATTTATATATACACACATATATATGTTTCTATATATATTTATATATACACACATATATATGTTTCCCATATATATATATGTTTCCATTATATATATGAAAACAAGTAAATATATATGTATATTCAAACTGTTTTGGGGAGCAACATGTTAAACATTTGCAAGTATACCACTGCCTCCTACTGAACAACTGCATAAGCCCAAAATTCAAATTCATGCCCCTGGATGTTAGAATCTGGCTAATGGAAATGGAATGGTAGTAGAATTAGGGATGAGAATGGAGAAAGTGGGTATACATAACTGTTTGGGAAGTTTAAGAATAAAGGAGGCAGTAGCTGGTGGTAGATTCAGGGTCAAATAAGAATTTTTAAAAGAAAGAAGATATGAGAATGTATTATATGCCATCATTGGGAATGATCTAGTAAACAAGAGAAAGGTTGATAATAATGGAGAAATAGATTATTAGACGAATAAAATCCTTGAGAAGGTTGGAGGAAGTAGGAGTAAAAGCATAAATGGAACCACTACAAACCTATTAGAATGGCCAAAATCCAGAACACTAACAATACTAAATGCTGGTGAGTATGTGAAGCAACAAGGACTCTAAATCATTGGTAGTAGAAATGCAAACTAGTATAGCTGTTTGGAAAGACAGTTTAGAGGTTTCTTACAAAACAAAACTTATTCTTACTACATAATCCTTTACCCAGTGAAAATGAAAACTTATTTCCACTCAAAAATCTGCACACGGATGTTTATAGCAGCTTTATTTACAGTTGCCCAAACTTGGAAGCAACTAAGATATCCTTCGGTAGGTGAATGAATAAATCAACTGTGGTACATACAGACAATGGAGTATTATTCAGCACTAAAAAGAAATGAACTATCAAACTATGAAAAGACATAGTTGAACCTTAAATGCATATTACTAAGTGAAGAAAAGCCCATCTGAAAAGCCTATATATGATTCCAACTATATAACATTCTAGAAAAGCCAAACAAACCTGCATGTTGTGCACATGTACCCTAGAACTTAAAGTATAATAATAAAAGAAAAGAAAAGAAAAGAAAGGCCAAAACTACTGAGACGGTAAAAGATCACAGTGGTTGCCAGGAGCTTTGGGGAAGTGGGGAAGATGACTAGGCAGAGCAGAGGATTTTTAGGGCAGTGAAAATATTCTGTGTGATAATATAATGATGGATACATGTCATTATACATATGTTCAAACCCATAAAATGTGCAAGACCAGGAATGAACTGTAATGTAAACGATGGACTTTGGATAATAATGATGTTATTATTAATTGTTTCTCACGAAATGCTTTCATTGAGTTTTGCCAAACTCTTGTGTCCATAATCAACCTATGATTGCAATTGATGACTGAATTAGTTTCAACATGAATGTTGGTTGAGATTTTCCTTTAGCTGAGCTAGTAAGACAAAAGCAAAACAACAAAGACATGTCAAAACTTCAATCATTCATCAATAGAATTTCATCAGTTACAACAAATATACCACTTTGTGAGGAACGCTGATAGTAGCAGAGGCTATGTATGTGTTTGGGAAGGAAGTACATGGGAAATCTCTGTACCTTCCTCTCATTTTTGTTGTGAACCTAAGACAGCCCTAAAAAAGAATAAAGTCAAAAATAAAAAAATTTTCCATTGCAGGAACATTAGGGAGACAATTTATTCATTAGAAGGTGGAGGGTAAGAGAGGTATAATGGCAAGATTACCTTTAAGCTTCATTCTAAATCCTGAGAGGCTAAGATTTAGGTATGAGAAATATAAAAGCCATTTGGCTCCTATAAATTGGGTACATTTTAACTATAACTGTATCTAAAAGCACTCTGAAGTTAGTGTTCCTGATTTTCAAGCTGCTTTTTTCATTTTAAGTGTTTAGTGACCATTTATAGAAGTTCCACATTTTGCAGAAAACAGCAAAATAACGAGCAAGCTTTTCTTTTGCTAATACTTTCTTGCAATACTTAAAAATGAGGATTCTATTTCCTCTCTGTGTATATATTTGGGAATAAATTCCAGATCATTGCTGCTGTTGCAGCTGCTGTTCCTCATGGTAGACAAATCTTTCCAAGGCAGAGGGAGGGCAGCTGAGGGTAGCACCTCTGGTAAGAAAGTTTTAAAATGTCTTACTTGTTACACCAATAAGAGTTGTAATGGCCAGATCCTGGAACAGAAACTGGTAATTTGAAAGGCTGTTTGTCTCCTGAAAATAAAAAGAAAGCAGATCAAAAAAGTTGTGACCTTCTGGATGAAATTAGATATTGATTACATTTATTTTCTCACTGTGACATAGGGTTTTTCAAGTAAATTACTGTGGAGATGCTGTGTTCGGGGCCTGGTTGAGTTGGTGAGTGATGGTGTTGGTGGAAGTAATCAAAGCCAAACCTGTGAAACCCTCTCTATGCAGGGGGCCTATCATCATGTGCTTTCAGGGTGGGATTGTTTGTGCATCCTTATTACTTTGTTGAGGAGGACATCTTCCCCTACCAGATTCATCTCTGCTCTCTTTTCTACTTGTTAACAGAAAATTTAGGATTTCATTTCACACAATAAAAAAATACATCCCCAAGTGACAAATGTGTGGTAACCTTACATAAGTTTTACTGATGGAAAATAAGAATAAGTAAACTCACTATTTGCATTCTTGAATGTTTTTAGACAAAATTTTAGAAAATCCTAGCAAAACATCTTAATAGTCTAGAGGAAAAAGTGCTATGTCTTACTGATTTTAAGAAACTCACTCACTTTCTTGCTCCCCACCCCTTAGTGGAAAGGAGATAATGTTCAATGTTTAATTCTACTTTTGAGTATAATTTGGGAATTCTAAAATAGAGGCCAATTTCCAGAAATAGCCTATCCTTCTCTAGCCCATTTATCAGTGAGTAGGAAAAGATATAGTTTATCGGAGAGCAATAGAACTAAAATCTTTAACCCAGGAAAAAGAAGGCAGTATATAAAGATGAATCTGGATATCTGCCACACAGATATCCAGACGAACTTTCTTTCCTTGGTGTTGGTTAATACGGTAATCTCACATGTTGAGTTCACAGATGATGTGCATGTTTTTTTCTCTTTTTATATCTTGGTAAATAAAAAAAAGTGATCACAAGACCTATGTATTTTTGTGGTATGATATGCCAGTTTTCACATCCCTATATTCAGGGAACCAGTGGCATGCTGGCTTATACTAACACTTAAAAGTCAATTGCTAAATTTTCAGAGATGTTGTGAGCTGGTTGTTAAACAAAGCCAATACAAAAACTTAAATTATACAAGTGTACCATTAAATAAATTATACTAAAACCAAAGTTAATAAATACTCAAAGCTCAGCTATTTCTAAATATTTTTCTACATTTTACTGCTATCTCTGCCCTTAAGGTTATTTACGACTCTTGTATCTATATGGGGCAAGTATTATAGAATCATATGCTACTATACATCTTTCCCCACTTCATGTTCAGTGACAATAGGCAGACAGCTTGCAACTGGTTATGGTAGGAGTATTTACGCCACTGAAATGGGCAAACATTAATAATCAGGTCTTTTTTTTCATGCTAAATGAAGCATTTAGCAACACCCCAATGCAGAGAACCATTTCTTTAGTGAGTGGTAGACTAGGGTAGAGCCACGTTGCAATTAAGAAGATAAAGACCTTGTCCAATCAGGTAAAAGTAGCAGCAATATATTCAGTGGTGATTTCAGCTATTACTAGATAAAAGGTTTCTACATCAGAGAATTGACATCAGCAACTTTTCCTGTACAAATCTGTCTATTTGTGATTTACTTTACAAATTCTTAAGGATATTTTTGGAGGGGCTGTTGTTGTTCAGATATCCTATTTGTACTCTTTCTTTGAGAGGCATTGTAAATTGAGAGTGCACCGCTACTTGTTTTAGTTCACACTAACCAAGAGGCTAAGTCCCAAGTCATACCCAGTAGAGCAGCAGAACACCAACATACTGAATCATGCTGTACAGAGCCATGTACTTAAACATGCAAAAGGAGGTAACGAGAGCTGCACGTCCTTCCCTGTGTAAGAAAAGAAATGATAAAGACATGAAAGTAATGAAAAGACATAAGGTCAGTCATTCTGTGCTGTTCAGCTAAGCTCAGGAGAAAAAAAATCAAAAGTCATTATACGACTGTCTGTCTGAAAATGGACAGCCCTGAGCTCATGGATGCTGGCTGTCAGTAAACTACACAACCCAATTTTCAAGAAAGGCCAATTCCAGGCCAAGGTCCAAGGGCCTTGATCTGGTGATGGAGTCCAGATTTACAGTTGCTCTTGTCCTTTCAGCAGGCATTGTTTTAGCTCCTGAACTCAGATCAGTGGAGCTAGTGCCAGATCTTCTACCTATTCACTAATGAGATGCAGAAGATCATTTCCCTTGTCTCAGTTTCTTCATCTGTGAACTAATGGATTTAAATAAAATTCCAGATTCAGGGGTTATTTTCATACAGGAGCTTCAGGAGCTTGGCAAGCATTTGATTCAAATTTCATTTTGGCAGTCCCAACTTTTTCTAAAACTGGACCAAAACAATACACACTCAAATTAGTCATATATCAAATTGAAATAGGCTGGAAATGATGAGCATTTTCATTTGTGTTATTGTTGATTGATTTGAATAAATAGTACACATTTAAAGCATGAAATAGATGACACATGAAATGTCACTTTTATCTTCTATTTCATTCGGTGAAAAATAAAGTTTAAGTTACACTTTTTAAATTTAAATTATACTTTTTTTTTTGTCAGAATCTTGCTTAGTCACCCAGGCTGGAGTGCAGTGGCATGATGTCAGCTCACTGCAACCTCTGCCTACCAGGTTCAAGTGATTCGCCCGCCTCAGCCTCCTGAGTAGCTGGGACAACAGGCATGCTCCACCAGGTCTAGCTAATTTTTTTTTGTATTTTTAATAGAGACTGGGTTTCATCACGTTGGCCAAGCTGGTCTCGAACTCCTGACCTCAAGTGATCCACCCACCTCGGCCTCCCAAAGTGTTGGGATTACAGCCATGAGCCACCACACCCAGCCTAGATCATACTTCTTTAAGTTTAAACTCATGCCCACTATGATGTCCTAGGGTGTTAAAACCTGATCCCCGGGGCCGGGCGCGGTGGCTCACGCCTGTAATCCCAGCACTTTGGGAGGCCGAGGCGGGCGGATCACGAGGTCAGGAGATCGAGACCATCCCGGCTAAAACGGCGAAACCCCGTCTCTACTAAAAATGCAAAAAATTAGCCGGGCGTGGTGGCGGGCGCCTGTAGTCCCAGCTACTTGGGAGGCTGAGGCAGGAGAATGGCGTGAACCCGGGAGGCGGAGCTTGCAGTGAGCCGAGATCCCGCCACTGCACTCCAGCCTGGGCGACAGAGTGAGACTCCGTCTCAAAAAAAAAAAAAAAAAAACCTGATCCTCAAACCAGGTTTTTTTCTGTATCAGAGTTTTGCCGTGACATTTCCTCTGCCCAGAGGTAGTTTCTCCTTATTGCTTAGAGAGGTTCTCTAAGCAATAAGGAGAGGTTCTCCTTAGAGAGGTTTTCCCATACCACCCCATCTGAAGCAGCTGCTTCCACCTATATAGCCATCTTATTCCCTTTTACCCTTTTTATTTCCTGGACAGCACCTATCAAAATCAGTAGGTATCATCCTTATCTCCCTTAGTTTCTGGCACTAAATGCCTACTCACTAAAGATTTGTCAAATGCATGAATAAATAAAAAATTGGGAGGACCTAGCCAAATTATTATTTTTATGTGGTGGAAATAGTATATCTGTAGATAAAATACATTTGAATAAAATTAATTCTAAGACAATCTCTAACCTCATATGGTTGTATGAGCTTGGGCACATCAATTAAATTTTCTGAACTTCAATTGTTTTGTTTGTTAAAAAAATAGCCATTCCTGCATCTCCAGGCTGTTTTGAAGTGTGAGATAGTAGGCATTATAGCATTTTTAAACTAGAAACACATGTCAGTTACAATAACCAAGAGCAGCCACCATGCTCACTATCTCTATCATTCAAATATAATGGAGCAGAAGTACATTTTCGGCAGGGTGGTGGGGGACATCAAAGCAAATTTTAGTGAGAGCAGCAAAAGCCAATAAAGATTTTTTTTTTTTTTTTTTTTTTTTGAGACAGAGACTTGCTCTGTTGCCCAGGCTGGAGTGCAGTGGCACAATCTTGGCTCACTGCAATCTCCACCTCCCAGGTTCACACCATTCTCCTGCCTCAGCCTCCCAAGTAGCTGGGACTGCAGGAGCCTGCTACCACGCCCAGCTAATTTTTTGGTATTTTTAGTAGAAACGGCGTTTCACCATGTTAGCCAGGATGGTCTCAATCTCCTGACCTCGTGATCTGCCCACCTCGGCCTCCCAAAGTGCTGGGATTACAGGCGTGAGCCACTGCGCCCGGCCAAAGATTTTGAAAACTTTATTTTTCAAATAAAAATTGAAAAGGAGATAGTTACATTTGAAAAATGGGGATGATTGACACTTTCAAAGCAATAACAAGTTCCAGATTCCAATCTTCTAAAAATAACCTAATCAGTGAATTCACTGGAAATGCCACTGCTCTCCCAATGTTATTGTTAACTTCTGGAAAATCCATTTGGAAGTAGAATGCTTGACTGCATTCTTCCACAAAACACCCTCCGCACCCAGGGACAGAAAGTTTCTCTAGTCTTTCCCAGGCAGAACAATGTGATTTGCACCAGAAGTCAAGAGAGAGAAAACAATGTTTGAGGAAGTGCCTACTTACTTGATAAGGTGAGGTACGCACTCAATGTTTGGAGTTTTGGAAGTGAAAGGTGAGGCCACAGATGCCTCCTGCTCTGATAATGAGATGCCCACATGAGCCATTTTCAGAGCCTGAAAGCAAAGAATCAGCTTACTCCTCACATAGACTCACGTACGTCTCTACTAAAGCCTCATAAGAAAAGGCCAGTTAAGCTGGCCACAAGGTGGTTTGTGTGCCCAAACTCTAACCAAGAGACTTAACCCTGCCTGGAACATGAGAAAAAGATGGCATTAGGATACCTAGCCAAAGAAATGAGAACTCCAGAACCAAATTCTACTCTGTGTAGCCTGAACTAACCATTGAATCGTGTGACTTTGGTCAAAAGCCTCCCAATGCAACAGTTTATCCGTCAAGAGGAATGTAAATGGTATATATGCCAGGAGTATACCTCTAAAGGGCTCGAGTATAAATGAATGTGAGATTATGACTACACACACTGGCAGCTACTCTAAAGGGCTTAAGTGTAATCGAATGTGAGATTATGGCCACACAAACTGGTAGCTACTTACCCCACAGTCATTGGCTCCATCACCACACATACCTACAAAGTAACTAAGAGGGAACCACATTAATTGTAGATGAGATCAAACCTATCTTGCTAATTTCTCTAATTAAAAAAACAAAGTAACCATCATTACTTAGGGTTCAAACTCATTATTTAAGGGAATTTTCCTAAGAGTCTAGTTTGACTGAAAAAAGTGTGATTCAGCAGTTAATACAATGGATTTAGAAATTCAGAACGTGATTCCTGACTGTAAGTGTTTCATGTAGACACTGCACATCACTGCGTAGGGAGAGTTTTCTCAGCTGTAAGACAGAGGTGCTCACAATTCTATGATGTAAGTTTGGCATGGCAGAGAGGGCACAGGATTTGAAACCAGATGCAGATGTTGACCTGGTCATCTTAACATTTTCACTATTATTATTATTCCCATCATTATTATTATTTTGCTACGAAGGGCTATGAGTATTAAATGAGGTGCTGTATGGGAAAGTACTTATAAAGTCTAAAATGATAACAAGTCATAGTTGTTTGTGCTGTTAATACTAGCATGAGAGGAAATCCATCCTGTCAACAGTCACTCAACTCAAGTATGTAATGCCAGGCCTAGAAGTTGAAGAAAGAAAACACATCCTTGTTTCAGAATGACTTTTTGAGGCTGGGTGAATACTCTCTTGAATCATTGACAAGGACTATTGAGAGCCAACTTTTTAAATTATGAGCATTCTGACAGCATTCATAAAACATGCTATACTTTTCTTCCACACTGCCATATGGAGGGAACTCGTTGACTCTCTAGGTTTCAGCCATGTTGAGAAGATAGGGCTTTCTGAGCTGAGAAGCTAGCCTGATAACGGAATCAAATGAATAGGAGGGCAGAGCAGAAACAAGTAGGAGTCGGAGTCATGTTGTTGTGACACGATGACCAAGATGGAGAAAGCCTCTGGTACTCTGTGGGGTTCTATTAACAGGAAACAAAGGGTCCTAAGCGATGGGCACTTCATTTGGACTGCCCATTCTGTCTAGGAATGGAGACCCTTTGTGTTAGAAGAGAATGATTTTTCTGATTTAGGGTGGAAAAATGCTTTGGCACACAAGTATTTTAGTATTTTTAATGTTGCATGAATCTCTTGTCATATGAATATCCCTATATCATCATTGTGATGACGGCATATACAAATAAATTCTCACTGTCCCTCCAGGAGCTGAGCTCAAGCCACCTTTCCATTCTTATTTCTCCCCACACTCTTTCAGGACCCTTAGGTTCTAGTCCAGTGGTTCTCAGCATTGAATGCAAAATTGACTTAAGTGAAAAAAAATACTGATTTTTTAAGCCCCATATAAACAACTGAATCAGGATCTCTGAATGGTGAGATCCCTTGGTACTGCTATTTTCTCCAAAGCTCCCAAGTGATTATCTCATGCAGCCGAAGTACGGACCACTGCCCTTGTCAAACTGAGTGACTCCTGGTACCTCTTCCACTCCCCCTGACTGTTATGCCTCCATGCAGTTCATGCCACCTGCACTGGCAAAGAACCTACTCCAGTTTCTGAAATTCTTCCACCAGACTGGACTTCTGCCCAGGAGACATTCTTGCAAAGATGGTCCCATTGATCAATATCTGTAAGGAACCCAAAATGGAGATTTTTTTATCAAGTCATCTGGTTGTACATGAAATAATTACTAACACTCAGAATGTTGACTGCATCATGACACTTACGATGAAGAAAAAAAAAAGTTTCCAATGAGCCTTCCTTTGGATTTTAAGACAAACATTGAGGTTTTGGTCATCAGATAAGTGATCAGTGAAAAACAAAAATCAGTAAAGATAATTACTTAACAAAAAATATTTTATGAAAATGATGACCTACAGGAATTTACCTCAGCTGTCACGGGGAATGTGGTCCTGAAAAATCTTGAGCTTAATGGAACCTTGAACTGCAAAACAGCAAAAGGTTGATCTATATATCTAAACTATCGATCTATCTCTCTCTCTCTCTCTATATATATATATCTAAAACTTACCTCCCCCGACTAAAGCTTTAAGTTTGACCCTCTTGAGTACAGAGGTCATCTATCAAAAAACTAATGGTGTTCCTTTATTCTTGGTCTGCTTTCCTGTGTAATTGCAGGGTTTCCACTATACTCTGAGACCCCTTACCATGGCAATATAGTGACAGCCACCCAAAATCATCTGTATAATTCAAGAAATCACTGATACTTCAATCCTATAGATGGTGGAAAATTGACTAATCAAGTTTATTTATTTCAAATCTAGTAGGAAATGAGACAATAGTATCTTCTGCAAAAATATCTGTCTCTCTTAAGATACAGAAAACTCACTGAGTATATTTTACCTGTCTCAAGATTTGAAATAATTTAGGACCATGTTCTGTAAGTGACATCATCAGCATTTTCATAGGGAGATTGTCACCCTCTTAGAACTTACCTTTGGCAGTAGGCTGCTGAAATGTTGACTTATAACATGAAAGGATTTTCCAGTTAGGGCAAAATGGTAACTTCCTTCTCTGCCTTTATCAGAGACTTCATCCCTGATGTTAATGTAATTGTCCTACAAAGCAAGACACAGTTATTTTAGACTCTTTCATTTGACAGAGTGGTTAGAACCATAAGCATATCTGAGAGAAGTTAATGAAGACAGACCAGGATCTATCTGTAAAAGTCACTCTGATTCCTCAGAGAAGCATTTTCTTTTTGCTGGATCAATCTTTGCACATCACAGACAACCAGTGAATAGGAGAATAACACTTACTCATGTCCTGTTTTCATCGTGATTTGATCTTGGTGAGTCCCAGAGAAGAGCACATTTCACACATATCAAGTGTAAAATACAAAAGCACTGCAGCTTAACAAATTTCTCCCTGAAATGAGAACTTACTATTTTTTTGTCCTTAGGGAACTAATATTGTTCTACAAGGACACAACAGAGATAGAATACTGACAAGACTGGAGATAAATGAATGAAACTTTTTTCTCACCCTGAAAACATAGTCTGATTTTCTGATACACAGAGCAGCATCTCTCCCAAAGACTAGATCCCCTTAGAACCCAGTGGGGTGATTGACAAGCAAGGGGAAAGGGAGAAAATAGATTCAACTCCACGCACTATATTCTTTCTCATATAGGGACAACCACTTTTTTAAGGTTAAAAGATGGATTATTTCCAGCACACAGGAAAGCACTATACCTTCAATCTCTGTATGAAAAGTATGGAAAAACCAATGTAACTGAGTTCGTTCAAAAGCATGAATGCTAGACATTTGGAAGCATATGTTGACTCTAGGTCAAAGCTGCTCAGTCACCAACACTGCAAGACACATTGATAATGTGGCAGAAGGTCTGTGTTCAGGAGTACCTGATTCCCATACATAATGTGTTTCTTCTCTTCTACTAACGTCCAAGATATAGATGCTGATGAGGACCCGGTGGTTTCATTTGCCTCAATGAGAATGACTTTCTGGCTTTCAGAAACCATTCCAGATTTTCTGGCCACTGTTATTGCAGTCTGAAGATTGTCACCTAGAGGAAAGGAGGAGTATCTCAAGATGAGGTTGACAAGATTGAATTAATTCATGCAGAGCCTTGAAAACCAGAGCAGGGAGTTCAGTCCTTATTTCAGGTATGAAGAGAAATGATCTCTGATATCTATTTCAGCCCTGACCTTCTGTGACTCCATGATCCCTTTTCTGGTTCTTACTGCTTTTCGTCAGGTTGCTTCATGATCTACCAGTGTATTTTTGCCAGACTGGGGGAAAAAATTAAAAAGCAAAATTCAAATCTATTTTCATCATTTGTTAGCAGCTTTGCAAATGTTTAGGCAAATCCTCTGGTTTAGTAGAGTATCTGGTGGTTCCACTTCCAGGCAAAATGGAGTAAACCCACTAGGATGTATCTCTCCCACTGATTACAATGGAAAACTCTGAACAAAAACCAAGAAGCAACTCCCCAAGGACTTTGAAAAGTAAACAAAAGCAGGCAGATGGTGGGAGGGAGTCAAATTTGGAGAAGCAACCTACAAGGGGATGAGTTTCTCAGCACTTTTTCTCTTCCCTATTCCATATTTGACTGGCGTGTGGGCCTCAGTTAAAAAGCTGTTTGGGCAGTAGAACTCCAAAAGACACCCAGTCTTTCTGGCCAGAAGAGCCAGGAAAAGGGACCCTTGTAGGCTAAAGGGCATGGGCGGAATCCTGGAAAGGAGAGAGCCAGACACAGGGACTAATTCAGTATATGAATTACGTAAGTCCCAAGTTCAGCCTAGAGCTGTGCGTGTGTGGACCAGATCCAAAGAAAGATAACCCCAAAAACTTCAGGAATTGAACTATGATATAAATCACCCCTCGTTTGTGAGAGTAACCTCTGAGTGAGGCAGACCCAAACATCATAGCAAAAGATTTTATATTTTAGCTAAGATTGAAACTGCCACCTACAACAGGAAAGATAGAACTTATGGTTGATTGCTAGCCCAAAACAAACAAACAAGAAAACTCTCAACATTCTCCAGAAGATTTTAACAGGATTCAAAGTTTCATAACATAATATTCAAAATGTTCGGGATATTCAATATGAAAAATCTGGAAAATCTGGTCAATTCTCAAGAAAAGCCACAACAGTTGCCAATCCATAGATAGCCTAGATGTTGGAAGTATCAGACAATGGTTTTTAAAGCAGCTATTAAAAGCCCCCTTCATGTGGTAACTGTTAATATTCTTGAAATAAGTGGAAAGACGGAAGTTCTCAACAAGAAAATATAAACTGTGGGAAAAAACCAAATGGATACTTTAGAATTAAAAAATATAATACCTGAAATTTAAAAAAATCACTGAATGTACTCAATAGCAGAATAGATCAATGGAAATTACACAACCTGAAGAGCAGAGAGAAAAAATCGTTTTAGTGAACAGACTCAAAGATACCAAAATAATTCATATTCATGTCATTAGAGTCCAAGGAGAGGAAAAAAGGTTGAAAAAGAAAAAAAAATTGACAAAATAATAGGAGAAATTTTCCCAAGTATGATAAAAGACTTAGATTTACAGATTCAAGAAGCTCAGTGAATTCCAAACAAGATAAACTTAGTGAGAATCACAACCAGACATATAGTAATCAAACTGCTAAAAATCAAAGATAAACAAAAAAAGCAGTTAGAGAAAACCACATTACATATAAGAAAACAATACTTCAAATTATCACAGATTTCCATCAAAAATATGGAGAGAAGAAAATAGTGGAACAACATCTTTGAGGTGCTGACTTCATCTTTCACTTTGAAGTGTCAACTCTGACTCCTATAGCTTCTAAAAATATTCTTCATGAATAAAGGAGAAATAAAGACTTTATCAGATGAATGAAAATTGAAGATAATTTGTTGACAGTGGACATGCTCAAAAAATAAACAACAACAAAAGCTACAGGGTTCTTCAGGTTGAAAGGAAATGATACCAGATGTTAACTTGTAACTTAAGGAATGAAAACACAGAAACAGAAATGATAATGATCTGGGTAAATATAAAAGTCTAATTTTCTTTACTCATGTTCTTTAACTCTTCCCTGTTGAAAGTAAAGACTATCACATCATCTGGTGGGGGTTTTCAACATATGTCATAGTTATGACGATAATAACATAAAGAAGAGAAAGCAAGAGACATTCCTGGTTATAAGGCTTCTTGAAAGGAGAGGTATGTATGTTGTGATGCCTAGAGCAACCATTAAAAATTAATCATATAACATCTGGCTGGCTATCCTTAACATAGCTTCTCCCAGGTTTCTACCAAACTATGTATGAAGATCCTCAAAAGAGCCGAAGTGGTAGGAAGGAGCTACCTGAGGCTGGAAGGATACAGGGAGCCCTGAGCGCTCATAGGCTTCCTCCATGCTCCACAGCAGGCCCCTGACAGCCTGTCTGCTTTTTGCCCTCTACCACCTGTCAGAGATCCAGTGTTCGGGATAAACAGCCCAGGCCTGAGCTCCAATCATCTGACAGAAAAATCTAACAACCTGTCTAAGAAATCCGAGACACTGGACAGGAAAAGATCAGGAGGAACAACCAGAGCACATGACTAGAGAAGTCAAGAAGCTGCCGGAGACAGATGAAACCTGCTTTAAAAATAAGGAGAGCACTGGCCAGGCGCAGTGGCTCACACCTGTAGTCCCAGCACTTTGGGAGGCCGAGGCACACAGATCACGAGGTCAAGAGATCAAGACAATCCTGGCCAACATGGTGAAACCCTGTCTCTACTAAAAATATAAAAATTAGCCAGGCGTTGTGTTGCGTGCCTGTAATCCCAGCTACTTGGGAGGCTGAGGCAGGAGAATCACTTGAACCCAGGAGGCGGAGGTTGCAGCGAGCCGAGATCGCACCACTGCACTCCAGCCCTGGCAAGACAGTGAGACTCTGTCTCAAAAAAATATATAAAAAATAAATAAATAAATAAAGCACTGGCTGGGCGTGGGGACTCATGCCTATAATCCCAGCACTTTGGGAGGCCAAGGTGGTAGGATCACCTGAGGTCAGAAGTTCAAGACCATCCTGGCCAACATGGTGAAACCCTATCTCTACTAAAAATACAAAAATTAGCTGGGCGTGGTGGTGCACACCTGTAGTCCCAGCTACTCGGGAGGCTGAAGCAGGAGAATCGCTTGAACCCGGGAGTCGGAGGTTGCACTGAGCCGAGATCAGGTCACTGCACTCCAGCCTGGTGACAGAGCAAGACTCTATCTCAAAAAATACAAATAAATAAAAAATAAATAAGGAGAGCACTTAAGAAAACTCAAATCCCACCCCACACACGATTTAAGAACTGAACGATTCAACTTAAGAAAACTCAAATCCCACCCCACACACAATTTAACAACTGAACGATTCAAAAGGGGATTTGAAAAAGATAATGAGCATTGTTGAGACCTGAGATTGTGGTCTGAACAAACTGGGTGCAAAAAAAAAAAAAGTCTTAAAGCAAAATTATAAAAAGATACAATCTAAAGCAAGGCAAGTGGTGCATGCCTGCAGTCCCAGTTACTAAGAAGGCTTAGGCAGGAGGATCGCTTGAGCCCAGGAGTTCAAGGCTGAAGTGAGCTATGATCCTGCCACTGCACTCTAGCCTGGACAAGAGAGCAAGACTCTGTCTCTAAAAAATAAGTAAATAAACAAACAAATAAATAAGACAACTACAAGAAAAAAGATAGACTGAGAGGATAGATAACAATGGAACTACCAGAAGTAAAAATGGAAAGACAGAGAACAGAGGCAAAAATTAAATAAACAATAGGGAAATCTTTTCTGGTAGGAAGAAAGACTAAAAAGTGCTGTCCATGTTTCTCCCACTCCGATCTCTTCTTGATTCTGGGGAAGTCTGGTTCTGATCACTGGTTTCCAGGGATTGATTCTAAGGCCTTGGGTCACAGAAAGAAGCAACAAGAAATTCTAATCAATTCAAAACTTTTTAAGTGAATGAATCATCATAAAACTGGTCCATTCAGAGGATAGAGTTGAGTCCATTAAGTTATTGTCACAAGGGGTTGCGTATTTGGTGATTCAGTTATATAAACCAATGTTCTTGCTATAAATATGATACTTTTCATAATCTGTTTTATCATATGTATAACATTCAAAGTGACAGATATTATGATGACTTAATAAATATGTCAAAAAATGGTAAAAAATAAAAATAAAAATTTTTCTAAAAGCGCTGTCCATGTTCCAGACTAAGTTAATGAAATAAGGGAAACACAAAGGCAAACATTTCTAAATTTCAAAGTTAAAAAGTTTATGTGCAGAAAAGAGTAAGTTACTTACAGTGGACTCTCACTGGACTTGTCATGAGCAATATCAGAAGCCACAAGGCAAAGGAATAGCCCCTACATACAGATCATTAAGAAAAAAGAACAATAATTCAAGAATCTTATATCTGAGCAAGATGTCATTCATGTGTCAGAGCAAAGAAAGATATTCAAGCATATGTAAGAAATCTAAGAGCACCCCTTCATTCCATCCAAGGACAATACTTCAGCGAAAAAAATTTGTAAACAAGCAAGGAAAGAAATACGGCAGAAATTTCAATATGAGAAAAGAGGAAGTAAAGAGAGAGGGTGGAGAAGGAGGAACACTTGTACATAAATCTAAGTTAAGGATAGATTATGAGAATGTGTCATCTAAGTGCTAAATAAAGATTTTTGAAACAGAAGGGTCACAGTGTAAGGGAAATCCTAACCAGTAGTAAATGAACTCAGCAACTTCAAAAAGTTGGACTGGGGTGTTAGAAAGGGAGAAAGTAAAAACAGTCCAAGATCCTCTTGGATTGTGGGGAGTAGAACAGGGGACAGAGAAGTACAAAAGAGGAAATAAAAGTATTCTAGAGTTTGCAACTGTAGAATTGGGTTCAGGTGAAATGGGAACAGAAAATGCGTGCTTTGATGGGGAAATAATGTATCTTCGTGACATAAATGATAGAGTTAAAAGCATCTGACTACAAGAGCAGGGAAAAGAAAGGCAACACACCCCAAAAATATGAACATGAATTCATTAGGAAATCATTTATTCACCTCGTCTCTTTCCCAATTAAAAAATTATAGCATCAGTGTGAAATTTCATTAATAAAGTCACACTTAATTTCATTAAGAAATTTCACACATTTCTCTTGTGTGATTTACTCTCATTGCTCTCTTGTTTGTATGATTTGGAGTTGGGATTGGGAGTAGAGAGGACATCATTTTCTTAAATTTCTAGAATCGTGGATTTTATGATTGATGGGTTTTCAGCATATTTATAGACCCCATCAACTGAGGATGCTTCTTCTTCTAGCACTTGACAATAAAAATCACCTTTGCCTGACTCATGTCTTCTTGCCATTCAGATCTTATTTCAAATGTCACATCTCGGAGAGGCATCTCTTAACCATCTCATCTAAAACAGATGGTCAAACACTTTCCTGCATTATCCTATTTGTGTACCTCAAAACGCTGATACTATTTGACTGATTGGTTGATCTTCTCTCATTCCACTCACATGGAAACTCAGGGAAAGCAGTAAATGTGCCTTTTTGTTGCCCATCTCCAGCACCTGGAATGATGTCTGGCCCAGAGTAGGTAGTCAACAACATTTATTAAATGAGTGAACCATGTCTATTTCCACATCAAATTCTTACTGTTTTCACTGTATACTTTGTTTCATACCTGTGATCATTACAGTCCTTATCCGGGCTGAGATGAGCTCTTCCAAGACAGGTTTTGTCTCTTCCTTCAATCGATTCTCCAAGATCAGCAGCCCCAGAAATATCAGGTCTGATTCTACCGTCTCCCTGAAAATACATATATAGATGTATTGAACAGAAATAACACATATTACAGCTTTTTTTTTGAGACGGAGTCTCGCTCTGTCATCCAGGCTGGAGGACAGTGGTTCAAGTCATTCTCCTGCCTCAGCTTCCCAAGTAACTGGGATTATAGGTGCCCACCACCACGCCCGGCTAATTTTTGTATTTTTAATAGATACGGGGTTTCACCATGTTGGCTAGGCTGGTCTTGAACTCCTGAATTCAAGTGATTCACCCGCCTCAGCTTCCCAAAGTGCTGGAATTACAGGCGTGAGCCACTGCACCCAGCCACATTATAGCTTTCTTACAGGAAGTAAAACAAAAAGAAAAAGACCCCTGTCATAGTGGTTCCATTCACTCATTCAAGCACTGTTAGGGGCTGATTAGGGACTGGGAGTGATCCAGAAAGAGAACAGAAGCGGACACAAAGGCTCTGGAGATGTTTAACTCTAACTGAATGAAGAGGAAGAGGAAGAGAGTGTTCATTAAGCAAAAGCTTTGCTTTAACCTTTGCAGAAAATGAGCTGAAAGCCTGTAAGGGTCTCCTCCATCTGTTGTGGCTAGCCTGATTTTCATTGCCTCACCTGTTACCCACAAAGGGGAGTTTTAGTTCTGGCACAAAGCATGAAAAAAAACGGAGGTGCAAAGAAAAATAAAATAAAATGCCAGTTTCTCCAGCAGGCAAGTCTATAATCAATATTATTTTAGCCCCAGGAGATATGAGGTCATAATCTCAACAAACAGGCCTCTCTATTCAGGTAAAGCTCATCCCTTTCTTTCTCCACCAGCTGGTAGCAATGATCTTCTGTATCAAGCGTGAATGTTTCTGCAAATAGGTGCAGCCTTCAAGGCTCCTATCCACCCCAAGAATATTTTCAGGGATATTCTACAGAACTGAGTGCAGGGAATACATTCAGGATCAGGAGTTCAAAGATTCTTCCATCATTTATTTATCTTAGACACAGATCGAGAACAAGACACCAGCACTGCCTAACTCTGGCTGAAATACAGATGAAAGTGGCACCCACTCAGACTCCTTGCCTGTCTCAATAGTGGGTCTCACATCAGCTACAGTCATGAACTAGCGTTAGTGATGCTCCCAGGAAACTGCTAAAGCCTCCATGGAGCCACAGGAAGTGGACACAGTTTGAACTACTCACCTCAGAGCAGGCTTGAAAGAATGGCACTTCCCATTTTCTGAATCTATCATTTAAATCCCTCTATGATCTGGTTCCAAATTATCTTTCCAGCTTCAGCTATCACTAAACTCCTCACCCACCCTCATTTCCAGCCAAGTTGAACCACTAGCCATGGGTTTTCTGTCTACTTAACCATCTCTAGACATTTGCTTTAGACTGCTGTAAGACATTTGTCCTTACTTCATAGAAAAGGTTGTAATTTCCCCATGATCTGCTATTGAAACCCTCCCAATGTTCTGAGCCTTATACCACGTCCCCCACAAAGGCTCCCTCAGATAGAAATCATTGCTCCCAGACAGACGTGGTGGCTCATGCCTGTAATCCCAGCACTTTGGGAGGCCGAGGTGGACGGATCACCTGAGGTCGGGAGTTCGAGACGAGCCTGACCAACATGGAGAAATCCCATCCCTACTAAAAATACAACATTAGTTGGGCATGGTGCCAGGCGCCTGTAATCCCAGCTACTCGGGAGGCTGAGGCAGGAGAATTGCTTGAAGCCAGGAGGTGGAGTGAGCTGAGATCACACCATTGCACTTCAGCCTGGGCAACAAAAATGAAACCTGTCTCACAAAAAAAAAAAAAAGAAAAGAAAAAGAAAAGGAATAATTGCTCCCTTGTCATATTACTTATATTTCACTGTAACTCACATTTTATTTGCCCATGTTTTATTCTTGGGCTTCTGCTTTGTCACACTGTCTCAGCTCCTTGGGAACAATCCCACCTGATTCAATGCTGTGCTCAACACCACTCATGCGGTGCCCAACACACAGCAAGTGCTCAGCAAATGTGTGCCTAGTTGAAATGCTCTGAGGCCTGTTGGGACCATTTTTTGCCAGGTAATCTATGGAAATTCCTCATCCAGAAATTTTACTGAGTTCAAGGAACAGCACTGAGAAAAAGTGGCAGAGAATATGCAGAGACTGTAGTAGCAGAGACTGGGAAAAGTATTAAAACAGATGTCCAAATCCGAGTCCCATGGAGTCAGAGAGGAGGGTGCTCTCATTTCTGGGTGGAGTGATTGGAGAAGGCTTGCTGTAGAAGATGATATTTAATCTGGGGTTTGAAGGATAACTTGGTTGATGCCTGATTGAGGGCTTATAGGGTAAATGCACCTGATAGCAATAACTACTTAGCATACCCTTAGAATGAACCTCTATGGCAGACGCACCTAAATGTATGTTCCAAGCTAGGAAATCTGGCCGTGGCCAACCCGGAGATCTGTTCCTTGTCTCTGAGGAACTTCTGAGCCCCCGTCCCATCTAGTGGAAGATGTGCCAGGCCATAAAGGGAGCTGAGGCCCTGAGTTGTGAGGTGGATGAAGGTTGCTGGGTGGAGGTCATTAAGGAGTCAAGTGAAAACACTATACAAACTGCATGATGTTTGCAGGCAGCAGCGGTTTTCCTGCACAGCTCACCACCACTGGAGTATAGGAAGGCAGATATGTTGTCCACTTTGCTGCCACTGGACTGTTTCTATATGTAAGGTGGTTCTCCTGTCCAGCCGGCTGTTACGGGACTCTCTCCCCTGTAGGTGAGCCCCTAATAAAACCCCATGCCTCCTTTGCTGGCTCTGGGTCTCTTCTTCAGCCTCTTGAACCTGGTGCCTTCCCTATTGAAGTGCATGGGGGTTTGGCACAATAGGTCTTCCAATCTTTCTCATGGTCCTGGTACTCAGGCCCCAGGCCTTGGTTATTTCTGCAGAAGACATGACCTGAGCCAACCACAAAGTGCCAGATTAGGCCAAGAAAATGGCTGCAGGGTCAAACATCTGCCATAGCCTATAGCCTACATTGGCACTAGTATTTCTAGTTCCTCTGGCTTATGGCCTTTGTATGGTTCAAGGCACAATAATCAGGAGGCTGGAGTTCTAATGTCAGCCCTACCACTGCCTTGCTGTGTGAGCATGACTAAATCACTCTCTTTGGCTGGTAAACAAGTTCTTCCTTTCATGAGCATTTAATCTGAACCAAAAAAATTAAAAGGAGTAATTCCTTAAGGGGTCTTAAGCCCTGAAACTTGGAATGGCTTTCTATCTCTTCTGGCTTCCTGCACAGATATTATGCCTCCTCCTGAAGTATCTAAAAATAATAAAGAATGATAAGTGTAATATATAGAAAGCATTGTCATCCCTGTGATTACATCTCATGTTCTTAAAATCCATGTGACTTTTAAAGGATGAAATATGCATGAAGTGGGCCAATAACCTTTGAAGAGATTATGATACCAATGCTGGAAGCACCCTGAGTAACCACACAGAAAAAAACCCCAAAACAACAGCAAGAATGTTCCATCCTAATCAGGAGTTCACAAAGGATCATTAAATTAATTTAGCTGTGTGTATGCATGGTGCTGATGTGCTTTAAGACAGGAGAGGCAGATTGATGACCTGAGATCAAATCCTAGTTGAGAATTTGTGATTTGTGTTTAGACCATACAAGATTTTAAGAAGTTAGAATTTCAGTACCTTTAACCAGGACATGTCCTCTCCTGCGCGCCACAGCCCTCACTATTCCCCATTGCTCATGTGTCTCCACAGTAAGTGCTTTGTTACGTGCATGCATTTCAAAGCCATGAGTTTGCAACTTGTAATATGCAAATATCATATTATGACAATGAGAAGCAGCAGCATGGTAGCCAGACTCTTACCATAGCCCTTGGCAACAGCCTGTCAGGAAACCAAGTTCCATTCCCAATTCTGCTCTGTCCCTTCCCTTCCCTGGACGCAAGTTGCCTCTCCTTCAAAATGTGATATCCAATCTCAAAGTTTACTTTTAGCTCCCTTACTTGAGTGACCCTGAACTAAGTTGATCAAATTACAACAAATATACAGAATTGTAGTAGCCAGAGTTTCAGGGGTAGCATGAAACTGGACCCCCAGGAAGAATGGTCCAACAAGCCCAGGAAACAAACACAATGAGCCACTTCCCACAGTGGGCTTCATTTTACCCATCACAAAGTGAGAGAGTTGGGTCACAGCAGTCCTTCTAAGCAGAAACAGTCCTCCCTCTAGAGGACATTGTGGAATTTTTTTTTTTTTTTTTTTTTTGCATCTATGCAAGACTTTCTGCAAAGACCAATGCACAATGAATAATTATCCTGCATCACACATGTCTTTTGAATATCCTACTGGACATTCATGAACACTGAAAAAAGTTATTATACTTTTCTAAGTATAATAATATACTTTAGGCTTATACTGTATATATTTTACTATTATTATAGAATATACTGTACTATTATTATATATATAATATTATCTTATATTAAACAATTACAAAATTGTTTATTAAAATTTTCCTAGTTTATATGTGTTACATATAAACACAAAGTATTTTTCACACTTATATTCTTTTGAATTTTGCAGAAATGTAACTACCTGTACTATATAAATTGGGAGGAGATTGTACTGTTTTTTTCAGAGTTTTACCAAGACTTGTTAACCACTTCACAGTCACCTTACTGGCGGCAAGACTGAGGTATTTGAGTCTGCAATACATAACACACCTGTATCAGTCTGTATTTGTAGATGTTGCAGCCTCAATTATTCTATACACAGGTACAAGCAACTTGTTACTTCATTTTGTGTTAGTGGAGTCAGCTGAGCATTTATTAAACTATCACCTGTGTGAAACATTATATGTTTTGCTTTCATTCTTACTATATAATGGGTTATTATATATTTTTACAAAGAATATGTGCAGATAATATGTGAATTTTATTTTAGAATATTGAGTTCAAAAATATAGTTACAAGAGAGTGTTGACTCTGATTAGATTGAAACAAATAGGTTAGACTTCCCAAATGTAAAATCCTAAATTTAAAAATGAGCCTAGATTAGCTCCGTAACAGCATAAGCAGTGGTGGCTGACATTAAGTGTTAGAAATGACATGAAAGGTGAAATAAACATGATACCTGAAAAGAGTGGAATTAAAAAAAATAAAATTGAACTCATAAATACTGCAGTTTTGGAGCTGTTACGCATCTCTATTTTAATCCTAAAATGTAAAATTTAATCTATAGGTTAAAATCTTTCTCTAGTATGGCACCTCAGAAGTTTTCCTTGTTTTTTTTGTAGATGTCACCAAGATTATATCATCTAAGCTGTATTTATTTGTTTCATTAAGCTGTGTATTTCCAATCAAAAATTTTTTCTGGTAAATGTTATGTTTCATAATTCCCAACCAATCCACCAACTATAATTTTTTTTAAATGGGGGCATGACCACAATTTCAAATTCTGAAACGCTGATTATATTTCTATGTCTGTTTTCACAAAGCTGTAAAAATCACATCATATTAAACATCTTATATGACTATTTCTCATAAAATCCCCCAGTGAGTGTTCACACTATCTTTGGGATTTAGGCAGGGCAGGGATTACTATATCCCTATTTACCAGTGTTCAGAGACATGTTATGCACACAAATTCAGCAAGCTACATTGCTCTGTCCACCACCCAGAACCCCTAAGTCCATCCCAGTCTAATGCACTTGACATTCCAACCTGGTACATCTTTCCATCAAACCTTTCTGCTTTATCAAAATCATCCCCATTTACCTCGTCAAGGTAGTAGCGTGATGGTCATTTTCCAGCTTCTTGTAGGCCAGTGCTATGACTCGGAAGCCCTGTGTCGTGTAAATCTGAAGTTCGCTAACAAAACTAGTGGGTACTGTTTAGAAAGAAACACAGGGTTAGTACGCAGTTATTTGCTTAGGCAGTACTGGCAAAGAAATTCTTTACAAACATCCAACTTTTGCCCAAGAAAACACACTTCTACAAAGATATGTAAACAAGTCAGTTGAAAATTCTAAACATAACTACATTGTCAGGGTTGACCTCTTCAGATGTAGTGAAGCTAAAATGAGAAGGAAGCATTTGAAAAACTTAAAAAAAAGATAGGAAAAGTGTAAAATTCTTTTTTCTTCAATTTAACCAACAAACATTTATTGAGAATCTACCATCTGGCAGGCATTGGCTATGCAGAGAATAAATCACAAGCTCTACACCCAGAAATAAGACTTTACACCTACAACTATCAGATCTTTGACAAACCTGACAAAAATAAGCATGGGGAAAGGCTTTCCCATTCAATAAATTGTCCTGAAATAACTGGCTAACTGTATGCAGAAGACTGAAACTGGACCCCTTCCTTACACCATATACAAAAACTAACTTAACATGGATTGACGACTTTTAAAACCTAAAACTATAAAAGCCTGGAAGACAGCCTAGGCAATACCATTCTGGATATAGGCACAGGCAAAGATTTCATGACAAAGATGCCAAAAACAATTGCAACAAAAGCAAAAATTGACAAATGGGATCCAATTAAACTAAAGAGCTTCTGCACAGCAAAAGAAACTGTCAAAGAGTAAACATACAGCCTACAGAACAGGGGAAAATTTTTGCAAACTATGCATCCAACAAAGGTCTAATATCCAGCATCTATAAGGAACTTAAAGAACATTTACAAAAAGAAAAAAACAAACAACCTCATTAAAAAGTGGGCAAAGGGCCGGGTGTGGTGGCTCAAGCCTGTAATCCCAGCACTTTGGGAGGCCGAGGTGGGCGGATTATGAGGTCAGGAAATCGAGACCATCCTGGCTAACACGGTGAAACCCCGTCTCTACTAAAAATACAAAAAAAAATTAGCCGGGCGAGGTGGCGGGAGCCCGTAGTCCCAACTACTAGGAGGGCTGAGGCAGGAGAATGGCGTGAACCCGGGAGGCGGAGCTTGCAGTGAGCCGAGATTGCGCCACTGCACTCCAGCCTGGGCAACAGAGCGAGACTCCGTCTCAAAAAAAAAAAAAAAAAAAAAAAGTAGGCAAAGGACATGAACGCTTTTCAAAAGAAGACGTACATAAGACCAACAATCACACACACACACAAAAGCTCAACATCATTGATCATTAAAGAAATGCAAATCAAAACCACAGTGAGATACCATCTCAAACCAGTCAGAATGGTGATCATTAAAAAGTCAAAAAACAGCAGATGCTGGTGAGGTTGTAGAGAGAAAGAAGTGCTTATACACTGTTGGTGGGAGTGTAAATTAGTTAAACCACTGTGGAAGAAAACACAGTGATACCCCAAAGTCCTAAAGACAGAAATACCATTCAGCCCAGAAATCCCATTACTGGGTATATAGCCAAAGACAGGTAAATCATTGCATTATAAAGATGCACATGCATATATATGTTTATTGCAGCACTATTCACAATAGCAAAGACATGGAATCAACCTAAATGCCCATCAATGGTAGACTGGATAAAGAAAATGTGGTACATATACATGATGGAATACTAGGCAGCCATAAAAAAGAATGAGATCATGTCCTTTGCAGAGACCTGGATGGAGCTGGAGGTCATTATCCTTAGCAAGCTAACATAGGAACATAAAACCAAACTTATATGTGGGAGCTAAATAATGAGAACACATGGACATAGGGGGGAACAACACATACTGGGGCCTGTTGTAGGGTGGAGGGTGGCAGGAGGGAGAGGATCAGGAAAAATAACGAATGGGTACTAGGCTTAATACCTGGACAGTGAATTAATCTGTACAAGAAACCCCCATGACACAAGTTTACCTATGTAACAAACCTGCACATGTACCACTGAACTTAAAATATAGGTTAAAAAAAGGAGTGAAATTGAAAAAAACTCACAAGTTCTGCTCTAAGGATTTCTGTCTAATTGAGTTACAGCCAGCAGACTAACAATGCAATCAAATGAGATCATTGCTATGATCCATGCCACTGCAGCATGCTATGGAAAGCGTTTGGTGGTGTACATACCAGCCTGGGAGGAGGTGGTTCAGTAAAGGAAGGATTCTGGGGCTGAGGGAGAATCATGAGCTTAGGCATGGAGGCATGAGAGTAAGCTGTGAAGACTTAGTTCAGCTCAGGAAAAGCACAGGATGAGGAGTGGTAAGGCCCATCTGGAAAGTTCACTGGGAGTTCAAACCTGAAAGCCTTATATATGATCCTAAAGAAATTTGAGATTATACTGGAGCCTATGAGAGCAACTAAAATAATCGTGAGGTAAAAAATCTGGTCACAGTACAGAGGGCAAATCAAAGTTGAGGAGACTGGAGGCAGAGGGTCAATCCACCAACTATTGAAGTGATGAAGAATGATGAAAGCATGAGCAGGTGCAGAGAAGGACCATGGACTAGCAACTGATGAGACAGAGGCACTAAGGGGGAGTGAGAAATCAGAGATGACACGTAAATGGGGTGGTGGCGGGGGATGGTGGTACCGTGCACCAAAATAGGAAACTGGGAAATACAGGAAATGAGAAAGACACGCTTGGTTTTCGTATTGAATTTGGAATGCCAGTGAGCCACCCAATTGGTGATGACCCATAGGCGATTGAATTAATAGATCAAATGCAGTGGGAACATATTTATCTGGAGATACAGATTTGCCAGGTGTAATCCAAGTCAAGTTACAGACCTGTCTCAGGTTGGCAAAAGCTGGCCACCCTCTCTGGTGCACCTTTCATGAATGCCAGTCGGTCACCTCCCATCTCTTGGACAATGACTGTCATTCTTTGCAGTGCCGATGAGAATGGGAACTGATGCAGGATTGCAATTCCTTCCACTGGGACCTGGTTGAGGGATGGGGAAAGGAGAGGAACATGCTGATACAGCTTCTAGCTACTGGGAATTAACCACTCCTTCCGTAATATTCATTTTAACAAATAAGGGGGAAGGTCTCACCCATTTTCACACCTGAAATTCAAAGACACATCTGTGACCTTTCAAAAACTGGGGGCCAGAAGAGTTTCTCTTTGAGTTTGGGTGTTGTGGGGTGAAGAGCAAGCAGGGCTTACCTGGCTGGCTGTTCTGCAGGGCTTAACTACCATGGCATGTGCCGGCACTCCCTTGATGTGGAAATCGTCCCCAGAAAAAGCCATTTCCTATTTCACAAATAGGATATTTCATTGCAGAGATTTATTTATTGTTTGCCCACTGATGCTATGCTTGAACCCTCCCCTTGAGAAGATCCTCAGACCACCTCAATGTGTTTTCCGTGTCTCTTCCCTCAGAGGTGAACCAGATTTATTCCGCCACAGAAAAAAAGAATGCATTGAAAATGCTGCACAACTTGAAGGGCAGACACTTTTGAATTATTCATGCAATTTATCTTGTTTTCTCTGTTGGAATGTGCTGTGTAAAGGCTCAGTCTCCATTTCTGAAGAGCCTAGCTTGAAAGCCATGCACATGAAGGGCCAGACTTCTTTTGTGTGAAGCAAGCACCTTTCTGTCGTTCTTTTCCTGCACTTCACGGCTCTTCCTGCCCTTGCATGTGTGTCTAATTTGGATGGATGGTTCTCAGGGCTGGGGTAGGGCAGGGCAGAGACTGTGATATACATGGTTAATAATCAGTAATTGCTATAATAATGACCCTAAATTATAGTCAAAGGGACCTTTTACCCAAAGACAACACAGTGCTTTGTAATCATCTCACTGAGTGGCTGACAAGGTCCCAGAGAGAAAACTGCAATCCCTATTTAAAGATATGGAATCAGTAACCCAGAAAAGATGGAGGATTGGCAAAGTTATATTAGATTGCTATGAAATAATGCTCCAGGAGATTTGGAAGGGACCCTGAAGATTGTCTCTTTCAGTGGTGCTCAAAGTGTGCCACCAGAGGCGAGAGCTATATGCAGCTCAGGAGAAAGGAAGGGATTATAGCTAAGTAGTCAGGGATGCAGGTCCCTTAGTCCTCATCTTTAGATCCCACCTTTTATTTCAACTGGAGTAACTCCAGCTATTTAGTCTTTAGAGTGTTTCTGGAGAACGTTTCCTTTTACGAGAAGATTCCAGATTGTTTGTCTTGTTTTGTGTTATGTGAACACCACTGGTCTAATTCAACTTCATTTTATGGTCATGAGAGCCAAAGCCCCAACATGAGAGATAGCTTAATGGGATTCAGCAGTCAGTTAGAGCAGAGACAAAACTAGAATCGGAAAAGCCAGATTCCTGAACGACACTGTTGGCTCTTAAATCTAGTTTAGAGTCTCAACAAAAGCTCTTTAGTGGTTTTCCTTTTTGTTCTTTCTAGTCTTGGAAATAAAATCAATATGAAATTAATAGAAATAAGACTTATAGTCCCCGTGAATCTATGAGTTATCCTGAGCACTGGAGAAAGCAATGTTTTCTGATCCCCATATTCTGGAAAATCTTCGAAACCAGACAATGCTCGGAGAACAGTACAGAGAGACAAGAAATAACTGCATAATAAGTACAATTATATTAATATGATCGAACCTTTAATATTTGCCAGGCATAGTGCCAAGGATTTTCTTACTGCATCATCTCATTTAATCCTCACAATCTCATTATGTAGATGCTATTATTAGCTTCATTGCACAGATGAGGAAACCAGCCTTAGATTGGTTTGCCCTTCACTACCAAATGTACTCCACATTGGAAACCTCACCTTTTATAAGAATTAGATAGCTCTGATATTGCCTATGTTGCTCTGGCATTGAAGAAGCTTCTCAGATTCTCTGAAGAGCAGAGGCTTACCCAGGTGGTGGCTTCAAACATTTTGAGGTCCAGAGGGTCTCCCTGGATGGTCCCATCAAGAAGGATCAGAGAGTGGCAGCTGGCCATCGCTGCACACAGTGGGCCCCATGGCAAAGCCTGGCCTGAGGCAAAGCTGTGAACTTCCTGAAAGCTTAAGGAGAAAAGGAAATGGGTTTCCATTCCATCGCCTCATGCCAAAACAGAGCATCTTGGAGGTGAACAAACATCTTTATAAAAAAATAATTTAATATGCTTTGTTGCATTAATAGCCACTCTCCAATCCTCCCACATTAATAGTGCTTCATTCAGCCAAGTAAGTTCACTGAGTATGAGAAAGGTCTCTGAGTTTTTTCTTTTTCTTTTGGATACAGGGTCTCACTCTATCACTCTGTCACCCAGGCTGGAGGAGGACAGTGGCGTGATCTCGATTCATTGCAACCTCTGCCTCCCAGGTTCTAGCGATTCTCCTGCCTCAGCCTCCTGAATAGCTGGAATTACAGGCAGCCACCACCATGTCAGGCTAATTTTTTGTATTTTTAGCAAGGATGGGGTTTCACCATGTTGGCCAGGCTGGTCTTGAACTCCCAACCTCAGCTAACCCACCTGCGTCGGCCTCCCAAAATGGTGGGATTACAGGCGTGAGCCACTGTGCCCGGCTAAAAACATTTTTCAAATGAACACTGCATCCCCCTCTTCCACCCTGGCCTCTTGTGTCCATATCCCAACCATTATCCCCATCATCTCATTTTAGATAAGAACATAGTCTCATCTAAAAAGCTATTAAAATACAACTCAAATGTCATATGCAGGCTTCCTTCACTAATTCAGAGTGGAGGCCATTAAGTTCAGCTTTGGCGTCACAAGAAGAATGTTGTCTGCAGCTTGGTTAGTCACAGCCCCTTCTCAAATGTGCAGCACAGGCGTTGGTTCTCAAAGCAGCTTACCCTATTAGGAGGACGTTTGAACGGTGGAAGCTTCATCCTACATTGGGGCAGAATCTGCTCCTGGGAGCCAGTAAGGGTCCACTTGCTCCCCCTCCTCCACATGCCAACTTCTTTCAAACTTAGGGATCAACTCTGCCGTCCCCTTCACCCTCTCTCCCTCTGGTGTCGCACAGGAACCTCCGGCTGTTCCTCTAATAACAGCTTGATCAGGCCTCCCTCTCACCTTCCTTATTCTTCTTTTTTGGAAAAGTTCCTAAATTTGTCATTGTCTGATCCTGGAGACCACATTTCAAGACAGACAATTACTTCTGATAATATGGACCCTGAATTTATTTAAAGATAACCTTAAGTTGCTGTAGCCCTTTGTTTTGAAAGCAAACACATCTCAGTGTTAACTCACAATTCAGCCACATGGCTTCCTGGCTTTTGCATTCAAGCTTCCTTTTGTCACACTAAGAGTTCAAAAATGTCCTGGCTTCATATTGACCCTGTTAGTTATACTTATTACTATGTCTTAAAAGAGCAGCTCATCTTGGTGGTTTACCACATACCCAATGGTATTTTAGTAAATATCTAAAAGGAAGAGACCACCAGCAGGACAGTTAACACAGAAACTTAAACGCACACTGAAAAGCAAAATACAGATCAGAAAAAAAATCTTATTTTTACTATGAGACGTACACTGTCACTAGTCCGTAATTCTGAGTGTATAATTCTGCATTCGAGAGGATTGGGCCAGACTCTGTTTAGCACAGCAAATACATAAAGCTCTCTATCATTCCTGTCCACCCATTTTTATCTGAGTATTTCTGGTTATCAATCCCTGATAGCCTTTAATAGTTCTTAAAGTATCTGACACAACAATCAGGGCTTTTTGGAAAGGAAGAAATATCAGAGATGAGCTCACCTTTAACAAGAAGGTATTGAATAGTCTATAAGTCAGGTGCTCACTTCTTACCTAGAATTAATTCTGTTTTGTTTCATTTTATTAATTAAATTTGTCATTTTTTATTTTAAATTGTTTTAATCATTGGAATTCAACTTTGATTGGAAGGCAGGAAGGCAGCAAGGCAGGAAGGAAGGAAGGAAGGAAGGGAGGGAAATGAATCATTTACCTAAACATTATATTAATTGTTATTCCTTAAATGTAACAAGTCACTTTTAGAAACAAAGTTTCCAAAGTTTTATGAATAGTTTGGTGTCAATGGAATAAGAAGAACATTCAAAAGACAGAACATATTGAGTTCATTTTAGATGAGCGATTACTGTGCACCTACTATTTGTGCCTAGTACAGAGCTACAGCACTTAGGATGCAAATCTAAATAAGAACAAGACTGCTCTCAAGATGCTCACATATTTGAACAAATGTACACATATTTTGCAGAAGCTGAAACAGAAAAACACTAATGAACCATGAGACAAAGTATATATCCAAATCTATCTTCTAGGAAAAATGAAAGAACTTTAGAGTTTAACACTTTCAGAGGCCTCTTCTGTACACTAAAGTGGTTAGAAGCACGAGGATCACTTTTTTAATCCAGGAATTAGACTTGTTTCTAGATAGCATTTTAATATGACAATTATTAAACTATGTGTAATTAACATTTTATGGATAAATTACATGTCATAATGCAAAAGAACCACAAAGAACCTTTCATGTACAAAATGCTTTGTGATTTAAGTTATAAGTGTTAGAGGAAAAAACTTTCATTTTCAAACAAAACATAAACGTCAAGTGCATCAGAGATTTCATGTTCTGATTCCACGGGAGTTCGTAGTGAGTTGAAAAAGCGGGCAGAGACGCAAACTCAAACATGGCCACAAGAGGGCCACAGGAGAGGACTGTGCAAATCTTTACCACACCATGCTGAGAACTGTCAAAACCGTCTTTTCTTGCTAGGAAAAAGGAGTTTCAGCCAAGTGCAGTGGCTGATGCCTGTAATCCCAACACTTCAGGAGGCCGAGGTGGACGGATCACCTGAGGTCAGGAGTTTGAGACCAGCCTGGCCAACATGGTGAAACCCCGTCCCTACTAAAAATACAAAAATTAGCCAGGCATGGTGGCAGGCACCTGTAATCTCAGCTACTCGGGAGGCTGAGGCAGGAGAATCGCTTGAACCCAGGAGGCGGAGGTTGCAATGCACCAAGATCATGCCACTGCACTCCAGCCTGGGCGACAAGAGTGAAACTCCGTCTCAAAAAAAAAAAAAAAAGAAAAAAGAGAGTTTCCAGCAGCCAGAAAGTAGAGTTCTCAAAATTTGAATACCAAGAAACATGAGTACACTAGCTACGGTTCTACAAATGTTCCTCTTCCTGAAATTCAGGGTACAAAAGTAAGAGCAGTGTCCTTCCTCCTAGCACATCAAGAGGCTTCAGCTTGAACAAAGAATGTTACCTCCTTAAAGGACAGTGTCCTGGTAATGTCTAAATTACTTATACTGCGTCAACTTCATGCTGGAAGCAAATTATATTTTAGCAAGGATTTGAATGCAGTGTCAAAGCTTCATCTCCAGGATTTGTGAGTGGCATGGGACTGGGTTGGGATGGGGGGAAATGTGTGTGTTTTAGGGAGGCTTTGAAGAATTAAAGATGAGAAGTTAAAAGAAGATACTTTGGCAATCATTGTCCACCAAAGCCAAAGTCCAAATGTCTCCATTCTTAATTTCAAGAGAAAACACGGAATTTTGGAAAAAGAGACACTAGAATGCATTTAGTCCAAGAGTCCAAGGTACTCACCCATTCCTATCACAGGACACGACTCCCCAGAGGTCCAAGCCGTCCCTTGTTAAGGTGCCTGTCTAAACAGAAACAAATGCTCCATTTACTCTGAAGATCCAGGCAAGGAGCGGTGGCTCATGCCTGTAATCCCAGCACTACGGGAGGCGGAGGCAAGAGGATCACTTGAACTCAGGAGTTTAAGACCAGCCTGGGCAACATAATGAAACCACCTCCCTATTTTAAAAAAAAAAAAATCCAGTGGCCCCATAGCGAAGACTCCGTAGTGCAGATAAATAAGGTATTTTTGTAATGAGAAAATACTTCACAAACATATTAACAAGATCAGCACTTCAAGGAGGGGCACAATGGGTGGGTCTCTGGAGTGCCCGTTGGAAGCGTTGATGAGCTCATGCCAGTTGTCTAACAAGCTGGCACTTAATCTTTTCAAACTTTAGTGTCCTCCATAACAACAACAAAAAAAGTATCTTCCTCACAACTTCAGAGGATTGTTTTGAGGATCTAATGGTAGACTGAATGGATGTGAAAGTCCTCGATATAAAATGGGTGAGTCCTAGTTTCATAGCAGAAGTTTAAAATATGTCATTAAAATAAGGAATAGAGTGAAATTTTTACCTGCAGGGCACTGTGAACAGACTCGAAAGAAATGGTTTGCTATTTGGTAAAAAAAAAAAAAAAAAAAAAAAAGGTGGTGGTATTTCTCTCAGTGCAATATTATGGTTAAGAATTCAGGTTAGGTTTAAACACCAGTTGTGTGACCAGAGCAAATTAATCCCCCTAAATATAAGAGCTCTTATCTGTAACATGGTCATAATCTCAGAGAGCTGTGGTGAAGATTAAATGGGATAACATAAAGTGTTTCATTTAATATCTAGCATACAGTAAAAGCTAATAATAATCATAATTATTCATAATTATTGCTCATTTTTTATACAAATTGAGGTCACAATTATCTCTCCCACTCCTGTTTCTTTTTCCAGGTCCGAGGATATAATCTCATAAATAGAATGTCATTTCTTACATTGCTAGTTTGATCACAAAATAATATACAAAATGGTGGCAAGAGTCATGTTGACTTTCTGTTCTTGGTAGATCTTTCTGATATTCCAATAACTATAAAATACAGCCCTGATCCCATTAATTCTCAACTATCAAAACCTTCAGTGTACTGTTGAATGAATATAGCTTCAGTTTGGGAAAATAAAAGAAGTTCTCAAAATGAATAGTAGTGATGGTTGCAGAACAGTGAGAAGGCACTTAATGCCAGTGAACAGTACACTTAAAAATGGCTAAAATAGTAAATTTTATGTTATGTGTATTTTACCACATTTAAAAAGTAAATTAAAGAAAGAAGTCAACAACAGCAACAAAAGCCTTCAAATAACCCTCCACTGCTTAAAATATATGTAAACAATTTCTTAGCCACACATTCAAGGTCCACAGATAGCTTCTCCCATTACCAACATCCTGCTCTAGTCAAAACCACACTCTCTTGCTTTCCTGCCTCCAGGCCTCTACCCATGCTCACCTGTTCACAATGCCCTGAAAGGCATTTCCATCTTATTCTCTCACAACTCCCACCTTCACCCCAGCATATGTGTGTACAGACTAAATAAATACAATAAAAAGACGGTAGAATACGAGGCTGGTTGGGAATAACTGGCAAATAATCAAGGGTAATTTTAAGCAATAAAGTACAGATGGGAAAATACAGCAAAAGCTTGATATGAGTATCATAGTAAGGCACAGTTTAATAAACTCTTCCTTTTTTATTTGTTCATTAATTCAATCGATATTTATTGCACACTAACTATATGCCAGGCAATATTCTCAGCATCAAGGATACAGCAGTGACGATAGCAAAGGGTTTAAATTTTCGTCTTTGTATGAAGGTTTTGACTGCAGAGAAACAGGATGCTACTTTAATTGCTTTTCATAGGATATCAAAGCTGGAAGGACCCAAAAAGATTCTCCTATTTAGTACCCACTTCTCCTCTAAACCTTGGACTCTGCGAGCTCAAGAGACATATCTTTCCCAGATCATGCATCTAACCAGGGATAAAATGAAGACAGGCACCCACATTCTATGTCTCCTGCCTTGCAAGGGGGTAAAAGTAGATATACATGATGACAGCAATGGTAAAAATGATGATAAGAATAAGGATGAAACACACATACCTTGTCAAAGCAGACAAGGTTTAACTGTCCACATACGTTGATCCTCTGGGGGCTAATGCAGAAGATGCCTCTCTTCTTCAGCCTCCTCTGGGCATAGATAATGCCTGTGGTCAGAGCAGCAGGTAGAGCCGGAGGAACCGCAATTGTGATGACGTCAAGGGCTTTCCTCACCACCTCCTCTGGAGGTTCCTGGACGACAGTCATTCTTTAATTATTACAGACAAATCTCTGATGAACAGCATATGACTCTTTGCCTTTTTTTTTTGAGGCGGAGTTTTGCTCTTGTCGCCCAGGCTGGAATACAGTGGTGTGATCTCAGCTCATTGCAACCTCCACCTCCCGGGTTCAAGCGATTGTCCTGCCTCAGCCTCCTGAGTAGCTGGGATTACAGGCACACGCCACCACACCTGGCTAATTTTTGTATTTTTAGTAGAGACGGGGTTTTGCCATGTTGGCCAGGCTGGTCTTGAACTCCTGACTTCAGGTGATCCACCTGCCTTGGCCTCCCAAAGTGCTGAGATTACAGGCATAAGCCACCTTGCCCGGCCTTCCTTCTTTTTGTTTACTTCTTTAGGTCAAATTTCAAGAAATGATATCAGTGGGTTAAAGGCATGACCATGTTTATAGCTCTCACTATCTTTCACCAAATAGCAATAAAAAACCCATGTGATTTATATTGTTACCAGCAAAACAATAACGTACTAGTCTGCCATGACCTCACCAAAACTGGGTGTCTGATTTTATTTAAAATCCCTTGCTCAATAGCTCTAAATATGCTACTTTATTGAAAGAAATATATTCTCAGATTGAAAAGAAAAAATGGTATAAAGTGTGAGGAAAAGAGAAGTACACTGATATATCAATAAACAGATTGTTTTATCCCATTATCCCATGAAACCTGTTTGTTATTATGGAACTTAGTGATCAATTGCTGACTGGGATCTGGAAGTCTATACGTAGGCATCAGTGCTTGGTTTTGTTTCCCAGGTTTGTAAACCACATCCTAGGTTAAGGCCAACATGCACAGTACAAAATATACAGAGATGAGTGTGTGTGCATTTAATAAAAGAGCAAAGACAGCTTACCCCACTAAGCACATAGACACACAGAGTATAGATCATCCCAATGGTGGCTGTTCCTACAAGGCACAGGAGGAACCTGATGGCATCCCTGTACAACTGAAAATTCACTGGCTTAGGGTAGAGAATGGATCTCACAAGGTCTCCCTTTGCAGTGTTGAATCCTGGAACAACAAACACACACCCCACACTCTCAGGAGACCAACGCTACTGCTAGCTCTTCCAAACCTCAACACTGCCTTTGTTTTTCTCTGCTGATATTTGAACAGTGTTTAAGCTCAAAGGCAATTGAAAGATAACTAGAAAAATACATAAATGCTGGAACGGAAATCTCTATCTCAGAGCCCAGTACTCTCTCTGGCCTTCCTTCCCTCTACTTCCAATTTCAATGCATCCTGGAGATAGAAAACCGCCGTACTGGGTGCACAGCACAGCTTTGCCAAATAGCATTTTATTTTAAGAAAATGACTCAAACGTGTGCACGCACACACATGTCACTGAATTGAAATTAAGTGGTCCAGTAAATACTGATGGACTCACTTTTCTAATACTTTGCAATGTTAAATTTTCAGTTTCTAGCCCACCCTGGAAAGAACTTGGGATTCAGGATGAGACCTGAGTTCTAGGTCCAGCTCTGTCAATTGCTGGCCATGGTATTTTTTTAAGTTCATTTGAATTGTGTGGCCTCAGCCTATTCATGGACATAGCAGAAACAGTAAGCATCTCTGCTCTGCTTGTTTGATATTGTGAAAATAGTTTATATACTGCAAAGGCACATACATAATAATTATTGTTATCAGTACTATCATTTTTACTAACAGGCATATGCCATAGTTCAATTGGTATTTAAAATATATGGATTTATATATATATGATGTGTTTTGTACCTGTAGGTAAGACTTCTCCTTGTCTATGGGTCCAAAAAAAAATGGAAAGAATGAATAAGATCTACTATTTGATAGTACAAAGGGTGACTATAGTCAATAATAACTTAATTATATATTTTTAAATAACTTAAAATGCATAATTGGATTGTTTGTAACTCAAAGGACAACTGCTTGAGGGAATAGATACCCCCTTCTCCATGATGTGCTTATTTCACATGGCAGGCCTGTGTCAAAACATCTCAGGTATCCCATAAGTATATACACAGCTACTATATACCCACAAAAATTAAAAATTAAAAAAATATGATTATAAAGAAAAAACAGCTTCTCTTTACCTAATAAATTTAAGGCACTAGACAAACTGGGCAAAAGTATACCATTAAAAATAAGAAAAAGGAGGGGATGCTAACCAGTCTGCAGTACCACGGCTCTCACGGTCCCAGAGCAAGCTGCCTTGGCCTGGATAACCTCTGTTCCACAGAAGAGGACATGCCGCTTGTAATCCGCTTCACTCTGTGTTTTCCAGGGCACAGAGCTATCCATCTTGGGTAACGGAGTTTTGGTGACTGGAATACTTTCTCCTACAGAAAACAAGCATCTTGTTTTGTGAGGCAGGATGGCTTCCCTCATTTAAATCATGCCTGCACCCACTCATCATACAACAGACATTTTTTTTGTGAGCCTACCATGTGGCAGAGACAACCCTAGGTATTGGGGATACAAGCATAAACATAGTTCTTACTTCTAAGAGGTCTGTAGTTTAGAATAGGAGACAGATATGTAAACTGATAAGTATAATACAGTATTATAAATACTGTGGGTACTGTAAATCAAACACAGATGTCAAGATAGCTGGAAATAACTATTTAGGGAACCACAGGCTGTGCAGTCAAGAATGTGGAGTGTGGAGAATAAAGGGCCGTGAGAGCTATCTAGGAGCCAAAGCATGGAGAACCCTAACTGTCCACAGATATGTCTAAAGGCACTGGTGGGCTGGGCACAGTGGCTCATGCCTGTAATCCCAGTACTTTGGGAGGCCGAGGTAGGCAGATCACCTGAGGTCAGGAGTTCGAGACCAGCCTGACCGACATGGAGAAACCCCAGTTTTGTAAAAATACAAAAAATCAGCCAGGTGTGGTGGCACATGCCTGTGATCCCAGCTACTCGGGAGGCTGAGGCAGGAGACTCGCTTGAACCCAGGAGGCAGAGGTTGTGGTGAGCCAAGATTGTGCCATTGCACTCCAGCCTGGGCAACAAGAGTGAAACTCCATCTCAAAAATAAATAAATAAATAATAAATAAATAAAGGCACTGGTGACTGAAGGAGGATGTAGAGAGATTTAACCACTTTAATCAGGAGAGTAATATCATATTTATGTATAAGAGAGAGCACTCTGTCCATAGCACAGGGAATGAATCAAAGTCTGGTGAGGTTGGAGGCTGGGCTGGGTATCCAATTGGGAAATAATCACAGGAATCCCAGTTGCAAGGGATGAGGTCTGAACTATAACAGCTGGCAGTGGGGATAGAAAGGAAGCACTGCATTCAGGAAACAAGGAAGTGGCCGGGTGTAGTGGCTCACGCCTTTAATCCTAGCACTTTGGGAGGCAGAGACAGGCAGATCGCTTGAGCCAGGAGTTCAAGACCAGCCTGGGCAACATGGTAAAACCCTGTCTTTTCTAAAAATACAAAATCAGCCGGGTGTGGTGGTGCATGCCTATAATCCCAGCTACTCTGGAGGCTGAAGCACGAGAATCACTTGAGCCTGGCAGGTGGAGGTGAAAGTGAGCAGAGATCACACCACTGCACAGCAGCCTGGACAATAGAGTGACACTCTGTCTCAAAAAAGGAAAGAAACAAGGAAGTAAGAAGCTACAAAACTTGAGAAAATGTTTGTATTGGCAGGTCATAGGGACAGAGAAATTTACAATGACTTTCTAGTTCTGACTTGGGAGAATATGCAGAAGGCAACATTATTCCTCAACACAGGGATTACAGGAGGAGAGAAAGAATTGTCTTTTGGCCACTGTAAGTTGAAGTTGCCTTGTAGAAATACCATGTTGAGAAGCCTTGTAGGCAGTTTGAGATTTATTTGGATTTGAAGCTCAGATGAGAGGCCTGGACGAGAGATATTTAGCCAGAGCTCATGAGGTTATGGATGATAATTAAAGTCACAGAAGCAGACAAGATTACTTAGAGACCAAGTATAGAGTGAGAAGAGGAAAGGCCAAGGATGTAGCCATGAGCAGCACCAACAATTCAGGAGATGGAGGAAGAGGAGCAGCAGAAGAAACTGAATGGGTATAGTCAGTGGTAGAAGAATTTGGAGAGAGAGAATTATCTTAGAAAGTTATAGAGAAGATAGTTTTCAGAAAGAGAGCTGGTCAGAATAGTCAAATGGAACAGACAGGACAATAAGTTGAGAAATTTAAAGAATCAGGCTGGGCACAGTGGCTCATGCCTGTAATGTCAGCACTTTGGGAGGCCCAGGAGGGTGGATCACTTGAGGTCAGGGGTTCAAGACCAGCCTGGCCAACATCGTGAAACGCCACCTCTACTAAAAATACAAAAATTAGCCAGGCATGGTGGTGCACACCTGTAATTCCAGCTACTTGATGGAGGCCTAGATGAGATGATTGCTTGAACCCGGGAGGCAGAGATTGCAGTGAGCCAAGATCAAGCTACTGCACTTCAACCTGCGTGACAGAGTGAGTGAGACTATGTCTCAAAAATAAAGAAATTTAAAGAGTCCACTGCGTTTGGCAATTGGGACTTTGGCAACTTTTACCAGTGCAGTGGGAGGGGACTATTGCAGAGGCTTGAAGTGCTAATACAAGGTAATGAATGAAGCCATGAAATAACTGTGGCCTGTTCTGAGGAACAAGTTTCTAAAGTCTTTTGATGGTCTCTGCAGAGTGGTCAATAGAAAGTCGGAGTTGCATTACAGTATATTAAGGCTACTTTCATTAGGAAAATGGTACTTGGCACTGCAGAAGTCCCAGCATTACAGGATTTTTATGAATCTATGGGATTTTGAGGGAAAAGAACCTGCTTTGCCATGGTCTGCGACACATCTATTCTTTGTAAGCTAACATAGGAAGAAGGTGTGTACACTTGTCTCCATTACCTGTCTTTCTGGGCTGCCTGAGAGAAATGGATTTGATCTGAACTTGAATGGGAACCATGATACACCAATAAGAGTGCGTTCACAGCCTCTCATTTTATCTCTGAGAAACATTTTATGATTCTTCTTTATCTTACAGCAATGTCAGCCAAACATCTCATCATTATGCCACGTGAGTGAGAAATCAAGGCAGTGTAACCTTAAGCAAGTCACCTCTCTGGACCTCAGTTGCCATGCCTATGATATGAGATAACCTCACAGGTCCCACCCAGCTCCAGCACTGCCATTTGAAAATGAACTACAGTTAGTCCATAACACCCAGTTTTGGACTGGAAGCAGCAGCTTTACCAAATGCTGCATCATGAATTTCTTAACATTTTCAAGCCAGGCCAGGAAGAATTTGGATGACCCCTGTGGGTTTCAGGATGTCACTGATGATTTTCAAACCCTCCAAGTTTATTTAAAAACATGCTTTATTTAAAATAAATAAACATAAAAGTCACAGACAATTCTGAAAGATCTAATGATCTCTACAATCTTTTAAGGTAAATGAGAGGGTTGTAATAATCTTTTGTTCAAGAAAGAAATACTAAACACTCAAAAACTTATTATTGTATCAAACTTAACACATAGAAAGAGCTTTAATTTGAACCCTCAGATCCATTCGCAGCAGGACTAAGTAAGATTTGTGGCAACGGGAAGGTCCCATAGCAGCCAGTGCTTTACAGCCAGCCACTGTCATTCAGGTAGAGGAGGAGGCGTAGGGACCATAGCAGCGTGGAGTGTGGGCCAGCCCACAGAGGTTGTCAGCTGTGGAGATGGAACTGTACCTGTCAGCATGCCTTCATCCACCACACAGCTGCCTTCAATCAGAACGGCATCACATGGCATTAGCACTTTGTTCCCTGTCAAAATTAATAAATCTCCAGGCACCAGGACGCGTGATTCCAGCTCTTGAACTCCAGCTGAAAGTGGGAGGAGACAGAGTTGAGTCAGGTTATTTTCCCACAAAAATACAATCCAACATCTATTTAACTTGGATATCAATGAAAAAGCAACCAAGACATTTTTTTTTTAGAAAGGAGAACATTCCTCAACATTGATTCAAAATTTGAAAACAAAAAGAAAAAAATGTAACAAATTAGACTACATAAAATAAAAATCTTTGTGTGGCAAAGTAATAAGAAAAAAATAATGACAAATTCAGAAGCAAATTTGAAACTTACATTACAGATAAAAGGTTAATATTCCCAGCTGAGCACAGTGGCTCATGCCTGTAATCCCAGCACTTTTGGAGCCCAATGCGGGAGAATCACTTGAGCCTAGCTGTTTGAGACCAACCTGGACAATATAGCGGGAGCCCTATCTATCTTCACCAAAAAATAAAAAATAAAAAAATTAGCCAGGCATGGTGACACACACCTGTACTCCCAGCTACTTGGGAGGTTGAGGTGGGAACATTGCTTAAATTTAAGCTCAGGAGGTCGAGACTGTAGTGAGTGATGATCGTGCCACTGCACTCCAGCCTGGGTGACAGGGCAAGATCCTGCCTCAAAAAAAAAAAAATCCTAATAGATAAAGAGTTCCTTTTAAAAACAGATCTCCAGCAAATAACTGTATAGCAAAATTGCTAGATATTGTCACTTCACACACACACACACACACAAACACAAACACAAGTGGTGTGTTAAGTGTCTGCAAAGCTGTTCATTCTTACCCATGATAAGAGAAATGAAAGTTCTTCCCTGCTTCCTGATTGCCTGCCTGCCTGCCTTTACTTCTTTTCTTCCTTATTCAGTCTTAAAGCTATTAGGGCCTGTGCAAGATAGGCATTCCTGCAGGGGGCTGGGTGGGGTGGCAGGCTGCTCTGGGGTATTGGATCCTAAGCAGGATGGAAGGGTGTTTACATGACCTGGTATAGGGTGTCAGAGCTTGAGCAAGGACAGAAGGGCCCCCATGGTGGCAGTGGCCCGCTGTGGGATGTTGGGACCCGAGCAAGGTGAAAAGGGTGTCTACATAGGAGTGGGATGAGGGGCAGTGGGAGCATCAGCGGTGATGAAAGATTGGTTGCATCCAGGCAGAAATGGTACAATAAGTACAGTAGTCTCCTTTGATCTCCAGTTGAACTTTCCATGGTTTCGGTTACCTGCAGTCAACTGCAGTCAGAAAACATTAAGTGGACAATCCCAGAAATAAACAATGTATAAGTTTTCCAACTGTGCACCATTCTGAGTAGTGATTAAATCTAGGGCTATGCGCTCCATCCCACCTGGAACAGAATCCATGCTTTATACACTCCCTGCTTGTCAGTCACCTGGGTAGTACCTTGCCTGTTGCAGTACCCCTGTGCTTGTTTCAGGTTACCCTCATTTTACTACTTGTGCCCCAAAGCACAAGAGTAGTAATGCTCGCAATTCAGTTATATCAAAGAGAAGCAGCAAAGTGCTTCCTTTAAGTGAAAAGGTGAACGTTCTCGACTTAAAGAAAACAAAACTGTATGCTGAGGTTGCTAAGATCTATAGTAAGAACGAATCAACTATCTGTGAAGTTGTGAAGAAGGAAAAAGAAATTTGTGTTAGTTGTGCGTCGCACCTCAAACTGCAAACGTTACAACCACAGTGTGTAAGTGCTTAGATAACATGGTAAAGGCATTAAATGTGTGGGTGGAAGACAGGAACAGAAACGTGTTCCAAATGACGGTGATCAGACTCAGTACTACCCATGGTTTCAGGCATCTACCTGGGGTCTTGGAATGTACCTCCCGCAGATAAGAGGGGACTCCTGTAGATAAAATGACGTTAATCAGCCAGGTTTCTCACTGAAGAAAGGAAGTTACAAATAGAGAAAGAGATACAACTACAATAAACCCTGTGATAGTAGATTCCAATGAAAAATATCAATGTACTAGATAGAGAGAAACAATATAGATGTAAGTATGTGTGATTATAAGAATATATAAACATGTTTGCTAGTCTTCTTGTTTATACACCAATAGTAATGAGCACATCCAGTGCCCAAAGTTTGGTTTCTAAATTCCCTTTCTCCCAATAAAAAGGTTTCCTTAGAGAGAGGACTGAGTACAGGCTGCGCCAAGAAAAGTATAATATAAGCTAGAACATCTTCTTGTGCCATTAAGTAAAGAAATGCTCAAAGAATGTTGGGGACATATTACAAAAATATCAAAGCCAACTTTAAAGGGCTCTCACTGCCTAAATCTGTAACAATTTGAACATCAAAGTAAATAATGATAAGAAAGAACTATAACCATCAAATAAAATAAGGATTTATGAGTCCATAATGACTTCAGTAAATGAATAAATAAATAAGGAGAAGAGACAGGTTTTCCTTGCAGCAAAATGGCAACTAATTAATGTAGAAGGAGAGATAACATTAGAAAAGTCATCATTTGGCAACTATCAAAGTAATAATTAATTTGGCCAAGAAACATCAATGTATACTAAAACTAGTGGGTGAAAAATTGATGAAGATGGTTTATTTATATCATCTCAAAGTATCTCTCAACAAAATAACCATTAATTACAAAGAGGAAAATAATAAATTTGCAATGGAGAAACCTGGCAGATACCATTTAATTAAGTAATATAAGTTAACATCACCAGTAATAGGACAAATTGAAATTATGTACCATCTGAGAGGAAGCAGTGAAAACACAGCATCATGTTGTGATATTCCAGCCAAAAATGCATAACCTGAATTTAACCATGAGGCAACATCAGAAAATTCAAACTGAAGGACATTCTATAAAATAACCAGAGTCAGAAGAGTCAAAGTCACAGAATTCAACTAAAAATTGAAGATTAAAGAGACATGGCAAACAAGAGCATTGTGTAATTCTGTATCTCTTTTCTATTAGAACATTATTGAGACAACTGGCAAAACACGAACGAGGTCTGACCATTAGTTGGGAGAAATGCATCAATATTAACTTCCTGGTTGCACAGTCCTTCATGTAGGAAAATGTCTTTGTCTTTCAGAAATACACAGTAGAGGCCAGGCGCGGTGGCTCACACCTGTAATCCTAGCACTTTGGGAGGACGAGGCGGGTGGATCATGAGGTCTGGAGTTTGAGACCATCCTGGTCAACATGATGAAACCCCGTCTCTACTAAAAATACAAAAAATGAGCTGGGCATGGTGGCACGTGCCTGTAGTCCCAGCTACTCGGGAGGCTGAGGCAGGAGAACTGCTTGAACCCAGGAAGCAGAGGTTGCAGTGAGCCCAGATCGCACCACTGCACTGCACTCCAGCCTGGTGACAGAGCGAGACTCCGTCTCAAAAAAAAAAAAAAAAAAAAAAAAACAAACAAAAAAGAAAAGAAATACACAGTAGACCCCATCTGTACAAAAAATACAAAAATTAGCCAGGCATGGTGGCGCACACTGGAAGCTGAGGTAGGAGGATTACTTGGGACCAGGAGGTCGAGGCTGCAGTGAGCTATGACTGCACCATTGCACTCCAGTTGGGCAACAGTGCAAGTCCCTGTCAAGACAGAGAGAGAGAGAGAAGAAAAAAGAGAGAGAGAAAGAAGGAAAGAAAGAAGGAAAGAAAGGAAGAAAGGAAGGAAGAAAGGAAGGAGAGAGAGACGAGAAAGAAAGAAAGGAAGAAAGAAAGAAAGAAAGAAAAAGAAAGAAAAAAGAAAGAAAAAGAAAAAAGGAAGGAAGGAAAGAGAGAGAGAAAGAAAGAGAAAGAAAGAAAGAAAGGAAAAAGAAAGAAAGAGAAAGAAAGAAAGAAACAGAGAAAAGGAGTACATGAAAGGATGTGCGGGTCATGATCATGGAGCTACATGTCGGCAACTTATTCTCAAGAAGTTCTAGAAAAAAAGTTATTTAAACTATTCTTACAACTTTTTTGTAAGTTTTAAATTACTTTCTAAAAAAGAGAGTGAGACATATGTATGAGATAACATTGCTCACCTTATGATTAGAAAAATGTGCAAAATTTCCAGCGCATTCTATTGTCAAGGCTGCGAGGAATCAGTCACTGACACATTTCTGGTGCAAATGTAAACTGGCACAATCTTTATGGAGAGAAATTTTGGCAATATTTTTCTAGCAAAAGTACATAAGCACTTATTTCTTAACCTAGCAATTTTACTTCTCAGAATCTGTGCCGAAGATATACTGGCAAAAATATGAAAAGACATATGTACAAAGCTTTTTATTACAGCACTATTTGTAGTAGTAAAAAACTGAGAAATGTTTTTTCAATAGAGGATTGACTGAATAAACAATGGCTCCTCCACACAAGAGAGTACCATGCAGCTGAAATAATGAATGAAGAATATCTGTATATACTAAATGGTCCCTGGGAAACATAGTTACGTATGTAAAATATACGCAGCAGGAAATACAGTTAAATACGTTTGATATACCTCTATTCATCTAGAAAACAGCAGTATTAATATATATTGTATTTTGTATATGTAATATATAGCTATGAATATTATATATAATCTGTTTATATTTTTAAATGTAAGAATAAATAAAAACCAAAGTGATGATTATAGAGAGAATGAAGACATAAGTCAGAAAGGAGAGGAATAGGAACCAGACTCCCTGGAATGTCTTCTGTCTTACAGATTTGACTTTCAAACCATGTAGATATTTTCTATATCTATACAAAATAATACAAATATAAGTTTGAAAAGCTAACACTAAAATCTAAAGCAAAAGGAGCAAAATAAACCTATCAAGTTGCTGGCATAACCAACAGAAAACTATTTTGAGTGACTTTAATGAACAATGTATAATTTGACTGTACATTTCTAATGGGATGTTACAAACAGGAAAAAAAGAATTCTAAAACCATCTTAAATTGTTTTTAGGAATTACATTAATGCTGAGTGCATTAGTTTGTCACTCTGAGGTTATTATATACAATGGGATAAAGCAAAAGAGTAATCTCTTCCTGTCATTGAGAACCAGAACTTTGGGTATAGAGAAAAGAGAAACACAAGTACAATGAATAAAGTAAAGTAAAAAGCCCATAGTGCTAAACTTGAATTGGAAATTATAAGGTCAGTATAACTATGAATTCTAAACTTGAATTGGAAGTTATGAGGTCAGTATGACCTCATAATGCATTTTATCTTAAAAAGTTATTTCCTAAGTATGTTTTCTAAAAAGACCTAGAAACAATGACTAACACCATTAAAATGAGTACTTGCAACATTCTTATTGAGGTTTATAAGCACTGTATCTGGTACTGCTACTTCCCCGTCCATTTTTATGTATGGAGATGGCTTCTTTCTTTAAACCTCATAAGCCAAACTCTGCTAGCTTCAGACTTTTCTTCTGTAGTTTTCTTACCTCTCTCAGCCTTCGTAGAATTAAAGAGTTAGGGCCTGACTCTGGATTGGGCTTTGCCTTACAGAAATATGACTGGTTTGAGCTTCTATTCAGACCACTACAACTTTCTCCGCATCCACAGTAATGTTGCTTCGCTTTTGATCATTTGTGTGTTCACTTCTGGAGAAGCGCTTTTAATTTCCTTCAAAAACTTTTCCTTTGCATTCACAACCTGGCTAACTGGTGCAAGAGTCCCAGCTTTCAGTGTATCTCAGCTTTCAACATGTCTTCCTCACTAAGCTTAATCATTTCTAGCTTTACTTGAAAATCAGAAACATGTAACTCTTCCTTTTGCTAGAACACTTAGAAACCAGGGTAGGGTTATTTATTGATCTAATTTTAATACTGTTGGGTCACAGGGAGTAGGGAGGCCTGAGGAAAGAGAGAGAGAGAGACAGGAATGGCCAGTTGGTGAACATCTGACACCGATTAAGTTTGCTATCTTACATGAGCATGGTTCATAGTGCCCCAAAACAATTATCATAGTAATATCAAATATCACTGATCACAGATTGCCTTAACAGATATAATCACAACGAAAAAGTCTTAAGTATTTCCAGAGTTATCAACACGTGACACAGAGATATGAAGACAGCACACGCTTTTAGAAAAATGGCACGGATAGACTTGCTCAATGTAGGACTGTCAGAAATCTTCAGTTGGAAAAAAAAATGCAGTATCTTTGAAGCACAATAAAGCAAGGGGCAATAAAACAAAGCGTGCTTGCATATGTATCATAAGTATGTCTACACAGTACTTGATTCTATTGAGGAAATTTGAACATTGCCTGTATAACTATTTTAAAATTATGAGGTTTTAAAAGATGTGACAAAGGAATTAAAAAGACTCTTTATATTTTAGAGCTATATGCTGAAATATTTTCAAATAAAATATAATATCTGGGATAGTTCTAAAATAATCTAGGGTGGAGAGTTAATAGAACAGATGAAAAAAGATTCATTAAGTTGATAATTATTTAATCTGTGTGATAGGTACGTGAGGATTTATTACAGTATTCTCTCTACAGTTGTATATGTTCAAAGTGTTTTATCATAAAAAATATGGACAAAAAATGACCAATTATATTTTTAAAAGGTAAAAATTCACTTCCAACCAAGAGAGAATAAAAAGGATGAGAATTATCTTCCCACTGGAAACAACCATATAAAATATATGAAACAATGGGTTATAGACACTGAACATCAAACAACGAAAGAGATGGGAAACAAATAAAGGTGTTCTACATTTGCCACGCTTACTGTCTTTAAAGAGTTTCCAAGCCACTATGCAGAGAAGGGAAACCAGACCAAGTCCAGATGACTACTGAGTTCAGAACACAAAGATGAGCATCGATGGAGATCTTGGCAGCTTGAGTTCATAGAGCAGAGTGCTGGGGAGGTAACTGTCCAGGGGAGAGCCACGAAGATCTGCCGAGGGTCTCTCCTTAGTGTGAAGCAAACTACTGATCAGCATGTTTCCATGATGGAACTACTAGCAAATGAACAACTGAACATTTACATTTTAAAATATCATTTACAATAGCATCAAAAATATGAATTACTTAAAAATAAATCAGAAAAAATGTGTAAGACCCACACACTGAAAACTGCAAAACACTGCCAAAGAAATAAAAAACCTAAACAAACGAAGCAGTGTTATATTCATAGAGAGAAAGATTGAAATATGTTACTAAGTCAATTTTCCATAAATGTATCTATAGGTTCAACACAATACCAATAAAAATCCCAACTTTTTTATGCCTACATCAAAAAGTCTGGTAGAGCACAAATAGACAATCTCAGGTTACACCTCAAGGAACTAGAGAAACAAGAATAAACCATACCCAAACCCAGCAGAAGAAAATAAATAACCAAGATCAGAGCAGAACTAAATGAAATTGAAACAAAAAAAAAGCCCACAAAAGATAAATTAAACAAAAAGCTGGTTCTTTGAAAAGATAAATAAAATTGATGGACCATTAGTGAGATTAACCAAGAAAAGAAGACAGAAGATCCAAATAAGCTCAATTAGAAACAAAATGGGAGATATTACAACTGATAACACAGAAACACAAAAGATCATTCAAGGATACTATGAACACCTATATGCAAATAAACTAGAAAATCTAGAGGAGATGGATAAATTCCTGGAAATATACAACCCTCCTAGGCTAAACCAGGAAAAATGTGAACAGACCAATAACAAGCAGCAAGATTAAAATGGTATTTAAAAAGTTACCAAGAAAAAAAAAGTCCAGGACCAGATGGATTCACAGCTGAATTCCATCAGACATTCAAAGAAAAATTGGTATCAATTCTATTGACACTATTCCACAGGATAGAGAAAGAGGAAATCCTCCCTAAATCATTTTTTGAAGCCAGTATCACCCTAATACCAAAACCAGGGAACGACATAACAAAAAAAGAAAACCACAGACCAATGTCCCTGATGAACATAGATGCAAAAATCCTCAACAAAATACTAGCTAACTGAATCCAGCAGCATATCAAAAAGATAATCCACCATGATCAAGTGGGTTTCATACCAAGAATGCAGGGATGATTTAACATCCACAAGTCAATAAATGTGATACACCACATAAAGAAAATTGAAAACAAAATCACATGATTATCTCAATAGATGCATAAAAAGCATTTGACAAAATCCAGCATCCCTTTATTATTAAAACCCTCAGCAAAATTGGCATAGAAGGGACACACCTTAAGGTAATAAAAGCCACCTATGACAAATCCACAGCTAACATTATACTGAATGGGGAAAAGTTGAAAGCATTTCCCCTGAGAACTGGAATGAGACAAGGATGCCCACATTCACCACTTCTATTCAACATAATATTGGAAGTTCTAGCCAGGACAATCAGACAAGAGAAGGAAATAAAGGGCATCCAAATCAGTAAAGAGGAAGTCAAACTGTTGCTGTTCATCGATGATATGATAGTATACCAAGAAAACCCTAAAGGCTCATCCAAAAAGCTCCTAGAACTGGTTAATGAATTCAGCAAAGTTTCAGGATACAAAATTAATGTATACAAATCACTAGTTCTGCTAGACACCAACAGTGACCAAGCTGAGAAAAAAGTCAAGAACGCAACCTCTTTTCTAATAGCTGCAAAATACAATAAAATACTTAGAAATACGCCTAAACAAAGAGGTGAATGACCTCTATAAGGAAAACTACAAAACACTGCTGAAAAATTATAAACGATACAAACAAATGGAAATATGTCCCATGCTCATGGATGGGTAGAATCAATATTGTAAAAATGACCATACTGCCAAAATCAATCTACAAATTCAATGCAATTCCCATGAAAATACCATCATCATTCTTCACAGAACTAGAAAAAATAATCCTAAAATTCATATGGAGCCAAAAAAGAGGCTGCATAGCCAAAGCAAGACAAAGCAAAAAGAACAAATCTGGAGGTATCACATTACCCAACTTCAAACTATACTATAAGACCACAGTCACCAAAACAGCATGGTACTAGTATAAAAATGGGGATATAGACCAATGGAACACAATAGAGAACTTAGAAATAAAGCCAAACACTTACAGCCAACTGATCTTTGACAAAGCGAACACAAACAAGTGGTGAAAGGTCACCCTAGTCAACAAATGGTGTTGGGATAATTGGCAAGCCACATGTAGAGAATGAAACTGAATCCTCTTCTCTCACCTTATAAAAAATCAACTCAAGATGGATCAAAGGCTTAAATCTAAGACTTGATACCATAAAAATCCTAGAAGATAGCATTAGAAAAACTCTTCTAGACATTGGCTTAGCCAAAGACTTCATAACAAGAACCCAAAAGCAAATGCAAATAAATAAATAAATAAAGATAAATGCATGGTACTTAATTACTTAATTAAACTGAAAAGCTTCTGCACAGCAAAAGAAATAACCAGCAGAATAAACAGAACATCCACAGAGTGGGAGAAAATCTTTGCAATCTATACTTCTGTTGAAGGACTAATACCCAGAATCTACGAGGAACCCAAACAAATCAGCAAGAAAAAAACAAACAATGCCATCAAAAATTGGGCTAAGAACATGAATAGACAACTCTTGAAAGAAGATATAAAGATGGCCAAGAAACATATGAAAAAGTGCTCAGCATCACTAATGATCAGGGAAATGCAAATCAAAACCACAATGCGATATCACCTTACTCCTGCAAGAACGGCCATAATCAAAAAATCAAAAAATAAGAGATGTTCACGAGGATGTGGTGAAAAGAAACACTTTTACACTGTTGGTGGGAATGTAAACTAGTAAAACTGCTATGGAAAACACTATGGAGATTCCTTAAAGAACTAAAAGTAAATCTACCATTTGATCCAGCAATTCCACTCCTGAGTATCTACCCAGAGGAAAATAAGTCATTATATGAAAAAGATACTTGCATGTGCATGTCTAGAGCAGCACAATTTGTAACTGCAAAACTATGGAACAAGCCCAAATGCCCATCAATCTATGAGTGGATAAAGAAAATGTGGCATATATGTAACATGGAATACCATACAGACATAAAAAATGAAATAATGGCATTTGCAGCAACCTGGATGAAATTGGAGACTATTATTCTAAGCGAAGTAACTCAGGAATGGAAAACTAAACATCATATGTTCTCACTCATAAGTGGGAGCTAAGCTATGAGGACACAAAGGCATAAGAATGACACAATGCACTTTGGAGATTCAGGGGAAAGGGTGGAAGGGGAGTGAAAGATAAAAGAGTACACACTGGGTGCAGTGTACACTGCTCAGGTGATGGCTGCACCAAAATCTCAGAAATCACCACGAAAGAACTTATTCATATACCAAAATAAATAAATAATTTTTAACCAGGAAAAAAACTTATATTCCCCTTAAAAATATTTTATTTCCTTTAATTGGTTGGTTACATCACTAGAGCATGTTTTGAACTTTATATTCTACATATGTATATAATATAAACAAGCCTGAAATAGATACCAAAAAGGGTTATAATACAAAAACACATACATATTTCCACAATTTAGAATACACTTACCAGTTTCAGTAATTGCATAACCTGTATCACTGCACTTATGGCTAAACACTGGTAACCCAGCCAGGTGTAGAGCATTTTTGTGTTTTTCAGGATGTATTACAAATTATTATTTTTTAAAACAGAGCTACATTTTAAGTGTGTGCAGATGTGAATTTTGGCTTACAGAACTGTTTTTAATGTTCATCTATGGTATTTTCTTGGCAAAGAAAATCGACATTTGTTCCCACTGCATGACTTTAACAGAGAGATCAGTAGACATCTTAGGAATACTCTAAGGAAGCAACCCCAGGTTATGGAAAATATCTCATAAAACATTGGCATCTTTGAATCTTATTTGTGACCATTGTTTATGTTATTGTACATTTCATATTAGTACTGAATGAGGAATTCTAACAGATTTTTAAATGAGCTTCTAAAGATTTACAAACTTAAGCCTGTATTTCTATAAATTATTGTAATTCTAAAGAAACCCCAGCATTTTTTAAAGAAATTGACAGGTTGTGTTCAAAAGTCATATGGAAACCCAAAGGGCTCAATAGTGTCAAAATAACTCTAAAAGAGAAGAGCAAAACTGTAGGACTAACATTACCCTATTTCAAGACTTATTATAAAGCAACTTTGTATGGTATTGCTATAAAAAAGCAAATAGGTCAATAAGATTGGGTAGGAAATCAAGAGATAGATCCACCTATATGTGAACAATTGATTTTTGACAAAAGATGAAAACTCAATTCAGTGGAGAAAACATAATCTTTTCAACAAACAGTATTGGAACATTTGGATATCTGTTTGCAAAAGATGACCCTCAATCGAAAAAAAACAAAAACAAAATTCAAAATGTAATATAGAACTACATGTAAACCCTAAAACTCTGAAAGACAATACAGAAAATCATGGTGACCTTAACAAAATATCTTAGAAATTACATCAAAAGCATGATCCACAATAGAAAACATTGATAAACTGGACTTTAACAAAAATAAAAATGTCTGCTCTTTGAAAAACACTGTAAAGAGAATGGGAAGGTAAGTCATAGACTGAGAGAAAATATTTGCAAATCATTTATCTGATAAAGGACTTGTATCCAAAATGTAGAATAAACTCTCAATTTTAATAATAAAAATAATCTAATAAACAACAGATTTGAACAAATACTTCACCAAACAAGGTATATGAGCAGCAAATAAGTATTTGAAAAGATGTTCAATGCCATTAGTCATTAGGGAAACACAAATTAAAACAACGATGAGATACTACCACACACCAAAGTGGCCAAAATTAAAATGAGTAACCATACCAAGTGTTGTCAAGAATGTGGAGCACCTGGAACTCTCATACACTGCTAGTGTAAAACGGCGCCACTGCGTTGGACCAAAGATTGGCAGTTTCTTAAAATGTTAAATATCTATCTAGTACATGACCCAGCTGTTCTATAGCTAGGTATTTTCCCATAAGAAATGAAAGAGCATGTCTATACACGGCTTGTATCCAAATGATCATAACACCATTCCTTGGAATAGCCAAAGACTGGAACCCAAAAATGCATCAACAGGTGAATGGATGAACAAACTAGTATGTCTATACACTGAGATAGCCTCAGAAATAAAAGGAATCAATGATTGATACACTTAAAAAAATGGATAAATCCCAAAATAACTATGAACTTTGATCCCCCCCAAAATTAACCAAAAATATATTATAAAAGACCCAAAGAATACATACTGTAAAATACCATTTATGTATAATATTGAGCCTGGAAATGAATCTACAGTGACAGAAAGCTGATAAATGATTGCCTGAGGGATGGGGGAGTTGGGAGGAAGCGGGAGAGAAAAAAACTAGAAACAGGAACAAGGCAACTTTTGGGAGTGATGAATGGTCATTACCTTGAGGATTATGATAGTTTCATGGGAATATACATATGCCAAACTTATCAAATTCTACACTATAAGTATGTTAAGTTTACCAAATGTTAATTCCACCCCAATAAAGTAGTTTTTTTGTTTGTTTGTTTTGTTTTGTTTTGTTTTTGAGATGGAGTCTCGCTCTGTCACCCAGGCTGGAGTACAGTGGCGCGATCTCGGCTCACTGCAAGCTCCGCCTCCCGGGTTCATGCCATTCTCCTGCCTCAGCCTCCTGAATAGCTGGGACTACAGGCGCTCGCCACCACGCCCGGCTAATTTTTTGTATTTTTGGTAGAGACAGGGTTTCACCGTGTTAGCCAGGATCGTCTCGATCTCCTGACCTCGTGATCAGCCCGCCTCGGCCTCCCAAAGTGCTGGGATTACAGGCGTGAGCCACCGCACCCGGTCTAAAGTAGTTTTTAAGGTAAAAAAAAAAACTTAAGTTCCTCATCCCTTTGAACAAATGCCTAAGGAGAAATGAATATGAAGATGGGAATAACAGCAGCAATCAGAAATACAAATTTAAATTCTTTTCTGATTCCATGTGAATAGCATATAGATCTAAAATAATGGAACTTACCTTTTCTCCCACATACAGAGACCGTAATGCTATTATGTGACTCGACGAGATGGTGGAGTTTTACAGATTGCTGAAAAAGAAGGAAAAATGGAAAAGTCTTATCTATTTGAGCATAGTTTCTAGGTATTATTAAGGTGCTAGGCTTCTTTAAAGATAGAGCACTGTCTTACTGCCAGTTGAATGGAATGTACTGGCTAAAAACAAAGGACTAAGTACTCATTATTTAATTGAAAAAGCATCCAACTTCTAGTGCTCTTCACCCAGCAATAAGTATGTTTTCTTCAGCAGAAAGGAATTTCCCAGCATGCTCTTTCCACTCAGAAGAGTTTTTGACACTGAACTCCAGCCTGGGCGACAGAACAAGACTCTGTCTCAAAATAAATAAATAAATAAATAAATAAATAAATAAATAAATAAATAAGGAGTATGGTGGTTCCTGCTACTTCCTCATAATATTTGCTGTTCTAATACATGAAATATGTGGGATATTGAGAGTGAGTCAGTAACAGAAACAAACAAAAAACACAATTATATTTGATTCCACATTATTAGGAAACTATTGTGTAAAAGACCTTCTACTTGATTCTGGGGGTTAAAAGTCCCAGTCATTTAGTGTGTTCATTTTGTCGTCCTGATTTTGTCATTTAAGATACTTCCTAAATTCCCTAGCTTCAAATTATTTGCGAATCTGATAAATATGTTCTAAAAATGATTAACAGAATAAGCCAATGTCAAAAAGACAGGGTGTTCTGCTTTTGAGTAACTCATTCTTTTACCCATTTGTGCATTAATCAACAAACATTTATTGAGCAAATTTTAATATTTCAGGAATAGAATGAACAAAAGAGATATGGTTCTTAACACCAAGAAATTTACAGCCTGCTGAGAAAAGTAGGTTTTAATCAAGTAACTACATATATAAATGTATAATGACAATCAGGAATAAGAAGAAAAAATAAAGTACTTTTGGATCATTTATAGCAAAGGGAATCAATCAGGAGAAATCTCCCCTGAAGAAGTGACATTGAACCTAAGATCTGAGTAGGAGTTATTTAGCCAAGGGGTAAGGGCAAATCATGAAGATGAAAAAAAAATGGACAATTCCAGGTGACATATCGAAATGTTCTGAGGTTCGAAAAAAAGACTATGTTTCAGGAAACAAAAAGCCTAGTGCATCTGGAAGGCAGAAAGCAAGGGAAATGCTGGGTGAATGAAGGCAGGAGAAATAAGTCAAAGCAAAAAAAGAGTATGTTTCAGGAAACAAAAAGCCTAGCGCATCTGGAAGGCAGAAAGCAAGGGAGATGCTGGGTGAATGAAGGCAGGAGAAATAAGTCAAAGCAGCAGTTACACGTACAGGTAGAGCAGCAGTTACACGTACAGGTGGAGCAGCAGTTACACGTACAGGTGGAGCAGCAGTCCTTAGAGAGTGGCCTGAGGATTCCTGGGGGTTTTTAGGAATGTCCCACAGGGGCTGAGCAGGTATACCCTTTTCATAATGGCACTAAGGTGTTAATTGCCTTTTAGCATCTTATTCTCGCACAAGTGTACAGTGGAGACGTCCAGAGGCTGAGTGGTGTTTAATATCACAAGAGACTAAATGCAGAAGCAGTTATGAAAATCCAATTGTCGGAAATAAAAAAAGAAATACGATTATCAAAGTATTAAAATCAATTGACATAGAAATTTTTTAAAAGACTGCCACAGTCTGAATGTGACCCAAAATTCCTATGTTGAAATCCTAGCCCCCAAGATGATGATATTAGGAGAAGGGGCCTTTGAAAGGTGATTAGGTCATGAATAATTTCAGTGCCCTTATAGAAGAGACCCAGGAGAGACGCCTTGTCTCTTTCACCATGTGAGGATGCAATAGGAAGGTACCATCTCTGAACCCAGAAGAGAGATCTCACCAGACACTGAATCTGCTGGTGTCTTGATCTTGAACTTTCCAGCCTCCATAACTAAAGAAATAAATTCTGTTGCTTATAAGCCAAAAAAAAAAAAGAAAATCCAATTGTCTTCTATTAAACCAAACATAAAAGAGATTGCAAAAATGTAAAATAATGCCATTCTCCTGCTAAATTATTTTTATTTCAGAAAATACAGTTGTCTTTAAATATATATGTATATATAAATATGTTATTATTATTTTAAATTAATTAATAAATATTTTATGATTCTGAGTTTTAATTCTTAATTTGGTAAATACCAAATGTTTAAAAGATTAAAAACTCTTAGAGATCCTCAGTGATTTTTAAGAGTTTAAAGAGCTCTAGAAACTAAAAAGTTTGTGAACCTCCAGGGAAAGCTTTAAAGTCTGCGATGAGATTTAGAAGTTTATTGTAAGACCAATGGGAATATTTTGAAGCATTTTAGTGATAAAAGCATGTAAATAATCATATTCTGCAAGAATGATGTATGGAGGCCAGATGGGAGGTGATTGCAAGGTAGAAAATTATGCTAACTTGAACCGTAATAGTGGTAGGGTGGAAAACAGTGAAGGATGCCAGGGGATATTTAGGAAATAAAAATCAAAGGACTTTCTGTGTAGTTGAAGGGGAAGAAGAGAGAAAGTTTCAAGGTTGGCAACCAGATTTCTGGCTTGTGCAACAGAATGGTCAGCAGTATCTGCTACCACATCAGATAAACCTAAGTGCAGATTTGAGGAGAAGAGTTCTTGAGTTTTATGTCAAAAGTGTTGAATTTAAGGTAATTTTTTGATATTAAGGTGGGGATATCAAATAGGTTGTTGAAGCTATGAGTCTGCAACTGAAAAGAGGTATCTGGATTTGAGATACATATACAAATTTGAAAGCTATTAGCATATGCCTTTAGAAGTCATTGGCATGTACAGCTATAAAAATAATGAAGAATCTTTTATGCACTTACATGAAAAGATCCTCAAGATATATTAATAGTAATTTTTTAAATAGCAAGTTAGAAAATAATGTAATTATGCTACCACTTACATAAGAAAAAAAGAAAGTACATATATTTGCTTCATTTGCCTAAAAACTTTTTTGGAAGATTACACAAGAAACTAATGTAAGCAGTCGGCCAAGTGGAGTGGGAGAGAAAAATGGAGCCTTTACATTAAATGCATTTTCATGTTGTTTTGACTTTGGAACACTCATTTTTTAAAAGTCAGATAGAGAAGGATGAGCTATCAAAAGAGAACGGAAAAGAGCAACTGGAGAGGATGGAGAGTGTGTTGTCCCTGAAGCCAGGGAAAAGAGTGCTTCAGAAAGAATGGAGCAGTTAACCGTGTCAAATCCAACTGAGAGGTTTAGCGATATCGGTACTGGGGAAAAAAAAATATCCACTGCAGGGGGACCATAACATTAGTAAGCAAAACACCAAGACCTAATAAAAATTAATAAAGGACTCAAACAGTTCCCAGTCAAAGAAATGCAAATGGCTTAAAGTGTGAAGAAATGCTCAACTCGTAATGGAAAACGTGATTAGAGTTACTGAATTCTATTTTCACTTATATTGGCAAAGATAAGAAAAACACTTATCTACTGTTGTAAGGAATGTAAACTGGTATTACTTTTTTATATACATAGAGAGACGAGGTCTCACTATGTTGCTCAGGCTGGTTTGAACTGCTGGGTCTAAGCTATCCTGCCACTTCAGCCTCCCAAAATTCTGGGATTACAGGTGTGAGCCTCCACACCTGGCCAGTATTACTTTTTAAAGAGGCATTTTGACAATATGTTTAAAATAGTGTGCCTAGCTTATGACTAGGTAATTTCAATTGCAGAAATTTTCTATCTCTATATCAATACAGATATTTATAAGCATACATACTTGTTATATACATATGTATAGGTATGTAATATGTGTGCATATGTATATGTATATATAGATGCATGAAAAGATATATGTGCAAGGATGTTCTTGCAGCATTGTCTTAGTAGCAAAAGACTAGAAACAACCAAATACATATCAACATTGGACTGGTTAAAAATTACGGTACATCTAGAGAAAATGTATTTGTGCAGATGCAGAAAGATATTTAGGATATAATAGGTTCAAGTTCAAGTGGAGGCTGGGCACGGTGGCTCACGCCTGTAATCCCAGCACTTTGGGAGGCTGAGGTGGGTGGATCACTGGAGGTCAGGAGATCAACACCATCCAGACCAACATGGTGAAACACCGTCTCGACTAAAAATACAAAAATTAGCCGGGTGTGGTGGCACATGCCTGTAATCCCAGCTACTTAGGCGGCTGAGGCAGGAGAATTGCTTGAACCTAGGAGGCAGAGGTTGCAGTGAGCCAAGATCACACCATTGCACTCCAGTCTGGGTGACAAAAGCAAAACTCCATCTCAAAAATAAATAAATAAATAAAATTCAAGTGCAGAACAGTACACATAGAATATATTCATTCTGTTAAACAAATTAATGCATATGCATTTAATATAACTAAAAGTATACAGAAAATATGGTCCTAGTGGATGTATCTTGAAACAGGACCTGAACACTGGGAAGTTTTCCCAGCGGGAGGGAGCCTTAATTTTTATTCACACTCTTTTGTTCGGTTTGAATTTTATTTTTATCATAGCCATATATTGCCCTTTCTGTTAAGGAAAAAAACAGCTAATTTTAAAAGAACTTTTTAAATTTTAAAATGATCTATGGGCTTTGGGATCACAGTGGCAACCTTAACAAGATTTGTTTAAATGGAGTCATGAGGGAGGAAGACATGTCGGCATGAGTGAAAAGTAAGAGGAAGATGAGTAAGTAATGATAACAGACACAAAGACTCTAGAAGTTTTACTGTGAATGGAAGAAGAGTGATATAGTAGTAGCTGAAGGCAGAAGCACGGTCAAGAGAAGAAATTGTTTTGTTTGTTTGAGTTTTGTTTTTAAGTTGGGAGAACTTGAGAATGTTAAAAGTTGATGGGAAGGCTCTTGAGGAGAGAAGAGAGGAGTCATTCATGGACTGCACAAGCACCCCAGGAAGGTGGGAGTGGATGGTCTCTCAAGCACTGGCGAAGGGCACTTCCTTCACTGGAATGAGAGTTCAGGGAAGGAGGGGGCTGCGGAGATGAGTCATTTGGCACTCGGAAAGTGGGGAGTTGGGCAATTTTCTGTCTTATGGCTTCCATCTTTTTTTGTGAAATAGTGATATCTGCTGAATTAAAGAAAGAGTGGAATATGAGAAGATGGGCGTCTCAGACACCAGAGGACAGAGATGGCTTGAAACCTTAATTTCAGAGAACAGAAGAGCACCTTGATTAGAGATGAACAGAAGCCTTGTCCGGATGAGGTTGGCATTCACGGATTTATAGTGCAACCAACCAATCTGTTCTATGTAATTTTTTTTTTCCAACAGTATCTAGAAACCTGGTGTAGGCATAAAGAAAGTCAGGAGTTGGACTGGGGCCTTGACAAATGAGTACCAGCCAAACATAAACAGCAAAGGAGTTCATATTAAATAGACTCCTCCACCTTCCAGCTCTCTGCCACCATCCTCAAGTCCCATCAGTATTCTCTACATAAATTTTTTCACATATTCACAATTCATAAACCTTTGGATGTTGTTCTGGCTAATTAGTCTTGAGTAAATTAAAGAGGGAGGAAAAATAACTACAAAGGTTAGGGATTGGAATGGGAGGAAAGGGAAAGGACTAAATTGTTGAACACTGGTTACTGTGCTAGGTATTTACAAACTTGCTCTCATTTACTACGGAGTAGGAAGTGACTATTTCCTGATTCTCCTTTCTAACAAATTTTTAATAAAGTCATTATCCTTCCCTTTATGAAACCATAGAATTAATAGAAAAACTCACCTCTCTGAGATCATATACTGTCAAAGATATGGAAATTATGGACATGATTATGATGGCAAAAGCATATTCCTTATAGTCTTCACTAAACCACAAACAGACACTGAAGAGTTGAAATATATAAAATGGATTTAGAACCTGTTGGCAGACATAAAAACAGGAAGACAAGGGAGAGTTTTAGGCTTCACTCTGCTCTTCATTTACTTGTTTTCATAATCATCTTCATGACATACATCATCCCACACAATATTCTTATTATATTTATTCGGCAATTGACACGTGCCAGACACCGCTCTAAGCAACTTTACTTGAATTTTCTCATTGAATTCCCACAGTTACCTTATTAACCAGAAGTTGTTACTTATCTCCTTTGTAATGATAAAGAAACTGAAACTTAGAGCTTGAGAAATACGTCCAAAGTCATGCGACTATGATTGCCACAGACCCAAGACTTAAACACAGGCAATCTGACCCCAGAGCACTTACTTTTAATCACTGCCTCACTTTATAATTTACAAAGTAGTGTCTCATGTATTGACATGTCGGCCATCACAATAGTTATTTAAGGAGTAGATGTTGTCACCTCCTGTCTACATTTACTGGCCTTCAGAAAGGTGAAGTATTAGTTCAGGTTTATAAAGTTAAAATACTTTCTAGTCTCTTCTTCTCTATGATATAACACCTGCCATATTTGAAGTCATTAAGGAACTTGATTAATGGGTGAGTTGAAGACTGCATGTTCTCATAAGTAGAGAGCTGTGCTGAAAGCAGTAAGCTGTAATAGAGCATCTAGAACACTGTGCGAGAGAGTAGCTGTGAACTTCAACAGCTTTAATTCTGCTTTGGTCAAAAACATGCTGTGCCTTTACTTAAATTCCCCCTAGCTGGTTTCCCTCTCTCTAAAACAGGAATGGCAAACCTTTCTTCTGGTTAGAAAGGCAGCACACAGAAACATTCCCTATTGGTTTGTTTTACTTTCTTTCATGCTTGACGGCTTGTTGGAAATATTTTGAAAGTACCTGAAGTTTAGTAAGCTTGTTTTAAGGCAAGGAGGAGTCGAGAGAGAGCACAGGGAAGCCAGAGGACAGCTAGAGGGCTACGGTTTGATAATAATCGCTGTAAAGTGAAACAATGATGAGCTCAGTGATGGGGTCCAAAAGGAAAATTTCATCTTATACCTTGAGATCAGCAGTACTGAGAAGGCTGAATAAATGGTTTTTTTCTTCCTACAATTTTAGGCACCAAGGAAATTGTATCTGTTACCTAACAAAAGGATTAGCTTAAAAAAAATTGAGTTTCATGAAGTTAAAACAAGTTAAGCAGCATAGTATTAAAAAAGAAAAGAAACATTATATTCATCCAGCCATTAAATGGTAAATAAGTACAATGAGTTTCACACCCTATATTGCATAAGGCAATGTGCAAAAGAACCACTTGAAGAAAAAGAGTAAGCAAGAGATATGAGGATAATATGCTTGGCATACTTTCAAAATATACTCTATGTGAAGTTACTTATTAACAATTAGCACTCCTGATTATTTCACTAGAGCCAAACTTCCTTATTTTCTGTCCAACACCAAGAGAAAATGCTGGAGAAATTACCTCCTTGATGAGCAGTTTCCAAATTGGTGTAACTTCAACATCGATAGTATTAGGCCCACATATTAACCTCCTATAGAAAGAAATCACAGATCACTCTGTCACAAATAATAAAATTAAAACTGACTCCTCACCTATTCAGAAAAAGGTCTATTCCATGTTCACTTTCTCACTTGTGAGACCAACATAAGTCTCCCTTGTTAAATACCATTCTGATCCTTCTCAAAATAATGGGAGGTGAGGGTTCCCAGTTGCAAAAACGATAAATATGACCATATTGCTTCTAGAAGCATACTCTTTCCAAGGTCTAAATATTTTCCTAAATGGTATTTTGGGTATTTAATATTAAATATTGTCTCATTCAAGTACTTTCAGGATTGGCATGTTCCCAACTCTGTCTCTCCTCAATTCCGGTTTTATTACTGTAAGACAGTGAGGTAGTTAAGAGAAATTACTTTTATTGATAAGGAAATGCTGTTTCTACTTTCCTACCCCTATTTAGAAGTTCTGGAAAACTTCAGAATGTATTTTAATGTGAGTGGAAAGGCTCTGTGATCTCAAAAATAGCTCTACACACATAATTATTCAGCTTTTTGATTCAGTGTCTCTAAAACCCAGAGATGTGTTTCTTTGATTATGCAGAGGAAAGACATTTTATGAGTTATGTTACTGTTGAAAACACTAACCGCTTTCTCTGTGTCTTCCACCTCGATGCTCAGATTAAATAGCTTGGTCAAATGTATGAGAGCAGTGCTTCTCAAACTTTAATGTTTATATAGATCATGTGGTGATATTGTTAAAATGAAGATTCTGATTCAATGGGATGAAAAGTGGTCTGAGATCCTTCATTTCTAACAAGCTCCCAGGTGATGCTGATTCTGCTAGGCTGTACATCTCTTCAAAGTACTAGAAATGGGGAAGGGGGAAGCATGTGAATCATAGAAACTTAGAACAGCAAGGCCTTTAAAGAGTCCTTCTACCCATGTCTATGATTGGGAAACAAAGGTCCAGAGAGGAAAAGGTATTTGTTCAAAGCCCACAGACTCTTGACATACCAGTGCCCTCCCTAAACCTCTCTCCTCTGCCTAATAACTGATTTGGAAATGTGGAGCTACACATCTTGCATGGTGTTCTGCTGCTGCTCCATGGTTATTATTTAACTGCGTTATCATGGTCTAATATGTATTTCTTGATTTTAACCTAAAATGGCTCAACTTTATATTATAATAACCTTGAGAAACTTTGTATGGAGTAGAAAGAGCATTACATCTGCAGTCAGGAGTGTGGGACTCAGTTCTTCCGCTACTAATTCCCATCTGTGTGACCTCGTTCCGGCCATGAAACCCCTCTGAGCCTCAGATTTCTCATTTGTTGTGTGGAAATGGTGATAATGTCTGTTCTACCTGCCCCATAAGGTTGCTGTGAAGATGATGTAATATAATGTATGTGAAAGATTTAATTTAATAATACTAAATAGAGCATTATAATATTTTCTGATATTAATCCATTAAGATAACTATTTACTAGCTGTCTATTTGGCTAACTGATAATAATCCTTTTGAGCTAGTATAGGCAATAATATGCATGGTACCTAATCTCCTGTTCTTCTCTTGTCAAGCCTGATCCAAATTTTTGATGTATCTTGGCAGAACTAAGCCAGTCTTCCAAAGAACTAAAATAATAATAATGAAAAGAACATATTTAGCAATAATATTTTTGAGATAACATTTTTCTTCTTTGGCTGTACTTGCTAAAACAACTTACCCAATTTTCTGGAACTGTCCTTCTAAGTAGTTCCAAACATATCTTATTTTCTGCACTTTGATGCATCTCACCTGCAAAAGAAAAGTACTAAGAAAACCTCTAGTTTGAGGATCAGAGAATAAACAGCAACCCAGTGGCTAAAGAAGCATTTGTTTGAAAAGCAAAGATAAAACTCTAACATACTTATTTAAGATTTTATCCTTTTCTAATTTACCCTTTGCTTTTCTACCATACAAATGGTATTCTTTATTAGAAGTCATCATTCAATCAACATGTATCATGGACCTACTATATAGAAAAATATATATGAATAAAACTTAGTCTCTGCATTCTACTACTTTATAAACTAAGGAGGAAAAAATTCCAAAAACAAGGCATACAGTCCAATATGTACCATGCCAAAAAATAAAAACATAATAACATAAAAAATACGGTCTTGAAATGCTGTAGACGTAAAGAGAGAGAAGATGATGGAAGGCATCATGATGGAGATGATGTATGAGTTACAGTGTCGAAGGATTGGAAGACTTATACTCAGATGAGAAAATAGAAAGTATTTTAAAGAGATTGTTCACAAGTTAGTTTGGGGGAAGAAGGCAAGTGAGCACGCCTGTTTGTAGAATGAAGAATGAAGCTAGAAAGGTAAACTGAAACCAAAGTATTGATACAGGAGTTAAGAAGAAATTACTTGGGCAGATAATGAGGCTACATAAGTCCTCGGTAAGGTTTTCTTTTTAATGAAAAGCAGTGCCCAGTCATTTTCCTTTCTAACATAAAAAGAGCCAACTATATGCTACCTCCAAAGAATCATTTAACTAGTAATAACATACAGAGACTGAAAATGAAAGAATGGAAGAAGACATTCCATGAAAATGGAAACCAGAAAAGAGTAGAAATAGTTATATCAGATAAGATACACTTTAAATGAAAACTATAAAAAGAGACAAAAAAGATCATTGCATAATGACAAAGGAGTCAACTCAGTAAGAGATTAACACTCATGTGTATGCACCCAACATTGGAGCACCTAAATATATAAAGCAAATATTAATAAAACCAAAGGGAGAAATGGACTGAAATACAATGATAGTAAAAAATTTCAACACCTCACTCACAGCAAAGAACAAATCATTCAGACAGAAAATTAACGAAGAAATATCAAATCTAAACTACACTCTAGACCAAATGGACCTAATAGACACTTACAGAACATTCCATTCAACAGCTGCAGAATATACATTCTTCTCAACTGCTCATGGAACAGTCTCCAGAATAGATTATACATTAGGTCACAAAAAAGTCTTAACAAATTTTAAAATCATATCAAGTATTTTTTTCTGACTATAATAGTATAAAAGTAGAAATCACTAAGGAAGCAAGAAAAACTTTGGAAACTCTGCAAATACATACAAATTAAACAACATGCTCCTGAACAACCAATTGGTCAACAAAGAAATTAAAAGAGACATTCAAAATTTCTTGAGACAAGTGAAAATGAAAACACAGCTTACCAAAAACCTATGGGATACAGAAAAAGCAGTTCTAAGAGGTCAATGTATAGCAGTAAACACCTATATACAAAAAAGAATGATCTCAAATACACAATCTAACATTGCACCTCAGGGAAAATGAGAACAAACTAAATCCAAAATTAATAGAAAGAAGGAAATAATAAAGATCAGAACACAGGTAAATAAAACGAGACAACAAAAGGTCAAAAAACCCAAAGAGCTGGATTTTTTAAAAGATAGACAAAATTAACAAATGTTTAGTCAGACTAAAGAAAAAAAGGGTAGACTCAAATAAAGTCAGAAATGAAAAAAGAGACATTACGAATGATAACAAAGGAATTGAAAAAGACCCTAGGAGATTATTATAAACAATTATATGCCAACAAGTTTGATAAATCTAGAAGAAATGGAAAAATTCCTGGACACATGTAAGCTACCAAGATTGAATCATGAAGAAATACAAAATGTGAACAGATGAATTAGCAATGAGATTGAATCAGTGATAAAAAGTCTTGCATCAAAGAAAAGCTCAGTACCTGATGGCTTCACTGCTGAATTCTACTAAACATTGAAAGAAGAATACCAATTCTACTCAGACTATTCCAGAAAATTGAAGAGAGGAAAATATTTCCAAATTAATATGCATCAGGTGATATGCATCACCCTGATAACAAAACTAGACAAGGGCACAACAAAAAAGAAAATCATATGTCAATATTCCTGACAAACCTAGAAGCAAAAATTGTCAACAAAATTAAAGTTAACAGCACATTAAAAAGATCATTCACCATGATCAAGTGGAATTCATCCCAGGATACAAGGATGATTCAACATATGCAAATGAATAAACATAAAATATCACATTAACAGAATGACACACAAACACCATATGATCATTTGAACAAATACAGAAAAGCATTTGACAAAATTCAACATCCTTTCATGTTAAAAACTCAACAAAATAGATATAGAAGGAACACATCTCAACACAATAAAAGCCATGCAAATCAACAGCTAATATCATACAAAATTGGAAAATATTGAAAGTTTTTCCTCTAAGACCTAGAACAAGACAGGAATGCCTGTTTTCATCATTTTTATTCAACATACTACGGGAAGTCCTAGCCAGAGCAATTAGGCAAGAGAAAGAAGTAAAAGGCATCAAAATTGGAAAAGAACTTAAATTGCCCCTTTTTGCAGATTACATGATATCATATATAGAACGTCCTAAAGCCTCCACTAAAAAAAACTAATAAACAAATTCAGTAGAGTTACAGAATACAAAATCAATGTATAAAAATCAGCAGCATTTCTATACACTAATAGCAAACTATCTGAAAAAGAAATCAAGAAGCTATCCCATTGGCAATGGCTACAAAAAAATAATAAAATACATAGGAATAAATTTAACCAAGGTCTTGAAAAATCTCTACACTGAAATCTACAAAACATTATTGCAAGAAATTGAAGAAGACAAAAATAATTGAAAAGATATTCCATTCTCATGGATTGAAAGAACTAATCTTATTAACAATGCCCATGCTATCAAAAGCAATGTACAGATTCAATTCAATTTCTATCAAAATACCAGTGATATTCTTCACAGGAATAGAAAAAACAATCCTAAAATTTGTATGAAACCACAAAAGACCCTGGATACCCAAAGCAAATAGAGCAAAAAGAGCAAAGCTAAAGGCATCATACTATCTGACTTCAAATTTCACTACAAAGCGATAGTAACTAAAACAGCATGGTGCTGGCAGAGAAATAGACATATAGACCAATGGAACCACATAGAGAAAACAGAAACGAATTCACACACTTGCAGCCAACTAGTTTTCAACAAAGGCGCCAAGAACACACAATGGATAAAGGATAGTCTCCTTAATAAACAATGCTAAGATAGGCCCTGAGGCATAGTGGCTCATGCCTGTAATCCCAGCACTTTGGGACACTGAGACAGATGGATCACTTGAGGTCAGGAGTTTGAGACCAGCCTGGCCAACATAGCAAAACCATGTCTCTACTAAAAGTACAAAAGTTAGCTGGGCATGGTGGTGGGTGCCTGTAATCCCAGCTGCTCAGGAGGCTGAGGTAGGAGAATCGCTTGGACCTGGGAGGCCGAGGTTGCAGTAAGCCGAGATCGTGCCACTGCACCCCAGCCTGGGAGACAGGGCACGACTCTGTCTCAAAATACATAAATAAATAAATAAATAAATAAATAAATAAATAAATAAATAAAACTGAGAAACCTGGCAATCCACATGCAGAAGAATTAAGCTAGACCCCTGTATCTTACCATACACAAAACTCAACTTGAAATAGATGAAAGACTTAAATGGAAGATGGGAAATGATAAAACTACTAAAAGAAAATATAGGGGAAACGTTTCATGACATTGGTCTGGGCAAGGATTTTTTGGATAAGACCCAAAAAGTGCAAGCTACCCCAAAACAAAAATAGGCAAATGAAATTACATCAAGCTAAAAGTTTCTATACAGCAAAGGAAATAACTAACCAAGTGAAAAGACAACCTACAGAATGGAAGAAAATATTTGCGAACTGTGCATCTGACAAGGGGTTAATATCCAGAATACATAAGGAACTCAAAAAACTCAAGAGCAACAAAACAACTATTTGATAGAAAATGGGCAAAAGACCTAAACAGACATTTTTCAAAAGAAGACACACAAATGGCTCACAGATAAATGAAAACATGCTCAACATCACTAATCATCAGGGAAATGCACGTCAAAACCACAGTGAGCTATCACCTCACTCCAGTTAGAATGCTATTATCAAAAGACAAAAAAATGACAAATGCTAGCAAGGATATAAAGAGATGAAACTCTTGTACACTGTTAGTGAGACTATAAATTAGTACAGCCATTATGAAAAACAGTATACAGGTTCCTTATAAAATTAAAAATAAACTATCATATGATCCCACAATTCCAATAATAAGTATATATCTAAAGGAAAAGAAATCAGTATGTCAAATAAATATCTGCACTCTCGTGTTTATTGCAGTACTATTCACAATAACCAAGATATGGAATTAACCTAAGGGTCTATCAATGGATGAATGGATAAAGAAAATGTACATGTACATTTTCTTTGTGGAATGTTATTTGGCCCTAAAAAGAAGGAAATTCTGTCAATTTTGACAATGTGGATGAACTTTGAAGAGATGTGAAATGAAATAAACAAGACACAATAAGGCAAATACTGTAGGATCTTACTCATTTGTGAAATCTAAAAAAGCTGATGTCATAGAAGTAGGGAGTACAATATTGGCTATCCGAGGTTGGGGGGAATAGCATAGACAAAGGGATAGAGGAAGATTGGTCAACAGTACAAAGTTATAGTTAGATAGAAGGAATAAATTCTGTTGTTCTTTTGCAGAGCAGGGTGACTATGTTTAATAATATTGTATTGTATATTCCAAAATAGCTAGAAGAAAGGATTTTGAATATTATCACTACAAAGAAGTGATAAACCTATGAGGTGACAGATATGCAAATATACGAATTTGATTTATACATAATGTATACATGTATCAAAATATCACACTGTACCCCATAAATATGTACAATTATTATTTGTCAATTAAAAACAAAATTTTAAAAATCCTGGTAGCCAGATTAAACCAGTAAAAAAAAGAAAAAGAAAAAGATACTAAAATACTGAAAAAGATTAGGCTGGCAGCAAATACTAAAGAACAAAGAGGAGGTTATTACAAAAAAAAAAGGAAGTGAGGGTCTGAGACTGTTGGCAGTGGGAGAAAAGGGAAGGGTTGACGCTTATGACAATTGTGTGTTCTTGCTTCTGATTCTTTAAGCAAGTTCATATGTGAATGTGAATTTCCGTGAACTGATGACCTAACTGAACACAAAAAGAAACAGCGAGACTGCCATATTGTCACAGAGCAATGGTTATTATACTCTCAGGCTGCTCATTGGAATCATCTGGGGAGCTTTGAAAAAGACTGCTGTCTGGCCCCACCCTTAAGGATTCTGATTTAATTTGTCTGCAGTGCATTCTGGGCATAATATTTATAATTTTCCTCACATAATTTTAATGTGCAGCCAACAGTGTCTAGAGCTTCCTTTTGTAGCTACTCTGCTAGATTCCTATTTGAGAACTTCAACTAAATTTTCCTGTGCTTCAGTTTCCCCATGAATAAATTTAGACAATTGGACAGATTATGTCTATATTCTACCTCAGCTTCTCTCTAGGTATTCTATGTGCAAGAATATTATAGTCATTATAACCATTAGATACATTTTAAAACTGGAAAGACCATATAGCTGGCACAAAATAAGTGCTCAATACATTTTTTTATTAAATAAATGAATGAAAGCTTTGTAAAACCGTGTCAACTAGAAATGCAGTTTAAATCCCTTAGCTCTAAGGTCTAGGTTACCAAAAATGAATGCTAACTCTATGCAATAGGTGTATGTACAGGTACACATGTGCACGTGTGCAAACACACACACAGACATTCAAAGTTACCAAATAGCATGTAAAATGCTGTATTTTTTTATTTTACAGAATGGATTTATTTCAGCAAGGTTGATTGAAACATAATGCATTTAAAAAGTATATCTTATTGCCGATTTAGAGTGAATTTCCAGTAGGAATGACACACAATCTCTCTCTAATTTGCAGATTTCACAATCTGCAAAGGAAATATTTGTAAATGACAGGCTCTAGGGTGTGTTAGCCATCATGACACATGTTGAAATCTCAAGCATCTTGCCTCACAATTTACTTTTCTCTTCAGTATTCTTTGCAATTTTGCAAATAGAGCAGGATTGTAATCACAGCTACTATTTTTTGGGCATGTTAGGACTTTTCACACGTTATGTTTAGTCTTTTCCATCATCCTGTGGTAGGGCAGATATTATTTTCCTCTTCACTTTGCGCCTGAAGTTCATTTTGCTTAAGTAACTTCCCAGGAATTTGAACTCCAGCCCATCTGGCTCCAGAGTTCAATCTCTCAAAGGATATCATATTCAAGCTAGTCCCAAAGGAAAATCTGAAAATCCATTGACTTCAGGATTCAAGCTGTATAAAGTGATGGCTATCTACTTATTAATTATATAAATGCAAAAATCTGTGTTAGAAATATTTTAAAGGACAAATTGTGGTTCCAATGTGAGGCCCCTGATCAGTTCGAGAACCTCTTATCAAGAGGCAGAAACCACACACTGAGGTTGAAAAATGTATAAAACATAATAGACATGAAACATCTGTAGATGAACGCAGCAATAATGAGAAATAAAGAGGCTACTGATAAGTTTTACCTCAGGCCAGAAAATAGAAAATTCCATTATCTTCTGACAATTTCTTAAGCCATTTCTCACAGAGTGAGAAGAATGGCTCCATCCTAGACCTTTTGAGCATATTTGAGATTCCCGCAGGAGAAAACATCTCTGCCAGGAGTTTATCTGCTTCCCCCATCACTCTCAGAGCCTCTGGAAGCTGGTAAGAGGATGTTAAGTACAATATTTGCAAGAGATGAGGTTTATTTGCCTATTTCCTGGAAATTCAGACCAGGAAACAGCAATTAGGAAACCAAGTATCTGCTGCGGGGTGAATTTCATCTTTCTGCTCAGGAATAAGGAAGATTTCCTCTCCCCGGGCTTTCTGCTTGTAATTTCTTGTTAGAACATGTTATAAGAGCATCCTGTTTAACAAGTTAAGCACTGGGTGTTAGCTTTGCCTGTAATCCTGCAAGATGGTCCTTAGCATCTCCTCTTAGCCTGTTTCCAAACCTGACATAGTTCTTTGCTGTAGTCTTCAGACTTCCTTTAAACCAGCGATCTCCAACCTTTTTTGGCACCAAGGACCGGTTTTGTGGAAGAGAATTTTTTCACGAATCTTGGGGATGCGGTGATGGTTTCGGATCATCAGGCAATCATTAGATTCTCATAAGGAGCACCGTAACCTAGATCCCTCACATGCGCAGTTCACAATATTAAGGATTTCACTCCTATGAGAATCTCATGCTGCTGCTGACCTGACAGGAGGCAGAACTCAGGAGGTAATGCTCGCCGGCTTGCCAGCAGCTCACCTCCTGCTGTGTGGCCTGGTTCCTAACAGGCCATGGACAGGGCACCAATCGGTGGCCTGGGGATTGGGGACCCCTCCTTTAAATGCCCCTAAATGGTTACCCTCTTGGTAATGCTGTTATTGTCATCAAGGCTGAGCCCATGACAGCTCCTCTGACTTTAAGGAAAGTTTTGTTACTAGCATAGCTCATTGAAGTTCACAAATGACCTTAATATCCATCGTCTCATTGTGTGTTCATAACAGCCCTGAGAAAGGCAAAGAAGGGGTATTACTTTTATTTTATAAATAAGAAACTCAAGACCAGAGAGGCAGTAACTAACCAAACTGCCTATGCCGTAGCTGGTAAATGAAGATAGTACACCTATCACAACTTTCCATTTCAAGACCTCTGCCCCTCCTACAATTCTGTGTGTTGACTTGGCCATTTCTTCATTTATCTGTCCACTTATTTATTTGATGCTACTAAAGATGCTAGAATTTCAGAGCAATAAAACTATGAGAACATAGGCTATCTGGGAAGCTTATTTCTCCAGGTGAATGGACATCTAACAGATTAGGGAAACTATTATTTGGAGGTACTTGACCTCCTTTGTTTTTGTTTATTTGGGCAGCTAAGACAGCTGAGTGGGTGGGGTGCAGTGGCACACCCCTATAATCCCAGCACTTTGGGAGGCTGAGGTTGGTGGATCACCTGAGGTCAGGAGTTCAAGACCAGCCTGGCCAACATGGTGAAATTCCGTCTCTACTGAAAACACAAAAATTAGCTGGGTGTGGTAGCAGGTGCCTGTATTCCCAGCTACTTTGGAGGCTGAGGCAGGAGAATTGCTTGAACCCGGGAGGTGGAGGTTGCAGTGAGCCAAGACAGCGCCATTGCACTCCACCCTGGGCAACAAGAGTGAAACTCCATTTAAAAAAAAAAAAAAAAAGACAACTGGGTGATAACAATTGACAATAGGAAAATTGCTCATAATTTACTTTATTACTTTAAATAACTGAACTTGAGCTCATAAAACTAATTTAAACAGCTGACCACACATACATAAATGTAAGACAAAACATTCTGTCTTATAAAATGTTTTTAATATGAATGTTAACTAGTCATAATCCAAGCAGAACTAATTTAATAGGGTGAAGAGGGAGCAACCCAAATACATTTGAATGACAAGAATTCAAATAAGGTCATTTTTGTAGGCATAAGCAAACCTCCTGGGATATTCCTGGGTGATTACTTTTACTATAAGATTAACCCTGTTACATAGATTGTAATATGGGGAACGATACTATTAGAGCTAATATGTAAGAGCTGGGCTGGGCGGTACATGCCTGCAATCCCAGCTACTAGGGAGGCTGAGGCAGGAGGATCACTTGAGCCCAGGAGTTTGAGGCTGTAGTGTATTATAATCATGCACCTGTGAATAGCCACTGCACTCCAGCCTGGGCAACATAGTGAGATCCTACCTCTAACAAAAGGAAAAGAAAATAGAGCGAGTATGTATTGAGCATCTGCTATATACCTGGAACTACTTTAATCTTTGTATTTCTAAATTTATTGAATTTTATCAATTAATATTAGAAATAGACATTATTATCATCATTTTGTAGATGAGAAAACAGGCTCAGCAGAGTTAAGATCAATGGTTGCGCTATTTAGAAGGAGCAAGCTGAGATTTGGACTGTCTGGCTCCAAAGTTCACATTTTAAATATACACTATCAAATGAGGATTGGCACAGTAGAGGAGCTACATTTAACTATATACTTGAGGGGAAAAAGATTAAATCTCTCTGACATCAGCAGTAGCCATAAGTTTACTTACCTTTAGGTCTGGCTTTCTTATGGCTCTATTTATGATATACTCCTCATCTGTCATGAGAGGGTGGTCAGGAGTGAGACCAAATGCGCTGTTTAATGCTGACAGGTAGATCCATATTACCTTTTTCCAAGAGTAAATTTGGAATTCATCCTGAGGAGATAGACATCAAAACCCCCAAGAAGTTAAGAGAGGTCAGCAGGCTACAATTCAACCTGAGAAACATCATTTTAATATAATTCTGTAAGTGTTTGGCGTTAGTGAATATTCTAGACAGAACGGTTTGTCTCTGAAAGATGATGGATCTAGAACCTTGAGGGAAAAAGACCTGTCATCACTGACTGAGGAATCTGGATATGAAGATGAGGCACTGACACATAACAAAGCTTGAGAATCAGGAGGCTCATTCGCAGGTAAGAACTAGTTCACTGCATCACCTTTCAACCACCTTTCAGCCCATGACCTGATGACCATCCCCATCTTTCAAGGCTTAACTCAAATTCCACCTCCTACAGAACAGCCTCATTAACACCCTTCCACCGGGGCGGGGCAGGGGGGGGAACTATCACTTTGTTAACTCCAAAAAAATGTTAAGTGTCCCTCTCTTGTGCTCTTAATCACTTTTTCTAGTCCTTCTAGACTACCTGGAATGCAGGGATCACGTTTTATTGTTCCTTATCTCCCATTCATGTGGAGCACTGAGACCTGCTCAGTCAGAGTCTGAAGAATGGAAGAAAAAAACTGAATCCATGGACTGAACCTGCCCAAGGTAATTGCCAAGATGTTAGCACAGGTGGGGTTGAAGAAGGCACCTTATTGCATGACCCTAATTAAAATTGCTTCCATTTGCAGTTCACTGATTACTTCACACAGAGTAAAATTAGAGGGAGAAGCACAGGATTGAGAAACAGATACCACAATGGTCCCTTAGAGACCTATTTGACAGTGGTTATTGTCTGAATAGGGAAATACTAAACATAAAACCCACTCAGATGACTGACAAACCTCAGGATTCAAGAAGTATAACAGAAAAAGTCAAACGTGGGAAAAATTTGATGCTTGGGAAATGTAGGTCAGAGCTGGAAATTGTCTCCACCACCACACCCATTTTTGCTATGAAGAGTGCCCTAGCTGACTCTGCAAAAGGCAGAGAGGGGAAGATACAATCATTGTAGCTAATCTCTTATATTCATCCTCCTAAGAGAAGACCGTCTGTATGCCTTTGCTCCTGCTGCTTCCTTAGCCTGTAGTACACATTCTTCTCTCTTCTCCTTAAGTCTTTACATGGCTGGATTCTACCATCCTTCAGGGTCCAGCTCAGAGTTTATGTCCTGAGAACCTCCCTAATTACTCTGGGTGATCTCTCCTCTAAATCATCAGGATACTCAAGATTCCTACCACATTTTACCCTTTGCCTATCCACCTTACCACTTCTCTTGGACTATGGGTAGGAATTGTGTATGATGCATGTCTGCACTTCAGCCAGGCTTAGCACAGGTTCTGTGTGCATGTGTGTGTGTGTGTGTGTGTGTGTGAGAGAGAGAGAGAGAGAGAGAAAGAGAGATGAAGAAGGGAAGGAAGCCAACAAGAGGGGAAAATAACCTTAATAGAAATTGGAATATTAATTAATTAATCAATTTTAAAAGCCAATGTAATTGGCTGTTACACTGTGGATTTAAAAAAAAAGGTGACTAAATCAATTCAAATCAAATTGTATGGAGTTAAGAATGATGAGCCTAAGAATGGTGGAAGGGAGCTAAATTTTCAATGACTAAGTCACCGATCTGATGATAGACATGGTCTAGGTATGGTAGAGTAGGCAACCAACTCTCTTGAACAAACCTTGACACAGTTCAGCATTATATAGCTTTGCTTTTGACTTTATCAAAGCAGTTTTTAAGTAAGAACTTTCCATTTCTAATAACAGTTAATATTTATTTCACACTTATTATGTTCTAAGCACATAATGCTACATATGTATTATTTCATTTAATGTCAAAAACACTATGGAATTGTTACAGTTAATTATTCTCCCATTTAGTTGGCAAGGAAAGAAAGACATACTTGGTAACTATTAGAGCAGGCACTTAACAGTCACCTCCCCACTCCTGCTTGCCTCCTCCAGAGTCCCCTCTAACCTTCCACTTTATTCTACATTTTGCTAAAAAATATAATTTGATTGGACTGCCATTTTTATGTCGAGCCTGAACTGGAACTTCTAAAAAACATAGTTTCAATGAAAAATTTGGTAAGAAAATGTATAATTTGTAGGTAAATAGGAACACAAATTATAAAAGAGCCATCAAGACCAGAGACCTCTTGCCACCAAGTAGGGACAATTAGGAAGACAGCAACTATTAATCGTCTCCAGTGAATTAAAATAATATTAACAACTTTCATATGTTTACCTAGCAGTTTCATAATTTTCATATGATTACATAGCAGTTTGTAGAAATTTTGTTATGTTATCTTATTTTAGGCTTACAATTCTCCAGTGTTGGTATTATAATTATCTCCATTTTGCAGATGAGAAAACTAACCACCAGCAAGGCTAAGAATTGCTCAAGCCAGTCTGAAACTGGTAGTAGGAATAAAACTGAGACCTGAGTCCAGATCTTTCCATTCCAAATCTTGGTCCCTTCCTCTTTATTTCAACAAGTTGTCCCATGGTGTCTATGGCTTGCATGTAAAAATCACCTTGAATTCTGTACCAACTGACAAATAGTATCCAGTTTCTCACAATCTCTGCTCTCCTGACAGCATAGAATCTAATTCCTGAAATCAAGCTGTCACCCTCTGGCCCTGTGTGACAGCAGACAGACCTCCAGACTGTAATGCCTAAAGAGGGAAAAGCAAAGTGTCCAGGTTCTCAAAGGCCATATTAATCCAGTGCACCAACTAACTGTATGCCTTAGTCTAGGTGTGTATTAAAAACTGACATTCATCTATACACCTATCTCTTCTTATAGCTCATAATATTATCAAATCAAAGGTACTTGGATATATTTGCCTTTAAGCTCATTTCCTAACATCCCCATTTACTCCCAATCCCAATACTCATAATTCTGTATGATACAAAGTAGAATAAAATAATTCTACTAATTATGTATCATACATAATTCTGTATGATACAAAGTAGAAAAAATAAAAGATAGGACAGCTAGATGACCCTTTTGCTTAGAGTAGGGGAGTGACACTGACTTCTCTCTTGTATACTACCCTGTTGAGGACTCTGTCAAATCACCCAGCTTTTTAAGGAAAAAAAGCAAAGAAATGGAAGGAAAGTACACCAGTGTGAAGTGGTCACTTCAGGCAAAATCATTGACTTCTCAGTTTTCATTTTGGGGTTGTCCAATATGGCAAGAGCACAGGCTTGAGGCCTGAACTCAAATCCCAGCTCTAAACTGTCTTACAACTGTCTGAAGCTAATTTTCTTTATTTAGAAAATGGAAGTAATACCAAATTTCATGGATGTTTGAAGGATTAAATGAAGTATACATAATGTGTCTGATCTAAGGTTTGGCCCATAGCAGGGAGGCAACAAATGGTATGGCTCTGTGCCTCATTTTTCATAGCATGTTGTTTCTGAGTTCTTTCTGTAAGTAGGAACTTATTCTCCCTTTGAGGAAACTCTAAAAGTCTCTCAATTTTTCCTTTTTGGAAAAGCAGCATCTTTGCCTGTAAATGGCTTCTTCTACTTTAGTCTGTTTCCCAGCTCTCTTCAAAGCAGGTAATGATTTGTAAAATACTTAAATGTACCAGAGGAGCTACCATTTTAAATAATTGGTTTATAATGCAAATAATGCAAAGTGCTTGCCTGGCAAATCTGGACTTTTTACACCTCAGGTCTCATTGAGAAGGCTTTACCTCCTCTTTATCAAAAATATTAACCGGATCAGTCCTTGAACTCTAAAAAAATAGGTTTTACAAAAATTCAAGAGTGCATTTCAAAAGTCGAATGTATACAAAGGACCAGTGTTTGACCTGGACTGAAAAACAGAGGGAGAAACCTGGACATTTTTTATTTCCTGTGGTTTTGTACTTTCTGACCCTGGAAATGCCAGATAAACTTTTAGACTTGAATGAAGCAAGCTATCTCGTGATATGGTTTGGCGGTGTCCCCATCCAAATCTCCTCTTGAATTGTAGTTCCCATAATCCCCTCATGTCATGGGAGGGACCCAGTGGGGGGTAATTTAATCATGGGGGCAGTTACACTCATGCTGTTCTCATGATAGTGAGTAAGTTATCACGAGCTCTGATGGCTTTATAAGGGGCTTTCACCCTTTTGCTTGGCACTTCTCCTCGCTGCCAGCATGTGAAGAAGGATGTGTTTGCTTCCCCTTCCACCATGATTGTAAGTTTCCTGAGGCCTCCCCAGACATGCTGAACTGTGAGTCAATTAAACCTCTTTCCTTTATAAATTACCCAGTTTTGGGTATGTCTTTATTAGCAGCGTGAGAACAGACTAACACATCTTGCTTAACCTAATTCTATCCTTTTACAATAAGAACCTCATCCCTTGAAATTTAAAAGCAATATAATGGTTGCTTCAAGTTCAGGCCAATGCTGTGACCTCTCTTGTATAGTTCACTACACAAAAAAATGTAGTTCTGGCTTGCCTTAAAAAGAACCCATTTCAAAGTTCCAATGAGACATTAGAAAGTGAGTAATTTTCTCCTGGAGATGGATACATTGCAATGCTAAAAGGCTGAACTCTAGCTCATGTGAAATACCTAGAGGATTATGGATAATGTAATAATAAATTTCTCAGGCTATTCTAAAATGCTGCACTGCCTTTATAGACCCATAACTTTGGTAAAATTCTTTTATTTTTACAGCTATCATTTTTTTTCTTTCTCTTTCCCTCTCCTGGCCAGACTCATTGATGCTCTTAACATCCCGACCTCATATTCCCAATGTCTTTTAGTTGGAAAAAAGTTGACATTGGCTAGAATATAGGATTTAGTTATAATATACATAAAGTTCTAAGTTTTGGAGAAATTCTCACAATAATTATTATCTCAGTATATGTTGTCCAAAAAAAAAGAGGAGGGAGGGACAACACAATGAGGTTATTAACAAAGCAAAGGCTATGTTTATGTTTGTGTACAAAACAAGGAAATCTAGCAAACTCAGCATACATTTTTTTGGAGGGATGGGATTTGGGGCTTGCTCATTTTTGTAGCTGTTTTCTGAGGGGAAATGGAGCAGTGGATTAGCGGGTCATCGTCTGAAACTTCTGGAGATATAGTGTGTAGTAAAAAGTTGACTAATGCCCATGGAATGCCTGCATGCCAAGCAGTCTTTATTTCAGAACTTTACACATATCACATCCTTAGTTCTCACAAGGAGATAGGTATTATCATCAGCCCCGGTTAACAGAAAAAAAATGGAGGCAAAAAGAGGTTAAATAACCTGCCTGTTATGAATTGAGTTGTGTCCCCTCAAAATTCTCATGTTGAACCCCTCACCTCCAACATATTTGGAGATAAAGCCTTTAAGAAGGTAATTAATGTTGAATGAGGCCATAAGGGTACACACTAATCCAAAAGGACTAATGTCCATATGAGATGAAGAGACACCAGGTGTGCAAGAGCACAGAGAAAAGACCCCATGAAGACACAGTGAGAAGACAGCCTTCTTCAAGCCAGGAAGAGAGGCCTCACCAGAAACCAACTCTCCTGGCCCTAGATCTTGGACTTTCGGCTCCCAGAACTATGAAACAATAAATTTCTGTTATTTCAGCAAAACCTGGTGTGTGGTATTTTGCTATAGAAGCCTAGCAGGCAAATACACTGCCCAAGGTCAAGAGCAGTGCTGGGAATCAAATCCAGGTACTCAGAACCTAGAGTTTATTCTTAAACCACTTCACAATGCTGCCTCTGTAGAATCTGGTCACTGGACAGAGAATAATTAGATCTCTAGTTCCAACTCTAGTTCAACTCTCATCTTCCGGCTATGGGACCCTGAGAATTTTGTTTAATTTCTCTATGCCTCCATCTGTAAAACTGGAGAAAAAAATCTCTACTGGTAAGGACCAAATGAGACAACTATATGTAAATTGTTAAATCGTAATATAAATGGCCCTGTATTATAAAGGATAATAGTCTCAAAACGATTTATCTTAACATTGAGTCATTTCTCAGAGGCCAGCTCACAGAATCTCAGAGATTTGTGGTGAGATGTCTAATGAAAGACCAGGTTGAAATGGGACTGAGTTGGGGAGTGGGTAGGAAAGCAGGATTCAGAAGTGGGAATGTGTACCTGAAAGAAACATAATGCTATATTCTCTTTCTCAACTGTGACATTCCACTTTAGTATCCTTGAGATAAAATTCTGGTAGAAACAGTGAGACTATTTATTATAGATTCAACTTAATTCAACGTATTAAATTAAATTAAATAACTAAGTCCTGCTGTGGCCATGTGCTAGGTGCCAGGGGGAATGAAATGTATACCACAATCACTGTCTTCAAAAAGCTTATAATCTAGACTGTCCAGGAAAAAAAAAAAAAGCTGAGAAGTTCCAGGAATAGAAAGCTTATAATTTTAAAGGATCAAAAGCTACAAAAAGGAATCCAGCACAGTGAGAAAAAAAAGATTCGGGACTTAGAGAAAGTCTTAGGTTTAAGTTCTTTGCCCCCATATTCCCTCCACCTGCATCACTCTCCATGTGCCTGCCCCCAGCAGCCACCATCACCTTTTAACTCTTATCCTTTGGTGCTCAGAAAGCCTTCCCTGACTGTTTTGACTTGGCCAAATCTCTATTATGTAATCCTACCATAACCTGGAGCCTTTCCTAAGGAGTACTTTTAAGAGGTGGATTTTTACATTTATTTGTGTACCGATCTGATTAACTCCATGAGGTCAAGAACCCTGGTTTTATTAATCACACACACTTACACACTTGCCCATGAGCCAGCACTGTTGGCTGGCATACAATGTGTGCTCCTCAAATGTATAAAAAAGAGAGAGATATAAGGAAGGAAAGCCTGGCTTTGATATTTACTGGGTTGTAAAGTCACTTGGTCTCTTTGTATCCTCATCTGTAAAATGGAGATGATAATGCCCATTTTCCAGGGTTGTTATGAGAATTAAATAATCAATGACATACTGCTTTATAAACTGTAAAGTGAATAGTATTTTAATACACGGTAAAAAGCACTACAGCGGTCACAAATGAAAACACAGAGCTAATGCAGGACAGGCAATTAACTCCCTCCCTTCTGAACTGGCGCAAAGAATGAATCAACAAAGACTTAACAGAGAAGGTGATATGTGGCTGAGGAATGAGGAGAATTTAATAAGTAGAGACAACACCTACTTTCTACATTTACTTGAGAAAGAGAAAGCATGTGTGTGTGTTGACTCCTCACTAGAAAATCACTCTGTAAGGACAAGGATTTCCATCTGTTTTGCTCATAGTTATATTCCCAGTGCCTATGCCAATGTCTGGTACATGGTTGGTGTGTGGTAAATACTAACTCACTGAAAACATAAGTGAATGAATGCATGCATGAATGGAGGGGAGAAGGAATTATCAGAAGAAACTTTATGGGTAAAAGCAGGCACAAAACAGTGTCTTGTTCCAGTAGAAAGTGGTCCTGGTGTGGGAAACGTGGGCTGTGAGAGACCAAGTTGCAGAGGAGGAGCGGGGAGGAGAGGAGGTAAGCGACCCAGTGAACACAGATGCTGCCGCCTGACGAGAATACTGGTACACTGGCAGACTTTAAGATGACATTCGCGTGGCTGATTGGCAGAGTTTCTAAGTTTTTGAACTAACGCTCCTAGCCCTGACATCTTTAATTGAAACTGAAGCGAAAATACTCCCCATTAAAACATCAAACGGAAGTGCCTTGAGTCAGGCCGCATTGCTAATCATCACAAAGTTCTCCTCTGCACACCACGGGTCTTTGACAACATGTAACCTACGATGACAATGAGGGGGAAAATGTGTTTGTAATTACAATAAAGATGGAAGCTATGAAAATCAGGAGCATCTGAATTCAAAACAATGCATATAAATCATGTCATTTGCATAGAAACGTGGCATTGCTACTGATATTGGTTAAAAATCAGAAGTAGATGAATAATGAACAGAATGCTGCTTTTAAAATTATAAAATAAAAACCTAATTACTCTTATCTTTTGGAAAAATCTCTCAGAGTCCTTAATAAGAGAAGAAGAACTGAAAATAAACTGTGTACTGTAGACTTTCAGTCAGTACATCACCGTCTTTTTTTTTAATGTCAAGAAATGACTGCCTAATCAGTATCTGTGATAATGATCTGTAATCTTACCAGCGTGAGATTGATGATAAATAGCAAGTACTGATTTTTTAATAACATGAAGAACAGATATACAACACATTTTCAGGTAGGAGTCATCCAGACCTCCTTAATGGAAAATCATCACAGTCCAGCTATTGTAATATAATTCAAATAAAATCTTTTTAAGATGTCATTTTAATGCAAATAACCTAGCAGCAAACTTTTAAACTATTGGTGCCCAAAGCTTATTTTTATCTAACTCTCAGATAGTAAGAATGTTTGAAATAATTGAGTTCTTGTCTAATTACCTAAAGACTAATTCAGAACTTCATTTATTTGGAGAGTCTCTGGCATAGCAGATCCATTTAAAATGACACACAAGAGCAGGCAATTAAAAATTAAAGTTGAAATCAAGATGAAAAAGGCAAGATTGAAGCCGGCTTAGACTGCTCTGATTAGCTGTGGAGGGGCAGTGAAATTCGACAAGGGCTTGACAGACTGTCAAGGATGCAAAGAAAGAGGCAGGATGATGGAACGAAGCTCCCAGGGGCACCAAAGCTGTTTTGAGTCTTTCCAGTATATGTCCATTTGCAAAGCTGGCTACACGCAACTAGGAGAGATCACCCGACTGAGTATGGATGAGAGCTGGAGACTCCCAGTCACAGAAAACCTTCCCTCGTGTCCGTTGTCCCAGAGGGGAATGCCAGGCTCGTGGGTAATTAGGAAAAGGCACGTCATCCAGATAAGCAAGACCATTAGATATGGGTGCACCTTGTGCATAGCAAGCTCTTTTGTATAGAACACTTTTGGAATGGCTTGAGCAATGACACACACACACACAATCAAAGTGGTGTTTGACAATGCATTTTACAGTTTGCAAATGCCTTTTACATAGACAATAGCCCTTCATTCTCACACTAGCCCCATTTTACAAGTGGTGAAATTGAGGTCCTAAAAAGTTAGGTAACAAACCTAAAGTACTAGGACAAGAAATCAAAACGTTTGACTCCTTCATTCTCACACTGCCCCATTTTACAAGTGGTGAAATTGAGGTCCTAAAAAGTTAGGTAACAAACCTAAAGTACTAGGACAAGAAATCAAAACGTTTGACTCCAAATCCCAAAACACATCATCTCCTCATTTAGTGACACTCTTTTTTAATTCACTCTTAGTGGATTTTTTTCTCTTTTCTCTCTCTTCATTTTCCTCTTACCTATTTTCCTCCCTTCCTTTTCCATTTCCTTGCCCATTTCCTCTTATTCTTGTCTGTGCCATAACTCTGCCAGCACCTCAGAGAGCACGGCTCAGCTGAGCAGACCATCTGAGATCTGAAGAGCTTGCTGATGGACCCTGCAAGGCAGAGCGTGGTTCTGTTTCTACTGTAGCAAAAGCGTTACCCTCTGAGAACTAGTTGAGGGCATACAGATGGACTTGTAGAGTACAGTTAAATTACGTTCATGCCAGAAAATAATAATCTGATAGATTCTTAAGTTCGCGTGGAGGGGTTGATCTATAAAAGGGCCCAAAGATGGAGTCTTCCATAGATACTCACACCCCTGCTCTGAGCCCCAGAAAGCAAATTTTATCCCTGTCCTAGAAAGGCACTCAGGCTATGTATGGGAGGGCCACTCATAGCACTTTACTAAATCTGGATTCTTCTCTTTCAGATTATAAATATATACCATCTGAGCCATACATCAAATGTCTAGGTCTCTATTTCTCTCCCAAGGACCAAGTGAACAAGTGAGCTCACAAATGGAAGTGAAAACTAGTTACAGCAGTTTTTCTCTAAATATGGCCCCTTATAAGAATCATTAGCATCACTTGAGAACCTGTTAAAATGCAAATTCTTGGGTCTCAATCCAAATCTAATGAACTAGAATCTCTGGGACTGGGACCCAGCAAGCTGTTCCGATAGCCTCTCTAGATTATTCTGATGCCAGTTGAAGTGTGTGAACCCTGGTCTAAGTACAGTGCAATGGAAAAGCCCTTGACTAGGAGCCAGGACTCATGGGACTTAGTCCTGGTGAGGCCCCTCACTCACACGTGAGCTAGGGGAAATTGTGTCACCTCCCTAGCCCCATTTCCTCACCCATCAAATGAAGAAGTCTTATGTGGGGTGCCGGGCACTTTTCTTTTGTGCACATCCTGTGAGTCTTCAGGAAGGATGACACGAGGCATCAACGAAGCACAGCTCCAGCTCAACATCACCAATATCACTTGCTCTTATTCCACAATAACCTCTTGCTTCCTTAAAGTCTTAAAGCTTATTCTCCAAGAGTCTCTAGTAAAATTATAGTTGAACTTGTGAGAAGATGCCTCAGCTATTACCTGTATCATGGCTCACATATCAGCTAAGCTAGAACATAGAACAAGTATTTCTTGAAGGGACCAAGATCCAGAAATGAAAGGTGAGGCTGGCCCCAATGGAGCAAGTCAACAAAGACCAACTTCCTCCAGTTCTCAGTTTCATTGGAGTTTAGCCTCACCTCTGTTAGATTTCTTTTTGGCCAGTTATAAGGCTGATTGCTATCCTTCTCTCTTACTGCATTAAATAGAATATGTATCTAGAGAGATTGTAATATATAAAAGGAAGCTAAACTCCCAACAGAGTTTGATTTATCAACAATTTGGTTGTCATTCGGGGCCATGGGCTGATGCATTCTTATAAACACTCAGTAAAAGTCAACTAGAAGAGAGTCCTCTAGGAGACTGTCCTTCCACTCTCTTTAATAGAAACATCCACTTCAGCCTGTCAGCCACCACATAGTAACAGAATCGCTACCACATGCAGGAACTGGGGGTGCAGCAATTAACACGTTAGAAATGCTCACTTCCTTTGAGAAGCTGACAGTCCCGCAGGGATGATGCACATTGTCCGAGTGCCATGAGTGCTGCAAGGAATTGGTATGGAAGGAAATACAGGGAAACTCACCCAAAGCCAGAGGCTTTTATTAACAGAGAGAGGCAATGGCCTCAAGGGCAAGATGGCTGCACTTTTTACCCTAGTGTATCTGCAGAATGTGACATGCTCTCATCAATCAGCTGGGACAGACAGCATCCTCCTCAGAGTGATGCTCCCCACCCCTTCCCTTCTTTTCCTCAGGAGTCACTCCAGTGCAGGGAGTGGGATATGTCAGGAATCGAGAGGAACGGTCAGTGTGAACTTAGTAGCCTATAGCCTGACTTGACTACTTCACATTTCCTGTTATTTTTAGCTATTAACATGTGGTTGTTCCCTGCTCTAGCATTCACGAAACTCACAACTTTAAAAGAAATATCTTGTGAAATCGCTCTTCTTGATCAAACCTCACCATCCACAATTTTTAATTTAACTTGTATTTTAAGATCGGGGAACATGTGCAGGTTTGTTATATGAGTAAACTTGCTTCATGGGGGTTTGTTGTATAGATTATTTTGTTACCCATGTATTAAGCTTAGTACCCATTAATTGTTTTCCCTGATCCTCTCCCTCTTCCCAGCCTCCACCTTCTGACAGACCCCCGTATGTGTTGTTCCCTTCTATGTGTCCATGTGTTATCATTTAGCTCCCACTTATAAGTGACAACATGCGGTATTTGATTTTCTGTTCCTGCGTTAGTTTGCTAAGGATAATGGCTTCAGCTCCATCCATGTCCTGAAAAGGACATGATTTCGTTCTTTATTATGGCTGCAGAGTATTCCGTGGTGTACATGTACCACATTTTATTTATCCAGTCTATCACTGATGGGCATTTAGGTTTGTTCCATGTCTTTGCTATTGACCATACACAAATTAGTGAAATCCTGCTAGATGCAAGGCTGTGATGAAACCTAAGGAACCAAAGACTGGAGCCTCCACCTGCTATCTGTCTTGTGCACATCTCCCCCCAGCCATCCCGTAACACATTGTCCAGAAACAAAAGGGGGGCACCAGCGACATAACCAGGTACACACTTACCGTTGTCCTCAGCAACACAGTGTCTGCTTCTTGCAAGGAACATGGGACACAATGTGCCCATACGTGCCATGCTGGTCTCCAGTAAAACACCAAGGGGAGGATTCCAAATGAGAAGATGGATCCGGCAAGGCAGAGACTTTTCCGGCAGCCTTGAGTCCGATAGCCAAATATCTCCTGGGACAGAATCAAAATGATACCAAATATTGGTTAAGCACAATAAACAATAAATGAACAAATACTGATTTTAGTGATGGAAATGGGGGCAGAGTGAAGGAGTTGAGGAGGGTGAGGAGAGGGCAGGGTGAGGCATGGAGAGAGTGGAGAGGAAATCTTGACAAAGAAGTGTAAGACATGATCCCAGGAAGCAAGGAAGTCACAGTCTAACTAGGAAATCAGTTTCTATCATTTGAGCACCTAGATACCCTGTGCCAAGCACTGTGCTAGGTGTTTAGATGTGCTGTCTTGTTTAACTCTCCCAATCATGCCTATCCCTGTGTTTTCCCTGAAGTGAGATAATCATCCTCATTTCATACATGGTGGGACTGAGCTTAGAGTGGCAGAATGGGATGATGTGCCCAAGGCCGCACAGCTAGAATGTCCCACTGCTAAGATTCCAATCCAGGTCTGTCAGCTGGCGAGCTGACAGCAGCACCAAGAGATTCCCTTGGCTGGGATCAGCAGACACAGGAGAGGGAGAGAAAAGAACCAGGCCTTGAAATCTGAGTCAGGATTGGGTGAAAGTATTTGACCATAAGAGGATTAACAAGTAAATGCCAGCTTGCCCTTGGGAGTTTGGGGTAGAGTTGTGCCTTCCCATGTTCCTTCCTCATTCATCAACAAACAATTTTATGTCAAGAGGAAAACACCATAGGGACTATTTGGTTTACTTCATCTCATTCTACTGAGCACCAATGCGTCATGAGAGGATATTATTAGACCCCAGAGGATACATACAAGACAAGATAAGAGTCTCACCTCTAATAAATATATAATCTAGACAAACGTCTTCCTTCCAAGGAAATCCTGAGATAGAATAGAAAACCATCCCTGAAGTTTATGGTCTTAGTCCCACAACTTTATCCCACAAAGTCATGGGTATACTTTACACTGGTTATGACAGCTAAAATTGAGAGGTAGTAGAGTGTCCTGGTTAAAAGCACATTCTCCAGACCAAGACTCTTTGGGTTCAGAGACTAGCTCTGCCACTTACTGGGCGTGTGATTTTTCAGTACATTATTTAACCTCTTTATTCCTCAGTTTGTCTTCCATAAAATGGGATAGTAATAGCACCCACATGACAGGGTTGTTGCCCTATGTAAGCATTTACTACGGCTGTTGCTGCTATTACTTGATCACATGTCTCTGAAATAGACCTGAAATTCTATCCACCAGTTTATTGGCAGTTAGGTACAAGAATTCCTAGTGTCAACAGTTCTGCTCTTGCTAGAATTGTCTCTTAGGATAACAAGGGAGTTGGAACATAAAACTTTAAATCTATCAACTTCTTTATCTCACCTGATAAAGATTACATTGCCAGGAAAGGTTCTGTGATGCTTGGCTGAAGGTTGCTTTTGTGTGTAAACATTAGATTCCTTTCTACTATTAGCAACACATACAGGTGCCGAATGGCTTTCTTAGGCATTGTCCAAATTTGGCATAACTGATAAAATGTTCTCATTAACTCAGAAATACAATCTCTTAACTAATTTTGCAAAGTAGAATGTAGATTCTGACATGAATACTCTTCTGCTCCAAGCTCAAGCCATTGCTCTCCAGATGCCAAGCCTAGAATGGCTCTGTCCCCTCAACACACTGGCAGCAATGCTCTCTTAATCCCACACAGAGCAGTGCCCTAGTCTTAATTTCCTTACTTGTCCTGAGTCCAGCTACCATTCTTTCCCATGTGCTTTTTCTATGTTTCAACACTTTGGCATAGATCAATTTGTACCTTCCGACTCAGCCATTTTTTCATCTTTTTAAAATATTATATTTAAAAGTTTCCTTATATTGCCAGTCAGTTGAGCCCCCATGTAATATGCCTGAGTTACTCGGTTCTATAGCAAAAACCTCTCTGTTACTATGCATTCTTTTTTGGGCTACGCAGTGAGGGCTCTCTACAGTTTCCAAAGTGTCTTTGTGTTCATTGCCAACATAAAGTAAACAAAAATTATTATCTTAATTCCCCATTAAGAAAACTAAAGTTCAAAGTTACTATAATACCTTTAATAGTAATAATAGTGATTATTAACAACTAATTATTGATAACAGTGCTAGCAGCTAACACTTATTGGGCACTTAATAGCCTTTCACTAAGCACATGATACATATTCTCCCATTTAGTTGAAAAAGATTAAATTAGTTTCCCAAGCCACAAAGCTCATAACTAACTCAAAACTGGGCCTCCAGTCTAGACCTCTGCAGCACATGGAAGATGATGTGGGCTGGCCATTTCTACTCCTATGCTCTTCTTTATTCTTTTATTTCAGTTCAATTTAACAAATGTTTGTTACATGTCCACCAAATGGCAGGCATGTGCTAGACGCAGAGATAAATAAGACAATATCTCCAGTCTCAAGGAGCTCATTAGTTTAGTAGAGAAGAGAGTCACACAAACAGCTAAGATTAAACAAGGTTAGAGCAATAAAGGGTTACATGGAGAGATAACCATATAAATTGTCACCTGAATGGGGTGCTATTAATAATAACACTGGGACAACAGGAGTAGGTGGGTGTGAAGCGAATGCTTCACTGTAATTTCCAGGCACTACAACCAACTGTTTTGTTTTATTTTATTTTATTTTGAGACGGAGTTTCGCTCTGTCGCCCAGGCTGGAGTACAGTGGCGCGATCTCGGCTCACTGCAAGCTCCGCCTCCCGGGTTCACGCCATTCTCCTGCCTCAGCCTCCCGAGTAGCTGGGACTACAGGCGCCCGCCACCACGCCCGGCTAATTTTTTTTGTATTTTTTTAGTAGAGACGGGGTTTCACCGTGTTGGCCAGGATGGTCTCATCTCCTGACCTCGTGATCTGCCCGCCTCAGCCTCCCAAAGTGCTGGGAGCCACCACGCCCGGCCTACAACCGACTGTTTTAAATGAATGCATTTCAATGGATTTACCTCGCTGCTCATCCAATCTGGACACCTATTAAAATCCTTGCCTCTGTACAGTTTCTTCTTTGCCACTCTTAAATACTAAAGAACATTTTTCTAAGTTTCTTCCAAGTTAATTTGACTTATAGATTCAGGTGAAAAATTCTCAACATGAATGACCTAATCTAGAAATCTTAAACTGGAGGCTCAAAAGGAATGACCTACAGTCTCATTTCTTTTTTACCTGTTAGGTATTTCTTAAAACTTTAAATTTGTCCCCCAGTTATTTTCACATAAAAATTAAGATTTCTACTTTTTCCTTAAAATAAATTAAAATGGTGACAATATTGTTCCCACATTCTTGCACTGCAGTAATCAGTTGGAGAGCAAAAAAAACCATGTGTAATATAACCCAGAAAATAACCCAGATGCCATCAGTGAGTGAGATGTACTGTGGTGTGTCCACACAATGAGATTTAATACAGCACTTCAAATGTATGAGCTCCAGCAACACACATCAATATGGATGACTCTTAGTAATAGAATAGGAAGTGAAGAAAGTCAGTGCAAAGGATTGTAATAGCATCATAACCTTTTTATAAAGTTAAAAACTGCTAGCATTTCAATTATTTGGGGGATATATCTAGATAAAAGAAAACCATATAGGAAGGAAAGCAAGGGAATGATGAACACATGATTTAGTACAGTGGCTGCCTCTGTTGGGGAAAGGCAGAGGAATGAGAGGCCATACTGTTACATGCAGATTATTGTCAAAGTCCTAGCTTTTGTTTGTGGTGATGGGTTCAGCACATTATTATAAAGAACTAATAAAGTAGCTAACCAAATTAATGCAACACAACATGGGCAAATAATATGAGTGTGTCACGAACCAAAGATTATGGACAATCTAATTGTGAGTACCTCAAGTCTTAGGAGAAAAAAGAACCAGCCAGAGCAAGTACCATATGCCCCCTCTAAATGAGCAGGTGCCCACTTCTTTTCTGTGGTTCCTGCCTTGCTTTCTTTTTTCCCCAACACTGAGGCTATATGTTAGGTTCCATCTCACATCTCATGCCAGACCTGCTCATTGGAGCTACAGTCTCACCCTGTAAACTAGTGGTTCTCAACCAAGGGAGAGTTTGTCTCCCAGGGTACATTTGGCAATGTCTGGAGATATTTTTGGGTCACCCAACTTCTGGCATCTGGTGCTCAGAGGCAGGAATGCTTCTAAGCACCCCACAATGCAGAGGACATTCTCCTACCTCCACCCTCCACAAGAAAAAAATTATCTGGTCCAAAATAGTGCCAAGATTGATAAAACCTGCTTTAGGCATTTTAGTTTCCTCCCACCTAAACTAGGCAGATCTTTAGGTCCTAGTGCCTAGGATGACATCTTCAGCACCCAAAGAACTAGAAAATTTTGATTTTGAAACCCATGGTAAAAGAGGATTGACACTTAATACTAAATGACCAACAAAGTAGGTAATGGTTGCAATGCAGCCCAACAAATCATTTCACAGATAAGGAAACTGAGGTACTAAGACAGAAAGCAGATTGCCCATGTGATCTACCACCTGCCTTCCTCTCCAACTCCATCTTGGACCACTTTCCCTCTATATCACTCTGTACCAGCCACGAGGACTCTTTCCATTTTGTTGAATTCACCCAGCCCTTTCCTGCCTCATGGTCTTCCCATGGCTTGCTATTTCTCATTCTTTCAGTCTCCTTTAAATATTTGCTTTTCAGAGAGGTCTCAGCCAACCATCCTATATAATTAAGCCCTTAATCTCATGTGCCCTTTATAATACTTTTGTAGAATTTTCACAATTTGCAATTTGTAATTTTTTTTTTTTTTTTTTTTTTTTTTTTTTTAGACAGAATCTTGCTCTGACTCTGTCACCCAGGCTGGAGTGCAGTGGCGCAATCTCGGCTCACTGCAGCCTCTACCTCCTGCGTTCCAGTGATTCTCCTGCCTCAGCCTCCTGAGTAGCTGGGATTACAGGCGCCCGTCACTGTGCCCAGCTAATTTTTGTATTTTTAGTACAGACGAGGTTTCACCATGTTGGCCAGGCTGGTCTCGAACTCCCGACCTCAGGTGATCCAGCCGCCTCAGGCTCCAAAAGTGCTGGGATTACAGGCGTGAACCACCGCACCTGGCCTGCAATTTCTATTTTTTGCTTGCTTTTCTGTTTCCTCCTTTCTGCTCCCCTACAACGAGGCTTTAATTTATGTCATAGTAGGATCAATTCAAGTTTTTTCCTCCCACGTTGTTTACCCAGCATCACATACATTATCTGCATGTAGTGGGCACTCAATAAATACTTGCTGAATCAATCAATATATAAATGAGTGGCTATATTAAAGGAAAGAATAAAGGAAGGAGACAAAGGTGGGAAAGGGAGGGAGAGAGGGATGAAGGGCAAGAGAGAAGGAGGGAAGGGAAGTTAATAAACCCGTACTCTCCTTGTTCCTAGCCCAACAAATTTAACTGTATTATCTCCCTGGACACTAAAAATAAAATCAGTCCACTGAGGGGAGGAAGGAGAAAACATAGCAACTCCCAGATGCTGCTCTGTGCCTTTGGTCATTAGGAAATGTTAAACTAGTCACATCATTTGCATTACATCAAGTTAATCTCTAAGTCTAGGTTTCTTGAATGAGTGCTAGGATTTTTGCTTTTTCTTTCTCTTTTTAGCCTGTCTCCAAGAGTTGAAAAGATGCTAAAGGTAAGACTGAGTTTTACAAACTCTCTGTCTTCAACAGAGCCAAACCAAGGGCCTGCCCTGGAAGGGACAAACTGGTTAGATATCTACTCTCCAGTCTCCTGCTCTAGTCCAAAAAGTGTGTTCACAATCACTTTAGTGTGAATTGTGCTGAAGTCCCAGTCTTGTATACTACTTTGCAAAAAAAAATTATTATTATTAAAAATAAAAAATAATAATCTCCAACAATGACTACTGGCATGCAGCTGAGTCCCATTTTCCATTAACAATGTTTACGTCCATTCAGTGGTTACAGGAGTGGCCCTTGAGGGGATCCTGAGGAACAAAATGAACTGGCCACAGCTGGCAGATAGTTGGGATGATAATCAAATTCTCTTCCCAGCTTTGGAATGTCACTTCTCTCTCATTCCCAGCTTTGGAATGTCACCTCTCTGGTCATTGACTCCCAGTTTCTCTTGCCACACTTTCTTTCTCATGATTGCTATGGGAAACAATAGAATGACACCTGGCCCAGATGTCAGGCTCAAGAACCAAGGCAACGATCGTAAAAATGCTTCTGTGCTGCACCTCCAGCATAAAGTCTTTAAAGTATCTTTGCTTCAGTTTTCAATTCAAATTGCCTACTATGTCTAAGACAATGGGTAAAGTATGTCTGCTAGAGATAAATCTTCCACCCTCAAGGAGCTGACAGAAGAGATGATGAGTTTTAAAATAACTATAATTCAGGGCAGAAAATATTAAATGCCATATGAAAAGCACAAGGGAAAAAATAGTTTCAAATGATGAAGATCTCCTACTGAGACAATTAATAGGAAACACTTTCCAAAAGAATAATAATTTGCAATTGACTTGGAGAGAATTGGTAGAATTTTGATACCTGGGAAAGGAGAGTAGGAAAGGGCACTCCAAGTGGAGGAATTAGCCTTGAGCAAAGGTAGACTATACAAGGAATATATTTAATGACAAAATGTCAGGTTAATGCCTTACAGGAGTTCCAAGTACTCTAATGTTACGATTAACCTAATCGTGTATGGTTAGATAACACAACTTTGGTTGGGACTTCGGGATTCTAGTTTGTGTACGCTACTCTAGATACGGCTTTTGAAAATCAACTTTGCTGAACCCTTAAAAACTGCACCTCCAGCCAGGTGCGATGGCTCATGCCTGTAATCCCAGCATTTTGGGAGGCCGAGGCGGGCAGATCACCTCAGGTCAGGAGATCGAGACCAGCCTGGTCCACATGGCGAAACCCCATCTCTATTAAAAATACAAAAATTAGCTGGGTGTGGTGGCACACACCTGTAATCCCAGCCACTTGGGAGGCTGAGGCAGGAGAATGGTGTGAACCCAGGAGGCAGAGGTTGCAGTGAGCCGAGATGGTGCCACTGCACTCCAGCCTGGGCCACAGAGCGAGACTGCATCTAAAAAAATAATACTAATAAAATAGAAAAATAGAAAAAAAAAACTGCACCTCCATCTTTCCCCCTCCACAGTCAGCAGGTGGACCTGTCATAATTACCCTAAAGTTAGCATTCCCAGAGAAAGTTAGTGACAGAGGCCACTGCCTACGGCCATTTCAGCTGAGCTGCAGTCTGATTATGGAAGTAGGCTAAACAGATGTGTTTGGGGCTTTAGTTTCCTTTGACTCAGGGTTCCTTTTCTCAGCCCAGTGTGTTGTCAGCTACTGCCTATGGAAACTCCTCCTTGTCACACAGATTGGCCGACAGAAAAGCAACTTATCCCACCTATCAGCTGCAGGCAGGAAGGTAAGACCCTGCCCTGTAGATAATTGCCCACACAAACTTGGGTTGAAGTTCATGAAAACTTACATTTTATGTAAATAATAACTTTTTATTATGTTCCAGTCACCCTAAATATCTATTTTGTCATCTGCTGCTTTAATTCTCACAATCCTGTAAGGAAGGTAGTATCAGGCATGGATCAGAATAAGGAAGGTAACGTTTGGGGAGGTTAAGAAATGTACCCACGGTCACCCAGCCAGTAGGTAAGAGAGCCAGGTCCTTTTTATTTAAAATTCTTTTCACCCAACAAGGCTGCCTGTCATGAAGACACTCCCTCCTCCTCCTTAGCTCTCTGATATTCTCGTTTGGCAGGTGTCACAAGTGACAGTGCATGAACACTTGTTGATTGTCCAGATTTGAGCTAATGGATGTGCTGCCCAGACAGGTTCGTAGGTTCCCCTTAAACAGGTTTTCACAAGCTTCAAACTACAGAGTGAGAGGAAATAGGCAAGAGGGACTCCACCCAATAGCCAGACAGTGGTTTCTACAGGCATCATCCTAATCTTTTTGTCCGGTAATCTTGGGCAAGAGGCATTTTCTAGGCTTTCATGTGATGAGGAAATTAAAACTTCTCTTTCTGATGATGTCTTTAGTATAATAATAAATAAATATTTTGTCTTTGTCTCCAGTTTCTGGCACACAGCAACTAAAACCCTTGGAATGTTCTGAATAACAGGAGTGTATTTTGTTATTCAAAATGAGCCCCTCTCAGCCAGGTGTGGTGGCTTACGCCTGTAATCCTAGCACTTTGGGAGGTCGAGGCACGCGGATCACCCGAGGTCAGGAGTTTGAGATCAGCCTAGCCAACAAGGTGAAACCCCGTCTCTACTAAAAATTCCAAAAATTAGCCAGGCGTAGTGGCAGGTGCCTGTAATCCCAGCTACTCAGGCAGCTGAGACAGGAGAATCACATGAACCTGGGAAGCGGAAGTTGTAGTGAGCCGAGATTGTGCCATTGTACTCCAGGCTGGGCAACAAGAGTGAAACTCCGTCTCAAAAAAAAAAAAATCAAAATGAGCCCCTTTCAACCATATTCGAGTTCATGCTAATGAGATGACCTTCAGGATGGGGGCTGGTGGTCAGAGGAATCAGCCATATCTTTAGATCATTGGAACTTTCAGTTTCACCCCCTGACCTCTAGGGAAAGGAAAGGGGCTAGAGACTGAGTTCCACCACCAATGGCCAATGATTTAATCAGTTATGCCTGTGTAGTGGAAGCTCCATAAAAACCCCTAAATGATGGTATTCGCAGAGCTTCAGAGTTGACAAACACAACCATTTACCAGGAGGGTATGGTACTCTCCCTCCATGGGGACAAAAGCTCCGGTGCTAGAGTCTTCCAGACCTCAACCTATGCAGTGCTTCATCTGGTTATTCATTTGTGTCCTTTATAATAAGCCAGTAATAGTAAGTGCTATGGTTCGGATGTGGTTTGGATGTGGTTTGTCCCCACCAAACTCACATCGAAATTTGACCCCCAGTACGGCTGTGTTGGGAGGTGGAATCTAGTGGTAGGGGTCTGGTGCAGGGGCGCAGATCCATTACGAATAGATGAATGCCCTCTCAGAGGGGTGAGTTCTCTCTCTCATTAGTTCCCACAAGAGCGGTTGTTAAAAAAGAATCTAGCTTCCTCAGTTTCTCTTTCTTGCTTCCTCTCTTGCCATGATCTTTTTTCCCATGCCCACTTCCCTTCTGCTTTCCATCACCAGTCAAAGCAGCATGAAGCCCTCCCCAAATGTGGCTGCCAACTTTGGACTTTCTAGTCACCAGAATCATGAGCCAAATAAACCTCTTTTCTTTATAAATTACCCAACTTCAGATACCCTACTATAGCAATATGAAATGGACTAAGACAATGAGTAAAGTGTTTTCCAAAATTCTAACAAATCATTGAACCTGAAAGGGTGGGGGTATGGGAACCTCCCAACTTAATAGCCAAATCTGACAGAAGTGTGGGTAACCTGGGAACCCCTATTTGTGTCTGGCATCTGCAGGAGGACAGTCTTGTAGGACTGAGCCCTTAAACCTGTGGAGACTGACACTAACTCTGAGTAGTTAATGTCAGATTGAATTAAATTATAGGACACCCATTTGGTGTCCAGAGAGCTGGAGAACTGGTTGGTGTCAGGAAGAGAAAAACTCCACACATTTAATGTCAGAAGTATTGTGAATAAAAAACAGCTCAAAATCTGAGAGGTGTAAGACAATAAGAGCATACAGAGGTCAGTATCTGGGAATACCAGCCTGTCTAGGCAGCCTATTTACTGCTCAGTGTAAAGACTCAAGCGAGGGTAGCACAGGAGAAAGCCAACATATTTAAAGACAAAGCAGTTGGGTTCAAATCCTGGTTCTGCCACTTATTAATTTTATTCTACAAGTCACTACCATATCTAAAAAATAAGAATACTAATGCCTACCTCACAAAACTGTTATGAGAATGAAATGGGATAATAGTTGTAAAAGAGTTATTCAAATATAAGTTGTTATTATTATGGGGGAAATTAGACTTCAGGCTGATTAATAACCTCTCAGTGATAGCCAGACATGTTTTGCCCCTCCATATAAGTCAGATCTCACCTCCCTGACCACACAGTCTAAAATAGCTACCCAGTCAGTCTCTAGCACATCATCCTATTTTAGGTCTCTATGAGCCTTTATCTCTATCTGATTTTTTCTGGTTTGTTTATGTTTTTGCAATCTGTTAGAATGTAAGCTTCAAAAGAGCAGAACAGCTTCAGTTTGTCTGTTCAAACTATGCGTCAGGGATTGCTGAATCCCTAGCACATAGCAGGCCCACAAATATTTTTTGAGTGAATGAATGGCTCAAATTTTATTGTAAGGATTCTAGTCTAAGGAAGAATATAAGAATATTAATAGACTAGTAAACAGAAAGGCCAAAAATGACAATCATAGAGTGCTGGCACCTGATAAATGTTTAGCAAACATCTAGTCGAACTCATCATTTTTTAGAGAAGAAAGCTGAAATCTTAAGATAATTCTCAAACAAGGACATACAGAGAGAAATCACAGGAAAAGCAATGATCTCCTTCCAAAATCACACTTCCACTCTTTGACCAATGAAGAATATATTTTGGCAATACATTTTATCCCCCAGTATTATTATTTCCCTTTATCCCTGGGTATCATTTGCCACTAACTACAGGATTTTAGAAAATGAAAAATCTATTATGAACTAAGAGAGGAAAAGATCAGAGATGATCTGATCATGGACCCCTTCTACAACATCTATAACAAATGCTTTCCTGGGTCCCACACCTCCAATAAAGCAAACTCTACTTCCTGGGGAAGGCTGCTCCATTTTCAGGTAATCCTACTAATAATTACACTATGTGCCAGACACTGGGTTGAAGCCCAGATGTAGGACTCTAAGTTCCCTCCTCATCACCCCACACCAATGCACACAAACACGTCTCTCTCAACCAGAACAACTCTGTGTCTATCTATTTTATATATTAATCTTCCATTGAAAGTTTGTGCCTAAACAAGGGCCTGTGTAGATGAAATCATTTTGGAAATCACCATATAACCAAATCCCCTGTTGAGCTAGTCTGGAATCTTTTCCATATACAGGAAGTTTATAAAAGAAGTGAATGGAAAGCATGTTATACAGCAATGGTTCCCACCCTTCTTAGTATGAGGAGCCCTTCCTTAACATTGCTGGTGAGAGATAAATGATTAAAACTAGTTTTGAAAGAAATTTGGCATTATAGTAACTTTCAAGATATGCATACTGCTTGCTAGGCCTGGCTTGCTAGGCCATATCATTTATGAAATGATACGGATATATCTTAGGAATATAATAATCAGAAGAATGAGAACACAAAATAATATAGTCAAATATTTGCTATTGTAAATAGTGCTGCAATAAACATGCCTATCAATGATAGAGTGGATAAAGAAAATGTGGCACATATACACCATGGAATACTATGCAGCCATAAAAAAGAATAAGACCATGTCCTTGGCAGGGACATGGATAAAGCTGGAAGCCATCATTCTGAGCAAACTAACACAGGAACAGAAAACCAAACACCACATTTTCTCCCTCATAAGTGGGAGTTGAACAATGAGAACACATGCACACAGGGAGGGGAACAACACAACACACGTTGGGGCCTGTTGCAGGGTGGGGAGCAAGGGGAGGGAGAGCATTAGGACAAATACCTAATACGTGCAGGGCTTAAAACCTAGATGACAGGTTGATAGGTGCAGCAAACCACTATGGCACACGTATATCTACATAAGAAACCTGCATGTTCTTCACATGTATCCCAGAACTTAAAGTAAAATAACAAAGAATTTTAAAATAATAATAATATAATCAGTGTGATTTTGATCCTGTAAACTTCAAAAATATTGTTATGGGATACATAAATAGTTAGAAAAAAATAATATGTTTAAAAGGCAAGGAAATAATTATTTAAAAAGTCATATGAGAGATTATCTCTGGGTGGGGAGAGAGCAGCAGAGATGGGCTTTAGTTAGAGAGGGCTCCAGGGGAACCTCTGGAATGCTAGCAGTGTTCTGTCTTCTGACTTAGACAATGACCACACAGGTTTCACTTTATTATTAAATCGGTTGCATATAATTTTTGCACATTTTTGTGGCACTTCAAAAAAAATGCCACATACTCTCAAATGATTGAGATCCACTTTTACTTATGGAGATCACATCAATGCTTGTTGGTCATATGAGTCCTTGGACCCATAGCAATAACTCTTAAGACATCAAGAGTTGCGGCCCACAGCTTTGCAACCGCTGGTATAGGAAAAAGCAAAAATCAGTGGCTGGGATTTAATCTAAACTCCGCTGCTATTAAATAATCCCTTTCCCCTGTGATGTGGTTTGGCTCTGTGTCTCCGCCCAAATCTCATCTAGAATTGTCAAGGGAGGGACCTGGTGGGAGGTGATTGGATCATGGGGACGGTTTCCCTTGTGCAATTCTTCTGATAGTGAGTGAGATCTCACGAGATCTGATGGTTTAAAAGTGTGGCACTTCCTGACTGGGTGCAGTGGCTCTTGCCTGTAATCCCAGCACTATGGGGGGGCCAACGTGGGCAGATCAACTGAGGTCAGTTCGAGACTAGTCTGGACAACATGGTGAAACCCCGTCTCTACTAAAAATACAAAAATTAGCTGGGCATGGTGACATGTGCCTGTAATCTCAGCTACTTGGGAAGCGGAGGCATGAGAATCACTTGAGCCTAGGAGGCAGAGGCTGCAGTGAGCTGAGATCACGCCACTGCACTCCAGCCTGGGCGACAGAGTGAGGCTCCATCTAAAAAAAAAAAAAAAAGGGCAGCACTTCCCCCCTCCCCTGCCTTCCTGCCGCCATGTAAGACATGCCTTGCTTCTCCTTCACCTTCCATCATGATTGTAAGTTTCCCAAGGCCTCCCCAGCCATGTGGAGCTGTGAGTCAATTAAACCTCTTTTCTTTTATAAATTATCCAGTCTCAGGAAGTTGTTTATAGCAGTGTGAAACTGGACTAATACACCCTGTCTGGGCCTGTTTGTCCATCTGTAACAGAGAGGGTTGAATTAAATGATCTCTTGAGTCCCTCTCTGCAGGTATTTCTCTACAGAACTACCTGTAATTCTTGTAGCAATAGGAACCTTCTGAACATGACACATGTGACAGCTTGCAACCCCCTTACAGATGCACGTCTAAGGTCATAACTCTCGTCCGTTGAGATGCCTGCCTTCACTTCAAAGCTGTCCATGTAGTTTTCACTCAGGATTCAATATTCCTTTAAGGAAAAATACAAATGGTTTCTGTTGCACCATTTGTGCAAATTGGTGCATGTTGTGCAGACTACCTGCTTAAGAACTGTCAGAGCGTCCTCTGGGAGAAGGAGCATGTCACATGCGAGAACCCCCATGCTTGGCCCCAGGAATGGGAGCTAGCCTGCCACCCTGTGACTCTGGCTACTGTGCCATATTGATCAACTGAGCATCAGAATTATCCAGTGTGCGAAGACTATTGGATTCATTTCTATGACTGTATTTAGATTCAAGCACAGCCTTGTGGAAGGTTTCTTGAAATTCTTAAGATGGCACCATCAAGCCATGATGCATGGCTCAGGTTTTGACTGACAGAAAAGGGGCCCTGGATATGCTAGAGAATTTCAAGCCAATGGACAGAAGTGGAAATGGTGACATTAGAATATGTAAAGGGGAAATGAATGATTTGATAAGAATGGAAAATTGTTTGGGAGAATAGTGGGGCATAAGGAAGACCATAATTTCTACCTTTTTCAAATACCCTGGGATGCCATACCCAGCTGATGAAGGGAAATTCGAGACATTAAATGCTGGGCAAGACAATTACAATGTTATCTCAGGGGGATTTTTTAATGCTCTTATTACTACAGAAGCAATGCATGCACATTTTACTAATCAGAAAATAAAAATACAAATAAAAACTTTATATTACCACACCCAGAGATCACCACAATTAACAACTCATTGCATATACTTTTTCTTCTACCAGAATGAAACCATACCATACACATTATTTTACAATCTGCTTTTTTATTCAATGGTCCATTTTTCCAGGTCAGTGAGCTTTTAGCTCTTCTAATACCCAAACCATATTCAAATATCACCAATGGACCTACCGATGTCCTCTATAACTGGCTTTTAAAAATTGATTTGGCAGGGCCAGGCACAGTGGCTCACACCTGTAATCCCAGCACTTTGGGAGGCTGAGGTGGGCAGATCACGAGGTCAGGAGATCAAGACCATCCTAGCTAACATGGCGAAACCCCGTCTCTACTAAAAATACGAAAATTAGCCGGCAATGGTGGCACATGCCTGTAGTCCCAGCTACTCGGGAGGCTGAGGCAGGAGAATCGCTTGAACCCAGGATGCGGAGGTTGCAGTGAGCTGAGATCGCGCCACTACAATCCAGACTGGGAGACAGAGCAAGACTCTGTCTCCAAAAAAAAAAAAATTGACTTGGCATTATTCTACTTCCTAAACTAGATGGTTAATTAGTGTGTTCAACTTATAATTATCCATTAAGTTGTACATAAATATTTTATGTACTTTTATATAGGCATACCATATAATATTAATATATACACTATATAAAATATATAACAAGAACATATTTCACAACAAAAGAAAGGGGCAAAATATCAGACATCTCATATAATTATCATTGAACTTTTGCCATTTGTTTTAATCCAGCTCCTTCCCTTTTTCATGATGATGATTTATGGAAGGGCCACTCGTCATTGTGCAAGAGTGCCAAAATGCTAATAACGACACCTCTCACCAATTTCACATGTTACACAAAAACAAGAGACAAGTGACCTAATCTCCAGCTGCTTTCTTTTCATGATTTGTTTATTCATTTGTTTTTTTAGGAATAATTACATTTATCCCACAGAGGAATGATAACAGTAGCCAAATTTTTTGTTTATAAGGAGCCTTATTTTTGTTTTGTTACTTTGCATTCTAATAAAAATTTAGTTATAATTTTACACCAATTTAAGTTTGGCTCTAAACCAAACGAGATTTCCTTAGCACAGTGCTTTGAAATCTTTTTCATATAATAGCACCCATAGAAAAAGTTGCTCAGTGCTGATTAGGTAAATGCATAAGTCTGTTTGAAGTGGGAAGGGACCCATATCTTAAGATTCCTATAAGCATTCCAGGGCCACCCATGGCACCCCAGTTGGGTTGTTCTTCCTTATCCTGCATTTGTAGCAACAAAATACCTTTCCCTTCTCTCATTTTCCTCAGTTTAATCAGTGTCAAATTGGGCAAAGTTGCACCTAAAATGAATATGTCCTATAACTACTCACCATTCCTAGGGAAGCTTGCCCTATGCTTTCTCACCCCTATGCCTTTGTCCAAGTGGGTTTTTTTTTCGGTTTTTGTTTGTTTTTGCTTTTATTTTTGTTTCTCAAATCCTGTCTCAACCTCATTACTTTTTCTCCTAGGGAAAAAAAATTCTAGCAATCTTTAAAAGTACTACTCAAATGTAACTTTGTGAAACCTCCTCAGTCAGAACTAGGTACAGGTTCAAAACCAAACTCATTATCTGCACCTTCCTCTGTATCTGAATCACCATCATCACCACAATTACACATCCACTGGTATGATTCAGAAATCTAGACATTCCCTTTAATATTCTCCCCACGTTCCCTGAACAGCTGAGGAGTCCAAGGTCTATTGATTGTCTTCTAGATATTTCTCAAATTAGTTTCCTTTGCTCCATCCATAATACTACCGCCTTATTGGTTCAACCTGTATTCTCACTGGAATCACTGCAAGAGCCAATGGGTTCAGTTCCACCTCTCTCTGAGGTTGTCCACACTGCCGCAGAGTGATCTTCCTAAAACAAACATCTGAATTCACTTACCTACTAGAGTCACCAGCTGTCCTGGTTTGCCTGAGGGGTTTCTCAGGATGTTGTGATTTCATTGCTAATGTCCAGGAACTTCAGGCAAACCAGAATGGTTAGGCACATACTTAAAATCTTTACATCTCTTTAGAACAGCACATAAAGTTCTTCCTAATCTTCCCTACAATATCTTTTCAGCCTCAACTCTCTGTTCTCCTCATCCCACCCCACCACACGCTCATATACACCCTGCACTCCAGCTTTGCCAAGGTACATTCAGTTCCCCGAATGGAATGTGCTTTGTCCCTTTACATCTCAGTACCTTTGTACATTGTCTCCTTTGCCTTATCTGGACTTGCTGTTAAACTTCTATTCATCCATCAAGATTCCTTTCAGTTAGCACTTTTCAATGAAGCCGTCCAGGAGTGGGTCGTGGCTTCTCCTATGTTCTCACAGCACCTTGCATATACTGGTGTAAAAGCACTAGCCCGTTGAACTCTGTCCCCACCAGATATTGAGACATAGAACTTTTCTTTGTGTACCAATACCTAGCACAGGGACTTGTACACAATAAGGGCTCAATAAGTGAGGGAGGGAGGGAGGGAGGGAGGGAGGAAGGAAGGAAGGAAGGAAGGAAGGAAGGAAGGAAGGAAGGGAGGAAGAGAGGGAGGGAGGAGGGAGGGAGGGAGGAGCGAAGGAGGAGGTAGGGAGGGAAGGGAAAGGAAGGAAGGAAGGAGGGAAGGAGGGAAGGAGGGAAGGGAAGGAAAATGTTGATAGAATTCACCTGGATCACTTTGTCTTCTGTGTAACGTTGGTGGTTGAGTTAGCTAAATTAAATATACGCTTCTCTCACTAGAATGTGAGCTCCTTGAGGCAGAAACAGAGCTGCATCTACTTTGTATCTCAACAGCATCCAGGCTGCAGGGACTCATGATATTTGTTCAATTGACATGGTTTGGCTATTGTCTAAGGCTGAGAAAAGATGGATGACATGAAGGTCTTTGCTGGGGGATATGTCAAGAGGGGTTGCATGGATGTACAAGTGTGTGTGGTCCAAATGTGTTCAGTGCTACTCCTTACTGGGTGTGACTGCCATGTATTTACCTTTACAGCAGTTACTGTTTCTCTTGGGGGAAACCTCCTTATTGGTAAGTGAAAAGTCAAGAGTGTAAAAAGCTGGAGTCTCCCACATAAACTAAGCCCTGAAAACAGTTGAAACAGCTTTACCCACTAGGTAATGAGTTATCTGGCCATTATGAGAAAATAATTCCTTGCTCAATGATCATATAGCCCCTATTTCCAATCCATAATAAATATTTATACTGATGTGCCTAAAGGTGAGACTACCAACCATATGCATGAGAATCACATGGGCACTTTTTAAAAGCAGATTCCAGAGTCATCACCCCAAATTTCTGAGGGTCAGGCCAGAGGACCAGGGCATTGCCAGCTCAGCGTCTCAGCTGATTCTTATCACAATGGCATTTAGGAAGTGCTGACTGATACAGAAAAGGAGACTACTATTCATACAGATAATGCTTCTTCTTTCAAATAGCTAATGTAAAAATTAAATGTTTTCTGTAAAGTGCTTACATAATGCCTGACAAGTGGCACCTGTTTGGCACTTATTAGGCAATGCTATTCCTATACTTTGAGCTCCCTGGTGAGAACATGTCTTTTTCCTCTTTCTATTCACTGTGGCATTTTAGCATCTAGTATGCAAACTTACAGATAATAGGCCCCCAACAAACTGAATTACACCAAACTTTGATTGATTTTGAATAAGGCTGAAGGGAAAGCTAAAAACAAGATTGCCATTTTTATGTATTAAATTGGTCAAGATTTTTGGCAAGTGCTGAAAGCTGACCAGAGGGCAGTTACAAGGGCATTCTTGTACAAAATTGATAGAATCATTCATAAAGTGGCACAGACTTTCTGGAAAGCAGTTCTGCCCATTTACCATCAAGAGTCTTAAAAATGTTCATAATTTTTGATGCAGTAATGCAATTATTATTTCTAGGAGTCTATCTTAAGGAAATAATCTGAAATGAAAATTCTGTAGATATTTTTATACAAAAGGGTAAATCATAAGCATGTATCAGAACAAACTCAACTATCTGACACCAGGGGAGTAGTTAAGTAAATCATGACAGCTTCTTAAAATGGAATAGTATTCAATCAACAAATTAATGTTAATAATAAATTTTAATGGCATAAGGAAATACTGTGTCAAGATGAACAAAGGCATTTATAGTTTGAGTCCAATAATGTAGAAAAAAAGTGTGTAAGAAAAAACTTGAAGAAAATATTCCAAATGTTAACAATGATAGAACTATGAGTAATGTTTATTTCCTGATACTTTTCTGTGTTTTCAAAACTTTATAAATAAAAATAAAGAAATATTTTTAAATAAGGTAAAAAAGAAAAGTATTTTTTGGCATCTCCCAGCACTTTGAGAGGCCAAGAGGGAAGATTGCTTGAGGCCAAGAGTTCAAGAGCAGCCTGGGCTAAATAGCAAGACCTCATCTCTAAAATATATACATTTTTAAGTAAATAAATAAATAAGATTTCCACCTCTGGAAACAAGTAGTAGACTTACTTTTTCCAATTTCTCTCAATGAGTTCAACTGAAATCCATGGATTTTATATAGAAAACAAACATAAGAAGGCTTAGAACAGTAGAAAGAAGGCAGACAGGCTAGAGATTCTAGGAATTAAGAAATGAACGACATATTTTGCCAGCATATGTTGCTCTAAAAAATAAAAAATTAAAAAAGCAATGAATGACATAGTGGAAAGTTTCCTGAATTTTTGTTCTGTTTCATATATCCCAGGATTAGAGCAGAAGAAGTTGGTAATCCAGAAACAGAAGCAGACCAAAGAAAAAAAAAGAAACCAAACACCACAAAGAAAGCCTACTCTCTCTAGCCAAAAGTCCAGAAAAGGGGCGGCCGAGTAAGACAGAAAACTTTAAGACAATAACCACTCTACTCTAGGTAAACACCACAGAAAAAACATGACCTGGTCCCACCTAACCAGCAACGACCAAATGGGGAACCTAAACTTCCATCCTCACCAGACTGTAATGAGGTCTTTCAACCTCCCTGCAAGGATAGTGTTAGAGAAGGTCAAGTAGAAAGCTGGGATTTTCATCCCTACCAAATGGTAATGAACACCCCACTCCCTGTGGTATCAGTGGAGACCATGTGGAGTCTGGGCCTCCACCCCCACCAGCATTAACAAGGCTCCTCTCCATCTCTGTGCTCGAAGGGATGTTGTCAGAGGAAGCCCAGTAGAGAGTTAGAACTTTCCTAACTACCCCCTTTCATATAATCAGTGGAAACCATCTGGGGAACATTAGTGAGGCATTCCTAATTCTTAAAGCTAGAGAGGTATCAGTGGAAAACCAATGGAAAGTTTGAACTCCTACCTTTATCCACCAGTAATAAGGACCCCTTGCCATCTTCAAATATCAATGGAGGTTGAGTGGGCCACCTGGACTTCCACCAACAACTGGGAGTAATGAGGCAGTGCCATATTCTTCCCTGATTGAAGTTATGTCAACAGAAGCTAACGATGACATTAAGTTTTAAATAAGATTCAGTTTCATAACACAATACCCAAAAGTTTCAAGTTTTAATGTTTAAAATTACTCATATGTAAATAACCAGGAAGATCTCAAACTGAAAGAAAAAAGACAATCAATAGATGCCAACACCAAGGTAACAGAGAGATGTTAGAATTATCTGATAAGGATTTTAAAGCAGCCATTATAAAACTACTATAACAATTACAAGCACACTTAAATGAAAAAAAAAGAATATCTCAGAAAAGTAATAGAAGATACATAAAACCAAAAGAAAATATTAGAACTAAATAATACACTACCTGAAATTTTAAAACTCAGTGAATGGACTCAATAGCAAAATAGAGGGACAGAGAAAACAATCAGCAAAATGAAAAATAGAACAAAAATAGTTGTCCAATATGAACTACAGAGATAAAGTAGCCTTTAAAAATTTGAATAGCACCTCAGAGGTCTGTGAGACTATGAGAAGAGATCTGATTACTATGTCATTGGAATCCTAGAAGGAGAGGGGAGAGGGGAAATGACTAAAAAACTTAAAGAAATAATGGCCGAAAACATCTCAAATTTGGTAAAAGACATAAACCTACAAATTTGAGGAGATGAGTCAACCCCAAACAGAACAAACCTAAAGAAATCTACAAAAAGAAGCATAATAGTCAAATCTGTAAAAAATAAAGACAAAAAAAAAATGTTAAAAGCACCCAAAGAGTAATGATACCTACCTATATGGAGAAAAACAGTTTGAATGACCTGCCTCAGCCTCCCAAAGTGCTGGGATTACAGGCATGAGCCACCACACCCAGCTAAAAGCCAAAGACCTCAACACCTCTCTCTCAATAATTCATAGAACAACTAAGCAGAAAATTAACAAGGATATAGAAGATGTAAAGAACATCATCAACCGACAGAACTTAACTGATATTTATTGAAGAATCTAGCCAACAATAACAGAACATACAGTCTTTTCAAGTTCTCATGGAACATACATTAAGATGGACCATATCCTGGGCCACAAAGCAGACCTCAACTAATTTAAAAGAATTAATTAAGGTCATATAACATCTTCTCCAACCAGAATAGAACTGGAAATCAATAACAGAAATTTAACAAAAAACTCTCCAAACCACTGGAAACTAAACAACACACTTTTGAATAATTCATGGGTGACAGGGGAAGTCTCAAGATAAAAAAACAAAAAAAAATACATTAAATTGAATGAAAACAAAGGCACGGTATATCAAAATTTGTGGAACACACTCAAAGCAGTGCTGAAACTGAAATTTTTAGCACTAACTGCATATATTAGAAAAAATAAAGTTTCCAATACAATAATCTAAGTTCCCCTCTCAAGAACCTAGAAGAAGAGCAAAATAGCCCAAGGTGAGCAGAACAAAGAAAATAATAAAGATAAAAACAGAAATCAATGAAATTGTGAATAGAAAATCAAAACAAACAGCTGGTTCTTTAAAAAGATCAGTAATATTGACAAACCACTGGCAAGACTGAGAAAAAAAAGAGAAGAGACAAATCATCAATATTGGAAAATTTAAAAACAAGAAAAGAATAAGGAAATATGAACAACTCTACACATATAAATTTGACAACTTAGATAAAATAAACCAATTGCTTGAAAAACACAAACTATTACAACTTCACTCAATGTGAAATAGATAATCTGATTAATCCTATTACTATTAAGAAAATTGAATTTGTACTTCCTAAATTTTCAAAGAAGAAATCTCTGGGCCTATACAGTTCCACTGAAAAAAAAGTCTACCAAACATTGAAAGAAAAAATAATATTATTAGTATGCAATCTCCTCCAGAAAGTAGAAGAGGATGGACTATTTTCCAATTCAATTTATAAAGCTAGCATTACCCTGATAATAAAATAAGACAAAGACAGTAAAAAAACAAAAAGTATAGACCAACATCCCTCAGGAATAGAGAAGCAAATTTCCTTAACAAAATGCTTAGCAAATATAATTCCGCAACATATTAAAACACTTATAAGCCATTATTAAGTAGGGTTTAATTCAGGGATGCAAAACGACTTCAGCCACACACACACAAAAATTAATCATCATTGATTTAGCAGACCACCATGTTAACAGACTAAAGAAGAAAAATCACATGGTCACACCAAAGTAGAAAAAACATTTGATAAATTCATACCCATTCATGATTTTAAAACTCTCAAAAATATAAATAAAAGAGAATTCTTTCAACTTAATAAGGAGCATTTTTAAAACCTTACAGTAACATATGTAATGGTGAAAAACTAACTTTATTCCCCATAATATCAGGAACAAGACAAGAATGTTCACTCTCACCACTCTTACTCAACATTGTTCTAGAATTTGTAACTAGATAAGAAAAGGAAATAAAAGGCATACAGAAATAAAACTTACTCTGTTTACATATGTCATTTCTCTGTAGAAAATACCCAAAAATCTACCAAAAACTACCTTCTAGAATTAATGAGTGATTTTAGCAGTTACAGGATACAACATAGACATACAAAAATTAATTGTATTTCTATATCCTGGTAGTAAACATATGGGTACTGAAATTAAAAATACTACTACAATCACTCCAAAGAAATGAAATACATGTAAATTTAACAAAACACCTACAGAACTTATATGCCAAAAACTATAAAAGGCTTATGAGAAAAATGAAGGAAGATCTAAGCAAACAGAGAGAGACACCATGTTTATGGTTTGGAAAGCTAAACATAGTAAAGATTTTAATTTTTGTCAAATTGATATCCAGATCCAATGCAATACCTATCAAAATCCCACTAAGATTTTTCTGTATATAAACAGGATAATGCTAAAATTTATATTAAAAAATCAATAAATTATAATAGCTAAGACACTTTTGAAAAATAACGAAGTGAAAACAATCAGTCCACCTGATTTCAATACTTATCATATAACTGTACCATAATCAAGACTGTATGGCATTGGCACATAGACTAATGAAATAGAAGAGAAAACTGAGAAACAGACATACACAGATACACCCAACAGATTTTTGACACATACGCAAAAGCAAGAAAAAATAGAATTTTCAACAAATGGCCATCAAGTAATTGGATATCCATAGGCAAAAATGCCCTCAACTTAAGTCTTATATCTTACACAAATATTAACTCATAATGGATCACACATTTAAATATAAAACATAAAACTTTAAGAAAAAATGTTGGAGAAAATCTCAGGACGTATGGCTAGGCAAAGAGTTCCTAGACTTGAAAACATCTTAGGAGCAAAAGACTTGAAAAGTGTTATCCATAAAAGGAAAAATTGACAAATTGGACTTTGTCAAAATTAAAACTTTGCTTTGTGAAAGAGCCTGCTGAGAAGAGGAAAAGAAAAACTACTGAATGAGAGAAAACATCTGTAAACCACACCTGGAAACAGCTGAGAAGATGTCCTGCAATGAGTGAATGGTTAAATCAACCACAGCACCATGGAATACTACTCAGGAATAAAAAGGAACAAACTATCGATACACAAAACAACCTGGGTCAATTTCCAAAGGATTATGCTGGGGAAAAAAAGCCAGTGTTAAAGGTTACGTCCTATATAATTACATTCATGCAACATTCTTAAAACAACAAAATTATAGAAATAGAGAGTAGATGCATGTTTGCTGGGGCTTACAGAGGAGATACAGGTGGGAAGGAAAGAGATGTAGCTATAAAAAAAACAAAATGGAGTTTCCTCGCGGTGATGGAAACATTCTGTGTCTTGACTGTATCAATGTCACTATACTAATTGTGATACTGTACTATAGTTTTGTAAGACATTGCCAATGGGGGAAACTGGGTAAAGGGTACTCAGAATCTCCCTGTATTATTTCTTACAACTGCATATGGATCTCCGAATATCTTTTTAAAGAAATAAATGAGCTGGAATAGGTATCTCCAAGTGATTTTTTATATCTGAAATTCAACACTTTTGAAAGCCTAAGGATCCATTGGCTCTTGGTTATAAATGGCTGCACTATTTCCAGCAAGTGAAACTTCTTACAGGTCTGGAAAAAAATGTTTGTGCTGGTTGTGTAAAGGTCCATGTGACCTCAAAATGAAGACAGGTAAGTAACCAAATCAGACAGATCCTAGAGATCTACATCTATTTTAGAGATGGAAAAAACAGAGGGCAGGCAAGGGAAAGCTCCTCACACAAACTTTATTGTTAATGGAAGAATCCACATTAAAAAAAAAAAAAAAAACCCTAGGCTTTAAACAGGGCCATAGCAGCTTGTAAATATCTATTGACTTCACTGACAGCCTGTGCAAATCCTTCAATGCCACTCAGCCCAGGCCCTTTCAGCACTTGTGGATGAAAGCACTTGGACAATTCTAGTAAGTAACATTTTACTAGGGGCAATAAAGGAAAGGTTAATAATAATAATAACAATATTAATAATATGAGACCAAAAAGGAAATGAGCAGGAATCAACATTTTCTGTAATGTCCCAGATAGAAAATGTTTTAAGCTGTGTGGGCCATATTGTCTCTCACAACTATTCAGATCTGCTGCAAAAGGAGGCAGAAGCAATATGCAGACAAATGGAGGTGGCTATTTTTCTTTCTTTCTTGGTTTTTTCTTTTTTTTTTTTTTTTTTTGAGATGGAGTTTTGGTCTTGTGCCCCAAGCTGGAGCACGGCCTCCTCCGCCTCCCAGGTTCAAGCGATTCTCCTGCCTCAGTCTCCCTAGTAGCTGGGATTACAGGCATGTGCCACCACGCCCAGCTAATTTTGTATTTTTAGTAGAGACAGGGTTTCTGCATGTTGGTCAGGCTAGTCTCGAACTCCCAACCTCAGGTGATCCACCCACCCTGGCCTCCCAAATTGCTGGGATTACAGCTGTGAGCCATCATGCCCGGCCATAGGTGGCTATTTTTCAAAGAAAGTTTACAAAAACAGTCAGTGGGCCATATGTCCCCAAGGGCCATAGTTTGCAGACCTCTGCTATCAAGAAACAACATGAAGGAAAGCAACCTGTTCATGGCAAGAGTAACACCATCTTGAAGCAAAACCATCACAATGGCCAATGTTTGACTCCTATCTACCAAGGCGTTCCTGCAGCAAGGTCAAGAAACTATGCCTGTGGCATGGACAACTTCTCATAAAGATGCTTATCTAACTTTCCCAGTGGCCATGAGTTTCACAAGAGGGTTTGAGACAGGATACATGCTCTACCCTAAAACCTGGCTGGAGAAAGAATACTTTCTGGAGGGCTCAAGAATCCACCACCTCACAGCTGCCTAAGACATCGCTTCTGTGCCTAAGTCCCTATTAAATGTTTCTTTCTGAGAAACCAGATTTGTCAGCTTCTTTCTTCAGCCTCTCAGCACCCTGAGCCTTTGGAGATGGGGTTGCACATACCTGCTCACCATGGAACACAACAGAAACAGTTAGTCTTTGCACCTGTAGTGATAGTGCCTACCTAATGGGGTTATTGTGAATCGAAAATAAAGTATCACATGAAAATGCTTAGCAATGGGTATAGGACGTAGTAGTTAGTCAATACATATTAACTATTATTATTATTAGGCATATTTGCATATTCTTTTGCTATTTTCAGTTGGCCACTTACTTTATACATGGACACTCTGTGGGAAATTATTTCGATGTTGTTAAAACTCAAAATTAATTTTTTTCCTGCACTGAGACCTTGTATAATAGTTCAGAAGGAAGATAATTGGATGTATCTCCCCATAAGGTTGAAAGCCTCCACAATCAAGCTTTTATTAAAGAACGAGTACTACCATTGTGACCACAGAAGATAGAATTCGACACCAAGGTAAGAGGAATTTTCACTTTTATTTATTCCTCATAGGGTAGGAACAGCAGGGAGAAGGTACATGGGAAATTTCTGAAATGAAATATGAAGCCCCGCAGTTTGCTGCAAGAGCCCTATTCACCCCGTAACATGTTCTGCTTGGTCATAATTGATCCTTTAAATGAACATACTGCCTTTCTTGGAAATTCCTTGAAGAAAGAGAGGCTTCATGACTTGTCTGTCACATAGTTCTTCCTCATACTTCTCCGTGATGGTGAATAGCAAATGTGGCAATTCTGTGCCTCCAAACCGCATCCCTCATGACAACGGAGCCACTAATGAAGAGATGAGCTCCACCTTAGATCTTTACTCCTGACAGGAGTATTAAAAGTCAAACTGGCCTCACAAATGTGTAGACCTCCAAAGGGTAGGATTTTAGGTCACTAAGGCTCTCTGCCAAAAAAAAAAAAAAAAAAAAAAAAAAACCCTTCTAGCTTATACAAAACACAAGACAAGATTTATACACAGAAATAATCACTGCAATATTACTAGTAATGCCAAATAGAAGGCAATCAATGTATATCAGTAGGGCAATTATTAAATACTATTATATAGCCATTAAAAGAATGTTTATTAAGTATTTTAATATGAGGGAAATATACGTAATTACATATGAAGAGAAACAACATAAAATCATGCAGTATGATGTTAAATTTAATTGAAAAAAAAGGTGGAACACAAACAAAATAAGACTGGAAAGTAAATACATCAAGCAAAATACTAATGGTATTTGCCGTGGGTGACGGCATCATTGTGATTCTTCTTTTACATTATAATTTTCTATATTTTATACATTTTATTCATTGAACATGTTTCACTTTTAAAATCAGAACAATAGGGCCGGGCGCGGTGGCTCACGCCTGTAATCCCAGCACTTTGGGAGGCCGAGGCGGGCAAATCGCGAGGTCAGGAGATCGAGAGCATCCTGGCTAACACGGTGAAACCCCGTCTCTACTAAAAATACAAAAAATTAGCCGGGCGTGGTGGCAGGCGCCTGTAGTCCCAGCTACTCGGGAGGCTGAGGCAGGAGAATGGCGTGAACCCGGGAGGCGGAGCTTGCAGTGAGCCGAGATCGAGCCACTGCACTCCAGCCTGGGCGACAGAGCGAGACTCCTTCTCAAAAAAAAAAAAAAAAAAAAAATCAGAACAATAAATAGTGTTTTTTGAAAAGCCTTTTTCTACCTGCTCACAGATTATTTTACAAAGATATTATCTGATCACAGATTATCTATCTGTGATTATCGATCACAGATTATCTATCTGTGATTATCGATCACAGATTATCTATCTGTGATTATCGATCACAGATTATTAACCTGCTTACAGATTATTTCACAGAGATATTATCTCTGACAAAAGAGAAAAAAATCACCTTCAGGGACCTGAAAACTTTAAATACTATTTTTTCAGTTAGTTCACTGATTATATACTGACCATCAGATTGGAAATTCTGTTTCTTTCTTTGTTTGTTTGTTTGTTTGGACTACCCCACCCCATTTTTCTCACTCCAAGTAACAGTATCCAATACCCCAATATTCTTCTGGCAAACTACACCCTTCACTATTTGCAGCTGATGTGCTTCATGCAGAGTTGACTCTGACCCCAACTCTAGGAGAGGGCATGTGACAACAAGCATAGTATTCCAATGGCCACACAAATAAATTTAAAAAGCAAAAATGATTCAGTCAGAGCCAGTGAGAAGAAAGAGTATTTGGCTAAGACTATTGAAAGAAAGGCAAGTTCTTTTTTCCACTTGAAGTGGTACCTGGGGATGTGTAATCCTAGAGTTATCAGAGGGCTCCTTGTGAAGTATAACAATAAAACCCAGCTTGGAAGTTGTGTCCATGGCAATCAGGCAAGAGAAAGAAATAAAGGGTATTCAAATAGGAAAAGAGGAAGTCATACTGTCTCTGCTTGCAGATGGCATGATCCTATATCTAGAAAACCCCATCATCTCAGCCCAAAAGCTTCTTAACCTAATAAACAACTTCAGCAAAGTCTCAGGATACAAAATCAATGTGCAAAAATCAAAAGCATTCCTATACACCAACACTAGACTAGCAGAAAGCCAAATCATGAACTCCCATTCACAATTGCTACAAAGAGAATAAAGTACTTAGGAATACAGCTAACAAGGGAAGTGAAGAATCTCTTCAAGGAGAATTAGAAAACTCTGCCCAAGGAAATGAGAGAGGACACAAACAAATGGAAAAACATTCCATGCTCATGAATAGGAAGAATCAATATCATGAAAATGGCCACACTGCCCAAAGTAATTTATAGATTCAATGCTATTCCCATTAAACTGCCATTGACATTCTTCATAGAATTAGAAAAAAACTACTTTAAAATTTATATGGTACCCAAAAAAAAAAGAGTCCCCATAGCCAAGACAATCCTAAGCAAAAAGAACAAAGCTGGAGGCATCAGGCTACCTGACTTCAAACTATACTACAAGTCTGCAGTAACCAAAACAGCATGGTACTGGTACAAAAACAGACACATACACCAATGAAACAGAATAGATATCTCAGAAAGTACACCACACATCTACGTCCACCTGATCTTTGACAAACCTGACAAAAACAAGCAATGGGGAAGGGATTCCCTATTTAATAAATGGTGCTGGGAAAACTGGCTAGCCATATGCAGAAAATTGAAACTGGACCCTGTCCTTACACCTTATACAAAAATTAACTCAATATGGATTAAAGTCTTAAATGTAAAACCCAAAACTATAAAAAACCTAGAAGAGGCCAGGCACGGTGGCTCACGCCTGTAATCCCAGCACTTTGGGAGGCCGAGGTGGGCAGATCACAAGGTCAGGAGATCGAGACCATCCTGGCTAACATGGTGAAACCCTGTCTCTACTAAAAAATACAACAAAAATTAGCCGGGTGTGGTGGTGGATGCCTGTAGTCCCAGCTACTGGGGAGGCTGAGGCAGGAGAATGGCGTGAACCCAGGAGGCGGAGCTTGTAGTGAGCTGAGATCGCACCACTGCACTCCAGCCTGGGCAACAGAGCAAGACTCCATCTCAAAAAAAAAAAAGCCTAGAAGAAAATCTAGGCAATACCATTAAAAACATAGGCACAGGCAAAGATTTCATGACAAAAACTTCAAAAGCAATTGCAACAAAAGCAAAAATTCATAAATGGGATCTAATTAAGCTAAAGAGCTTCTGCACAACAAAAGAAACCATCATCGGAGTGAACAGACAATTTACAGACTGAATGAAAATGTCTGCAGTCTATCTGACAGAGGTCTAATATCCAGAAACTATAAGGAACTTGAACTTTTATAAGAAACAAACAACCCCATTGGCAAATGGGCACATGGAAAAGAATGCAGAAACCACTAAGAATAAGTAAGCAACACTAAACTAGTCTTGCCAAACCAACCTCATATAGTCTTTTGATAGCCGATCTTAACCAACTGGTTAGGACAATCATTAACACACACTTTATCTGATTTTCAAAAGTCTCTCTTGAGGATTTTTGCTTCTGAATGTAGAATGCTACAAAGAACATCACACTCCCCCTAACAACCAGGAAAAAATAGAGATAATCCACGAAGTCATAAATTTTCTTGAACTCATCAGATAGCTAAGGTTTCAAGGAAATCAAGTAAACCAAATTCCAAAGAACAAGTTCTTCCAAAAAGAAACAGGTTAAAACAATGTTTTTACCTTTTGCATCTCATGAAAGTGATGTTGGCCATATGAGTGATAAGAAGAAATGAGCTAAAATTTTAACAAATTTATAAAGTCCAAGTTTGGACTACAGCATCAGTTTAGCTTGAATATCTAAAGGTCTGAGACTCAGAAAGAGGCTGGCATCCACTCAGAAACTCTTCTTCCCAAGCATCAGTTGGTGTTCATCAGACAGACTGGGGGCAGAGGAGGACATCAGAGAGAGCTCCCTTTGGCAGCATAGGTCTGAAGGAGGTGACTAATGGCTCCAGGAGACAGGCTCAACTTCCCTCTTACTTCTCTGGACTCTTCTCTCCTACTATTTAAGCTTCTGGAATGAGATAGTAACTGACAAAGGCCAATTACTTCTAAGTAAGAAACCATCTGCCAGGACACAAGCAAAAATCAATTGAAGCCGGATGAAGGATAAAGGCAAAAACTTTTACCATTCACTATTCTGAAACCAGGATTCTACATTAAAATCAAATGAAATTAATAGCTAGTGGAGAAGCAAGAAACTCTCACCTAAGAAAACTACAAGTATAAGACAGATTTGGCTGCCACAGAGAGGGAGAATATGAATATTGACAAAGCACTACTCCCTGAAGCTAAGATACAAAGGGATTACCTAAGACTAAGTCTGGACAAGTGCAACAGATAACCCTGTCTACCTCTACTACAAGCCTAGCACTGAGTCATAAGCCCAGGAGGATACCACTGGGAGAGAAACAGGAGCACAAAGAGAGACCACTTCTACAATACAGGAATGCATAGATGACGAAAAAGTGAAGGAGTATCCAGATGATTTGATTTCAACACCTGTGATCCTAATCACTTCTAAGCCCAAAAGATCAGAGATTTAAGACTTATACAAAAAGGGATCTGGAGGTTTTGTTTCTCACAAGTTCAAAATAAGCCCAAAGTATAAAATAACTGCTAAACTAATAAGTACTGTGTGGGGCTTATGTAGCAGTACTAGTACTGGTACTGGTAATAACAGGCTACATCAAAAGCATAAAGTACACTGAGATATGAGCAGAAGGTTTGAAGTCAATCTGCCTATGCTTAATTTCTGTTTTTTTTGCTTCTTAGATGCCAGATTTGGGTATATTATATAGTTTCTCAGTGCCTCCTTTTGTAAGATTGAGGTTAACAACCCACTTGAGTCAGGAGAGAAGAGAGAAACTCATAATATATGCACACATTTTTCAATTCATCTCATCAGAAATATATCAAATAAAGTCAATGTGACATGTTAAATATAAACATGAAATAAGATAGTCTCAGATCTCTCCATCTACCCAAACTTAATTCTTGGATAGTTTTGTTTTAGAACTGGCCTCAAAACATGAAGCATTTTTCACAATATTATCTTCTAAGTACTGATTCTGAAACTCAAGTACCAGAGTTTCAAAATCCTTCAGCCATAGTTCCCCCAAGAAGGCAACAGATTCTGGAAATGCTGAAGTGATTACAGTTTTAGCCAGGGCCCTGCATGTGTACCCACTGAAATCAGAGTGTCCTGGCCTGAGGACATTATATTTCTCTGGAAAGCATTCAGGACATTTGGGCCTCCTCTCTGTTCTTTTTCTGAGGGGCCATTTCAGGTACAGCTGTACTCATTGTCCACAAGAATAGCCTTAGGCTGAGGGAAAAGTTGAGGAGATGGTATTCTGAGCTGCCTTTCAACTCTACCCAGCCTGTGGTTTCAGGCAGCTTACCAAGGTTTATATGAAGGGCACTCAGAAGTAGCTATGAGCCAATTTGTCAAGTCAACCTACTCTGTCTAGTCTTCACAAAGCCTTGAAATGGGCACCCAAAATGAATCTCTTCTGGATCCATCGGCAAATGACTAACTCCCTCACCAAAGTGCCAACTCAAGTTCCTGTGCTCTGTCTTCCATGGGCCTGAGGACCCTATACGGTTCGGCACTGTTAATCATTTGCCAATAGATTTACTCCTTATTTCGTTATTTATGAGTAATTGACACAACAACTGCCATAAATTTCCAGTTCCCATTTGATTTAATGTTTCCAGATATGCTTTTTCTTTCCTTGACCAAAAAATTCACAGCACTTTGAAAAAAAAATGAGTATTACTTAAATTTCTTAAGATGTTTCACAGCGATTTTATCTGTTTTCAAAATGTTTAAATTGTGTGTGTGTGTGTGTGTGTGTGTGTGTGTGTGTGTGTGTGTGTGTGTGTTTTGGCAAGGACCCCAAGAAATCATCTGTATTGAGCCTCGGTTCAATCCAGTAAGGTATTATTATTGAAACTGGCCCAATTGTCTCATAGAAGTGATCTTTATAGTCTTTTAAAATAAAAATATTAAAATTGACTCAGGTCTTGAAGATTGAAACTTACATTTGGCCCTCCCTTAGGAAACCCACCCTCAGGACTCCTGAATAGTATCAAGGAACTGAAACTCACCAGATCATCACATTCAGACAGTGAGAAACCAGGTCCCTCATTCCTCATGATTTCCTTACCACTCCCTAATTCCTGTTTACCCAATGTAGTTACTTACATTCCTTTCCTGCTGCATAAACCCCAATTGTAGTCAGTCAGGATATGGATTTGAGACTGATCTCCCATCTTCTCAGCTGCAGCACCCAAATGAAAGTCATCTTCCCTGGCAATACTTGTTGTCTCAGTGATTGGCTTTCTATGCAGCCAGCAGCAGGACCTAGACTGAAACCCTGGTGTTTTGGTAACATTATCTCCACCTTGTAAATAGGCCAGTGTTAAAGAGAGGTGAAGTGCTGCATGGTTGTAAGAATAAATAATGTTAGAGCCAACACAACAATGTTGGTCTCCAGCCTCCTGATGTTGTGTTTCTTTCAATTACACCCTAATGTTTTTTCTACCATCAGCAACTAAAGTAGCACTTCCAAAATTTAACAAAAACAAGAGGCAACAAACCATTATTTAAGGCAAGGACTTAAGCCATGGCCTGCCATTTACTTTGCCAAACGAACCTGGTAATGTCACTTAACCTCCCTATGCCTAAATTTTCGTATTCATAAAAGAGAGATGACAGTTCCTTAGTGGGTTGCTGAGAGGATTAAATAAATTACTATGTGTAAAGTTCTTAGTCCCGAACTTGGCTCAGATCAATCACCATATAAGTATTTGCTCTTACTATTGCCATCCCTACTCTCAGCTTGCTCCTACTTTTCCTTTGGGGATTAAATGGCATTATCATCTTTCCTCACTGGACAAGCTAAGAACCTTAGAGACATCCTTAATAACTACTCATCCTGTTACCTCTTCTTTCTTACTTCCCAGTCTTTGGATTATGAAGTCTTCTTAATTCTATCATTTAAATATCTATTAAATCCATTTTTTACTCAGCGTCCTGTCTGACAAGACTATATAGTTTAGTCCTATTCCTCTCACCTGGACTATTTCAAATACTTCCTCACTGTTCTCTCTTCCAACCAACTTTGCTCACTCAATGATGTAACATCCTTTAAAATATCCTACCATATTACTCTCTGCTTCAAAACTTCCAGTGGCTTCCACATTGTGTCATCCAGGCTGGCATCACAATCATTCTGACCAAATCCAGCTCCACCATCAAAGATTCTAATTCAGTAGGTCTAGAATGGCACCTAGGAATCTATTTTGTGTGTATTCCCCCACCTGATTCTATAGATCAATATTTGAGAATCATTGGAAAGGATACTCATTAGAATGCCTTATAAAGTTCTTCAAAATCATACTCCACCCTCCAGGCAAATGAAATGTCATCTTTCCCCTTGAAGTTTTCTTTGACTAAATTGTTCCTTCTTCTGTGTTCCCACAGTTCTGTATGCATAGCTCTCAATATGATACCTATTATATCACACTTTCATTATATTTGTAGCCCTGGGTTCCTAACTTGCAGGGACAACTTCATGGGCACACAACCTGTGTGGTCACACAGGGCCCACACTCAGAAGGGCCCTACGCTCAGAAGGTCCCTACACTTGGCTTAATGCTCTGCTATCACCATCCTGAAATTCTTAATAATTGTTGAACAAGGGACACCTCGTTTTCACTTTGCACTGGGTCTTGCAAATTATGTACTCAGCACGGCCACTCGATTGTGAGCTGCTTGAAAACAGAAGCTATTTGCTATTCTTTCAAAATCCTCCTTGGTTAGCACAGAGGACTCCTGGCAAAAAGTAGAGGTTTCTTAAATACTTGTTGGGTTTATACATGAATGGATGAAAAGATAAAGTATCTCATAGAAAAATAGTATAGTATGGTTAATTAACTCTGAAGAATAAGCTTTTGTTATTCTTGGGGGAGAGGAGGACTAATTGATAAAATCCTGAGACTATTGACCATTGACCTCTCCAAATAAATAACATAACATTTTCTAGGTTTATTTTTAAATTACTCAAACCACTCCTACTTTTGAGCTCTGCTGCATCCCTGTTCTCAGAATGCAAAATTGCAGTTAATAGAGCTTGCAATTACGCTATCATGCCCGGAGTTTTTGTGCCAGGTACTGTGTTAAATTCTGGGTGTAATGGGAAGGGGAAGGGATAAGCCAAGAAAATGTTAATTGAGCAGGGTCCCTGTCTTCAAGAAGCAATTAAATTTCACTCCTCTAAAATTTATATCGAAGATGAGTTGACTTCATGGGAGTTCTGCAGCAATGAATTGAGAATAAAGACATTAGACTTGGCCAGTGGCCCAGCTTCCTGAACATTTCAAATGACAAAATGTCTCAGCCTGAACACAATTCCCCCACTATGAGATCTGTGGGTTCACTAGTTAACATTGGCAACTGACTCAGAGGTGCTCATGGAGCATAATAAACAAGTGGCTATTGAGGTGGGGGAGGTGCTTTTGCTCCCGGGTGTTAGAGAAGAAAAGACGAACATCAGCTATCAAAGTGAGCCAAGTAATTGGTGGAAAAAAATGTTCCTAGCTCCTGCTGAAGGCATGACAGGACTTCCAATGTGGTAACGACCACACACCACCCTGCTGCCACGTTATGTGCCCATTACTAGGTTCTCCGAAATGACATGGAAGTCCAAAAAGAGTTTACCGTGCTTTTCCACTGCTAGTTTTTAGTTACCCACTACTGGTTGGTATAATATCAGTTACAAAATTAAGAGATTCTAGTTGAAAACATATAAATGCCAATAAACATACAAAGATGTGTTCAACTTCAAATCAAGGAAATGTAAAAATAATACAACCACAGAATATCAATTTTGTATACTGAATGAGCCAAAGTTAAAAAGACTGATAATTTTCAATGTCAGCATGAATGGAGGAGAAAGCAAGTATTCTCAAAAAAGACTGCTAATCCGAGTATACATTGGTACAACTATAACTTCTGAAGGGTAATTTGGCATGATGTGTTAATCCAAATTTAAAATGCATGTCCCCTTTGAGGCAGTAATAATAATTCTAGGCCTTTACCTTAAGGAAATAATCTGAAAAATAAATAAATATCTAAGTACAAAGTTGTTCATCACAGCAAAAAAAAAAAATTAGAAATAATAGCTGTGCAACACAGGAAACCTGCTAATACAGCACAATTCATCCAAACACAACTTGAACATTGAAATGGTTATGTGACACTATAATTATCAAATATATATATATATATAGAGAGAGAGAGAGAGAGAGAGAGATCCATAAAGCATTTGTAAGTATAATGGAAAGTCTAATTTTTTTTAAAGTAGAGATAGAATCACTCCATTTTTGTTAAAAAATACATATTGGCCAGGTGTGGATGCTCACGCTTATAATTCCAGCACTCTGGGAGGCCAAGGCAGGTGGATCTCTTGGGTCCAGGAGTTTCAGACCAGCCTGGGCAACATGGTGAAACCCTCTCTCTACATAAAATACTGGAAAATTAGCCAGGCATGGTGGCATGCGCCCGTGGTCCCAGCTACTCAGGAGGCTGATGTGGGAGGATCACCTGTGCCTGGGAGGTTGAGGGTGCGGTGAGCTATGATCACACCATTGCACTCCAACCCAGACAGAGACCCTTTCTCCAAAAAAAACTAACATGAAAAAGATACATATTTCTAAGTATATGTATATTTTTTAAGAATAGAATTTTTAAATCAATGGAATAATCTTGTTTTGCCATGATGCAAACAAACGGATGATATCCAAAAACAATATTCATGTTGTTTTTCAACATGTAGCGGGGAAAAGGGAAATTATGAGGCAACAATATGTTCAGTGATGTGCTGGTAAGTATTTAACAAATGGCCTTCAGGCGGGGCAGGGTGGAAGTCCCGTTGTAGTATCCACAGATTTCTGTGGCATAAATAGCACCAACATTATTTATTTCAAGCTACCAATGTGATGTCACTGAATTAGGAGTTCGGAAGAAATACAATTGCACCATGCTGTGTAATACCACTACCTAGTATTTCCATGATACAGATAAATTAGGTGCAAATAATCTCAAAAGCACAGATAAGTATGAAGATAGAGCAAAATAGTTAGAAAGTGGTGAATTTTAGGTTTTTTTTTTTTTTTTTTTGAGACGGAGTCTCACTCTATCCCCCAGGCTGGAGTGCACTGATATGATCTCAGCTCACTGCAGCCTCAACCTCCTGGACCAAAGCGAGCTTCCCACCTGAGCCTCTCAAGTAGCTGGGACTACAGGTGGATACCACCACATCCAGATAATTTTTTTGTATTTTTATAGACAGGGTTTCACTATGTTGCCCAGGCTGGTCTGGAACTCCTGGGCTCAAGCAATCTGCACGCCTCAGCCTCCCAAAGTGCCGGGATTACAGGCTTGAGCCATGGCGCGCAGCCTGCATTTTTTATTGACATGTCTGGTGGTAAACTCATGAAGCATATTTACTTCATTCTTTAGATCCTTATTTGCCATTTCAATATTTTTACAATAAACATATGTTACCTTTATAATCAGAAAAGAATTCAAAGGTTTTTTTATTTTTTGTCTTATTTGTTAAGGCCTAGAGAAAAATATCAGGGAACGTTACTTTTTAAAAGTCTCACTGGAACAAAACACTTCCCCAAAAGATTGATTGTGTTAAGGTGTAACTAAAGAGCAATGTTAGAATCAATTAAGCCATGATACCTTCGTTCAGCCATGGTATAAGGAAATGGTTCTAAATTCCTTCAAAATAGAAATACAAAACGTCAGGACTCAAAGAGATTTGTGCTCCCAGACATTCTCATACTCTCACTTTACAAATAAGGAAGCTAAAAAAGGTAGGTGTTTTCCCAACGTATGCACAAGGTAAGTAGAAGATAACCCAGCTCCTCTCCATTTATAAGTGGTCTCTACGGCCTATGAATAAAAGTACATATTCCTGGCCAGGTGCGGTGGCTCATGCCCATAATCCCAGCACTTTGGGAGGCTGAGGCAGGTGGATCACAAGGTCAAGAGATTAAGACCATCCTGGCCAACACGGTGAAACACCATCTCTTCTAAAAATACAAAAAATTAGCCAGGCATGGTGGCATGCAGCTGTAGTCCCAGGTACTCGGGAGGCTGAAGCAGGAGAAACACTTGAACCCAGGAGGCAGAGGTTGCAGTGAGCCGAGATCACGCCACTGCACTCCAGCCTGGCAACAGAGCAAGACTCCGTGTAACAAAAAGAAAAAAAAAAAGTACATATTCCTTTTGGTATAACTGAATGGCAAGAGATGACCTCATTTTTGTGGGATAGTATTTACTCAATTGGTTAATTGCTAAGCCCTTGGCTTTTCCTACCTTTATTTAGATGATAGCAGCTCACACCTCGCCAGAACTGTTTACTTCTCAAAACATGTTTATATGGATTATCTCCACTGATCTTCATGAGAACTCTGTGAGTCTGGTGGGGGTAAGAAGGACCAGTCCTATTTTACAGGTATAAAAACTGAGGCTAGAGCAGGCAAGCGGCTGGCCCAAGGCCGGTGAGAGCCAGGCCTCCCGTCCCGTCCCAGTGCTCTCCCAGAGTTTCCTCCTCGAAGCCTTTCTGAGGCAGTCATTTAGGTGAACCTTCGCTGAAGGCCACTTTCTCACCTTTCCTTCCTTCTCCCTCCAAAAGCTTCTTTCTACCTTTGGGTCCTGTCTCATTTCGCAGTTAAAGATATTATTTTCAGGTCACCTAGGGTTGCTCTTTAGTTCCTGTTTGCTTTTGGTTTGTTACTTGTTTATTTATTTATTTTTATCTATTTACTTATTTTTGAGACAGAGTCTTGCTCTGTTGCCAGGCTGGAGTGCCATGGCGCGATCTTGGCTCACTGCAACCTCTGCCTCCCAGGTTCACGCCATACTCCTGCCTCAGCCTCCCAAGTAGCTGGGACTACAGGTGCACGCCACCCTGCCTAGCTAATTTTTGTGTTTTTAGTAGAGATGGGGTTTCACCATGTTGGCCAGGATGGTCTCAATCTCTTGACTTGGTGATCCGCCCGCCTCGGCCTCCCAAAGTGCTGGGATTACAGGCACGAGCCACCATGCCCAGCCTGTTTTTGGTTTTTTAACTCCAAAATGGAAGATAATCCCAGGCATCTTTAGGCCTCAGAATATTCTTCTTTATTTGACATGAGGTCTAAACCCTAGCATGTTGTTTTCTCTTGAAATTTGAAGTAATTTCTACCACAAGAGAAATTACGTTTGCAAAGGTTCAAGTAAAGTATATTATAAAGCATGAAACTAAACACTTTGGTGTGACACATTTCTGGACTTGGAAGTCAGAGAAGACAGACTTATTTAAGCTACTCGAATTATCTAGAAGAAAAAAGAAACTCAAATTATCTATAACAGAACAGATGCTGGGGAATCTAAGAAGACTGGATGTTGATGTTCTCCTTAGCTTTGTTTTATGAAGGAAGGGAATGTGTTCTGTTAAGAGTGGAATGTTCTCCGGAAGAACTGGAAAAGGTATCAGTGGGCTATGTTCAGGTCCAGAGACAAAAGAGCTGTCAACTTAAACTAACCTGTGCGGTGCCTCAGCTCCTGGACTTACTGGTTGATGCAACCTTAGGGAAAGCCTGTGTGCATCAATTTCCTCATCTTTAAAGTTAGAATCACAGCATCTACCTCATAGGGTTGTGAGGAAAACTAAATTAGCTAGTGGCCAAGAAAATGCTGTGTATACTAAAAATCACTACAAAATATGTAGACTATATATATAGCTTGATAATTTTTAAAGTTTACTGCTCTGGGCAAGGGATGGAGGAGTGAGTTAAAAAGGAACACAGTGTCAGACACAGCAACAGGCAGGTGGCCAGGTTTCTGTAGGCAGAAGAGGATGGAGAGCTCAGGAGTGCATACTAATTGCTGCACCTCTGCTGAGACTACTGGCCAAATGGCTGCCTACCAGAAAACACAGTGTCCCTTTCCATATTAAAGGGCCTCTCCTAACTGGGCTTTCAGCTGCATACAAAACTACGTGGAGTTCTCCATGCATCTGATGGTGCCATTATGAAGATGAACTGTTAACTAAATTGCTTTGGTGGAATATGTATGCTAGGGAAGAGGTAACAGTTTCCCTACAACCATGAATGTCTTCTGGAAAATAAATGATTCTTATTGAGACTTGAAAGACAAATTGTCTGAGAGCAGAAAGGGGTTTACTGGAAAAGAGTGAGTGTATTTCTAAATGAGAGAGAAAAAAAATGTTTCAGAGGAAGGAGCCCCTGCCTTCTGGTGAAGAGTATTCAAGATGAAGATAAACTTTTCAACTTAATATCGAGAGTAATGAGATATTCACTTCCTAAAGAAAACTCTTTAAAGAAACAAAGATGATATCCAATGTGGGCTAGCAAGCCATTTCTGGTGACATTTGTGGAGGGGCTGAAGGCAATTCATTTGGCAGTCAAATCTGAATGAAGTAAAGGATATGGTTAAGAAAGGCACCTGAATTAATGTACATTTTACTTCTTTATAATTTTTTCAGCTTTGATAGCAGAAGGGATCTACTCTTGAAAGTCCAAAAAATGTTGTTGCTATAGGAACAGGTAAGCAGATTAGACTTGAAAGACCAGTTTAGGAACAAAGAATGTAATAGTCAGGGCTAAAGCAATTAACCAAGAAAACATTTTAAGTAAATATCTTTCAGGTTTGTTATTTACATATTAATTCCAGGAAGATTAAATGCTATTATGGAATGAGAGCGTCACATTTTAACATTTTAATTACATCATTACTGGCATAAAAGACTATGCTTACACAATTAGCAGAAAGATCTTATTAAACAGAAGTACATATTTCTAACTCTCTCTTGATTATATTGTAATTGAGAAATACAGTTTTAAATTCATCCTGAGCATGAAAGTCATCTTTGATTTTCCTATAGTTCTCAAGATAGAAGCACATCTAAAATCAAAGAGATACTGAACTACCGAAAGTTTTCTGTAACCAATCTCTATAATGAGGAAGCCACAAAAGTAAAATTCTAGAAGAAAACAGAAATGTGTGTAGGCTGATAATTGTTAATATTGCATGTCTTCCCTGTCCAACAGACTCGGTGAACAAGACATTTGAGAAGAGAAGGTCAAAGACCCAGCTGCACTTCTGCTTCACTGCTGAACTTCTGCTTCTTCCTATCAGGGAATACACTGCTCCTCACATTAGGGATTTCCTAAAATTGTTAGGTGTTTTGAACAGAACTGGCTATACCAATGAGGCTCAAACAAGAATCATAAAGTGCATGGTGCTTCTCTCCCTCTCTGTTTTCTTTAAAAAGAAAACATTCTTGACAAGATGAATACAATATTTTCATTCTAGCAAATTTCTGCTGTCAGAGGTTATATTTACAGGATAGAGAGATTTCTCAAACATGACCTTTTCTCGTGTAATACCAGAGTGAAATTTTAGAAAAGTCTGTGTGTGTGTGATGCGTGCGTGTGTGTGTGTGTGTGTGTGTGTGTGTGTGTGTCTCGCAGGCTGAGAAGTGGGATGGGAAGAAGGGAATGTGGCTAGAATCTTACCATCTCATTCTCTTCTCCTTCATTGAGCAGAGCGTGCTGGCCCTTCTCAAAGTGTCCCATGAAAAAGTTATTCCACACCTCCTCCCTGACCTTGTCGTGCAGACGCTTCCAGGATGAACTCCAACTCGCCGAGCCACCGCAGCTCCTCAGCTGACTAAAAGAGTTAATGATCCTCCAGGTTAAAACTCCTCCTTGAGCACACACCTTCTCTCAACAAATGACAATACTTGGCAAACTGAACTCCTCCCACGAGTCGCCCTCTGCTAGGAGGAATTGCTGGCTGCTCCCTGCTTATTGCATTCTCTCAGAGCAGCTGTCTCAAAGGAGGCTGCTCCCATGCCGATCTTTTTGTGCCCAACTTACAGGGAAAGAACTCATTGCCTGCCCAGTGCCTGCCAGCCTCAGACTTCTGACTGCAAATCCAACAGGACAATACAGAGTTGGCAGGACCCTTCTCAGGAGTGAGGAGCGGGTGCAAGAACTCCCAGGTCACTGCTTTATTCAGAGGACCTAAGGAATTGGGTTGAGCGGAAGCGCACAGAGCTGCAGATTTTCTTTGATGAATGAAAGCTTCAATCCACAGGTTTCTAATAGTACTCTCATTCATTTTGCTTACAAAAGGTACAGATTATCACTAATCCTCTTCAAAAGGTATTTGTAATCACATTTCCTTGTATATGCAAAAAAAATTCTATTTAAAGTGTATGTGAAATTAAGTTTACTTTTTTGAAACACATGTAGAAAAAGAACAAAGGTATCATCAAACTAGTCTATGTAGTCTCCTTTCACTAAAATATTGATGGTTCAACACTTAAGGAAGTCTAGAAATAAAATATTCAAATGACTATATGGCCAGACTCTTTTTTAATTTGTTTACACATTTATTCAATAAACAGTGCCTGAGCACAGGGACTACCTAAAAAAGTTAAGTCATATTTGCTACCCTCGTGTTGATGTAAGGATTCAAACATCCAAACAAATATGATAGAAAGTGGATTGTTATTATAAGAGATGGAACAGAAGTCTAAGAAAACTGTCAGAAGTCCCAATGTGGTGTAGAGAAACACACCCCTACCCTAGCTCTGGCAAAATACCTGTATTCCAGCTGCTTGTCTGCACTGGCCTTGCTGTGTGATCATTTAACTATAGGAACCGGCTCTTCTCATCTGGTACCGCCCGACAGGACTTTTGAGAGAATGGAATGAGATCATTGTGAAAGTACATTGTACAGCACTGATCAAGTGCTGTTAGGATTATTAAACTAAATGTGCATTTGAACAGTAGGTGTTAGGACATAGTGGCTAAGGGCATATACACTAAATTTGGAAGGCCTGAGTTCAAATTTGGACTGTACTAGGTGGTCGTTGTGCTACCTTGGGATATAACAAGTTATACAAACTCCATTCTCCTCTATTTCCTCACATGTAACATAAAGATGATGATAATAGAACCTACGTCCTAAAACAGACTTTTAAGAAAGAGTGCCTGGGAAATAATAGGTGTTCCACAAAAGATAGTTATTTTTACCTTCACCATGTCCACTGTCTGTCCCTCAAGCTACATTGGCAATGATATCTCCAACCTGACCCAAATAACCCTAATGTGACCAAGATCAATGTGTGCATGTGTGTGTGTGTATATGTTGTATGTGTAAAACCTTGAGCAAATAGTGAAGTATAGGATAAACATAAAAAGTAAGCTAAGTAAACCCATTGTAATAGTAATTACAAAATATATATGTACGTGTGTGTGTATGTGTGTGTGTGTGTGTATATATATATGTAGTTCTCTTGGTTTCAAAAATTTGCTAGCACAATTTAACCAAATAAATGAAAATAAAATTAACATTTTATCACAAGGTCAAAATATAAGGAGTAAAGGGTTTATGGGGGGGGTAATAAAAATGTTCTAGAACTACTGATGGCTTCAAAAATTTGTGAACATACTAAACCTCACTGAACTCTATACTTTAAAAGGGTGAATTTTATGAAATGTGAATTATATCTCAATGAAGAGATATAACAAATTTAAAAATCATACCTCAATAAAAAATTATACCTCAAAAAAACCTAACTGAACATTTAACAGCCTTACTAGGCAGTAATTATATATTTAGTACAGAAAAAAATATAAAACAAGCATATTCCAAATTTCATCTCAACTGATGGAGGTTGAGGAGTGTTAGTATGTGACGTGGTGAAACTATATCAGTGCTCCTGGGCAGGTGAGAAAGAAGTAATTCATTCTCCTGTTTATCACTGGCAATATTTGCAGTTTCCTTTTGGCTGGGTTCCTGAATGCACTTGGCAACTCTTGCACCGTTGTGGGATTGAGATGAGTGTGTAACTGATTAACAGCTAGAGGAGAAACTGTACACAAACTTACCCCATCAAATAAATCAGGTCATGCTGCTACAATATTTAAGCTAAACTTGAACAGGAAAATATGTAAGTCCTTAAGAACATTAAAAGCTTTTATAAAAATCAGATGTCCATGGAAAATTATTTTCCACAAACCTGGTTCAATAGAGCTGAGGACTCCAGTAGTGAGAGAGTTTCCTCAGGTTCCTTGGGAGTTCTATTGGTAAAACATCTAGATTTTATCGATGGCAACACTGCTTATGGACAGCACTCACCCTCATTTAGTGATTTTGGTCTACAAACATAACCATAACCAGAAACAGGGCTAGGTTGTGTGGGAAAGCAAAGAGAACATTTACAGAACACTTCCACATATGAGGCACAATTCTAAACAGTTTACACTCACTGTTGCACACAATCCTGACAAAAGCCTCTGTGGTTGATACTATTCTGGTCATTCTTATTTGACAGACAAGGAAACACAGGTGCAGACATTAAGTAATTTGCCTACATTCAAACCATTAGTAAGTGACAGAATGAGTATTCGGACCTAGGCAATGCAGCTCTCCCAATCCGTGATCCTAGTTACTGGACTAATACCTCTTCTACACATTTATTTGGCACATCCAAAGTGCTCTGCAAAGAGGTTTGCATTTATATGACCAGAAAAGCCTCTTTGTGAAGGAAGCATTTTGAGAAAGGCCTTGGAAAGAGCCAAAAATGCTTCAACAGGTGGAGATGCTGAGGCTCGGACAAAGAGTAAGGCCGCAGGAAAGAGCATTTGAAGCAAGGGAATCATCAGAGGAAGAAACACATGGTCATGTTCAGAGCAAGCCCATCAGCCTCACTGCAGCATGGGCTGCATGAAGGAAGAAGAGGGGAGTGACATGTGGCAGGGAAATATGGACCAACGCCATGCATGGAGGTCCTGAATGCCAGGTCTGAGTCTGAGCTTAGTGCACAGAGTGACAATAACATGGAAGGCAAACTGAACTCCATAAATATCCCTACTGTTCCTGATCAGCCTGTGCTCTCATATTATAGGAATCAGGTCCAAAGCGACTCAGTCCTTCTATGCAATACTGTATTTATGTAGACAGTTTTCTTGAACCTTCTAAGTTAAGTCTTCTATTTCTCTTAGGAACATTGTTTGAAAAGTTATTCTTGAATTCACCCTCCCTTTCCTTAATTGTGCCTGTTCAATATTTCTATTCTATACTCTACGTGCCTCACGGGTTGTGATGTGGCGTAGTAAGAATGGCAGATGAGGATTTGGTGTGGTCTGAATTCTAATCTTGACATTTTCCTGAAGGATTCCATTCACTCATTCACTTAGCACTAGTTTGATTAACTTCAGTATGCCCAGATCTGTAATAGATGAAGAATAGAGATTTAATAAATTATGCCCCAGAAAAGTTAAGTCCATTAAGAAACAAGACCAACACCAAAATATAAATTCCACATAATATGCTAATTACACAAGAGTGACAGAGGAACTTCAAGTAGGGAGTTAGGCCAGGAAACCCTCACAAGGATAGGAGTTTTATGCTTGTCTAGATAAATACAGGTGGGAAAGGAAAGCATTATTAACAAAGGAGACAGAGAGCAAAAGCACAGATGAGGGCTCGCACACAGCCCATTCTGGGGGCTACAAATTATACACATATATTGATATCTCAGAATTGAGAGGAATGTCCAAAAGGAAAAGTACCTTCGTTCATTCTCTGATTCTCTCCCTGAACTCATTTTTTCTCAAATACTCTCTCCCAAATAAGAATGGGAACGGAAAATAAAAAGGACAAATACTTAGCTACCTCTGCTGATCTGGCATCTCGGTTTGCTTTTGATTATCTTAGGAGCATGCCTGTTGTTCTGAGCAGTTCTCAACCTCTGTGATTGTCTAGAATAGATGTCCAATGGAAATAATGGCAGGACCGGTTTCTCTGCCAGGGCCGTGGGGATGCTGATGCTTCACTTGTCTGGCCCATTTAGGTTTTGTGATGATAAATGGTAATAATGTTTCATTATATGTTAATTTCCATCTTTCATCTGAGAACTCACAGCATATTACAAATATTGTTTTTTGCAACATCTCTGTGAAGTAGGGAGGTGAGTAGTATCATTGCTCCCATTTGAAAGCTGTAGGAACTGAGTCATAAAGAGGTCACAAAGAGCTGTTCAAGGTCATGTGTCTTTACCATGGAGAGGAACCTGAAACAAGTGCAATATCTCTGCCTTGTCATCACTGGCAATAAGCTGACTCAGTCTTCCTCCTCAGCCCTCATTACACAAATCTGCTATTTGTAAAGTACTTGAGACCTTTAGTTATAGAACTTTATCTAAACTCAAGGCTTTACCTTTAGTATTAATTATCCTAATCTGCTCTAAAATAGTCTGTGGTAGCAAGCAAAGATGCCATATCCCAAAGAGGAATTACCTGCCTCAAGGTGGTGGTGCAAAGTCTAATTGAATTAATTAATGTTTGTAAAACATTTAGCAACCCTTAGATTAAAGGGTCTAATACAAAGATCCAGGGACTCCCCATTAATTACAGAAGAAAAGAGCAGGCTGATGCTGTCTCTGCTTCTCAGAGGACTTGCTCTCAAATATCCCCGTTCAGCACCAGGTCTGTTCTCCCAGTGCCTTGGGGTGGCCTGTTGTTTCCCTTTCAGAAGAGTCCTCTTTGCTTTCTGTTATTTCCAAAAATAGGAAATTAAAAGCTGCTCTCTGGAGGTAAGGCAGCTCCCCTTCTGTGAAGCTTACCTCAGTTGACAGCTGTTATAACAATTCCAGGTCATTAAGGACAACCTATAAAAACAAAATCCAAAAGAGATGGTCCCCAGGCAGAAGCTTCATGTCAGTGTACTTAATTTTGAGAACTTTTAACCTAAAAATTTGAATATACAAAACAATACAAGTTATGGTGCTATTATTAACAATCAGAGACTATTAGACTGGGCCTTAGAAATTACTAAGTTACTTTCATTGTTTCTTCGGTGAGAAAAAAGTTACTGGATGACTGTGTAACGATTTGTCCAAGATCACAATCTGCGAAAGCTAAAACTCTCAAGTCTTATATATGATATACTTCACACAACATCATATTGCTACTCACTTTTTTTTTTTTGAGACAGGGTCTCGCTCTGTCACCCAGACTGGAGTGCAGAGGTGCAATCATGGTTCACTGCACCCTCAATCTCATAGGCCCAAGGGATCCTGCCACCTCAGCCTCTCAAGCAGTTGGGACTACAGGCAAGAGCCACCATGCCCAACTAATTTTTGTTCTTGTTTTTTGTAAAGACAAAAAACATGTTGCCCAGGCTGGTCTTGAACCCTGAGCAAAAGCCATCCACCCACCTCTGTCTCCCAAAGTGCTGGGATGACAGGTGTCAGCCACCATGCCCGGCTGCTACTCACTTTTTGTAAAGGGATTAGAATAGGATACTTTGAAACAGTATCTCTAGAATATTTACGAGGACTTCATTTGCCAAGCATAGATTTCAATAGAACTTTTCCAGAACCCACCAATTGTGTAAAGCCATGGCCATATCACTGAATTGTACAGCACATCCCATTACTTAGGCATGATCCAGAGGGCTTAGGACATAGCATTGGGCCCACCCACTGGGGTGAAAATCTGTGCTTGGGGAGCTGATGACACTGCAGGTGCTTGCAAAGGAAATTTAATCTACCAGGCAATTGAAGCTCACAGCAATTTCTGCTTACAGCTCAGGGGAGCAGTTGGCCAAGGGGGAAAGAGAGAAAGGCCATAAGACAGAAGCAGAAATGTTCCCAACAAGCAGTTAGAGTCCAGCCATGGGGCAGGTGATACTTGGAAATCCAGACAGGAAGCTGGCTCCATGGAGTCTGTCCTCTAGTGGCTAAGCTCCAATCAGAAACCTCGGGCCTGAGGCAGCGTTCCAATTCCGAGTGGGAGCCTGGCATGGGAAAGGCTTCTTCACTCCTAGGAAAAATCTGGGGCTCAAGACAGGCTGCCAGGCAGGAACTTAGGAACAGTAGTACCCACAGGGGACCTCAGGCTTGGGAATGAGGCAAGAGCCCAATTAACAGAATCAGGGCACTGCCTCTGGGCAGACTAACCAAGAGTGTGGCTGGGTGCTGAGCTGCAGAGAGCAACGCTGGGCTGGATTCAGTGCCCTTGCTGTGGGCCTGGGATGACCCAGGAACTGGGCTGAGGCCCCTGGGGAAAATCAAGAACAGGTTCCTGGTGCAGATGAAGAAAGCGGCAAGGCTGGGGCTCCACTGGGCCTCTCTGCTTGCCATTCTTCCAAAAGTCCACTTAGGATTATTTATGCTGGTTACCTCTTTCATCAGCAAGTAAGATGCTCCACAAAAGGGAGGAGACTCTCAAGTGGATCAATCAATGATATTTTGAGAGAGGGGTGAAACTGAAATTAATGACAAAAGAAATTCAGAGCTCTTATTTGTGTACTGTACATGTCGTTCAGTGTCCTAAGCAAACTGGTAATGGGAAATGTTATTTACTAATGGAAAAAGGAAAGTAATAAGATAGAACTAATGCACCTCCTAGTACTCAGACCCTCTCCCAGTTAGTGTGGCATCAGAGGGGATCTCTGAGGTTTCTCAGCTCTCCCACAGTCCATCAACCCTGCCAAAGCACTTCAAATAAGCAATCTTAATAAAACTGTGCTTACCATGCAAATGTAACTTTAAAATAAGCCCCCCAGCTTCCAATCTAATCTCTGTCCCAATGGAGGTCTTTGGGGGCTGTCACTGTCTTTTCACATGCCTCTTTTTTACACACCCCTATGAAACACGCAACCGGACTACCTATGTCTACCATGGGATCATCACTGTACTTCTCCCTCCGCGGGAAATGGAGTCCAATCCTCTCCTCCTTTCATCCAGCCTTTCTCTGGCACCAGGGAGCTTTGCTGTTGGCTAGCTGCAAGCTTTGTTGGTTGCTCTGTTTGTTCATATCTCATTGACCCCAGAGTACATGGCAGAGAATAGCAGTAGTTCCTCACCAGTGGTGTGTGTCAGTCACCCTGGAAGCTCTCCTGGACCCCACATACTCTGGTCCCGGAGAGCTACCAAACCCAGACCTAGCAAACCTGAATCCCTGGGGTGGAAACAAACAAACAAAAAAAAACTACATTTTGATGAGTGTGGGTTATGTTGTACTTATACTACTTTAAAAATAAAAAGGAAAATAAAAGAATAAAGTAGATCTATTGTCATAGCAAGATGTCCACGATACATTAACTGCAAGTTGTTATAGAATGCTATTATTATATGATTAAATGCACTATATTATTAAATGCATTCATCAGGCATTTTTGTAAAAATGGGAAATATCTGTGTGTGCGATGTAATATATAGGTGGATATTTAAACAAAAGAGTCCATAGACTAGGGATTTTAGCCACTGTTCCCTGTTCTCCTTGCCATTTGCCTCCCAGGCCCTAGATACAGTGAAACCAATTTCAAATATAGAATCATACTGGTCAGCTGGGTGCAGTGGCTCAAGCCTGTAATCCCAGCACTTTGGGAGGTCGAGGTGTGCAGATGATGAGGTCAGGAGTTCAAGACTATCCTGGCTAACACGATGAAACCCCATCTCTACTAAAAATACAAAAAATTAGCCGGGTGTGGTGGCAGACACCTGTACTCCCAGCTACTCGGGAGGCTGAGGCAGGAGGATCACTTGAACCCAGAAGGCAGAGGTTGCAGTGAGCTGAGATGGTGCCACTGAACTCCAGCCTGGTGACAGAGTGAGACTCCATCTCAAATAAAAATAACAATAAAAATTAAAAAATCATAGTGGTTGTATTATGGCTCTATCATGTGACAGCCATGAAAAATTTGGCAAGTTGCTAAATTATCCTAAGCTTCAATGTTTTCATCTTTGAAATGAGATATAATCCCGTTACTCCATGATACGGTATTGTTGGAAGAACAAATAAGATTGTATACATGCCCAGTCTCGTGTCAGACAAATTATAAGACATTTTTTAGGGAAAAAATAGTGTTAGAAGTTGAACGGTACTTGAGAATTTTTTTCTTCCCAAAAAAATATGAAATGGGGAAAAACACAATTGAACAGCTTTATATTAATCTTTCTTGTTTAAGAACAGGAAAGATTATACCTGGTTTACTGAAGGATTGCTTGAAGAGTGTCAGCCCATCAGGACAAGGGAATGCAGAGAAGGCCTGGCTAACCCACAGATCTCACCAGCCTAATCTACCTGCCAAAATGAGAGAAAATGAAAGCCAGAAACTCAGGGACCCAAATCTCCACTCCTAGGCCTAGTATCCTTTTACTAACTACTCATTCCAATGTTAAGAAGTCCACAGAAACCAAAGTACCCACAAATATCAATCACTGCTTAACAGTAAATGATCAACACATACTGATTTCATCCACTTTAGCCAGGTGAGGTGGCACATGCCTGTAATCCTGGCTACTCAGAAGGCTGAGCTGGGAGGATTACTTGAGCTTGCAAGGTCAAGGCTGCAGTCAGCTGTGATTGTGTAATTGCGCCACTGCACTCCAGCCTGGGCAATAGACTGAGAGTGTCTCAAAAAAAAAGTTTGCTTTGTAAACCACCGAATATATACCTAAAATGTTGTTTTCTTATTTTATTTCTTTAAGATTATTTATAGACTATTTCTTGTTAGGAAAAATATTTTATTTCTTAATTATTTATCATCTGAACAATGTATGACGTGCTAATATCAAAGAGCACTGGAAGGAGAGAGATTTACAACCAACCTCTGGCAACCTCACTGTCTAACTTGGGGCAACCCCTGCTGTTCAAAAGAGAGAAAATGAGAGCCAGAAAAGTTACCTTCTAACACTTCTAAATTAGTATTAGAAGTTGAACAGTACTTGAGAAATGTTTTCTTCCCTAAAAAAATATAAAATGGAGAAAAACACAATTAAACAGCATTATATTCATCTTTCTTATTTTTAGAATAAGAAAGATTATGCCTGGTTTACTGAAGGATTGCTCGAAGAGTATCAGCCTATCAGAACAAGAGCATTCAGAAAAGGCCTGGCTAACCCAGAGGCCTTGCCACCCTGGTCTACCTGCCTAGCTGGGCCTTGCTAGAAGCACTTGTGGCTGCCATCTACAGGCCTGCTTCCAGCCTATATGCCTTGTGGCAAAAGCTGCATGGCATTTGGCAGACTGGAAAACCATGCAAATATTCATGATCTGGGCAAAATCCCTAAATGAGGGTAAGCAAGCTGTTAAGAGAAATTCAACTGTGTCCTATGAAATGCATTTGCAGGAACTTATGAAGATGTTTATCTCAAGGAACAGGAGATTTAGGAAGTACAGGTTGGTCATCATCAAGTATCTGACTGTTTATCATGTAAGGTGGGATTGACACTAATCTGGTGATTCCAGGGTAAGAACTAGGATTAACAGGTGGAAACTGGTGCCTAGTAGTTAAGAGTAAAGGCTGCAGTCATCTTGACTGTGGTGATGGTTTCACAGATACACCATGACATATTTTATACTTTGGATATGTGCAGTTGATTTTATTTCAACTTCAATAAAGTAGAAAAGAGTATGAGCTATAATGTCAGATAGTTTGGGCTCTAATTATTGCTTAGCCACTTACTATCAGTGTGATCTAGAACAGGGATCCCCGACCCCTAGGCCTTGGACAGGTATTGCAGGAGGTGAGCAGCAGGTGAGCCAGCAAAGTTTCATCTGTATTTACAGCCACTCCCCATCACTCACATTACCCCCTGAGCTCCACCACCTGTCAGAGCAGCGGCAACATTAGATTCTCATAGGAGCACAAACCCTACTGTGAACTGCACATGAGAAGGATCTAGGTTGCATGTTCCTTATGAGACTCCAATGCCTGATGAACTGTCACTGTTTCCCGTCACTCCCAGATGGCACTGTCTAGTTGCAGGTAAACAAGCTCAGGGCTCCCACTGATTCTACATTATGTTGAGTTGTAGAATTATTTCATTATATATTACAATGTAATAATAATAGAAATACCGTGCACAATAAATGTTAATGAGTTTGAATCATCCTGAAACCACCGCCCCCGACTCCAACAGTCCATGGAAAATTTGTCTTCCATGAAACTGGTTCCTTGTACCAAATGGGTTGAGGACTGCTGATCTAGAACAAATTATTTAACCTTTAATAGATCTCCTGGAGTCAATATGAAGTTAGGTGAAATAATGCATATAAAGTGCTTAGCAGGGAATCAATGTGTGGCAATCATTTACTGTTAGGCAAACAATTACTGTTATTTTGGGGTACTTTTTCTTTGGTGCTCTCAAAATTGGAAGGAGTAGTTTAATATAAGGCTACTGGGCATAGGAGCAGAGAATTGGGGTCATGAATTTCTGGACCCTTTGAAAGGACATCAAAGAGTACTGGAAGGAGAGAGATTCACAATCAACCTCTGGCAACCTCACTGTCTAACTTGGGGCAACCTCTGCTACTCAATTAAGAGAAAATGAGAGCCAGGTAATCTTGGCATTAGAAGGAGATTTTGAGATTGACAGGTCCTATTTCCACCCAGTGGTCCCAGTCTAGCCATGAGATGTCCCTGCTTTCCTCATGTCCCTGCTCTCAGTTCCCCTGCAGAGAGCTCCTTCCCCAGCCAGCAATCTGCTGGAATCTGACAGCCAGGGGGCTTGCAGACCAAACACTATTAAGTGGTTAAGTATTTAAAAACAGGTCGTGAGAAACATATTCATTTCCTGTTTCTTGCTATCTCACTATGTGATGTTGAACGCACCATTCCACTGCTCTGAGCCTCAGTTGACTAATCTGTTTAATGGAACTGATATTATTGTCCTACTCTTGTGATATTGTTTATTATTGTGATATTGCTTGTTTCTGCTCAGCACAGAGTTAAGTGCTCCATTAATGCCAGGCCATGAGACTATCATGAGCATCATGAGAGGTAGTAGGTAAAATTGATAGATATAGAATGCAGTGCCCAAGTCCTCAACTCACGAACCTGTGCGGCTACTGCCAGGAGAAGGCCAAAGGGCTTTCTTTCTCCCTAGATAATTCAGATACATTTTAGACAATGGTTCTCCTGGGGTAATGGACCTGCCCTTGTTCTCCTAACCTACTCTTTTTGCTACCTCCCTAAATTCCACTTTCCCGTATTGAATTTAATACCTCAGTAATTATCCTTAAATTTGGATCTCCAGGTTTTTCTTTGCTTTGATCTTTTTAGCCCCTATGATAGAACAGATGGTCTCCAGCTTATACCTTCCCCAGATCTGAACATTTCATATGTCCAAGCAGCAGCTGGCCTGCCTCCTTACTCAGTGTACCAGTGACCTATTGGCCCTATATTCTGTCCTCAAGAATCTGTGACTGCTCCTGGGTATGCAGCCCGGAACCTTCTTTGCTGGGGCCTCTCAACCCCTGGAACATGTTAGGCATCACAAGAGCCTGGCACCCCTTTCCCTCTATCCCTAAAACATCACACATATACGCAAACACAAACTCATACACACACTATTGGAGCATGAGCCCTGGTCACACTTCCATTAGATCCAGTGGTAACAGTTGCCTCACCATTCCTTTCCACTACATTCCTCACCCCTTTCACTTACTTTTTGGAAGGTCTCTTGCTAACATCTTCAGTCCTTTTGGTCAAGGCCCTGTCTCTGACCCCAAATGTCACCCACAAAGCCTAATGTTGTGGTTAACAATATTTTCAGTTACTACTAAAATATTTGATGGCACACATATGTTAAAAATGAAAACAAGTTTTCTGGAAGATTATCTGTTAATATTTATCAAAGAGATTATATGTATAATAATCATACCTAACATGAATGTTTGCCATGAACCAAACACTGTTGTTAACTCATCTTATTTTCCTATCTTCAACTCTATAAAACAGATACTTTCGTTATTACCACTTTATCCCACTTTTAGAATTCTCTTGTGAATCATCTCAGATTTATTCAAATTGGGTACAAAAATTTATCACAGCATTGTTCAAATTGAATTATGTCCATATAATAGAATATTATGCAACCATTAAATATCAGAATATTCAGGAATGTTTAATATTTGAAAATGATAATTAAATATTAAATGAAAAACAAGATATGCATATTTTTATATAAAAAATGAGCCTGATATTATCCATGGATGCATAAACCAAAAAAGAAAACAAAGAGACAGAGATACGACAAAACCCTGACAGTGAATATCTCTGAGGGAGAATTCTTTACTTTATTCCCCTGTCTCTGTCATTCAGTTTTCCACAATAAACATGCTTTAATGTTATAATCAGAAAAAGTAAATGTATTAAAAATATATTTTGCTATAGCATCATGTAGTTAAGTTCTGCTTAATTTCTGCTAGAGCCCAAGTGTCCTGCTCATCCTCAAGAGCATCACAATCTCTCCGATGCAGTCCATGGATACGAATTAATATTATTTCCAAAGAAGAGGACCCAGAAATGTAAGAGAGTTTAAATTTCCTCCAATTTACAGAAAATATGCAAATAAAGCAACCTATGGTCACTTGGTGCCAAGAAATGAATCCTCATTAAGGACCCACCAAACTCCCTGCACTGTCCTTAGAAATGGAAGTTTAGCTACCATGTGTTAGGTTTTCTCTTCTCCACCAGGATGTTTTCTTCTTCCAGGATTTTTTATCTCAGTGATATCCTTGGTTTCTTTCCTCCCCACCAGCCCCTGTCTCTCCCAAATCTAATTGTCCCTGGTTCTGTTTAAAGCCTGCCTGGAGGTGCCTCCAAACAGACTCCCCTTCTTCTGACCCGTGAGCCAGAATAGACCTGCATGGTTGTGCCTTTGGTAAAACACAGCCACCTGAAGCACCACCACTTTCTTTCTTTTCTTTTCTTTTCTTTTTTTTTTAGACGGAGTTTCACTCTTATTGCCCAGACTGGAGTGCAATGGCGCAGTCTCGGCTCACTGCAACCTCCGTCTCCCGGGTTCAAGCGATTCTCCTGCCTCAGCCTCCTGAGTAGCTGGGATTACAGGCACATGCCACCACACCCGGCTAATTTTTTGTATTTTTAGTAGAGACGGGTTTTCACCATGTTGGCCAGGCTGGTCTCAAACTCCTGACCTCAGGTGATCTGCCTGCCTCAGACTCCCAAAGTGCTGGGATTACAGGCATGAGCCACCGTGCCCAGCCAAGCACCACCACTTTCTTTTAACTACCAAAGAACTTTGGCAAACAGTTGATTCCAGGAAAAAAGCTGCCACTTTCTCTAGGGGAAAAAAATGGAACTAAATGCAAAAGCTTTCATCTAATTGCAGTAAAAAACAGACACTTCTCTTCCACTTTAGCCATTATTTCTAGGCACATTGAAAGGAGCATGGATTTGTAGCCTCCCATAACCTGGACTTAAAGCCAGGCTCTAGAATGGGCTAGGAGAGCATGTGCGAGGCTGTGAAGGTTGTTCACCTACAAAATAGGACTAATAACTTTAAGGACTGTTGAAAGAATAAAAATTGTTCATAAATGATAACATGAGTATACATAAACCTAGCACCCAGATCTTTGTTTCTAATGCCATTCTCCAATAAAAGGAACAAAAGCTCCTTGGAAAAATGGCTGAATCTAGGACTGGGGACACAAATATACAAGATGAGCCTCTTGTAGTGCCAGAACATAAAAAAGTGCTTAAAAAAATTAATGAGGATGGGTCAAATGGGTACAAGAGAAACTGAAGGAGCTCCCAATGGCCAAAGTTGGAACCATTTGAGCAACAAAATAATATCAGTATTGTTTTATAACCCAAAGTATAAAATAAATATTTGTGAATCCACACTGATACAAATAAGTTATAGAATAAATAAACAAATGGGCGAGAAGAGATAAATCTCTCATGCAGAAGAATTCAAACAATTTATGTAGATACTACACGCTTGCTAACTGTGGGCTATTCATAGTGATTTCCTTCTAAAGAGTATAGTATAGAAAAGAAGGAAAAGAGAAGCTTTACAGTGGAGAGATTTGACTGACACTATGTCAGCCAGCCAGGTGATCAAGGTCAACATCCACAGTGGCAAGTCATGCTGAGAGTGTGTTATCCTTAATATAATGTGATAGGAATGGCATTTTGCCTCTGTGCACTTCTTCCCAAAAGCCCAGAATTCTAGTCTAATAGTGAGAAAAATGTTCGACAAATCCCAATAAAGGGACGTGGTACAAAATACCAGTCTAGTAGTCCTTAAAATTGACAAGGTCATCAAAAACAAAAGAAGTTTGAGAAACTGTCACAGCCAAGATGAGCCTAAGGAGAAATGACAACTAAATGCAACTTAGTATCCTGGGTGAGATCCTGGACAGGATAAAAAGCATCAGATAAAAACTAAGGAATTTTGAATAAATTATCAACTCTAGTTAATAGCAACATAGCAGTATTGGGTTTTTGTTTTGGTTTGGTTTTTTTGTTGTTGTTTTTGTTTTTGTTTTTTGTTTTTTGTTTTGAGAGAGGGTCTCGCTCTGTCACCCAGGCAACAATAGCTCACTGCATCCTCAACCTCCCGGGCTCAAGCAGTCCTCCCATCTCAGCCTCCCAAGTAACTGGAACGACAGATGCACGCCACCACGCTCAGCTAATTAAAAAAAAAATTTTGTGTGTGTGCTGACAGGGTCTTGCTACGTTTCCAAGCTGGTCTTGAACTCCTGAGCTCAAGCAATCCTCCCACCGCAGGCTCCCAAAGTGCTGGGATTACAGGTATGAACCACTTCACCCAGCCAGTACTGGTTACTTAATTGTGATAAATAAACCATATTAATGTAAGATATTAACAATGAGGGAAATCGGGTGCGGGGTATATGAGAACTCTCTATGCTATCATCACAATCTTTCAATAAACCTAAAACTATTCAAAAATGGAGAGTTTATTTTTTAAAAATTACGCATACAAATATGCTTTGCCAGCAGGGTGCGGTGGCTCATGCCTGTAATCCCAGCACTTTGGGAGGCTGAGGCAGGAGGATCACTTGAGCCCAGGAGTCTGAGAAAAGCCTGGGCAACAAAGCAAGACCTTCTATCTAAAACAAAACAAAACAAAAAAATTAAAAATTAGCCAGGCGTGGTGGCACACACCTGTAATTCCGGCTACTCAGGAGACTGAGCTGGGAGGATTGCTTGAGCCCAGGAGGTCGAGGCTGCAGTGAGCTGTGATTGTGTAATTGCACCACTGCACTCAAGCCTGGGCAATAGATTGAGACTCTGTCTCAAAAAAATATGTTTGCTTAGTAAGCCACATAATATATGCCTAAATTGTTGTTTTCCTATGTCTTAACATGATTTATAGGTTATTTCTTGTCAGGAAAAGTATTTTATTTCTTAATTATTTATCATTAGAACCATGTATGACATGCTAATTATAAATTATATACTAGCAAAATCTCAATGCATTTTTATTGAATTTTTTATTTTATCATTGACAAATCAGAAGGGGAAACTATCAGGGTGACAGTGAACAGAAGGGAAGGATAAAGGACTGGAATAGAGGCCTAATACCACCACAGTCTTTATCTTTATTTTTTCCTCATACAATTAAACTCAGCCTCTTAGCATATCCTATTCTTGAGTAAAGCAGGGAGGCAGTGTCATAGCGGTGAAACCCACAGGCTCTGAATTCTCACAGACCAGAGCTTGCATCCTGTGTACCAGTTGTGTGGTCAGGGGAAATTATTTATCTCTACAAGCTTCAGGCTCATCATATGGGACCAAAGGATAATAATATCTCCCATGAGGATGGTTGCTAATATTAAATGAGATGACATATATACAATGCTTAGCACAGTGTATATATAAATTCCCAATAATTGGTAGCTATTATTATTATTAAAGGGGTGTAAAATTTGGCCAGACATGGTTGTAAAAGCAAAGTAGAAAATAAGTATCTGGCCAGGTGTGGTAGCTCATGCCTGTAATCCCAGCACTTTGGGAAGCCAAGGCGGGTGGGTCAACTGAGGTCAGGAGTTCGAAACCAGCCTGGCCAACATGGCAAAACCCCGTCTCTACTAAAAATACAAAAATTAGCCGGGCATGGTGGCGTGGGCCTGTGATCCCACCTATTCAAGAGGCTGAGGCAGGAGAATTGTTTGAACCTGGGAGGTGGAGGTTGCCAGTGAGCCGAGATTGCGTTACTGCACTCCAGCCTGGGTGACAAAGCAAGACCTTGTCTCAAAAAAAAAAAAAGAAATATCCATGAGTTCAAAGAGAGATACAAATAAACAATTGAATAAATAAATGGGGAGAATAGATAAATCTTCCGTACAGAATTCCAGATAACTTATGCACACAGGGCTCCTCAGAAAGGGCTACATAACTATTCACTCCTTAACATTGGCTGCTGGTAGTGACTTCCTTCCACAGTGTACAGTATGAGGGGTGAGGAGGAAGTAACTTTACAGTGGAGAAACCTACCAAATATTGCTCAGTCAGGTGATGAAGGTTAATTTCAAAATTGATATGTCATGCTGACAACATGGTGTGATAAGCATGGCACTTTACCTCTTACAGTCTTCCTCCCAAAAACCTACAACTCCTGTCTATCCATGAGAAAAACATCAGACAAACCCCAATTGAAGGGCATTTTATAAAACACGTAATACCCCTCAAAGCTGTCAAGGTCGGCACAAACAAGGAGAATCTGAGGAAATGTCATGGTCTAGGTGAGCCTAAGGAGACATAACGCATCAATCTAATGTGGTATCTTGAATGGAATCCTGGTACATGAAAAGGACATTAGGCCTGTGAAATAAAATAATAATAATAATAAAAAGGACGTTAGGTAAAACTAAAGAAAACTGAGTTATGGACTTTAGACTTTAGTTAATACTAACACATCAGTCTTGGTTTACTTGTTGTAATAAATGCACCATACTAATGTAAGATGTTAACAAAACAGGAAGCCGCCCAAGCAGGCAGATGGCTTGGGCCAGGAGTTCAAGACCAGCCTCAGCAACATGGCAAAACCCCGCCTCTACAAAACATACAAAATAATAATAATAGCCAGGCAACACATGCCTGTAGTCCCAGCTACTCGGGAGGCTAAAGTGGGAGGATTGCCTGAGCTCCAGAGGCAGAGGTTGCAGTGAGCCGAGATCATGCCACTGCACTCCAATCTGGGGGACACAATAAGACCCTGTCTAAAAAAATAGGGGAAACTGACTTTGTTTGGGGTATATGGGAACTCTCTATCCTATCTTCATAATTTTTCTGTAACTCTAAAACTATTGTAATATAAAAAGTTCAGGTTTTAAAAAAGCAGTGGGAATAGAATGTTTGTTACAGTAATTGAGAACTACCTATTTTAAACTTACAGCAGTCTTGCCTTTGTTTATTAATTTGTTAAAATAATTGAATACTCCATGATAGCAATGTGCGAATTTGGATCTAGATGGATGGTATGAACCAGTTTAGGTTTAAAAAACGAACAGAACATCCTCGGTTTAGTGGGACGCCTCTGCCCCCTAGTGTCTTAACATTCAATCTGCGTTTAGTGGCAAAGGACAGCCTGCAAGCTTCAGTCACTTGATGTTTCAAGGTCTGGACAAGAGTGGAGACATTCTCAGAGCCTCTGATCTACTAGAATCGTACTCCAGTTTGTTCATATACCCAGAAACTATGCACCGCTGAGTGGTCCCTGAAGACGTTAGTACATGCACGTGATGGAACCAGCTGATGGGAATGTAAAGGGCAGGAGGGCAGTTTGACATGTGAATAGGAAGCCTTACAAATGTGTATAGGCCAGGTGCAGTGTGACTCACGCCTGTAATTCTAGCACTTTGGGAGGCTGAACTGGGCAGATCACTTGAGCTCAGGAGTTCGAGACCAACCTGCGCAATATGGTGAAACACCTTCTTTACAAAAAAAAAAAAAATTACAAAAATTAGCTGGGCATGGTGTGCACACCTGTGGTCCCAGTTACTCGGGGTGGGGGGCAGGGGTTGGGGGGAGGGGAGTAAGGGCTGAGGTGGGAGGATGGTTTGAGTCTGGGAGGTGGAGCTTGCAGTGAGCCGAGATCACCGACATGGTTTAAATGTTCATGATATAATGTTTAGCAAAACTCTAAACAGTGTGACCAAAACTTTAAGAAATACCACAGATTAATATATAAAACTTTAAGGAATACCACAGATGAACTTTAACGAATACCACAGCCATATATATATATATACATATATATATATACACATATATATATATATACATATATATATATATATATAATTTGTATCTACTATGCTAGCAGCATCTGAGACACACATCTGTGGTCCCACCAGGACTTTTATCTCAGCCTTATCTCAGCCCTTCACCATCTGGTGACAAATGACTCTCTGGAGCACCTTCCCAAGGCTCCTGGGCCACAGGCAATTGGGAGTGTGGCCTTGCCCATTTCTTCTCACTGCCGCTGCAACAGGCTGGCATGAGGGGCTCCTCTGTGAACCTCCTTCCCTGCCTTCTCAGGTTTCCCCAGGAATCACAGTATAGTTTTTCTCCACTCGAGGTTCCCATCCCCACCACTCTAGGACTTCTAGCATTCCACAAGGTGTGAGATCATCTCTGAGATTTACAGCAGCACCCAAATCCAGTCACACTTACCAAATCTCTCCTAGCTCAGCTGTGGAATTTTATCAAATCCCAGCTCTTATATCATTCATTCTTCCAAAATCGATTATTTATAAAATAAAATTTAGCCTTTGTACACAAAAGTCAGACTTTAAAATTCAAAATCCTTTTTCTCTGGGTAAGGTCTCTTCCAGAAACTTCAAAAATCGATTTAGAAAAGTTAAGTGCTAATAATTGTTTTATTTCTTTCTCTTTGCATTCCTGCTATAACCTTACCCTGAATGCACATAGAAAGGCCTTGTGGGTGGTTGAATGATGAGGGGAGGGAGGAGAGTAAACAGGAACTAATCTACATACAGACATGTATATATGTGCATATATGCATACATGTTTATATAAAGAATAGAGAAATTCATTCTAAAAAAGTTTTAATGATTATCTATGCATCATTTCTTCTTTTTAACTAATTTTCCATATTTTCCAAATTTCAGAAACAAGTTTTATATAATCAGAAAAAGAAAATTACATATAAAAAAGAAACAGATAAGATGTCTGCCTCCGGCATCACCACCCGTAGTGAAGGAAGGAAAGTAGGGAACACAAGCTTTCTGTTGGCCACATCTCAAGCTCTCCTCTTTGCAGTTCCTGGTACTTGATCTTTGACCCTACTGATCACTCTCTTCTTGAAACACTTTTTCCTTAAATTTTGGAACACCAAGCTGTCTTAAGCTCTTTTTGTAGTTCTCTGTCCGTCAAAAACCTAGATCTCAGCCAGGCACAGTGGCTCACTCCTGTAATCCCAGCACTTTGGGAGGTCAAGGTGGACAGATCACTTGAGGTCAGGAGTTCAAGGCCAGCCTGGCCAACATGGTGAAACCCTGTCTGTAATAAAAACACAAAAATCAGGTGGGTGTGGCATGCACCTGTAATCCTAGCTACTTGCGAGGCTGAGTCAGGAGAATCACTTGAACCTGGGGCAGGGAGGTTGCAGTGAGCCAAGATTACACCACTGCATTCCAGCCTGGGTGACAGAGTGAGACTCCATCAAAAAACAAACAAAACAAAAAACCTAGATCTCAAGCCTGAGTCTGATTCTGTAATGGGACAAAACGTGTGTGTTGAAAAGGAGTGTGTGTGGGGAGAGGGGTGGTTGGTGAGTATGAAGCAAGAGGGTAATTTGCATGCAGGAGTAATGTGATTAATTTGTAGCCAGTGGGCAGACTATGGTAAAATAAAGATGACCACACATCCCCTTGAATCTGGAAGCCTCTGTGACTACTCTGACCAGTAGAATATGGCACCAGTGACATTTAAGGCTCAGATCTTAAGACACTGGCAGCTTCCACTTCCTGTCACTTGGAATACTTTCTCTAGGAGTCCACTTTGTCAAAAGTGAACTAGTCTGAGAATGGTCTGCTGTGAGGAAGCCCAAGCTAGCCATGTGGATATACCATTTGAAGAGAGATATAATAAAATGGTTGTTGTTCTAAGCCACTAAGTTTTGGGTTGTTAGTCATGCAGCAATAGATAATTGGAAGTTTCCTTCCTGTAAAAGGGGTTAGTACTATCCTTGTGGCTATATAAGAGGAGCTATAGTGAGAACTGCAGCCATATTAAACTTTAACTATCATCATAGAAGTTTCTAGAATTACTATGGAGGAGGAGGCTTTTCTGTATAGGAAAATACTTTGAAAAGCCCATTAGGAGTAGAAGGTGAGACCCTAGGGGATGAGTTGACAAAGAGAAATAAAAGATATAATCAAACCACTTTGAATTTGAATTGCACAGGAATTTGGAGGTAGGAAAGAGCAGAGAATACAGAAGCAAGTAGAAATAAGGGAAGAGCAATGGAGGAGAAGTGAGAAACGTGGCCAGGGAACAGAGATCAAGTTTCAAAAATAACTGAAAGACTTTTTAAAAACACGGGCATCTAACAAATTTGATGCTGATTGTATATCCATCAGGAAAATCTCTATTAGATTAGCAGTCCCTGGTGCAGTTTTTCTAATTAATTACTACAATACCTGAAAAATCTCTATTTCTCCAAAATTTCCACAAAGTTTGCTACCAGTATAGATAACTTTTGTGACATTTTTGTTTTGTTTTTAAATTTAGGTGGAAGTTTTTTTAAGTATCTGAGTTCCACTCATAGGTTGACTTGGTAGAGAAGAAGGATAACAGATGCCATTTCCTAAACTGAATTAATTTAGACATAGTGATTTTCAACCAGAAGTGATTTTGTCCCCCAAGGAATACCTGGTAATTTCCTAAGGCACTTTTGATTGTCTTGACTGGGACGGGGACTGGGATGGGGCAGGGAAGAAGGACAGCAACTGGCACCAAGTGGGCAGAAGCCAGGGATGCTGTCAAGAATCCTGCAGTGCACAGGCTAGCCATCCGCAAGGAAGAATTTTCCAGCCTAAAATGTCAATAGTGCCAAGATTGAGGAATCCTGATTTAGAGGAAGCCAAAGATCTGAATCAAAGGTGTCCATGAGAGCCTAAGCCCCCTGCAGAATGTACAGGAATCTTGAAGAAGACATTAGACTTTCCACGATCCATGGAATGTGGCTTGAATCAATCTTTTTTTTTTTTTTTTTTTTTTTTTTTTTTTTTGAGACGGAGTCTCGCTCTGTCGCCCAGGCCGGACTGCGGACTGCAGTGGTGCAATCTCGGCTCACTGCAAGCTCCGCTTCCCGGGTTCACGCCATTCTCCTGCCTCAGCCTCCCGAGTAGCTGGGACTACAGGCGCCCGCCACCGCGCCCGGCTAATTTTTTGTATTTTTAGTAGAGACGGGGTTTCACCCTGTTAGCCAGGATGGTCTCGATCTCCTGACCTCATGATCCACCCGCCTCGGCCTCCCAGAGTGCTGGGATTACAGGCGTGAGCCACCGCGCCCGGCCTTGAATCAATCTTATGTAAATTATTGGGAAGAGGGTGATTCTAATTAACCTCTGGGTTACGGCATCAAATAAGAAAAACTAATCAGTTAAAGTTCTTAATTGCAAGTAACAGAAACTAACTCTGGGGAAATTGAGCAGAAAAGGAATGTATTAGGTAATACTGGGCAGCTCATAGAATCTCTGGAAGGGTTGAAGAACCCGACCTGGAGGCTAAGCAGAAAAAAACAACTCATAAAAGCATTCTACAGAATCGTCCATGAAGATATCGGTGCCTCCACCACTGGCACAGACACTGCTGGAATAAAGGAAGCCTGAATGTTCTAGCAATCAAGATAGAATGGATGCTTCCAAATAAGCAAAAAGAAGCAGGACCTCAAAGTTTCATTTTGAAAACATATAAATATCTTTCAGCCTTAACATGAGAGAGTGAAAACTCAGCCACGTAAGCTCAGAACCTCAGGGTCATTGTTGACTCCATAATAGTAATCCAAGTCAAAATACACTTGGATAAATACATTGCCCTCCTAAGAGGCCTCCTGGTTTTAGTCTTCCACCTATAACCAACACCACATCCACTGGTAGAGTAACTTCCTATTTGGATTATGGTGCTTTCCTTCAAAGAAGTTATGCATAAATTAGCTTTCAAAACAAATCCAAACATAATTTGACATCATTCAAAGCACTCTGTGATCTGTTCTGGACCTATATTCCAGTCGTCACTCCCACTACTTATCCAGGCAAATGATTTGCTTATTGAGCCCTAAGTATACTTGGCAAATGGTTTTCTTTCTTCTGCACCTTTACTCTTACCATTCTTTCTTCTGAGATGCCTTTTCACCTTCTCTTTATCTAAATCTCACATTCATCCTTTAAAATCCAGCTCAAAACTCACAGAACACCTAACAATACCACGAACCTACTTTGTGATCTTGAGAAAATGAATACATTGCTCTGAACTTATATAAGTACAAAATGGAACATTGTATTTTGTATTTGTATTACACAATGTATACAATTAACATTGCATTTGTACTACATTTTGCTGAAAACTTTTTATTAGGAAACCATACTGTCTACACTGTGCTATAGTGGAACTGGAAGCTCTAAACCTGTAGTCCTGAGGCACCAGGAGGGTGAGTGCAAGAGCACAGTCATTCTGGAGACTTCTTTGCTGATGAAGTAGGACTCATTTTCAAGTCCACCCTTTATCAAATAGATCTCTATGTTGCAATCTAACATACAGAAGACTGTATCTCATGATAACCTTTTCTTCCAGTGCTTTCAAACAGTGAGGCTTTATTAACACTTCCATGAAACAGTTCTGAAAATTAAAAACACTTCAATCTCTTTCATTCTCTCTGAATAGAGAATATGTTTTAATGGAGTAAATTCTCAACTTTCAGACTGCAAACTCAAGTGCATAATAAATATTGCATTTCTTGGGCTAGGTGCGGTGGCTCACTCTTATAATCCCAGCACTTGGGAGGCTGAGGCGGGTGGATCACTTGAGGTCAGGAGTTCAAGACCAGCCTGGCCAACATGGTGAAACCCTGTATCTACTAAAAATACAAAAAGTAGCCAGGTATGATGGTGTGTGCTGTAATCCCAACTACTCGGGAGGCTGAGGCAGGAGCATTACTTGAACCGAGGAGACGGAGGTTGCAGTGAGCCAAGATCACACCATTGCACTCTAGCCTGTGCAACAGAGTGAGACTCCATCTCAGAAATATCTATATCTATATCTATATCTATATCTATATCTATATCTATATCTATCTATCTATCTATTGCATTTATTTAAATAGACTTAATTTTAACTCTACACCTTCACTTAGTTGGTTTCTGGGAAGCAACTGCTGCCATTTTGGTGGTTCTCTCAGTATGAAAAATAAAATTAGGTCATTCTCCCATTATAGAGAGTGTGGTGATTCATTTTGTGTGTCAACTTGACTGGATTAAGAGACACCATGACAGTTGGTAAAGCATCACTTCTGGGTATATCCATGAGGATGTTTCTGAAAGAGACGGGTTTTTGAAGCAGTAACTGAGTAAGGGAGATTTGCCCTCACCCAGTGTGGGCATGCACCATCCAGTCACTGAGTTCCTGGACAGAACAAAAAGGGAGAGGAAAGGAACATACCCTCTGTCTGTCTGTCTGTCTGTCTCTCTCTCTTTCTTCCTCTCCCTCTTTCTCCTCCCAGGAGCTGGACACCCATCTTCTCCTATGCTTGGACATTAGAACTCCACATTCTCCCCATTCCAACCAGAAACTGACACAAATACTATTGTGGCTGGGTTGTAGCCAGTTTTCTTAATGTACATGCTGATTTCCTTAATTATTTCCTCCTATCTCTTCTGACTGTAGGATGGCTCAGTGGAATCCATTTTGTCAACTCCAACAATTAGTTTTTTCACACCCTGTGTGTAAGGCAGAAGGGCATGATCACAGGTCTGTCCGGTTTTGGAGATACCAGCTTCAAAGTTGCCAACACCAGCAGCAATAATCAGGACAACACAGCCCACCTGATATGTCCCTGTAATCACGTTTTTGATAAAGTCTCTGTGGCCTAAGGCAACAGCGATAGTCACTTGCTGGTCTCAAATTTCCAAACAGAGGTATCAATGGTGAGTAATATCACATTCACACTCAGCATTCAGTTTATCCAATACCCAGGAATAGTTGAAGACACTCTTTCCCATCTCAGCAGCCTCCTTCTCAAATTTTTCAGTGGTTCTTTCTTGATGCCACCACGTGTGTAGATTGGATGGCCAGTAGTGGTGGACCTGCTCGAATCTACGTGTCCAATGGTGACAATGTTGATATGAGTCTTTTTCTTTCCCATTTTGGCTTTTAGGGGTGGTTTTCATGACACCTGTGTTCTGGAAGCAAACCTGCTGCAATGGGAATATATATGTATTGTAATATATATATATATATTCCTATTCTTACTATAGGTAGTGTTTTTGGTGGCAGAGTTAGGCAGTCTAAACATCACTCTGTGTTTTCCACTATTGTTCCCAGTTTTACTTATGGTTAAATTGGCCATATGACTAGGTTCTGGCCTACAGGATGTGGGGAGAAATGAAGTAAGTCATTTCTATGCCAGCCCTTACAAATCATGTCAGACAATCCGTGCTCTCCAAAGTGACCTTGGAAGCCACGTTTCAGATGGTGTAGCTGGGAACAACCTGGGTCTTGCGTCTCCTGCTCAAGCAGCATATCCCATTCTATCTCAACTGATAGAATCACTGAATGCACACTATGTGCCAAGCACTACTCTAAGTGCCCATACGTTAACTAATTTTATAATGAGATACACATATTAGCAAATATCATAACATCATGGTAATAGAATGATACAGAAGGACATGCCTAAAATGGCATTGAACCTCAAATCTACCACACATATCCTTCCAGTATTTCTTCCCCATTCTTTCTGCTTGTCTAAATCTCACCCTAAATTTTATTTCAGTTAAGGAACAAAGTGGTAAACTGGATATGTTAAAGTAAAAAGGAAGAAGTTCTAGCGTGTGTGTTTATTTTATATAAATATGTGAATCCAATCTATTTATTAAGAGCTTCTTGAGAGCTGTGGATTCCTACAACCTCTCCTGCTGATATAGCCTGGTAAATTGACTACTGAAAGTGGATTAATTTTGTCTTCTCTAAATGCAAGCACCACTGCTGTTTAGGTGGGCCTCCAAACTGGGAGACAGTAAGTCCCATTGTCCTGGTGGTGTTTGTGAGTTGGACCAGGATTATAGCAGTTGTAGCAGGATATAGCCTCAACTTGGTTTATCTTGGCCCTTCCTACCACCAAGGATTCTTAGGACCATACAAAGTATGAGAGAGAAAGGAGACTGTCAACAGCTTGTGACAAAGAGCAGCAAAGATGTGGGAGCTGGTCCTTCTGCAAGGCACACAATTCAACTCACTCTTACAGAGGAGGGTGCTAGCAAGCTAGTATACGTACTACTAAGAAGAATCACCATGCAGAATTACTCAAAGCCTAGTATATATATTTTTTTATTGTACAGGCCAAGTTACAGAATAGAATGAAGGTAGGGATTATGTTTTTAGTCTAAAACAGAAGCAAAGAGGAAATGAACCAGAGTGTGGAGCAAAAAATACCTGCGAGTAGGGGGAGAAAAACCTCAGAACCGGTGAGCGGGGAGGAAAGGAAAGGTACGGTTTTGAACATGACATTGGCTTAAAAGATTATAAATTGTAAGAGGCATAGAAACTTCAAAACAGAAAGAAAAAACTAAATTGCAAAAGCTTTTAATGATGGGAAGGTTGAAATAGAGTGAAGAAAAGCAGTGTTGTGCTGCTCAAACAATGGTGTATGGGTAATCGTTTAACAACTGGCTCTTCCAAAAATGATGTGTTCATATGCATAAGTTTCTTATACATTTTACTATGAATAAATGCTTCATTACTATCAATCCTATCTATTTCAACAAAGAAGTTGCTCACATCGTTAACCTATGAGTTTAGCTCTGACATGAATATGGGTTGTATTTTCCGATACATTAGTGAGTAAGAGAAAAGTAAAACAATGAAGATGTACATTAGGAAAATTTAAATTAATGATGATGTGCAAGACTTCTTTACTGAATTAGATAATAGTGTTCAAATACTGAAAGAATATTGTCTCAATTATGTATGTTATTCACAATGTAAAACCACAGACAGAACACACTTTAAAATTTAATCTGTAGTGTTATTTTTTTCCATCACTTTCTTAAGATTAGACAATCAACGAAAAACAAATCAAGCCCTGATTTGTAGTGCGTGCTGATTTCTATGGTGGAAATACTGCCACCATGACTAGTTTCAAGCTATACCAGCAACATGTCACTGAACGCAGAGTTAGAAAGAGAGGCGCAATAGCACCTCATTATATGTATAGCGTTTCCACCATACAAATGCAATGGACGTGATAACCACGTGCCTAGAAAATAATTCCTTATGCTTAGTAGTCACAGGTAATCTCTGAAGTCCCCCAAATTCCTAGCATTCCTAATCCCTTTGAATCTGATGAATCTGATTCTGTTTAGGTGGCAGGAATTATTGAGGCGCCTGAGACCTCTCAAGAGAGTGTTAGGAAGGGACACTTAAGGGAAAACACTTACCTCTTCCTGATCTCTGGGAATGTCTCTCCTCCCATGTTTGCTTCTCCAAGACCCTCTCTTCTACTCCAGGCCTCCCAGCAAAATCTGGTTTTCTTATAAAACCAGAAGAGCCTTGAATTGCCAACATTTCTCCTGCTAACATCCCCAAGGCAAGGTTACAAAAGCTGGCTGTCTTTTCGATGAGGACAGAAAAGAGAAGTCTGGAAAACATAACATAAACCGAGAATGCATCTCACTTCAGCAGTTGGTACAGCTGAAGCAAGGCTTCAGTGTGAATGCTGACAATGGGGTCACATGTTCTCAGTCAATAACATATTAGATTAGCAGTCCCTGGTGCAGATTTTCTAATTAATTACTAAAATACCTGAAAAGACTTCCATATATATATATATATATATATATAATATACACATATATACTTACATATGTATACTTTTCTTTTCTTTTTTTTTTTTTTTTTTGGCGGAGTTTTCCTCTTGTGGCCCAGGCTGGAGTGCAATGGCATGATCTCAGCTCACTGCAACCTCCCCCTCCAGGGTTCAAATGATTCTCCTGCCTCAGCCTCCAGAGTAGCTGGGATTACAGGCGCACACCACTACGCCCAGCTAATTTTTTTATTTTTAGTAGAGATGGGGTTTTACCACGTTGGCGAAGATGTTCTCCATCTCCTGACCTTGTGATCCGTCCGCCTCAGCCTCCCAAAGTGTTGGGACTACAGGCGTGAGCCACCGCACCTGGCCATATGTATACTTTAATATATGCATGTACATATAATATATACATGTATATACTTATAAGTATACATTAATAATATATGTACATTATATATTATTACATATATTATATGTATTATATATAATACATATAATATATATTACATATATTATATATGTATATTACATGTATATTATATATGTATATTACATACATTATATATGTATATTACATACATTATATATGTATATTACATATATATTATATATGTGTATAACATATATAATATATATGTATATTACATATATAAAATATATATGTATAATACATATATAAAATATATATGTATATTACATATATAAAATATATATGTATATTACATATATAAAATATATATGTATATTACATATATAAAATATATATGTATATTACATATATAAAATATATATGTATATTACATATATAAAATATATATGTATATTACATATATAAAATATATATGTATATTACATATATAAAATATATATGTATATTACATATATATAAAATATATATATGTATATTACATATATATAAAATATATATATGTATATTATATAGATATAAAAAATATATATGTATAACAATGAAAACCCTCTAGCCAGTATCATAAAGGAATAATCACTGTGGAGCAGAATTGAAGGGCATAGTTATGGTCAATACGTACTTTACTACATAAAAATAAAGAAGGGGCTGGGTGCAGTGGCTCAAGCCTGTAATCCCAGCACTTTGGGAGGCCAAGGCAGGCAGATCACCTGAGATCAGGAGTTTGAGACCAGCCTGGCCAACGTGGCGAAACCCCGTCTCTACTAAAAATACAAAAATTAGCTGGGATTGGTGGCGGGCGCCTGTAATCCCAGGTACTCAGCAGGCTGAGGCAGGAGGATTGCTTGAACCCAGGAGGCGGAGGTTGCAGTGAGCCGAGATCATGCCACTGCACTCCAGCCTGGGAGACAGACTCCATCTCGAAAAACAAAAATAAAATAAAATAAATAAATAAATAGTAAGATGACAAGAAAAAACAAGATGATAGCTGTAAAAAATATTGTATCAAATAATAGAAGGAGATCTCATATGCAGAGATGTAGCCTAGTACCTGGTACACTAAATCAGTATTTACTATGCATGTAATCATAATAGTTGTTACAGTAGAAAGATCCAAAGGAAGATTGTATCTTTGAATTTATTACAGGGACAAGAAAAAAAATCAGACAATAAGTTGGCATTTCAATACAATGAAAGAAGCTTGACCTCTAAGATACAAGCACAGAAAGCAATAAAAATAAGTAAAGGAAATATTTCAAATTTTATAATTCAAGAGTAAATCCTTAAAACTACTTAAAAAGCAGGAAAAGGCAAAAGTGTCACTGCAAAACAAAATGAAATTTGTGACATGCAGTAGATTGCAGAAAAGGTATAAAAATTGTTCTTTTAAAAAATGATAAATATAGAAGATTTCTAAACAAAGATTAGAAGTACAATTTGAAAACTACAGCTAGTTTCAGGTGTGGCTGGATAAACTGATTCTTTCCTCCCCTTTCCCCAACCCATCACACTCACACACTCCATATCAGAAAGAAATCATTAAAATAATTTCACTGGAGCTGCGTAGTACACAGAATAACGCTTCCCACAAAGAAGTCTGAATCCTAATCAGAAGCTGTGCATGTGGCAAAGGGTAATTAAGTTTGCTGACCAGTTGACCCTAGAATAGGAAGATTATCCTCGATTATCTAGGTAGGCTGATCAAATCACACGGATGCTTACATGTGGAAAGCGGAGGTGGAAGGATTAGCATTGGAGTGATGTGGTGTTGGAAAGGTTTGACCAGTCACTGCTGGCTTTGAAGATGGAAATGAGACACAAGCAAAGAAATGTGGGTGGCCTCTCAAAACTGGAGAAGGAAAAATAAAAAAGGATTCTTCCCTAGAGACCCATTTCTTATTTCTGACCTTCAGAACTATAAGATAATAAATTTGTTCTGTTTTAAGCCACTAATTTGGGGTAATTTGTTACAGCAGCAATAGGAAACGAATACCAGCTGAAATCAATTCTACACAGCACACAAGGCTCTTTGCCTGTTATGCTCATTTTCTGCTCCTCATCTCTATACTAATGAGGCTGCCTTCTGTTGGGTCCATTTCACTTTTCTTCTATTTTTTTTTTTAACAAAAAAAGATACATTTTAAAATGTTTAATGTAAACTTTCAATACATGCAAAGTGAACAGAAAAGTATAATGAACTCTCATATACCTACTGGGCAGCTTCCATGGTTATTAACATTTTGTGATTCTTGCTTCATCTAACCTCTACCCACTTCCCATCCTCCTCATGTAATCATTCTTCATAGCTTTTTAATGTAAAATGTACACATGCAAATCTACAATTTTAAATGAACAAATCTTCGCTATACATTTTGACAAATGGATGTGTTCATGTAACTGAGACTTCTATCATGATATGGAATGTTCCCATGTTTCTAGAAAGTTCCCCAATGTTCCTCCCCACTCTCCATATCTATTTTTCCTGGTCTAGAGCATCATATAAATGGATGCTCTAAATCAAGCTTGTCCATCCTGCAGCCTGCAGGCTGCATGCGGCCCAGGATGGCTTTGAATGCAGCTGAACATAAATTCGCAAACTTTGTTACTGTTTCTTAAAACATTATCAGTTTTGACCAGGCACGGTGGCTCACCCCTGTAATCCCAGCACTTTGGGAGGCAAAGGTTCGTGGCTCACTTGAGATCAGGAGTTTAAGACCAGACTGACCAACATGGTGAAACGTCATCCCTACTAAAAATACAAAAAAATTAGCTGGGTGTGGTGGCAGGCACCTATAATCCCAGCTACTCAGAAGGCCAAGGCAGGAGAATCACTTGAACCCAGGGGGCAGAGGCTGCAGTGAGCTGAGATCGCGTCATTGCACTCCAGCCTGGGCAACAAGAGCAAAGCTCTGTCTCAAAAGAAAATAACAACAACAACAACAACAACAAAACAAAAAACATCAGGTTTGTTTGTGGGTTTTTTGCAATTTTTTTTTTGTAGCTCATCAGCTATTGTTAGTTTATTTTATGTGTGGCCCAAGACAATTCTTCTTCCAATGTGGCCCAGGGAAGCCAAAAAATTGGACACCCCTGTTCTAAATGTTTATATGGTACATTCTTTTTTGAGTTCAGCGCGTCTGTTAGATTCATTCGTGTTGTTACATGTATCCGCAGGTCATTCTGTTTGTTGTTGAGGAGTATTTCATTGTGTAAATTTCCTTTCATTTTCTCACTGCTGCACGTTTCATTTGGCTCCAGTTTTCAATTACCGTGAAAAAGTCGCTATGAACATGTTTGTACAAGACTTTCCATGAACACGTTTTTACTTCTCCTAGATAAATCCCTGAGAGTGGAATGGTTAGACCAAAGGGGAAGTGTATATTTAACTTTATAAGAAAATGCCAAATATTTTTCCAAAGTGGTCGTGCCATTTTACATTCCTGCCATCGGTTATTGACAGTTCTGGTTGCTCCACATCCTCGACAAAATTTTCATTTCTCCGATGACTAATAACATTGAGCACTTTGTGTTCATTGGCCAAATATGTATATAAAATATATATATATCTGTATATGTATACACACATACACACACACACACACACACACACACATATACACACACACGCATATCGTCCTTTGTGCAATGTCTGCATTTTTGCCCATTTTTAAATGGATTGTTCATCTTAGTATTGAATTATAAGAATTTCCTATATATCCTGAATATAAATCCTTTGTCAGATATACGTTCTAAAAATATTTTCTTCCAATTTGAGGTTTGCCTATTCATCTTATCATTGGTGTTATTTGGTGAGCAGGAGTATTTTAGTTTGATAAAGTCCAATTAATGATTTTTTAAAAATTTTATGGTGTTACCTTCCGTGACGTAAGAAATCCTTGCCTATTCCTCTTTGCAAAGATACTGTATTTTCTTCAATAAGCTTCATAGTGTTTACTTGTACATTTAGGGCTATGTCCCAGTTTATACAATTTTTGTGCATGCTTACTAATTTAGTGTATGGTATAAATTTATACTAAATTTTGTGTGTAGTATGTGTATAGTATACATTTTCTATAGGGATATCCAGTTGTTCCAGCACCATTCATTAAAAAGGCTTTTTTCACTGTTGAATTGTTTTGGTGATTTTGTCAAAAGCCAATTGACTGCAGAAATAGAGACCTATTTCTGAACCCTTTATTCTGGTCCATTTATCTATTTGGCCTTATGCCAATACCACACAGTCTTGATTACAATTGTTTTATAATAAGTATTGAGGTAGGGTAGGTTTATAAATGCTCTGGCATCAATCTGAGCTCTTTGCATTTCTATATAAATTTTAGAATATTTTGTTAATTTCTATAATTAGTGTCTGCTGGGATTGTGTTGTAAATGGATTGAGTATATAGACTAATTTGGGGGAAAGTGATATCTTAACAATACTGAGTCTTCTATTCCAGGAACACAGTATATCTCTCCATTTATTACAGTCTTCAATTTCTTTCAGCAATGTTTTGTGGTTTTCTGTGTTGAGCTTTTGCACATCTTTGGTAAATTTATGGCTAATTATATTATGGTTTTTTAATGCTATTGTGAATGACATTTTTTCATTTAATTTCCAGGTGATATTAGTCTCCAATGGCTGCTGTAACAAGTGACCTGAAACTGGGTGGGTTAAAACCACAGAAATGTATTCTCTTCACAATCTGAAGATCAGAAGTCTTTAATCTGTATCACTGGGCTAAAATCAAGGTGCTAGCAGGGCTGCATTCCTGCTGGAGGCTCTAAAGGAGAAGTCCTTGTTTGCTTATTCCATCTTCTGGTGGCTACCAGCATTCCTTGGCTTACGCCTACATCACTCCAAACTCTGCCTGTCTTCACATTGCCTTCTGCTCTGAATATGTGTGTGAAAATCTCCCTCTCATAAGAATATATTGGATGGCATTTAGGGCCTACCTAGATAATCTAGTATAATCTCCCCATCTCAATATCCTTCACTTAATCACATCTGCAAAGAGCCCTTTTCCAAGTAAGGTAACATTCACAAGTTCCAAGGATTAAGATCTGATATCTGCACAGGTGTTTTTGCAAGTATATAGAAACACAATTTGCTTACATTGGGTTTGTACTCTGAGGCCCTCCTTAATTCACTATTTCTGGTGTTTGCTTTTTATTAATTTCTTAGGATTTTCTATGTAATCAGTCACATCAGCTGAAAATGTTATGCCTTACATTTCTTGTTCTTGCATTATTGCACTGAATGTAATATATTTAGTCTTAAAAATATAAACCATAATATACAAAAAGTATAAAAATTGTAAAAACTATGGGTTATGCCATAATCCCAAAAATATGGCTTAAACCCATAATCCCAGCACTTTGGGAGGCTGAGGCAAGAGGATCTCTGGAGCCCAGGAGTTCAAGACAAGTCTGGGCAACATAGGAGACCCAGTGTCTGAAAATATATATATATATTTAAAAATTAGCCAGGCATGGTGATATATGTCTGCCGTCCCATCTACTTAAGAGGCTGAAAAGGGCAGACCACTTGAGCCCAGGAGTTCGAGGCTGCAGTGAGCCATGATCACACCACTGCACTCTAGCCTGGGAAACAGAGCAAGACGCTGTCTCAAAATAAATAAATAAACAAACATTATAAAATAATGTGGATTTAATCATTAACAAACAATTTCAAGTTCTTGCACAGTTTCACAAAGGTTAATGTGACCCAAAGCTTCACCTTTATAAAGACAACTCTCGAATCTGTATTGCAAGCCCCATCTCCCTGTGGAACTCCAAAGCTTGATTTCTAACTGCCACCTGAATAACCCATTCACACTTCAGCACCAATCATCATTCCAAAGCCAGCATTATCATCCCCTTGTAATCAGCTTTTCTATATTTGTGACTGTTACTAATAATGTCAATTGACTTTGGCTTCAACCCCATTATCTTTTGATTCCTCTTCCTAGTTTCTTCATTTAGCTTTTCATTGTTTTAAATACTCCGAAGTATCCTTTCAAAGAATCTCTCACTTCTTCCCATTACCAGGCTTTGGTTAAGGGCCCTCACACTTGACTTTCTCAACAGCCCCCTATCCAGTCTTCCTGACCCTCAGTTTCCCTCTTTACAAATTCATCCTTTTCTGTTTCTCCAGGATTATCTTTTTTGAGCCCACTTTATGACACTATAGTCTGCCTCTGTGGGTAGTAACTGTTGCTACCCATTACTTGGTCCTCAGCTTGTACTACCTCACATTAATGTTTACCTTTTATGTATGTCTGTCTTCCTAACCAAACCATGGTTAGTTGAGGGTGGGAACTGTGGTTTACTCTTTTTAAAAAAATATATCCTCAGGCCTGGCACGGTGGCTGATGCCTGTAATCCTAGCACTTTGGAAGGTTGAGGCAGGCAGATTACTTGAGGTCAGGAGTTTGAAACCAGCCTGGCCAAAATGGTGAAACCCCGTCTCTACTAAAATACAAAAACTTAGCCAGGCATGGTGGCATGCACCTGTAATCCCAGCTACTCAGGAGACTGAGGCAGGAGAATCACTTAAACCTGGGAGGTGGAGGTTACAGTGAGCCGAGATTGTGCCACTGCGCTCCAGCCTGGGCGACAAAGTGAGACTCTGTCTCAAAACAAACAAACAAACAAACAAAAACCAAATATATATATATGTGTGTGTGTGTGTGTATATAATTTGTGTGTGTATATATATGTATTTATATCCTCGACTAGGGTTCATAGGAAGTGACTGTAAATGTTTGTTAATAAGGATTATAACATGCTTTTCTGAGGGCTGGGGAGAGTTTGATAATGATGATGGTGCAAACATGTATGACTTCAGCTAATTATTGGCTTCTCCAGGAAACCACAAAGAGTAGTGTTAAGGAACTTGGAGATCTCCCAAGAAGAACTTTGCAAAAGCTTTTATGTATAAATTTAAATATAAAACTTATGAAATCAATTTTAAACATTTCCATTTCCATTAACATCTCTCATTACCTTCCTTTCTGAAAATTTCTGATTCGTTGGATAATTCTGAAAAGGGTCCCTTTTCCTGCTAAGGTAAATATTTAGAGTTTTACCTGGTGAATTGCTCAATTCCCAGCTGAACTGGAAAATTTAGTTTAAAGTAGTAAAATTATTTCATGACTTCTGGATCAGAAAAATATTTTTAACATGTTTTTACAAGTAATTAATACACAAGTTCAGAGTATAAAAGGGTTTACAATAAATGTAAGCCTCCCTCCCACTCATGACCCACTAACTTCAAGTCCTTCCTTGACTCTGCCCTTCACTAGGGCTTATCAACTCAAATATTTTCGTGGGTTAGGCATGTAACATAAATGAGTAATGCAAGTATGTCTGTTGTATAATGTCATATTAAATTGTATTCATATAATTTATTCATATAATTTTACTTGCCTACTTGCATACTTGTGTTCTTTTGCCAAAAAAAAAAAAAAAAAAAGCTCTTTCTCATTGTTTTGGAAATGGCTGACCCTCTCAGTCCTTCATTTTCTCTCACTTTTCATATTGTAATCATCCAGCAGGTTCTTCCTGCTCACTGCACAGACAAAATCATTTCACTGAGACCAGGGCATCGCAGTAGAAAAAGAGTTTAACTGATTCAAGACCAGCCTATGCAGGAGAACTGGAGTTGTCACTCAAATCAATCTTCCTGAAGGCTCTGAGGTTAGAGGTTTTTATGGACAATTTAGTGGGCAAGGGGTAGGGAATGGATGCTGCTGATTGGTTGGGGATGAAATAATAGGAAAACATTCCTTGTGTGCTGAGTCCACCTCTGGGCGGGGCCACAGGATCACTTGAGTCATGAGTCATAAGTCTCGATGGGGTGAGTCTGAAATATACCGCAAAAAAGCAGTCTTAGATTCTATAGTAATGATGTTATCTATAGGAGCAATTGGGGAAGTCATAAGATTTGTGAGTTCTGGCCACATTGATTCCTGAGCAGTAAGGGACTATAGAAACCATACCTACGTCTTAGCACAGTTCAGGCCCCTCTCATGATCCTGTTCTCTTGGCCTTTCTTACAAAGGTGGTTTTTGGTTCCTGAGCAACGAGGGAGTTAGCTTTAGGAAGGGACTATTATAATCCTTTCTTTCAAGTTAAACTATAAACTACATTCCTCCCCAAAGTTCATTTGGCTTAAGTCCAGGAATGAGCAAGGACAGCTTGGAGGTCAGAAGCAAGATGGAGTCAACTATGTCAGGTTCCTCTTGTCATAATTTTGCCAAGGCAGTTTCAATATAAGTAGTGGTTGTTTTTCCTCTTAATTTTTACTAAGAAAAGTAGAAGCACAAGCTTCATGATAAACAGTAATTGATGTGTTCAATTTCAGAAAGATGAAGGAGTGTGAACTACCGGAGAGGACATGAGTGCCTGAAGGATAAAACTACTACTTGGCTCCTGGTTCCGAGACATTTTTTGTATATAAGAATTGAAGGTTGATGTTGTTAGGCATCCTGATATTTTTATGTGATTTTTTAAAATGTGAAATTTGTTGATTTTTATTTGGCAACAAATGTAGCATTTTTTTGCTTGTTTGTTTTTGAGACGGAGTCTCGATCTGTCGCTCAGGCTGGAGTGCAGTGGCACAATCTCAGCTCACTGCAACCTCTGCCTCCTGGGTTCAAGCAATTTTTCTGCCTCAGCCTCCGAGTAGCTGGCTAATTTTTTTATTTTTAGTAGAGACAGGGTTTCACCATATTGGCCAGGCTGGTCTCAAACTCCTGACCTCGTGATCTGCCTTCCTCGGCCTCCCAAAGTGCTGGGATTACAGGCATAAGCCGCCATGCCCAGCCCAAATGTAGTGTTATTTTTAAAACACTGCATAGGCCAACACTGTCTAAACCAAACAAAACAGGTCTGTGGGCTGAATTTGGTCCAATGGTTGCAGTTTATTATACAACAGTTTGCCCTTTTTTCATGGCAACACTATGTATCTATGGGAGATCATTCCTTATCAGGACATACAGACCTAAAGCATAGGTTTTCATGGCTAGTACGGATGTAATTTATGTGTCTAGTTCCTATACATGGACATTTATACTGATTCCAATCTTTTCCCATTTCATACAGTGCAGAAATAAACATCATCATGCATACATCTTTGCATACATGGGAATGATTCCACAGGATAAATGCCTAGAAGTAGAACTGCAAAACAAGGGCTTCATAAAACATATGATAACCATATATAAATGGTGATGGTGGTTAGTTTCTCCTTTTTTTATGGTTAAAGTCTTTTATCCCTAATTTTTCTTTTTTGTTGTTGTTGTTAAAGTCTCTTGGTTTCTCTTATTTTATTTTCTAAAATAACAAGGAAGTAACGATTACAAAGACACTTTTTGTACAACCCTACAATCCCAGGAAGATCTACAGTTTGCACAGGTTGGTACAGCAAATTGCTCTCTGGACCTGCCATTGAAACAGTCACCACAATAAATAAAGAAAATTCTAAGAGTCCTGCATTTGGGAAGTTTACTATCAATGGCTAGGTCTACTCTTGGTGGTATTGTGAGTGCATGGGTCCAGACTTATGATTCTGACAATTAAGGGAAAAGGAATTGTCTTTATGCTCTGTGTATTTGTGTATGTGTGTGGCATGGGTGGGGGGCGGGTAGTGGGGAGGAGGTGAAAGGTCCCTGAAGTAAAGAGGATGCACAGGACCCTTTTATTTTAGTCCCTAAAAATTGGCTTCATAACCGTTCACAGGCCACATCCCTTTTACGGGCCCTGGTTTCCTTACAAAACATAAAAGGTTTGTGTTGGAAGGGGAAAGGAGTATTTAAAGTGATGGAGGAGAGGAGCTCAAGATGGCTGAGATCTGGGCCTGTCCAACATTGAGAAATTTGGGAGGGGAGCCATCAAAGAAGCCTGGGAGCAGCAGTTCCAGGGAAAAAGGAGAATGTGATGGCCAGAGAGCCAAAAGAAAAAGTAGTTGAAGGAGTGCTCAGCACTAGGCATCTGAACTGAATGCTGTGGCAGGCTCACTGGCCACAAACAATAGGGAGCTGGTGGAGGCCTTGACGAGGACCATTTCAACAAACTGGTGGGCTTAAAATCCGGAAGAAACAGTTGAACAAATCATTTTGACGCCTTTTATAAACCACACAAGCTTATTCCAAACCCGTTACTGGCCTAACTGATTTAAGTCCCTTTCCCATCTGATCCTCAGAGATTCTAAGGGACTTAGCCTATCCATGACTCTTCGTCCTGCTTCTCACCTCCCATGATTGCCCTAACGATGTGAAAGTGCTTTCAAACAAAGATGCCCAAGAAAGAAGGTAGGCAAATGTGCAAGCATTAGTTTGTAGTACGCTATTACTGTATTTCACCTTGCACTCTCTAGTTTCCTTCGTGCTCCCTCAATATCCAACTCTTAATAAATTCATGGCTCCCGGTGAGCATTCATCAATTCTCATTCCACGCCTTTAGCCCTTCCCGTTCCCGCCCAACTCTCGCTCCCTCCCCTGGCCAAATCTCTAACCTGCAAGGCTAATTCCGAATTCCAAATCGGAAGCAAGAGGGCGGGGCCCCGTGAGAGGCGATGGATTGCTCCAGTCCGTTCCCGACGCACTGTGCGCATGCGCTGGTCCTCCGCGGACCGTTCGTGCTGCCCGCCTAGAAAGGGTGAAGTGGTTGTTTCCGTGACGGACTGAGTACGGGTGCCTGTCAGGCTCTTGCGGAAGTCCATGCGCCATTGGGAGGGCCTCGGCCGCGGCTCTGTGCCCTTGCTGCTGAGGGCCACTTCCTGGGTCATTCCTGGACCGGGAGCCGGGCTGGGGCTCACACGGGGGCTCCCGCGTGGCCGTCTCGGCGCCTGCGTGACCTCCCCGCCGGCGGGATGTGGCGACTACGTCGGGCCGCTGTGGCCTGGTAAGTGCAGGCTCTAATCTGGCCCCGTTAATTCTGGGGCCTCTTGAGAGTGGGGCTGTCTTATCTCTATCTCCAAAAATGTGCAGGTGACTCTCAGGCCAGGCCGACGGCAGTTGGAGAATTCCCAGATGTTCTTGAGGACCCAGAATGACAGGAGCCCTGGCTGGGCTTACGTTCGGAGCCGGCTTCAATACTGGCCCTTTTCTCTGGCCCTACCCAACCCGAAAATTCTGGACGCCTCTCAATCTTGGCCCGTCTCTATTGTCCTTTTGTCTCTGCCCTTTACACCCTTGTGTCTTCAGTGTTCTGTCTGTCTCTGGTTGCCTCTTTTGCCTTTTTTCTGTCCTCTCCCTGCCAGGTTTGGCTCTGTCCATGAGTCACCTCTCTCCACATTTCTCCTAACTCTCGGTGTCTTCTTTTTCTTCCATTTCCACGCCATGTGTACATTGCATCTTCAGGTACCTGGGCTCTTCTATCGGGGAAAGGGGCGTCCGTCTCTTTCCCTAGCCCGCTGATAGAAGTCAGAACTAGAGCAATGACGCACACGGTGTCAGAGACGGTGATTCGAGATGCCCTTTCAATAGCAGCTTTTTTCTGTGTTTCGGGAGGGAGACTTACTTTTTGATGCAAGGTCGTGAACGTGGCACCACCTTTCTAATCTCAATCATTGTTGCCCTGGGGTGGTTTAATTCTAAATAGAAAATCATAGAAATCTTTTCATTTCTGTGCGTTACTATATGCATTGTAATGAGATTAAATTGGATTTTATAGGAAATTTTGTTCTAGTATCATTAGATACCTTCAAGCTTAGCTCATTGTTGCAGGCATTTGATAGGAAGTAAGATGCATCAAGCAAAATTGGAAAAACGTGGTTTTCCTGAATTAACTTCTAAGCAGTTGTTTTGAATTTTTTCCAGACCTTTTTAAGTGGTATAGATAATTTATCGTGTTTATAAGGAATGGAATGCATTCGTTAGTTTGTTTTTGTTTTGTTTTGAGACGGAGTCTTGCTCTGTCGTCCAGGCTGGAGTGCAGTAGCGCTATCTCGGCTCACTGCAACCTCCGCCTCCCAGGTTCAAGCAATTCTCCTGTCTCCGCCTCCGGAGTAGCTGGAATTACAGGCACGCGCCAGCACGCCTAGCTAATTTTTGTATTTTTAGTAGAGAGGGGGTTTCACCATTTTGGCCAGGCTGGTCTCGAACTCCTGACCTCATGTGATCCACCCTCCTCGACTTCCCAAAGTGCTGGGATTACAACCGTGAGCCACCGCGCCCGGCCCAATTTGTTTTATATAGGTTAACTGGAGTCCAAAATACAGAACTAGATGAGATAACAATAGTTAACAGTGTTAGTCAGTTAGAATTATTGCATAGGTATTTTTAATCTCATGGAATTTTAGTCTTTGAGTAAGTTCACAGCCCTTGGTATTAAAGTAAGTTATTTACAACCCTTGCATTTCTACTTCTCAATATTTAGTGAGGAAACATATCTGATTTTCTTTAAATAAAAAGAGAAAAGACTGCAGAAGATAGCATTCTCTGTTGGAGCAATTAAGATGTATAAGAAGAACTACAAAGACGGAGTTTTAAAACAAACTGATTTATAAGTGGTATTTATTTAATTGGCTGTCATTGGGCTAAATTATTTCTAAAGTTACCATGGATGCCATTGAGTCATGGCTTAAAAATGTCTCCTGGTGATGGCACAGTTTAGCTACCTAAAGAAGTAGAGATGTGGGAAGCCAGAAGCCCCAAGCTCTGCAGTTTTTCTTTTGCTATAGTTCCTTTGCATGTTGTGAAAGAATACAGTTAAATTCCTGCTCCCTAACAGATGAGAGCATAAGCATTTCTTTGGGCATACATATGTAAATACATGCTCATGGACATGTGAAAAGATCAATACTAACATTTGGGTGCAATAAATAATTGTGTAAAATTATTTTTAAAAGAATTACATATTAGGAAATGATATATTGATTAAAAGTGATAGTCAATGAACAAGAGAGTAGATTTCTGGGGGAAACCTATTTTGCATCATACTTGATTTTTAGTTTTGACTGAATATTGAAGTCTATATTCAAAATTCTTTTCCTTTAGAACTGTAAAGGCATTGCTGCATTTTCTTCTAATGTAATTGTTTATTGCTGCTGAGAATTCTTATGACAATCTGATTTTTTCATCTTCATGATTATCTTGTTTTTCCCTTCATGGAATCTGTTAGGGTCTTGACTTTATCCTTTATCCTAAATTTCTCAAGGCTTGGACCAGGTGTGGGTTTGGTTTTGTTTTCTTTTGCTACTCATTTGACTTGGCACACTCAGTGGGCCTTTCCCTTTATCTTTCTTCATTTCTGAGACGTTTTTCTCTCTTATTTTTTATTATCTTCCTTTCATTTTTCCTGTCCTTTTTCTTTCTAGACATCTCTTAGGAGGATAGTGGTCCTCTTAGATTGATATGTTATGTCCGTGATTTCCAAAGTAAGATTTGTACTCGTCGTCTGTTAAAAGGAAAAGCATACATATACCCTATGTATATATGCACACTTTTTTATTTTTAAATTATATATGTATCTGTACTAATTATTTACATTGTAAGTCAACCCTAACATAATCTTAAAGGATAAGATACAAAACATACTGCATCTAGAAGCTTCAGTACTTTCTTCCTGAATCCCAGTAGATCCTTTTGTTCATCCCACGGGATGCATTCCGCCCCCATCCTCCCACTCCCTTTGGATACCACATTACCACAGCTCTGCATCACTTAACTTTCCTCTTATGTTTTTCACCTTTTTTTTTTTTTTTTTTTTGCATTTTATGTCCTGGGGAATTTCCTTAATTCATTTCATGGTTTTACTGTTGATTTTTTTAATATTGGCCATCGCAACTTTTCTTTTCTTTTCCTTTCCTTTCCTTTCCTTTCCTTTCCTTTTCTTTTCTTTTCTTTTCTTTTCTTAATTTTCTTTTCTTTTCTTTTCTTTTCTGTTCTTTTCTTTTCTTTTCTTTTCTTTTCTTTCACACAGGATCTTGGCGTGTTGTCCAGGCTGGCCTCGAACTCCTGGGCTCAGGTAATCCTCTCACCTTGGCCTCCCAAAATGCCAGGATTACAGGCGTGCGCCACTGCATTTGGCGGCAACTTAATTTTTTTATTTTTATTTTTCCTTTTAGAGGACACCTAGCACTGAGCATTGCAACTTTTCATTTCCATGAACTTTTAAGAAAACTCTTAAAGACATGTTTAATTCTGTACACTTTCTATTGTTCTTTGATTGCTGTTTTTGAATAACAACAAGGAGTACGCCTTAGCATTTTGATGGTATCCTCTTAATAGTCGCAATAATAGTCCCCTTGGCGCTCTGTATACTCTCAAGTCTTAAATGTTTTGTATGCAGCTGTACGTTGACAGTTGAATGGTCTCGCTCCAAGTGGATCAGCAAGAACATAAAGAATCATTTAACTGGTACAGGCTGCGGCTTGTGAATTCCCTATTAACACCAAAGAAGACGTGTGAGACTCCGTACTGAAACTAAAGACGACTTGTGAGTTCCACACTGAGATCAAATAAGTCTTTATGATGGTGACAGAGAGTGGTGTCAACGCCTAAAGTTTTGGTTAATCTCTCTAAATTGAGGGGCTGACCAAAAGGGGGAACTTAACTGTATTAGACATAATTTTGAGAAACATGGGTATGTGGATGGTAATGGAGGAAATGGGTGTAGATGAGATTGCCTAGGGAGAGTGAGAAGTAGGTTAGGTCTAAGCCTTGATGAGTTCCCAACATTTCCAAGGGTAGTTGAGGATACTGAAAATGAGTGGCCAGTGAGATAGAGGTAAAGCTAGAGACTGCCCAGGGGAGAGGAATTTTCAACAATGAGGAGGTGTCAACATTGTCAGGTATTGCTGAGAGGTCAGATAAAACCAGAATTGAGCAAAATGGCCATTGGAAGCCTATGGTGCCCTCCGTAAGAGCTGTTTCGCTGAAGTGATAGAAACGGAAATCAGGCTGGGCACAGTGGCTCACTCCTGTAATCCCAGCACTTTGGGAGGCCGAGGTGGGCGGATCACCTGAGGTTAGGAGTTCGAGACCAGCCTGGCCAACATGGTGAAACCCTGTCTCTACTAAAAATACAAAAAGTAGCCAGGTGTGGTGGCAGGTCCCTGTAATCCCAGCTACTCAGGAGGCTGAGGCAGGAGAATCGCTTGAGCCCCAGAGGCGGAGGTTGCAGTGAGCAGAGATCGAGCCACTGCACTCCAACCTGGGTGACAGAGCAAGACTCCGTTTCAAAAAAAAAAAAAAAAAAAGAAATGGAAATCAGGATGGTTTGGCTTTTATTTTAATAAAATAGCTAGAGCAGGGAAATGGGGTACTTTTTTTCCCCCTTTTAAGATGAGACATAGCCAGGTGCAGTGGCTTACACCTGTAATCCCAACACTTTGAAAGGGAGGGTCGCTTGAGCTCAGGAGTTTGAGACCAGCCTAGGCAACATAGCAAGACCTTGTCTCTACTAAAATTCAAAAAAAATTAACTGGGCATGCTGGCACACACCTCTAGTCCCAGCTATTTATGAAGCTGAGGCAGGAGGATCACACTTGAGCCCAGATACGTGGGGCTGCAGTGAGCCCTGATAATGCCATTGCACTCCACGTTGGGCAACAGAGCAAGACTTCGTCTCAAAAATAAATAAATACCCTGTCTCAAAAATAAAAAATAAATATGGGAGGAGAGATTTGACTTAGATTCCTCAAAGGGCAGGAGGAAAGAGAATTCCAAACAGTGATTCACCTTTAATGGGAGAAAGATCGCTTAATTTTACATGAGGAAGAAGAGGATTGGTGGAGATACAGTAGGTGAACAGTTTTTGTATGAGGAAGTTGAACATGTGTCATTCTAATAGCTTCCATTCTCTGTGAAGTAGAGGGCAAGGTCATCTACTGAGAGTTGGGGAGGTCAAGAGAGATAAGGGGAGATTAGAAGAGCTCTTCTAGCAGAGAGTGGAAGAATGAATTGCTAAGAGAGATGAAGTAGGATTGTTAAGTAGTTTTGAGGGCCCTGTTGAGATGTGCTTCCAGTTGGGTGTGATTTTCTCCAGTAGTGCTTTATTTCCCTGGGTACAGGCAGAGAGAAAAACAATAAGGCTCATGTAGGGTTTGTATTTTGTTGGACAAGTCAAACAGAAAAGTCAGAGGACGAGGGAGTTTAGAATGTTTGCAAAAGAGTTATTGAAACGATGAACCGCATAATCTAAGGTGGTAAGTGGGTGAATAGATAAGGAGGATGTGAATAGGTAAGGAGAAGAAAGAAATATCAGATTATTGATTATTGATGGCGACTCTCTAATACAGCTATTATGCCATTTTAACCGATTAAGAAACTAAGGCTTTAGAAAATTCATAATTTGCCCTAACTGCACAGCTAGTAAGCAGTGGAAATGTGATTGGAACCAGAGTTCTTCTGACTCAATAGACTAAATGGATGTAAGGATGTAGTTGAAAGAAGGGTGAGCTAAACGTTGTGGAACCATGAGCTCTTTCTCTGGTTGATATCCCTCTCTGTAAGTGATAACATGGGTCACGCTGGATAAAACCTTGTGGTGATTGGTGACTTTCCTTTGTCCTTCCTCCTGTGCCTAGTCTGGCGAGTATCTGCCTTTCCCTTTCCTTTCTCATTGCTGCCACCTAACTTTAGGCTCTTCCCCTTACATCTGGGTAACTGAAATAAGATCACCTTTTTGTTCCCCTTCTGATTTACTTTGACCTAACATTATCTTTACTATTTTCTTTAAATTAATGTTTCATTAGTCTTATTCTACTCAGGAACTCTGTAGTTCCCCATTGCCTACGAAAAAAAGTTAAGCCTCAGCCTTATATTCAGTGACTCTTCAATTGGATATTCAGTCCAGTTTTACTCCTCCTATGAGCCTTCTATGCCAGCTCCTTGGGTCTCTTGCCCTTTCATTGTCTCAGCTCTGCACCCTTCTTTCTCTTTTTTATTCTTTTTTTTTTTTGTACTTTTTTGGTTTTCTTTTTGGTTTCTTTTTTTGTTTTATTTATTAAACCTCCATCACACTTCATCCTATGGAGTTTTGAACCACAGCAAGGTGCAGTATCATCCTGGGGCTCTGGAGGAAGTGGCAGGGAGTCCAAAATGTCACCTTAGCTTCTTATCTGGGGCCACATGTATTTCTGCATCTGCTGCTTCCCACACTCTTGCCCACAAGTGTCGCTTGTGGAAATAATTTGAGATTTACTGTCTGGCTGACCCTAGTTTCAATCTCTTTTCCACCATTTGCTAATCATTCTACCTTGGGCAAAACATAGAATTAAAAGAAAACTTCAGACAAGTTAAATTTGATGGAGTTTAATTGAGCAAAGAAAAAAAATGATCCACAAATTGGGCAGTCTCCAGAATCACCGCAGATTCAGAGAGACTCCAGGGGTGCCTCGTGGTCAGAACAAATTTATAGACAGAAAAGGTAAAGTGACCTACAGGAATCAGAATTGAGACATAGAAACAGTGAGATTGGTTACAGCTCGGCGTTTGCCTTATTTGAACGCAGTTTGAACACTCAGCAGTCTATGAGTGGTTGAAGTATGGCCGCTGGGATTGGCCAACACTCAGCTGTTATTACAGATGCATACTACTAAGTTAGGTTTTCGATTTTGTCTGCCTATTTGAGCTAGGTTACAGTTCGTCCACAAGGACTCAAATATAAAAGTACGGAGTCCTCTTCGGGCCATATTTAGTTCGCTTTAACAATTCCCCCTTTTGGTCAGCCCCTCAATTTAGAGAGATTGACCAAAACTTTAGGCGTTGACACCACTCTCTGTCACCATCATAAAGACTTATTTGGTCTCAGTGTGGAACTCACAAGTCGTCTTTAGTTTCAGTATGGAGTCTCACACATCTTCTTTGGTGTTAATAGGGAATTCACAAGTTGCAACTTTGTACCAGCTAAATGATTCTTTATGTTCTTGCTGATCCAGTTGGAGTAAGACCATTCAACTGTCAATGTACAGCTGCATACAAAACATTTAAGACTTGAGAGTATACAGTGCACCAAGGGGACTATTATTATGACTGTTAAGAGGACACCGTCAAAATGCTAAGGTGTACTCCTTAATAAAAGTTCTTATGAAATGAACTGAACCAAATCAGCCAAGTTAAGGTTCAGACAATATAAGCAGTTCAGCAGTATTGGGGTCTGATTGGTCAGAGTCTTCAGTTGGAGTATGATAGTGATTAAGGATCATAGTTCGCTGTAAAGTAGCTTGACTTAAAGAGGTGCTCGTTTTCATTGTTACCTTGTTAATACAAGTCATAATAACTTGAAAACCTGCTAGAAGAGATATAAAGATTAGAAACCCTTGGAAAACCCAAGCTTGCCATTCACCACTTAGGATGCCTGCAAACCAACTGTTAGTTGCTCCTATAAACATATCGTGGGTTCCTTTCTCTTGAGAGATTTCTTTATTGTACTTGGTGGCAGTGTCTAAGGAAACAGCAGTATCAGCCACCTTTTAAATTAAGCTTTTTGTAGTAACAGAATCAGGGGAGGGATTAGTACAAAATTCAGTTTTGTTTAACACCAAACATAGGCCTCCAGCTTGAGCAAAAAGAAGATCTAAGACTGCATGATCTTCCATTAAGTGTTTTCGTTGAATATGTATGTTGTCATGTGCCTTTCTGAGAGTAGCTTCTACCCATCTGAAACCCTGGGAGGTCTGATTGGCTACCAAATCCAAGAATTTTCCCAATATACAAATTAGTTTTAAATTCCGTACAAATGGTACTTCACTACCACCAAGAGTGAGCCCCCAGGAACCCCAGTGGAATCTTTCCCCGGTAGAAACTAGCTTATCCTCGTCTATTTCGAGGCTAGTGCTAATTTCAGTTATTGATCATTTTGGCCTCCAAGTATAAGGGCTATCATGAGAATTTTCAGGGGAAGCAATTCGAAAGGCAGGAGCAGGCCAGGCCAGATAACAAGAACCAAACCAACCAAGGAGGCAGAACAGAATATGCAGATTCTCCACAGACCCAATAGAGACCCTCAGGGGTTGGAAAAGGGGGCCACCTAGTTGTATTTGAGCAGGGATCATTCAGGTTTGTTCGACCATGAATCTGTAGCTCCTGAATAACATCCAGTGGGAAATTTACTTTTCTATGGCCCCTTTGTAGTGTGTTGTAAGGGTGTATAACCACATCTAGTAAAAAGAGACCCTACTGGATATACAAGCAATCACTTGTACTAACATAAGTAATTCCCAAATCTTGAGTATGTGATGCCTGCAAGCACAATATACGTTTTGTAGGCATCATTTGGATTTGTTTTTTATATTTGGTGTGATCGACTTTATCAGTTGAAAAAGAGTGTTGTTTTTAGTGAGTGTAGGAAAGCAAGTACTAGTGATGTTTAGAGTATCAAGAATAGCTTTCCATTCTTCCCTTGGGGTTTCAGGGTGACTCATTGGGAAACGTGGAGGGGCACTGGCACCCTTGGAATCATTTCCTGATTTTTTGGCATTAGCCCACAAACCCAACAGTTACCCTGGTTTTGTGCTAGAGCATAAGCTTGAGCTGAAGCCATCCACTGATTATGGTCCCATGGATTTTCATGTAAGGAAAAGGAAAGGATTAGGGAAAAAAATAAGGAAAACAGAAAAACACATAAGGCTTTCATGGTGGTAGAGAAGTCTTGATCTGTGATCTAGGGAAAGCTGTCTGTAACCAGGATGCTGTCTGCTTCTGGGAAGAGATTTCCCTGGTCAGCTTTACCTTAAAGTCTCCAACGGGTATATAGTACCAGGAGTCTGAGGGGGCCCTTTTGAATTGTGAGATGTGGACCCATGGTTCAAAGCCCTGAAGCTTCTCTGCACTGTGGGTGGTAAGAAGGACTTGGTATGGTCCCATCCAACGAGGTTCAAGAGTGATCTTCTTCTGATGTCATTTCCGGAAGGCCCAGTCTCCAAATTCCAGACCATGGAGGGTTTGATTGTCCTCAGTTGGTGGATCTTGAAATGCTTCCTTTACCTGGTGGAAGTATACTTTGGCGTAATACATTAAAGCCTTGCAGTATTTAGTCATATCAGAGTTTAAGAGAGCAGGAGAAGCATGAGATGCTATTATTAGGGACATGGGCCTCCCAGTGACTATTTCATAAGGGGTCAATTTATGTTTTCCAACAGGATTGAATCTGATTGCCATTAAAACCAAAAGGTAGTACCTTTGGCCAAGGCAACTCAATTGATTCAGTTAACTTGGACAGTTTCAGTTTTCAAATGCCATTTGTTCTTTCAAGCTTTCCTGAAGACTGAGGGTAATAAGGACAATGGTAATGCAACTGTGTCAGTAACACCTTATTTAACTGCTTTATAACTTGCTCAGTAAAATGAGTTCCTCTATCACTGGAGACTTTTAGAGGGATCCCCCATAAAGGAAAAACATTTTCTAATAATTTCTTAGCTATGGTCACAGCATCAGCTTTCCTACATGGGAAGGCCTTTATCCAACCAGAAAACATGCAAACTATTACAAGAACATACTGATACCCCATTGAGGGTGGTAACTGAATGAAGTCCATCTGTAAATGTTCAAATGGTCCATCAGGTGGTGGAAATATACTGCCTCTAGTTTTTCTGGGATTATGAGTTTGACAAGTCAAACATTGATTATAAGCCATTTTAGTAATGTCAGAATAGTCACCCCACCAGTATTTTTTCATAATTTGGATCACTTTGTCTGTTCCATGATGAGCTGTGGAGAGCTTTCAATAATGGAAGCTTCAAAGATTCAGGAAGGACCAGGCGGCCGTCCGGGCCCTTTGTGAGTCTTTGCTTCACGTTAAATTTACATCCTTTTAGATACCAGTTTTGTTTTTGCAAATCAGATGCGTTGCACTGTTTATTAAATAGGTCATCGTAAGGAAATTGGCTTGGATTAATCTTATGGAGTTCATTCAGATTGCGTATCTTGATGGTTCCAGCACTAGCTGATTGAGCATAAAAATCTGCTAAAGCATTTCACTGATATTTGGGTTCATTTCTACAAGTATGAGCTTCAGTCTTAATAACAGCAATCTGCATTTGTAACAGGATAGCAGAAAGGAGCTCATCTGTTTGGAGTCCATTTTTGATGGGGATCCCACTAGAGGTGAGAAACCTTCGTAGTTTCCATATCATGCCAAAATCACGTACTACTCCAAAAGCATGTCTACTATCCGTAAATATTTACTGACTTGTCCTTAGCTGTGTGACATGTTCAGGTAAGGGCAGAAAGTTCTGCAGGTTGGGCTGACTTGACTTGAAGAGTTCGCTTCTCTATTAACTCATTTTGGGTGGTAACAGCATATCCTGACTGATATTTTTTTTTCTGAGTTTTTGGCATAGGACCCATCAACAAAAAGTGTTAATTCAGGATTATCCAGTGGAGTATCTTGTATAGCAACACGAGGGGCCACTATTTCTGATACTACACTCACACCGTTGTGGTCTTCACCATCATCAGGCAGAGATAACAGAGTAGCAGCATTAAGTAGATTACAGCCTTTTAGATGAAGATAAGAAGGAGATAGGAGAAGTAATTCATAAGATGTTAGTCTACTCACTGAAAAATGCTGGGTTTGATTGGAATTTAATAGACTTTCCACAGCGTGTGGGACTTGCAAATTAAGTTCATTTCCTAAAACCAGATCTGATGAAGCTTCTACCAGCTTGGCTGCTGCTACTGCTTTTAAACAATTAGGATATGCCTTAGAGACTGGGCCTAATTGCAGGCTATAGTATGCAGTGGTCCTATGTTTAGCACCGTGTTCCTGATTATTACATTCATGAACAAACAAAGTGAAAGGTTTAGTGTAATTTGGAAGTCCTAAAGCTGGGGGCTGTTGTAAGGCCAACTTCATTTGGCTAAAAGCCTGCTCATGACTGTCTTCCCAAGGTAAAGGCTCTGGTACAGCATTTTTAGTGAGCTCATACAGTGGTGAAGCTATTAAGGAAAAATTTGGAACCCAGGATCTGCAATATCCTGCAAGCCTAAGAAAGCCTTTTGTCTTTTGGTTGCAGGTCGAGGAAAACTTTAAATAGGTTTTATCCTCTCAGGTAAGAGGGAAATCCCTTCAGCAGCCAAGTCATGTCCCAAATAGTGGACTTTTTCTTTTGAAAATTGAAGTTTTGGCCAGGCATGGTGGCTAACGCCTGTAATCCCAGCACTTTGGGAGGCTGAGGCAGGCGGATCACCTGAGGTCGGGAGTTCAAGGACAGCCTGACCAACATGGAGAAACCCTGTCTCTACTAAAAATACAAAATTAGCCAGGCGTGGTGGTGCATGCCTGTAATCCCAGCTACTCGGGAGGCTGAGGCAGGAGAATCGCTTGAACCCAGGAGGCAGAGGTTGTGGTGAGCCAGTATCACACCATTGCACTCCAGCCTGGGCAACAAGAGTGAAACTCCATCTCAAAAAAAAAAAAAAAGAAAAAAGAAAAGAAAAAATTGAAGTTTTTCCATTGAAGCCCTGTGACCTTTATATGCAAGTTGCTGTAAAAGGTAAACTGAGTCAATTTCCGGGCACTCCTTAATAGGAGAGCATAACAATAAGTTATCTACATACTGAATGAGAGTAGAATTTTGAGGAAACTGTAGTGTCATTAACTCCTGATGCAGTGCCTGGGGAAAATATGAAGGGGCTTCAGTAAACCCTTGTGGCATTACACTCCAGGTGTATTGCTGATTTTTCCAAGTAAAGGCAAACAAGTATTGACTTTCTTTATGGAATGCTAGAGAAGGCTGAGCCAAGATCTATTACTGTGGACAACTTGGAATCAGTGGGTACATTAGGTTATAAAGTATTAGGATTTGGGACTACAGGAAATCTTGGTATTACAATTTTATTAATTGCCTGTAAATCTGGAACAAATCTCCAGTCTCATCCATTTTGTTTTTTAACTGGTAGGATTGGAGTGTTACAGGGGCTGGTGCATGGAATTATGAGTCCTTGTTTAATTAAATCTTCTACAATTGGTGAGAGCCCTTAAATTGCTTCAGGTTTTAGTGGATATTGTGGTAATTAGGCAAAGGTTTAGAATGATCTGTTAGTACTTTTATAGGTTCTACACTTTTAATTCTTCCTATATCAGTTGGGAAGAGGCCCATAAACATTAGGTGTTTTCGAAAGATCAGGGGTATTACAGGCTTGAGTTTCGATCTTATCAATTTCTGCCTGTAGACAGCATAACAATTCTAGTTCAGGAGAATCAGGAAAACTCTTAAGATTATTTCTGTTTCTGAGGAAAATTTTAGGTGCCCTTTTAGCTTTGAAAGTAAATCTTGCCCTACCAAGTTTACTGGAACAGTATCACGTAGTAAAAAACTGTGTTTTTCTGAAAGGGGGCTCAGAGTTAATTGGATGGGTTCAGATATGGGAACCTCTGGAACTTGATTTGAAACCCCTGTCACAGAAATGACCTTTTTACTCTAAGGGATTTGTTGGCTTATTAAGGTGGGGTTTATGGTAGATAGAGTAGCCCTGGTATCCATAAGGACTATACACAACTCCCTATTTATTTTAACCTCTGTTTCCCCATGTTCCTTTAAAGGTATTACGGGGAGCAATCCACTGGAGAATCCCTTAGAGCCTCCTTTAAGTTGAATATTGTCAGGAGGACTAAGGTCTCTTGGGCTCCCTCTAGTGGTGAAACAGTTTGGCCTAGAGGGAGGTTTATCAGCCGACAATCCCTTTTCCAGTGCCCTGGTTGTTTGCAATACAGGCAGACATCTTGGGGTAAAGAAATTCTTGTTCTGGGACCTCTTGATTTGATTTTTTTAATATATAATTTTAAAAATATTTTCCAAAGTGTGACTTAAAAAAATTTTTTTTTATTATACTTTAAGTTTTAGGGTACATGTGCACAACGTGCAGGTTTGTTACATATGTATACATGTGCCATGTTGGTGTGCTGCACCCATTAACTCATCATTTACATTAGGTATATCTCCTAATGCTATCCCTCCCCCCTCCCCCAACCCCACAACAGGCCCCAGTGTGTGATGTTCCCCTTCCTGTGTCCAAGTGTTCTCACTGTTCAGTTCCCACCTACGAGTGAGAACATGCGGTGTTTGGTTTTTTGTCCTTGTGATAGTTTGCTGAGAATGATGGTTTCCAGCTTCATCCATGTCCCTACAAAGGACATTAACTCATCATTTTTTATGGCTCCATAGTATTCCATGGTGTATATATGCCACATTTTCTTAATCCAGTCTATCATTGTTGGACATTTGTGTTGGTTCCAAGTCTTTGCTATTGTGAATAGTGCTGCAATAAACATACGTGTGCATGTGTCTTTATAGCAGCATGATTTATAATCCTTTGGGTATATACCCAGTAATGGGATGGCTGGGTCAAACGGTATTTCTAGTTCTAGATCCCTGAGGAATTGCCACACTGACTTCCACAATGGTTGAACTAGTTTACAGTCCCACCAACAGTGTAAAAGTGTTCCTATTTCTCCACATCCTCTCCAGCACCTGTTGTTTCCTGACTTTTTAATGATTGCCATTCTAACTGGTGTGAGTTGGTATCTCATTGTGGTTTTGATTTGCATTTCTCTGATGGCCAGTGATGATGAGCATTTTTTCATGTGTCTTTTGGCTGCATAAATGTCTTCTTTTGAGAAGTGTCTGTTCATATCCTTCACCCACTTGTTGATGGGGTTGTTTGTTTTTCTCTTGTAAGTTTGTTTGAGTTCTTTGTAGATTCTGGATATTAGCCCTTTGTCAGATGAGAAGTTTCAGAAATTTTCTCCCATTCTGTAGGTTGCCTGTTCACTCTGATGGTAGTTTCTTTTGCTGTGCAGAAGCTCTTTACTTTAATGAGATCCCATTTGTCAATTTTGGCTTTTGTTGCCATTGCTTTTGGTGTTTTAGACATGAAGTCCTTGGCCATGCCTATGTCCTGAATGGTATTGCCTAGGTTTTCTTCTAGGATTTTTATGGTTTTAGGTCTAAATTAAGTCTTTAATCTATCTTGAATTAATTTTTGTATAAGGTGTAAGGAAGGGATCCAGTTTCAGCTTTCTACATATGGCTAGCCAGTTTTCCCAGCACCATTTATTAAATAGGGAATCGTTTCCCCGTTTCTTGTTTTTGTCAGGTTTGTCAAAGATCAGATAGTTGTAGATATGCGGCGTTATTTCTGAGGGCTCTGTTCTGTTCCATTGGCCTATATCTCTGTTTTGGTACCAGTACCATGCTGTTTTGGTGACTGTAGCCTTGTATAGTTTGAAGTCAGGTAGCGTGATGCCTCCAGCTTTGTTCTTTGGCTTAGGATTGACTTGGCAATGCAGGCTCTTTTTTGGTTCCATATGAACTTTAAAGTAGTTTTTTCCAATTCTGTGAAGAAAGTCTTTGGTAGCTTGATGGGGATGGCATTGAATCTATAAATTACCCTGGGCAGTATGGCCATTTTCACGATATTGATTCTTCCTACCCATGAGCATGGAATGTTCTTCCATTTGTTTGTATCCTCTTTTATTTCCTTGAGCAGTGGTTTGTAGTTCTCCTTGAAGAGGTCTTTCACATCCCTTGTATGTTGGATTCCTAGGTATTTTATTCTCTTTGAAGCAATTGTGAATGAGAGTTCACTCATGATTTGGCTCTCTGTTTGTCTGTTATTGGTATATAAGAATGCTCTCTTTTGTTCTTTGTTAGTCTTGCTAGCGGTCTATCAATTTTGTTGATCTTTTCGAAAAACCAGTTACTGGATTCATTGATTTTTTGAAGGGTTTTTTGTGTCTCTATCTCCTTCAGTTCTGCTCTGGTCTTATTTATTTCTTGCCTTCTGCTGGCTTTTGAATGTGTTTGCTCTTGCTTCTCTAGTTCTTTTAATTGTGACGTTAGGGTGTCAATTTTAGATCTTTCCTACTTTCTCTTGTGGGCATTTAGTGCTATAAATTTCCCTCTACACACTGCTTTGAATGTGTCCCAGAGATTCTGGTATGTTGTGTCTTTGTTCTCATTGGTTTCAAAGAACATCTTTACTTCTGCCTTCATTTCGTTATGTACCCAGTAGTCATTCAGGAGCAGGTTGTTCAGTTTCCATGTAGTTGAGCAGTTTTGAGTGAGTTTCTTAATCCTGAGTTCTAGTTTGATTCCACTGTGGTCTGAGAGACAGTTTGTTATAATTTGTATTCTTTTACATTTTCTGAGGAGAGCTTTATTTCCAACTATGTGGTCAATTTTGGAATAAGTGCAGTGTGGTGCTAAGAAGAACGTATGTTCTGTTGATTTGGGGTGGAGAGTTCTGTAGATGTGTATTAGGTCCGCTTGGTGCAGAGCTGAGTTGAATTCCTGGATATCCTTGTTAACTTTCTGTCTCGTTGGTCTGTCTAATGTTGACAGTGGGGTGTTAAAGTCTCCCATTATTGTTGTGTGGGAGTCTGAGTCTCTTTGTAGGTCACTCAGGGCTTGCTTTATGAATCTGGGTGCTCCTGTATTGGTTGCATATATATTTAGGATAGTTAGCTCTTCTTGTTGAATTGATCCCTTTACCATTATGTAATGGCCTTCTTTGTCTCTTTTGATCTTTGTTGGTTTAAAGTCTGTTTTACCAGAGACTAGGATTGAAACCCCTGCCTTTTTTTGTTTTCCATTTGCTTGGTAGATCTTCCTCCATCCCTTTATTTTGAGCCTATGTGTGACTCTGCACGTGAGATGGGTTTCCTGAATACAGCACACTGATGGGTCTTGACTCTTTATCCAATTTGCCAGTCCGTGTCTTTTAATTGGAGCATTTAGCCCATTTACATTTAAGGTTAATATTGTTATGTGTGAATTTGATCCTGTCATTCTCTCAACATTTGCTTGTCTGTAAAGGATTTTATTTCTCCTTCACTTATGAAGCTTAGTTTGGCTGGATATGAAATTCTGGGTTGAAAATTCTTTTCTTTAAGAATGTTGAATATTGGCCTCCACTCTCTTCTGGCGTGTAGAGTTTCTGCCGAGAGATCAGCTGTTGGTCTGATGGGCTTCCCTTTGTGGGTAACCTGACCTTTCTCTCTAGCTGCCATTAACATTTTTTCCTTCATTTCAACTTTGGTGAATCTGACAATTATGTGTCTTGGAGTTGCTCTTTTCGAGGAGTATCTTTGTGGCATTCTCTGTGTTTCCTGAATTTGAATGTTGGCCTGCCTTGCTAGATTGGGGAAGTTCTCCTGGATAATATCCTGCAGAGTGTTTTCCAACTTGGTTCCATTCTTCCCGTCACTTTCAGGTACACCAATCAGACGTAGATTTGGTCTTTTCACATAGTCCCATATTTCTTGGAGGCTTTGTTCGTTTCTTTTTATTCTTTTTTCTCTAAACTTCTCTTCCCGCTTCATTTCATTGATTTGATCTTCCATCACTGATACCCTTTCTTCCAGTTGATCGAATCGGCTACTGAGGCTTGTGCATCCGTCACGTAGTTCTCGTGCCTTGGTTTTCAGCTCCATCAGGTCCTTTAAGGACTTCTCTGCATTAGTTATTCTAGTTAGCCGTTCGTCGAATTTTTTTCAAGGTTTTTAACTTCTTTGCCATGGGTTCGAACTTCCTCCTTTAGCTTGGATAGTTTGATTGTCTGAAGTCTTCTTCTCTCAGCTCGTCAAAGTCATTCTCTGTCCAGCTTTGTTCCGTTGCTGGTGAGGAGCTGCATTCCTTTGGAGGAGGAGAGGTGCTCTGATTTTTAGAATTTTCAGTATTTTTGCTCTGTTTCTTCCCCATCTTTGTGGTTTTGTCTACCTTTGGTCTTTGATGATGGTGATGTACAGATGGGTTTTTGGTGTGGATGTCCTTTCTGTTTGTTAGTTTTCCTTCTAACAGTCAGGACCCTCAGCTGCAGGTCTATTGGAGTTTGCTGGAGGTCCACTCCAGACCATGTTTGCCTGGGTATCAGCAGCGGAGGCTGCAGAACAACGAATATTGGTGAACAGCAGATGTTGCTGCCTGATCGTTCCTCTGGAAGTTTTGTCTCAGAGGGGTACCCGGCCATGTGAGGTGTCAGTCTGCCCCTACTGGGGGGTGCCTCCCAGTTAGGCTATTCGGGGGTCAGGGACCCACTTGAGGAGGCAGTCTGTCTGTTCTCAGATCTCAAGCTGTGTGCTGGGAGAACCACTGCTCTCTTCCAAGCTGTCAGACAGGGACATTTAAGTCTGCAGAGGTTTCTGCTGCCTTTTGTTCGGCTATGCCCTGCCTGCAGAGGTGGAGTCTACAGAGGAAGGCAGGCCTCCTTGAGCTGCAGTGGGCTCCACCCAGTTCGAGCTTCCCAGCTGCTTTTTTTACCTGCTCAAGCCTCCGCAATGGCGGGCACCCCTCCCCCAGCCTCGCTGCCACCTTGCAGTTTGATCTCAGACTGCTGTGCTAGCAATGAGCGAGGCTCCATGGGCATAGGACCCGCTGAGCCAGGCGCGGGATATAGTCTCCTGGTGTGCTGTTTGCTAAGACCATCGGAAAAGCGCAGTATTAGGGTGGGAGTGACCCAATTTTCCAGGTGCTGTCTGTCACCCCTTTCCTTGGCTAGGAAAGGGAATTCCCTGACCCCTTGTGCTTCCTGGGTGAGGCGATGCCTCGCCCTGCTTTGGCTCATGCTCGGTGCGCTGCACCCACTGTCCTGCACCCACTGTCTGACAATCCCCAGTGAGATGAACCCAGTACCTCAGTTGGAAATGCAGAAATCACCCGTTTTCTGCGTCGCTCAAGCTGGGAGCTGTAGACTGGAGCTGTTCCTATTTGGCCATCTTGGAACCGCCCGATTGTGATTTAAAATGAGAACGAGATGGTCCCTTTGGTTCCTGGTCCCTGTAACTGTTGCAATTGAAGGGGCATAAGCTTATTAGCCTTTTGAGGTTTTTTTTGCTCTAGAGTCTTCTCAAAATGCTTAGCTAGGTTGGGCACGATGGCTCACGCCTGTAATCCCAGCACTTTGGAAGGCCAAGGTGGGAGGATCACGAGGTCAGGAGATCAAGACCATCCTGGCTAAGATGGTGAAATCCCATCTCTACTAAAAATACACAGATTAGCTGGGCATGGTGGCACACGCCTGTAGTCGCAGCTACTCGGGAGGCTGAGGCAAGAGAATTGCTTGAACCTGGGAGGCAGAGGTTGCAGTGAGCCGAGATTGCGCCACTACACTCTAGCCTGGGTGACAGAGCAAGACTCCACCTCAAAAAAAAAAAAAAAAAAAAAAAAAGTTCAGCTAAGGCCACCAATTCAGTCACATCTCTAACTTCCCATTGCAACTTATGTTTTTTAGTTAAACTGCTAAGTTCAGGATGGAGTCCATTTATAAGTAAAGCAGTTAATGCTGTTTCAGCCCCTGCAGGGAATACTCCTTGCTGTACTTTGAGCCCAGGATGTTTCACAAATATTTCTAAGCGACTTCTGTAATCTGAAACTGGTTCATCTTTTCTTTTCTTTTTTTTTTGCTTACAAGATTGTATGATGGACCAATTTTTTGTGGAAAAATTTTAGGAACTGAATGTTAAAAGGTTTTCAGCGATTTTTCTAGCTATTTTTGGTCCTTCTTGTGAGGAGCTCTTAGAGGGCCCTTTAAAATGTCCTCCTCAGGTTTGTCCCATTCTGCTGCTGCCATCCATTTCTGAGCTTCACCAGCCCCCAGTATCATATGAATAAATTGGTAAATTCATGAAGTCCTGGATCGTAAGCTCCTATTAGGATTCTAAATTCCTCAGTAAATTTTTGAGACTTTTCCCTTGGACCAGGGAAGTCCTTCACAATGGGGCTAAGCTCAGTTTTAGACCATGGAGTGAAAGTAGTTACAGCAGGCAGGCCTGGCTGATATAAGGTCTCACTTTGTAAGACATCTGTCTAACTTCCTTTTTTTTTTTTTTTTTTTTTTAAATCATCTTCAGGGTGAAAGTGTAATTTAACAAAAAGTTTAGTGGACTCAGAGTATGTAGGTAGAGATGGACAAAGAAGGAACAGTCCGAGTTAGATCAGTCAAAGTACAGTCCTCTTTCTTCATGTCCTTGGTCTGTTGCTTAAGCTTTTCATTTGGTTTTTGCAAAGAATCTTTTAAGGAGGCACTTTTTGATTCACTTAGTCTTTTGGAGGCCTTTGCGTATCCATGAGACAATACATCCCACTGTATTTGTGGGGGCTTTGATCCCCTTTTTCTAATATGCCTTGCAAACAATTTTATCCAAATTAAAACTTCTCCATTGTGGCCATTTTAATTCTAAGTTTTCTTTAGTGAGGTTAACCCATTTTACTGAAAATGCACATGTTCTGGGCCCATAATTTTTATACGTAAAATTAGCTGGAGTCCCTGAAGATGGAGTCCCAGACTCCTTGGATTGAGATGATCCCATTATTAAATAAGGTACTTATCAGAGGTCTGAGGCCTCTAACTGAATCCAATCCAGTTAATTATCAAATCCAATTTGATCTTGGATCCAGTCCAGGCTAAGTATTGCTTGAGTAAACTCGGAGAGCTCAAAACACAAGTTAGTGGAGCTCGGAATCTGAGAGAAAACTCACCCATGACCTCCAGTTACAATCAAGAGACCAGTGAGAGCAACGGCCTCAGTGGGTACCTCACCAGGTCACCTGGTGTTCCAGGGGGTTGCCAGAGTTTTTCTTCAAATCCCACTTCTGACACCAGATCTGTTAAAAGAAAACTTCAGACAAGTTAAATTTGATGGAGTTTAATTAAGCAAGGAAAATAAACACTTTGCAAATCAGGCAGCCTCCAGAATTGAATGCAGTTTGAACACTTAGCAGTCTATTAGTGCTTGAAGTATGGCCACTGGGATTGGCCAACACTCAGCTATTATTACAGATGCATACTACTCAGGTTTTCCATTTTGTCTGCCTATTGTGCTAGGTTATGGTTTGTCCACAAGAACACAAATATAGAAGTATGGAGTCCTTCTCAGGCCATATTTAGTTTGCTTTAACAATACTTAAAAAAAAAATTTGTAAAATAAGGATACTTAACCTTACTCGGTGTTTCTGAGAGTTAACATTTATATAGTTATGCTGTAGTGAAAACAGCTAGCGTAATGTCTGGTATGTATAGGAACACAAGAGATACCGCTTTTCCCATATCCCCATACCATTCTTCACAGCATTGCTCCTGTCTTCCTTGATTCCTCCTCCTCCTTCTTTGTTTTTTTTTTGTTTGTTTGTTTGTTTTTTTTTGGAGGTGGAGTCTCACTCTGTTGCCCAGGCTGGAGTGCAGTGGTGTGATCTCAGCTTACTGCAACCTCTGCCTCCTGGGTTCAAGTGATTCTCCTGCCTCAGCCTCCTGAATAGCTGGGATTACAGGCACACACCAACACACTCAGCTAATTTTTGTATTTTTAGTAGGGATGGGGTTTCACCATGTTGGCCAGGCTGGTCTTGAACTCCTGACCTCAGGTGATTCACCCACCTCAGCCTCCCAAAGTGCTGGGATTACAGGTGTGAGCCACCACACCCTGCCTCCTTCTTAAGAAGTTTCCAGTCCCTTGTAATTAAAGGAATTAATATTTTTTAACTACTTAGAATCAGACTGGCCCTGATTATTAGTAAGCAACTAATAGTAAGCAAGCAACTATGTATGCAACTATGAGTGTATGTTAAGATATGGTTGTTGGTAACCTTTCATTCTCTTCAGGAAGAAGAAGAGGGTGGAGCTCTACAGTCAATGTGTACATTTAAATTCTGTTCCCTTTCGAGCTTTTTTGCTACTTTCATTCTTCTGGGGATCCAGGTGCTTGAGTTGGGATTGATTAACTTCCTTAATTTCCACCCCTGTGCTGTCAGGATCGGGAGACATAGATGAAGGTGTTCTAAACTGCTAGAAATTTTGTTTTTGAAAGCAAAAGTTTGCATGCATTTTTGTTTTCAACTTTTACTTACAGTGAATAGTAGTTAATAAAATAAGTCCCTGCCTTTTCTCTCTTTGGTTTCAATTCCTGAGACCAGGATCATAGCCCACATATTAGAGTGGAGTCCCACTGCTTTGGTTTGAATCATGCCTTTGTTTCTTATGTCAGTGTGACTTTGGGCAAGTTATTTAAGTCTTTGCACCACATTTTCCTCATCTGTAAAATGAGGATAATACTAGTACTTTCTACATGGGATTGTTAGCAGGATTAAATGAGATAGCACATACTGTAACCATGTCTGGCACATAGTCAATGGTTAGTAAATGTGAACTATTGTGTGACATTGTGGTTAGTCACGTATGGGGCTGTGTTTCCTTTAGTATATTGCTCTTTTAATGTCATTTCCTTTGTACTGTTACCCTCTCTGATCTTTCTTCCATATTCATTTTTCTTTCAGTGAGGTCTGCCAGTCTTTAGTGAAACACAGCTCTGGAATAAAAGGAAGTTTACCACTACAAAAACTACATCTGGTTTCACGAAGCATTTATCATTCACATCATCCTACCTTAAAGCTTCAACGACCCCAATTAAGGACATCCTTTCAGCAGTTCTCTTCTCTGACAAACCTTCCTTTACGTAAACTGAAATTCTCTCCAATTAAATATGGCTACCAGCCTCGCAGGAATTTTTGGCCAGCAAGATTAGCTACGAGACTCTTAAAACTTCGCTATCTCATACTAGGATCGGCTGTTGGGGGTGGCTACACAGCCAAAAAGGTGAACTTGACATTCCTCCTGGTTTTCCAATTATTATATCATGATTAAGTTTCTATAGCATAAATCATTTTTGTGTAGTGGAATACAATTGGATGTTTAAACATTTATTTTGTGTCTCTACCATGGACTAGATTGTTTTAATGATGCTAATAGGAAGATGCCTTTAGAATCTTAGTTATAATTACAGGAAATTAAAATGGCCTAGTGGAAGGAGCACAGGGCTGGGAATAGGAACACCTAGGTTTGATTTTGAGCTTAGACATTTAGTAGCACAGATGTGAAAGTCAGGTGGCATTCTCACACAAGCACTTCTTGGCAGGTCTGGGACCAGAGGCAAGGCGTCCTGTCTCCCAGTCTGTCTTCCTTCTACCCCACAGTAATATTTAGGGCAAAATTATGAAACCTGTTTGAAATAGGAGTATATTCTGAATTTTTACATTTTCCATATTTAACAGAGGAGTGTTAACTTGTTTTATATGCTTGTTTGCTGAGACCACTTAATTTTGTTTCTTAAAAGTTTTGAACATAATACATTATTCTTAGTAGATTAATGTGTTTTAATTAAATAATTTTTCTTTACATGTTTATTTGGCATGCAGAGCATCTGATTGACACACTTTCTTGTCTTTTAGACTTTTGATCAGTGGAAAGATATGATACCGGACCTTAGTGAATATAAATGGATTGTGCCTGACATTGTGTGGGAAATTGATGAGTATATCGATTTTGGTTTGTATCATGAACATTAAAATACTTTTTTTGGTCATCTCGAGGAAAGAGAAATAGTTTATTGAGATAGTTTCTTAACTTATGAACCTAATATATCACGGTTTTATTTTAATGATATAAGTAATAGAATATCAATGAAAAAATCTGTATAAAAGAAATACCCAGTAGCCCATAATTTTACCACAGCTGCCACTAACTGTTTGGAGCATTTTCTTTTAATTATACTTACTATATGTGGTTAGTATCTTTTTAACTTATCGATTGAGACAGGATCTTGCTCTGTCACTCAGGCTGAAGTGCGGTCTTGGAATCATAACTCACTGCAGCCCTGAACTGGCTAAAGTAGTCCTTCCGACTCTGCCTCCCAAGTAGCCGGGACTACATGTGTGTGCCACCATGCCCGACTGATTTTTTAATTTCTTGTAGAGATGAAGTCTCACTATGTTGCCCAGGCTAGTCTCAAATTCCTTAGCTCAAACCTCTCACCTCAGCCTCTCAAAGCACTGAGATTACAAGTGTGAGCCACTATGCCTGGCTTGAGTTTTTTTCTTTTAATTTTTTTCTTTTCATGAATACTACCACAGAATAGTATTTTAGTTCCCTTTTTAAAAATTATGTAATCATGGTGAATATTCACTTTGGTATTTTGTCTTTTGCTACCTAACATATTTTGTCAGCATTTCCATGCTGCCAAGTAGCCTTTCTATTAATAATATCATTTTCTGCATTATGTAATGTTGCCCAGAGCATATTTATTGTGACCCACCTAGCTAGCTCCTTTTGATTGGATACCTTGGTTATCTCTACCTTTTGTAGCCAAGTTCTTTAAAAGTCTGTTAGTATCCAGGGTAATTTCTTTTCTTAGTTGGCCACTGCCCTCCCTTTTTCAATAGGTGGATGAGAAAAAAGTATATTGGATCGCTATGATTGCCAGTAATTCATGGTGATCTTTAAGAAATATATTTTCATCAAATTTTTTTAAAACCTTTGTCAGATTTCTTAGTTTAGGTGTATGTGGAGGTGGAATTAATCTATACTTGCACTTATTCACAGAATTTATAAAGATAAAACTGTTCTATGTTGACGAATCCATTTGCAAAAAAAGCACACTTTCAAATTGTTCTTCTAATATTAATGAGGAGAGCTTTCAAATTGATGTATTTGCCAGTACCACAGCGTAGTGGCTGAGAGCCTGTATTCTGGAGCTGGACTGCCTGGGCTGGAACCCGGGCTCCTCCACTTCCTTGCTGTGTACCTTAGTTTCTCATCTGTAAATGGTGTTGATAATAGTAGCTGTTTTGTAGGGTTGTCATGAGGATTAAACAAGTTAATACTTTAGCCCTTTATAAGAATAGTATCTGACATATTTTCTTAGTTTCATACTCTATATGTTTTGATCTTTTCCAGAGAAAATTAGAAAAGCCCTTCCTAGTTCAGAAGACCTTGTAAAGTTAGCACCAGACTTTGACAAGATTGTTGAAAGCCTTAGCTTATTGAAGGACTTTTTTACCTCAGGTAAGGAAGAAGCTGTTTGATCTAATTTAAAAATTTAAGAACCATGGAGGAAAAATACATGGATTATTTGTTTATTCCCATTTTTTTAAAATTAAAATATTTAGTACCAATGAAAAACAGGACATTTTTTAAAAAGATAAACACAAAGTTTTGTTACACAATGGTTTTAATCTTTGTGTAGCCCAGTAAAATGACAGTTCCTAAGCACTTAAACATACTTGGCTTTTAGTGAGGGGAAAAAATGTATCACTTGTTCTTGACAAGTAGATGAGACTTCCTATGTATTTGCTTTTCATAAGTGGTTGGACCAATTTGGTGGTTTTAAAACAAATTTAAGTATGATAGACCATAATGAGTAGCATTTATTAAGTTTAATCCTGGCATATTTGCCCAATTATTGCCCTATCGTAATATGAAATCTGAGATCTCAGACATCTTTGTTTGCTCATTTCTGTTAAATTTTACATTTCTATTTCCCCTTTTGCTGATTTTTCACAGGTCACAAATTGGTTAGTGAAGTCATAGGAGCTTCTGACCTACTTCTCTTGTTAGGTGTGTAAACAGACATTTTTGCTGACCTTAACATGCCTTTTAAATGCTTCTAATAAACTAGTTGCAAATAAAATTGCAGACCAAATTTATAATGCTGCTTATGCTGAATTTTAAAACCCCAGAACTATATTAGGCAAACTCATTATCCTTTAGGTGGAAATAATAAAATAATTATTTTGTGATAACACTAAAATTCTTAAATATGTATGTGTATTATAAGATTAAAGCTATTAAAAGAAAATTTACTTAGCAAAAATATTTTCTTGAAATAGATCTAATTGTTTTTGATAATTGAAATGAAAAGTAATTTTAGTTTGTCTCATCTGCCCTGTCATGGTTGACATTTAAATTTGTTTTCCGGCCGGGCGCGGTGGCTCATGCCTGTAATCCCAGCATTTTGGGAGGCCAAGGCAGGCGGATCATGAGGTCAGGAGATCGAGACCATCCTGGCTAACACGGTGAAACCCCATCTCTACTAAAAATACAAAAAATTTGCCGGGCGTGGTGGCACACGCCTGTAGTCCTAGCTACTCGGGAGGCTGAGGCAGGAGAATTGCTTGAACCCAGGAGGCGGAGGTTGCAGTGAGCCAAGATCGCGCCACTGCACTCCAGCCTGGGCGACAGAGGGAGACTCTGCCCCCCACCCCCAAAAAAAAAAAGAAAAGAAAAAAAAATTGTTTTCCTGCTATACATGGTCTGTAATGCCAGTGGTATGTGGCTGAACTGTAAGTACTCTCATGTAAAATAATCCTTACCAAAGATTGTCTTATTTTTTTATTGTAATTTTCAGTTATATATTTTTAATTGTTAGGTTAAACATATGCTGCGATTGCTATAGTTAGTTTTTTTTTTATTTTCTGCACAGGTTATCAGTCATGTTCCTTAAAATAAGAATAAAGGCGATTTGATTCTTTGAATCTGAGTTGCTCTAAAAATCCATTCACCTTTTCATTGACTCGATGTAATTTGAAATTCAGCTTAGGCTGTTGACATCACTGGAGAATGTAAAGGGTTGCATATTTATCTTTAAGGTTCTCCGGAAGAAACGGCGTTTAGAGCAACAGATCGTGGATCTGAAAGTGACAAGCATTTTAGAAAGGTAAGTGTAAAAGAGAATTGTTCATGTAGGTAGTCTTGAAAGATTTTTTAAAGTTTTTACTTCTTTGGAAGATTTTAAAATGATAACATCTGAGAAGCAAATACAAAAACATCCAAGTAGAGATATCGTTACTAATCTTAGTGCAAAGTACAAGGTATTACGTGGCAGTTCTGGAAATATAATTGAGAAGCCCATTTCTTTCACATATGTCCAGTGAAGCATTAGTTTCGAGGGTTGTCCCCAAGAAAGAGTTGTGTTGTTAAGTGTGTGGGGGGAGAAAGGCTCGTTTAGACAAGGCAAGCGGACTTCTTTTCTTTCCCTAGGACCTCTCATACTGTAATATACTCATGCGCATTGTGAATTTCCAAGGAGTCAAAGCATACAGTGTTTTCCCAAATTATTTATCAACAGAACCCTTTTGCTCATGGAACGTCGTATAGGGACTAGATTTCACTTTGGGGAAACTAGAAAGGGAATAGGAATTGGGTTATTAGGAAATAAATCAATTCCCTGATATTGATAGTTAACAAAGTTATGTATGGGGTTATTTATGGTATGTTATTTTCAACACATATTCATTAACAAAATCCATATGAAAGTTATAGGAGAATTGCTGAGGTAGAATAACATACTTTGTTTGTATTTATAATACTCATATATTTACCTGACGTTTTCTGAGTCTTCACTTTTTTCATTCTTTTGGAATTGGTAAAATAACTGATTCCTTGAAAGTTTTTTTCTAAATAATACCTAGATAATAGATTTATAGAAAAAATATTGTATGAATGTTTTAACATTCATGTAATATGGAACATGTAATTTTTATACTGGAGGTTATTATAGTTTTAATACATCAAAGAAATAATGTTTATTTTGGAAGCAGAAAGAAGAAATAATTTCTATGAATAGGTTTTCATCTCTTTCCTTGTTCTTCAACTTTGAACTTTTTATATTCCAAATTTTAATTATATTTCAAAAGATTTTTTTCTTTTGCCTTTTAATTTTATCTTTTGGAGAAAAATGTATGTCAAAATGTATGTACGTGTATTTGTCTTTTGATTTGATCTTTTTTGACCCTCTTTTGCATTGACATTATTTTAACCAAAGGACACTCTTGATTGTTCATGCTACTGGGGGAAAAAAAAATAAGTAGAAATTAGCCTAATAGTTGTGGCTTATTTTGAGTGAAGGCCTTAGCCCTTAAGGCAATTAAATTTACTGTGGAGAGAAGAGCTAATCTAATGGGGAGAAGGAGCCTTTGTTACAGGTGTGGTAGTGTGGTTCTTTGAGTGACAAGATTTCTGTTTGCCAGATTGGTTAGGAGAAGTCTGTGTGTCTGCTTTCTCTCTTATGGCCTAGGATCACTGTGGTGAATGAAAAACCTGTCTCAGGGCCTGACTCAGATAATTCCCTTAAAACCCGGCTAAGGTCATAGATGAATAATCAGTAATTGAACAGAAGCTCTGCAATAGAAAAGAAGCCAGATAATTATTTTTGGAAATTTAATTATATTTACAGATTTTATTTTATACAGTAGACATGGAATTAAATTTATTACATTATGTTCTAATTTACTCTTTGCTTGTTTTGATTTGCTTGTTTGACAATACATGTCCTTGTAAACTATTTCCTTTTAACTTTTTCTCAATTTATGGTGCTTATTTTCCCCATTAAAGACTTACCAATTTTTTTTTTAACTATTTGTTACACATACTGAATCTAGAGTTGTAATTAAGCTACTTTCATTACTGGTTAAGTCAAATTATAGCAAATGCTACTATAAAAATTTACTATCCAAAAATGTGTCTCAAGCCCCAACTGATGGTTTCAAATTCTGTTATTAATAATATGCAGCATTGTGTTTGCAAAGCTTGGCTGTTACTTGTGATGCTTGAGAATGATGAGTCACTCAGCTAAACTGAGTGATTTTGAGACTTGTGTACAAATTGATGGTTGAATGTAAGCATGCAAAGAGAGACCTTAGCTTAGCAGTACCCTTTTTGAAATCACTCTGACATCAAGTTTGAAAATGTGGGCAATAATCAGAGGTGGTAAGGTGGCCAGGCTTTAGCTGAATACTTTTTTAACTGGTTCAGTCTGAGGGCTGAAAGCCCCAGATTTAAACAGTATTTAGAATTTGAAGCAGTCAAGTATTAGTTTAATGGTTGTCAGGTTTGTAACAAAGTTTCTGGCTAGACTTCTACTAGAAATGTAAAAGTGCATGTGAATCAGCTTTTTAAAAAAGTAATAATAATTGAAAAACATTTCTACAACTAGAACTAAAGAAAAGATTTGTCCTTTCTAATAGGAAAACACATCTGGAGAAGTGCTGGCAACTAGCAGAACAGTTAGGACCATTCAGAATCAACTGAAGTGAAAGTGACGGGGAGCTGAGGGGAACACAGATAGTTTGACTTCAGTCAGACAGAATAAACATGATGAACCGATAACCTGTGATTCCCAGCCTGGGGTTACTACTGGAGTTTTAGGTGTCCTGGAAAGTTATAATACCGGTCTTCAAAAAGTCTACAGAAAGCATAGATTTCCACATAATGCTGCACAGGCTAACGAATTAATCAAGTTTCTTTGGTTTGGCCTGGATTTATATCCATTCAGTTTGTGGACACTACTGAATTATTTATGTCATGTTGATCAAAAGTTCTGATATGATTTGATTAATGAAACATTGAAAAAAATAGTAAAACCAACCATTTTTAACCTTACACTACTATCTTGAGGTATGATTGACATACATTAAAACCACCTCTTAATAAATGCTTCTTGTTAATCAAAAATTTGAAAACGTATGTCCACTGGAGGAAAAAAGACATAGCCCTGGATGTGAACTGAATATTACTGAGACTCGGAGACCTTCAGAACTACCTGAAGATGAATCGAAGTGCTGCCTACTTTAGAGAATTGGACTAATTTAATTTGGGAGTCAGCAGATTGCTGTATATCAGTCATCATATATACCGGTGACAAGACCACTTAGTTCATTCCCTTTTTTAGATTCTGTAAGATTATTGTGTTCCAGTGAAATTGATTTGCAAAATGAGACATTTTATTTTCTGTGCTTTTGTTCTATCATGTTTCTGATTGGTCATAAGCATCTCACAGAAGTAAGAAATATGGCGATTCAGAAGGCAACAAGCACATTTATAATTTATAGAAAATATTTGAAGGACTTTTTCATGGCCCAAATCATGAAAAGTAGTAGTATTGTTTTAAGTATAATTATTAAATTATAATACATTAATGTTCTTTCTTGCAACATATTACTCTCATTCTTTTTTTTTTTTTTTTTTTTTGAGACGGAGTCTCACTCTGTCACCCGGCTGGAGTACAGTGGTACGATCTTGGCCCACTGCAACCTCTGCCTCCCGGGTTCAAGCGATTCTCCTGCCTCAGCCTCCCAAGTAGCTGGGATTACAGGCTCCTGCCACCACGCCTAGCTAATTTTTGTATTTTTAGTAGAGACAGGGTTTCACCAGGTTGGCCAGGATGGTCTTGATCTCTTGACCTCATGGTCCGTCCACCTCTGCCTCCCAAAGTGTTGGGATTACAGGCGTGAGCCACCCAGCAGTCTGATTCTTAATTTTATAGTTTATGTTGTACCTCCCCAGCTGAAGTATCTCTTTTCTTTTTTCCCGCGTGTTTAGTGTTCACTCATCTTTATAGCATAGCTCAATTGTCACTTCATGAAGCCTTCCATAACCTTTGTAGCTCCATTAATTATATTCTTCTGAGTGTTTAAAACACTTGCCATATGAAACACTATTTACTTTGGCTTACATTCTTACTATCTAATCGGCCATTTCTGTTACTAAATCTTTTTCTCAGAGCACCTGGGATAGTCTTGTGTCTTAGTAAAATCAGTTGATTGATTTAACTCGGTAGAGTAGAGGCTGATTAAAGTAAATAAATCTGGTTGATGCCAACAAAATTTTGGTCCCCTCAATTTTTTGCTCTCATTACCTGCAAATTCTCCCTGGCCTTCATATTTGGCAACCATTGAGGAGAACAAGGCTGTAAAAGTAGTTCATGTACTTGATATTCTGAATTGGAATTAAGCAGAGTTGCTTAAGTAGGACTTGCTTTTCTGGGATTTCTTATGCAACAAATAATGTAGTAACTGGAAATCCAAGTTCAAGACACTGGCAGATTCGATGTCTTTTGAGGACCCTTGGCTTCATAGATGATGCCTTCTCCCTATATCCTTACATAGCAAAAGGGGCCAGGCAGCTCTGGCCTTTTTTTGTAAGGCCAATAACTCCAGAAACCTCATGACCTCATCACCTCCCAAAGGCCCCACCTCTCAATACTATCACATTGTGAGGCTAGGTTTCAACATATGAATTGTGGGAGACAAAAATTCAGACCATAGTATAATATTTCAAGATTACTTAAACTCTTCTCTACCAAACTCATTAACTTTTAGGTTAGCACAGTATTTTCATTGATATTTTGGTTTCTGGAGTTATTACTAATTTTCTTGATCTGATGTTATAATTAAAAAAAAACAGGACTTTGTACGTGAAATGAGACTGAGATAAGGAAGCTGATTCAGAGATGGAGATTTAAAAAAAGAGAGATGAGAGATTGAGATCTGCAGTGTCAAACTGACAATAGCCAGGAGTCAGGAGATATTAAGAGACTATATCATCTGTGATTGTTAATGATTATTTATTGTTATTTATAAATACTACTGTATTTTATATATTATATACATTGTTTTAAAAATTATTTTTGTACCATTTCTTGAAAGAAAAATGTCTAAGCTTGGGAAAATATTTATTGAAAAATGTGGTTTGTACATCTGAGGAGTGTATCTTGCACAGTAGGTGCATAGATTTCTTCCTCTTCCTGTTCCACATGGCCTTAGCTTAGAGGCTGTGTGGCCATCACTTGGTATTTAGGGTAAGACTGGTGCACAAAATCAAAGACAGGTAACCTTGGTATAAGTGTAGTATCATGTAAATAGCTTTTCTATGTCTAATTCTTGTTTTCTTCCTACTTTTTCAGGAGGTCAATTTCAGTTCATTTCAACTATCTTTACATAATAGTGCTTTAGTAACAGGCATGGAAGGAAAGAGACATGTCCCTAGAGTGTTTTCTTGAAATCTAATAGATGATTGGAGTATTTACCATGCAGTTGTGTATATACATAAGCAGTGAATTCGAGAGGAATTTTTAAGCTGTAAAAAAAAGCATTGTGTGCCTTATAGACGCGAGTGAGAAATGTGGAATATGGCTGATCCAAAGGGAATGAGTTATCTCAATTGATTAATCACAGTCAGTTACAGATTGAACTCTTTGTTCTACTCTTTGCCCCCTTCTCACTATTGCTCTTGACTAGTCTTAAGAAAGAAATGTGGAATATTTTCTCACGGCTTTGGGATTTTATAAATTAGAATACTAGTGGTATGTAAATACAGCAGGTACACTACTGTATAAACCAACATAGGAAGCCTTCTTTAAAGGGAATTGTTTGAGAAATTTGAACACTTGGATAATTTGAATAAAGGATTGTGATAAATGATCAAATGAAAGAAAATAAATCAGGTTACTCTTCTTTCTGCTTGATAAAGCAATAATTTTTTTTAAAGGTAAAAATTATGAGAATGATGAGGATAGTAGTTAGCATTGTCTTTCTTTGATAGGTTTGTTAATGATCATAAAACTGATTTATTTAAAGACATGTCTTTTTATAACTATTTTATACTGTTGTATCTGGAAACAAATATTGAATTTCATTTGTCATGTGGAAGAAATCAACTAGTTTTAACCTTTGATTTATAATAAATCAACCACTTTCATTTATTGTCTAATACTGGCAATGAACACAGCCTAATGTATCAAAACTAACAGAATAAAAATTCTCCAAGTTATATCCAGACTTTAAGACACTTTCTAATTATATAAAATAAAATATTTTGGGCAGTCATTTTTTAACTCTGAAACTATTTAAAACTCCTAATTTAGAATATCTTAATAAATACCCATTTTCCTCTTTTTATTTTTATAACTTGGTAAAAATTGAGTCCATTGTTTTCCCAGAACGCTGTTCTTAAACAAATGGTTACCTCCTTCATTAGAACTTTACTTTTTTTAGGATTTCTAATTAAGAAAACATTAGGCTTGTAACATTGTCAAATCTTGGTGGTCTTTCTTCCACGTTTTTTGAGGTCGATTATCTAAGAGGCCATCAGTTAATAAAGCTATGCAGGAAATGACATCATGCCACATGTGAATATCCTGTATTAAAAATTGTATCAATATACTATTTTATAATTATGAAGTGGAATGAATTTTAGAAATAGAAAAGGTGATTTTTTGTGCATAGGTCCAAACTGTGTTTTGTTTTCATTTCAGAATTTCATAATAACTATATTGTCTCCATATCTTAATTGTGTTTTTTTATAGCACTTTTGTTTAGTAATTTGTATATGCTTGGCTGTATTCTCAGAGGCTGTTTCTATTTAATGTTGTCAAAACAGCTCATAAAAAGTGAAAATTCGGTCAGACTAGTTATTTGATATTATATATGAAATCAAAACAACCTGAAACATTATCTTTTAATTTAAATAAAGAACCCCAAATTTTAATCAAATGTATGCAAAGGCACATAGAATATATGACTTAATGTACAACCTTTATTAACTTGATGATGGAAACCTGTTCCTAGGGACCTTTACTTGAATAAATGAAATATCAAGAAAAAATACTAACTTAAGAATAATAATTTAATAAGTAAGTAAGCTATTATGATCTTCAATCAGTCCTGAGAGAATCATGGTTGAGAATTAGAAAATTTAGACCAGTAAGATCAACACTGTTAAAAAAAAAAAAAAATCAGTATTTTTTCTCCATATTTTTTATATATCTGGATCATTTTATTTAGCACTTATTATTGCACTTTCCTTTTCACTTTTTAAACTATGCTGTTTTATTTTTCTGAGACATCTGATTTACTGAGGAGGAAAATGGAAATGCGGTACAGAGCCCAAGGGTATGACGGCTTTAAATGAGTTTCCATTTCTGTTTTAAGTTAACCATCCCTCCCTAGCTTACATCTGTTCCTTTGTTGCACCCTTGGTTTAACATTATTCTCCTCCCCAATTTCCTCTTCTCCTCATTGTGAACTCGTGGCAGGGTCTGCTTGGTGAGCTCATTCTCTTACAACAACAAATTCAAGAGCATGAAGAGGAAGCGCGCAGAGCCGCTGGCCAATATAGCACGAGCTATGCCCAACAGAAGCGCAAGGTGATGGATGGTTTAAGGGGGCTACCGATACATTCACACTAATCAGCCATTTCTGCCAAGATCATGTCACCTCAATCTGTTCATGGACTCCAAATACAAGAAATTAATTTGACAAAGTGAAAATATAAAAGATGCATCATATAAATATGTAACTTTTCTGGAGTGGGTAGTATAGGTAAAGCCAAAAGAAACAAATTCAAGCAGAGGAATTTTGGTTTCTGAAAATTAGGTTGTCTGTAGGGTCCCTGTATTTATACTTAGAACAAAATTAGGAATTTCTGTTTATGTGGTCCAGTTATTGAGTCACCCTAAGTTTGTAGGCATCTTACCTACCTACTTGCTCCCCAAGTTTTTATTTCTAAAATGAAAAGCATTGCTGTAGATGACCAGTTTACACTAAAGAATAACATTTATTTATTTGTTTTAGCTAAAGTATATGGACAGGGAACATTCATATTCTTGTAGAAGAAAATTATTTTGACTTTTGGGCAAAAGCATGTAGTTCTTATACACTTTGACAAACTCATTGCGTACATTTTTCACATTAATCAAAGTCAGCACAAATAAATTTTCACCTTGGACCACGGAGGGTTTGAACACTGGAAATTTGATATAATTCTGGTTGCTAAAGAACAAGTTCTAATAAAAGCTTAAGTGTATACCAATATGTGGCTGTTGGTGCAATCAGCAGGTCCGTAAAAATATGATTTTAATGGTTAGGTAATCCCACAACGGAGATCCCAAAGTTCATGTTTGGAAGAGACTTTTGGGTCAAAGTGAAATCAGTGTAATGAATTTAAAATTATACTCTGAGATCTTGAAATCAGCTAATTATGTTACATCTTATTAGCTCAGAAAAGTTTTGAAGTTATATACAAATGCTAGTCAGGAAAAAAGATTCAGTCATGTAATTCTTGTACATTCTACTATTTAAATCAACCAATATTATAGATTATGATTTAGTGCAGTAATTCTGCTGGCTAACCTTATCTCATTTGGTGGTGGTTAGTACTTCAGAGTACTCACCATAGTTTCATTTATGTTTTCAGCATCACTTCCTGGTTTTTCTCAATTCCATGGCTGTGGAATCAATTCATATGTATATTTAGCTTCGGTGAGCAAAAACATAGCTAGAAAAAGAAAAGAAGTGAGTTTCCTACCTGGTTAAATTAAAGTCGATGTGTTAAGCCAAGGAGGACTTCTTTTGAATGGTACTTTAACAATCCCTGTTCTGTATACTGTGAATATATCATTTAAATAGCCTAATAAATTGGATGCTTAGGCTGAGCCACCTATACTTTAGTTTTGTTATGGAAAGAAGGGAGAGGAGCAAGTATGTTCTTATATGTTACTTAGAAATAAGAATGTAGCTGTAGTTACACATTGTTCTTAAGTTTTTTTCGTAAGACAACTTGAAATGAGTCCCATAGGCCTGCTATTTAACATTCTAAGATATGACTTAAGGTTAATGATGAGCTTTTGAATCTGACAATTCAAGAGATATCCATAATGAATACTGATTCATTTTCTACATTGCTGAAAGCTAATGTTCATTTTAAGCCTACTTTAGTAGCCTTTATTTGGGCTTAGAGATGTTATTCCTCTTTCTGATATTTATTGGGTTATCTGTTTAACCCTTTTATATCTCCCTTTCCCGATTTGTAAATTAGAGACTGGCAAGACTTTTTACCCTGAGTAGAGCACCAAACATGGCTTGTTTCTGCCCACACTGTAGTTACCTTGAGGGGAAGTAAATGGGACTTTAAAAGCAATTTATGCTCTTTTATAGTGAAATTATCCCTCTTACTATCCCGAAAGACTGTTACCTTACAATATCCTCCACTCCTTTCCCCCTGTAGTTACTATAGAGATGACTTTTCGGTTCTTCACTGCCATAATGATCAAAATCCTAATTCATGAGATTTTTATCATTCCAGGCATGTGAGGTTTACTTGATGCATAAAACCGCAAGTACTTTTTGTTGTTTTTTAATTGTTTTTTCTCTCTTATCTTCTTGAAAGTCTAAGTAGATCATCATTTTTGATGTCTTATTAGTAGCAACTAATAAATTTTCCCTGTATCTTCTCAGCAAAAGAACTCAAGCAGAGACAGAAGATTAGAACTACCATTGGTAGTTTTGCTTCCTATGGATATGTTCACATACATAGAAATTTTTACAATGACCTTTTTATATATGTATTTCAGAATTTCAGAATGGCCTCAATGCCTTAATAGGAAGAAATACTTGAAATTTTTAAATTAGGGCTTGGTTTTGTGAGGAGCTAGTAAAGGTTTTTCTCTTTCAGCTTTAGCTTGTTTCTGCGGAGGATTCCGCTCTTTCTCCATCAGTTTCATAGCCCTGGAATTGTAGAAAAGCTCTGGTTTCAAGACCATTGATATCCATTTCTGTCAGGGTGAGTTTTAAATTTATTTCATGATGCAAACAATATATTGAACAACAGGACATGAACTTGTTCTTGTTGTAAGTGGCTGAATTTTATCAGTAAAGCACATCAAAATAAAATATACCCCAATTGCTAGTTAAGACCTAGAGTGACAGATTGAAAATAGCTTGTGTTATTCTCTTAAGAAAATATATAAAAATTATCATCTCATCAATCTTTAATGTTTGTTTTATAAATCTAAATGTTTTTATATTGTTTCCTAGGAAATATTAGGTCTAATTTTTTACTTTACCACCAGCTGTCTTTTATTTTACTCTTTTTTTGAGACGGAGTTTCGCTCTTGTTGCTTAGGCTAGAGTGCAGTGGCACTATCTCAGCTCACTGCGACCTCTGCCTCCCGGGTTCAAGCGATTCTCCTGCCTCAGTCTCCCGAGTAGCTGGGATTACAGGCACATGCCACTACACCAGGCTAATTTTGTATTTTTAGTAGAGACGGGGTTTCTTCATGTTGGTCAGGCTGGTCTCGAACTCCCGACCTCAGGTGATCCGCCTGCCTCGGCCTCCCAGAGTGCTGGGATTACAGGCATGAGCCACCGCACCTGGCCAGCTGTCTTTTAATATAACATTATGATTAATTGTGATGTTCCATTAAACTAAGCGGAGAGGAAACATGCTGGTAAACCATGTGTGAGTTATTCATTGTACCAGAAAGGCAAATGATACATTTTATCCTAAAATTCAAATTTATAAACATCTTAACACTTGTGATCATTAAATACTACTAATCTAGCATATAAATTATATTTGTAGGCGGGGCACGGTGGCTCACGCCTGTAATCCCAGCACTTTGGGAGGCTGAGGTGGGCAGATCACGAGGTCAGGAGATCGAGACCATCCTGGCTAACATGGTGAAACCCCATCTCTACTAAAAATACAAAAAAAATTAGCTGGGTGTGCTGGCGGGCACCTGTAGTCCCAGCTACTTGGGAGGCTGAGGCAGGAGAATGGCGTGACCCCAGGAGGCAGAGCTTCCAGCCTGGGCGACTCCGTCTCAAAAAAAAAGAAAAAAGAAATTATATTTGTAATATTCTACTAACCTTATATCATTTTAACTTTTTATATAACTTTTTTATTTTACCAAATTAAGTTAACCTTTTATAGCCCTTGGCTTATACTAAACATCCTAACTTTTTTGTTTAATTGTATTAGTTTTTAAGTTATTGCCCCAGATGTCAAGTAATGTTGGATTTTCTATAATAATTTAGGATATATTGCATGAAGTCAGTTAGTATTTACATTTAAAACTAAAACAATTTATACTAATACAGTTTATACATTTCATACTAATTTAGCTACAGTTGGATAAATATTTAATGGAACAAAGTAAATCAAAGTACCTTTTCAAATGAATTGGAAATTAAATCCACATAACAATTTTTTATGACCACACTATTACAGTGTGATGGCATGCCAAATGATCATAATGTGGAATTATGTATTTCTTCATTGGCTTTCAAGATTCTGTTCTTTAGTTTGTGGGCTCCTCTCCAACTTGCTTGTCTCCTCACAGTTTAGGCGACTGTTTATAATTCTTGTCCATCCTGCATAAACACACACAGTCAAAATGAAAAAAAGCTTCTATCAGCAGATCTGTGCTTGCTGTACAGAAATGGGAAAACAATTGAAGTTTGCATTATCTTTTTTCTAATTACCAGATCGTTTTTGGAGCTATTTAGGCATACGCTTTTAAGGAAAAAAGAAAAAAAGAGTGTACCTTTTGTTTCTAACAAAGGTTGTTATCTATATTATTGAAATAAAAAATTGGGGATAGTTATGACAAAGTATTTAGAAATAGGAATTAAAATCTTAAAATAACTTTTCATAGCATGGACAAGACTTATTAATGTCTACCTCAATAAGCAAATCATTTAAAAATTTTTCATGTATATTTGCTGCCATGATGTGTTGTGATTGCTTAAATAACCAATGAATGAAGATCAACAAGGATTTAAATGAAGAAGAATATGGATTTAACTATTTTCTCCTGTGAAATAAGTTCATATTTACAAGTTTTGATTTTCAGAAATTAGACAATTATTTTTAAAGGCTGGGATGACAACTTCTGCCTCTTACCAAGAAGTCAAAGCACAGTTATGTGAATTCATCATAAATCACATCATTTTTATTATATTTTGTATTTATAATTGTATTGTGACTACTTTAAAACCTGTTATAAAATAAAATTGTTTTTTAATATTTTATTTTAGAATTATTAGCATTAATAACAATTTGAAGTAGTTTACACAATACCTGTGAGTTTTATTTTTGTTTTATATTGAAATTAATTTTAGTTGCTTTACTTGGCTTCATTGCTATGGATGCATTCTCTGTGTTACGAGTTAGCAGATCTTTCCTTGGAACTGAATTTAAAAGCAAGCATTTGGCTCCACTTAAATCTCTGAAAATGCAACTTGTTCTTTGCATTTATTACATAATTCGCTACTTATGGTACAGAAATGGATACAATACAAAAATATTTCCTTATAAGATACACTGTGACCAATGAGCTTTTTAAATAGCTGTAATCAGTAACATGTATTTGACTTTTCAAAACACATTTCTGGAGGGATATCAGTGCTTTATTTCCCCAAATATCTGAATCCCTATGCTTTAGTACAAAACAACTTCTGAAGAATTTAGTAACCATATGTGTTGATCTCTTGTTTTTCTAACTAGTCTTTCATAAGAAATGACTAGAATAGCAACAGGGAAATGATTGCCTTTTAAGGTTTTTGTTTCTCAATATAAAATTTTGGTGAACCATTTTTATTGATAAATACAGGTATTTTTACTTTCTTAAATCACTTGATTTAAAATTACTTTGATTAAATATGCATATAAAGTCAGTTGTTTTTAACTCTCAATACTTATCAAAAAAATTTAACTTGCTGTACATTCTGTATAAACCTAATTCTATTCAACTAAAATTATTTTAAACATTTAGGTGTCAGACAAAGAGAAAATTGACCAACTTCAGGAAGAACTTCTGCACACTCAGGTAATCATGATGACTAAGAAAAACTAGGGACTTTTAAAAATTATATTCGAATGTAACTTTGGTGATATGGACATTTATTTTTTCAACAGAGCAAAATTTGGAAGGTGTAATGATAGAACCTTATTATTATCGATAGATGCAAAAGCTAATTGAGAAATAAGGAATAAAGACAGAACTAGATAAGTATGGAGTTAACTCATTTATATGTAAAAACCTATTTTGAGTGAATCTTATGCCCAAAAGGGAGAAAGTGGCTTGTCCTTATATAAACTTATGCTTGCATTTTTACATTGATAAGCTAATACAGTTAAAGAAATTCGAGTTGAGTCTACCACATCGTTCTAGTGGGCTCTCAGGAACCTTTACTTTGCTTCGCAAGTCTGAAAGCAGTCAGACAATGCTTATCTAAAGCTCTTTCTGGCACTACTTAGAAAAGCTATTTTCTTATAGTTGGTGATAAAATTATTACTTTAAGGACCTATTTTGTGCAATGTAATGAGTGGGTAACATTCTAGTACAAAATTACCCTATCACAGCCAGGCACGGTGGCTCACGCCTGTAATCCCAACACTTTGGGAGGCCGAAGTGGGCGGATCACAAGGTCAGGAGATCGAGACCATCCTGGCTAACACAGTGAAACCCCTTCTCTACTAAAAATACAAAAAATTAGCTGGGCGTGGTGGCAGGCGCCTGTAGTCCCAGCTACTCAGGAGGCTGAGGCAGGAGAATGGTGTGAACCCAGGAGGCGGAGCTTGCAGTGAGCCCAGATGGCGCCACTGCACTCCAGCCTGGGCGACAGAGCAAGACTCCATCTCAAAAAGAAAAAAAAGTTACCCTATTACTCAATCATCAGTTTTTCTATATAGGTGACACTGACATGCATTAATTAACTTATTTTTTAAAGTTCAAAGAGTTACTATCAGCTGGGCATGGTGGGTCATGCCTGTAATCCCAGCACTTTGAGAGGCTGAGGCAGGAGGATCGCTTGAGCCCAGGAGTTTGAGACCAGCTTGGGCAACCCGGAGAAACCCCGTATCTATAAAAATTTTTTTAAAAATTAGCCAGGTGTGGTGGTTGTGCCTGTAGTCCCAGCAACTGGGAGGCTAAGGCGGGAGGATCACTTGAGCCCCAGGAGGTCAAGGCTACTGTAAGCCATGATTGCTCCCTGGCCAATAGAGCAAGACCCTGTCTGGAAGAAAACAAAAAAGAATAAGAAAAAGAGTTAATCTTGGATCTCTTTTTTGTGAAAAAGTGAAACGACTACAAGTTGAATATCTCTTATCTGAGGTGCTTGGGGCCAGCGTGTTTTGGATTTCAGATTTTTGAATTAGGGATAATCAGTCAGTAGTATGTTTTGAGTCACAGGTTTCTTTGGTATCTATTTATTGAGTCTCAAACCTCACTATACGCTAGACTCACCTGTGCTCTGAGTGGCACTATATCTATGTTTTTAAGGGTTCCTAGCCAGGTGATTCCAATCTGCAACCAGGGGTAAGAGTCATTGGTCACAAAGCATAGCCTCTGGAGCACATTAGAAATGCACATTCTTGACCCCATCCCATACCTTCTGAAGAATCAGAAACTCTGGGATGAAACTCAGCAATCTGTTTTTAAATGCCCTCAAGATAATTCTGATGCATTCTAAAGTTTGAGAATTATTGTTCTAGAGCTTTGAGAGACAGCTCAATAGCACATCTCTTCAGGATGGCTACAAATTGGCATCTGTACCAAAATGTTTCCATCCCCAGAAAATGTAGACCCCAAAATTGATTTTGTGTTTACAAAGAAATGAGCCAGTGGAAATTCTACCCTCTTATATGCCTTGATACAAACCCTTCAATTTGTGCAATTGTAATTGTCAGTCACTAGGCACTGATAGACTGTATTATGGAGAATTCACTGGGTTATCTATATCAATGATGTCCAATAGAAATATACAAGCCACCTGTGTAATTTTTAATTTTTACATTAAAAAGGGGTAAAAAGAAACGTGGAATTAGTTTTAATAATATATTTAACCCAGTCTATCCCAGATAGTATCATTTCAACATGTGATCAGTATAAAAAATATGAATGAGGTATTTTACACTTACAGCACAACCTCACTTCAGGCCAGCCACATTTCAGGTGCTTGATAACTACATGTGGCTAGTAGCTGCCGTGTTAAACAACACAGATCTAATCCTTAGATACTACCAGAATTTTGTTAAATATACTATTACTAGATATAAATGAGTGAGTTTATGTAAAAATATGTTTATAGTAGAGTCTAGCCAGTAGTTCTGCCTGTCTCATACTATGTAGGTGTTCAATTATGTATGCGTTCTTTTAATTTGGCTTGAGTTGGACTTGCTGTAAGGATAGAACCATGATTTCCTGTTAATTACTTTGTTCTTGAAAGATTCCAATAAGCTAAAAAAATTGTAAGGAATATTTTTTATTATAAAAGGCATATTATAAGTTGGACATAAACATTCTGCTGGTTGTAAGAATGGGTTATTTTTAATAGTTTTCTCTGTGTTGTTAATGTTTAGAGAAGAAATAAAAGCTGGGAAGACAAATTAGAAAGGATCAAATTTATTTGAGACGGAAAATGTGTAGACAAGCAACTACTTACAAAAAAAAAACCTGTTTAGACATATTAGTCTTCTTTAAAAATCTGTTTTTATATGATTCTTTTTGATTTTGGTGTTTTGTTTTGTTTTTTTGTCAAGTAGTTGCTTGGCTACACATTTTCCTTCTCAATTAAATTTGGTCCTTTCTGATTTGTCTTCCCAGCTTTTTTTGTCTTCGCCAGGCTGGAGTGCAGTGGTGCAATCTTGGCTCGCTGCAACCTCCGCCTCCCGGGTTCAAGCGATTCTCCTGCCTCAGCCTCCCTAGTAGCTGGGACTACAGGTGCCCGCCACGACGCCTGGCTAATTTTTAGTAGAGACAGGGTTTCACCATGTTGGCCAGAATGCTCTCGATCTCTTGGCATCGTGATCCGTCTGCCTCGGCCTCCCAAAGTGCTGGGATTACAGGTGTGAGCCTCTGCGCCCAGCCTATATCATTTTTTGAAATAGTAATATATTATCTCTGGACATGGAAACATAACAAAACATAGAAGAGTTTGAGCCTCTGACAGCCCTCTATTCAAAACCCTGCTCCTCTACTAAGTGACCTTGGTCAGGCTCTCAGATATTCCTCGCTCTTTATTCCTAGTCTGTGTAATTCCTGCTTTATGGGGTTTTTGTGAAGGCTAAGGGAGTTAATGCGTTTGCACCACTTACTAAGGAGTCTGTCACATAATGCATGCTTGGGTACTGCTAGCTATTATTTTATAGCATCTTAATTAAAATCTAAAATAATGTGAAGAAAGGGAAGAATTTGAATTTTTGTTAAGTGGCCCTGTAATGTGAAGACTTAAAATTTTGATATAATAGGAAATACTCCCTTCTAGAATGTATTTAAGAACTACTTCTTTAAATTCTTACGTTTTCACTATTTCAAAATAATTTTTTCAATGTGAGTAGCAAGGAATTTTCCAAGTGAAATTCTTAATTATGATAGAAAATTACAATGATTTCCACTGTTTGTAAGAGATAATAGTCATTGTTTATTTTATTCCTAATGTTTTCGTAGATGCTTTTAAAATGTAATACATTTTAAATAGGAGATATGACTTCAAGATTTTGGAAGATTTTAATTTAGACTTAATACTATTTGATAACCCATCTTTTGCTTATATAGTTACACTTATTATTTTATTGCAGTTGAAGTATCAGAGAATCTTGGAACGATTAGAAAAGGAGAACAAAGAATTGAGAAAATTAGTATTGCAGAAAGATGACAAAGGCATTCATCATAGAAAGCTTAAGGTATTCTAAGTTTGTCTTGTTTATTCTCAAAATTTTACCGCTTAACGTTGTGTGTTCATCAGTACCAGTTTCTAAGGAGCTGTAAAGTATTCTGTCATCCTTTTCTTTCTAACCTAATGTGCTTGGAGGATGGAGGATCTCTTCCTATATTAAGACATTTTATAAGTTGTAGTCTCCAAATACTTGTTTTATACTATGCCCATAAAATCTTTACACTTTTAAGAGTTATTTCGTGTGAATCAGTTTATTTTTCTGAAATATCTAGTTTATCTCTAGGCTTAACTTTTACATAAAATTTTATATAAAATCAGAATTGTTAATTGATGGACATGTAAGTGACTTATCATCATTGCTTTACTTGTATGCCAGTGAATGATTAGACCACTTTCTTCAGTTTTTAAAAAATTAACACTTTTCTTCTAAGGAGAGCTTTCTTAGGCATTTCAAAGAACTTTCGAAAAAGTGTGTGCTGGTATTGTTACTATCAGCACATTGGTGAACTTATTTACCAATAAATCAAGTCTTACTATTCCCCACCCAACTAAACCACATGTGCTAAATTGAATTGAAACAATTATTTAACTTAAATCTCATATAAGTAAGCAGAGTTTATATGTAGCAAAACTGCAGTAAATCATGGCATGTACATTCTGTAGTCAAGGTCCAAAGATAATACAGTTCTAGCTTAACAAACATGCATTAGTAGCTTTGACTATAAATCATGACTGCATAAAACAGATAACATGACTATTTACAAGTGGCACTTAGAACTGAGAAAAGTCATTTCCAAGTGCTAATATATGTAGAGTTTACCTCAGAAACAGTATTTTCTCTCATAAAATGCAGTGGCAATTAACATTTTTTGTTTATTTTTAGGCTGGTGGGTTGGCAATTGCTTGCCATTTAATTTTTTCTAGGGATTAAGAAATGAAAGGACCCTTAAGCCATCATTTTGCTCCTGCCTTAGCATTAAAACTTATCCATAATTATTAAATGCTTGATGGTACCCCTTTTTTTCAGGCCTGTGTATTTTTTTGTTCATTCATTCATCAAATTTACATGAAGCTTGTTACACGCAATGCAAGGCACCACATTCATTTCTGATTCTACAGCAAGAAACGATACAGGATATTTGCCCTTGCTACACTCATATTTCAGCCTGCCCAGTTGTCAGTGGATACTTAACCACCCTTACTGGTTTAACAGTCTTCCTGGTTTATCCTTTATTCAGATGCTTGCTTGCACGTGCTCTCTGTCCTCTCTCTTTCTCTCTCATGCATGCCTCAAACTTAGCAAAGAATAATTTCATTGTCAGTTGGTTACCTGACCACCTTTTTTTTGCCTTTTTGGTGTTAATGGTCTTTTCTTGCATTCAGTATTAGCTCATCAGTATTAAGTAATAATTTCCATCTTATTTAATTAGAATGTTAGGAAATCCTGAATTAATTTACTTTATTAAATCATTGTATCTAAATAAACTGAATGAGAAATGGACTTTTAATCTGTACCGTTTTAGTTTTTACGATGAAGATGTATTTATGTAATTTGAGAAAACAGTACAATGATTATGGAAAAACAATTTGAATTTATCACTTTTTTCTCTTGACACATCTGTTATATTTTTTTCTTTACTTTTACTGTTTTATATTATAACTTTTTAAAATTTTTACAGAAATCTTTGATTGACATGTATTCTGAAGTTCTTGATGTTCTCTCTGATTATGATGCCAGTTATAATACGCAAGATCATCTGCCACGGGTATGTGAAAAATTGATAGTGAACTTGCCAATTAGCAAAAAAAGAAGCAGCTTAGCTTCCTAAAAATTATGTGTATATATGTACACATACACATATATACATACTAGATGTAGGCATTTATATTTTTTATGTAATCTTACATGTTCCAAGTAATGTCTTAAGCAATATTATTTGACTATTTTAGTTCATTATAAATATTAATAAATATAAGTACATTATATTTATGAGTTACTGTATGTGTTATAAAGGAAGATATTTGGCTTTATATGTCTTAATATTAGTAATATTTAAATACTGAACAGTGGATTAAATTAGCCATATGCGTGAAATTTAAGCTAATAGAATTGAAAATGTGTTTGTAAACAGTAAACTAGCTATGGAAAAGATTTATGGAAAGTTAATAACCTGGTTTTAGAAATACTGGTTTAAATTAGCACAAGTTTTTAAAATAAAAATTAGGCTATAAACAGTGGATCCAGTTATAGTTTTGCTGTTCCTATTTTCAATGTGCACACATGCATCAATCACCATTTTTTTACGGATTTTAAAATATTTTTTCACCTGTAGAAATTTTAAAAGACTAAAAAACTCAGAGCAGCATTACAAATAGGTTTTAATTTTAATTTGGTATCAGAAAAATATGAATAAGTGTTCTTTGTTTTGTGGGAAGGTTGTTGTGGTTGGAGATCAGAGTGCTGGAAAGACTAGTGTGTTGGAAATGATTGCCCAAGCTCGAATATTCCCAAGAGGATCTGGGGAGATGATGACACGTTCTCCAGTTAAGGTAAGAACATAGGCCGTCTCAGTGAGGTTCCTTAGGAGAGTAACTGCTTCAGTGAGACCTGTTCATTGTGTTGAAATGAGGACTTTTAACCAAAGAAAGACTTGATACATAGTGTTTGGAATGATCCCTAGTGTGGAAATCAGTAGAAGGCACAGCCAGGAGGCCAGTGTGGCAGGAGCTGAGTGAGGGGAGAGTGGTAGGAGAGGATGACAGAGACCCAGTTGGGAGGCCTTTGGATTTTATTCTGAATAAGATAAGAGAGAAGTTAAGAGAATGAGAATATTGGAAGTGGAGTCAATGAATATAGATAATTTTCTAGTTTTATTGTGACAAAAGAGCAGAGAAATGAAGCAGTAGCAATTGAATATTGTTGAATTAAGGGAAGGTTTTTAACCCTTTTCCTGTTTAGAAAAAAAGTGCAGCTCAACACCAGTGCTCATTTAATTTTACGTAAACACACTCTCTGAAGCTGAAGCAAATCTGACTAATTTTCAATGTGAAAATAAAATATAAAAACTGTTCTTAGAGTTATTTCTAAACAGTACTAACATCAGAATCGTCCCAATCATCAGAATGTCTGTTTTTTAAAAGTCAGATTTATCAAATCAATCTTCGGCCAACAACTTTTTGAGAATGATGTAAACATCACACATAGGAATTCCGCATTTTCTAGGATTTGACATTTTCAGCTATTGAAAATTACTATATTTTGTAAATGGACGTACCGCTACTAAAAACAGAATGCTTGAAATAGAATGTCTTTTGTTTCCAAAGTCAGTACACTAGAGCTATGTGAAAATAATCATAAAAGTGAAGATATTTTATGGCAGAGTTATGTTGGGGCAAATGCTGCAGCTGCAAGCGGTGCTGGCAAATATTGTCGGAGCAAGTGGGAAAAGGATTAAAGATGTTTATATGCTGATTATAATGATCTAATAAAGGGGGGAAATGATGCAAGAGAGAGGGAAAATTGCAAGAGCAAAGTTACTGAGGTGAAGGAGATTGTGACTTGGTGTACTAGTCCATATCTGGGAGCACTGACAATTTCTCCAGGGTCACAGGAAGAAGGTATGGGGCTGCAGAGTCTTTCATTGAACAGATATTTACGGAATGCTTAATATGTACCAGTAGCATTCTAGGCAATATGTTGGTAAACAGCAACAACAAAGAAGAACCTTGCCTTAATGGAGGGTATGTTCTAGTAGAGGGAGACAGATAATAGATAATAAATATAATACATAATTGTATAGTAGGTTAGAAGGCAATAGTGTTGTACAACAAGAAAAAGCAGAACCAGGCAAGGAGAATGAGGGTGCCAGAGTATTCATAGATTGCATTGATAAGGTGGCATTTGAACCAAGATTTGCAGAAAGTGAGGGAGTAGTCCTGAGGATATCCTGTGTTCAGCAAGGAGAATAGCTGATGCAAAGCCTCTGAGGTGGTTGTGTGGCTGTCATGTTCAAGGAACAACAAAGAGGCCTGTGTGGTCAGGTCGGGGTGAAGAGCTAGCCATGGTCGGGGCAAATGATGACATTAGAGGAATAATGAAGAGCGGGGAGGAACAGATCAATAAGGCCTTATAGGCCATTGTACAGACTTCCGTTTTAAGTAAAATGGAAAGCCAGTGCAGGATTTCGAGCAAAGTAACAAAAGTGCCTTTTAAAAGGCTGCTCTTTTGAAAATAGTTGTAGCCAAGATGTAGAACCAGGGAGTCTAGGCTACTGGAGTATCCAGGTGATACTTGGGCTAGGGAAGTAGCAGTGAAACTGGTAAGAAATGGATAGATTATAAATGTGTTTTGAAAGTAGAATTAACAGGATTTCTTGACAGGTTTGATATGGAGAGGGGAGAGAAGAAAAGCAATGGGGAGAGAGAGAGAGAGTGTCAATCATCAATGATGCCTCCAGGGTCTTTAGCCTGAACAAATTGAAGGATGTAGTTTGCATGGAAGTCTGTCAGTGGATCAGGTTTGGGGGAAGAAGATCAGGAGTTCAGTTTTGGACTTGCTGAGTGGTGATAACAAGCAGTTGGGTATACAAGTTTAGACAGAGGTGTGGGCCAGAGACATACATTTAGGAGTCATGATCAACTATCTAAAAGTAGTATTTAAAGTCATGATCTTACTGGAGAAGATCTTCAAGGGAGTGAGTAGAGATAGAGAAAACACAGAAGCAAGCAGTATATTCTGGGCACTCTGAACATTAAGATGTTGAGGGAAGAGAAAATAACAAAGGAATGTGTGAAGGCCCAACCAGTATAGTAAGAGGGAAAGCAGAGCAGGACAGTGTGCGCAAAGTCAGGTAAACAAAAAGAAAACATGGAGGAGGAGGGAGTGCTCAGTGAGGTCACATGCTGCTGATCCATCAAGGAAGGTGAACATAGAAACCAGTCGTTGAGTTCACCAGTGGAGGCAAGAAAGGGGAACGTGTGGAAGTTTCCTTCTGATTGCTTCCGCTTACTCAGTGAAATACTAAGCCAGATGATCAGCTGTTAATTAGAAAGGAGAAGAGATTAAAGACTGAGGCAGGAAGAAAAAGTGAAGTCTGTTAACAGATCGTGGTGACTCTAGGAGTGAATCAGTGGAGAAAGTCAAGTGATATTAGGATTACTGAGGTGGACTGAAGTCCCTTTAAGTTCTGTGGACATAAATTTTAAATGAATCATTATGATTGTGTTTTGTTTTTTTCATGTTTAGCTGGTGGGGGGTAGGTGTAGAATAATTGGAAGATTGAAATTACCAAGAATTATGGCAAGAATAGTGGGAGAAAGACAGTGAGGCTGATGCTGAAATCTTCAAGAAATGAAATCTGTTTACAAGTGCAACAGGGTATGGGCAGCCTAGTGTGATTCATCTAGATTGCACTTTTGTGGGTCTAGCTATGGATTGAATCGTGTTATGTGTTACTAGTTCTGTGTGTGGTACTGTGTGACTGTACCAGACTTTACATATCCATTTTACTACCGATGGGAATTTGGGGTACATCTAACCTAGAGAAAAAAACAAAATGAACCTCAGACTACACCTCATATCCTGTTCAATAATCAGTTGTAAAAACATGGGAGAGAAACCTACCTTTTACATTGTTACTAGCATCCTAATTGTAGAAGCTGTGGATGATACTTCAAGAAGAAATTAATTTTGTTTTGGCAGGCAGGGTGTGGACAGGTTTCCTTGAAACAGATGAGGCTGGTCTCTTTCCGGTTTGTCATTAGTCCCTTAGTGTTTACTAGAGCTTCTCCTTGACCAACCCTGAATTCCAGTTTTTTGTTTCCCTAGAGCAGTGAAAGTGCCAAAACCCCAGCTTAGCATTTTAACCTCCTTAGCAGCTTCTTTCTGCTTGGTTTCCTAAAATGTGAATGCCGTGAAAGGAAATTGTGCGCAGGATGTAGGGTTTTGTTTTGTTTTGGAGGTTTATTTCTGCAGTTCATTTTTCTTTGGGATTGTGGCACCTTAAGACGTGACTACTTAATAACTCGGAATTCCAATCTTGTCTACTCAACCCAGTGAAACTGCTACACATTTTAAGTTTTTCTCTTGGGCCTTTGCCCTGTGCTACAAATCAGCAAATCCTCTGATGGAAAATAGCTAAACAGCTTTCCAACAGCTGTTTATTGTTTTTAAATTTAGCCTGTTTAGCTAATCTCAGTAGAAGGAATTGTATTTTTAAAGTAAAATAACTATAGAGAAGCTAGAAAGGTGTCAATTAGGCATTTAGAAGTTCTTGTGAAACCACTGACTGTTAATATACATTGCTATAACATTTCTTGGCTGGGTGCAGTGGCTCATGCCTGTAATCCCAGCACTTTGGGAGGCTGAGGAGGGCGGATCACCTGAGGTCAAGAGTTCAAGACCAGCCTGGCCAACATGGCGAAACCCTGTCTCTACTAAAAGTACAAAAAACTTGCCAGGTGTGGTGGCGGGCATCTGTAATCCCAGCTACTCGGGAGGCTGAGGCAGGAGAATCACCTGAAACCGCGAAGTGGAGGTTGCAGTGAGCCGAGATCATGCCACTGCACTTCAGCCTGGGCGACAGAATGAGACTCGGTCTCAAAACAAACAAAAAAACAAACAAAACAAAATTTCTTACCCAAATATCACTCCTTGAGTGAAGCCTGTCGTAGCTCCCTTATCATCAGTTCCATTCTCTTCTGTGGCACCCTAGGTTTTGTCACTCTCTTCTATTATGTCTGTGTATATTTCTCCCAGCATGTGATGAGGTCTAAAACTGGGACAGTCAGCTCTGTGTTTCCCCACCTACAACACCTGACACATAGTTCACTCTCTATAGAGGTTGAATGAATGAATTGTCCTTTACCTAAATTCATCTTTGAGGTTAAATGCAAGGTTTCCTTTTAGTGTTTCAAGTTTTAGAGAGATGATTTTGGGCTTAGTGCTGTGTATAGCATTGACTGGGGAAAGAAAGAGGCAGCAGCATTTTAGGTCATAAGCGATATAAAGGAACCAGCATTCTTGTTGGGAAATCACAACATATATGACATATATACAAACAATACAAATACAAAATTATTGTCTTGTCAGAACTACCATGTTGACAGCTTCAGGGGGTGCCCCAGCAGTAGTGTGAAGGGACTCTTGGATTTGTGCAATGCAGTAGCCCTGTCTAGACCACATACGGGCTGTGGGAATTAATATTACTTATAAATACATCATTACCTCTCAGTTTTCTGTTACTATCAGGTGACTCTGAGTGAAGGTCCTCACCATGTGGCCCTATTTAAAGATAGTTCTCGGGAGTTTGATCTTACCAAAGAAGAAGATGTAAGTAAAATTCATCTAAGGTTGATATGTGTAATTTTATAACCTGGATGAGCTTATAAAAGACAGTTAAAGAATATTTGTGAATTAAGATTTTCTTAGATTTTCTTAGGATTTTGTGTTTTCCATTAGCTTGCAGCATTAAGACATGAAATAGAACTTCGAATGAGGAAAAATGTGAAAGAAGGCTGTACCGTTAGCCCTGAGGTAAGGGTTGCAATTCATTTCAGTGACGTTTTATGGAAATTAAATGTTTATGATTTCAAATAAATCAAAATCTAGGTATTGATGTTTAGATTGCTGCTATCTAGATATGTAGAGCTTTTAAAAAAAAATCCAAATAATATATCATTTTGTGGGTAATTTTCCAGAATAATTACTTTTAGGATCAGAGAAAGAATACCATTTTTGTGAGCGTCTTATCTGAATGGATGAGATATAGAATTTTTAGAATACATTTCACCAAAAAAAATTCTTGACAAATTCCCCCCAAACTTTAGCATTGTTTTATTTTTATTTTTCCTGAGTAGACCATATCCTTAAATGTAAAAGGCCCTGGACTACAGAGGATGGTGCTTGTTGACTTACCAGGTGTGATTAATGTAAGTATATACAAAACATGTATTTTATTTTATTCTTATTGTGTGAAGCATTTATAATGACATTTAAAACCTTTTTCTTTAAGACTGTGACATCAGGCATGGCTCCTGACACAAAGGAAACTATTTTCAGTATCAGCAAAGCTTACATGCAGAATCCTAATGCCATCATACTGTGTATTCAAGGTAAATCATATCAAAAGATTTTAATGTACTGATATGTTTTCTTCTTTAGCAATCCAAGCTTTGCATTAAATAGTTTGTGTTATGTAAACATACAAGATAAATGCATTTTTGCCTTCTCTTCGTATTCATTTTATTAGTAAATTAAATTGAAGTTGAAATTATTTTGATAAGTTTTACATAAGCATCATTGAAATTTTTATCGGCTAGGATTTCTTTTTAGTAAATAACGTAAATGTATTAAAATCTTTCTTGCTATAATGTAGACACAGGGGTATAATTTGTACTGAGTTTTAAAAGTCTACTTTACATCTTAAAATTCCACAGTGTCATTTTTTTATTTTTTTCAGATGGATCTGTGGATGCTGAACGCAGTATTGTTACAGACTTGGTCAGTCAAATGGACCCTCATGGAAGGAGAACCATATTCGTTTTGACCAAAGTAGACCTGGCAGAGAAAAATGTAGCCAGTCCAAGCAGGGTGAGGTCAAATTCTTTGTTGCGAGAATAGATTCTTTGTAAAAGCTCCAGCTGTGATAGGGATTTGTTATTTAAAAAAACAACAACAACAACAAAAAAACACCTTACAACTAAGATTTATTACAATGAAAGGATAAAGCAAAATCACAAAAGGAAATGGTACATGGTATGAAGTCTGAAGGAAACCAGGCTCACGTTTTTCCACTAGTTCATTCCCAGTAGACTCTACTGGGCACATTTAATTCCTCCAGCAACAAGCTGCTTGTTAGAGACTCAGCTCCTAAGGTTTTCATCGGAGGTTAGTCATTTCGGCACCCTCATGTACCAAAATTATTTCATACTCCCAAAAGGAAAGCATATGTTATAATTAAACCACATTACTTCAGTAGTGAGCCACTGTTATATAAGGAAAGGTTTATATCAGTGTAGGGAACTGTTTACCAGTTAAGTTTTCAGATACCAGCCAAAGACAGGCAGGCCTTTTTAAGGACAGTAGTCTCAGGCCTGCTGTGTTAACCCTTTTCTAGGTAGCCACCATAACCTCTGTTCTGCTTTCTTTTTAAGGGTAAGGCCTGCCGTGGCATTAATGGTTCTGATATGGAGAAGGGGAGAAGTGAGGTAGAAACAAATTTCTGTGGCCTCCTCCCCATCTTTCTTCATTCCTTTCATTTCTTTCAACTCTAGGATAGTGAGTTTATATTTCTTCTGAGATGCAACTGAAGCTTATTTCAGTCCTTTTTGTATAAAAGATTCAGCATTAGCTTAGGTGTAACTTGTCTTAAAGGAGGGATTCTCATCCCATTATTAATCTGAATGGGCTTCAGGGGGTAGAAACTCTAACATATGTGAAAGGTCTCTATGCAAATATGCATTTTTCTGGGTACATAGTCTTTTTTTTTTTTTAGTCACATTTAGAAATGGATTTTTGATCCTAAAAGAGTTGAGAAGCAGTGGATCCAAATATTAAAGAAGAAGGTGGGAGGGGAGGAAGGAGTAAAAGAAGACAATCCAGCTTGGTTAGAATTTAGATATTTGAAGAAAGTATGGAAAAATAATAATAGCTACCATTTATTGAGTGCTTCATGCCTGGCACTGTATCATATTGTCCCATAATCTCACCAACCTTTTTGAAAAAATTAAGTTGTTTACTTAAGGTCGCATAACTACTAGGCAGCAGAGCAGGAATTCAAACTAAGGTCTGTCTGACTTTAAAGAACTACACATCATTCCGGGTTTTCGATACGTGTGTTTTAATAATACATTTTCAATGTAGTAAAATTAAATGTATTTTTTTCAAATAGCAATGGAAAAACATTTTAAATGCTTTTGTGCAGATTTATTTAACTATATACATGTATAGCATTATTTTGCTTTCTAAATTGTATATTACGCTTTTAAAACTTATGTAAACTATATCTCACATTAATTTTTCCCACTTTTAAAAATAGATTCAGCAGATAATTGAAGGAAAGCTCTTCCCAATGAAAGCTTTAGGTTATTTTGCTGTTGTAACAGGAAAAGGTATGCAAAGATGGATTATAATAACTTATTTTTAGTTTCTGTTGTTTTCAAATAATAAAGAGTAATTTTCTTGATGAAAATTTGACCATCATTCTTCCCCAGGGAACAGCTCTGAAAGCATTGAAGCTATAAGAGAATATGAAGAAGAGTTTTTTCAGAATTCAAAGCTCCTAAAGTAGGTATCTTGTTAAAACATTTAAACATTTTACAGTAAGAGAGTAGCTTAAATTGAACTGTTTTCACTTAAAACATCAGGTTTTATAACTATTAGTTTAACATCGGATTTCTAGAATTTTTCCCAAATAGTGAACTGTATCTAATAAACAAGTCCTTAGCTACTTTTTGGCAGAATTGAGAGCAGTTTATCACATGGTACAATACATACTGGCATGCTTCCTTGGACGTGGGCACTGAAAGACAACATAGATATCTGCCTCTTACTTTATTTTACTTATAAAGTGGTTTTAGAAAATCGACGCTTTCACTTTTAAACGTGTACATATTTCTCTTACAGTATTGGGGAAGATTGGAGTGGGGTTGTCGAAGAAGTATCCCTAGATATATATTGACAGGAGATAAGATAAGCAAAAAGAGCTAAAGGCCAGTTGTATTACTGTATACTAAAACTTTATATGTTGAGTTTCTGGAAATAGAAAAGTATGTTTGTTCCTAGGTTAGTACGGTAAGTCAAGATAGTTCTTGCAAACCATAATCTTACGTGCTTTGGGGAGTGCACTGACAACATATAGAACTGTGCTGTCTAATATGGTATCACTAGTTTTGTGTAGTTATTAAAATTTAAATTAGTTGGAATTAAATTAATTTCTGGAAGATGGCTTTCTTCATGTTCTTTTTAAAGGCATGGTGGCTCACACCTGTAATCCCAGTACTTTGAGAGGCCAAGGCAGGCGGATCACTTGAGGCCAGGAGTTTGAGACCAGCCTGTCCAACATGGTGAAACCCCATCTCTACTAAAAGTACAAAAAAAATTAGCTGGGCATGGCGATGGGCAGCTGTAACCCCAGCTACTCAGGAGGCTGAGGCGGGAGAATCGCTTGAACCCCGAGGGGGTGGGGGGCGGAAGTTGTAGTGACCCAATATCACGCCACTGCACTCCAGCCCGGACGACAGTGCAAGATTCCAATTCAAAAAAATAATAAAATAAAATATAACATTAAATTTAAATTAGTTAAAATTCAACAAAATTCAAAATACAGTTCCTCAGTTACACTAGCCACACATTTCCAGGGCTCAATAACCCAGTGTGCCAGTAGCTACCGTATTGGAATGTTTTCCTCCTCACATAAATTTTTATTGAACAGCACTGGTATGAAAGGTAAGAGTGGCTGTTAGCAAGCACATTCGCAGACTTGGTGGTAGTATTGTTGTCCTTTTTGTCATTTTAATATACTTTAGCTCTTGTTATTTTTTTTTAATAGGACAAGCATGCTAAAGGCACACCAAGTGACTACAAGAAATTTAAGCCTTGCAGTATCAGACTGCTTTTGGAAAATGGTACGAGAGTCTGTTGAACAACAGGCTGATAGTTTCAAAGGTAAGTTGGATTTTTTAAAGAAGCAAGCAAATTAAGACATTTTATTAGCTGGCAATCTTTGGCATCCATACGATTCTGTACTTCTTTCCTTTAACAGTTGCTTGGTAGTTCATTTACAATTAGACAGTATCTGGAAAATAGAAGAATACAAACCTTCAGTTGTTATACAAGAACAAGATTTTTCCTTTCAGAGGAAACATCTCTAGAAACACATTTGCAGAGTTCAAACAGATGAGAACATTTGCTAGTGCTTGGAAGTACACAATAAACTATAGAGAATTCTAGATTCACCCTGTTGAGGATGAAGGAGCAGATGTGTTGGGAAGCAGAGCCCTCTGAACTTCCTTTACTTGGCACCATTTCCTGAATCCCACACTTTCCTGCTCAGTGTCTTTTATCGGAAGAGAATATATTTGCTTTCTCTTTTCCCATATGTAAATCCTACCTGATCCTACCTATTTATGCCAGTTAGTCCCTCTGCAATCTTGTATTACTTTCATTTCCATTTTACAGAAGAGGAAACAGAAGACAGTTACTTACCCAAATAACTTATCCTATTACCCAGTGTCACACAACATGGGTAATAGGCCCAGGATTTGGCTGTTGGTGGTACAACTGCAGAGTCCATTCTCTCAGCAGCTCTATGGTACTAAACTACTTCAGCTGTGTGCTAATGGATTTAACATGGAGAAACTAGAATCAGGGAGAATAGTTTTGAAAGCTATTGCAAAAATGAAATTCTGAGACGTTGAGATCCCAGAGTACTAAGGGGTCATAGGCGCACTCTCAGAAATTCAGTTAATACAGAGGATATGTATTTTAACCACTTTAACCACTACATCTGGAAAGAAGGAGGGTCATCAAACTTGAACTTTTCCTTCTTCCTCAGCAACACGTTTTAACCTTGAAACTGAATGGAAGAATAACTATCCTCGCCTGCGGGAACTTGACCGGGTAATATTTGGATACTCGTGTATTTTGTATATATCTTAATTTAATGTTGTTTGCTAACTAAATTTATGTTGAGAGAAAAATCTGATAAGCTAAAGTACTTTGGTTTTGACTATAACTACTAATTTGTAAGAATACATCTCTAGGAGCAGTTATCTCTTTCAGTAATTTAAATTATTTATTATATAACATTAAAAATGGATTATAAGATGTCAAAACAAGTGTTGAAAGTGTTTTCTGAGAAGGTAATGAATGTGCTTTAAAGGTTTTGTAGAATTCGTGTATTCCTGTAATTTAGTGGGAATTAAACATTGTTTTTCCTTGATTTTAAAATCCCCATTAGTTAATAAAACACAGCATTAATATATAGTTACTGATGTACTAAATTAATATGTATTGATGCTTTCACATAACGTGAACAAGTGTTATGTGAAAAACTGCATTCAAACTTGAGAAGGTAGATATTTATGTCAGTTTCTTTGTCCTTATCTGCATAATGGCATTCCTAAAAAAAAACACTAGAAGTGCATTTTTGCTAGTCATGTATAATTAAACCCAAATTCAGCCTAGTCAAAAACCTCCCTTTGGTTATCTCTGAAAATCATGACAGGGTAAATTTACTGTCTTATGGAAATCTTACTTACTTGTATTTATATTGCCTAGAATGAACTATTTGAAAAAGCTAAAAATGAAATCCTTGATGAAGTTATCAGTCTGAGCCAGGTTACACCAAAACATTGGTAAGTATTTGATATTAATCTCTTTTCTGAAAGACTTTACTGTACAGGTTATAATGAAATGCTAAAACTTAGATTGATAAAGCAGTGATTTATTGTTGCCTTGGCTCATAGGCAAAAACGTAATAGTATATTTTTTTGGCAATATCTAACTACTTTTGTAGTCTAACCAGTTGAATTTCTTCATGTTCTTTTTAAATCTTGATTCTCTTTGCCTTTTCTTTATCTTATACCTAATAAATACGTAATCATGATTTCTGTAAAATCCTTTGGGCAGAAGTTTTGTCAAATTATACTTTAGGTAAATATCAACCTGTCAAAATTGATTTATAAAGGGAGTTGGTATATATTTTCAGGTTCTCCATTCTGAGTAAGAACAGTTAGTGCTTTCTGTAACATGTGGTTAATATGTTGTATACAAATCACATTTTGAACTTAATGCTATTAATACTTGAAATTTTTAAAAATAGCAAGTAAATGCACCTTTTTGAAAAATATGTTAATCTTTTCTAAGGCAAACTGTTACCTTCAGTTTATATTTTATGTAAGTTTGGCCATTCCTAAATTCAGTGGAATGAGACACGGTAAAACAAGCTATGTATAAATAGCCTTGACATTTTTGTAGTCACATGTTAATTAACAAATTCCTCATGCAGAAATTATCTTTCTAATGAAGACTGTGGTATTTTTAAGAATTTATTTTTGGAGCAGAGCTATCCTCACTGCCATTCATTGTAAATATTTTCTGTACCTAGTCTATTCACTCAGTTAAAGGTTATCAAAAGTGAGCCTAGATAGTAGTATCTGGTCTGTTTGAATTCAGCATCACTAGTTTCCTCATTTCAGTGCCCTTTCTTCCTCAGTGGTGAAACCTCTTCTATCTTCAAGTAGTCCACATTTGCCTGTTTTTAATCTCCGTTCCTTATCCAAAAAAAGAGATCTAATTGTATCTATTCTTGTTGATTAATCAAACATTGTTATGACACAACTTATGTTTGTTTATTTGTATCTTAGCCCAGTTCCATGGCTTTGTGTCAGTCAGCTTTCAAGTTACAAAGAGATATATAGGTTTACAGATTGAGTATAATACTAGTTGCCTTGCTAGATTGTATGAGGGCATTTAATGTATATAAAAGTGATATGTAAACTGTAACAACTAATAATGCTGTTTATGGGGAGAAAATGTGGTCCTTCTATAAATTAATTTTTGGTATCATCAAATGGAAAGGTTAGTTTTGTTTGGACAGAGCAACCCTGAAATCAAAGTATTTCTTCACTAAAGTGAGCCTTGAAGATAAATGTAATTTATTTAATACAAAGGTAACTGAAGAGAATTGTGAGGGGACAGTGAACGCATACCACCAGATTGCCCATTGAAAAGGCAACGGTCAGATCTGGGACATCTGGCTGCTAGAGATTTACTTGTGTAAGCTGCCGGATCATATATGATTCTCTGTGTTTTCAGACTGTAGAGGCTGAAAAAATGTTATGTTAACGCAAATATAAATCAGAGTAGCAGGTCCAAGCCTTAGCTGTTCATACCACATTGAATTCAAGTACATTACACCCCAAATATTTTCCACATATTTTATTATTTTGACATAGTTGATGTTGTCTTGAAGTTTTTATTGGTATCTTTTTGCTGAATAATCCTATGTGATATTTTAGGACACTGCCTAAAATGTTTACAATTATTTAAGTCATAAGACTGTTTGATCTATATTTGGTTATCTGGAAAGTGTTAAAAGCATTTTATGTCATAACATGACAGTTTGTTATTTCCTTTAGACATTCCACTGTCCTTCAGTTAAGTTTTAGGAAGGTTATTAGGGGTATAGATTTGACATATAATACATTATAGTAGGAAATACTCACTCAGCATTTTTACGCTGTGCCTGGTTTTCAAGAGTGAATCACTGACATTCAGAAGGAGATATTGATATATCATTAACATCATGTGACCAGCAATGTAGACATATCTTTTCTAGAAGGATAGCTGGCTAGCTTCACAGAAATACATTTTTTCTAAAAATGCTACTATGGTACATTTTTAGAAATTCTCGGACTTCAGAAATCAAAGATTTGCAATATCATAATTTGAAATTTAAAACATGAATAAGTGTTAAGGCAGAGGCAGGAATATGGTAAGGGCCACGAGATGAGAACAAGAAAGGCGACACAGGTAGCTGTGTCCTGTGGCTTTAACATAAATGGGGGCAAGAGGCAGGAGATAAAACAGTAGATGTAAGCAAAATATTGGGTTTATTAACCATATTCAGAAGCTTAGTGTGTATTCCATAAGCAGTAGGGGGAGGGTGGTCACTGAAGAGGATTAGGTCAGGTTTGCATTTTAGAAAGGTCTTTGTAGTAGGCAAAATGGAATACAGGCGGAGAAAACTGTAAGCAAGGAGGCAGTTGGCTTTTGCAATAATTTAGGCAAGATGTGATCATGGCTTAAACTTGGATAGTGAGTGGTAGTACAGGTAGAGAAGAGACACTTGTGAGATACTTGAGAGGTTACCTAAAAGATAGAATTGACAGGATTTAGTGATTGTGTAGATAATGAAGAGTCTATTAAATAATGAGTATGTTTATATTCAGTAATTACATTGCTAGGAATATATGCAAATGATATATTTGACAAAGATGAACACACAAGACCTTTCACCTTGATTTTTTAAATAAATGTGAAGAAATGGAAAGCAATTTATGTGTCCCATTTGGAATTATATAGTATTTGGTTTATATAGAGCAGATTACTGCTCTATGGATAGAAGTAGCCTTTGAAAAGTATAGGATGTTGACATGGAAAACTAAATACAATATACTTTTAGATTTAAAAAAGGGATTTATAAAACAGTATGTATAATTATGAACCACTTGTGTAAATACACACAAATAGTTACGTAGACATAATTTTTTTAATAATAAAACCATAAATAGTGGTTATCTTATAAAAGAGGAACTATGGGGTACTTCTTACATTTTCTGTATTGGTTGAAATTATTATATGGAGTATAATAGTCCTCTACTTTAAAATAAAAAAAAATCCATTTTAAAAAGAATTTAATTAAAGTGGAATGTAGGTAAAGTTTCTGTAGATAAAGAAGGCAATAAAACTATTACCTTTATTATATTTTGCTAATTATATTTTGTGTATTAGTAGAAGTTATCCCTGGTTGATGGCAAAACCTGGAATAGAGAAGTCACCTATAATAACACAGAATATAGTCCAGGCACGGTGGCTCATGCCTGTAATCCCAGCACTTTGGGAGGCCCCTATGGTCGGATCACTTAAGCTCAGGAATTCAAGACCAACCTGGGCAACATGGTGAAAACCCTGTCTCTAATAAATATACAAAAATTAGCCAGGCATGGTGGTGCACGCTTGTAATCCCATCTACTTGGGTGGCTGAAGTGGGAGAATCGCTTGAACCCAGGAAGCGGAGGTTGCTGTGAGCCGAGACTGTGCCACTGCACTTCAGCCTGGGTGACAGAGTGAGACCCTGTCTGAAAACAAACAAACAAAAAAAAAAAACCATAGAATATAGGCTGGGAAAATTGTTAGATGATAGCAGCAAGCAATAAGGTAGCAGATGACATAACTAGATGAAGTGGCTTCACAGTGTAATGGTTTTTATATGAACATTGAGAACTGATGGTTCAGAAGAGAGACTGGGGTGAGGAGGACTTAACTTCTACTTTCTAACTCTGAAGGCCATTTAACTGCTGAATAGCTTCATCTCAGCAGAATTTGAGGACAGAGGACAATCACTTTCCTTAAGGAAAGGTTTGGAGGTAAGAATAGGGAAAGAGAATGAGAGTGTAAAATGGTTTGTCATGGAACCGGGTATTACAGGAGCACAACAGAAATTGTTGGGATGGAGGGGAGCAGTGGGAGTCTGAGACAGAGGACAGCAGCTTGGCGATGAAAGGCAGGAGAGGCTGGGCAAGGAGAAGTGATAACAGCTGCATCTGTGGATGTCAAAGCAGCAACCTCCCTTGAGAAAGTTGCCTTTAGCTTCTCGGGATTTGGTAATCAGGATTTTAAAAAGGGTGTCAGGGATATGGATTCCTGGCCCACAGACTCCAGGGAAAAATAACAGACTATGTCTCTTCTGAAGCAGGATGAGAAAAAAGCCCTGGAGGTCAGAGGCTGGATCCTGGTCTTCAGTTCAACTTTCAGTAATCTTCTTGAGATTGTGTATAAAGTGGTATCTGAAGAGGAGGCCCTGACAGGCTGCTTTTCTTCATCTTGCTCCTTAAATTCTCCCACTCTCTGTCATTAACTCAGTGACTAAATTGTCTTTGTCCTTTTGGGCCCCAGTCATATATCCTCCTCAGACTCTGATTTCTTTACTGGTTGTAACTGGAAAGTGACCTGAAAGTTAGCAGTGGGAAACCAGGATCTGTGTTGATTGATTCAGTAGACTTAATTTTACACAAAATGTTTAGTAAATAGTCTTGGAGGGTAGGAGATGTTGACTCTCCTCACCAGAGAAGTTCAGCTGGGCTTTTGGACAGCAGGATATTTCTGCTACCCTGAGATTTGTGGCTATATCCTAAAGGGTTGAGATTATTCTTAAGAAGGATCCCCTGATAAGCAGAGTTTTTTTTTTATATTGTAGTATTCTAAGTTTATTACCCAAATAAATATTTCCTTGAGATTTCAAATTGAAATAGTTGTATTTTTTTATTAGTGACCCATGTTCTTTTAAGATGTCTTTCAAGGCAGAATTTTCAACATGATTATGCATCTTTTACATTGTTACCTTAATCATGAATTATTGAAAAATTTTATCTACAGCATTCTATAACATCTCTGTGCTGTGATCTGATAAGTTGTCATATTTATACCAAGAAATTTTCAGTCTCAGACTCTCCCGTAAGCACATGAAGTATATGTTAATACTAGGCAGATAAGTGTGCATGAAAAGATGCTCAGAATTATTAGTCATTAGAGAAATACAACGTAAAACCACAATGACCACTATAAACTTACTAAAATGGCTACAATTTTAAATGACAGACTATACCAAGTGTTGGCAAGGATGTAGAGGATCTAGAACTCTCATTCTCTGCTAGTGGAAATGTAAACTGAGGCAAACATTTCAAAAAAAAATTAAACATGTAATTACCATATGATCCAAACATTCCACTCTTAGGTATTTACCTAAGAGGAATGAAAGCATGTGTTCATAAGAAAGACTTGTACGTGAATTCTCATAGCAGCTTTATTTGTAGTAGCCAAAAGCTGGAAACAGCCTAAGGGTCTATCAACACAAGAATGGATAAACACATTCATGCAACATAATACTACACAGAAATAAAAAGAAGTGAAATATTGCTAGATGCGGTGTCTCACACTTGTAATCCCAACACTTTGGGAGGCCAAGGCAAGAGGATTGCTTGAGCCCAGGAGTTCAAGACCAGCCTCAGCAACATAGTGAGACCCCATCTCTACAAAATTTTAAAAAATTAGCCAGGCATAATGGCGTCCACCTGTAGTCCCACCTACTCGGGAGGATAAGGTGGGAGGATGGCTTGAGCCCAGGAGGTTGAGGCTCCAGTGAGCCATGAATGTGCCACTGTACTCCATCCAGCCTGGGCAACTAAGCAAGACCCTGTCTCAAAAAAAAAAAAAGTGAAATATTAATACATACAACAGCATGATGAACCTCAAAATAATTATGCTGGAGTGGAAGAACAAAGACAAAAAAAGAGTATATGCCACATGATTGCATTTATATAAATTTCTAGAAAATACAAAGTAATCACAGTGACAGAAAGCAGTTCCAGTGGTTACAACTTTTGAGGATGATGGATGCGTTCATTATCTTGACTGGTGCGATTTACAGGTATATACACATGTGAAAACTTATCAAAATTTTAAATATGTACAGTTTATTATAAGTTAATGATACTTCAGTCAAGCTGTTTTTAAAAACAATATTATATTTAGATTTGGTGCTTTTGATACTTTTTTATTTCAGGGAGGAAATCCTTCAACAATCTTTGTGGGAAAGAGTATCAACTCATGTGATTGAAAACATCTACCTTCCAGCTGCGCAGACCATGAATTCAGGAACTTTTAACACCACAGTGGATATCAAGCTTAAACAGTGGACTGATAAACAACTTCCTAATAAAGCAGTAGAGGTTAGGATATAATTTAATTAAATGGGTAAGAAGCATTATCTGAAGGGAGTAGGAGCTGTGAATTTTAGATTTTATTCCCATCACAGCCTCTATCTTTCTTTTAGGTCTTTATATCTCATTTATTCTTTATTCCTCATCTCTGTTTTGGGACTAACCTTAATGTTGCTACCAGTTACTACGGTTATAAAAATTTACTAATTGGTATGATGTTGGCCTGAGGGTATTGGTACTTCTTCCAAAGACAATATTTAACAAGCAAATTTTGCTTGAATATGAAATATTTGCTTGAGTATTTGCTTGAATGTGAAATATTTTGAACATTTTCTGTGGATTCTGTGGATTATAGAGATTCCATAAAGAAAATACTTAATAGATGAAGCATTTCATCTGAGCTCAGTTATACTTAAATTATCATTTTCTTAGGATCCTGACAGAAGATTAAACTAGGAATTATTAAAAAACAAAACAAAACAAAACAAAAAACTACCTTAAAGAATCTATTTCTGCTACCATGTATCTTGGCTTTATCACTTAATAGCTGTGTGATCCTTTGCCTAGTTGCTTAACTTTCCTATGTGTTTTTTCATCTATAAAATGGTGACAATAATGTTGCCTACCTCACAGCATTGTTATAAGGATTAAGTAAGTAATTATATGTAAAATACTTAGACAATGCCCAGCCCATGGTAACTGCTCAGGGAATGGACCTGCTGTTATTATGGTCCTCATCATCTGAATTGATCCATCATGTACATCACCCCATAAACAGCGATTGTTCAAGCTAAGAGTCAGTGTGTCCTGTGCTTGTGTGTGAGGTTGCTCACAAAATTGAAGTCAATGTTAAAAGTAATTTTGTTTTTCATACCTATCTTAAAGGCAGTGTCAGTTTCTAATTATTCGGATGTGATTTCACCCCTTTCCTATCTTGCTCCAGTGTTAACTTCCTTATCTCTGTTCTCAATTTCTTCAAGCCCCTTTCTAAGAACTCCAGCAGCCTCCCTGCCTAAGTTGCACGTTGCTGAGCCCTGGCAGTTCTTGACACATTTACCCCTGAAGAAGTTAGAGAGCTGCTGCTACCCCTTCAGTAGCTCTCATTACTGGCACTAACATTTTTTCTGCGCCCTGTCCCATGATAGGATATTTTCACATCCTAAGGTTCAAGCAGTGGAAGTGGTTATGAAAGCATCAATTTTTCTTTCCACTGCTGCTTTCTGTCCCTCAGCACTAGGTGTCATGGAAAGAATGTAGATCTGGTGAGAAGGTCAGGAAACATGGATCTTAATACTCACCCCACCACTCACTCCGTATTTTTGGACAGTCACTTTCTTTTTTAAAATGAGAGAGGGCTAAAATCCAGCATTAAAAAGCCCACATAGTTATAAGTAGATTTTGTTCTTCATTATTTTTGACACTGTGCTCTTCCTTTCACCGTTCAGATCATTAGGAGTTAGCTATAATACAAAGCTGAATACTCTTCGGCTATGTTTTAAAGTGTTGGTGCATTGCTTCATATCTTTGCTTAAAGACAAAGCTATGAAGATGACTGAATCATTAAGACATTTAAAACCTTTTGCAGTGTGAAAGAAGCAGTCAGACTCATGTCTTAGAGGTTGAAATAAATAAATGAACTAACTTGGGTGGCAGGCTTAGAATACATACCTTATCTTGAAGAGACAGCCCTGTTCAGCTACAGTAGGTGGTGTCATGTAGGAATATGGGTATATCCTTCTCAGTTAGTCCAAGAGAAGCCGTAAATGCAGACTTTTATATGAAATCTCTCAATTTTTAAATATTAGCATGCAATTTTAAAAATGAGAACCGCTATACATGTCTAGGAAAACATACCAGGAAGCCATATCTGTCCCCAGCAACCCGTGTGAGACCTCTACATCATGGTTTATATTTGCCTTTTTGTTAATGTAGTTTCACATATATTTTCTGATAAGCTGATTTATTTATCACATCTGTTTGGCTTGAGCTCGTGTTATTTTTCATGTTAACCATTGAAGTATGTAGTAATAATATGGCTTTTTTTCTTTCAAATAATTATAGGTTGCTTGGGAGACCCTACAAGAAGAATTTTCCCGCTTTATGACAGAACCGAAAGGGAAAGAGCATGATGACATATTTGATAAACTTAAAGAGGCTGTTAAGGAAGAAAGTATTAAACGACACAAGTGGAATGACTTTGCGGAGGACAGCTTGGTATGTTGTTTGTATACTGGGGTATCAGCCTCATATTTTTATATAACTTCTCAAATTGATACTTTTTCATAGGAGACTTTATATGACTAAATTACATTCTGAATTAAAAATAATGAAGTAAAGAAACAGATTTATGATCTGTAATCTGCCCTTTAATATTTCCCTGCCCTTCTAAAATCACCTGTTGCTGTTTCTTTCTTGGCTATCATTTCAGAAAAAAGTAAAACTTTGCAGTAAACAGACTCTGATAAACTTCTACAAATTGTCATCTGTTAGCCATTTTATGGGCCTGTCTGTAGATAGGTGCTTCTAATTTTACCCTCTGTGATAATGAAAGGAACTACATGCGTTGGTTTTCAGTGGATTATAAAATGTTAGACGCCTAAAATCATAACACCAGCTACCATGTATTGAATGCTTACTATGTGCCAGGAACTCTGCTAGGTATTTTGCAAGCATTATTTGATTTAATTCTTAACCACTCCTGTTATTGTCATTGACAGAGCTGGGATTCAAGCCCCTCTCTAATGGCAAAGCCTGGTTCCTGACACCACCTGATAAATCTTTTGTTATGTAGACTGCTCTCACTACCAAAATCAAATCTGTTAAGTGCCTGCTGTGCTCAGAGAGTTACTAGAGGTGTTGTTGAATTACAGGATTGAGCGATTTTCTGGGAAAATGCAGAGCTGGTTGTAATTATAATTTTGTTTTAAAGAAGTGTTTGTCTTTATGGCCGGGCGTGGTGGCTCACACCTGTAATCCCAGCACTTTGGGAGGCCGAGGTGGGTGGATCACCTGAGGTCCGGAGTTTGAGACCAGCCTGACCAACGTGGATAAACCCCGTCTCTACTAAAAATACAAAATTAACCAGGCATGGTGGTGCATGCCTGTAATCCCAGCTACTCGGGAGGCTGAGGCAGGAGAATTGCTTGAACCCAGGAAGGGGAGGTTGCGGTTAGCCGAGATCGTGCCATTGCACTCCAGCCAAGGCAACAAGAGCAAAACTCCGTTTTCAAAAAAAAAAAAAAAAAAGAAAGAAAACCATATTTATTCTTGTTAAATGCCTTATTAAGACTGGCTTACTGAGAAAACAGCTTCATTTTTATTCATCCAAAAATTATAAAATTTGGAAGCCAATTTTCAACTGTAATAAATAACTTTTATGATTTTATAGACCTTTTAAATGTCTACCTTATTACTTTTTTCGTTGCTGTTAACACTGGGAATAATGGTTAATAATTTTTTTCTCCTCATTTTTGAAAAGGCTAACATGTAGGTCACATGGCAAAAAGCGATGAACATGATCTGAATTATTAAACCCTGAATTTTAGGTTTCTAGATGTTGCATTTCATGTAGTTAAATTTGTAATATTTTGTATAATGTAAATGTGTAATATTACCCACGCACCCCATATGGTTAGCTTGTTTAATTTGGGCCAGGAGAGAATCTCCACTCTTTATTTTTTAGATAGCAAGCTAACAAATAAGCAGGCAAGTAAAAGAAGCTTATGCATTTTTATAGGAAGGATATATTTTTATGCTGGTTTATATACATGGTTATTTTTCCATATTTACTAAGCTGTCAATTTGAATAAAACTACTAAAATGATGAGATGTAAAACAAGTTGGCTTTTTCTCTTCTTGTTATTTTCAGAGGGTTATTCAACACAATGCTTTGGAAGACCGATCCATATCTGATAAACAGCAATGGGATGCAGCTATTTATTTTATGGAAGAGGCTCTGCAGGCTCGTCTCAAGGATAGTAAGTGGAGACACGGCTTATTGAGTTCTGAGTTCACAGTGGTGAAGGAGTCATCCAACTTTAGTGAACATTTGTAGAAATAGATTGAACATTTCAAAGTCTTTGTCATTAATACTATAGTCGAATATTATTTGTGGAATTTTTTTAGTCAACTGCTTTGTAACTACTAAAACCAATGAATAAAATGGACACATGATGCTTATATGCATTTATATTCTATAAAGCTATAATGCAGAATATTTTAGTGTGTTCGCTACTGTACTTATAGGAATTTTATAAGCAATTATACTTTTAGGTATCTTAAACACATATATAATTAAACTCTTACACATGTGCCATATCAGTCATGTGGGTTTTTTCCTTTATTTCAACTGCCTTCATATTGATATAGCACTTTGAAATAGTTAAGAAAGCAAGACCATTATTAGTTATAATTTGTGTGTGTGTAAGTGATAAAATTCTTGATTAATTAATTTTTTTTTCTAGCTGAAAATGCAATTGAAAACATGGTGGGTCCAGACTGGAAAAAGAGGTGGTTATACTGGAAGAATCGGACCCAAGAACAGGTAGAAATAAACAAGTCTCTAGTCTTATGATGATATAATTTTGTTCATTTTAATTCAGGCATTAAAATATAACCTTTTTGTGGCTCTAGACCAGTCTCAGGAATATTAAATGTTTTATATCATACTTTCTAAAATATAATGAATCTTTAGAATAAAGAATAAACTACATAAGAAAGTTTTTTTTAAGTGAAGTAGCCATGTTGTTAAAAGACAAGAGATGAAACATGCCCCTTTTGTGGTTGATTACATTGTTCATTTCAATTCCCTGTTTGAGGTAAAAAGGAAGATTAAAGTTATGAACAGGCCAGGCACGGTGTCTCATTCCTGTAATCACAACCCTTTGGGAGGCCAAGTCAGAGGAATCGCTTGAGTTAAGGAGTTCGAGACCAGCCTGGGCAACATAGCAAGACCTCCTCTTTACTAAAAGTCAAAAAAAATTAGCCAGGTGTGGTGGCGCATACCTGTTATCCCAGCTACTAGTGAGGCTGAGGTGGGAAGGATTGCTTGAGCCTGGGAGATCGAAGCTGCAGGGAAAATAACTTGTGAATAGAAAAAAATAGTAAGGTTTTCAGAGGATGTACAATGAATATGATTGGCGGGAAAAGATACAATTTTTCTTGCCTTATTTTATTATCTTATCTATATCTACCATTAAAGTCCCTACCCCTCACCTCCACCCCTGTTCATTCCTTTCCGATTCTTATAGCTTCTTTTCCTATCTAGCATTCAGTCTTATACCACTGTCTCATTCCTTGTTCATTCCTTAAATGAAAGAATCTAAATAGAATATAGAATCTAACTACATAAATTAATGAAATAATGAAGATGAAAAAGATTTAGCATCCAATCCATTTTCTTTTCTTGTTTGCTTTGTTCCTTGAATTCATTTAGAGAAAGGAGATCAAGTAATGGAAAAATAGAGGAGACAAAGGGAATAAAAATTGACCAAATGAGATGTCCCTATTTCTTTATTTTATATTTTCATTTTCATTTTAAATACAGTTAATTGTATAATCTATATCCTATTTTTTTCCTAGTTTCCCACATTTCTTGTTTCATAAGTTCTCTATCAGATGTGAGTCTCAACTTTCCTCAAAATAATGAAGAGACAGTCTTCTTTTTCTCTGTGTTTCTTTACTATTTTTTTTTTTGGTAATGACTTTTGTGAAAAATGAGCCATTAAGAGACTGAAGCAAAGCTGAGGAAGCAGACAGTTAGTGATTGGGTCATGCATGTGTTCAGGGTGCGTTGGTTATCTCTGCTCTACAGATGGGCCGAGAGAAGGAGGTCTGTCAGAAGAGAATTTCTAGAGATCCATCCAAGGTTTCTGACTTTGATAGAGGAAGATGCATTGATTAGAAAGAGCTGCTGTAAGGGAGATAAACTGCAAAAGAAAAATGGTATCTGGCCTTCAAGACTTAGTGATATTAGGCCTAAAGTCTCTAGAACAGTTGGTGGCAGAACTTGCCTCAGCAACTGACTGGTGGTAAATGTGCTTTGGCCAAACACTCTCTGAAAGAAGTGATTCCTGCTCGTAAGTTATTTTTGTCAGGAACTTAAACCCATAGGGGAATCCCTTCAAGAGAAAGAAAGGAATTTGCTTTAAAGTCAGTGCAAAGGGTCTGTAAGCCTAGAAGAGGAATCTGGAAACCCTTTACAGAAGAGCCTTCTCCCCACAGGATTTCAGGGCAGCATGTGTGAGACCCAGGCTGACTGTAGAACAGAGGCCATAATTTGGAATATAGAAGGGAGGGGCATCTGAATCACCCGGGGAGGTGTTTATATATAGTGTTTTGTTTTTTCTTCAAAAGCTAGCCTCATGTCAGACTCATTGAGTCAAGCTCTCCTTCTCTATCCTTTCTATCCCTCCCACTCCCAGTTGAAGACAAGTGTTTTCAACCTCATACCTGGAGGTTACAGTGAGACATGGATTCTAGAAGAGGTTGAGAATATCCCTAGGTCTCACATCGTAAGTTCACTTAGCTGAATGACAGGATTTGGCAGGAAAAGAAACTTAAAGATGAGAAATCCATTCTCTGAAAAGTATTTTGTGCTTTTGTGTTTCTTTTGTTTTCTAGGAAAATTCATCCCTTTGAAACATTCTCGCCTTGTTTAAGCCAAACTAATGGAAATTTTGGTCAGGATAGATCCAAGAGTAGTTCTCTCTTCTAATGGCCAAGTGTGGTGACAGTCAAATGATGGGTAGAAAGGGGGAAGTAAAACATGAGGCAGGATGAGCTTGGGAACACCATTACCAGCGATTTCCTTTCCATCTCAGACTGAATAGTACATGTTTAAGCAAACAGTGAACTTTCTCTTTATCAAATGCTCTTTTTTCTGAAGTATTAGTTTTCAGAGAGTATTAATTAGTAGTTCCATTTACAAGTTAATTGTTTGCATTTATGTGTTAATCTTGTCTACTCAGATTTCATAGCTGTGATAGAGTTTGGGGCAAAAAAAAACACTCAGTTTCGTAGCTGTGGTAGATTTTCTATTCTAGTAATTTATTTAGGGTAATGATTGAATTTAAAGCTAGTTTCTTCTATCATATACAATTTTGAGTGGAGGTTTGAAAAATGACAAGATTAATTTAACACAGTATAAGAATCTTGTTATCAAACATAACTAGTGTAGGTAAGTTTTCCTCCTTTGGTAAAGAGATTATGAATAATTACAGATAAGAGACTGGAAGTGAATTTAAGAAGGACAGATACCTCACAGGAGCAGTCTGAAGTACCATTTTTTATGAAAAAGCTTTTTAAAAATCAAGCTATGCATTTTATATTTATTGGAAAAGAAACATGTCAACAAGTTTAAGTCCTTACAGTAATCTCGTTCTTAAGTATAGTTCTTAGATATGAAGCATTTTAGAACATCAGCTCTTCCTATGCATTCAGGGTGCTTTTTCCTAGATTCAAATTATACCCTACGGTCAAGAAAGAAAGAAAATACATGGTAAGATTCCTGGTGCTGTAACTTCCACAGGAAAAAACATTTCAGCAAAAGTAAATACATAACAAGTAGGGCTAATCCCTGGGTTTTCTACCCTCTCATAAGGCAAATTCTTCTGTGTTCATAGGCCATTTACCATATTCATAAGCCGGGGTGCTGTGTTCTTTCTTGTGTTTCTTTCTTGTTTGTTGTGATTAAGCTTGTGTTATCTTTTATGCAATAGTAATGTATTTATTAAAATTGAGACTGTTTTTCAAGCACCAAATTATGAACCATCTAAACACAGTCCTTTTTTAAACATTTTAAAGTGTGTTCACAATGAAACCAAGAATGAATTGGAGAAGATGTTGAAATGTAATGAGGAGCACCCAGCTTATCTTGCAAGTGATGAAATAACCACAGTCCGGAAGAACCTTGAATCCCGAGGAGTAGAAGTAGATCCAAGCTTGGTAATAAATACTGCTGAGAAGCAGGAATCTGCTTCCTTAATATTTGTTTCTTGCAGTAAATGTTACTACATGTGTTAGTTAGATATTTAAGTGCTTAATTTGACTTTTGTCACGTGTACATTTGCTGACAGTAAAAGCTTAGTCATTTTGATTGCGTGAAGAGAAGGAATTTTATTCTCAGTATTGCTTTTTTAAGAGTAATGCTTTAATTTGTAAATGGAGAAATTTACTTTGGCAAGTTCAATGGTCAACAGTCAGTTCATGCAAAATGGGATGAAACCGACCTAGACCTTTGCCCCACGTCACGCTGTTTCAGATTGCAAAATAGAATTTCTGTTTAAAAATGGCATATATATGTGTTTTTGTGTGTGGTTTACAGTCAAATGTAACTCAATTAGATGTGAGTGGATTCAGAAAAAATAAAAATGTTGTTTTTATTAAATTGGATATGACCATTGAGTTCTTTCTCCATTGTCCTCTTTTGTTAATGTGAGAATAAAAATAGTCTACACTTTAGGCTACTTTTTGCTTACCTTCATGATGCTTTTTTTGAGGATGAATTTTAAAAAATACTTTCGGGCCCACGTTTTTTAAAAACTACATTCTCTACTGCTTAGTTAAGATGTAAGGAATTCAAAAGCTCCTTATAATATTAGCTTAAGTGAACACAATTAGAAAAATAAGTCTAGTGGGGAAAGCAATCATTAACAAATTTCAAAGCCACACAAACTCTTTTAAAGATTATGTGCTATTTATGTTTCTGTACTTGAGGGATGAGTATACTTATTTTAAATTCCACCACAGGTCAGAACAAGTAAAAAAATAAAAATAAAATTGGTAAAACTCAAAGCAGTTATATACATCTAGCATTATTTATATATTGAAAATGAGATGAAAGCTAATGATTACATGAGCTGTTTGAGTTGAATGTGGATTTAGGTTTTATTCTTGTTGGTCCCAGCTCTCGTTAACAATAAGTTATATTCAGTTTGACACTTTTAAACGTTATGTGGCACGTTGGTGAATACAGTAGGAGGGATTTTCTCTTCAGAGTGGTATAGAAGAGATGTTACGTGATTTTTTTTTTAAACTTTTTGCTCATGTCTTAGGCAATGAATTGACTGTATGTCTTAATTAGTTTCTAAGACCAAGAAAACCTCAGGTTTTTTAAGTGACAGTTTGTTCAGTGCACTTTGCAAAGCTATAAAATAAGTAGCAAAGTACCACGAGAAGAATATTGCATGGACTAGATATCAGGACATGTGAATTCTAGTGTATTTCCATTATATTAGCTAATAATATGTCCTTTAATAATTGATACCACTTTTCTGACCTCACTTACCTCATCTGTCAAAAGGGGTTGATGTTTTTCTAGTTAACATTATTATTGTTTTGCTCAAAAAAGGACAGAGGGTATTAAAGAATATTGGACACTCAGAGTATCTAGTAATAAAGTGGTAGGGATCATATTGGTATGGTAGCAGTAAAATTTTATAAACAGAAAGGAAATGTTGAGTTGCTAGACATGATCTGAGACCATCTTAAGTTCTAACTCTGTTTTTAGATAAGGCTTTCAACCTCTTTCTGCATTGGTTTCCTCACCTCTAACTAGGGGAAGGTAATACCTACCCTGTCTACTCCACAAGATGATTATTTGATTATAGTAACAGCATTTGTTTAAATCATTGCTAATTTTTAAGTACATAAACTGGTAATGGGTCAGAGTAGTAGTAAATCTAATCTTTGCCTTAAAAAAAGTAAGTGAATAAAAAAATTTGAATAACTATGTAAAGAATAACCTTGCTTTTGCTTTTAATTAACTTTTTTGGTAAATATAATTTTTGTACAACTTCTCAGTGTGGTTGATCAACATGAAGAATATACAGTAACTCTGGGCTTTCTTTTTTCTCATTTTAGATTAAGGATACTTGGCATCAAGTTTATAGAAGACATTTTTTAAAAACAGCTCTAAACCATTGTAACCTTTGTCGAAGAGGTTTTTATTACTACCAAAGGCATTTTGTAGATTCTGAGGTAAGGTTTCCAAAAACAAAGAGAAGTATTTTTAAGCAACAGTTGTCAAAATATGCTTAAAAGTAAACTTTAGCTTAAGCATTAATTTTAAGTCCTTTGATCATCTGGGGAAAAAAAGTATGTGTAATTTATAAAGAATAATCTAACTCTTATATTTTCAAAGATATTTGCCACTTTGTTCGTGATACGTGCATATTATCCCCAATGCTTATAAGAATATGTGAATATAAATAGTAAAAAAAAGTGTGAATATAAATAGTAAAAAAAATAAATAAATAACAGGAAATAGTCCCTTATTCCCTGACCTGTAAGAATTTTAGTTAACATTTTTATGTATTTCTTTTCAACTTTTTCTGTACATAGGGAGAGAGACAGAGAGGGAAAGAGAAAGTGTGTGTGTATCTGTGTGTGTAACATAACCATCCATTTGCATAATGGAAATCATCCTGCAAAACAGTTTTTATCATGCTTTTTTCAGGTGTCATAATTATTTCTTCATATCACTAAATCTTGTTTTAAATAATCATAAAGTTCTTGTATTAAAATGATTCATAATTTAAAGTAACCCCTAGGTGGCAGCAGTCTGATATATTTTCAGCATTTTCTTACAAGCAAAAATGCTTTTAAATATCCTTTTGATAAAGCTCAGTTAATCAACAATCTTATTTAATTGAGACTTCTAACATGCTGTTCTTTTGTTTTCAGTAGATGAACATAAATTTATATTTAAATGCACCTAATTAAAAGTGGCAAGTTTTTTTTGCATAATTTTAATTGTAGAGTGAACTTCTTTCTATAGAAACTTCTGTAGAAAGAAGAAACTTCTGTAGAAACTGCCTTCTGTAGAATAAGCTTCTTTTTAAATACATCACTTTATTTTCACACAGCTGAATTTTAAAAATGGCTTGAGTACAGACTCAAAGAAAAGAGGTTAACCTAAGGACGTATTTAAGATAAACATGGTTAGCTGAAACTAAATATAAATGGAGGGTATATGCTGTGAATTTCAACTTACATACAATGTAATGTAATTTGCTACTACTCAAGCTTATTTACTTTGTCATTAGAATTGAAACAAAGCTATCTAGGTGTCAGACAGATATAAGCCAAATTATGCAGAATTTCATGGCTCCGTACAGAAAGGATTCTGTAGCTTATATCTACAGTATATGCATTAGGTAAATCTGAGTACTTTTTAAGCTTAGGACATATCTACTGGTTCTAGTAGTTGTATGTGTTTACGATGATAGTTTTCATTTTAACTTTGCATCTGGTAATCTTAGTTACTTAATATTTCAGTTGGAATGCAATGATGTGGTCTTGTTTTGGCGTATACAGCGCATGCTTGCTATCACCGCAAATACTTTAAGGCAACAACTTACAAATACTGAAGGTAAGCCACATAGGGACTGCAGTCTTATTTTGACATTAAAAAATAATAGTGGTAATATCCATATTTAATAGAAGGATGCCAAAATACTTCCCAAAAGTAGATTTATTAGAAAAACTGGCCAGGTGTGGTAGCTCATGCCTGTAATCTCAGCATGTTGAGAGGCCGAGGCAGGAAAACCGCTTGAGGCCTGTAGTTTGAGACCAGCCTGGGCAACATTGTGAGACTCTATCTCTACAAACAATAAAATAAATTAGCCGGGCATGGTGGCACACATCTGTAGTTCTAGCTACTTGGGAGGCTGAGATGGGAGGATCACTTGAGCCCTAGGATTTTGAGGCTACAATGAGCTATGATCATACTACTGCACTCTAGCCTAGGTGACAGAGTAAGACCTTGTCTCTTTAAAAAAAAAAGACAAAAATTATTATTTGCTTTTAAAATAAATCATAATTGGAAAAGATGGGTGATAAAACATACCAGGAGTTTATTTTCATTGCATGAAACTCTGTTGGGAATGGACTCCTAGGTATCACTTAGTTTTTTGGGAAATCTGCACTTCCATTAAAGTGTATAGCTTAAGAATATGACATTCTCTGAGACTATATAGGTTTCATGCTGATAAAACTACTGTATAACAGAGATTTTCTATGACTATGAAAAGTATTAGCAATAGTTCTAACATGATAAAAAATTTACTCTCCATATATATAGGTTAATTTTATCATCTTTATTCATTTATAAAAACGATGCTCCTCAGGTTTTTTAACTTTCTTTAAACAGTTAGGCGATTAGAGAAAAATGTTAAAGAGGTATTGGAAGATTTTGCTGAAGATGGTGAGAAGAAGATTAAATTGCTTACTGGTAAACGCGTTCAACTGGCGGAAGACCTCAGTGAGTAGTTCTTACTGCCCTCTACCTTACTACCTTTCCACCTTTCCCATTTCCATTTGTTTGTTGATCCATTTAATCTCAAACTTACAGAAAAGTTACAAGGAACTGGGCTGAGCACGGTGGCTCACGCTTGTAATCCCAGCACTTTGGGAGGCCAAGATGGGTGGAAAACAAGGTCAGAAGATCAAGACCATCCTGGCTAACACAGTGAAACCCCGTCTCTACTAAAAATACAAAAAACTTAGCCAGGTGTGGTGGTGGGTGCCTATAGTCCCAGCTACTTGGGAGGCTGAGGCAGGAGAATGGTGTGAACCCGGGAGGCGGAGCTTGCGGTGAGCCAAGATCCTGCCACTGCACTCCAGCCTGAGCGACAGGGCGAGATTCTGTCTCAAAAAAAAAAAAAAAAAAAAAGTTACAAGGAATTTTTTTCTTCTCTGAAGTATTTGAGAGTAAGTTGCTGACCTTAAGTCCTATCACTTCCAAGTAGGTTCATGTATAGTTCTTAGAAACAGATTTTCTCATAGCAACCGAACATTGATAAATTACAATATCTAATTCTCAGACCCCTTTCAAGTTTCACCCGTTGTCCCAGTATTATCCCTCCATATAACAAGATGTTCCAGGCTCAATACCTGACCCAGCTTCCTTTTTTTGAAGAATGGTGTTTAGAAATGGAGACCTAGAAATTATATATGCTGTTATTGGAATATCACTGTTCCCTGGTTTCTCAGTGGAAAGAGCTAGGAACTAAGTGTTGTGAATGTTTGTGTGTGTGCAGGTGAATATACACACACTGACATCTGTATTCCTAAATCATGTGTATATTTATTTATTAAAAACTGTGAGTTGATGCTGATACTTCCCATTTTAATCCAGCATTACAAGGTTTGTTCTAGTGTTCTCCCTTTCGATATTTGTCACTTGCTTTCCTGATAGAAAACGGGCTTCTAGTATCCTTAATATATTTTCATATTTTGGTCAGTCCTCCTATACGTAACCCAACTTGAATGAAGATATGTCCTTTTCCATTGCAGAAATGTTCTTTTTCCCCAGCTCGGACTCAACACTACACACCAGGCCACCACATGGCGCCGCACCCAGCATTGACACTTCTTTTACCTTGTCTGGGCTCTGACATCCGTGCCAGGTTGCTCTTCGTCATGGAGTCCCTTTTACTGAGCTCTGCTCTGACGCTTTGTGCCAGGTGCCTCTCCATCTCATCCTTCCCACCCGCTAGCCTCTGCCCGACCCCAGACAGATTCCTTCCTCACCTGAAGCCAGACCATGCCTTTGTGGAGATACCCTCTTTACCCTGCCTGTGCTTCGCCAGCCTGCACCAGGCCACCCTCCTGCACAGATACTCTCCTCAGTACTGGACCAGGCTACCAACAGCCCCATGTGAACCCATTGTAACCCAGGTCAGGCATTAACACCTGCAGTAGGCTACCATGGCTTCCCCTTCCCACCCCCCTAGCTTGGCCCTACTAATAATCACTTTGTCACTGTTTGGGGTTGATATTTGGTTGTTTCTTGTAGGTTCCTAGCTTTAAGATAGGATTGCATACTAAAATTTACTTAGATCTTTGAGAACTCAAGGAAATCAGTGAAACATTATTGTTATTAAATAAAAATAAAATACCTGTAGTTGGTACCTCTGTTTGAGCCTGCCTTGTTACAAGTTTCACTGACTTCAGCTTCGTGTAACAAAGTATCTTTTTCTTTCAACGTGTACTTAAATTTCCTGTCTTATTAGTTTTCTGATATCTAAAAGGAAAAAAAGCAGATATCGTTAATAAATTAGAAAGAAGTTCTGCAAATTTAAAAGTGCCTTCTAAGCTGAGTTGTAGGATTACAGTACAATCCATAGGGTTATCCTGAAGAAGCCAGGCAGGGCTCTTCTGTGTTACACCCTGTGCCTGCGCAGCATGCTCACCCCTTGCCATCAGCGCTTGCGGCCCCATTCTCTCCCTCTAGTAATAATCTAAGTTCTGCATTGCTTTCTCCTTTCCTTTTCTTTCTTCCTTTAAATATTCTTCTTTCGAGACATATCTCATTTTAACTTTTATTTTCATTTTCTGTCACTTTTGGTTTTTCTCATGCCACCTTGGCAATGTAGTTAAGTTTGTGCTAACGTAGAAGATTAGTGCTCAAATCTGAATTGCCATTTACTACTAGCTGTGTCATCTTCGGCAGGGAATCTCCCAGAGCCTTAGCTTCTTTATTTGTAAAATGACTATTATAGTGGTTATTTCTCAGGATTGTTAGAATTACTTCCGCAAACATTTGCAAGTCCCTGGTTCATAATTTCATGCTAAATTAGTACCGTTACAGGAAGTGGTATATCATTGTCACAGTGTATACAAATATATTTCTTTTATATCCCTCGTGATATAATTATCAAGACAGTGAAACAATTCAATGAATTTTACCAGCATAACACATTTTTAAGTGATTGGAAAATCATAAGTATCTTTTCTTATGTTTTTAGTAGAGGCTTTGCAACCCCATTACTCTCCGCTCCCAATTTGATTATTTAAAGGAAGTGGATTACTAACTCAGATATGTACACTGTCAAGCCAAGTTCTATGTTCTACTGCTGGTTTTCCTGAGAAAGCAGTCATATAACTCCCTTGAAATGATTTACTACTTTTGTACATATAAAATTATAATGGTGTTAATGTACCAAATAATGTCCTTGGAAGCAAGGGTTTTGCCAGTAACTCAGCTGCATCAGTCACCCTCAAGGAGATGAGCCATGACTTTGTTCATTAGTTGGAAAAGAGTCTGGAGAGTGCCTTTTCGTTACTGTTTATCTTTGGTCTGACACTTGGGAATAGGGTCATGGATACTTCAGCCAGAAAACTTTCCAAATTTAAGTTATTAATGTATTATAAGGATCAAAGTTTCTAGTATAGCCTGTTCAATTAGAACATAGTGTGTTGGTTGATTGGATTTGGAGAAAGGGAGGCAATCAAATTTTTACTACAGTTTCAGCCTGTTACAGAATATTGTATAGAGTGTTAAAATGTTGATGCATTCATATTTTTGCCAGTTTTAAGCTTGTACGATTTTAAATCATTTCCTTACCTTGGAGACTTCCCCCCCACCTTTTTTTTTTTTTTTGAGATGGAGTCTCGCTGTGTCGCCCAGGCTAGAGTGCAGTGGCACGATCTCGGCTCACTGCAAGGTGGTTCTCCCACCTCTGCCTCCCGAGTAGCTGGGGCTACAGGCGCCCGCCACCATGCCTGGCTTATTTTTTGTATTTTTAGTAGAGACGGGGTTTCCCCATGTTAGCCAGGATGGTCTCGATCTCCTGACCTCATGATCCGCCCGCCTCGGCCTCCCAAAGTGCTGGAATTATAGGCATGAGCCACCATGCCCAGCCCTGACTGCCCTTTAAGATGAGTACATAAGTAGTAGTAGTACATTTTTCTTTCACATCCTGGAGAAGATATACTGTGTTCACTATTGAAATGAAACCATAAAGCTAGAGTTAGGAAGATTGAAGAAATGAAAAAGGAGCTCACATGATTTTGTCTCAGGAGAGGCTCTTCCAGGATTCTTTGGAGATATGGTAGATTCCATAGCTGGAGCAGGGAAAGGACAGGATGAGCCTGTGGGTGTAGAAAGGAAGGGAGTGCTTGAAAGATGATGAGGAGATGTCAGCAGGTCACAGAAACCCTCTGAAGGAGGCTCCAACTGGCCAGGCTGGGGACAATTTGGGCCCCAAAATAATGACAGTAACAAATTGTAACTCATTGAATGAAATAGGAATCCATACATTGGTAATTATATAAATAAGGGAATAAAACCATGATGCAAAAAGGGATGTTTATGTCATCACGCAAAATATGTTCACAGAAAATATGTACTAATTAAAAGAGGGAAAAGAGTAACTTTACAGTGGATGAAGCCTGGCAATCATCACTTTAAGCAAGTGGTCAGAGTTAATATTATCAGTAATGGTCAAATCAAAACCATATGCAAGAAGACTCTAAAATGCAAGAAGACTCCTGAAGTACTTCTTACCAAAGATGTAGAACTTAAATTCAGTCATAACAATACATGAGACAAACCCAAGTTAGAGCACAGTCTGCAAAATAACTGGCCTGTAATCTTCAAATGCATCAAGATCATGAAAGACAAGGAAAGAGTGAAGAGCTGCTCCAGTTGGAAGAGACTTAAAACTAAATGCAATGTATGATCCTAGATTGGATCTTTTTGCTCTAAGGACATTAATGGGCCAGTTAGTGATATTTGAAGGGGATCCGAGGGTTCCATTGTAGTAATATATCAGTGTTAATTTTTAAATTTTTATTAGGTTGGGATTATTTTGGAAAATACCATTATTCATAGCGAATACAAAGTAGAATATTTGGGGATGATAATGCATGATTACAACAAATGTTTCAGGAGAAATATGATCTTTGTAGTGGTCTTGCAACTTTTCTGTAAGTCTGAAATTGTTTATGCATAAAAGGTTAAAAAAAGGTTAAATTTTGTTTTTATAACTAATAATGGATTAGGGTCATGTGAAAGTACTTTAGAGGAAATGAGACTTTTGAGAACATCATCCCTGAAGACGTTGAAACACTGAGTTACCTCATGGATAATTTAATAGGATATGCAGCTGATTTTTCTACCTTAATTTCTTGTTTGCAGTATCTACCCATACTTAGAATTGTCTGGTGTTAAAATATGCCCACTGGGACTTTCATGAAATTCTTTTGATTTTCTAGAAAATTCAGTTTCAAAGGATTTTTTAAATAGATATTTTAAGTTTGGTGTCAACTTAGATAAAATCTGTTTGGAGTCCCAGTGTAAGTTTTAGTAATGTGTCCAATCTGTTTATTGAAATAGTATAACTTTAGAATACTTTCTTTGGAGAGATGAAGATTGGTATGTTATAGTTCAATTCAAAGTTGTTCTTTCTATTATGATCTATTTTATAATTCATAAAATCTATCTTATGATTGTCATCATAAGTGCAATTTGTTTTTTGCCCCATTCTACCTCAGAAACTAAGTATCTGGGCATCAATAACAATTGGTAGTAGTGTTTGCTGCTAAGCCAAGTTTCACCAGTACAGTGTGGAATTATTTTATTGTTTTTTCTGTGAACATTGTATCTGCTGTTACTAGGTTATTGTGAGGTATTGGGCCTTCATAGAAATTGCCTGGAACCCTTGTTCACTAAAGCCTGTTACACTTTTTATTCTCTGTGCGTGTAATCAGAGACTTATTGATACTGACACATTCAAGGGGCATTATTGATCATTTAGATTGCTCTAAGACCTAAGGAGTCTTGGCCGGATGCGGTGCCTCACGCCTGTAATCCCAGCACTATGGGAGGCCGAGGCGGGTGGATCACCTGAGGTCAGGAGTTCGAGATCAGCCTGGCCAACATGGTGAAACCCCGTCTCTACTAAAAATGCGAAAATTAGCTGGGCATGGTGGCAGGCGCCTGTAATTCCAGCTACTCGGGAGGCTGAGACAGGAGAATCGCCTGAACCCGGGAGGCAGAGGTTGCAGTGAGCCAAGACTGTGCCATTGCATTCCAGCCTGGGTAACAGAGCGAGACTCCATCTCAAAAAAAAAAAAAAAACGAAAAACAAAAACCTAAGGAGTCTTTTCTCCTTATTTTACAATAAATTCCTTTTGATTTTGTGTAAAAACTTGAAACTGTTTATGAATGTAAAATAACATTTGAATACTTTTCTTGTGCCAGATATTAGGTTAAATGCTTTATGTGAATTTTCATTTGATTCTCACAACTTTTGAGTTAGGTAGTTATTTTTCTCATTTTACAGATGAAATGGAGGGTTAGGAACTCGTAGGTAGTAGATGCTGAAGCTGAGATTTGGGCCTGGGTCTTTTCACTACTGTGCCAGAATCATTTGGGAGGGAGTAAAAACTCAAGCCTTTGGAAAATATGATGACATAAAATTGTCCTTTATATTGAGAAGCTTCCATAGTTACCAGTGTCCTTCACAGGGTTGATCGGAAAGACATACATGTTAGTGATGATGATAATGATGAAGATAATCATTATTACCACAGGTACTTCCTATAATATAAGCATCTTTCAAATTGTATGAGAACTTTCATAGAACATCTGAGTAAATGAACAGTACAGTGTGCATGAAACCACTAAGCAAACCAAGGGAAGTTAATTTTCTTTATATGAATTGTAAACATGTCTCTAGATATCCTTTATCAGATTCCACCATGCGTAAGTAGTGTCTAAGTTGCCCCATATTTAGAGTTTTTCAATGAGGTTGTGTTCCTACTTAGAATCCTAAAGTTCAGCTATAACAGATATATTAATAAAATCTGTGGAATCTTTAATTGAGCATAATGGTGGCTGTTATTTTAACTTGAGGCTTTTTGTTGAGCTGGATTGGAAGTGCAACTTATTAGAAATTACAGTGTATTTATTCCTATTTCTTGTTCTTTATGTGAGAGAAGATATACTTTAGTAGACTGAATACTTCAGAGCTGTATCTCATTTACCAATAAAATGTGAAAACAGTGGTAAATTCCTTCACTTGGGCTACCATTGTACAGGCCTATTTTAATGGTATAGTTTGATATCCTTAATGTTAAAAGCAATATAGCTTAAAGAGGCTGGTAAATTAGAATTTTCCAATATCCTCAGCTTTTTTTCCTCTCACAGTTAATTTGCTCTGCTGACTCCCTACGCGAGGTGGCAACAGCTGGCCCTTTTACTGGAGCTTGTGGGGATTAGAGAGTCGGGCTCGCAGCAGCGTGCTCGGCCTCTTGCCTCTGTTGACTGTTCTTTATTGTTTGATGCCTGAGCATCTCCCAGACAGCGAGCAATTGTTTCTGGAAACTTAAAGTTTGTTTCTCTTGGGAGTAGACAATGCTTTTGGGGCTTGTCTTTGTGTTTCTTCACTTTCCCAGTCTCCTCTTATCCTTCATCCTGTGCTTTCTCTTGATAATTAGAAAGGAGCAAAGATACCACCTTTTTATTTAGGTCTGCATGAGATTCTAAAACTTAGAAGTATAGGCTATAGATGAAAGTTTCTTTTTTCAGTAAGCCACCTCAGTAACAAATCATGTTTTAAATGAAAACTTTGTTCTTCATAATATCATTTAGTGAGAGAAAACAAATGCATGAGTGCATTTTTGAAATTATGGTACTAAAAGGGAGCAGCAGCAAGGTGACCTAATACTGCCATTTTAAAAGCTAGGATTAGAAATGTATCATAACTGCTTAAATCTAAAAAGATTCTTTCACTGAATCCAAAATATAGTTCTAATTTATAGGATAGTTATAAGAAATCTCTATGCCATGTGGAAACATGAATAAAAAGTAGTCAGAACATAGCTAAATAGAACCCTGAGGTAGGCAGAATGATTTTATTCTTCACATTTAGAAAAGAAAACATCAAGGTACCCTGGAACTTAATTTCTACAGTGACTTCACATTCCGACACTTCTCCCATACCTGCCATACCCTTGAGTGTTGTTACGGATGAGAATATCGTCTGTGAAGTAGTATGAGATGGAAATTTTCCTAGAAAGATTATTGTACTCGGAATTTGGAACTGAAAAGTGTAGAAAGGGGAAGTGATGTGTTTAAAACTGTTTGCGGAGGTGGGGCTCTGCCATGTGTATTTTGACAAAGCTACACAGGTGATTCTTGCCATCCCCGATTACCGTGTACCCGCCTGCCCCTGAGCTGGCACTCCAAAGAGTTCTTTCAGTGCATAGCAAGACAATTTTTCATGCTATTAATTGGGATAAAATTGACATACATTCATTTGTAGAGTCTGAGACACAACGTCACTTTGGAAAATTTGGTGAGCAATTTGAACTGCATCTGCACTGGTGTGTTCTTTTTGTTTCTGTAGACTTAACCAAAGAAAATGAACTTTAAAGGGACTTTAAAGGCATCTGCACTGGTGTGTTCTTTTTGTTTCTGTAGACTTAACCAAAGAAAATGAATTTTAAAGGAAGAGAGGGTGATACCAAGTTGTAGAATTCTAGGTATGTAGGTTCAGAGGAGATTTTTTTTTTTTAAGAAAAAAAAAAAAAAAAAAAAAAACACCCAATCAAGAAGAATAGAGCAGGGTGTCCCGAAGAGAACGTGTGAGCTCGAAGCATCCCGGCAGCATCTTTCATATCTCAGTACTGTTGCTCTGTTTCTTGGGCTCACAACACCATTTCCTCTCTCCTGGCTTTTAACACATCTCGAGGCAACCTTTTCCCTTTCTTTTTATGCACTTCTCTCACTGCGTCTCTTCTATATCATCATCACTTCAACCTAACCCAGTATTTTTATCCCACCTGCTTATTTACCTTCCTTCAGTGACTAAAAACCTTACTCAGATACTGCCAGTGTTGTTTAATTGAGCAGAATAGAGGCTTCTCACTATAGGCAACTGTAAATCAATGAAAATAACCATTTAAAGAAGAAAAACATTTTCATGTCTATCACGGTCGATCCCTTCTGCCAAAGTGATTTGGTTCATTCATAAATTCCCCATACCTCGTGTGTTACATATTGTACTGTACACATTTACTGAATGTTCGATTGTGATCTTGTAATACAGACTGTTCATTAGCCCCCTTCTCTTGACTTAAAAAGTTGGGGGGAACTAACTCTTTTCATCCCAAGGAAACTTTCTTCTACTCTGTCTTGCCAGAAAGTTACTGCTCATTTCTCTTGTAGAGCAGCTTGCCTGTGTGGCATTCACTCCTGTTCTGCCCACTCCCTTCCTAATATCGTGCAGTCTGGCTTTCATCTATATCAAAACCACTTATTGATAGATCACCAATGATTTCCTAATGCCAGTCTACCCAGTTCACCAGGAAACTTTAATAACTTTTTATGTTTATTAGGAATTTTTAAGTTCATTGGAATACATTCAAGTACTTTTTGGAATGATTATATGATGTAGAAATGTGTATGTTTGAGAGACAGAAAAATTGATTTTTTTTTCCTCTTCACTACAGAATAAATAATGTATTTGTTTTATGGTAGCAATACTTGAACTCTTTAAGGCATCTTTTCATGGTAAATCTGGCAATTTTAAAAATCTGGGCTTTGTAAAATAATTTTTTTTATAGTAAGGCAGTTAACACATTAAAGCAACTAGGAAAGATAGTGAAGAATTATTTTTACCTTGAGTCTGTATAGATGAAGTAGGCTCTGCTTTGTGTTGGAACAGAACAAACAAACAAAAAAACCTGAGTTGATACAAAGATAAAGTAATCCTCAAGGAAAGTCCTCTCTGTTAGAGAAGTGGTTATTTACACACAGAATTCCACATGACAACGCCTGAGTGGTGTGGTTTCCAGGTTATTGATGAGAAAATCGAGACTCAAAATGGGTCTTTTAGAATGAAGTACATTTTTCATGGCCTAAGTCTGTCTTTAAAAGTCACCGTTGTGGCCGGGTGTGGTGGCTCACGCCTGTAATCCCAGCACTTTAGGAGGCCAAGGTGGGCGGATCACAAGGTCAGGAGATCCAGACCATCCTGGCTAACACAGTGAAACCCCGTCTCTACTAAAAATACAAAAAATTTAGCCAGGCGTGGTGGCGGGCGCCTGTAGTCCCAGCTGCTGGGGAGGCTGAGGCAGGAGAATGGCGTGAACCTGGGAGGCGGAGCTTGCGGTGAGCCGAGATCGCGCCACTGCACTCCAGCCTGGGTGACAGAGCAAGACTCGTCTCAAAAAAAAAAAAAAAAAAAAAAAAAGTCACTGTTGAAGAATATCAATAAATTAGTACAAGCGTAAAAGAACATTTTCTTTTCTATAATATTATACATGCTGCTGGTAATCAACACTTTACTAGCAAGTATATTCTTTTGCTTTAAACTCAAGTTTTAACTGATTAAGAATAAAGACAAGAATGTTCTCTACAATAATGTATGGATTGAATTTGCCATTTATCATTTTAATGTAGGTTTTACTTATATACTATTGTGAAAATACTCTTAATGTATTCAAAAGGCCAGTGCACAATTTTTTTTTCTTTTACTTCTTTTTTTTTTTTTTTTTTCTTTAGAAAGAGTGTCACTTGCTGCCCAGGCTAGAGTGCAGTGGTGTGATCATGGCTCACTGCAGCCTTGAACTCCTGGGCTCAAGTGATCTAATACCTTTAAAGTTGGGAATAAACTTTATCTTAAGCGTTTTTATTTTTAAATTATGTTTTTGCATATTTGATAGAAAAAGTAGAATGTAGTAATTGAAAACCTAATCACAAAACAATTCATTGGACTCTGCAACAGTATATAAAAAATAAAATTAAACGAGATAGGAAATCTTAAGGGATTGGTGGATTGATGCACATGAAACTGGTAACCTCTGTTAAGTACAGTTCTCCAGGTAGTTGGAGAAATTAGTTAAATGTGAAGAGAATTTTAATTTTGCACTATTTTGTACATTTCTAAACTGTGTCTCCCACAGCCCTTCTCCCCCAGTGAGCACGATTCAGAATTACTTTGAAATGTTGTAGTCTTAATTATCCTATTCATGGAAATGACGAAGCTAATACACGATGTGCTCTATCTTAAAAGTAACAGATATTTTCCCAAGTAACCTACTGCTGGTTGTGATGCTGAGGGACATTTCATGGGACTGCATGGTCGTTGCTCATCGTGATACCATCCTCAGTGGTTGGGGGATTCACAGTGAATTCTCATATCCTGTAACTATGCATCATGGATCTATCATCTGAAAATAAATCAAAATCTTTGTTGAACTCACAGTTTCCACACTTGTATCACCCATTTAAGATTGTTTCATTGTTACCTCCTGTGTACAGAATATTTCATTTCAATTTCTCTTAGAACAGCTCATTCATCTATTCTCTAGTTTCAATATTCTGAGCAGTAGAAGTTTGCTGTTTTGATTAACTTCAGTTAGATCTCTTTTCTGGGCCAAGAATTAAAGCCATTTTATCTTTAGTCTCTCCTTTTGTTGGCACTGCTTCATAGACTGTGTCATATATACAGATCTGTCTTTAGACTGATCTTTACCAAAGTACACTACTGGAATTTGAGGGTTTTTTTTTTTAACATCCTTTTCATTATGAGAGAGCTAGTGTATATGCATTGTGGGAAATTAGAAACTATAGATGGCAAAATTTTAAAAAATAATTGCCACCACCCAGAGATTGCACTGTAGTTTAAGACACTTTTGAATGTGGTCCTAGGGACATAATTTCTGGAACACATTTTTCGTGAAGAGGTCTCAGGTTGGCTTCTTATACCCACAGCTCGTTGTCATTGCCCCTAGTTTTAATTTCCCATCGCTCAGTGGGCTAGATTTTTTTTCATTTTCTTCATATAAACTTATTTCAGAAATGTTCATTAAGAGGAATAAGCAGCATTAGTAAAAATGAAACCTATGGTACCCATTACTTTATATAGTTCAAGTATTCTGGAAGCCATATTGTAGCATAGCATGTACTGAAAATCACTCTCCTTTGAACAGTAATCCCATACCTGTATTTGGGACCTGGCCTTCCTTTGTGTGCTTGTGTATTCATTATATCCCCTTTCTCTCTTCAAAGATGCTCAAGTCATTCTCATCTTAAAACTAATGGGTTGAACCTTCCATGCAGTCTAGTAGCTACTGTGAACTCTAATCTCTATTACAAAGGTTAGCTCTTTGAGTCTCACTTCTACTGAAGTTGTTTTTTTTTCCCAAGATTACTGAAAATTTAAGAGAAAATAATGGCCCAGGCATGCATTCAGGACTAGAAAATACTTCCATGTACAGAAAACCAAACACCACATGTTCTCACTCATAAGTGGGAATTGAACATTGAGAACACATGGACACAGGGAGGGGAACAGCATACGCCAGGGCCTGTTGGGGCGTGGGGGGCGAGGGGAGGGAACTTAGAGGACTTAAGTGCAGCAGACCACCATGGCACACGTATACCTGTGTAGCCTGCACATTCTGCACATAGAGCCCGCTTTTGTTTTTGTTTTTGTTTTTAAGAAGAAATAACGGGGAAAAAAAAGGTTTCAAAACTCATAAAGAAAGAGAAAGAGAGGGAGGGAGGGAGGGAAGAAAATGCTTCCATGTAACTGCATCATTTGGTACTTTGGAGTCCATATCCTACTTGAAACTCTAGGATCTGGCCCTCACATTTATGTAGTGCTTTATTTTACAGTTTACAAAACTTCTGCTTGTCCATGTGTGTCTGTAAAGTCATATGAGGCATTATGCCCATTGTTCAGATAGAGAAATTAACGTTCATTGACATAAATGGTTAAGCCCATTATGTAAATATTTATGGCAAAGCTGGGGCTAATCATATGTGTTACAGATAGGACTTTTTTTAAAGAATTGTTTAGGTATTCTGTTCATCATTAGTCTCTGGGTTTGTGTTTGTGGTAACCATAGACAACCAAGTTCATATAATTTGGCTTCTTTTTTATGTGATTTTTGATACGTGTTAAGGATCTATAACAATGAATTTGCCTCCTAAAGAGGTACATAATGTTTTCATTCCTCCAAAAAGATAATTCTAGGTTTATAAATCTATGTATGCTCAGTGCCAGTTGAATTTTGTGATTGTTCAATAGAAAAGAAATTGTGACTTAAAGGTGATTTTCCAGTTTAATGGAATAAATGAAATTAGTTTAGAAGTTATTTTTATTTTTCTGAGCCTGATTCTCACTCAGTTGTGATAAACAGCACCTCTGTAAGATAAACTCGGTGATAAACCGAGAACTTCTGAAATCAGCCTAACATGAATACCTGTTCTTCTTGTGCTAAGTTTCATAATGCTTTATCCTAATACACCATTTTTTTAAGAAATGGAACTTGTATTTCATTTTTGCTTTCATCTCACCTAATTCATAATTTTATTAAAACCTACGATTTTTAATTTCTTTTTTTATGAATTTTTAGTTTGGTGTATAAATCAGAATTACATTCTCTGATCTTTTACTTTTAAAATTACAGTGATGAACTGACTGTTTAAGAATCATTCTCATGATTCATTCGTCTGTTATGCCTCCTTTTTAAAGCTTCAGCACTGAAGGTCTTTTGACAAACCAATATTTATAACAGTTTGACAGCAGGATGAGGAACAGCGTTTGTCTTTGTAACAGCTTGAAGAAAGACCCTTTCCAGGACCCAGTCATGCAGTTACAATCTTGACCTCTTTCTTATGCTGGGAACATGCATACAGCAGCACCTCCCATGTGTTTTCTTGTCCCATTGACTGTCCATTCACTTCCCATCTGTTTTGCAGTCTTAAAGGAACAGAAGGGGCCTTCTTATAAATCTGTCTTTGCAGGTGATAAATGATGCCTACCTCTTTAAGAGCTGCCTGGGTGGTTTTCCTTTTCTTAGAACATTTCTGCTTTCCTCCTAACTAAATCAGGGAAAAATACAATTTTAGGAATAAGAGAAAAAGAAGAAAAGATGAATTTTTAAAGCATTTAATTGACTAAGAATATTTTACTGATCTTTTTTAATCTTCCCAATTAATTGCCTAAATCATATTTTTTAAAATGTATTATCGATATTTAGATTTTTGTCAGGGAGTAAAATGAATGTATTCATTTTGAAATAATGTAACTCTTTTTTGAGAAAACAAAGCCATGTATCATTAATGAGTTAACATATAAAATAACTTTTTAAGTTTTTTGTGATAATTTAAGTGTGGAGCATCTTATGTATTGGATACAAAAGTAAAATATTTCAGAGTAAATCATTGTAATCTTATGGTAAAATCTATTCATTTTTTACATTTAAAAAGATGATCATAAATCCCATAAACATTTATGCTTTTACTTCTGTTGCTGAAAATAAGTATTGTAGGAATAGATATTGATATCATTGGGTTTTCTAAGAATTCAGCAGAAATAAAAATAATTTACTTTTTCTCCCATGCAGAAATTATTTATGCAAGGTTTTATGTAACAAATATTGTCCCTCTATGGCCCTGCAGAATATTCTTAAATTACTGATTTAAAAACTATTACCAGTATAAAATGACCACTTTTAGAATATTGTGGTGTATTATGTGAATCAGCTGGCTAATAATATATCTTCTGTGGACTAGCTTGTTAGTTTGTTTATTAATTCCCTGGCATATTCCAAAAGGAATTTGAGGCAGCTTACATATATCCTACGCAAAAGATAAAACTACTTAAGTGAAAAATTTGGGTTGAAAGAAAAGGAAAATCCAGGCAAGTGAAATAAAGTAAACTTTCAGATAAAATTGGTGCCCCTCAAAGTGCATGCTCAAGGGTTCTACGTACAGGCAGACCTCATTGTATTGCATGTCACTTTATTGCACTTCACAGTTATTGCATTTTTAACAATAGAAGTTTTGTGGCAACCCTGCATTGAACAAGCCTGTTGGCACTATTTTCCCAACAGCCATGTGCTCACCTCATGTCACTGTCACATTTTGGTAATTCTTGCAATATTTCAAATTTTTCCATTATTATTCTGTCTGTCATGGTGATCTTTGATGTTTGTATTGTAGCTATTTTGGGTACCACTAACTGTGCCCATATTAGTCAGTGACCTTAATCAGTAAACGTGTGTATTCTGGCTGTTCCACCAACTAGACATTCCCTGTCTCTCTCCTCCTCTTCAGGCCTCCCTATTCCATAGGACACAACAATATTGAAATTTGGCCAGCTAATAACCCTACAATGGCCTCTACATGTTCAAGTGAAAGAAAGAGTGCCATATTTCACTTTAAATCAACAACTAGAAATGATTAAGCTTAGTAAAGGAGGTTTGTTGAAAGCCAAAATGGGCTATTAGCCAAATTGTGAATGCAAAAGAAAAGTTCTTGAAGGAAATTAAAAGTGTTATTCCAGTGAACACACGAATGATAAAGCAGAACAGCCTTATTGCCTGAGACGCAGGAAGTTTCACTGGTCTGGATAGAAGATCAAACCAGCCATAACATTCCCTTAAGCTAAAACCTAATCCAGAGCAAGTTCCTAACTCTATTCAATTCTCCGAAAGCTGAGAGGTGAGGAAGCTGCAGAATAAAATTTGAAGCTAGCAAAGTTTGGTTCATAAGGTTTAAGAGGAAAAAAGCCATTCTGCAACATGAAAGTGCAAGGTGCTGATGTAGCAGCTGCAGCAAGTTATCAAGAATATCTAACTAAGATAATTGATGAAGGTGATTATACTAAACAACAGATTCTTGATGCAGATGAAGTAGCTGTCTATTGGAAGACGATGCCATCTAGTAATTTAATAGCTAGAGAGAAGTCAATGCCCAGCTTCGAGGCTTCGAAAGAGAGGCTATCCCCTCATTTTGGGTGCCAATGCAGCAGGTGCCTTTAAGTTGAAGCCAACCTAAAGAATTTACCATTCTGAAAATCCTAGGGCCCTTAAGGATTATGCTAAGTCTATCCTGCTTGTTTTCTAAAAGTGGAACAAAAAGCCTGGATGACAGCACATCTGTTTACAGCATGGTTTACTGAATATTATAACTCTCGAGACCTGCTCAGAAAAGTTTTCTTTCAAAATATTACTGCTCATTGACAATGCATCTGGTCAAGCAAGAGTTCTGAGGGAGATGTACAAGGAGATTTATGTTGTTTTTGTGCCTGCTAGCACAACATCCATTCTGCAGCCCATGGATCAAGGAATACTTTCAACCTTGAAGTCTTATTATTTTAAAAATACGTGTCTTAAGGCCCTAGCTGCCATAGATAGTGATTCCTCTGATGGATTTAGGAGAAAAAAAAAGGAAAAGCTTCTGGAAAGGACTCACCATTTTAGATGCTGTTAAGACCATTCAGGATTCATGGGAGGAGGTCAGAATGTCACCATTAACAGTTTGGAAGAAGTTGATTCCAACCCTCATGGATGACTTTGAAGAGTTTGGGACTTAAGAGGAGGAAGTAACTGCAGATATGGTAGAGACAGCAATAGAACTAGAATTAGTTCTGTTGTAATATGATAAAACTTGAACAGATGAAACATTGCTTTTTATGGACAAGCAAAGAAAGTGGTTTCTTTTTTCTTTTTTTTTTTTTTGGCAGTCTCAGTTTGAAGAAAGTGGTTTCTTGAGATGGAATCTGTTCCTGGTGAAGATGCTGTGAACATTGTTGAAATGGCAGTAAAGGATTTAGAATATTACATAAACTTAGTAGATAAAGCAGCTGCAGGGTTTGAGAAGATAGTGTCCCAATTTTTAAAGAAGAAAAATTTGAGTAAATTTGGGTAAAATTTACCCAAAATTACCTATTGTGGGTAAAATGCTATCAGACAGCATCACATCCTACTGTGAAATCTTTCATGAAAGGAAGAATCAATCAGTGCAGCAAACTACAATTGTTGTCTTATTTTAAGAAATTGCCATAGCCACCGTAACCTGCAACAGCCACCACCCTGATCAGTCAGCAGCCATCAACGTCAGGGCCAGACCCTCCACCAGCAAAAAGATTATGACTTGCTGAAGGCTCAGGTGATCCTTAGCATTTGTTAGCAATAAAGTACTTTTAAATAAGTTATGTACATTGTCTTTTTAGACATAATGCTATTACACACTTAATATATTACAGTATACTGTAAACGTAACTTAAACGCACCGGAAAACCAAAAAACCTTATGTGACTCACTTTATTGTGATATACGCTTTATTGTGGCAGTCTAGAACCAAACTTGCATATCTCCCAAGTATGCTGGGACTTTGCTAGAGGTAAGCTGCAAATTTAGCCCTCAGTTTCCTGGTGGCTGGCAGTTACAAAATGGAAAGCAGAGGTCATTCCATCATTCATGGTGGCCATCAGACAACAACACAGCAGTTGCTTAGGAGAAGCATGGGTCTTCTTCGTACGCACAACTGAGAGAAATTTCCCTTAAAGTGGACACTGAGTTAGATGATACAATGAATCTAATGGCTACACATAATCATGAAAATCATGGGGCCCTTTATTGTAATGTTTCTCATGCGGGCTAACATGCGTAGTTCTAGGGAAAATATGATGCTGTCCAAACATACAGCTATTTGGTTTGGCTTATCTAAAGATAAAATACATAGTATCCAGAGAAATAGATGAACTGTATGTCCTCCATACAGTCTCCCATAAATATTATTTCTTTTTGCAGCTGATCCTTTTAGTAAATATCAGGTAGCCAGAAGTTCAAGATTTTACACTCATTGACATTGACAAGCACCTGGAATGGTACTACCTTTTTTTTTTTTTTTTTTTTTTGAGACAGAGTCTTGCTCTGTCACCCAGGCTGGAGTGCAGTGGCATGATCTTGGCTCACTACAACCTCCGCCTCCTGGATTCAAGTGATTCTCCTGCCTCAGCCTCCCAGGTAGCTGGGATTACAGGCGCCCGCCACTACGCCCGGCTAATTTTTGTATTTTTAGTAGAGATGGGTTTTCGCCATGTTGGCCAGGGTGATCTTGAACTCCTGACCTCATGTGATCCACCCGCCTCGGCCTCCCAAAGTGCTGGGATTACAGGCGTGAGCCACTGCGCCCAGCCAAGTACTATTTTTATTAGTTAAGTCAGAGCCATAATCATTATAACTGAGCTGAAATTAGAATTGCCATCCACTTAAGAAAGTTGAGTGGTCTAACAAGTATAAAAGCCTAAATATAAGGCTAATTCATGTTCATACTGAAGCCTTTTGGGGAATAGGCCTTAAAATATGTAGAAAGTATTTGAAGCGGTTTTAATTGTACTAGCCAAAAGGAGCCTAGTAGAAATGCTTGTGTTATAAGAGTTTATTTTTTAAAAAGCTGAATTTATCTGACCAGGCGCGGTGGTTCACGCCTGTAATCCCAGCACTTTGGGAGGCCAAGGCAGGTGGATCACGAGGTCAGGAGTTTGAGACCAGCCTAGCCAATATGGTGAAACCCCATCACTACTAAAAATACAAAAAAATTGGCCAGGCATGGTGATGCCTGCCTGTAGTCCCAGCTACTCCGGAGGCTGAGGCAGAAGAATCATTTGAAACCGGGAGGCGGAGGTTGCAGTGAGCCGAGATTGCGCCACTGCACTCCAGCCTGGACGACAGAGCGAGACTCCATCTCAAAAAAAAAAAAAGCTGAATTTATCAACAAATTGCTGTGGAGTTTTTTATATATTCAGCAGGCATCAGTTGTAATTTACCTCACAGACTTTCTTAAGGTTGCTTTCTTTCTAAATTATACTTTATGGGGGTCACAAAATAGCAATTTTTAAATAATCACCTTTAATGATTAAGTATTGTTTAAGTCAGATCACTCAACTATGAATGCATGAATATTCATGGACATCTATTACATAGCAAGCAGTGCTATGCTGGGCCGAGTGATTTTAAATGACAGACTTTTTGGTAAGTAGAGAATTTACCCAAGCAGTCCTTGCTGTTCTCCACATTAATGCTCAGAAAAAATACATTATAAAAATGATCTTTCCAAAATGAATTATGAAGCCCCATGAGAATGATATGGCAATTTGTGGTTACATATTTTACTAGAGGATTAATATCCAATAAATAAAAAGATACTAAGGAATAAACAAAAAAAATTTAAAAGATGAAGTATATAATGAATTAGAACAATACATTTTAATCATAAGTTTTAAATTAGTGTGGACTTTGAATTCTCCTGGACAGATTCCTTCATTTTATAGATAAAGCTAGGACTGTGACTTATCCAGTTATGAGGTTAACGGCGAATACAACATTGTCATATATTTTAAATGACACACATTACAACATGTTCTCTGCTTTATAAAAATCATATCAAATAATTGCCCCATAGATTATTAAAGGTGTTAGACTAGGGATTCTTAAAAAAAATTTTCATCAAATGTTTCTTTCATTATTAATCCCATGAAGTCCATGTTACAGAAGATTTTGTCTACAACAGTGCAGTTACATTCTTCTCGTTAGAAATACAACCACCAGTTAGAGTTCCTAATCAGTATAAGGAAGTAGTTGTTAGGAGAGGGGATGGGTTTCTTGTCCAAATGAAGTTTTCCATTTGAGTTTTTGAAGTAGTGAAACTAACCCAGCGTTTACAGGCCCCAGAAATCTGGGAACCTCAGCTTTCAAAGTACTGTACCAGTCTTTAACAGTTTTCCTGGACGTGTGAATTGATGCCTCCTTCTGTAACATGCAGGAGTGTTCTGTCTGTCTTCATTGAGTGTTAAAAAATAATCATGCCTATTTCAAGGAAAAAATCTACAGAACTAAGATGCAGAAGATAAGTGCTAGATTTAATCATATTCCTTCATCTATCTGTTTGGTTCAACCTTTCATCAACTAAAAGATGCACCTTTTTTCTTGTGCTAACTCTAAGATTTTAGCTACAGTTTTGAGAATCTTGAGTGTAGTCTCTTGTTTACCTTTTTTCCTTTTTTTGTTTCCCCCACACCCTAGATTCATTTAAATACTGAACTTCTAAAGGGCAAGTATATAGTGTAGTTTAATAAAAAGCAAACCTTTTCATGAACAATATATATTACATAATAAGAAGCGTTCCTTTACTTTTCAGTACTCTAGTGAATAGCTTTCTACAGTAGAATCTCACTTAGAGGGTGTCTTAAAGCTTAACACCAAGTGCTCAGGCAGCATGTTATACAACAGTTCCATTAAGGTACATTTGGATCTTTGGATGTGTGGTTTGCTTAAAGTACACTGCATTAGTAAGTTGGCAGCTTGCTTTCTTTAAAAACATCAAAAGTTTTAAAAGGTTTATTTCAGGGCATGTGTTAGTGTTTTGTGTGTGGTTCTTTGTTCCTGTTCTAAACTGTTATTAACCACTGAAGTGAACCTTCTCCCGGGTTTGGCCTTTTGGTATTCACAGTGTATTCAAAACCTAATTACAGATTAGTCTATATTTGAGACTTTTAGAGCAAGTATCAGAAGACCCAAAAAGAAAATGAGAGTAGCAGTATCATTTCATGTAGAGATAAAGAGACCCAAAACATGAATGGGTGTCAAGTCAGCTGAAGAAAAGAAAAAAGAGAAGGAACTTCATTCACTGAGACGGTTTATGAGTTGGGGATTATGGGAATATTCATGACTCAATCAAGAAGCACAGTGAATTGATGTTTGAAATAGCTCATCTTTTAAGTAAACATTGGATAAATGGAAAGTAGACTCAGTATTCACTACACGTAGAAATAGCTATTTCTGTATAGCAGAAATAGCAGTTTGTTAATCCCTTCCTGAGTTGGTTTAATTTACCAAGTAAATCACAAATTTTATTCTTTATTTGTGAATATTTAATTCAAATATTTAATGGAAATATGAGTTTGCTTTATAATTAGTCATGCTGATCCATACACGTATTTCTGAGAGAAAGCAATTTCTAATGGTGAAATAGTTACAATAATATTTTTGAAATTTGAAAGCACCGTGATACTGAAGCATTAATCTGAAGGATCGGAAAGTAGGGAGTTTTTGTTGCCAACATTTAACTTCATTGTTTATGGATAACTTGGTTTTCTGGGCAGCCAGATGGCACAGTTAGTATACAGACATTCTTGGAAACTTGTATCAAAATTTAAAATGAATGAATTTATGAGAAATAATTCTGCTTATTATTTGTAATGTAGCTTTCTTGAAAAGCAAGAAATCGGAATGTAGTTTCTAAAGCTGCAAGTGAATATGTATACATAGCCAGCTCTTTCAGCCTTGATAATAAGGTGCAACCATTAAGATGAAGGGATTTTTTTTTCCCACTTGTGTTTTTGGGCCCGAGTATCCTGATCTGTGTTGCTTGTCTGGTTCAGGTGTGAGCCACCAGCTTTCTTTGACTTTCATTATCTATGTGTATCTTGCCTCCTGTTCCCAGGCTTGCTCTAGCTCTTCTGATCCTGTCTTCCTCCCTCTTGATCACTAGTGTAGTATTCATGAAGCCAGCTAAGTTAGTTTTTCCCTTTGAAAACCACAGCCCTTATCTTCTGTGCCATATTTTGGGCAACTTCGTTTATCATTGATTGACCGTACGCAGTGATCAGGCCTTGTTCTAGACACTGAAGACTCTGAGCATTTTTGGGCCCATTTTGTACTCCTGTATTGTTCTCCAGGGGCTTCTCCAAGTGTGCGTCAATTTAGTCTTCTCAAGAGGGCATCATTTTCATCAGAATATGATAGCATATTATGGAGTGTCCGGTCATCCTTAGGCATAGACTACTTAGGAGGTGTAACTGTTTTGTTCCCTGATTTTTACTGAAATGGGTCTTTTCTTTTTTTTTTTTTTTTTTTTTTTTTTTTTTTTTTTTTTTTTTTTTTTGAGACAGAGTCTCGCTATGTCACCAGGCTGGAGTGCAGTGGCATGATCTCAGCTCACTGCAACCTCCGCCTCCCGATTCTCCCTGAAATGCGTCTTATTTTAAGTCAAAGGTAATACTTAAAAAAGACCAAAGAGACTTAAAATAACAGCATTTGCTTCGTCACTATGAGCTTTGTTATTATGAGTTAACATACAGTAGCAGACTGGGTGTAGTAGCTCACGCCCTGTAATTCCAGCAGTTTGTGAAGCCGAGTGGGGAGGATTGCTTGAGGCCAAGACTTCGAGACCAGCCTGGGCAACATAGTGAGACCCCCATCTTGACAAAAAAAATTGTTTTAAATTAGCCAGGTGTGGTGCTGCATGCCTGTGGTCCCAGCTACTTGGAAGGCTAAGGTAGGAGAATCGCTTGAGCCTGGGAGGTCGAGGCTGTAGTGAGCCGTGTTTGCATCACTGCACTCCTGGGTGACAGTGCAAGACTCTGCGTCAGACAAACAAACATCGTAGCAGATGTGTTTCTTAATCAGAGAAGTGTAGACAAGGCTAACTCCAGGCTTTAATGTCCTCATATTTAGCAATGATACCTGCAAGGTTGTATGAGAACCAAATGAAACGCCAAATTTGGAAATACATAGTAGATACATCATAGCAGAGTAAGCCAGGAATGCTTCTCAAAGGTAGGATATCATCTGTGTCCTCATATCACTTTATGAAGTACATTGTGAAAGTGAAAGAACAAAGAAATAAATGTTTTTTAGTTAATGTTTAAAGGATACATTTATCATAATTGCTCTTTTAACACTCACCTCCAGTCTCCCCTCCGTTCACACCTCCTACCCCCATTACTTCCTGGTAACTTAGTTAAGTGTCCTTTGTCATTCCTGAGGTTTCAAGGCATGGTAGTACTGTGTCCTGATATTCTAATCGTAAATATTTAAGGGAAATTCGGCATTTTTTCATTTTGTGGTTTTCATATTAAAGTACATTAAATAGTCTTTTTGCTTTTATTTAGGAAAAAAACTGCTTACCTGTTAATTTTAGAAAAATCTGATTTTCATTTAGACCTTACAGGGTGAGACACCTGCATCAGGGTGGCTCTTGGTATCTTTCAATTCAATTGGATCTTCTCTGAATAGTCTCTTGTAGGGAGTGAGGCTGCTGTACCACCTCCCTGCAGTAGTCCATCCAGCTTAAGATGGGGGTCACCAGTAGGCCAAAAGAATGGGTAGACCTGGCCATGCACTGCCCTATTGTACTCAAATCGTGTATCAAATGGAGTTGGATTTCTTCTCTTCATACAGTACAGCATTTCCAAGTAGAAATATTTCTCAATGAAATGTGGAGAGAAGCACCCGTTTGAGATTCCCGTGTGTTGTGTGATTTAAGTTAGATGGTTTTTTAAGACCACATTCATTTCCAGCATTCTAGGTAACAATTTAGAAAATGTCTTTCTCCTAACCTCCCCACTTTTTAAAAATCCTCCAACTGATGAACTGATGTGAAACTTTCTTACATTCACTGAAAAAAAAAAAAAATAGGTTAAGCTGTTTCTAAGCAACTAGATGAATTAATTTTTAAACTAAGAATGTGGCCTTATTTTGGGAAAACAAGAATATTTACTTGTTTGTCTGCTGTTTAAAAAATGGAAGTCAGCCTACCAAAAAATTGAGACTCAACTTCTAGGAGATGGGTTAGGATTTTTTTTTTTAAGTTTCTCTAGTTTAATTTTATATATAAGGGGTTAATGCTACCTTCATAATAACTATTATCATATTTTCTCAATACATAGCTTGATTAAAACAACTGGACTCCCCCCCCACCCCACCCCACACACACACAGATTTTATATCAGTCTGAATCTAATGCCTAGAATAAGAAGTGCTTCAGCCAGGCATAGTGGCACTCACCTGTAGTCTCAGCTACTCAGGAGGCTGAGGCAGCAGGATCAATTGAGCCCAGGAGTCTGAGTCTAGCCTGGGCAACATAGTGAGACCTAGAAGTTTTAAATTACTGGAAAAATAATATGAAAAGAATAAATTACTGGAAAAAGAATATGAAAATGTTACGTTCTTTATATCCAACCGTGGTAGGCTTTTTTGAGTTCCTGCAATGCTAATAAGAATTCATAAAAAGGACAATTCTTCATTTTCTTGGGTACTCATCACTAATAGCTGCCTCGCTGGTAAAAAGGAATACATGTATCTTCAATTGCAGATTATTTACTTTTAAATATAAAAGATATAAATGTCAAATATTAAATGCATCTTACATGGTTTTCCTACATAGTGAAAGTAGAATGCTTGCCAGTTTTGCCTCTAGGTCACTCACTTTGAACCAGCCAACCCACCTTAATTGATCATTTCCACTAATATGTTAAATTACCTTAAAAGAACAAAAATATTTATCATGCTTACTATAACCTGTGTTTTAAAATAGGAGGCCAGGCACAGTGGCTCACACCTGTAATCCCAGGACTTTGGGAGGCCAAGGCAGGAGGATCACTTGAGCCCAGGTGTTCAGGACCAGCCTGGGCAACAAAGTGAGATCCTATCTCCACAAAAAAATTAAAAATAAAAACTTAGCCAGGCGTGGTGGCACGTGCCTGTGGTCTTAGCTACGTGGGAGGCCAAGGCGGGAGGATCACCTGAGCTCAGGAGGTTGAGGCTGCAGTAAGCCCTGCCAACACCACTGCACGCCAACCTGGGCGACAGAGTAGGACCCCCATCTCAGAATATAAAATAAAGTAGGAGGTGCATGTGAAGTAGTATAGATCATGACTTTTCCAATTTTAAGAGGGGATTGGCATGTACTATGAGCAGTTCACATTTGTGGAGGAAATCTACATTTCAGAGAGTATATATTTCATTTGGAAGTCTATAAACATGAAAACCTAAAATAAATAATGTAAATCTACCTCTAGTGGCTCTGGTATTTTTAAACTTATTTATAGCTGGCAAAGTACTTTTTTGTATGTATTTTTATAGCACCATTGCACTTCTCATGTTTGTTGCAAGCATCTCCCACAGCTTCCTTTGTCTTTTAATTTTATGACATATAAATAAAAGTATACATTTCAATATGGCCATATTGATTGATCTTTTCCTTTGTAACTCTTACTACTTTATATTTAAAAAGTCATTTCCCAGTCTAAGGCCACCTCTATTTTCTTTTAGTTTTTTAAAATGGTTTCATTGTTTTATATTTGCCTATGATCCAGACATTAGTAACTGTGGGTTCTTAATTGGGCTTCAGAGAATCTGAGAATTCCTTAAAATTCTCTACATAATTGTACATGTACTTAATACATGCTTTTTTCCATGTTAAGAGTCCAGAGTTTTTGTTAGATCCTCAAAGGGGTCAGTCAGTCTCTCCTCCCACTTCCAAAAAATGTCTGAGACCTACTACTATAATCCATCTGGACTTTATTTGGGTAAAAGGTGGTATGGTGAGACTCATATTTTTCTTTTTCCCGCAAATAGTTAAGTATACCAACCATTTAGTAAATAATTACCTCCTGATTTGTGATACCTTTGAAAAATAAATGTTTTTCTTTATTTTTATCTCCACAGAGAAAGTTAGAGAAATTCAAGAAAAACTTGATGCTTTCATTGAAGCTCTTCATCAGGAGAAATAAATTAAGTGAGTAAAAATTCTCTAACTGTATTGGTGCTGACTAAATACAAAATTACACTTTTCTTAATAGTTTATCATTCTGCTTCATTTACATCCTGCTTGTCACTTATGCTGTAATTTCAATGGCATGAATCTCTGAAACTAGCTTCCGAATTTCATTTGTATAACGTTGCTTTGAATAACTTGATTGCCTTCTGGCTGAATTAAGAATATCCTCTAGAACTCATTTTGAATAGAACAAAGGTGAACACAGAGCTAAGATATTGTATAATATGCAGGTGACTCATTTTCTAGGTGTAAAGAATTGAGCTGTAGTTGACATTACTTTATTCTTCTTGCCTATAGTCTATCAATAATGATGTGTATGTTAAATATTTAACTTAGAAAGTTTTCTGTTTGACTTAATTAAAATTTTAATAATTGTTCTTAATCCTTATCTCTTTTGTTTAAAAACATTTAGATAAGTGTTTTTCCTACTTAATTTATATAGCCTTAGAATTTAGTACTCCTTGAATTTACTTTCTTGTCTGATTCTGCTTTCTGGCATTAGAGGCATGTTCCTAATAAAATACATATTTAAGGACTTTTCCTTAGTAGCATAATCAATTAATTGTTGCTGAAGAATTTTAATCAGTAAGTCACTTGCTTGAGAGGAGACCTCGCTCTGCCACCCAGGCTGGAGTGCAGTAGTGCAATCACTGTTCACTGCAGCCTCAACCTCCTGGGCTCAAGCAGTCCTCCCACATCAGCCTCTCAAGGAACTGGGGCCACAGGCTCATGCCACCATGCCCAGCTAATTTCTTTAATTTTTTGTAGAGATGGGGTTTCACCCCGTTGTCCAGGCTGGCATTTGCTTTTATAAAAGAAGTTGAGGAAAGAAAAATACTGTAGTTAAGTCATTATCACTTCAAATATTTTGTCACTTTTGTCTGTGACCCTTACCCTACAGACAGCCTGCAGCAGGCTCAGAACTAGAAGGAGTAGAAATGTAAAAGGTTCCCTCCCTGGCTACGCTCGGTTCAGGTCAGTTCAGAAAAGGCTCTTAAACCAAACTACCTACTTTCCTGTCAGGAAAATGTATTTGAGAAAGCAGGGTGGAAAGGGAAGTACAACTTCCATGGTACATCATTCGGAACAGTGTGCCAGCAAAGGAGGAGAGAAACAAGACCTAGAAAACTTGAAAATAAAGCTTTGTAACTTTATTTCATTTGTTTCTTTAGTAAGTTAAGACAGGCCAGTGCGGTGGCTCACTCCTGTAATCCCAGCACTTAGGGAGACCAAGGCGGGCGGATCACTTGAGGTCAGGAGTTGGAGACCAGCCTGACCAACATGGTGAAACCCCGTCTCTAATAAAAATACAAAAATTGCCCAGGTGTGCTGGCACATGCCTGTAATCCCAGCTACTCGGGAGCCTGAGTCAGGAGAATCACTTGAACCTGGAAGGTAGTGGTTGCAGTAAGCAGAAATCGTGCCACTGCACTCCAGCCTGGGCGACAGAGCGAGACTCTTGTCTCAAAAAAAAAGTGAAGACAGATATATGGAAATATACAAAAATACATAATCATCTTTAACACAAGCTAAACATAATTTTTGTGTTTTATAAGTGTCCGTGTTCATAAATGTTTTCTATGTCTTTTGTGTATGAATATTTTATTTTAAAACCATTAAGTGTTACAATATCACCCTAATCATGGTGGTTACCGTGAATACTTACTATTAGAAATAAACATCTGTAGCGCCTCCTTGATCTCCCCTTTAGCACCAGAGCTTACATCATAGTTCTATTTACTGACCTGTGTGTGCTTTGCGGGGAAAAATTGATGAAAGCCCCGGAAGCCCCGTTAAAAAGACAAGCTGTATTTCTGTTTTTTTAACAAAATGAGGAAGCTGAAAGCCAGCCAGTGTTTTACATAATGGTGTCTCTCCCCTCAGCTGATCAGTGTGACATCCAGAGTTGCTGTTGCTGCTACCTGTCTAGTCTCTAAGACCCTTTTCAACCCTTGTGACTTAAGACTCTGTGAACTTTTACAAAGTATCTTGTGATCTGGACAGATGATCTGTTTTGTACCCTGCAGATGCATTTAAAAGAATAAATCTGGCAGAATGGTAACCTTGCTTCATTCTGACCATTTTATCAAAGTTACCAAGGACCCTAAGGAATACTTTCTCAAGTATAGTTTTAACACATAGGATTCCTAATTAATTGTTATTCTAATATTTGCTGAAGGTGTTTATATGCTATACAGTCATACACAGATTCTTCTTCAATTAATTTTAGTATATGCTTTTAACTTATGTTTGATAAAAAAATTATGCCAATATTGTTAGGTCGGTGATAGACTATATAAGTTTAGTAAAACTAGCAAAGGTAAGCGGTTAGGCTTCAACATTGTTGTGATCATGCAGTCATCAACTTTGTTTAGAAATTTTGCATTTATCTCCCCTGACCTCAGTTTGTTAAATGGGTTTATTTTTACAGAATCGTACTCATAATCAGCTCTGCATACATCTGAAGAACAAAAACATCAACGTCTTTTGTCCAGCCTCTTTTTCTTCTGCTGTTCCACCTTTCTAAACATACAATAAAGTCATGGGATAAAAATAATCGATGTATGTTACGGGCGCTTTAACCATCAGCTGCCTCTCGAATGGAAGAACAGTGGTAATGGATTAACATCCTATTTTGTTGTACTAAAGTGACAAATCGGAATAATATAATTGGTATGGCCATTAGGTTCAGTCCTTGAAGATAAGAAACTTGTTCTCTGTTTGTTGTCTTATTTGTGGTGGCACTCGTTTAATGGATTAACTGAGGTTGCTCAATGTTCAGTTTCTTTTCCAGAAATACAATGCTAGGTGTTTTGAAATAAAACTTATATAGCAATTGTTTAAAGTTATCAATTGTATATAAAATCACAGTAGCCTGCTAAATCATTGTATGTGTCTGTAGTATTCTATTCCCAGAAACTATTTGACCATGATAATTCAGTTTATATTCACCACATGAAAGAAAAATGGGTAACAGAAGAACCCTTAAAACAGGTTAATTTGGATTGTAACGTTCAGTGAAAGAAATTTCAACCCTTCATAGCCAGCGAAGAAATTTGCCTTGGAAGCCAAGTCAGTACCAGCTTACCTATTTGATTCAGTTGCTGTTTTCTCACTCTCTATATCCATTTGAAATTGATTTATTTTAGATGTTGTATACTTACGTTAGGCTTTCTGTTAATAGTGGTTTTTCTCCTGTTGACAGAGCCACCGGATTATGACACAGGATGAGGAAGATTAAGGATAATCAATTGACTAATTTCATTTAGAATATTATCAAACATTTCAACTAGGTATCAGAAAAAGGCTTTCTTTCATAAGACTATTTTAAATAGAAATTATTTCAACAATTAAAGTAATGTTGACCATCCCCCTCTCAGCTGAATAAAGAAAAATTTAGTTCAATTTATTGCAATTTAATTACAATACTACCTTCACAACATTTTCATGTGTTTTAAATAAATATTTTTTAATTGGCTAAAGGACATTCAAGCAAAGAAATGCTTTCTTTACTTAAAATGTCTATCTCATTTGCTGCCTTTTCACTAAGCCTTTACTTTGTTAATAAAAGTGTCCATTGTGTGATGTTTTTGATTTTACAGTTTGCTAAATCTTATTTTCTTGGAGTTGCTTTTTGGTAACAGCCCCATTGCTACTCCCCATTTTATTGTTTTACATCAATGCATGCTTCGTTGTGATCCCTCAAGATGTAACACTTGGTATGCTCGGTTGAGGATATGAAAAAATACTTCCGAAACCAGGAATTCAATGTATGTTTGTTTTATACTGTTTGATAAGAAAAGTAGGTCCAGCCTTAAGCAGCACAGATGCGCTGGTAGATGCATAGTCAGGAACTTTTTTTATTTCTTTTAGGTCTAGGGACAGGAGTGAATAGAAAGGGAGGAGAGCTCTATTATGTTCTATACACAGATTAGGAGATGACCTTACTGGGTACACCCCTCTAACCAGTGCTTACAGGTTAATGCATGTTAATGAATATTTTTGCAGTTGTAAAGCATAACAATTACAACTACACATCTATTTCTAAAGAATAAAACAGGACCATATTTATTTACTTCTGTCAACTATAGAAAGAAAGACCTTCAGCTGTATTTCCACAGATTTCTCCCAAGGAAAAGGCTAATATTAGTCACTACTGTTATCACATCCCTTTGTATAAGTTTTAAAAAGAGATGGAGGGAGATCTTCATTTCTTTGAGGAGATCAGTATTGTAACGTATGTGAATAGATGATAACAATTAATATTACTAAAAGTCCCACATGAGAGTCCTGACGCCCTCTCCATGCCCCACAGTAATGTGGCTTCTTTCATGGGTTTTTTTTTCTTCTTTTTAGCTGATCTCATCCTAAGCATGCTTTATTTTTCCTTGAAAGCTAGGTATTTATCAACTGCAGATGTTATTGAAAGAAAATAAAATTCAGTCTCAAGAGTAAACCCTGTGTCTTGTGTCTGTAGTTCAAAAGTCAGAAATGATTCTAATTTAAACAAAAAGATACTAAATATACAGAAGTTAAATTCGAACTAGCCACAGAATCATTTGTTTTTATGTCAGAATTTGCAAAGAGTGGAGTGGACAAAGCTCTGTATGGAAGACTGAACAACTGTAAATAGATGATATCCAAACTTAATTTGGCTAGGACTTCAATTTTAAAAATCAGTGTACCTAGGCAGTGCACAGCACGAAATAAGTGGCCCTTGCAGCTTCCCCGTTTAACCCACTGTGCTATAGTTGCGGGTGGAACAGTCAACCTTTCTAGTAGTTTATGATATTGCCCTCTTTGTATTCCCATTTTCTACAGTTTTTTCCGCAGACTTCTTTCTGCAAATTATTCAGCCTCCAAATGCAAATGAATGATATAAAAATAAGTAGGGAACATGGCAGAGAGTGGTGCTTCCCAGCCTCACAATGTGGGAATTTGACATAGGATGAGAGTCAGAGTATAGGTTTAAAAGATAAAATCTTTAGTTAATAATTTTGTATTTATTTATTCTAGATGTATGTATCTGAGGAAAGAAATCTGGTATTTTTGCTTTCCAATAAAGGGGATCAAAGTAATGGTTTTTCTCTCAGTTCTCTAAGCTGGTCTATGTTATAGCTCTAGCAGTATGGAAATGTGCTTTAAAATATGCTTACCTTTTGAATGATCATGGCTATATGTTGTTGAGATATTTGAAACTTACCTTGTTTTCACTTGTGCACTGTGAATGAACTTTGTATTATTTTTTTAAAACCTTCACATTACGTGTAGATATTATTGCAACTTATATTTTGCCTGAGCTTGATCAAAGGTCATTTGTGTAGATGAGTAATTAAAAAATATTTAAATCACATTATAATTCTATTATTGGAGAGCATCTTTTAAATTTTTTTCTGTTTTAACGAGGGAAAGAGAAACCTGTATACCTAGGGTCATTATTTGACCCCATAGTATAACCAGATTCATGGTCTAACAAGCTCTCAGTGTGGCTTTTCTCTGAATGCTTGAATTTCACATGCCTTGCATTTCACAGTTGTACTCCATGGTCAACCGGTGCTTTTTTTCACATCGTGGTACTTGTCAAAACATTTTGTTATTTTCCTTGGTAAAATATATAAAAAAGGTTTTCTAATTTCACTTTGCTGCCAAGGCTGTCATTTTCATTAATGCTGCCAACATGTTCATATGAGGCTTACTAAGAAGTTATAACTAAGCTTTAGAACTGGAAGAGACTTTAATTTCATCTACCATCTGATTATAAACTCCTGTTACTCACTTTGTTATTCCTCCAGAACTTTGCTCATAAATGATACCTACTAATTGTCGATCATTGGATATGTCAAGTTAGGTAGCGTATAGGTGTGCCTTCTTAATTCCTTCAGAAGATGCAGAGGCAAGAACATGTTTCAATCGTGTTAGCATTGGTTTTCTTTATCAGTGCTAACAGACTCAGTGTGAGGCCCCATACTTTATTTTAAACTAGGTTTTCATCCTTGTGTAATTCAAGTTCAGAATCTTCGTGTATCAAAACGTTTGAAGAATTTAGTTACTGAAGATTTAATAGAGCAATTAATTTTTTTAGCATGTCTGATTGAAGAATTAATATATTTATCAAATTGAAATAGCTACCATGTGCCTATAGATAATACAGATGTATTTAATTATGAAGTACGTCTTAAAATAACCACATACCCGATTTGTGATAACTAAAACAATCATGTCCTGCACATATTAGACCCAGTTAATAAGTGTAGAAAACTTAAGTGTTCAAACAAATACTACAAAAATTGTTAAAGGTTCAAAACCAGGAGACAGTATCAGGAAGGCTTAAATATGGGTGATCTCTAGCTGGAAGAAGACAGCTTCTAAAACTAAGGGTAGGAAAAACCTATATCATAAGGCATTTGTTTAAATTTATATCCTAAAATGACAGAATTGAGCTTGAAAATTGAGAGTATGTATGTGATTCCTCTCCAAGACTTCTCGTGAGTTACGTACATATTCTGCAGAAGCCGCGTTAAGGTGCATTTGTGGCCAAGTCACTGACAAGGAGGTAAATACTACTTATAAATGCTGTTAAATGAAAATCTTTTTTTTTTTTTTTTTTTTTTTTTGAGTTGGAGTCTTGCTCTGTCGCCCAGGCTGGAGTGCAGTGGCGCGATCTCAGCTCACTGCAAGCTCCACCTCCCGGGTTCAGGCCATTCTCCTGCCTCAGCCTCCCGAGTAGCTGGGACTACAGGCACCTGCCACCATGCCTGGCTAATTTTTTGTATTTTTAGTAGAGATGGGGTTTCCCCATGTTAGCCAGGATGGTCTCAATCTCCTGACCTCGTGATCCACCCGCCTCGGCCTCCCAAAGTGCTGGGATCACAGGCGTGATTGTTACTCTTTGTGATAAAAAATTCTTGTTCCTGCTGTTAGTACTTTTAATTCATTAACCCAGGTGTAAACTGTTCCTTTCCAAGTATTTGGGAAATTCAGAGATCTGTTTTTGAAAAAACTAGGCCAGAGGCACCCCTGAAGATCTAGTCACAGTGCAGTGATACTGCCAGCAGCCCCCCACAGAGATATGTCTTACGGCTGTATTAAGAATATAAGTTACACTCTTTAATGTTCAGAACAGAATACTCATTCTGCTGCTTACTCTTGTAGTTATTAAATCACAGAGCAACAATACGGAAGTTAGAATTTTATCCATTTGTCAGAAAATATGCTCATGGTTTATGTGACCTAATACTTTCCAAAAGCTCTTGAGACCTCTGATATTTGTGAGAGAATATGTAGGGAATAGGTTAACCTCCTTTTTTTGCTTTGGTAAACTTCATCTGAGATTAGGCCAAATCATCAGAAAGCAATACTGCCTGGGCTGCTACTTACCTACCTCTTTGATATTACGTCCTTGGCTTCACAGGCAAGACCTTATGACACATCTATTTGAAGAAAATACACAGTCTCTTTTGCAGAAGTCTAACCTAATGACATGTCTTGATTATCACTGAAATTCATTAAGGATTACTAGATAGTACCAGCGGTTTCCCCTCCAGACACATGTATGTACTGCTCTCCTTGTGACAATGAGAACTCAAGACTTTACCATTTTCTTTGCTTCAGCTGCCAGGAAATGCTGAAATTAATTTCCCTCTCAACTGAAGGAATGAACCTAACCATTTTTCTGCTCCTTTAGTTTGTGTTCTATTTTTGTTATTAATCTCTCTTTCCATACATCTTAACGCAGAAACAGCTTTCTGTGTTAGTTTGCGTCACTAAGAAAATACAATGCTTACTTATTTCTCATTTTAAGAAATATATTTGTCTAGAGGGTTTAAGAATTCCCACATGTGCCATAATGCTCCAGGTGGTACACAGCCACTCCCCTTGCATACCTAATGTATATAATTTTTTTCTACAATCAATTCATATATATATATAGTAAAAAAATCAGAAATCACCTCAAGGACACAGTACACACCCAGTGACAATAACATGCCTGCCTCCCCGCTGCCGGGAGCAACACCACAGTAGCAGGAGGTGCCTGATGTGTGTTGAGAGGAAGGATGCAGAGAGATATGTGTAAGTTTGCAGCCATTCCAGAAATATTAACACATCCTAACTAAGGGCCTATTATAAAGGTCTGAGCAGGACTCAGAACACTACAAAGTAGACTAAAACTGGCCAGCAGCATTTTGGGATCCATGGAGAAACTCCACTGAATTCTTTTTGAACGGTCAATATCCTATCTTGCCAAGGATTGGTCCCATGAAACATTTTTGGTTTCCCTTTAAAATTTTGAAACTAAGAAGAAAACTTGAATCCAGAGCAAAGAAACCAGTATACCTTGTGTTTTGCACCCATTATCACAGAAAGTATTGTTTCCATTTTATAGATGAGAAAATCAGCTCAGGTTTTGCACAAGGTTATTCTAGTTGAATAGCAAAGTTGAAACTTGAAAACAAGTATGATTACAAGCCTATGCACTTTCCAAAATATGCTCCCTTTCAGAAATACTTTTCGGAAAGTAAACATTTATGATATTAGGAGCACATTAGGGCACATGATATACCTAGAAAGTACAAAATGACCTAACTCATAACAAAAATGGCCTATGATAGTCTTTACTAATTACATGAGGCTATTGTTGCATTGCAAGAATGGAACTATCAGCAGAGATGTGTGGCTGCCTGTGAGACCTTAGTGGACAAGAAGATGAGATTCAGTAGGTTCTAATTTCATGTTAACGCCAGGCCTTAAGTTTTAGGTGTAAAAAACAAGTGCTTTGCAATTCTCAACATGTTAATAATGTTAATTCTCTCATTTTATCCTGTGCAGATTCTGTCAATCTTTTTTAGTTAGTCCAAGTATTAAAATATGGAATTGCTCTTTCCTCAGTTTTTAAAAACTTGATTGAATATTTTCTTTTTCCAAATTACTATTTTTTTTTTTTTTGAGACAGGGTTTCTCACTGTCCCTCATGCTGGAGTGCAGTGACACAATCACAGCTCACTGCAACCTCGACCTCCTGGGCTCAAGTGATCCTCCCACCTCAACCTCTCGAGTAGGTGGGACTACAGGGACACACCACCATGCCTAGCTAATCTTTTTTTTAATTTTTAGTAGAGATGAGATCTCAATATGTTGCCAAACTGATCTCAAAATTCTGAGTTCAGGCAAGCCTCCTACCTCAGCCTTCCGGAGTGCTGGGATTATAAGCGTGAGCCACCTAGCCTGGCCCAAATTACTACTTTTGAGTGTCTTTCTGCGCCCCACCCCCAATAAAATTATTTTGAAGGAAAAGCTATTAGCAGAATTCTTTAAAATTTCTACTAAACTTATATTCCAGGTATCTCATGTACATTCTTTAATTTTCTTGCCTTGAGATATGTCTGGTTTCCCAAGACTATTAGGACCGAAAGACAGATTTTCATGCCAAAATCTGTATGAGTTATCTTTACCCGTATCAGAACATCTCTAATATGAATGCTTAATTGAACATGCCTGCCATTTGCTGCCTCTGCCATTTCATAGGCTGTTGGTACCATCACAAAGCCACTCCCACTTTCATACATTCAGATTTCTCAAAACATCTGAGACATTCACATTCTTGCTAATTATACTCATTGCTCTGGTCATAGCTGAATCAAGATTCTGAGAGTGTAATTTTGTTCGCGTCAAAAGCATTGTTTTCTTATCCTGTTGGTGGAGTGAGGCATTTGGACCTGGATGCTCTCCCCATTGGGCGCCCCCCGTTGGTACGTTTCGCCAGCTGTGTACTCTATGATTGGCTGGCCTTTTGATGTGCAGGTACTACAAGTTGGTCACAAACTTGTGTACAATGGGCCTGTTCTGGTTCATGTGAAAATCAACATCCTTTTTTGTGTTACCGGGTGACAGGATGCTACAATACTATTAGCATTTGCAAAGAGTGTGCTCTGTCCAAGGGTGTAACCACAGGTCGTGTGCTGCTCACTTTGTGTTTCTCTATTATGTGAGAGACACAAAGAAGCTGAGGGCTCGCAAAGGCCTGTCAAATCTTGTAATGTGGCGCTCGACCCCCAAACTCCACTTGGCCTCCAAGCATCTCTTGTTCCCTGTCCCACCCCTTTCTCTGAATGGGCTCTGAGGTAGGTAAATGAATTCAGGGGCCTGGTAGGCGGGGGATTCCTTTCTGGCCTCATTCCTGTACCATTTGTTTGCAGGCTTGTAGGGGGAGAGGAGGACATTTTGGAATCCTTTGTGTCAAATCATTTTCTTGCAGGTTGGGGAGTTAATGGTAACTTTGTCTGAAGCCAGCCAAGCAGAAAGCCTCCACGGATGAGGCGTGGTATGCTCAACCTCCTCAAAAACCACAAGATGAGAATGTGGAAATGGGGAACTTTCTAGAGCAGATGAGTATGGGACAAGTCTGCATGTGCCACATCTAATGGGAAGCTTAAACCTTCCTGTGTATTTAGGCATACAGTAGTTCATTTTAAGAGGGTTTTCCTCTTTCTGAATCATCATGGTGTTTTTATTGATACCTGTAGTTTGGATAATCTTTTGTGCAGCCAATATTTATATATTCTGCACCATTTTGAAAGCCTTCTACTACCTGGTTACCTGTATGTATCGTGTGATTTCAAGAAGTTTTACCATGTTTTTGTCCTCGGATTTACTTTGTTTACCTAAAAAATGAACTATTGTTTTAGAACAGTGATAACTCTTACTTTGAAAAAAAAAAAAAAAGAGAGAGACCCAGAGAAAAGCAATTTGCTCAATTAATGTTACAGCTAGAAACTGTTCCCTGATTCCTAGGCAAGTACTATGTGTTTCATGAAGATTTAGACCCAGGGCCACAGGTTCAATACTTCCAAAGCCAGTCGTTTTGTGAAAGAAGTTGGGGATCTATTTATGTGAAACTTCCCTATTTTTAAATGTTAGCAGCTAATTTTGAAAATCTTAAATACTTGTGTGAGTCCAAGAGAAACATCTGCAAATAGCATGCTTCCCACTCGTGAGTCACTATTTGAAACCTCTGATTTCAACTATAGCTTTCTGCTCATTTCTGGCCTCGGTGCATTTGGGTGATAATAGTACCAAGGCCTTCTGAAAATAACATGATTTCTGGTCATTTTTAGAGATGCAGAGTTTTTTGTTGTTTCTGCTTTATTATGAGGCTGGACTGGAGGGAAATTCTCATTTATTAAATGCCTGCTGTATCCCAGGTACTTTAAACACATTATCTTGCTTATTCTTACAACTTCCTAAGGCAGGCATTGTCGTTTACCAACAGGCTAACTCTGGCTCAGAGAGGTTGCCTCAAGTTCCACCGCTGGCTGGTTGACAAAGTCTTTATGGGATCCCATGTAGGTTTGACTGCAGAGCTTAGAAAAAGAGCAGGTACAGAATGGGCTGGAAGAGTACTAATAGCTTTCTTCCCTTACCCGTTCAACCATCGTAAGGAGGCAGTTCCTTTTCATATCATGAGCTGGTTGGCAAAAAAGCGTTACTCTATTCTGGGTACTCTGGATATAGTTACCTAGAAATAAGGCAAGTGAAGGTTTAAAATATTCAGGAATCCCAGCATCTAGAAATAAGTTGGCCTCTTCTGTGAACCCTATAAAGATGCTCCTTGACTTAGGATGGAGTTACATCCCAATAAACTCATCATAATTTGAAAATATTCTAAGTCTAAAATGCATTTTAATACACCTCACCTGCTGAACATCACATCTTAGCCTGGCCTACCTTAAACATGCTCAGAACACTTACATTAGCCTGCAGTTGGGCAAAGTCATCTAACACAGGGCCTATTTTATAATAAAGTGTTGAATGTCTTGTAATGTGCTGAATACCGGCCTGAAAGTGGAAAACAGAACAGTTTTCTGAGTACTTGAAGTACAGTTTCTACTGAATGCATATAGCTTTCGTGCCACCATAAAGTTGAAAAGTTATCAATCAAACCATTGTAAGTCGAGGACTGTCTGTGTATCTGTAAACTCCACTGTGTTTCATTCACAGCCATCCTCCTTGAAAGAGAAGTCCTCCCCATTCCTTCTTCAGCCCCCTCAAAGCCAGTGTTTTCTTTTACCATCTGGGCCCTTGCACCATATCCTCACCACCACCACTGCCACTTTGCCATCTGCCCCTCAGCAAGGCCACCAGTGACCTCCATTTGGCTAATTGCCCTCAATACATTTATTATTTGGCTTGGTCCCTTAAGGTTATTTAATATTTTGTGATAACCTTTCATTCTCCCTCTCCTCCCTCTGGGACATTTAGAACTTTGTAACATACATTCACTCGCCCTCTCTCTCTCTCTCTAACCTCTTATTTCTTTGGCTTCTGTGCCACTACTTTCTCCTGGTTTCCCTTCTAATAACAAAATGCCTATTGGTTTTCAGTGCTGCTCACAGGCCTGCCTGAGTGTTGTCGTTCCCTGAACACTCTGCGTTTCTTGACCCTACTTCTCCCTGGCTGATCAGCTCCCCCTGCTGTATCTGCTCCTGGCTCTCAACTCGAGCTCCATCCTGTTCCTCTCTCCATGCTTCACAAACCCATATCGCCAACTATACCTGCATGTCCCACAGGCACTTCACACTTAACCTATCCAAAATGCAACCAATTCTTTCTCCAGTAAACCTGTCTCTTCTCCAGATTCCACTATTTTTGTGACAGACACTGTGATATACCTAGTTGCACAAGACAAAAACCTGGGACCCTCTCCCCAGTGCAACCAACAAATCCAATCACCACTTTTTTTTTTTTTTGAGACAGAGTCTCACTCAGTTGCCCAGGCTGGAGTGCAGTGGCACGATCTCAGCTCACTGCAACCTCCGCCTCCCAGGTTCAAGCGATTCTCCTGCCTTAGTGTCCGGAGTAGCTGGGACTACAGGTGTGCACCACTACGCCCAGCTAATTTTTTTTTTTTTTTTTTTTTTTGGTATTTTTAGTAGAGACAGGGTTTCACCACGTTGGCCAGGCTGGTCTCGAACTCCTGATCTCAGGCTATCCACCCACCTCGGCCTCCCAGAGCACTGGGATTACAAGCGTAAGTCACCACGCCCGACCCACCAGTTTAATATATTTGTACCCCTCCACTCTTTCCCATCCTGTCTGCACAGATCAGGTGGCCCCCCATGTCTCACCTTTGTTGTTGCCATGGGCCTTCATTTTCATCTCCTGTTCATCCCCCACACTCCTGCCAGAATGAAATATCTAAAATGGGAACATGATCATTTGATGAAAATCTGTCTCCAGGTAGCTTTATTTCTCCATTGATAAAATAAGAGGGTTTGGTTGGATGTTCATTCAGCGTTCTTCTAATGCTGACATTTGTGAAAACTTTAATTCTGTTTTATATAAAACTGCCCTTAATTGGCATAGAGCTTTTTTATCTCATTTAATCTTTAAAATATGTCCACAAG